>NC_000015.10:80776874-82026874 GCF_000001405.40 Homo sapiens | reverse complement strand
ATGCTCTTTTCTGAGTGGAATAGAAATGAGCTTGCCAAACCAATGATGGTATATCTTGTACCTGAGGCCTTATTAATCTATTTTAGCAATAATACTGCCTTCTGCAGGGCAGCTGTAATCAAGACTACTTAGTTGATCTTGTGGGAATCTATAGTCACTCTCCAGGATCCATCTGGTCTCTGCAGGGTCTAGACTGGTGAATGAAACTGATATATGTTATGGCCTATCACCCCTGCCTCCTTGAAATCCTTAAAGATGGCACTAATATCTGGCATCTCCCTAGATAGCACATTGTTTCTGATTAACTATTTTGGCCAGGGCTAGGGGAGGGGTTGCAAATTCAGAGGGTTCCACTTGGCCTTCTCTACTATGATATCTGTTACTCCACAGGCCAAGAACCCCATGTGGGGCTGTGACAGGCAGAAGGATGGCTCCTTGAAGATACTCATGTCCTAATTCCCAGAACATGTGAATATGCTACTTCAACAGCAAAAGGGACGTTGCAGATGTAAATTACGGACCTCGAGACCGGGAGATTATTCTGGATTGTCTGGTGGACCCACTGTAATCACAAGGTTCATATAAGGGAAATAGGGAAGCAGGAGAGTCGGAGAAGGAGATGGGATGATGGAGGCAGAGGTTGGAGTGATGCAATTGCTAGCTTTGAAGGTAGAGGAAGAGACCTTAAGCCAAGGAATGTGGGTGGCTTCTAGAAGCTAAAAAAAGGCAAACAAACAAACAAACAACAACCCTGCAACAGATTCTTCCCTAGACCCTCCAGAAGGAACACTGCCTTGCTAACACCTTGATTTTAGCCCAGTAAAATTCATTTTGAACTTCTAACCTGCAGAACCATAAGATAATAAATGTTTGTCATTTTAAACTACTTATGTTTGTGGTGATTTGTTACAGCATAATAGGAAACAATTACAGGGGCTACCCCAACTGACAAGTGCATCAACCCCAACTATGCACTCTAGAACTGGGAAAATGACCACCAGTTGTATCAATTGACCCAGTGGACCAACTGTAAGCTAGATGTTAGCCAGGACTCTACTGACTACGTGGTACTTGTAAGCCCTCACTCTGACAAGGAGGTCATGATGAAGCTTTGGGTCTTTTGGTGTCAATGTCAACTTAAATCCTCTGTCCAGTAATACCTGAAACACCTGGGCATTCCCCCTTCCCCAGTGTGTAGTCACTAGGGTATTGCTCGTAGGTCCTTTGATGAAGGACTGAGAGATTCATTGCAGTATATACTTCCTGTGGTGTTGCAGGGTCCTTTCTCTAGGACACCTGGCCAACTCCTCAGTCAATGGGTTTTGGATCTGAAATTGAAGATCTTCAGGTCTGGGAACTGAATGAAGGATCATGACTTTTTTTATTGGGGTGATCACCATCAGCTTTCTACTCTTTCATTCTTGACTTCTTCTGATTATAGATGTCAAACAGTACCCTTGTTGGTTCCTGCCTATTTTGCCCTTCGGTGCACCATGTTCTATAAACCATCTCCACAGTTCCCTGTGGGTCAAGCCCCCTTGGCTACCCTTCTGACTTTGTAGTAATTGTGGCCCCCCACTTCTGGTGGTGAGGGACTGCTACCAGGGCTCCATTATTTGGGGCCCCATTCTGCAAATAACCATTAATAAGTCCAGCTTTGTGAGTGTCTCATCTACAGTTAGCCCTACCCAGCCTGCTGAGGACAGGTATCACTGAATTGATTAGTGTTCTTTGTGAACCTCTTGCCAGCTCATTCCTGGTGGCCTTGTTGAATGATGGGTTCACTGAGCCTACCCATGGAGCATAATCTTCTAGTGGGTCTTTTGGCCTCATATAATATATCCATTCCAGCATGTCTTACTTATGAATCTTGCTGTGAGTCTAAGGTAAGACTAAGCATAGATTAATTCCTCCATTGTCATTTAGTTAGCCTATGCACAGTGATAAGTTGCATGTCAATAACTGTCAGGAGGGGGCCACTGCCTGCCACGACTCTCAATTAATCTATGCTGGTTAAATATTCTAAAACCTGCATTTTTATTATCGACTTTCTATTATAGGTGAAAGGGAAAGGAAGATAAATATCTGAAACCAAGGAGTGTGAGATGGGGAAATCTGATCAGAGCTGAGCTCTTAGAGAAGTGGTTGTTGGTTGGATGGGAGTTAAGAGGCAGAGGAGAGGAAGAAGGTAGGGAAGCTCAGAGAAAACCGAAGTTCAAAGGAGTAGGATGGGGCAAGAGCACACAGCATCTCAACAAAACCTAGAGCTCCAATGTTGCTGTAATTGGAAGACAAGAGTCCTAACACTGCAGAGGCAAGGATGGACTCAGGTCAAAGACTGTGGCTGGGAAGGCCCTTCAGCCTTGGCTCCCAGTCTCCCTACCCTTCTCTGTCTCTCCCATCCATCCAGCACTCAGGGATCAAGAAACTCTCAAGGAAAAACTTCATCTTTTTCCAATTAAAAAAAATCCCGGCTGGGTGTGGTGGCTGACGCTTGTAATCCCAGCACTTTGGGAGGCCAAGGTGGGCAGACCACTTGAGGCCAGGAGTTGAAGACAAGCCTAGCCAACATGGCGAAACCCCATCACTACTAAAAATACAAAAAATTAGCTGGGCGTGGTGGCAGGCATCTGTGATCCCAGCTACTGGGGAGGCTGAGGCAGGAGAATTGCTTGAACCCATGAGGCGGAGGTTGCAGTGAGCCAAGATCGAGCCATTGCACTCCAGCCTGGGCAACAAGAACAAAACTGCATCTCAAAACAAACAAACAAACAAACAAACAAACAAAGAAAACACAAAACTGCTTTGCCTAACTGGAGAATGTGGAATTTCTAATTCCACATTGAGTATGCTGCCATGTTTTTTTCCTTGTGCGTCTCTCCTGTTCTCTCATCCCTGTGACCCTCTGCTATCCCCTTTCCTTGCTCCGTCTCCTGGTTTGTTTGTCCTTCTGTCCCGTATCTTTTCTGGAACTCTCCTCTTTGACCATCACCATTCTCTGGCCCTTTCATTCTTCCTGCTGCCTTCCTTTCGCCTCTTTTCCTCTCCTGGTAGACACCCTCTCTCCTTTCAGAGGCCCTGTTCTCCTAACACACCCGAGCACCTGCTCAAGGCCACTGCAATCACGCATGCCACTCTCACACACTCTTCTTCCCTTTGCATTTTCTGGGCCTTGCTTTTGACTGAGCAATTGGCTTCTGACGTCAAAGTTTTCAGATACAATAGATGTCAGTTATTCAACGTCACTCTAGAGGCTAATCTGAATTCAAGAACTTTGGCTTGAGAGGAAATGTTTGGAGAAAGGCAATTTCACTACTTTTCAGTCTATAGATAACCTCTTCTACCATTGTCAAGGGGAAAGGAGAACACGTCTACATCTTGTCAAAAGCCTTTACAGAAAGATAAGATTCATTCTCATTCTTTAAACACTGTTGCTGATGTAAAACACCTTACCTTCAAAGAGGTCAGTATTTCTTCTACTTCACTACAAAATTACTAAGGAAAATCACATATTCCTGCATTGAGATAAAACTGCATCACGAAGTTTTAGTAAAACAATTTTTTCCCCAAGTCTCAAAGGACGGCTTCATCCAACATTCAACAAATGAGTTGAAATGTTAAAAAATTTAAACTCACATGTACTCTACAAATGGAAAATGTACAAAATATGGCAACCTACATATAAGCAAGGTTTGTTTTCTTTAAGGTGAATCAAATTTTGTCATTAGGTTATTACTATTACTGGTCTATTTGAAATCAAGCACTGTAATTGGATATTTCTCTGGAGTTCAAATCATCAGGGGAGGGGAAGCCTCTGGGGTCAGGGTTGGAGGAAATTGATGGGATTTCATAGACTGGCAGGTTGGCCATAACCTCATGGATTCCTTAAGACGAAAACCCTTAGGGCATGGTTTCTCAACCTCTCCACTATTGAGATTTGGGGAAGAGTTATTCTTTGTTGTCAGGGGCTTTCCTGTGTGTTGTGTGATGCCTAGCAGCATGCTTGGCCTCTGCCTCCTAGATGTCAGCAGCATCCCTCCTCCCACATATAACAACTAAGAATGTCTCCAGACATTGCCAAATGTTCCCGAGGGGTGCGGTGTGGGTGGAAATCGCCAATGGTACAGAATCTGCCTTAGATTATAAACGAGGAAGGAGATCCAGAGACCTCATGGGGATTTCCATTAGTGGAAAAGGAAAGATATTCTTGGCTAGATCCTCTAGATCCTCCAAACCAAGAATCCCACCAGGCCCAGGAAAGCCCAGTAGGTAGCTGTGGGGGGGTCTCCCTCAAAGCCAACAAGCTGTACCTGTGGGGCATTAGAGAAGCAGGTGGGGGTGATTGAATGGGAAGCAGAGATCATATTTATGCTCATTGAGGAACCCTTCCCCTCATACCAAATCTTTCAGCTTTCAGGAGACAGCAGCATTTGTTCTCCAACAGGCAACACTAACAGAAGACCCCTGGTCAGTTCTAATGGAACCTCTGAAGATGAGACAGAATCTGAAATAGCAGAGCTTGTTCCTGAAGGGGAGTAGGAGGAAAGCCCAGGCAGTGACCCTGGCTGGAGTAGCTGGTTACTATTGGTGTCTTCTTTTACTGGGCCTGCTGCCAAGATAGGAGAGGAGGGAAAGGAAGAAACATGTTGAGACCTGCAAGAGCAGTCGGGTGAGCAGAGACAGCAGCTGCTCAGGCTGGAAAAACAGCTGGACAGGCTGCAAAAAAGAAAAAAAGAAACAACAAAAAACAGAGGCTTGGAATGAAGAAAAGGAATCCCCTGCTCTCAAGATGAGAAGAACTATTGCCTAAGGACTGAGGATAAGATTCTTCAGCTTTGAAAGAGATTTCAATAGTGGGGCATTTCATCCTCTTTTTCAAAAATCTGTACCAAGGGAACTTGAATCCAGCACACATCCAGTCTCCGGATTGCAGGGCAAGACTGAGCCCAGGCGCAGGTGTTCTCAGAGGAGGCTTGGAAGAGCTGACTTTAAAGGGACACCTATGCCCAGGAGAACTGGTGGAACCAGGGCCTCCTATGGAAGGCAAAGCCTTCAGCATCTGAGCATGAGCCTCACTGTCTTGTGTGAGGGAGATTTTGATGAGAAACAAGTGGATAGTAGAGGCCCTCAGAACATAAGCAGTGTGTGTGTGTGTGTGTGTGTGTGTGTGTGTGTGTGTGTGTGTGTGTCTGGTGTTTATGTTTGTGTAGGGGACTCATCTTTGACCAAATTCTCTGCATTGTAAAGAGCCAGAACAGTCACCAAGCCATGTGGATATCTTACTGGGTAGGAAAAATGGGTCTATATCCCTTTATCCAAATTCCATCGAGTTCCCATTTCTTCCCAGCAATCTCCATTCAGGGAGCAGAATCTGTCTCCTGAGAACCATGCAAGGAGTTGAGGAGAGCCCATGATTCAGGAAAATATTCAGGTTCACAGAGTCAAGGCTATTTGGCTTGAAGAGGATTGTTTTTATTTAAGTCTCTCACCCATACGCCCAGGGGGGAAAATCCATTAAAATTTTTATCTCTAACTGATGTCCGGTGTCCTGTGAAGGGGTCCTACAGAACACTTCAGAAAAAGAATTGTGCTAGCATGGACCAAGAGACTCCTGATAGGAAAATTCCCTGGGATGAGGTGTTGGAGGAGAAACTGTGTGAGTCATCCTGTCTCCATTGCCCAGCACAGGGACTGGCAGAGAGAAAGCATCAGCATATGTTTGTGGATTGATCAGATGAATTAGTTAATTAATTAAAGGGTGAATGCTTCTTTGCACAGTGAAGGCCTGCTGGGCTCTGTCAGCACCCTCTCCACTGTCTTCTGGAGGCTGCCTGATGCCTCTTGCAGGGAAACATGGGGCTGGAGGAGGAAGCCCATGTGGTGGTCCTTTGCTTCCAACTCCAATTCTGATTGCTGTCTGGTCACTGAGACAAAGATTGCTCAGAGTGGGGAGGAGCTTAAAGGCCAAAACAAAATCCAGGGGTGCCTGGATGAGCTCAGCCTGTCACAGAAAAGGCTCAGGGACAGCATGTGGAGCAGTAGCAAAGGAGGAATCTCTTCATATGGATATTGGCTTTATGACATCATCAGTCTCTCTGGGCACTGCTTTGACTTGGTGTTCCCTGGAATCCCCAAGGAGCTTCTGGGATGAGAAGGCTTATCAATGACTTAGAACATTTTATGGGTTTGGCTGGCTTTGGACAGGAACGTGATCATATCTGAGGTTTCCTTTTTCATTTGGGATGGCTTGATTCGTTCTGAGATGTGAGGTCTAGAATGAAACAAGCTGTGCCTGAAGGGACAGGAGAGAAGGGAGGCTGGTTGGATATTGGAGCAAAGAGACCATTTGGATCCTAGAAGGAGGGATAGGGACATGCGTCCCTTTCAGTTGGCTCCAGCCTAGTGGGTGGGCAAAAAATGCCCAGGTTATATTTGCCAGATGCGCTAGGAAGCCCTAGAGCTTTTAGTATTAACGACCCAAGCCTCGGGAACAGAATCTGAAGTGTGGCTCAGGGAAGCCATCTTGGAAGGCATTGGGTTTCTAATGGAGAGAGAGGAGTGGGCGCAGGGAAACGTCAGTGCCAGTCATCTGCTGACTGCCGTGTTTGAACTTCTTGGTATGACAGAGAGAAGAGGAGAGGCAGGGAGATATCTGCCTATCCCTGAAAATCAGGAAGGAAAGTCCTGATGCCCGGAAGTTCAGAGAGGGAGATGACGTTTCTGGGGTGGGCAGTGCTCCCTTGGAAATGGGAATTATTTTAGGACCATTTAGCCAGACCATTCCTTTTTTCCCCCACTAAAAGGGGGCTTCAGTCAAAACAGTTGCTTTCATTTTCCATCCTAAAATAAGGCCCAGGGCACACAGTGTGTATCTTTTCTTTCTGCTTTTGGAAAGAAGGCAGTAATAAAACAAGGGTTCTTACAGAGCATCTTCCACGCACATACATTGTTCCAGATTTCATACCCTGTCTTGCCCATTTATTTGCCTATAGTATATGCTCAATAAATGTTTGAAGCAAAATTGCTTTAAATAGTCCTTAATTATTTTGGCTTTTTCTATATCTAGAAACCAGAAGAGAATGCTAAATTAGAATTTGGGAACTGGATGTATATGGCAGAGCTAGCTAATTACTGCATACATTTTCTCTTCTTCCTGGGAATACAGCTAGATGACACTTCCCAGCTACCTTTGCAATGAATGGGGCCATGCGATCAAGTTCTAGCCAGTGGAATGTGAGCGAAGGGATTTGCTTTATGTTCTGGGCTCCCATACATTCTTGACCTTCTGTGTTAACCTTGGAGAAGGTAGAACTACAAGATGGAGGGATTGTGGGTCCCTGACTCACCACTGGAGGAGTTATTTGCTGATCACAAACACCTATTTTGGATTCATATGAGCCAGAAATAAACTAATATTATATGATGCCATTGAGATTTTGTGCTTTACCTGCTACATTACATCTAGTGTTACCTAGTTGAGAAACTGGTACTTGGTACCTTGAAGCGAGGTGTTTCTGTAACAAAACTCAAAATATGTGGTGTTGGCTTACCCTCTAGCCATGGAGTGAGAAAATTGCTATCAGGTGATGGAAAGATGGAGCTCTGTGTCATGCAGTGCCAAAACATTTAGTAAAACTATTACCTTTGATCATTTTAAAGGCAGGCTACATATTGAATAAAACTGTGGCTCTAGAAAAAAATGTGTTGGCTTTTACTTTTTACTTTTTGTGTTCTACTATGAGATACAAACACACTCAGGAAATGTTTGGCCAATTAGCAAGCATAAATGAAAAAGAATATAGAGAAAAGCCAATGCTTTTAGACAATACATATTAAAAAATAAGGCTGATATTAGTGAAACACAGTGATTGAGTTCTGTGGTGAAGATCAGAGGAAAGGTGTGGCCTTATTACCTATTGTTTGCGATGGTCTCAAGGTAGCAGCGTTAGGTAGAGAGATGGAATGGAGGCGAAGAGGCAATAAAGACATCAGACTTGAAAATTACATCTAAGAAAGAATTTGGGGTATGATTCCTGGCACATGGAACTACCTGGAAGAAAATACATCAGAAACCTGCCAAGTTTTTGAGATCACTGGATTGCCAAGGAAACCGGTAGCCTACATTTAAAAAGGTTTTGACTGAGACTTAAAACAATCCCCACTATGCAAGCCTTGCACAAGTGGAGGTGGGCTGCTGCGAATGCAGGACCTCATACTCACCCGTACCCACTTCAACAGTGACCCCGGAGGGTAATGGGTTAGTGGGCGAGGAAAACCCTCCCAGAAGGCTGAGCCAGTGGCCATGAGAACAAGGGACACAGAGTATTTCCCTGAAGCAGAATCAGGGTTAGAAAAGGAACTTCCCCTAGGGCCAGGGGAAGGGGCCAGGCAGGATTGCATCACTGCTTTGGACCTGTGTCGCTGTGGGTCTCCCATTCTTCTCATATCTGGCTGGGACTTATTGTGGTTTTCCGGTTCCTACTCCACTATGGTTTGACTGGCATGTATGTGGAGAGGAGATAGTCTGTCCTCTGGCTCTTTGGTTGTTGCACCACAAACAGCCTCATCTGGACCCAGAGATCCTGGGCTGTGAGCTGGTTGTTGTGGCTGGCGTGAGCATGAGTCTGTTTTCTGCATCCTGAGAAGGGAGAAACAGATATTCCGTGCCCAGAGGGGTGGCCTGTGGCAGACACTGCTGGTTGTTCACAAAGCCCACTTCTCCCTGGACACACAGCCACACCACATTGCCCAGCATCCCTTGCCACAGGCATGTCTGAGTTTTAAGCCACTGGAATATGGGTGAAGGTGACAGGTCTACTCCCAGGCCCAGCCCATAAAACCTTCCCACCCATCCTCTCTTCTCCCAGTCATGGCAACCGTGGGAGCCATGTGTTGAAGTTGGCAGAGACACAGGATAGAAGGAGACTGGGCCCCGGAATCGCCACTTGGAAGAAAGCTACCTGATGGCTGAGAGCACCTCTTTTGCACTTCACATGAAAAAGAATCCCCTGGTTGTTACTCTGCTGCGATTTGGGGGTTTATCTGTTTCAGCAGCAGAGTGACCTCAACTCACATAACTGTAAAGGAACAACGTTTGCTTTCCCTCATTCGCTGGGGATTCTCTGCTCCTTTCAGAACCATGCTCACTTCCATGGATGAGTCGATCTCCCCTCTTTCCTGTCAACTTGAAGAAGTGTGGAAAATAATTTATCAGGGAATTGGGAGATTTGGCCATAGCCACAGTTCTGTCACTTTCTCCTGGCTGCGTGACTTGCACCCCTCTTTATTCATTTGTCCAATGAGAGTATTAATAAGTAATCTGACTATTTTACTAGGTAAATGTTTAAAGCAAATGTAATAAGACTCATCAAGCTGTTGTCAGACTTTGAAAGCACTGTGTGATTCTTTAGGTCTTGTTGTATTTAGACACACACATCACTTAATGTTTGACCATGAAGAAAAATATTTAATCTCCTTCAGAATTATTTTTCCCATCTGTAACAGAGGAATAGAAAAACCTCCCTTTCACAGGCTAGTTATGAGGATTCAATGAAATAATCTGTGCATCATGCCTGGTGGAAGGCATGGCCAATCATGGTGGCTCAGTAAATGCTAGTTTTAGAATTATTAGTCTTATTTTGTTCTGTCCTATGTTAGGCATTTATTATGCCTGCTTACGTGGATGAAAATGTATATAACACTGTCCCTGCCTCAAGAAAAATTTGGAACTGGAGGAAGAGAACTTACTGTCCATTTCTCTCCCCACAAGCCTTCTCTTCCATCCTCCTGGTGCTCTGACCCAGGCATAAAGGGTGACTCCTGCCTCAGCATCCCCTTGGCCCAGAAAACATCCCCTTGTTTTCTGTGTCCTGAGAAGGGAGTAAAAGGTATTCTGTGCCCAGAGGGGTGGTTTGTGGCAGACACTGCTGGTTGTTTACCAAGCCCACTTCTTCTCTCTGGACACACAGCCATGCGATATTGACCAGCATCCCTTGCCACAGGCATGTCTTCTCTCTCAGGTTTTTGGTTGGCTTTCTGCTGTTTCTGACTCTTGCTTCCTTTTCTCTTTTTCCAAGCTACATCCTCTACTTTCACAAGGCTCTCTCTCCTTTGCCTTATGTTGTTCCCATTTTCCCTTGGCCCTTTACTCTGTCCTCCTGGCTTCCCTCTTCCTTGCTCCTCCTCCTTGGTGCTTCCCTGCCGCCCAGGCCATGCCACAGAGGCATTCTTACCCTCTGCACTATGGACGTCCTCCTTGTGATGATGTGGACTTGCTTCTGGTTTTCCCAACAAAGCATTCATTTGCCTTGATGCAGAAGGTCAATCTGCAATAGGAGCAGGTGAATGTGCTCAGAGAGACGAAGTTTTATTTTTCATGAATCAATAGTGTGATGTTCAGGTGATCAAGGAGGAGAAAGAGTTTTTTAAATGATGAATTCTTATAAGAGCCTTCACACAAATATTATTCCTAGTGCTTAAATAAAAACACTGCTATATAAAGCTATCCCTTGAAAAGCGGTACATGGGCTGGGCATGGTGGCTCATGCCTGTAATCCCAGCACTTTGGGAGGCCAAGGCGGGTGGATCACAAGGTCAGGAATTTGAGGCCAGCCTGGCCGATATGGTGAAACCCCGTCTCTACTAAAAACACAAAAATTATCCGGGCATGGTGTCACACGCCTGTAGTCCCAGCTGCTGGGGAAGCTGAGGCAGGAGAATCACTTGAACCTGGGAGGCGGAGGTTGCAGTGAGCTGAGATCGCACCACTGCATTCCAGCCTGGGCAACAGAGTGAGATTCCATCTCAAAACAAAACAAAACAAAACAAAAAAACAAAGAAAAGCGGTACATGTTCTTTTTATTCAGCCACGATTTAGCATAGAAAAATCTAATATTTATCAATGAAAGTAAAATCCTTTTCTGTGCATCCTCTGAGGCACTGATTTCTATATTCTGTTACACATAATAATTAGATAACAACATCAACAGCAGTGACAATAGCTAGCATTTACTTGAAGACAAAGGTGAATAAGACAGAGTCCTTGTCCTCAACAGCTCACAGTCTGTTTTATAAATCTGGTTCCAATTAAATTTAATTACCAGAGCCTCTTAATGTCACCCTTTATTCTGCATAGAGAAAACACTAAGTTTTATCCTGTTTATTTTGTAATTCAGGGAGGACTGATAATAAGTAAAGCAAGCCATTCTCAGTTCCTTATTCTGCTATTAAGTAGCAGTTAACTTCCAATTTTCTTTCTTGCTCTCCTTAATCTCTCAGCTCATCCTGATTCCGGGTAAAATGGCAGCTTTATCATATGCATCGAATTACTTTCTCCATTTCACTTTGCTTTCATTGCATTTTGATTGAAAATCAAAAAGAACATAAAATCGGGGAGCATCTGCCTCAGGGAAGAGGTCATCCACGGGCCATACTTTGGAGGAATTTCTGCCAAGTTGAGTACAGTGGGACCAGCCTGAAGGAGGGCACTGATCACCAACTGGTGGCTTTCCTTCTAAGAAGCAGTGGGCTGGTGAAGGATGAGAGGAAACACTATCCTGGCTTGGAAGGCAGAAGGATGGGCCATAGGTCAGAAGGGGAATGCCATCCCTGGAATCCTTATTCCCACTGAACGGCCAGCAGCTAAGAGCAGCTGAGTCACATATGGCTTCACCAAGATGCCAAGGAACTGCAGTCCTGGGACGGAGCCAGAGAACAGCCAGACTGTGTATCTGGAAGGTCATAGCTGGGACCGACCACAGAGAGTGTCCTCTGGGCTAGACTGTAAGCTTCATGAGAGCAGGGACAGTCTGTCTCTCTCATCACCATATCCTCTGTGCCTTGCTGGCTGGATAATAGGTGTGTAATAGATATTTGTGGACATAAGGTGAGATCATTGAATTTATAATGTAAATTTACTTCAATCAGTCTGTTGCAATTTGCAGTGTTTTTTTCTCCAGGCCTGTTGCATTAGTGTCATAATGGGACATCCCTTTATGGCTGGGCTGGGTTGGAGCTATTGTTTCCTGGATCTCATTTCTTCTGACTAATCAGTTATCTAAACTTTTAAAGAAACTGTTCCATCAGGGGAGCGGAGTGTTCTATTGTCAACAAGTATCACTGATGGGAATCTTATATTTAATTCTTCTTTCTTTCTTTTTTTTTTTTTTTTTGGAGGCGGAGTCCCCTCTACCTCCTGGGGGCCAGGTGCGGTGGCTCATGCCTGTAATCCCAGCACTTTGGGAGGCCGAGGTGGTCAGATCACGAGGTCAAGAGATCGAGACCATCCTGGTCAACATGGTGAAATCCCGTCTCTACTAAAAATACAAAAATTAGCTGGCCATGGTGGCACGTGCCTGTAGTCCCAGCTGCTAGGGAGGCTGAGGCAGGACATTCACTTGAACCCGGGAGGCAGAGGTTGCAGTGAGCCGAGGTCGTGCCATTGCACTCCAGCCTGGGTGACAGAGCGAGACTCCGTCTCAAAAACAAAAACAAAAACAAACAAACAAAAAAATCCTCTACCTCCTGGGTTCCAGCGATTCTCATGCCTCAGTCTCCTGATTAGCTGGAACTACAGGCGCCTGCCACCATGCCCGGCTAAGTTTTGTATTTTTCATAGAGACAGGGTTTTGCCATCTTGGCCAGGCTGGTCTTGAACTCCTGACCTCAGGTGATCTACCCATCTCAGCCTCCCAAAGTGCTGAGATTACGGAAGTGAGCCACTGCGCCCGACCTCTTCTTTCTTTTTAAGTAACCTATTTTTCTTTCTCTAGAGTCTAGAAGTTTTAGACTTGTTTGCTTCATTTTTGGTGTTCTGAAATGTTGCAATGATGCGTCTGAGTGGGGTCATTTCTCAGTCATCCTGCCCCAGCACTTTATGGGGCCTTTTAATTTGAAAATCAGTGTTTCCCTGTAGCTGGGGGAAATTTCCTTTCATTTTTGACTAGGTTTCTCCCTGTTCTAAAAGATCTTTCTGGAATTTATATTTGAATTGTTTGATCTTCTGAGCTTGAGGCATACGCGTACAAGAGTCTCTCACTTTTATCTTGCCACCCTTCAATTGAAAATGTAAAATAAACTCTGGCGAGCGTATTTTTAAGATGCTAAAGCTTGCTCTTGTTTATCGGTTGTTGCTTTTTGTCAGTCCCATCAGGTCTTTGGTGGAGGAGGTAATGGCTGAAAAACGTGAGCTTGTTCTTAACCAGGGAAAAGAGAAGAGACCCTGAAGAAGCTAGTCGGCACAGAGTGTGGCTTCTGCTGCATGTCCAGCTGCTGTCTGTCCCCCAGGAGACCATTCTAGAGCACACTTGCATGGGGTGGAGGATATTTTCAGCTGCTGAGTCTTCTTCAAGGAGGAGTTAGAGTCAAGACTCTCTGTCTCAGAACCTTGGAGTCCAAATAGAAAAAAAAAATTGGAGATGTGGTAACATCAAGTGTCAGCCAAGCTGAGAAAACTAGATGCCAAAAATGATATGTGTAAAAAGCAAGCGGGCCAAGCAGACACAACAGTTGCAGAGATAAGAGGCAGTCGCTTTTCTTCAATGGAGGTGCCGATGCCTACAGAGGACTCACCCAGACCCTTCAATCTGATGTAGCAAATAATAAAGAGAGAGATTCGGTACCTATGGGAACAGCCTCTACTCAGTGACATTCAAGACATTTCAATGCACCATCTACCTCATCTACCCAGGTGGCACCACCAGTGTGGGGTCCAGGAGACAGTGCATCGGGAAGGGACAGAACAGCGATCTCAGAGACCAGGACAGGCTCAGAGGGACACCTTGACCCTGGGGAAAGAAGAGGAGCCAGGGCCTTGTTTACATGTTGAAATCCTCAGGAGGTCAAGGACGAGCCATACTGTGAGTGGCTGAGAGGCGCGGGGTTCTGATGGACAACGGGAGGCTGGAGGAGGGCTTTAAGAAATAAGGGACTCTGGTTTGGGTGAAGGAATGGTGGGCTGAGCTTTGTGCAGGGTGAGGCACTAGGGCTGACAGAGGGCACAGGGGGATGTGAAAGGACACGAGCAATGAGTAAAATAACTTTTGCCAGTTGTTTCCATGTTCTCCCTTCTTCCAAGAAATCCACTTGCACAGAGATTTTCATCCATAGAAAGCAGAAAACCCCCAAGAGCAGAGGAGGGTCTGCTGTTTATGAAAAACAAGGCTCAGGGCAACTAGGGCCAGAGGCAATAGTTTTTGATTTCAGAGAAAATTTTACGTTTATTATGTACTTTTTTTTTTTTAAATGGTGTCTCACTCTGTCACCCAGGCTAGAAAGTGCAGTGACACAATCTGATCTCAGCTCACTGCAATCTCTGTCTCCCGAGCTCAGGTGATTATCCCACCCCAACCTGCTGAGTAGCTGAGACCACAAGTGCACACCACCACGCCCGGCTAACTTTTTGTATTTTTGATAGAGACAGGGTTTTACTGTGTTGCTCAGGCTGGTCTTGAACTTCTGAGCTTGAGCCATCTGCCTGCCTTGGCCTCCCAAAGTGTTGGGATTACAAGCGTGAGCCACCGCGCCTGGCCTATAGCTAATACTTTGAGGATACAGAGAGATGAAATTCTAGTGATAGGAATATTCCAGGATGAGAATTGGTAGGAAAATACACTGAGTGCAGTCTGGGGAGAGATTACAGTGATTTGGAGAATTAATGGGAAAAGAAATTGAGCTGATAAAGAAGTTTGCATGAGAAAGAGAGGACAGTGTTTGAAAATTAGCTAAAGAAGGATGTGGGGTGTATTAGTTTCCACTTTCTGCCGTAGCAAATTATACAAACTTAGTGGCTTAAAGCAACAAAAACAGTCCGGGTGCGGTGGCTCATGCCTGTAATCCTGGCACTTTGGGAGGCCAAGGCAGGCAGATCACGAGGTCAAGAGATAGAGACCATCCTGGCCAACATGGTGAAGCCCCGTCTCTACTAAAAATACAAAAATTAGCCATCCGTGGTGGCGCACGCCTGTAGTCCCAGCTACTTGGGAGGCTGAGGCAGGAGAATCACTTGAACCCGGGAGGTGGAGGTTTCAGTGAGCCGAGATTGAGCCACTGCACTCCAGCCTGGGCGACAGAGCAAGACTCTGTCTCCAAAACAACAACAACAACAACAAAAACATTATTGTCTTGCAATTGTGGGATATCAGAAGTTCAAAAATGGGTTTTATAGTGTTAAAATTGAGGTGTCGTCAAGGCTGTTTTTTTTTTTTTTTAAGGCTCTAAAAGAGAAGCTCTTCCTTGCCTCTTCCACCTTATGGAGACCATCTGTATTCCATGGCTCATGGCCCCTTTTCCAGCAATGGCATCACTCTGATCTGTGTTTCTGTTGTCCCATCTCCTTCTCCTTCTCTGACTCGGGCCCTCCTCTTTCCCTTAAGTAAGGACCCTTGGGATTACATTGGTCCTACTTGGATAATCCAGGATCATCTCCCCATCTCAAGATCTTTACCTTAATCACATCTGCAAAGCCTCTTTTGCCATGTAAGGTAACATTCATAGGTTCCAGGGAGTAGGAGGTAGATATGTTTTGGTGAGGGGTGCAATATTCTGTCTACCATACAGGATTAAGGTAGGATTTTTTTAAAAAATGGGAGATACAGACATGTTTATTCACTGAGGGGAAAGGGCCAGGAGGGAGGGAGAGATTTCAGGCCTAAGGCAGAGATGTAAAGACTGATGAAGAAAGCTCTTCAGGAGGTGAGGCAGGGAGGATGCCCAAGGCACAGGTGTGGGTAACAGTCTTGGACAGGAGGAATGAAACTGGGGCAAAGATGAAGATGAATGCAGAAATAACGTAATTTGCAGTTGCCTGGAAGGAGGTAATATTCTAAAGGGAACTCGAGATGAGGTTCTCAGAGAGAAGAGGGCAGGGTTAAGGATGGAAGCTGAGGATGAGATGCTAATGCGTGATATGTAGGGGCAGTCAAGCAGTCCACAGAACCCCTTCAGGAGCAACTTCTCTGCAACCAGCAATTTCTTTTTTACTTTCTCTTTCTTCCAATTGTGCCTCCGTCTCAGCGGGAGGCTCCCACAATTAATACTGTTCTGGTTGAAGCTACTCTTGGTTCTAGTAAGTGAAAGAAGAGAGGAGAGATGTGTTAGGGGGATTCAGAGGTAGATTCTGGAAGACTTTATTGTGATGAGATCTTTACTGAGCCTGGAAAATATAACAATTTTATGTTTCAGATTCAGTGACATTTTCACAGGATTAGAACACCCTTTCCATGGGGTTAGAAATTTCTAAGCCTGGATGGTACAACAGCAACTTTCCAAGATGCCGCTCAAAGGAAAAAGTGATTCTGGAAAAGGGGGAAAAGGGGGAGCAGCCTCTGGGAGTGACAGCACTGACAAGAAGGCTCAAGGTCCCAAAGGTGGTGGCAATGAAGTAAAGGTCACACACATTCTATGTGAAAAACATGGCAAAATCATGGAAGCCATGGAAAAGTTAAAGTCTGGAATGAGATTCAATGGAGTGGCCACACAATATAGTGAAGATAAAGCCAGGCAAGAGGGAGACTTGGGTTAGATGACCAGAGGGTCCATGGAGGGACCATTTCAAGAAGCAGCATTTGCCTTGCCTATAAGTGGGATAGATAAGCCTATGTTTACAGACCCACCAGTTAAGACAAACTTTGGATATCATATTATTATGGTTGAATGAAGAAAATAAAATCATATGAAAGACTGAAAAAAAAAAGAATTTTCTAAGCCCATGAAAAGGGCACACTTAGAAATTTCTAACCCCATGGGAAAGGGTGTTTGAATCCTATAAAATTGTCATGAAGTTTTTCTGCCTGGCAGAAAAATATGAGATGGTGATCACCATTTGTTTCCTACTCTATTCAAGAGCATTTATTGTGACTAAGGTGAAGGAACCCAGAGGACAGGGACCCAAGGCTGAATCCAGTCCTCTGAGGATAAAAAGAGGATAGGGAAGAGAGGAGAGTACACCTGTCACCTACTCATGGAGAGGCTGCATCGATGACGTCTCTACTTGCTAGCTCAGTCTTTCCAGACCTGGGAACCTCCATGAGCAGTGGGGATGGATGGAGTCGTTGCTGAGGAGGAGCTCCAGGGTGTGATGTAGACGTATAATGGTGCGCACTTAAACTTTCCTCAGCAGCCCTATTAGGGCTGCCTGACTGCCTCTGAGATTTGAACCTGGAAGATGAGATTCCAGCAGTGGTTAAAGCAGGAGAGCCACGAAACTGGAAGAGAGAGGAGACTGCCTGGGCCTCAGGGGTGGGACAGGAACGTGTGGCCTTTGGGTATGACTCTGGCTTAGAGGGCGGGAAGAAGAAGATTAAGTCACTGCTGTGACACGGAGGCAGAGGCTGTAGGAGGCCCTGGGGGTGTTGGGGACAGTGACTTCTTTCTGATAGATGAGATGTGAGGTGTCCCGAAAGCTGCATGGCTGCACTGACGAAGGGATGGATGGGGTTTCTGGAATTGCACAATTGTCAATCTGATGCCAAATTCATTGCTTTTAGGATGAGAATTAAAGACTCTTGGTGTGTCAGGAGAGAGGAAGAGTTAAAGTCTTGAAGAGGACTCTGTGACAGCTAAAGGTACACAAAAGAGCCCGGAATTCCTGGGGTAGACAAAGGTCGTCTGGGGGACACTGACAGGGACATTTGGCTAGATCATGTAATAAGTATTACTTTGTATAAGACCATTTATTAATGTGCTCTACTTTTTATCTTGAAATAAGGAGTAGAAAATAAGGATGTATATTTTCTAGTGGAAGCTATTGAGAAAGGACTTGGTAGTAGCACGTTTGGTGTAATCATTTTTATTCTATGAGATCTAATACACTGCCGTGCCCATGTGCTGACTGCATCAGTGAGGATTTATTCAGCACCACACAATTATTTTTGATAATTGACAGTTTCAGGAAGCAGAAGTTTTCATCTTCAAGGGACTAAAAGTTCAGCAGGCTGTAGCATCTGTCTTTTAAGACGTCTGGATGCTTGAACAAACATTTAGAACTGGACAGTGAGGAATAATCACAGTGTTTCAAAAACACAAAAACCAAACAGACCTTCAACGTGCTATTCTCTGTTTTGTTTTCACTCATGCTCCCCTCATTCTCTGCCTTCATATTCTTTTTTTTTTTTTTTTTTTTTTTTTTGAGACAGAGTCTCACTCTGTAGCCCAGGCTGGAGTGCAGAGGCGTGATCTTGGCTCACTGCAACCATGGCCTTCTGGGTTCAAGCAATTCTCCTGCCTCAGCCTCCTGAGTAATTGGGATTACACGCACACGCCACTGCACCTGACTAATTTTGTGTTTTTAGTACAGAGGGGATTTCACCGTGTTGGCTAGGCTGGTCTCCAACTCCTGGCCTCAAGTGATCCACCTGCCTTAGCCTCCCAAAGTGCTGGGATTACAGGCATGAGCCACCGCGCCAGCCTCTGCCTTCATATTCTAATTGGTAGAGTCCGCTTTCTTATGCTGTCATTTAAAACAGTTAGAACAAGCACTGGCCAATGTGCCCAAAGGTATGGGGAGGGAAGGGATTCTTGTCTTCTTCCACTTCCTCCTGGCTGTATGCCCTCGGCAATCAGCTAGCTTTTTTGAACTTCAGCCTTTTAATTTGTAAAATGAGAATACAAGGTTTTTTTTTCTACCTCTCTTGTTAGTTATTTTGAGAAATGAGATACTATTTGCAAAATTACTTTCACAGCTCTAACATGCTATATAGCCATTTCACACAGCAGAGACGCTAAAGGCAGGGAGAAAGGACAGCAGAGAATAGCAAGAGATGGCCCCGGGAGTGAGAGTGGGAGGTCAGGCCAGGAGACATCTTGCATAAAGGCCATGGGAAGAAGTGTGGCCTTTGGACATTTTAATTTTAATTTTATTTCTTTATTTTTTATTCTTTTGAGCACTCTGTCACCCAGGCTGGAGTATATTGCTGTGATCATGGCACACTGCAGCCTCGACCTCCTGGGCTGAAGCAATCCTCCCACCTCAGCCTCCCGAGTATCTAGGACTACCACCACCATGCCCAGCTTGCTTATTTATTTATTTATTTATTTTAGTGATAGAGTCTTCTTATGTTGCTTAGGCTGGTGTTCAGCTCCTGGGCTCAAGGGATCCTCCCATCTCAGCCTCCCGAAGTGCTGGGATTATAGGCATGAGCCACTGCACCCAGCCTGAACATTTTTAAATAGGAGAGTGATTTGGTCAGATTTAAACTTTAGGTGTATCACTTTCAACTCTGTGGAGGTTGGATTTCCGAAGGACCAGCTGAAAGGCAAAGAGATCAGAGAAAGGAAGGTTACAATAAAGATACTGAGGGTGAGAACTAGGATGGTGGTAAATCGCTGGGATGGACAGCAGAGGAAAAAATAACTTCAGAGGTAAAATAAAGAGCACGTAGTGATCAACTGACTGGTGGGAGAGAGGGAGAATTGAGGGGTCCGTGAAAGAGGACTCCTGAGTTTCTGGTGTAGATTGACAGCCCCTAATTCAGATAAGGGGATATATTATACAAGGAGGAGTAGGATTGGAAAGAATGAAGGTGAGTTCCATCAAGATGCACTGAGTTTGTGGAAACATGGGGCATGGAAGCGGAAATACCCCATAAGCAGTTGGATGTAGACATTTGAAGCTTGGGGAGAATGTCAGGGCTAAAGATGTTGATTTTGGAGGCATCAGCTTGTAGTTATTTTTTAAATCTTAAAAGTGTTCCTAAGTAGCTATAAAATTTGAAGGTCAAATAATCTTTAGGAAGACTAACGTTAAGAGGTGGCATATTATTTTCTAATTACAACAGTGGCTTACAATGATACAAATTGATTGTCTTACAGTCCTGTAGGTCAGAAGTCTGACACTGGGCTTTTGACCACACTGGGCTAAAATCTAAGTGTCACCAGGGCTGTGTTCCTTTCTGGAGGCTCTAGGGGCAGAATTCATTTCCTTGCTTTTTCCAGCTTCTAGAAGCCACCTGTATTCCTTGATTTGTGGCTTCCTTCTTCCATGTTTGAATCCAGCATGGGTGGGTTGAGTCTTTTTCATGCTGTCATTTTGCAGGTTTCTCTTCAGCTTTTTCTTCCACTTTTAGGAACTCATGTGATTAGAGTGGGCCCATCTGGATAATCCAGAATAATCTCCTCATCTCAAAATCTTCTGATTAGCAACTCTGATTGCAACTGCAGCCTAATTCTCTTTTGCCAGGTTAGGTAATATATTCACAGGTTTAGGGCACGGACATCTTTGCAGCATTATCTGCTTACCACAGATGGTAGAAAGAAAAGGCTTTCATTAAGGGGGTCAAGGTATGAGTGAGAGTGGTGTCATCCTTGTCCTTGAAATGAGGCCCAAAGATCTAAAGCCATCTTCTTGGAATGACTCTATCTACTCTAACAACTTAAATTGGGTGAGTAATGATGTGGTGGACAACTAGAAGATTTGGATTCAAGTTCTAGGCTTTTCCCTCATGCTTTGGGACCTTGGGTCATCTACACTCTAAGACATTTTCTTCATCTGCACACCATGGATCATGATTATTCTTCCCTCGTAAGGTAATGCACACGAAAACTTTTAGCAAATTATAGAGGGATTTGCATATGTCAATGATATGCTGTTCAGGAATTTCCCTAAGACTTTTTCAAGATAGGTTCAAGCTATGTCAATATTCTCTCAGGTTCAACTACCTCTTTCAAGCTACAAGGTAAGGCTTCCCTCAATCCTGAATTGCTAGGCTTTAGTAAAAGGATCTGCATTAAATGAGTGACTCTGTCAGCCCACATATATAGGGTATATACATAAGCCACTTATGTATATAAGCCGCCATTAGTGAAATTGCTCCTGCTTTCAATGTTAACATCACCAGCTGGTGAATATTAGTTTGTACAAATGGAAGGTTCTAGAAAAGATGGGAGGGTATAAAGAGAGCCCCTAGTGGAGTAGGTCAGTGAGAACTCACATTGAAGAACTATCACCAGGAAAAGAGAGTTGACATAATCTGCACTAATTTAGAAGTCAGATAAAAAAGAGTTTAAACCTAAATAGGACAGATTTTGGTACTTAATGTAGAATTTTCTAAGGTTAGAGATGTCCAACTCTAGCATTAATGGGTGAAGACTATTTTTTTAGTGTTAAGGTATAGGCTGTAATGATCTTTATCATTAGGATTCCTGTGGTGGGTACTTATTTGGATGTTATGACTATTTAGGTTCCAAATGTAAGATTTTATAATATCTTTAACTTTCAGTCGGACATTGCTACTTGCAAATCCCACAGTCAACTTCAAACTCAATACATCTAGAATCTTCTGGTTTAAGCCCAGTTTATTTTTGCTACTAAGCGTCCCTGTTTCCATCAGTGGTAGCTAGTTTCTCAAGCCCACAGGCTAAAACTCTTTTTCTCTTCATTCTATGATGATTAATTAAGCACTCACTACATACCAGACAGTGAATGAGACAAAAGGATTACAAAGATGAATAGGAGATGTCCATTCCAAGTAGTTTGGTATCCTGGATACATCCATAAAAGCCTTCTGCTGCAATACATCTCATATGCTATATTTAAAAATTATTTAAGTGCTAAATTAGCAAGAAAGTAGGAGTACTCTTCAGATGCCCAAAGCAAGAAAATGCAGGAATTAAGACTGGTCAGGGCAAAACAAACATTAGCCATTTAACAAAAATAACAACTAATTTAAATAAAGACAAGATAAAGCTAAACTACCAATGGGATTAATCGGAGTTAAAGTACACTAAAGTCCTTGATCTGTTCAAGAGGTGAGTATTTAGTATCATAAGATTTAACTAAATTATATGTGTATGTTACGATTTCTAGAGTAGTCATCGAAAGAATAGAAATTGAGTGCAAAGCTTTCAAACTAGTAAAGGAAAAAATAAAGTAAAAAATAAAATTAATCCACAAGAATGGAAGAAAGGAATGATAATAATAGTTAAACAAAAGAAAATGAAAATGCAAAAAATAATAGAAATTACAAAATAAAATAAATATTAATTAACCATTTATCCCAATATATGTGAATGGAATCGATTATCCAGTTAAAAGTAAATACTGTCACATGAAATTTTAAAGACAGATTAGGCCAGGCACGGTGACTCACACCTGCAATCCCAGCACTTTGAGAGGCCAAGATGGGAGGATCCCTTGAACTCAGGAGTTTAAGACCAATCTGGGCAACATAGCGAGACCTCCTCTCTACAAAAAACAAAAAAATTAGCCAGGTGTGGTGCTGCATGCGTGTAGTCCCAGATGCTTGGAAAGCTGAGGTGGGAGGATTGGAGGTCCAGGCTGCAGTAAGCTGTGATTGTGCCACTGCGCTCCAGCCTGGGTGACGGAGTGAGAGCCTATCTCAAAAACACAACTATATATATATATATATATATATATATATATATATATATATATATATACACACACATATATATATATACACACACATATATATATACACACACATATATATATAAAATAAAAGATTAGCCATTTTTTGCTTATAAGAGACACACTTAAAATATAAAGTTGAAAGTAAAAGAATGGAAAAAGATATTCCAGGTAAATATTAAGCAGGTATAGTTATATCAGACAAACCATGTATAGGTGTAGCCATATCACACAAAATAGATTTTCAGGTAAAAAACATTATTAGAGACAAAGAAGATCAATATGTAATAATAAAAAAGTGCAAGTCATAAGACTGACAGTTCTGTTTTTAATTTTTTGAGGAACTGCCATACTGTTTTCCATAATGGCTATACAAATTTCAATCTCCACCAATAGCGTGTACAGTTTCCTTTTCTCTACATCCTTGCCAGCTTGTTATCTTTTGTCTTTTTAACAAGAGCCATTCTTTTTTTTTTTCTTTGTTTGAGACGGAGTCTCACTCTGTTGCACAGCTGGAGTGCAGTGGCATGCTCTCGGCTAAATGTAACCTCCACCTCCTGGGTTCAAGCAATTATGCCTCAGCCTCCTGAGTAGCTCGGATTACAGGCACCCACCACCACACCTGGCTATTTTTTTTTTTATTTTATTTTATTTTTAGTAGAGACAGGGTTTCACCATGTTGGCCAGGCTGGTCTTGAACTCCTGACCTCAGCCTCGACCTCCCAAAGTGCTGGGATTACAGGCGTGAGCCACTGCACCCAGCTCGACAACAGCCATTCAAACAGGAGTGAGGTGATAGCTCCTTGTGGTTAATTTGCATTTTCCTGATGATTAGTGATATTGAGACTTTTTCATATGCCTGTTGGCCATTTGTATGTCTTCTTTTGAAAAACGTCTATTCATGTCTTTTGCCTATTTTTAAAATCAGGTTATTTGTATTCTTGCTATTGACTTGTCTGAGTTCCTTAAATATTTTGGATATTAACCCCTTATCAGATGTGTAGTTTCCATATATTTTCTCTCCTTATGTAGGTTGTCTCTTTACTATGTTGATTGTTTTCTTTGCGGTGCAGTAGTTTTTAGTTTCATGCAATCCCATTTGTCTATTTTTGGTTTTGTTGCCTCTGTTTTTGAGGCCATATTAAAAAAATCATTGCCCAGACCAATTTCATAGAGTTTTCCCGTGTTTTCTTATAGTAGTTCTATAGTTTCAGGTCTTATATTTAAGTTTTTTTTGGTTTGTTTTGAGACGGAGTTTCGCTTTGTCACCCAGGCTGGAGTGCAGTGGCACAATCTCGACTCACTGAAGCTTCCTCCTCCCAGGTTCAAGCAATTCTCCTGCCTCACTCTCCTGAGTAGCTGGGATTACAGGAGTGCATTACCACGCCCGGCTAATTTTTGCATTTTCAGTAGAGACAGGGTTTTGCCATGTTGGCCAGGCTGGTCTCCAACTCCTGACCTCAGGTGGTCCGCCTGCCTTGGCCTCCCAAAGTGCTGAGATTACAGGCATCAACCACTGCGTTCAGCCTATTTAAGTCTTTAATCCAATTTAGAGTTGGTATTTGTATATGTTAAGAAATAAGGGTCTAATTTTATTCTACATATGTATATCCAGTTTTCCCAATGCTATTTATTAAAGGGATTGTCCTTTCCCCATTGTGTGTTCTTGGCACCTTTGTGAAAATCAGTTGGCTGTAAAAGTTTGGATTTATTTCTGGGCTCTTTATTCTGTCTCTGTTTTTATGCCAGTACCATGCTGTTTTGGTTACTATAGCCTTGCAGCATATTTTGAAGTTAGGAGTGCAATGTCTCCACCTTTGTTCTTCTTATTCAAGATTGCTGTGGGTATTTGCGGTCTTTTGTGGTTCCCTGTGAATTTTAGAATTTTTTTTCTTTTTTTTTTTAAAGAATGCCATAGGTATTTTGACAAGAATTGCACTGAATCTGTAGACTGCTTTGGGGGTAGTGTGGACATTTTAACAATATTAATTCTTCCAATTAATATTGTTAAATTTATTTGTATCCTTTTCAATTTCTTTCATCAGTGTTTTACAGTTTTCATTGTAGATAACTTTCAATTTCCTTGGTTAAGTTTATTTCTAGGTATCTTTTTTTGGAGCCATTTTAAGTGGGATTGTTTCCTTGATTTCTTTTTCAGAGAGTCCACTATTAGTGTATAGAAACATTACTAATTATTGTGTATTAATTTTGCATTCTGCAACTTTATTGAAGTTGTTTATTAGTTCTGACAGTTTTTTTGGTAGAGTCTTTAGGGTTTTCTAGGTATATGATCATGCTGTCTGCAATGAGGAACAATTTGATTTCCTGTTTTCCAATTTGAATGCCTTTTTAATTCTTTCTCTTGCCTAATTGCTCTGGCTAGGATTTCCAGTACTATGTTGAATAGAAGTGGGGAAAAGTGGGCATTCTTGTGTTGTTCCAGTTCTTAGAAAAAAAGGTTTCAAATTTTCCCCATTCCGTATTATGTTAGCTGTGGATTTGTCATACATGACGTTTATTGCATTGAGGTACATTCCTATACCTAACTTGTTGAGAATTTTTGTCGTGAAGAGATGGTTGAATTTTGTCACATGCTTTTTCTGCATCTATTGAAATGATCTTATAGTTTTTGTCCTTCACTCTATTAATGTGATGTATTACATTTATTGAACCATCCTTATATCCCTGGGATAAATCACACTTAACCATGATGAGTGATCTTTTTAATTTCTTGTTGAATTTGATTTTCTAACATGTTGCTGGGGATTTTTGCTTCTATGTTCATCAGGGATATTGGCCTGTAGTTTTCTTGTGTGTGTGTGTGTGTCCTTGTCTGGTTTTGATGTTAGGGTGCTGTCCTTATAAAATGTCTTTGGGGCCAGGTACAGTGGCTCAAGCCTGTAATCCCAGCACTTTCAGAGGCCAAGGCAGGTGGATAACCTGAGATCAGGAGTTCGAGACCAGCCTGATCAACATGGAGAAACCTGTCTCTACTAAAAATACAAAATTAGCCGGGTGTAGTGGCGCATGCCTGTAATCCCAGCTACTGGGGAGGCTGAGGCAGGAGAATCGCTTGAACCCGGGAGGTGGAGCTTGCAGTGAGCCGATATCATGCCATTGCACTCCAGCCTGGGCAACGGAGCAAGAATCTGTCTCAAAAAAAAAAAAATGACTTTGGAAGAAGGGCCTCTTCTTCAGGTTTTGGGAAGAGTTTGAGAATAATTTATATTAGCTTTTCTTTAAATATTTGGTAGAATTCATCACTGAAACAATCAGGTTCTGGGCTTTTCTTTGATGGGAGACATTTTATTATTATTTATTTTTTTTATTATACTTTAAGTTTTAGGGTACATGTGCACATTGTGCAGGTTGATTACATATGTATACATCTGCCATGCTGGTGTGCTGCACCCACTAACTCGTCATCTAGCATTAGGTATATCTCCCAATGCTATCCCTCCCCCCTGCCCCCACCCCACCACAGTCCCCAGAGTGTGATATTCCCCTTCCTGTGTCCATGTGATCTCATTGTTCAATTCCCACCTATGAGTGAGAATATGTGGTGTTTGGTTTTTTGTTCTTGCGATAGTTTACTGAGAATGATGATTTCCAATTTCATCCATGTCCCTACAAAGGACATGAACTCATCATTTTTTATGGCTGCATAGTATTCCATGGTGTATATGTGCCACATTTTCTTAATCCAGTCTATCATTGTTGGACATTTGGGTTGGTTCCAAGTCTTTGCTATTGTGAATAATGCCGCAATAAACATACGTGTGCATGTGTCTTTATAGCAGCATGATTTATAGTCCTTTGGGTATATACCCAGTAATGGGACGGCTGGGTCAAATGGTATTTCTAGTTCTAGATCCCTGAGGAGTCACCACACTGACTTCCACAATGGTTGAACTAGTTTACAGTCCCACCAACAGTGTAAAAGTGTTCCTATTTCTCCACATCCTCTCCAGCACCTGTTGTTTCCTGACTTTTTAATGATTGCCATTCTAACTGGTGTGAGATGGTATCTCATTGTGGTTTTCATTTGCATTTCTCTGACGGCCAGTGATGATGAGCATTTTTTCATGTGTTTTTTGGCTGCATAAATGTCTTCTTTTGAGAAGTGTCTGTTCATGTCCTTCGCCCACTTTTTGATGGGGTTGTTTGTTTTTTTCTTGTAAATTTGTTTGAGTTCATTGTAGACTCTGGATATTAGCCCTTTGTCAGATGAGTAGGTTGCGAAAATTTTCTCCCATTTTGTAGGTTGCCTGTTCACTCTGATGGTAGTTTCTTTTGCTGTGCAGAAGCTCTTTAGTTTAATTAGATCCCATTTGTCAATTTTGCCTTTTGTTGCCATTGCTTTTGGTGTTTTAGACATGAAGTCCTTGCCCATGCCTATGTCCTGAATGGTAATGCCTAGGTTTTCTTCTAGGGTTTTTATGGTTTTAGGTCTAACGTTTAAGTCTTTAATCCATCTTGAATTGATTTTTGTATAAGGTGTAAGGAAGGGATCCAGTTTCAGCTTTCTACATATGGCTAGCCAGTTTTCCCAGCACCATTTATTAAATAGGGAATCCTTTCCCTATTGCTTGTTTTTCTCAGGTTTGTCAAAGATCAGATAGTTGTAGATATGCGGCGTTATTTCTGAGGGCTCTGTTCTGTTCCATTGATCTATATCTCTGTTTTGGTACCAGTACCATGCTGTTTTGGTTACTGTAGCCTTGTAGTATAGTTTGAAGTCAGGTAGTGTGATGCCTCCAGCTTTGTTCTTTTGGCTTAGGATTGCCTTGGCAATGCGGGCTCTTTTTTGGTTCCATATGAACTTTAAAGTAGTTTTTTCCAATTCTGTGAAGAAAGTCATTGGTAGCTTGATGGGGATGGCATTGAATCTGTAAATTACCTTGGGCAGTATGGCCATTTTCACGATATTGATTCTTCCTACCCATGAGCATGGAATGTTCTTCCATTTGTTTGTATCCTCTTTTATTTCCTTGAGCAGTGGTTTGTAGTTCTCCTTGAAGAGGTCCTTCACATCCCTTGTAAGTTGGATTCCTAGGTATTTTATTCTCTTTGAAGCAATTGTGAATGGGAGTTCTCTCATGATTTGGCTCTCTGTTTGTCTGTTGTTGGTGTATAAGAATGCTTGTGATTTTTGTACATTGATTTTGTATCCTGAGACTTTGCTGAAGTTGCTTATCAGCTTAAGGAGATTTTGGGCTGAGACAATGGGGTTTTCTAGATATACAATCATGTCGTCTGCAAACAGGGACAATTTGACTTCCTCTTTTCCTAATTGAATACCCTTTATTTCCTTCTCCTGCCTAATTGCCCTGGCCAGAACTTCCAACACTATGTTGAATAGGAGTGGTGAGAGAGGGCATCCCTGTCTTGTGCCAGTTTTCAAAGGGAATGCTTCCAGTTTTTGCCCATTCAGTATGATATTGGCTGTGGGTTTGTCATAGATAGCTCCTATTATTTTGAAATACGTCCCATCAATACCTAATTTATTGAGAGTTTTTAGCATGAAGGGTTGTTGAATTTTGTCAAAAGCCTTTTCTGCATCTATTGAGATAATCATGTGGTTTTTGTCTTTGGCTCTGTTTATATGCTGGATTACATTTATTGATTTGCATATATTGAACCAGCCTTGCATCCCAGGGATGAAGCCCACTTGATCATGGTGGATAAGCTTTTTGATGTGCTGCTGGATTCGTTTTGCCAGTATTTGATTGAGGATTTTTGCATCAGTGTTCATCAAGGATATTGGTCTGAAATTCCCTTTTTTGGTTGTGTCTCTGCCCGGCTTTGGTATCAGAATGATGCTAGCCTCATAAAATGAGTTAGGGAGGATTCCCTCTTTTTCTATTGATTGGAATAGTTTCAGAAGGAATGGTACCAGTTCCTCCTTGTACCTCTGGTAGAATTCGGCTGTGAATCCATCTGGTCCTGGACTCTTTTTGGTTGGTAAACTATTGATTATTGCCACAATTTCAGCTCCTGTTATTGGTCTATTCAGAGATTCAACTTCTTCCTGGTTTAGTCTTGGGAGAGTGTATGTGTCGAGGAATTTATCCATTTCTTCTAGATTTTCTAGTTTATTTGCGTAGAGGTGTTTGTAATATTCTCTGATGGTAGTTTGTATTTCTGTGGGATCGGTGGTGATATCCCCTTTATCATTTTTTATTGTGTCTATTTGATTCTTCTCTCTTTTTTTCTTTATTAGTCTTGCTAGCGGTCTATCAATTTTGTTGATCCTTTCAAAAACCAGCTCCTGGATTCAATAATTTTTTGAAGGGTTTTTTGTGTCTCTATTTCCTTCAGTTATGCTCTGATTTTAGTTATTTCTTGCCTTCTGCTAGCTTTTGAACGTGTTTGCTCTTGCTTTTCTAGTTCTTTTAATTGTGATGTTAGGGTGTCAATTTTGGATCTTTCCTGCTTTCTCTTGTGGGCATTTAGTGCTACAAATTTCCCTCTACACACTGCTTTGAATGCGTCCCAGAGATTCTGGTATGTTGTGTCTTTGTTCTCGTTGGTTTCAAAGAACATCTTTATTTCTGCCTTCATTTCGTTATGTATCCAGTAGTCATTCAGGAGCAGGTTGTTCAGTTTTCATGTAGTTGAGCGGTTTTGAGTGAGATTCTTAATTCTGAGTTCTAGTTTGATTGCACTGTGGTCTGAGAGATAGTTTGTTATAATCTCTGTTCTTTTACATGTGCTGAGGAGAGCTTTACTTCCAAGTATGTGGTCAATTTTGGAATAGGTGTGGTGTGGTGCTGAAAAAAATGTATATTCTGTTGATTTGGGGTGGAGAGTTCTGTAGATGTCTGTTAGGTCCGCTTGGTGCAGAGCTGAGTTCAATTCCTGGGTATCCTTGTTGACTTTCTGTCTCGTTGATCTGTCTAATGTTGACAGTGGGGTGTTAAAGTCTCCCATTATTAATGTGTGGGAGTCTAAGTCTCTTTGTAGGTCACTCAGGACTTGCTTTATGAATCTTGGTGCTCCTGTATTGGGTGCATATATATTTAGGATAGTTAGCTCTTCTTGTTGAATTGATCCCTTTACCATTATGTAATGGCCTTCTTTGTCTCTTTTGATCTTTGTTGGTTTAAAGTCTGTTTTATCAGAGACTAGGATTGCAACCCCTGCCTTTTTTTGTTTTCCATTGGCTTGGTAGATCTTCCTCCATCCTTTTATTTTGAGCCTATGTGTGTCTCTGCAAGTGAGATGGGTTTCCTGAATACAGCACACTGATGGGTCTTGACTCTTTATCCAATTTGCCAGTCTGTGTCTTTTAATTGGAGCATTTAGTCCATTTACATTTAAAGTTAATATTGTTATGTGTGAATTTGATCCTGTCATTATGATGTTAGCTGGTTATTTTGCTTGTTAGTTGATGCAGTTTCTTCCTGGTCTCGATGGTCTTTACATTTTGGCATGATTTTGCAGCAGCTGGTACCGGTTGTTCCTTTCCATGTTTAGCGCTTCCTTCAGGAGCTCTTTTAGGGCAGGCCTGGTCGTGACGAAATCTCTCAGCATTTGCTTGTCTGTAAAGTATTTTATTTCTCCTTCACTTATGAAGCTTAGTTTGGCTGGATATGAAATTCTGGGTTGAAAATTCTTTTCTTTAAGAATGTTGAATATTGGCCCCCACTCCCTTCTGGCTTGTAGAGTTTCTGCCGAGAGATCCGCTGTTAGTCTGATGGGCTTCCCTTTGAGGGTAACCTGACCTTTCTCTCTGGCTGCCCTTAACATTTTTTCGTTCATTTCAACTTTGGTGAATCTGACAATTATGTGTCTTGGAGTTGCTCTTCTCAAGGAGTATCTTTGTGGCGTTCTCTGTATTTCCTGAATCTGAACGTTGGCCTGCCTTGCTAGATTGGGGAAGTTCTCCTGGATAATATCCTGCAGAGTGTTTTCCAACTTGGTTCCATTCTCCCCATCACTTTCAGGTACACCAATCAGACGTAGATTTGGTCTTTTCACATAGTCCCATATTTCTTGGAGGCTTTGCTCATTTCTTTTTATTCTTTTTTCTCTAAACTTCCCTTCTCGCTTCATTTCATTCATTTCATCTTCCATTGCTGATACCCTTTCTTCCAGTTGATCGCATCGGCTCCTGAGGCTTCTGCATTCTTCACGTAGTTCTCGAGCCTTGGTTTTCAGCTCCATCAGCTCCTTTAAGCACTTCTCTGTATTGGTTATTCTAGTTATACATTCTTCTAAATTTTTTTCAAAGTTTTCAACTTCTTTGCCTTTGCTTTGAATGTCCTCCCGTAGCTCAGAGTAATTTGATCGTCTGAAGCCTTCTTCTCTCAGCTCGTCAAAGTCATTCTCCATCCAGCTTTGTTCCGTTGCTGGTGAGGAACTGCGTTCCTTTGGAGGAGGAGAGGCGCTCTGGGTTTTAGAGTTTCCTGTTTTTCTGTTCTGTTTTTTCCCCATCTTTGTGGTTTTATCTACTTTTGGTCTTTGATGATGGTGATGTACAGATGGGTTTTTGGTGTGGATGTCCTTTCTGTTTGTTAGTTTTCCTTCTAACAGACAGGACCCTCAGCTGCAGGTCTGTTGGAATACCTTGCCGTGTGAGGTGTCAGTGTGCCCCTGCTGGGTGGTGCCTCCCAGTTAGGCTGCTCGGGGGTCAGGGGTCACGGACCCACTTGAGGAGGCAGTCTGCCCGTTCTCAGATCTCCAACTGCGTGCTGGGAGAACCACTGCTCTCTTCAAAGCTGTCAGACAGGGACATTTAAGTCTGCAGAGGTTACTGCTGTCTTTTTGTTTGTCTGTGCCCTGCCCCCAGAGGTGGAGCCTACAGAGGCAGGCAGGCCTCCTTGAGCTGTGGTGGGCTCCACCCAGTTCGAGCTTCCCGGCTGCTTTGTTTACCTAATCAAGCCTGGGCAATGGCGGGCGCCCCTCCCCCAGCCTCGCTGCCGCCTTGCAGTTTGATCTCAGACTGCTGTGCTAGCAATCAGCGAGACTCCGTGGGCGTAGGACCCTCCGAGCCAGGTGCCGGATATAATCTCGTGGTGCGCCGGTTTTTAAGCCGGTCTGAAAAGCGCAATATTCGGGTGGGAGTGACCGGATTTTCCAGGTGAGTCCGTCACCCCTTTCTTTGACTCGGAAAGGGAACTCCCTGACCGCTTGCGCTTCCCAAGTGAGGCAATGCCTCGCCCTGCTTCGGCTCGCGCACGGTGCGCGCACCCACTGACCTGCGCCCACTGTCTGCCACTCCCTAGTGAGATGAACCCGGTACCTCAGATGGAAATGCAGAAATCACCCGTCTTCTGCGTCACTCACGCTGGGAGCTGTAGACCTGAGCTGTTCCTATTCGGCCATCTTGGCTCCTCCCCCCCCGACATTTTATTATTGATTCAATCTCCTTACTTGTTATTGTTCTGTTCAGATCTGTATCTTCATAATTCAATTGTAGTAGGTTGTATGCGGCTAATATTTTTCCATTTTTTCTAAGTTACCCATTTTGTTGGCATATAGTTGTTCATAATAGTCTCTTAAAATCTGTTGTATTTCTGTAGTATCAATTGTCTCTTTTTTCATCTCTTATTTATTTGAGTCTTCTTTTATTCTCAGCCTAGCTGAAGGTTTGTTCATTTTGTTAATCTTCAAAAAAACACCCAAGTCTTCGTTTATCTTTTGTATTATTTTTTCTATTCTGTATTTCATTTACTTCTGCTCTGATTTTTAGTATATTCTTCCTTCTACTAATTTTGGGTTTAGTTTGCCCATATTTTTCTAGTTCCTTGAGGTGCAGTGTTAGGCTGTATGAGATCTTCCTTTTTGATGTTGGCATTTGTTGCTATAAACTTTCCTTATAGAGCTGCTTATGCTGTATGCCACAGGTTTTGATACATTGTGTTTCCATTTTCATTAGTCTCAAGATATTTAAAAATGTTCCTTTGAATTTCCTCATTGACCTATTGTTTTTCTAGGAGCATGTTGTTTAATTTCCATGTATTCGTTAATTTTTAAAAGTTCCTTCTATTATTGATTTTTAGTTTTATACCATTGTAGTCAGAAAGAATACCTGATATTTGATTTCAGTCTTCTTAAATTTGTTAAGACTTGTTTTGTGATCCTAACATATGATCTATCTTGGAGAATGTTCCATGTGCTGTTGTGAAGAATGTGTATTCTGCAGCTGTTGAATGGAATGTTCTGTATATGTCTGCTAGGTCTATTTGGTCTAGAGTGCAGTTTAAATCTGATAGTTCTTTGTTGATTTTCTGTCAGATGATCTTTTCATTGCTAAAATGGGAGTGTTGAAGACCCCTACTATTATTGTATTACAGTCTGTCTCTCCCTTCAAAGTAATGTTTGCTTTATATATCTAGGTGCTCTGATGTTGGGTGCAGTAGTTACAATTGTCATATCCTCTTGCTGAATTGACTCCTTTATCATTATATACTGACCTTCTTTGTCTCTTTTTACAAATAACTTTAAATCTACTTATCTGATATAAGTATAACTCCTTCTACTCTTTTGCTCTTTTGGTTTCCATTTGCATCAAATATCTTTTCATTCCTTCACTTTCAGTCTGTGTGTGTCCACTTACAGGTGAAGTGAGTCTTTTGTAGGCAGACATATATGGGTCTTTTTAAAAAAATTCATTCCGCCACTCTATGTCTTTTGATTTGAGAATTTAATCCATTTATATTCAAGGTACTTATTGATAGGTAAGGACTTACTACTGTCATTGAGTTGTTTTCTAGTTATTTTGTAAATGATTTCTTCTGTTGTTACTGTCTTCCTTTGTGGTTAAATGATTTTCTCTAGTAGTATGTTTGATTCCTTGCTTTTTACTTTTAGTGTATCTATTACAGGTTTTGCTTTGTGATTACAACAAAGCTTACAAAAACGTCTTACAGTAGGTTATTTTAAGCTGATAACAACTGATTGCAAAAAACAAATCTTCTACACTTTAACCCCACTCTCCATTTGAATTTTTGATGACACAGTTTACATCTTTTTATATGGCATATCTCTCAATAAATTATTGTAATTATTTTTGTTTTTTAATAATTTTTGTCTTTTAACCTTTATACTAAAAAGTTAAGTGATTTACACACCATCATTACAATATTAGGGTATTCTGAATTTGCTTGTGTAGTTACTTTTACCAGTGAGTTCTAGACTTTCAGATGTTTCCATGTTACTCATCAGCAACCTTTTATTTCAGTCTGAAGACTACCATTAGGGTTTCTTCTAAGACAGGTGTGGTAGTGATGGACTTCCTCAGCTTTTGTTTGTCTAGAAACATCTTTATCTCTCCTTCATTTCTGAAGGATAGCTTGGCTAGTTACAGTATTTTTGGTTGGCAGGTTTTTTTCCTTTAACACTTTAAATATAGTATCCTACTGTCTCCTGGCCTGTCCAGTTTCTGCTGCTACTAGGAGGATTGGAACTCCCTTATATGTTATTTGCTTATTTTCTGTTGTTACTTTCAGGATCCTCTCTTTTTCTTTGATCTTTGACCTTTTAGTTATAATATGTCTTAGATCGTCTTATTTGGATTAAATCTGATGGGAGGTGTTTGGCCTTTATGTCCCTGGATATTCATATCTTTCTCCAGATTTGAAAAGTTTTCTGGTATTATTTCTTTAAATAAGATTTCTACTCCTTTATCCTTTCCTACTCCCTGTTGAACACAATGAACTGTATATTTGCTCTTTTGATGCTATCCCATAAATCCCATAAACTTTCTTCTGTTTCATTCTTTTTCTCTTCTGACTATATATTTCCAAATAACCTGTTTTCAAGTTTATAGATTCTTTCTTTTGCTTGATCAGTTCTGCTGTTGGTGCAATTGCATTTTCCATCTTGTTCACTGTATTTTTTAGTTCCAGGATTTCTGTTTGATTTTTTAAAATTATTTTAATCTCTTTATTAAGTTTCTCATTCTAGTCACTTATTGCTTTCCTAATTTCACTGAGTTGTTTCTCTGTATTTTTTGATGTTCAGTAGCATCTTTAAAATAGCGATTTTAAATTCTTTGCCAGGCAATTAATACATCTCCATCTCTTTAGGGTCTGTCACTGGCACCTTATTTTGTCTATTTGGTGAGGTCACATTTCCCTGGTTGTTCCTTGCGGTTATGTACGGATTTCTGTGCATTTAAGTAGGTATTTATTCCAGTCTTCACAGCCTGGCTTTATCTGGGAATGTCCTTTAGCAGTAAGCTTCTTCAGAGATTCTGGGCCGATTATCTGGTGTAGTCCCTAAGCCCATAACTGCTGTAGCTGTTGCTGTGCTAGGGGGTTGCCCTAAGACCTGGACTGCCATGCCAAGTGCACTGCTGGGCTAGAATCAAGTGGCTGCCAAGGCTGGCACACACTGAGCACACCCAAAGCCTACAGCCACTGAGACTAGTGCAACACTGGGGCATGTCTGTAGTCCTTGGCTGCTGAGTCCTGTCTGTTACTGTGGGTTATTCAGAGCCCTGGGCCACTGTAGTTGACTAGTGTTGATGCAAGCCAGGACTTGAGTTCATCTTGCAGTGGCTATAGGTTCCTATCCTGTGTTGGAGTGGATCTATAGGCTCTGTCACTGGCCTAGAGATAGGGGCCGTAGGGACTGCCTGGTGCTGGGTTTTACCATGGCAGGGCTGGTCTTGGTGTCCAAAGCAAAGTTTTATGTTTACTTTCCTCTCCTCCAAGTGAATGATAGGTCTCTCTCTGCTGTGCTGCCTAGATATGGAGGAGGGGTGATGTGGGTACTGTAAAATTGTTCTTCCTATATCTTTAATGCATCTTTTAAAATTATTATGCTATCACCAGGTGCTATGATTTCTCATCTGGCTTCCTTAGTTCTTATAAAGGTATTTTTATGTGTGGATAGTTGTTCAAATTGATGTTTCTGGTGGGGACGATCACTGGATAGTCCTATTCTGCGATCCTGCTTTGCTCTCCCATGGCCAACTTTTAACAAATTAGAAATAGAAGAAAATGTCATAATCTGTTAAAGATTGTCTATAAAAAAAATCTACTGCAAAGGTGAATAAGAAATAATTCCTGTCCTCAAGAAGCTTACAGTCAGGGGGAGATAGATGCAGAAGCCATGAACCACAAAATCATTCTTTGAAGTCCCTTTAACAAAGGAGAAGGTAAAGGTAACATCAATTAAGTCAGCCATCACATCTGAATTTCTTTTTATATAATAATATTGCTGAAATATTCCCTTTTCTATGACCTAACAGTGCAGTCTTCCTGCTCTTATTGCACCATTTTATCTGTAATTATATCTTACTGAAGAGTTTTTAAATGCTCTGCTAAAATCAAGCTGTACTGTGAGTATAACACTCACCTAGTCAACATGACATTTTGTCTCAGATTTAAGAAAAAAATTGTGAGGAAATTTTGACAGTACTTTAAAACCTTAAATTCTTTTTTTTTTATTACTAAGTATCATGTGTACAGGTACATTTACCACATCATGACTTTAACCATCTATGTTCTTCAAGGAAGATAGAGGCTTATGAATGGGGACAGAAATAGAACGAAGGTCAAGAACAGAGTGGGAGAAAATTAAAGAGTAGGGGAGCAAGGTAAGGATGTCTATTGTGACCTTTATCCTGCAATGAAAATACTTGGTAGTTTGTCGTTCTTTTGTTTAATTGTTAAGTACAAATGTCAACGTCTCCACTCTGATGCCTGAGTTTTATTCTCGAGCACAGGATTGTCAGAAAATTGGGTGAGGCTTAGGGATAGGTCTCTTGAACACATTACTTGAAAATAAAATGCTTAAGGTTTTTGAATACCTTTAATTTTTTTCATGTTTACATTATGCATTTTTTTGTGTGTTTTCAAAAATATCAGTCCTCAATTGATTTGGAAAAAAAATAGGTCCCTTACCACAGGGAGTCTGAGAAACACTGAAATAGGCTCCATTAAAATTAAGAAATGCTATTCATAAACAGATACTGTAAAGAGTGAAAAGACAAGCTACACAATGGAAGAAAATGTTCGCAACACATATAACTGACAAAGACCTAGTATCTGAAATGTATAAAGAACCCATTCAAGTCAGTTAGAAAAATGGGTTAAAAAACGTAAAGAGGCACTGCATGTAAAAAGAAATTCTAATGTCCTATAAACATATTAAAGGCCTCCACCTCATTAGTCGTCAGGGAAATGAAAAATTAAAACCACAATGAAAATTACACATGCAGTCACCAGACTGGCAAAAATGTAAAAGCTTCACAAGCCTAATGTTGGTAGGAATCCTGAGTTTCAGAAACTTTCAAATATTTATTGCCTGTGGGAATGAAAATGAATTAAACGATTTTGGAAAACCCATTGGTAGTATCTATCAAAGTTGAACATATACGACCCAGCAATTCTTGAGGACCCAACAGAAATGTGTTACATGTGTGAACCAAAGGACATATACAAGGATATTCATGGAAACACTATAATAGCCCCCAATTGAAAACAGCGAAGGTGTCCATCATAATAAAATGAATAAGTTGTTGTATTGTCACATAATGAAACACTTTATAAAAGTTGTTCTTAAAGCATGGACCATGGACCAGAAACATCAGCATCACCTGGGAACTTGTTAGAAATGCAAGTTCTTGAATCTCACTTTGGACCCAGTGAATAAGAACTATAAGAGTGGGGCTCAGAACTCAGAACTTACATTTTAAGAAGCCTTTCAGATAATTCTGATGGACTTTAAAGATTAAGAACAGAATTTCTCTCTGTTTCTGGCTGTAGAATTTTATTTCTACAGAGATAAATATGAATGAATTATAGCTTTTGCCAACAACATGAATGAGTCTCAGAAACATATTCTGTTGTCATAGTGTTTTTTGTGATTTCCCTAAGGTATCCACAGGACATTTCAGAGGACTGACTCTTCTGTAAATTCAGAAATGTCTCCATGCTCTGATGTTTCTCATCCAGAGAGTCAGTCCCACCTTGGGGCCAAAGTATTATGGCAGGAAACAGTAGGGAGAGATATGGGGGTCACTAAAGGGGTCTGCAGTAAAGGGTGCACTTTGGACTCAAGGAAACATTCAGACTCTAAAATGAAGTCCATGGGTGCCAGAACCCCTGGTGGAATGCTTGAACTGGGGCATCCCAGGCCTGGCTGTGATTGAAGAGAATAAATTCTGCTGCTGAAAATTCCCAAGGGTCTGGATGGAGAAGGTCTAGGGAAACTGGATATTCCTAGACTAAGAGATTGGTAGACGCAGAGGTTCTAGAGCATCTGCTTGGCTTGTCCCTGGCTCTGAATTACTGGCATTGTTTCCTGGGTCATTGCTGTTGTTGCTCCTGCCAAGACAATTTGGCCTGAGCCACACCTGTTAGAGAATTTCTACAACTTTGCTTGCTTCTTTTTGCAGTAGACAGTGCATTCTGGTGTTGCCTCAATAAAGGCCATATGAATTCCTGAGGTTCTTGCTCCTCTTGCTTTTATCCCATTTTCTCCAAGTGTTCCTTAAAGTTTAATAATTTTTTAAAAGGATTATGAGGTAGGTGTAAAAGACAAACTGTTCTAAGGTGTAAAAATAATCCCATTAATGCACTATGGCCTGAGTGGCTCATGGCCAAAGAATAGATCATGACTGTAAAACATGTTGCATTGAACTCTTCTAGCTCTATGGATTTCAATACCTTCTATACACTATCGGCTCAAAAATTTACATTCTGAGGACTTCTCCAAGCTATTCTCTAAGCTCCAGATGCATGCTATCTAATTGCCCACATGACACTTTCACTTTATCCTAAATAGATTTTCCTTCCATTGGCTTCTTACCCCATTCACCTTGTAAAGAATGCCCCTCCCCTAGTCTTCTCCATCTCAGGTAATGGCCTAATGGCCCCACCTTTTACCCAAGACCTAAGGCATGGGAGTCCTCCCTGGTTCTTCTGGTTTCCTCATCCCCCATATCCAATCTACTAACACATTTTTTGGTCTTGGAAAATTTATTTTTTTTTTAATAAATTTCTTTTGAAATTTAGTTTTTAGCCAACCACTTCTCTTTCCACTCTTTCTTCCCAAGAACAATCCATAATCACCTCTCCTAAATTTCTGCATACACTCCCTAACAGGTATTTCTCCATTCTTGTCCCCTTTAATCCATTCTGCAGACAGCATCTAGAGTAACTTTTTGAAGTAAGTAACTTAAGATGACCTAATTTCCCTAATTAAAACATGCCATGGCTTCTCATTACACTTAAGATCCAAATTTCCTGACATACCTACAAAGACAGGATCTAGACCCTGCCGACTTTTTTAGCCTTATCTGTTCCTCTTCCTCCAGTTTACCATACTGTAGCCAGGCTGGCCTTCCTGCTCTTTCTGAAACAGGACATACTCATCCTTACCTCAGGGACCTTAACTTTCCTCTTGTTTCCCTCTGGAATGCCTCCCCAGCCAGATGACCACATGCCTCTCTTCTTTTCATTGTTTGTATCTCTGCTCACATGTCATCTCCTCAGAGACATCTTTGACTATTTCATCTAAAATGGTACCTCCCTTCCACCTCTTGCTTCGGTCTTCTTATTATACATTATTTCCTTCACAGCATTCTCTATCTGAACGTTAATCATTATATTATTGAGTGTCTAGCTGAAAGATGATGAAGGTGTTGGCAGGAATATAAAGCAAGGGAGGAAACACATGTAACAGAAAAGTTGGCCGGATCATACTTCTTCAACCAAACATCCCTAAGTCAACCATGAGTCAGGCACTGTACCAGGAGCCAGAATTAGAAAGATGAATTAGACATGGGCTTGATCTCACAAGTCTCAGAGTCTAGTGTGATAAGCAGTATTTTCAAGAAAGGTTGGGAGCACAGGAAGTGGTATGTCTTGTGGGTATGAAGGACAATGAGGAGAGTTTCAAAGTTTTACGGGTAATTATATTTGGAGAAGGAGTTGGAAACTCTGGAATTGAGTTCTAGGTCATGAGCTGGGAGAATGGTGGAACCATCACTCTATGATCAGAAGGAGGGAAGCCTGATCTGTGACAACCTCTGACACCTTCAGAAACTCCCTAGCCAGAATTCGTGGTAGTCAAAAGCCAACAGTGGGCTGGGCGTAGTGGCTCACGCCTGTAATCCCAGCACTTTGGGAGGCCGAAGAGGGCAGATCACAAGATCAGGAGTTCGAGACCAGCCTGGCCAACATGGTGAAACCCAGTCTCTACTAAAAAATACAAAAATTAGCCGGGTATGGTCGTGGGCGCCTGTAATCCCAGCTACTCGGGAGGCTGAGGCAGGAGAATCACTTGATACTGGGAGGCGGAGGTTGCACTGAGCCAAGATTGCGCCACTGCACTCCAGCCTGGGTGACAGAGCGAGACTCCGTCTCAAAAAAAAAAAAAAAAAAAAAACCCAACAATGGTTGTGCTGAGACACAGACAATGATAAGAAACAGGAGCAAGGCATGGTAGCTAACAGGAGAGCTTCTGGTCATGAAGGACTCTGGAAAAGGAGAGAAGCAAACTATCTCCTTGGGAAGGCCTGGATTACTGGGCAATCCTTTTCTGGATCCAAGCCCTCTTGGGTTCTCCGTTTTCCAGGTCATTCCCATTCCTTCTCTATCTTTACCTTTCAGCAGTGCCTTCCAGCTCTTGGAAATCTATCCTGTTCCACAGAATCCAAGAGCTGGAGCTATGAGTTGACCCATTAGGACACATTATGATCTCTATTCTTGAGCTTTTGCCTGTATTACTTTCCAAGCTATGGTTGCTGGTTTCATTTCATGGAATGCTTAAGCTTTCTAGCATTTAGTCTCTGGAAGCTGAGGGGTTTGTCTACATAGGGTTCTAGTTATGGAAGCTTGGTGGACCCCACTTGGTACTGGGCATGCACTTGTAGCTCAGCTCCACCCACACTCCGGGAAGCCAGATTCTGAGGCCTTTGTCCACAGCAGCCTTGTTGTGGGTGCACTGCGGGAAACCAGCCTAAGATGCCAATTCTAACCCCTATCCCTCAACCTCAAATTTCACATAAAGTTTCTAACAAAAAATAGGCAAATTGGAGTGGTGACTCCAACGCATAATTTATGCTCAAGTTATGGCTCTTTCTGCAAACAAAGCTTTACCCTAAACACATCGGCCATCACTGGTGATGGTCTGAGTCCAAAGTCCATTTCCATGATGTGTAACCAGGGAACTTTATGTCTTAATCAAGATGGTATTTATGTCTGAGGAAATATCTGAATATAATGTATTCCTCAGTTAAGCAGAAATCCCAAGAGAGACAGACTTCACCAAATGCTTTCATTTTATCCACACTAGCCATTTATAGCCTGGTTTCATAAGGAAAAAATATGTTTACTGACTGCTAAGGAGGTGTACATCTTAGTTTCTGAAAACTAACTTACTAAATAATGTGTTAAAATGGCTTTGCATTTTCAGGTTCTCATTTTCAGATGTCTACATTGTGAGCCATAAGGTCTGCAGTTTGCTTAAACCCAGATTATTATATATTTTTGCTTCCAGTGATATTTAATATTTGGTTTACCTTTTTTACTTACCTATTCATAATGAATGGCTGATGATCTTGAAGTGGATTCAGCTTTAGTGTAAAACATATAAACATATGCTGTTCTTTTTTTTTTTTGATGGATTCTCACTCTGTCGCCCAGGCTGGAGTGTGGTGACGCAATCTTGGCTCACTGCAACCTCCACCTCCCGGGTTCACGCCATTCTCCTGCCTCAGCCTCCCAAGTAGCTGGGACTACAGGCACCCGCCACCATGCCTGGCTAATTTTTTTTTTTTTTTTTTTTGAGACAGAGTCTTGCTCTGTCACCCAGGCTGGAGTGTGGAGTGCAGTGGCACAATCTTGGCTCACTGAAAGCTCTGCCTCCCAGGTTCATGCCATTCTCCAGCCTCAGCCTCCCGAGTAGCTGGGACTACAGGCACCCGCCACCATGCCCGGCTAATTTTTTGTATTTTTTTAGTACAGACAGGGTTTCAACATGTTAGTCAGGATGGTCTCGATCTCCTGACCTGGGGATCTGCCCACCTCGGCCTCCCAAAGTGCTGGGATTACAGGCGTGAGCCACCATGCCCAACCTTTTTTTTTGTATTTTTAATAGAGACGGGTTTCACCATATTAGCCAGGATGGTCTTGATCTCCTGACCTCGTGATCTCCTGCTTCAGCCTCCCAAAGTGCTGGGATTACAGGCGTGAGCCACTGTGCCCGGCCAACATATGCTGTTCTTGATACATGCTGTATACATCTTTCTAAATACGCATGTGTTTACCAGAGAACAATTTGCAGAATAAAGATTCTGTTAGGAAAGTGGCTTGAAGGCTAAAGATTCATTAATCTGGGTTTACAAAAGAGATATAAATGGGACAGAGAGCAGTGACCACCTGCTTATTTAGTTTCAAAAATACTAGCATAGTGCTTTGCTGGTGAGTGAACTTCAACATTTTGGAGGGATTGATAGAACACGAGAACGTGTTGGGTAGAAGGGAGGAGGAAGCGGTAATGTGGGATACAGTGTTCCTAACATTTTTCCTATCAATCCATAGACCTTCAAAAAGTCCTGAGAAAAAGGGTTTTATAGTCAAACAAGTTTGGAAAGTAGTATATACTGTATCTCCCTTTTGGAAATTCACAGAGTATAATAGCACTATAAAGGCTCTGAGAAAATCTTCAATCAAGAAAACCTGTTCACTTTGTTTAAGCACTAGAGTGCTTTTTTGTTTTGGTTTTTTTGGAGACACATATTGATATGGCACCATCTAGGTCTGAGTTTGTTGAATCGGAGTTCATTGCTATGGCTTTTTCCCATGACTCTGGGGCATTGGGGGATGGGCCTGAGGCACTATAGACAGGGGAGGTCGAGGCAAAGCCTCAGACAGATGTTGTCAAAGATAACCAAAGCTGGATGCTGGGTTGAAGTGGCAAGGGCAGATTGTAACCTGTGGTCCACTATTGCAACTGGGAAAAGAGTCCCATGTGAACTGACCTCAGCTTTAGTTTATTCGGAGGTGACTGGGTATTTTAAAGGGAGAAATGAAGGCATATGGATAGGGCAGTGTGGGGCCTCAGTAGAGTCAGGGAAGTGAACAATTACAAAAAGCAGGAAGGGGCTTTGGAGTTAGTCCATGTGAAACCCCTCTGGGTTTGCTAACTGGCGCTTATTGAAGTCAGGCTCCTACCCTTGCGCAGAGGCTAGGAGACAGGGTATCTATCTTCAGGTGATGGCTGGAACAAACAGTCCATTGCTTTGGCAGCCATGAGTTTTCTCAAGAAGGCAGTCTAGGTCATCCTAACAGCCTCGAGCGGTTAGAAACTGTGTTAGTGTATGTTCAATCCCTTTATAGGCCGAGGTTGAGGCCTCATCAAGAGGAGGGCTCCGAGGAGCCTGGCAGGAGTTTGGTCAAGGAAAGAATTTTTGTCAGTGTCGTGTGCTGTCAGAACTGGGTGTAGAAACCAGAGACTCATGCTCAGAAACAAGATGGGGAAACACGTGCCCCTCATACACTTCCCTCTAGTGTCTAATCAGCTCTCTGGCACAACAGTTCATTTGGCACCAGCCTCAGTTTACCTTCCTGCTTTTAGCACTTAATTACTTCACATGAGAAAAGCAGAAAAAGAGAGGATGATATAATGGTGAAGGCCACTGCATGAATTTTCATGATCCTTTGTTCTTTCCTATCAGATATCCCAAAATTAGAAATGGGAGAGATTGATTTTATATATCAGGTGAAGACATTTTGATTTAGATCAAATTGCGTTTAAATTAGCAATTCTACTTCTGAGAACACATTTCAAGGGACTGTCTCTAAATACTCCCTTCCGCCCACGCACATGCAGCTGGCTACCCCGTCTTGCCAATCACGCCCTCACGTGTGCCTTACGTCCATCTGTTTGCTCATTCTCCTCGCCCAGCTCCCATCCGCATTGCCTCTTACCACCATTGTTTCCACGGGCCCCTGATAGAATTTCAATGCAACCTGCTCCCATGTCACCCTTCATTCAATGGACAGTCCCCAAATACATCTTCCTACAGTACATGTCATTCTTCTGCCTAAAATCTTCAGTGACTTCCTTCTGTTCTCAGAGTCAAGTCCAGTCTCCTCAGAATGGTATCAGCTTCTGCTAGGATGTGGTCCCAATCTATGTTTTACTCTTATACTCCATCAGTTTCCTAAATATATTTGCCTCCCAACCAAGCTCTCCCCTTACCTCCTTTGATCTTTGCCTAAGCTGTTTTCTTCTTAGCATGACCTTCCCTAATCAACTTCTTAAAGACTTACCCATCCTTCAAGGTGCAATTTCAAAATGCCAACTTTTCCGTGAAGTCCCCCGGTCCTTCGAGCCACAAGGGATCTTTGCTGCTTCTGTGTTCCCATGGCTCTTTTGCTTTTAGTTTTAGTTATTTATATCTTCGTTTAGTTACGTGTGTCTTTATTTTATCTCCTTGGAGGAAAGGATGACTTTTAATCCACCTCGTTATTTCGATATAACCTAGTATAGTGCACACTGGCCTGCACTTAGTAGGAGATCATCTGTTAATGATTGCGAAATGAACTACAAAGATCAGGGAAGTATTTCTTTTTACAAGAAGTATTTATATTCTGGATATTTTCCTTTAGGAACAATATCACTCATTTTGCCAGTAGAAGTATAAATTGCAATGCAACCATCTTTATTTAAGAGTGAGTTTTTTGAGAGCAAAAAGGGGTGAGCCCTGGGCAACATAATCCAGTTAGTCCAATTTTTACTTTCCATTCTAATTTATTTGTTTTTTTGGGAGGGGATGACATAAGGTTGAGACCAGTTTCCCTGCTTCTAAATGCCTGAAAAATGATCAATTCTGAATTATATTATGGTTCTCTTGAATCTGTCTATGTAGTTAATCCTCTCTGGGAACCCGTAAAATTTAGACTTTTAGTATGGTCCACGGACTGTTGCTTATTATTATAAAAATATTGAAACAATTATGCGAATACATCTCTAATTACTGTATAATTATATATGATAATAGAAAAACAAAATGTTCTTCCTAATTTTTATCTTCGGTGTATCTTGAGTTAGAATAATTTGAGATGTAATTTTGACGTACATAAAAATAGATTTTAAATCTTAAAGTTCATTTAACGAAAGCTAAAAATTACCTTTATCCATCATGGTGATGGGAAAACTTTAATTGAAAACAGATTAGCAGGTGTGTCCTGCATGCCCAGCTTATGTTGATCTTGAGTATGTTTTTAGTATGTGATTTGAGGCCGTGGTACCAGACTTTAGAGAACAATGCATAATTCATTGCCATCATCATTTTCACAGAACAGTGTTGTTGAAGCCTTTCCTTGGGCTTGGGGCCGTCTTGGCTGTTTCAGAATTTTGGTGAGCAGATTGAGTGATAATTTTAGGCTTCTAAAATCAGTCTGTGTCCCCTCAGTCACATGATGTCATAAGCAGCTGGTGTTGCCTTGGCAACTTTACAGAATAAAAGTGCTGCTTTTGGTAAAACTTTGGGTCATGTGACCTAGCTCTGTAGCTGGGGAAAACGACACAAAATTATTACTTACTTCACCAAAACAAACCAAGATTCACATAAGAGAAAAACAAATCCAGAACTCAAAGTCCCATGTGAATTAATTACCCACCTTGCCATCATCTGAAAGGCAAGTTTGTTTGACTTTGTAATTTCAACATGCTTCACTCCCCGCAATACTTTGAGATTCATCTTCTCCTTTCCCCAGCCCTCCCTATGACCCAGGAAAGTGCATCCATTTCTGAGACGTTAGCAAGGCTGGGAGAAGAATGACAAAACTAATCAATCCAGAGGAGTTCTGACTGCCTAACCTTTCATCCTGTGTGTTCTAGTGCCCCGTGCTGTAAAGAGTTCGATTACTGCCACCAATTTGCTGTGTGATTTGGGGAGAAACATCTCGTGGTTAAGGCCCCCCTCCTCTATTGCAGACAAGGGGCTTACTGTCAAGAAATCATGGTGCCCTTCAGCGATTGGGTAAATCAGTCTATAAACTATGAATAGCCAGCAATAATTATTTAGATGTTCCTGCTACATAGCTATACGAAATGATAAAATTACTTTGTATTTTTTTTAGGATTCTAAGTACCCATATTTAAAATAATACTTGAAAACAGAAAAATATAAAGAAATGGAATAAACATAATATAATCCTGTCATCTAGAGAGCATAACTATGAATATTTTAGAAATTTTCCTTCCATTTTTAAACATGTTTCCATGTAAACAAATTATAATACATATATTTCAAAATAAACAGGCCAGGCCCGGTGGCTCATGCCTGTAATCCCAACACTTTGGGAGGCCGAGGCAGGTGGGTCACGAGGTCAGAAGATCGAGACTATCCTGGCTAGCACGGTGAAACCCTGTCTCTACTGAAAAATAGAAAAAATTAGCCGGGCGTGGTGGCGGGCGCCTGTGTTCCCAGCTACTTGGGAGGCTGAGGCAGGAGAATGGCGTGAACCTGGGAGGTGGAGCTTGCAGTGAGCCGAGATTGTGCCACTGCACTCCAGCCTGGGCAACAGAGCGAGACTCTGTCTCAAAACAAAACAAAACTAAACTAAAAAACAAAATAAACAAATTATATGACACACACACAAGCAAATATATGTATGTATATATAATATTACTGTTTCTCCTTCACATAAAACTGATGTGTCCATGGCATCCATAAATTTGTGTATCTATTTATTTCTCCACCTTATACAACAAATAATTTAAGGTGGTTTAAACTTACTTTTTGAGCAAGACTCTTATTTTTAAATTTAACCCCTTCTATATTGTTTGGCTTCTCTAATATTGTGCTATTATAAGTAATATGAAAAAATCTTTGCATTTTAGAGTGTCAGATGTGTGACTATAATATCAAAATTTATATAACAATTTTTAAGGCTCTGTACACATTGAAAAATTGCTTTCCTAGAAAAATTGTATCGTTTACTCCTTCACCAGTAATGGATAAAAATTCTAGTTTTAACACATCCTGTCAGCATCGAATCATATTTTTAAAAAGGTAATTTAATATCCAGTTCCCATATCTTGGTTTCTAATACCATTTTCTGACCAATGGAACCAGAGCTCCTTAGAGAAATGCTGATTGTTGGTCTGGGGGAGGAAACATATAAGATAAGCCTGGAGCATTGTAGGGCTAAAAAGTAAAGAAATGCTTTAAAAAAAAGGACAAAACAAAACAAAACAAAGAAACGGAGTATGTCAAAGAGTCACAGGCGCCAACTGGAAAGAGCTCTCAAAGGCCAAAGCTGGAACAGTTTGAGCAGCAAACTAAATAAAGTAGTATTGGATTATAACCCACAGTATAAAATAAATATCCATGAATCCACACTAATATAAATAATGATTTGACTAAATAAATAAATGGAGGAGAACAGACAAATCTCCCATGTGGAATAATCCCAAATAATTTATGTAGATTCTTCACTGTCAAGTATGCAGTGAGTAACATTCCCCTTTTTAAGTGTGGTCTGCACACAGTGACTTCTTTCCCAAGATTATGGTGTGAAAACAGGAAATAAAAGTAATTTTTTAGTGGAGAAACCTGATGAACACTACCTCAGCCAAGAGGTCAAGTAAGCATCAACAGTGATAAGTCATGATGGTGTTAGATCATACCTTGATGAGAATGGCACTTTGCCATGATCTTCCTCCCAAAACACACAATCACAGTCAAATCATGAGAATCACAGCAGACAAATGCAAATTAAGGGACATTCTACAAAATACCTGACAAGTACTCCTCTAACTGTCAAGGTCATCAAAAACAAGGGAAGTCTGAGAACCAATCACAGCTAAAAGGGGCGAGGAGGCACGACAACTACATGAAATGTGGTATCCGGAATGGGATTCCAGAACAAAAAAGAGGCTGCTAATAAAGACATGCCAGAGACTGGGTAATTTATAAAGGAAAGAAGTTTAATTGACTCACAGTTCCACATGGCTGGGGAGGCCTCACAATCATGGTGGAAGGCAAAGAAGGAGCAAAGTCACATCTTGCATGGCAGCAGGTCAGAGAGCATGTGCAGGGGAACTCCCCTTTATAAAACCATCAGACCTAGTGAGACTTATTCACTACCAGGAGAACAGCAGGGGAAAGACCTGCCCCCATGATTCAATTACCTCCCACCAGGTCCTCCACAACACGTGGGAATTATGGGATCTACAATTCAAGATGAGATTTGGGTGGGACACAGACTAACCATATATGAGATACTAGGTCAAGACTAAGCACGTATCAATAAACTGTGGACTTTAGTTAATAATACGATATCAGCCAGGTGCGGTGGCTCACCCCTGTAATCCCAGCACTTTGGGAGGTCGAGGCGGGTGGGTCACGAGGTCAGGAGATCGAGACCATCCTGGCTAACACGGTGAAACCCCATCTCTACTAAAAATACAAAAATCTAGCCGGGATTACAAATCCCAGCTACTTGGGAGGCTGAGGCAGGAGAATGGCGTGAACCCGGAAGGTGGAGCTTGCAGTGAGCTGAGATCACACCACTGCACTCCAGCCTGGGCAGCAGAGGGAGACTAAGTCTCAAAACAAAACAAAACAAACCACTATACCAGTATTGGTTCATTAATTTTAACAACCGTACCATACTAATTAAGATATTAATAATGGGGGAACTGGGTGTGGAGTATATTATATAGGAACTCTCTGTAAATCCAAAATGTTTTTCTATAAATCCAAAACGTTCTAACACAAATTTCTTAACTTATGTAATTTGAGGCATTAATTAAATAATTCATTCACTCATTCATTCCCTACTCTGTGTCAAGGTGCCATAATAGTGAAAGGAAATACAAGATTCCTGTTGTCAAGGACCTTACATTCAATAGGAGAAAGACGTACAATAAGCAAATAAAAATGTAAGTAAATATAGTGCTTTCAGATAAATAAAATAAAACAGTGATAGGATAGAGAATATCTACAGAGGAGAATGAGTTCAGGAAAGATGTCTTAAAAGAGGCAGTAATACATCCTAGACATAAATGACAGAAAGAAGCCAGCAATTAAGGCGTCAGGTATAGAATGCTCTGGGCAGAAGTAGTAGCAAGTGAAAAGTCCTGATATTAGATCATAGTGGTGGAGGGAGAGGGTAGTTGCCATGCAGGGCTCACTTGGCAGGATAAAGACTCAGGCAACAGCCCTGAAGAAGGAGGAAAGGGGACTAAGGGAGAGGCAGTTTGGAGGTAGAGCCCTCAAATAACTTTTTCTGTAGATGTATAGGAAATAGAGGAATCAAGGACAAATCCTATACTTTTGATTAAAATTACTGGTTTGATGGATTTATCATTCACTGAGAGGTTAAAGAAATAATTTTTTGGACCATATCAAATGTGAGATGCCAAGGATATGCTTGGATCTATGAGTCTGAAGCATATTGAGGCTCACTGAGGTGGTCATTGACATTCAGAGGGTATTGAAGTAAAGGAACTGCTTGCAATTACCCAGAAGGTAGAATAGACAGAGGAGGAGAGGGATAGAACCAAGTTCTTATGTTTTCTTCTGGGAGTTTTATGGCTTCAGGTCCTATGTTGTCTTCAATCCATTTTGATTTGATTTTTCTGTACAGTGTAAGATAAGGGTCCAATTTCATTTTTATACTTGTAGATATCCAGTTTTCCCAATACCATTTATTGAAGAGACTATTCTTTCCCCATCATGTATTTTTGGCACCTTTGTTGAAGCTTGATTGACCTTATGTGCATGAGTTTATATCTGGGATTTCTATTTTGTTTCATTGGTCTATGTATCTGTTTTTATGCCAATGTCATACTGTTTTGATTACTATAGTTTTGTAATATAGTTTTTTAAAAAAGATTTGGGGTTCTGTGTTCCCCAGGCTGGCCTTAAACTCCTGGGCTCAATTGATCCTCCCACCTCAGCCTCCTGAGTCACTGGAATTACAAATGCACACCACCATGCCCAGCTTTGAAATATAGGTTGAAATCGGAAAGTGTGATCCTTCTGGCTTTTTTGTTCCTGTTCAATATCACTTTAGCTATTTGAGGATCTCCTGTTTTTCAACATAAATTTTAAAATTGTTTTTTCATTTCTGTGAAAAATGCCATTGGAATGACAGGGATTGTGTTGAATCTGTAGATTGCTTTGGGTAGTAGGGACATTTTGACATTATTAATTCTTCTGATACATGAACATGGGATAGCTTTCCATTTATGTATGTCTTCTTCAATTTTTTTCATCAGTGTTTTATAGTTTTTAGTATATAGGTCTTTCACCTTTTTGATTAAATTTAATCCTATGTATTTTATTTTTTTTGATGCTATTCTAAGTGGGATTGCTTTCTTAATTTCATTTTTGGATAATTTGTTGTCAGTATGTAGAAATGCAACTGATTTTTGCAACTGATTTGATTTTCTTCAACTTCACTGAATTCATTTATTAGTTCTAACAGTTTTTATTTTTTTGCTGAGTCTTTATGGATTTCTATTATAAGATCATGTCATCCTCAAAGAGAGACAATGTAACTTCTTCTTGTCCAATTTGGATGCCTTTTATCTGACTAGGCCTTCCAGTACTACATTGAATAAAACTGGCAAGAGTGACCACCCTTTTCTTTTTCCTGATCTTACAGGAAAAGCTTTAAGCTTTTAATTGTTGAGTATGATGTTAGCAGTGAGCATTTCATAGATGGCCTTTATTATGTTAAGGTATGTTCTTTCTATTTCTAATTTTATCATGAAAGAATGTTGAATTTTGTCAAATGCTTTGTCTGCATCTATTGACACTGTCGTATGATTTTTACCCTTCATTCTGTTAACATGGTGTATCACATGTATTGATTTGTTTATGTTGAACCATGCTTGCATTCAGGGATAAATCCCACCCACTTGATCATGGTTTATGGTCCTTTTAATGTGGTGTTGCATTCAGTTTGTTAGTATTTTATTGAATATTTTTGCTTCTGTGCTCACCAGTGATATTGGACTGTAATTTTCTTTTCCTGTAACATCCTTATCTGGCTTTGATATGAGGGTAATGCTGGCCTTGTAAAATAAGTTTGAAAATGCTTCTCCTTCTTCAGTATTTTGAAACAATTTGAAAAGGATTGGTATTCATTCTTTTTCAAACATTTTATAGAATTCACTTATGAAGCCATTAGGTCCTGGTTTTTGTTTTATGGGACATTGTTAATTACTGTTTCAATCTCCTTACTCAACTTTTTCCACTTGTAAGAGAGCATAATTTGAGGTAGACAAATGTCAGACTTCACCTTTATTTTAGCACCTAAATAATAGTTCATTGTGTAGATGATAGTGTAATTAATTTATAAAACTCATCTTTTGAATATTCCAGTAGTTTTCAACCTTTCAAAATTATAAGTTCCTCTGTGATAAACCTTCAAGTATAAGTATCACTGTACACTTGGATTATTATTTTCTTACAATAGTGTTCTAAAAATTGGATTCTTGGGTCAAAATTTAAGTACATTTTTGGAGATTTTAAGGTATATTTGAAAGATCAAAGTGCCTGTTAGAAAGGTGGTAACAACTGATACTCCCACTAGCTGTGTATGAGTCTGTTTGTGTTTTCTCACTCCTTCACCAGTAATGAACATTATCACTTTTTTCATTTTTGCCAATCTAATAAGAAATAATAACTGATTTTTTTGAGTTTGCTTTGATCACTAGTAAAATTTAGCAATATTTTATGTGTGCTAATTATCTGTTTATACCCATTGCTTAATTTTCTTTTGGGTGTTCATTTTAGTTCTTTTTCATATACTTTGCGAATATTTTATGTTCTCTTTTAATGTTGTTTGTGAGTTTTTTTCTTAACATGAGGAAATCTTAGAATTTCTGTGTTCAAATCTTTCCCTTAGGTATCAGGCTTTCAAAGGACTTTTCTGCCTTAAGATTCCATAAATATGTGTAGTTGCTTTCAATGTTTTATGATGTCACTTAAAAAAATTTAGACGGCTTTTTCAATCTTTTATGTTAAAAGGAAAGAATTTGTTGCATGAATTGAAGTATAATATAATATTTCAATTTACCTGAAGTTGTTTTTTATTTCTGCTTAAACAATTTTTTTCAACCTTTATTTCTATTTTGATAATTCTTATTCTCTGTCTGATCTCTTTTCTTTTGTGATTTTTCCAAATTAAAAATCTTAGAAGTCGTTTTAAAGGGCTTAAAATTCAGATAATAAATTTGTTCTCCACAAACATTATGAAAAGTTAACTTTTTTTGTTCTCTGTATTGCTTTTTTCTTGTATCTTTATTAAAGGGTTTCATTGTTTTAATCTTTTATATTATTTGAAAGATATATATGTAATCTTTATTTTGATTATTAACTACATTGAAAAATTTTAAAGATTTAGCCTATGTTTCCCCAATTATCAGACTCAAGAGGGAAGTAATATCATTTGATTTCAGAAATAGAAATTTTAAAACTGTGTCTCATTCAATTCCCACTTCATAGTCTGTTTATCTGAAAGATATCTGAAATTTCTTGATTGCTGTTATTTATTTATTTAATATTATTATTGTTTTATTTTTGTTTTTTTTGAGATGGAGTCTCATTCTGTCACCCAGGTTGGAGTGCAGTGGCGCCATTTTAGCTCACTGCAACCTCCACCTTCTGGGTTCAAGTGATTCTCCTGCTTCAGCCTCCTGAGTAGCTGGGACTACAGGTGGGCGCCACCACACCCAGCTAATTTTTGTATTTTTTAGTATGGGGTTTCACCATATTGGCCAGGTTGGTCTTGAACTCCTGACCTTGTGATCCATCCGCCTTGGCCTCCCAAAGTGCTGGGATTAAGGTGTGAGCCACCATGCCCTGCCAACTGCTATTATTAAGCTGTTACTTTTTATATACTATTTCCTTTTGATATGGTTTGGCTGTTTCCCCACACAAATCTCATTTTGAATTCTAGTTCCCATAATCCCCATTTGTCATGGGAGGGACCTGGTGGGAGGTAATTGAATCATGGGGGTGGTTACCCTCATGCTGTTCTAGAGATAGTGAGTGAGTTCTCATGAGATCTGATGGTTGGGTTTTTCCCCCTTTTGCTTGGCACTTCTGCTTCCTGCTGCCACGTGAAGAAGAACATGCTTATTTCCCTTTCAGCCATGATTGTTAGTTTCCTGAGGCTTCCCCAGCTGTGAGTCAATTAAACCTTTTTCCTTTATGAATTACCTAGTCTCAGGTACATCTTTATTAGCAGCATGAGAACAGAGTATTACACCTTTGCAAAAATAATTTTTGTTATTTGCCTTCCATTTTATGCTCAGATATATGACAAATAAATATTTAGCATTATTTTAGTTTATCTGGTTTCAGGGCTCACTGACATTTTATTCATAACACAGCTTTCTCATTTCTCAGCTTTTAATGTTGTTAATTTTTCAGTCATTTAGAAAATACCTTTGAGGTTGTATTTAAGGGTGGTATATTTCTAAATCCTTAAACATCTCAAATGGCTTTCTACTGCTTTGAAATCTGACCAACACAATTTTTGGGTCACATGATTTTACCCTTAAAACTCTGTAGCTATCCATTGTCGTTTGGCATTTAAAGTTGCAGAGAAGACTGAGCACAGTTCGATCTTCCCTTCCCTTCTCTTTCCCTTCCCCACCCAGCTCCCCAACTTACTCCTCCTTTTCACCCCCTTCCCCGTCTTTCTTCCTCTTCTTCCCCCTCCCCACCTTCATTTCCCTTTCCTTTCCCTTCCCTCCCCACCCTCCACTCCCCTTCCCTTCCTTTCTCCTTGTTTCCTTCCTTCCCTCCCTCCCTCTGTTCTTCCCTTCCTTTTTTCTTTTATTCTTTCCTTCTCTTTCTTTCTTGCAATATTTTCTCCCTCTGCATGTATACTTGTATTATTTTATTTCTGTCATTAATTTTTTTTATGATGTGTCTATGATGTGGGTTCTTCAAATTGACTTTTGCCTAGAATGTGGTATGATAGACCCCATTACAATTCACCATATCTAATCTAGTGCCCTTTCATGCAAAGTCAAGTTTGGCCTTGTGACTTACCTTTTTCAATGACATATGAACAGGAGACACATGTGTCACTTCCAGGTGAAAGTCTGAAACCAAATCATGCTTTTCCTTCCTTCCCCTCTGCCATTATGACTGCAAATTTCCCAAGTGGTACTGTTTCCTCAAGAGCCTATAGTTTGAGCAATAAATAAACCTTTCTTGCTGTAAGACATTGTGATTTTGGAGGCATTTGTTACCACAGCATAACCAAGCCCATTCTGAGTAACAGATATGGTAAACTTTTCCTTTAGGCATATACATGTCTTTTTCTTTGGCCAAGGCAGTTGTTTTCAAACTTTATGTTCTCAAGTTTAAAGGGTGTACCTCTCCAAGCTTTTGTTTGTGTGTGATATATCTATCTGTATTTGCCATATTAAAAATTAAAACAGAGAATTTTAAAATACTTATTTATTAATTCACATAAAAAAACCCATTGTATCTTAGCCCATTATGAAAACCGGCTATATATTCCCAAACAAAATAAAATGAAATGAGAAGAGTGGCATTGTTTTTTATTATTGCAAATCTCTTTAAGAGGGACTATATAACAAATGGTGAAATTCTTATGTCTGCTTCTCCATCCACTTTGCTGCATGACATTGTTTTGACTGAAGCATATGAAGAAAACCCAGCATCACCCAGCTATGTAATTAGAGAAGAGAGGGGGATAATTTAAAAGCCTTTTGGGATGATTATGGATATTTTTCTTTGATATTTCGCCAAAACTTGGCAAGTAGTAGTTTCTTAAGGGTGAGTTGCAACGTGAACTGTGAAAATCACATTAATGATCTGTTTGTCCTGTGTTACATTAAAATCCATTGCTCTATCTTGCATTTAGAATGGATGCATTGGTCATTTGGAAAATATTGATTTACCGAACTTTATAGATCTTCTGAAAGTTGCCACATTTCATTATACTATGTTAGAAAAGTCACATTGTTTAATATTGCCATTATTTTATCAGAAAAACCTTATATATTGGAAAACTGTCAGATTCATGGTGGCAGATATACATTTTCCAAAATTTTAATTTTCCTTTAAAAGCCCAAGTTTTATCATTTGCACCAAATGCTGTCAGTTGCCCTTGAAGTGACAGATTCATTTGTTCATTTTTGAGAAAAATGTCTGCAACATGCCCGTATATGAATACCCATAGTTTGTCAGTAAAAATGCTATTTCATGAAGGAATTGGCTGATTCCACTGGCAATTAATTCACCTAAAAAATAACCCCATTATAAACAGGAGACTCATGGGTCACTTCCAGATGAAAGTCTGAAACCAAATCATGCTTTCCCTCCTTCCCCTCTGCCATGATAACTACAAATTTCCAAAGTGGATGGCTGTGTCATCAAAAGCCTGTAGTGTGAGCAAGAAATTAACCTTTCTTGCACACTAATGGAGCAACCATTGTACTATGCCATGTGGCAAAGGATTTTAGGGTATAACAAATTACCCCCAAATTTAGCAACTTAACACAAAAATAAACGTTTATTATCTCACACAGTTTCATCATAAGCGTTGACTGGGGCTAGAAGATCCATTTCCAAGATGGCTCATTCATGTACCTGGCAAGTTAATGCCGGTTATTGGTGATAGACCTCAACTCCTCTCATGGAAACCTCTGCGTGGGGCTGCTTAAGGGTCTTTATAACCTGGCAGCTGGCTTCTCCAGAGGAAGCAAACTAAGAGAGAAAAGTTAAAAGTTATCTTTTATAACTTAGTCTTGGAAGTCACACACCATTATTTTTGCAATATTCTGTTGGTTACATAGGTCATCCCTGGTCAGTGTGAGAGAAGCCTATACACGAGTGTGAATCCTAGGAGGAGAGATTCCCTGTATTGGCTTGGAGGCTGAATACCATACTATACTCATCACTCAGAATATAAAATGCTTGTTTGCAAAGGCTAAGATGTGATAAAATTAATACTTTCACTGTTTAAATGAGGACATTCTTAAATGAAACTGGCATTTTTAAAAACATAAGTGCATGGGGGTAAAGAATATAATGGCTACAAATACAGTTTGGTGCTATTGCCTCGATTTGAGCTAAGGTGCTAGAGTTTTATCCACTATGGCTTTTGTGCTATGACTGTGACTACCAAAACAGTGAAAAAAGGCAAATAATGTCATCACATTATTATGAAAATAGTTTTGACTTTATGTACTCTCTGAAAGCGTCCTGGGACCCACAAACGTTTGAAGACTACATTTTGAGAATTACTGATCTAAAGGAAACTTTCTTTTATTATGTTTTAGATGATTATTTTCTTCTTTGTTATGGTATGCTTTTTAGGAATCTCAATCATGTATATGTCAGAACACTGTTCCATGATCTTTTATAAATCGTTTCATCGTTCTAGTCTAATGATCACTTTCTTTTAAATCTGAGAATGATTTTCTAGTTGTTTTTCACATTACTAATTCAATTTTCTGCAACATCAATTTGGCATTTACTGTCCCCAATGAGGGTTATTATTATTATTATTATTTTATGGAGTCTTGCTCTGTCGCCCAGGCTGGAGTGCAGTGGTGCGATCTCAGCTCACTGCAAGCTCCCCCTCCCGGGTTCACGCCATTCTCCCACCTCAGTCTCCCAAGTAGCTGGGACTACAGGTGCCCGCCACCACGCCTGGCTAATTTTTATTTATTTATTATTTATTTATTTTTTATTTTTAGTAGAGACGGTGTTTCATCGTGTTAGCCAGGATGGTCTTGATCTCCTGACCTCGTGATCTGCCCGCCTCGGCCTCCCAAAGTGCTGGGATTACAGGCATGAGCCATTGCGCCTGGCCAGATCTTTCTAAACTTGTATTAAATTTTCTTTTTTTCTTTTCTTTAATTTTTCTTTTTTTTTTTTTTTAATTGAGATGGAGTCTGGCTCTGTCACCCAGGCTGGAGTGCAATGGCGCGATCGTGGCTCACTGCAACCTCTGCCGCCTGGGTTCAAGCGGTTCTCCTGCCTCAGTCTCCCGAGTAGCTGGGACTACAGTTATGCAACACCACGTCCGGCTACTTTTTTTGTATTTTTAGTAGAGACAGGGTTCATCATGTTGGCCAGGCTGGTCTTGGCTCCTGACCTCAGGTCACCTACCCGCCCCAGCCTCCCAAAGTGCTGGGATTACAGGCGTGAGCCGCCACACCAGGCCTAGACTTGTATTAAATTTTCTTACCACCTTGAATCCTCCCATGTTCTCCCTGCTGTGTAGGTGTTCATCTTGCTGTGGATAGCGTTTCGTCTGCCTCTCATATGCTGGTGATCATGGTCTTCCTTAGAGTAAGCCATTGAATTCATACTATTTTAATAGATATAACACCTGGACATAGTTCAAACAACAAAAAGCATAAAAGGGTATAGAATAAAATGTTGGTTGCCCTCCCACACCTATCGGTAAATCTCTCTTTCTCTCCCTATCTATACATAATCTGTATCTCTGCCCATTTATCTAGTTTTTACACACATGGTACTATATTACACATACTATATCAACTTGTTTTTTTCCTTTATTATACATATTTTGATGATCACGTCAAAACACCTCCTTCTCTCTCATTTTAAAAAATAACAGCTTTATTTAGAAGTTATTCACATGCCATAAAGTTCACCCTTTCAATGTGATCAATTCAGGGTTTTAAAAAATATATTTACAGAGTGTGCAGACGATCACCAGTATCTAATTCCAGAATATTTTCATCACCCCCAAAAGAAGGCTCATACCCATGAAAAACCACTCCCAGTCATCCCTCCCCTCAGTCTCTGGCAACCATTAAAATACTTTCTGTTTCTATACATTTGCCTGTTCTGGGCATTTCTTATTAATGGGATCATATGATCTGTGGCCTTTTGTTTCTGGCTTCTTTAAAACACTAGCATAATATTTTGAAGGTTCATTCATGTTGTAGCATGTATCAGTACTTCATTTCTTTCTATGGCTGAGTAATATTTCATGGTAGGAATATAACATTTTGTTTATCAGTTCATCATGTGATGAAGATTTTGGTTGTTTCTACTTTTTGGCTATCATGAATAATGTTGCTGTGAATATTTATGTACAAAGTTTTGGTAGGACATATGTTTTTATTTCTCTTGGATATTGCTATGGTTTGAATGTTTTTGTTCCCCCAAAATTTGTATGTTGAAATCTAATCACAAATGTTGGTATTTGGAGGTGGGGCTTTTGAAAGATGATTAAGTCTCGAGCACAGAGTCCTCATGAATGGGATTACTACCCTTATAAAAGAGGTCCCACAAAGTTGCCTTGTCCTTTCTACTGTGCAAGATTATGGCACAAAGACAAACATCTATGAAGCAGAAAATGGGGCCTCACTAGACACCAAATTTGCCAGAGCCTTGATCTTGAACTCCCCAGTCTCCAGCAGTGTGAGAAAATAAATTTCTGTTATTTATAAGCTACCCAGTTTAAGACATTTTATTATAGCAGCCTGAAAGAATTAAGACAGATATCTTAAGAGCGAAATTGCTAGATCTAATTATAATTCTATATTTAGCGTTTTTGAGGTTTTACCAAGCTGTTGGGCAAGTGGCTGCACCATTTTAAAATGTCCACCAGCAGTGTAGGAGGGTTCTAATTTCTCTACATCCTCACCAACAGATGTTATTGTCCATCTTCTGATTTTAGCCATTCTAGTAGGTGAGAAGTGGTATCTCATTGTGGTTTTGGCTTGCAGTCCCCTAAAGACTAATGATGTGGAACTTTTTTTTTTTCATGTGCTTATGGGACATTTGTGTATCTTCTTTCAAAGAAGTAGCTATTCAAATCTTAGATCATTTCCTCATTTTAAAAGTTGGGCTAATTGTCCTTTTATTGTTTAGTTGTAAGAGTTCTTTATATATTCTTGATAGAAGTCCTTTAGCAGATATTTACAAATGTTTGCAAATATTTTCTCCCATTCTGTGGGTTACCTTTTCACTTTTGTGGTGATGCCTTATGAAGCACAAAATTTTTTAACTTTGTTCAAGTCAGTTTAACTTTTTTTGTCTCTTATGCTTTTCGTATTATATCTAATAAGTAATTCCCTAATCCAAGATCAGAAAGATTTCCTCCTACGTTTTCCTCTAAAAGCTTTGTAGTTTTGGCCCTTACATTTACATCTTTGATCCACTTAGAGTTAATTTTTTTTTGTAAAGTAGAGATCCATCTTTATTTATTTTTATGTGGATAGTCAGTTGTACTGGCACCATTTGTCAAAAAGACTATTCTTTTCTTACTGAAATGTGTTAGCACCCTTGTTAAAAATCAGTTGATCATGAAGTAGGGGATTATATCTGGACTCTCAATTTAATTTCACTGTTTTATATTTCTGTCTTTAAGCCAGTACCATACTGTCTTGATTACTGTGGCCCTGTGGTAAGTATCAACATCAGGAACTATGAGTCCTCTAACATTGTTCATCTTTTTTCTAAGACTGTTTTTGGCAATTGTGGGTTTTTCACATGTCCAGATGAATTTTAGGGTTGGCTTTTCAATTTCAGCGAGAAAGGCAGCTGGGATTTTGATAGTTATTTTTCAAAAACTGCTATGTGGTGCTTCATTGCTTGGATCATTTTCTTTTAGTAAACGTATTTCATCAAATCATTTGCTGCTATACAGATAGACTTCAACTTTGTTCTGTCACTATATTTTATGTTAATTCTGTTTTTAGTGCTTAATTTTTTTTTTTTTTTTTTTTTTTTGAGACGGAGTCTGGCCCTGTCGCCCAGGCTGGAGTGCAATGGTGCGATCTTGGCTCACTGCAAGCTCCACCTCCTGGATTCAAGCGATTCTCCTGCCTCAGCCTCCTGAGTAGCTAGGACTACAGGTACCTGCCACCATGCCCAGCTAATTTTTGTATTTTTAGTAGAGACGGGGTTTCACCATTTGGGCCAGGATGGTTTTGATCTCTTGACCTCGTGATCCGCCCACCTCGGCCTCCCAAAGTGCTGGGATTCCAGGCGTGAGCCACCTTGCCTGGCCAAAATTTTTTTTCCATGTAATCTCTGTGGGTGAAATTTTTGTTGTACTGTTCTCCTTCTGTGTTTGTATTTTTCCTCAATATTGAAATCAGTGTATTTCCTCTGCTTTCCATTTAGTTTTTGGATTACTTATATATATTTTTAACATGCACTTTTATAGCCTTACATCTACTTATAACTTTATTACCACTATTTCTTAATTTTCTAGCTTATAAATATGAGAAAATTACTATATTATGTAACTCCCTGTCTTTTTTATGTCTCTCAATCTTATTGTTTAATCATTTTTTATGTTGTCAGGAGAGTGTATACCATTTATTTTATTTTATCTTATTTTTTTAAGAGAGGAGGTTCTTAGTCTGTTGCCCAGGATGGAATGCAGTAGTGTGATTACACCTAACTTCAGCCTGAAACTCCTGGGGTCAAGTTATCCCCCGACCTCATCATCCCAAGTAATGGGGACTACAGGTATGCACAACCACACCTGGCTAGTTAAAAAAAATTTTTTTTCTTTTTGAGATAGGGGTCTTGCTATATTGCCTAGGCTGATCTTGAACCTCTGGTCTCAAGTGATCTTCCTGCCTCGGCTTCCAGAGCAGCTGGAATTACAGGAGCGAGCCACTGTGCTGGACTCCCACTCCCATTTACATTTGTTTATGTAGTCTTTATCTCTATGTTTACTTTAGTTGTAGCCAAACAGTTAAGTGGATTAAATGTTCAGTGTCTGTTATTTCAGTGTAGTTTCTCCGTTTATCATTGATTAAGTGAGTTTTCTCTTGTTGTAGTTTCTTCAGAAAAGTCTCATGGGAAATATATTTATCTATAGGTTTTATATGTGAATGACAGTTTGGCTGAGTTTAAAACTCTTGAGTCATATTTTATTCCTCAAAAATCTTTGTAGGCATTTTTCTAGTGGGGCACTTCTTAGGTTGAAGCAGACAAATCTGAAATCACTTGATTTTTTTTTTTTTTTTGAGATGGAGTCTTGCTCTGTCGCCCAGGCTGGAGTGCAGTGGTGCGATCTCAGTTCACTGCAATCTCCGCCTCCTGGGTTCAAGCACTGCTCCTGCCTCAGCCTCCCAAGTAGCTGGGATTACAGGCAACTGCCACCACACCCAGCTAATTTTTGTATCTGTTTTATTTATTTATTTATTTATTTTCAGATGGAGTCTCGCTCTGTCGCCCAGGTTGGAGTGCAGTAGCATGATCTCGGCTCACTGCAAGCTCCGCCTCCTGGGTTCACGCCATTCTCCTGGCTCAGTCTCCGGAGTAGCTGGGACTACAGGCGCCCACCACCATGCTTGGCTAATTTTTTGTATTTTTAGTACAGATGGGGCTTCACTGTGTTAGCCAGGGTGGTCTTGATCTCCTGACCTCATGATCCACCTGCCTCGGCCTCCCAAAGTGCTGGGATTACAGGTGTGAGCCACCGCAATATAACCCTTTTTAATAATGATTTATCCGTTTTACTTCTTTCCTGAGTTCTACCAGTTAATATATCATTTCCTTATAATGTCATAGCTTTTCTAGCTCTTTGTTTTTGCCTTGTGCTCTTGTTTGTTAGTTGTAATTGTTTCCAGTTTTAAAAATTCATGGCAGTATGTTGATTATAATTTTCATCTGCTTTCATGTTTTCTAATGAGAGTTCTTTGTCATTTATTCTTCCAGATTCTTTACCCATTTTTTTTTCTTATGACACTTTTGTGTAATCTTTTCTTACAAAAAATTCCTACTCAGTTTCAAATATGAAAAGTTTCTCCTGGACTAGCTGTTTTTAGGAAGTTTCAGTGGGGGATATTAGGACTGTGTGTGTGTGTTTTTTTTTTTTTTTTGAGACAGAGTGTTGCTCTGTCGCCCAGGCTGGAGTGCAGTGGCACAATCTTGGCTCACTGCAAGCTCTTCCTCCTGGGTTCACACCATTCTCCCGCCTCAGACTCCCGAGTAGCTGGGACTATAGGCGTTTGCCACCACGCCCACCTAATTTTTTGTGTTTTTAGTAGTCACAGGGTTTCACCATGTTAGCCAGTATGGTCTCGATCTCCTGAACTCGTGATCTGCCCACCTCAGCCTCCCAAAGTGCTGGGATTACAGGCGTGACCCACCGCCCCCAGTCCAGGACTGTCTTTCAGGCCAGCAGGAATTGTCCCTGGTTTCTCATTACTCAGGGTTTTGTACACGTGGGTGAATTGTTTTAGGATTCAAACTACTACCTATTCAACATGTGTCCAGAGTTGGTTCCTTCTGGTGGGTTCATGGTCTCACTGACTTCAAGAATGAAGCCGCGGACCTTCGCAGTGAGTGTTACAGCTCTTAAAGGTGGCACACACCAAAAGAGTGAGCAGCAACAAGATTTATTGTGAAGAGCAAAAGAACAAAGCTTCCGTAGCATGGAAAGGGACCCCAGCAGGTTGCCCTGCCGGCTGGGTTGGCCAGCTTTTATTCTCTTATTAGTCCCCGCCCATGTCCTGTTGATTGGTCCATTTTACAGAGTGCTGATTGGTCCATTTTACAGAGTGCTGATTGGTCCATTTTACAAACCTCTAGCTAGCCACAGAGCGCTGATTGGTGCATTTTTACAGAGCACTGATTGGTGCATTTTACAATCCTCTTGTAAGACAGAAAAGTTCTCCAAGTCCCTACCCGACCCAGAAGTCCAGCTGGCTTCACCTCTCAAACAAAGCTTGGCAGAAATAAGGCTGCTTGTAATGGAGGTTGTTATTCCTCAACAATGAATTGTTTCCTGCAAATGTAATGTATGTGTGTGTGTGTTTGTGTGTGTCCAAATTCTGGATTGCACATTTATATTTACTCTTTCTTTGTTGTTTTTGGGTGATTTCAAAGACATCAAAGGAGCAGGACTATCATTACTCTGCCATTAAAAATTGGATATCTAGAATAGTTATTTACGTCACTATCTTTTCTCTCTAACTTACAGGCTAGAGGGTTGAGATCATATTTAATGCACGCTAATCTTCTGCTTTCCACATAGTACCCTTACTAATAAATGTTTGTTTTATATTTACTTAAATACAGATTACTTATGGAGGTAAATAAGTAACTTTTGTAGATGACTCCTTCAGTGTTACTTGGGAGAATTGTTTTTTTTTTTGTTTTTGTTTTTTTGTTTAGACAGAATCTCACTCTGTCGTCCAGGCTGGACTGCGGTAGTGCAACCTTGGCTCACTGCAGCCTCCACCTCCTGGGTTCAAGTGATTCTCTTGCCTCAGCCTCCCTAGTAGCTGGGACTACAGGTGTGTGCCACCATGCCCAGCTAATTTTTGTATTTTTAGTAGAGACAGGGTTTCACCATATTGGTCAGGCTGGTCTTGAACTCCTGACCTTGTGATCTGCCCACCTCGGCCTCCCAAAGTGCTGGGATTACAGGCCTGAGCCGCTGCGCCCGGCCACTTGGGAGAACTGTTAATCATCTTTAAATAAGTAAACTTTTGCTGTCACTTCACTTCATCATGCTACATAGAGCTGTTCGCCAAGAAACAGCTTGACTGTAAATCAGTTCTTGGAATTTGGGACTAATACTTGAAATGAGTATTTGTTTTCTATCTCACAGTATCCTAATGTATCTATTTCTTAATTGGCAGGTGTCGGGACATCGTGTTGAACCTTAGTTTTAGCTGCCTCTGAGGAGGGCCACCTATCTCTCAGTATACTCTTAGGGCACTCAAAGTAAATTCCAGGTTCTTCATGTACTATCATACAGTTGGCTGTCATACAGTTGGCTCTTCCAAATATTCTCCTTAAATTTGTTAAAAGTCTGTCCAGTTTGGTGCTGTAACAAAGATTTAGACATAAGTAAATTTTATTTTGGTTATATAGATCAATACTGGGAATACCAATATAGTTAGAAAACACTGAAATAAAGATGATTGTGGGGATCATCTGCTGAACGGAGAGGGCCTCCCTAGTGACCACATTCAAATGAAAGCATTCATTTCTAAGCTTGGTTTTCAGTCGAGGAGCTCTTGACACTTGTTGGAGACGTGGTTCCTAGCACTCAATAAGTGTTTGTTGAATTAATGATTGAATGGTGCCGTACAGTAGATCAAGTTGTCTGGAAGGACTTTCACCCACCAAACTTACAAGATACTCATGTGCAAATCAGAAGGCAAATCTTTATTAATGAAAACTCAGAGGCAGAAATAATTCAACTCATGCTTCCATGAAATCATTAAAATAATCTTATAGCATCCTACAATATTACAGCTGAAAGGACTTTGGAAGACATCCATTTTAAAATAAAAAGTGTATTGCTTGGAAAACTGAGTCCCATAGTGGGGAAAGGACTTGCCCAAAGACCAGTTTGTAAGCTGATGCTTACAAACCTGTTTGCCAATCTACAAATTTGTACGAGCCCTAAACAAAATATGGTTACCACCTGTATCTCTCTTCCTTCCTGTTAGATAAAATCCCTCATTTGCTTTCTGGATATGAACACTTTTAAACAGGTTTCTAAAATGGTACATTTGGAATTAACCTTTATATAAAAGGGGGTTGAATTTCTATAAATCTCCAACTTGGCCTCCTCGTCAACCCATGTTCACCCACCACCTGATAAAGAAACACCAAGTACGCCATCCATGAGCATTGCATCTCTCCTGCATTTTAAATGCCAGATCTAAAATAAACCCCAAAGTCTTATTTGAAAGTGAATTTATGGAACTCACACATTTGAAGCTCAGCATTACTGTGAAACTTACAGGTCCTGCCCCTCACTGGTGGAAATTCACATGTATTCCAACTAACTTATTCCAGGTCTGTGTCTCTTAACTGGGGCTTTTTGTCATTAAGTATTCACAACTTCATCTTTATTCATGTCAGCCAAGCTTTTTATTGCCCTGCCATTGCTTTTATTAACAGCAAAGTGGATGTGTTTATTTACACTTGGGAAATGAACTGAAGTTTCCTGGTGGTGTGGGTCTCATTCCAAGTTACCCAATGTACTTATCTTAATTAGACTCAACATAGATCTGAAGTTTGCTTTTCTTCCCTTTCAGAGGTAATTTCTGGAAAGTGTACAAATAGAATTCAGCAAGAAGATGAAGCTCAACTTGTGGTGCTTATAGTTTATTGATTTTTTTAAAAAAGAAAATGTGTTTTGATGATTGAAGATAGATGATATGCTGCAGCCCTGAATAGTAGTATATAAACCAATTCTACTCAGCAACATTTTATGATAAAGACAAATTAATAATTTTGATAATTAAGTAACATGGCTTCTTCCATGTTAGTTTAAAGTCTATAGAGTGGCAACTATATGGCTACAGTGAATAAAAGGGGTGGAACATTTAATTGCTATTTTAAAATGCAGCAAAACACTAGTAGTACCTGGTGTGGAAACAATGCCAAATGAACTTTAAAAGCCATGCTTATTTTTTATATACATTTTCTAATTTCAAACCTCCCTTTTATAACCTATGGGAAATGCTCTATGTAATGAATTCAAATACTATAATAGAAATAACTGAAACATTAATAAGCAAACAGGAATTCTAAAGGTAAAGGCAACATTATATCTCCATCTTTTTGAAAAAATACCATTTGGAGAAACTAAGTAAGCAAAGAGATTTCTCTAGGGTCACGCAGCTAATGTATGACAAAGTTGTACCTGGAAACACATTTGTAGACATCGTGTTAGTGCTCTTCACACTGTCTCCTGCGGTGATCAGAACTGGTTTTTTTTTTCCTCCAGTTTTATTCATTGCTATCATGAGCCTGTTAGCCAGCCTCTTTTTAGGTTTATAGGAATCACTTGTCTTCCAGTGCTTAACACCCACACTGCATACTAAAGACATGGCTAAGTGTGCAAAGAAGAAAAAAGATCATCTTTCAGATGAATGTGGAGGACAAAAATGGGCAGTAGGCTGGGCTTCTCACTGTCCCTCTTCATTTCATATCTATCCATCCATCCATCTATCCATCCAACAGACATCAATGGGTGCCAGTTATTCTCCAGGTCTCGTGCTGGTTAAAGGAGGATGCAGTGGTAAACAAAACAGACATGGTTGGTGGCTTCAAGGCACTTCTAACCAGTGAGGGAGACAGAGAGCAATCCAATAGTGAAACGATGCTTGTAAAATTATTAAATGAGATTAGCACCATGAAGAAAAGAACACACACACCATTTGGGGGCAAAGGAACTTTGCTGAAAAAATGAATTTGGTCTGAGGTCTGAAGAACAGGTAGGTGTTAACTAGGTAGAGAGCTGGTAAAGAACATTCTAGGCAGAGGGAAGAGCAGGGGTAGAAGAAGAAGAAGGATTGCAAGAAGCAAAGAAGATTTCAATCATGGAACTGAAAGAACAGTGTGGCTGCAGCCTAGAGAACAAGAAAGAAAGACAGTGTTTACATGTCATGCTGGAGAGTTGGAGGGGGATGGCAGCAGACCCTCAGAATCTGTGTGGCTTATCATTAGGAGTTTGTTTTTATTTAATAAGCAAGGGGGAAGACATTAAGGGCATAAGTGATCAGATTCACATTTTGAAAGAGTCATTGTGCCTCCCATGTGTTAGACATAGACAAGAGGGAATATAGGAAGATGGATAGGCCATTGCAGGCATCTCAGCAAGAAGCACTGGAAGCTGAAATAGGGAGGTAGCCACACAGATTGAGAGAACAGAGAGAATCAACATCTATTTGGAAGCAAAAATAAACAGAACTTGGTGAGGAATTAGGGTGTTAGCAAGGGCAAGTGTCAATGATGCCTCCCTGGTTTCTGGCTTGACAACTGTATTAGTCTGTCTTCACGCTGCTAATAAAGACATACCTGAGACTGGGTAATTTGTAAAGAAAAAGAGGTTTAATGGACTCAGAGTTCCACATGGCTGGGGAGGCCTCATAATCATGGCAGAAGAGGAAGGAAGAGCAAAGGGACATCTTACATGGTGGCAGGCCAGAGAGAGCATGTGCACAGAAACTCGCCTTTATACCATCAGATCTCATGAGACTTATTCATTATCACGATAATAGCACAGGAAAGGCCTGCCCCCATGATTCAATTACCTCCAACTGGATCCCTCCCACAACACATAGGAATTATGGGAGCTACAATTCAAGATGAGATTGGGATGGGGACACAGCCAAACCATATCAACAACTATGCAGACTGTGAACCCACTGCTTACTAACAGAGTGCCTCAGGAAAATCACCTGACCTCTTGTCATTTCTTTATTTGTAATATAAAGCGAATAAAGTGCGACCCCTCAGAGTTTCTGCACAAAGTAAGAGACTTATAGAAGTCACGTGTAATATGTGTAGGTGCTTGGCATATGGTAAACAGAGAGTGTATATTTGTTATCATTATTATTATTTTTGGTATTTACTGAGGGGAGGAATATTGGCAGAGAACCAAGTTTGAAGGGTTGATAACATGTTCAGTTTTAGACACACTGAATATGAATCCTCTTGGAGATGCTCAAGTGGAGATTTAAAGTGTACAATTAGGGCACTTTTGAGTTCTAAGTGCTCTGACATTTTGGATGGTAATGGAGCCGTGTGCATTGAGACTGCCCAGGGAAGAGACACAGGGTAATAAAATGAAAGCTTAGGATGGAGTCCTTGAAGGAAAATAAAATGGGTATGTAGAGGAATGGGAGCCTGCAATGTGGTAGGAAAGGCCCAGCCAGAGGATTAGGATTAGGGCAACTACTTAAGGCAGTGCCACACCATGGAAGCCAAGGGGGAGGGATGACTGTTTAAGATGAGGGGGTGTCACTGGCACTGAAGGCTGATGAGAAGCTTTGTCTGATGAGGGCTCAATAATATCTGTGAGGGCAGGGGCGGTGGTTCACACCTGTAATCTCAGCACTTTGGGAGGCTGACATGGGAAGATCACTTGAGCCCAGGAGTTTGAGACCAGCCTGGGCAACATCGTAAAACCCCTTTTCTACAAAAAATAAAACAATTAGCTGGGTGTGGTGGCATGTGCCTGTAGTCCCAGTTACTCAGGAGGCTGGGGTGGGAGGATAGCTTGAGCCCAGGAGTCTGAGGCTGTAGTGAACTGTGATTGTGCCACTGCACTCCAGCCTGGGTGACAGAGTGAGAACCTGTCCACAAAAATTTAAAAAATCAAAAAAGGTAATGTCTGTGGTGTTTATTGACATGAGTCATCAGTGTCGGAATGACGGGCTCACAAACATCTCTAGGATTTGAGAGTAAAGGGAAGAGGAGAAAGTGGAGAAAATGTTTGTTTTGATGGAGAAGAGAGATAGCTCATTCTTGTGATAGAAGAATACGTGGTCCCTGGCTCAGCTCCTTCCAGTTATTTTTACACTAATGGTGTGCTCTTATGTCTTATGAGTGACATTGTGTTATGGCTAAAGAATTCTAATGAGTAGTCCTCTTTTCCTGGCCTAGGAGTATAGGAGATTTATAACAAAGGTAACCAGAGAGAGCTCACTGGTTTTGAATCCACAGGGATTTGTTGGAACCCCATAACTTCCTGATAAGTGTAGGTCTCCGTGAGAGTCTTGCAAGTCCCATTCTTCTACCCCTAGCGATCTGCCTTCTGTGCTGTCCCTCACATAGGTTGCAGGGCCCCACAAGATGAAAAGGCACATTTTCTTATGGGGGCTTGGCACAAACACTACTGCTTAGGTAATATTCGCCCAGATATTGTGTTCTTAGAACTATGGAATCCCAGGATTGAGATTCTATTGAGTTAGTGAGTTTTGTATATATAACCTAACTATAACTGGGGCCCCATGTGGCCCCAACTTTGTATAGTATCAATAAAAAGAATTAAAAGTCCCTCAGAAAAAGATAATTAAAAACACCTCCAGTTTTTACTTAGTCTCTCGAAAAGTCTCCAAGGGGTGGTTTGGAGGAAGGAGGGGGAGATTCTTAGTGCATGGCAACACTTCTTAGAAATTCTCTTTTCCATGTCTCCTTCTCTAAGTGTCCTTCATGTGGACTGCAGCTGTTCCCATAACACAATGCTCAGCTCAATAGGAGTGAGATTTTCCTTGAGATCCTATCTCTACTCTTGCTCTCATCCCATTTACTTCCCTGAACAGTCCTCTGTTCAATGCAGATATACGTGCTATTCATGACCTCCAGCTGCCAAAAGCCCCTTGTGAAATGTAGTTTTTCTCTCCCATTTGAAGTGCTCTTCTCTCAGTAATTTACATTTTTTACTCCACTCCTCAGGTTCCAGTGAATGAAATGTTTATCTTTTGTTACCTTTGCAAAGATATATAAAGTGGGTTCCTGTTTAGGGAAACATTCAGCCTATTATCTTAAAGACCAGGTCTCCTATACTACCCACAGCAGTCTTGGGAATATTTATGGCAGCATCTCATTTGTTGGGAAGAATATCTGGGGTAAAGAAGGAAGGAAAGAACAAAGATTTTATTCATGTATTGCTGCTGTGCATTTGTGGGCCAAAGCAAGCCTGTAGCCAAAGTTGGATTCAGGCTTCTGGGTGTTGATCGATTACAAGGTTGTTGTAGAGATTACAGGGAATGAGGAAGGGAGTCTCATAATGGGCCTAATGGGCACCAGCAGCTGGAATTCTGCATGAAATGTCATGACATCTGTCCTACAGTGCAGGTGGCCCTTGTTGAGGTGCATCTGACAGGGCCTTGCTGCCATTCATGGCCCTGTTGCCAAGTGAAGACAGACACTGCTGCAGGCTCCGCCTTATCTCCCAGATAACCTGGCATGCAGGAAAGCCTTAAGGCTCTTCTCTTTCTGGCTCAGGTTGGTGTCTCTAGAGGTGGCTGTGCACAGAGGTCATTCCTGAAAGCGTATTTTTCCTCTCCCTTGACTAATCAAGGATCGAATTCCCTAGTCTACCTCTTTGGTGCAGTGAAGGACTGGTTCAAGGTCATTCCGGATTTACTGTTCTTGGGGCAAACTATTATGTACCAAGCACTGTTCTAAGCTCTTCAACTTTTTTAATTCATGTTAACAAGACTATAAGTCTTGTTAAATTTGAGACTCAAATTTTATTGATGGGAAAAACTGAGGCACAGAGATGTTAAGTAGTTAGCTCAAGATCACTCAGCTGTATAGTAAATTGCAGAGCCAGCATTTGAACCTAGGTGCTCTCTCTCCAATATATATGCTGTTTACACTACCCTCCATTGCTTTTCAAAGGAAAGCCTTCTTTTTTAAAAAAATTTTAGGCCGGGCGTGGTGGCTAATGCCTGTAATCCCAGCACTCTGGGAGGCTGAGGCGGGCAGATCACCTGATGTCAAGAGTTCGAGCCCAGCCTGACCAACACGGTGAAACCCCGTCTCTACTAAAAATACAAAAATTAGCCAGATGTGGTGGTGCATGCCTGTAATCCCAGCTACTCAGGAAGCTGAGGCAGGAGAATCGATTGAACCCGGGAGGCGGAGGTTGCAGTGAGCTGAGATTGTGCTACTGCGCTCCAGCCAGTGTAATAGAGTGAGACTCCATCTCAAAAGAAAAAAAAAAAAAAACAAAAAACTAGAGATGAGGTCTCACTATGATGCCCAGGCTGGTCTCGAACACCTGGGCTCAAGCGATCTTCCTGCCTCGGCCTCTCAAATTGTTGGGATTACAGGCTTGAGCCACTGAACCCTGCTGGAAAGCCTTTCTTCAACATCAGGTAAGGCATAAACAATCAAGATGAAGAACACTTATAAAATGGGCATAGTGGGACCTGTCTCATGAGGATGAGACAGGATTAGGTGCTATCATCGATGTAAAGCACTTTACATGGCCCTTGGCATGTTGTCATTGTTCAATGGCAATGATAGATTAAAAACAAAAACTGGGGCCCACCAGAATTAATGGACTTGTCCAAAGTCACAGAAAGCTGGTACCCTGGATTGGTCTAGTGGACACTTAAGCCATTACTCCTCCACACAGAATGTTTAAATAAAGCCATTCAGCAAAATGCCACAAAATCTCTACGCTTGGTTCTCAAGTTGTAAGAACAAATTGTAGCAGGCCCCACAGTGCCTGTAATTATTGTGGTCACCAACGACAAACATGCTGTTTGGTTTTGTCGGAGCAAACAGACAGCAGAGGCATACTTGGGTTCTTTTTAATATGTAAGAATTTTCTAGGACTTAATGCCACCAGGATGCCAGAAGAGTTAATGGCAGATGTGGTTGTGGAAACGTTCTGTATTTTTAGACAACCTTTAATTAAAACACTTTGTATGTCTCAGGGACCAAATCATATGCTGCCACTTGAAGGCTGTCAGAAGGGGAAAAAGTATACAAAGCTTCTAAAAGCAGCTTTGCTTATTTTTATCTGAGATGGAGTGAGAGAGCCTTTGCAGGGACAAAGCCATCTCTTGCTACAAAATTATATGAATTTAATACATGGGTCAAATGTGCAAATTGTTCAACACATTCTGTTTAACTGCAACAGTCAATGAAATCTGGGAGGTCAGTCTGAGGACAGTGAACTTAGTCTGGGCCTCCCTACAGGCTCATGACCTGTAAGACCTTCTTAATAAGGTTGATACAATTGCTTATTGGCTTTGAGCACCCAAACATAAAGTGAGTTGCAAGACTGCTTGAATACTGAGTCATAGATTGTTGGAGTTGAAAGTGATCATAAATGGGTCTAAAGGGTCTGACTGGCTGTTTGGAAGCAACTGTGTTAGAATGTAAAAGTCGTGTTTTTATTGCCAAGTTATGCACACAACAAAATTCCCTGCTACCAAACTATTCCTGCTCCCTCACCCTTTCTGTGGTGGTTTTAAAATACATACAATTTCTTTGATACTCTTCCTTCAAGGGGTGGAGTCTAATTCCCCTCCTTATGAATGTGGGCTGGACCTAGTGACTCATTTCTAATGGATAGAAAAAAGTGCTAATAATGGCATGCAATTTCTTAGACGAGGTCATAAAAGGCATTAAGACTTCTTTTGTGCTTTTTCTTTTGAATCACTTGCTCTGGGAGTAGTCAGCTTTTATGTCATAAGGACACTCAAGAAGCCCTATGAGAAGGCCTGTGTGACAGGGAGCAGAGGCCTCTGTCCGAGGACCAGTGAATAACTGAGGCCTCCTGCTAACAAGGCGCCAGAGAGTTTGAGAACCCCGTTAGGCCTTTAGATACCTGAACTCCTGCTGACATCTTGGCTGTAACCTCAAAAGGGAGCCAGACCCACTTTTTTTTTTTTTTTTTTGAGACAGAATCTCGCTGTGTCACCCAGGCTGGAGTCCAGTGGTACAATCTCGGCTCACTGCAACCTCTGCCACCCTGGTTCAAATGATTCTCCTGCCTCAGCCTCCTGAGTAGCTGGGACTACAGGCGTGAGCCACCACGTCCGGCTAATTTTTTTGTATTTGTAGTAGAGATGGGGTTTCGCCACGCTGGCCAGGCTAGTCTCGAACTTCTGACCTCAAGTGATTCACTTGCCTTGGCCTCCCAAAGTGCTAGGATTACAGGAGGGAGCCACTGTGCCCGGCCCAGAGCCACTTCTTAATTCCTGACCCACAGAACCTGTGACAACAACCATGCATGTTTGTTGTTTTAAGTCACTAAGTTTTGGGGGTAATTTTAAACTCAGCAATAGGTAGCCAATGTGCATCCCTAGCTTCCAGCCCTTCCCTCACTTTTACCTGCCATTTTTTTTTTTAACTCCTGTTTGCTCATCATTTCTTCAATGAACTTCATCACATCCCTCGGCCTCAGCCACACTTTAGGAAATAATGCTGATGATGGGTGTAGGGCAGTGGTAAGGGTCTTCATTTCTCACAGCCTTTGGTAACAATTTTTTGGTAAGCTGCAAGTTTGAAATGTATTTTTAGAGATTTTTCACAATATATCCTTGGCGACAACAAAGTCTCCTGCTTCTCTCTTAATGTTACTGGGATAAGTAGGACGAACACTGTGCCCAGAGCATCATAGGAGCTTGAAAGATTTTAGTTCTTTTTTCTCCTAGATGACTTTGCAGTTCAGCCTGGCCGCCTTTTTACAGTGCCATGATGTTTATGGGCAGCTTGTCCCTGTTTTGGCGATACCAACCTGACCATTCTGCACCTGAACTACAAAGTGGGTCCCCAGAAATGTCCTGCTGATGCTTATCCAGAGTTCTAAAACACTTGTTTTTCTCTTCCCCAGAGTTTAGGATGCTTCAAGGGAAAGATGAACCGGGGAACCGCCACCGTGACTATTTCTCATCTACATATCCACCCCCCGAAGGTAGATATGTGGCATGTAAATCAAACGCTGACATATGGGGAGGGCTTTTCCATGACATTGGCCATATGTTTCTTTGGAAATATTTTGATCTCAAGACAAAATGTAGTCACCTTGTAGAAAGAGGGAAAACTATTTATTCAGAAAAGGCACACAAAGAAAATCAAGAATTTTTTGGACAATATATGAATAATATTTAAAGCAAGTAGCAAAGGATCTCAGAATGTTTTAATTTTTTGCAAGATAATTTAAATTAGCAAAAATAGTGGCACTTGAACTGAATCAAGTGCTGGGGTTTGAAGTAAACAATGTGTGTAGCCGATTTCCTCCAGGAACAGGATAACGTGCATTTATCTTTGGTGTTGGTTTGGATCCATCATTCTTGGCATTTAATAGAAGTATATATATTTTTAAAAAATGGGCCAGGTGTGGTGGCTCATGCCTGTAATCCCAGCACTTTGGGAGGCCGAGGCAGGCAGATCATGAGGTCAGGAGATCGAGACCATCTTGGCTAACATGGTGAAACCCTGTCTCTACTAAAAATACAAAAAATTAGCCAGGCATGGTGGTGGGCGCCTGTAGTCTCAGCTACTCGGGAGGCTGAGGCAGGAGAATAGTGTGAACCCGGGAGGTGGGGCTTGCAGTGAGCCGAGATGGTGCCACTGCACTCCAGGCTGGGCGTGAGACTCCGTCTCAAAAAAAAAAAAAATTAACTGGTTGAACTTCAGTGAAAAAGGGATGTCAGAAGTAGGAATTTGAAATGTAGTAATAAAAAGTAACTAGAGGGGGAAATATAGTGAAAGAATCTAAAAGGTTTTATTTTAAATTACGAATTTAGTTCATTGAATTTGGCTTCAAAAATTGATTTCTTTCTTTTGACTTAGTTCTTAAGGTGGAGCGGAATTCATTTTATTTGCAAATGTGGAAGGCATTATAAAAACCGTGAATGATGCCCCCTCCCATGAGGGATACAGGGAGAGCCACGTGAAGAGGATGTTGGGCTTCTTCAAGCTGGCAGGGCACTGAGCTGACTGTCCACCACACTCACCAGGGGCCTTTGTGCATCCCGTGGGGCAGCTCTGGGAAAGGGTAAGCTTTGGAAATGATGGGCATGCGGGGGATTCCCAGACATGTGGTATGTGTTGGAGGAGGGGCCGTTCCGAAGGGAGAGTGACTAAATTTTACACTCATGTGGGCATTAATATTGTAATTCAGGACACTGTTGTGGGCCCATTCTCTCCATGCCAAACTACAAATAAGGGTGCTCCAATGATACAGAGTACAGACACCTGGCCCAATCCCCTGGAGGTTATGGTTGGGCCTGGCAGGGGTGGGAATTTCAGCACTTGCAGAGCTCCATGGATCATTCTAACGCAGCATCACGACTAGAAACGACCCTGATGGAGGGCAGTGGAAATTCACAGCAGGAGAGCCAGCTCAGAGATGGCACTGGAGAGGCCTCCAGCACTGTGTGGCTTTAGCACTGGCACGTGATAGAGGTGGAGCCCGTGAGCATGTGGAAATGGGAGAAAGGGAAGGATTAGTGATTCCATTAAGGACTCACTTTCTAGGTTCAGGAGTAGAGCTAGGAGTTGCTCTTTTCCCTGTACACCAGTGGGTCCCTTGAGAGAATGCAGATTCACAAGGTGGAGGTGTGGATATAAGAAAAGCTTGATGCTGCCTTCTGTCTCCCCAGGTCTGATGGGGAAGAAAAAGGATTTTGGGGTGTTCCCACAGCCCCTGTCCCCTAGCAAACCAGCTCTTTCTCATCCAGTCAGAGGAGAGGTGATACCTTCCCTATTGGATCTTGGTGGGTGCCAGAGGAGTGGTGTGCCTCAGGCTGTAGCCTCAGGCTGTCCCAGAGGGAGAACCACTGGGCCCCCTGATTTACAGAGTAAGTGGGTGCAGTCCTAACTCTTATTGACACGGGCCAGGTATGGTGAAGCTTGGTTGCCAGGATATAAGTGATGCACCTGTTCTTTCTGAATATATAACTGAAAGCCAACTTACCTACTTATATTTCAAACAAAGCATTGAGGACTAAATTTGAAGTAATGTATCATACTTAGCCAGCTTTATATTTAAGACCTATAGACATGACTACATGACTACTAAAAAGAGCAGAATCTTGGCTCATTTGAGCTCTAACAAGCTGGCATTTGCTTGGAGAGTGTTAGGGCTTCGGGAGGGGATCCTCCTGGGGATGTCTCATCAAGATATTAGGCAATTTTTCATATGTGGGCACTAAAAAAGCTAAACTTATAGAAATAGAGAGTAGAATAGTAGTTGCCAGAGACTGAGAAGAGTATGGAGGAGGGGAGACAGGGAGAGGTTGGTTAATGGGTATAAAATTACAGTTAGATATGAGGAATAAATTCCCACGCTCTGTGGGGCGGGCTGCAGTTAACAGCAATTTATTGTGTACTTCAAAATCGATAGAAGAGAGGATTTTTGAATGTTCCCAACACAAAGAAGTGATAAATATTTGATGTGATAGATATCTCAGTTACCATGGTTTGATCATTACACGTCGTTTATGTGTACTGAAATATCACATGTACCCCATTAAAAAATAGACATCAGGAAATCTGGTGGAAAAAAAAAGAGCATATGCAAAAGCATGGGGCTAGACCTCGTTGGGGGAGATGAAGGCAGAAAGTGGGTCTTTGATAATTTGGCTGGAGTTTAGAGTGTATCACAGGATGGTAGGAGAAAGATGGTAAAACAGGAACGGTGGTGTGAGGTTGCAGAGGGTTTTGAGAACTAGGCTAAGGAGTCTGGATGTGATCTTCGAGGCCTTTGGAAATGACTAAAGCCTTCTGGACAGGGATGTGATGTTACCTCCCAAAAAGCAATCCAGGGCAGAGAGGCTGGAGGTGAAGGCATTGGGAGTGAGTGTGGTCCCTGTGTGGGATCTAAGAACCAGCGTGGGAGAGTGGCGGTGAGAATTGGGAGGGTGAGACTGTTGGCTATGTTAGCCCATCAGTTGTACAGGAAAAGGGAATCAAAAACGACTCTCAAGTTTACTGGCTTGGGTGACAGGGCCAATGGGTGTGTCATCAACAGAAACAAAGGAAACAGGAGTGAAAGAAGGTTTTGGGGTGGGAGGGTTCAGCTTTGGATATGCTGAGCCTGAGACACTGGCAAGGCATGGGGGTGGAGGTGCTTAGAAGGCCAGGACCAGGAAGAGGAAAGGCCTGACAATGTGGATGCAGGATTCATTTACATGCAAGCGATGGACGGAGCCAAGTGATTGGTGGGCGTTGCAAAGACGGTGGAGTGAGAGAATGAACATCAACAGTGGATTAGGCAACCTGTCAGGCACTGCACATTATCTCAATCTTCAAAACAGCTTTATGAGATAGGCCTCATTATCCTCGTTTTATAGATAAGCAAACAGAGGCTCCAGCCTCTGCTGTTACACAGGCAGGAAGCAGCAGTGCTGATATTCAAGTCTGGGTCGGTATGACTCCAACAATCTTCTTTTTCCACCCCCAGCATTCCTTAAACTAAAAATAGCTTTGAAACCAAAAAAAACTAGGAAGGAAAAAAACTCCAAATAAAGGACAACCTTTTTGAATTGAGTATATTCAGCTACATTGTTCTTATATTTGCATTTTGGAAAGCCATCCTGAACACATAGACCAAGGGACTGTCAGAGGACTAATGTATTAAAAAGACCGTAAACTCTGAAGCTGTTCTGATGCTTATGATTTTAATTCTGACTCTACCACTTACTGGCCATTTTATTATTTATTTATTTATTTTTATTTTTATTTTTGCATTTTTAGTAGAGATGGGGTTTCACCATGTTGGCCAAGCTGGTGTCGAACTCCTGACCTCAAGTGATCCACCCACCTCGGCCACCCAACGTGCTGGGATTACAGGCGTGAGGCACCACGCCTGGCCTGGACGTTTTAATTAAACTGTCTGAATCTTAGTTTTCTCCTAAAAATGGTGGTCCCAATGATTGTCTTGCAGGGTTCTGTGTGTAACAGGTAGTTTCTGTAGATGAAGCATGTAACACAGTAGCTGATATATATTAGATGCTCAATACATGTCAGTGTCTTCTTTTTTGCCTTCTCAATAGCAGGTGGTTCATAAGCCAATTTGTTCCTTCTTTATTTAAATGACACTCACCCTTTGGGCCCTAGGGAAGTTAAGGTTAGTGATAGGAGTGAAAGCTGATTATTATAGAAAAAGAGGTTGGTGTTACTGATGTGGCAAGTAGAATGATGGCCCCCTAAAGATGTCTGTGTACTAATCTCCAGAATCTGTTAATGTGTTAGGTTAAATGGCAAGAGGAATTAAGGTGGCAGATGGAATTAAGGTTGCTAATCAGCGGACTTTACGATAGGGAAATTCTCATGGATTATTTGGGTGGCCCCAGTGGAATTGCAAGAGTCCACAGAATTGGAAAAAACCTCGAGAGAGAGAGAAGCAGAGCGATGACAAGTGGGAGAAGGGCTCACCCTGGCATTGCTGGGAGAAGGGCTTACCCTGGCATTGCTGGAAGAAGGAAGAAGAGCCAAGGAAATGAGCAGCCTCTCATTTTCCAGCTTCTGCTGAAAAAGGCAAGGAAACCTATTCTCCCCCAGAGAAGGAACACAGCCCTGCCCACAAGTTAATATGAGCACAGCAAGACCCATTTCAGATTTCTGACCTACAGAACTGAAAGAGAACAAATTTGTGTTGCTTTAAGTCACCACATTTGTGAGAATTTGTTATAGAAGCAATAGAAAACTAGTATAATCAAGATGCTAAAAGGGACTAAAATAATAATGTTGCCCAACCCATTTGTTACATAAATGAGGACTCTGAAGCCCAGAGGGGTGAAAGTGCCCAGCGTAGACACTCAGGAAAGAATAAGCATAGTTTGGGGAAGGATGTGCTTAACTGGTCTGCCCCACTGGCCAGCAATGGCTCTGCCTGTTATTTGGGTTCTACTAGTTCAGAAGAGGTACGGTTCTCACAGTACCCTAGGGCCTCCTTAACAAAGGACAACTAGAGGAAGAGCATATATGAACCCATTTTATTCTAAGAGAACTCTGTACCATTCCTTAAGAGGTCAACTGAGGATAATTATCTTCAATAAGTTTCTTTTTTTTTTTTGAGAAGGAGTCCCACTCTGTCACTCAGGCTGGAGTGCAGTGGCGCTATCTCGGCTCACTGCAACCTCCACCTCCCAGGTTCAAGGGAGTTTCCTGCTTCAGCTTCCCAAGTAGCTGGGATTACAGGTGCACGCCACCACGCCTGGCTAATTTTTTTGTGTTTTTAGTAGAGACAGGGTTTCACCATGTTGGCCAGGCTGGTCTCAAACTCCTGACCTCAGGTGATCTGCCCGCCTCGGCCTCTCAAAGTGTTTGGATTACAGGCGTGAGTCACCGCGCCCGACCTATCTTCAGTAAGTTTCACTTCCTGCACTGGTGGGTCTGATGTTACCAGCTAAGAACTTCACTAGGGAACTGTGGGCAAGTTTAACTAGGTGTGGCTAAGGGAAATGGCTCTCTCTCTTGGGCCTTTTGGTTTCCCATCCTTTTGAATCATTCTGGTTCCGATTCATTCGTGCATTCTCTTTAACACATTACCCACTGCCACGTGCCACAGTGGCCTGTTTGAGAATGGGCTCTCCCTTGTACCTGCATGCTAAAACCAGTTTTCGGTCTTTTTATTTGAGATAGTTCAAATTTCATTTCATTTACCAAGCCCTTACCAGCTATATAACTGTTATCTATTTTGTTCCATATATGCTACTTCTAGATCTGTGTACACCTGAACTTTAAAGAATCTTGGGATGCTCTTCTGCTTCTTCAACCACTGCTATGCAAACCACTTGCCCTAGCTGTGCCTTCCCTGGGGGAGGCTTATCTCCTTGATCATTGTCCCTCCTGCTAGGTGCACAGGGCTCTGCTTCAACTTGCAGCAACAGTGATAAGGGGATTCCGGAGCTTGAGAACTACCTGAAAACTTGTCCGTGGCTTGGACCAAAGTCTTCAGGCAATGCCACTACTTCCTTTTTTTTTTTTCTTTTTTTTCTTTTTTTGAGACGGAGTCTCGCTCTGTCTCCCAGGCTGGAGGGCAGTGGCGCAATCGTGGCTCACTGCAACCTCTGCCTCCCCAGGTTCAAGTGATTCTCCTGCCTCGGCCTCCTGAGTAGCGGGGATTACAGGTGCCTGCCACCGTGCCCAGCTAATTTTTGTATTTTTTTAGTAAAGACAGAGTTTTGCCACGTTGGCCAGGCTGGTCTCAAACTCCTGACCTCAGGTGATCCACCGGCCTTGGCCTCCCAAAGTGCTGGGATTACAGGCGTGAGCTGCCATGCCTGGCCAGTGCCTCTATTTTCTAAGCTGTTCTATGAGCTGTCCACCTTGGCTTCATCTACCTGGGCCTCTGTTGTGCCAGAAACAGCTCAATAGCCACCACATGCGTCCTACAAAAGGACTTGCTTAAGCTTTTACAGAAAATTGATTTCTAAGGCCCCTTCAAGGTCCAAAATGCCTCACTTTATTTGACAGCTATCCCGTTATCTCACTTACCACCTGCTTTCTAACAGGGAGGCTGACATTGTTCTGTAAAGTGGAGGTGAAGAAGGATATTTCAAACTTCCTGAAGGAGGTTTCCAGCTTCCTGAGGCCATGGATGCAGAGGCTGCCTGCTTGGTGGTAGAACTCATCGCCTGAGAATTGTTTTGACTGTGACATTATGAAAACATTGGTGCTTCTTAATGTTTTCACAATCACTGGATTCCAAGCAGTAAAATTTTCACCAAGAATGTCACAATACCTCCTGCCAACAAAAGCCCAAATAGTAAAAAAAAAAAAAAAAAAAAAAAAAAAAAAAAAAAAAAAAGGAGGAAGTGAAGTAATTTAATCAGATATCAGAGGAATGGAGAATTTTTATTATATATCATTCTAATAACTGAAACAATACACTATTAGAATGTGAATTTTAAAAGCAGCAAGCCAAAAACCTAAAGAGTTTTCTACTCACTCTCCTTTCTTCCCTGTGTTAATATTACATGGTTTTGATTTAAATTGATTTTTGTTCTAAAGATGCCATATATTTTTTCCATCGTTCATTTTTGTCCCTGTATTTTCCTTGGGTGCATAGGTACTTTCAGATTAAGCTTCAATGGCTCAATATGAGAGGAAGAGAGAGCGAATGAGGCATTCAGACTACCCTGATGTTGAGAATTTGGGCGATGATTCTGTGTTAGTGTTACCGGTGAAGGGTGTCCAGGTTCTTGGTGTTTGAACAAAGAAATGGACAAAACGCATAAAAAAAGCAAAGAAAGAACGAAGCAACAAAAGCAGAGATTTATTGAAAATGGAGTACACTCCACAGTGTGGGAGCGGCCTGAGCAGTGCTGCAAGGGCCCCAGTTACAGAATCTTTTCAGGTCCAAATACCCCCTAGAGGTTTCCCATTGGCCACTTGGTGTTCAACTACTATAAATGAAGTGGTGGCCTGCACTTTAAGTGAAGTTACAAAGGTGAAGTTTCAAAGGTCACAATCCTATGCAAACGTCTGATTGGTTGTGGAAAGCAACCAATCAGAGGCTAAACTGAAGTTATTAAGTTGCGCTTCTATGCAAATGAAGGCTTGGCCTGCAATCAGAGGCTGAAATGAAGTTACAAAGTTACACTCCTATGCAAACGTCTTACTGGTTGCAAATTCAACCAATCAGAGGAACTTTCAATTTCCCATCTGCCCTGCAGAAAAGGTGGGCTTTTGCAAAGGGAGTAGTCTCTGGTCCTTTTGTTACTTAGGTGTGGAAAGGTAGGGTTTTCCTGTCAACTTAGTTCTAGGAATTCAGCATGAAATGGCCTTAGGTTCCCTGCCTCCGGACCTATTTTCCTGCCTCCTAAGGGCTGATGTTAGTTCACTACCTTTAGAAATAGATTTTACCCCTTTACTTTTCTTCCCTCCCTTCACTGCTGGGCACCAAAGCAACTGAACTGCAGTGCTGGTTTGGGGGCAGGGAGTCCAGTTTACCTGTGGCTCACTCTCACCCCAGGGACTTTCTTTATCATGGCATAATGTGGGGTTAAGAGCTCTATCAGACTCCTAACTTTGAGGTGACCTTTGGCTTTTACTTCTATCCCTTGGTTCTTGGCCTGGGAAGCCATCAAAAGAATAGTTGTTTCCCTGCAAGAACAAATGGCTAGCAGGGCTGGATTGTCTCCCTGGGCTCTGGTCTTCTTAGTTTTGCCTTGTTAATTATGGGAGGAAGACTTCCTACGTCTAAGTGTAGAAGTGGGATGTCATTGTAAATAAAAAGAAGAAAAAGCGTTAGATAAGATACGATATTAGCTGCTATGGTTTGAATGGTGTCTCCCCTAAAAGACAGCGAAGTCCTAACCACGAGTACCTATGAATGCGACCTTATATGGAAATACGGTCTTTGCAGATGATGATCATGTTAAGATGAGGTCATTAGAGTGGGTCCTGATTCAATATAACTAGTGGCCTTAAAAAATGAAGGGAATTTGGCCGGGTGCGGTGGCTCACGCCTGTAATCCCAGCACTTTGGGAGGCCGAGGCGGGCGGATCACGAGGTCAGGAGATTAAGACCATCCTGGCTAAAACACGGTGAAACTCCGTCTCTACTAAAAATACAAAAGTTAGCCGGTTGTGGTGGCGGGCGCCTGTAGTCCCAGCTACTCGGGAGGCTGAGGCAGGAGAATGGCGTGAACCCGGGAGGCAGAGCTTGCAGTGAGCCGAGATCGCACCACTACACTCTAGCCTGGGGGACAGAGGGAGACTGCGTCTCAAAAAAAAAAAAAAAAAAAAAAGCAGGGGTTTTGGACCCAGAGAGAGATGCACATAGAGTGAAGATGCTGTGAATACACAAAGGGAACACCATCTACAAGTCAAGGAACACGTGAGGCTACCAGAAGCTGGGAGAGAAGCATGGAACACTCCCCACAACCCCCAACAGCCCTCAGAAGAAAACATCCTGCTGACACCTGGATTGCAGACTTCTAGCCTCCAGAGCTGAGCAAGAGGCAATACATTTCTCTTGTTTAAGCCACCCAACGAGAGATACTTTGTTACAGCAGCCCAGGAAACTAACACAATGGCTAAATTGAGCCTGGAAGAATGAGTAGGATTCCTCTAGGTGAACAAAGGGGAAAGCACTTTATAAAGAGAAACAGCCCAGGCCAAGGTGCAGAGGTGGGAGAGGGGTATCCACATTTGAGCAACTCCACAGAGTTGGTGAGGCCAGATCGTGAGACCGCAGGGGAGGAGGATGAGGCTGGTGAGGCATGCATGGGGCAGATAAGAAAACTTAACACTTTATTCTGAGGACAACTAGAAACAACTCGAGTTCAAGTGGCCCTGAGTCGAGTTCCACCTCCTATCTCAGAACCCTGGGGAATAACAACATTTAAGAGATGGGTAGAGGAAGGGAGCTAGTAAACGACCCTGAAAAGGGGCTGCCAGAAAGAGACCAGAGAGTATGATACACAGAAACATTGTAAATATTTACAAGTACTATTTGTCAATTACAAATAAAATTTAAAAAGTCATACATGTAAGTTGCAGATAATTTGAAAAATATAAGTGTGAATAAAGAGGCTGGGAGCGGTGGCTCAGGCCTGTAATCCCAGCACTTTGGGAGGCCGAGGCGGGCGAATCACTTGAGGTCAGGAGTTTGAGACCAGCCTGGCCAACAAAGCAAAACCCTGTCTCTACTAAATTAAAAAAAAAAAAGGCCAGGCTTGGTGGTGGGTGCCTGTAATCCCAGTTACTCGGGAGGCTGAGGCAGGAGAATTGCTTGAACCCGGGAGGCAGAGGTTGCAGTGAGCTGAGATTGTGCCACTGCACTCCAGCCTGGGTGACAGAGCAAGACTCTGTCAAAAAACAAACAAACAAACAAACAAAAAACATTTAAAAAAAGAGAGAGAGAGCCAATAAGAAGAAATACAAGAAAAACCTAGTAGGATTCAAAGTATGGCCAAAGCAGACACTTAGGAGATTATTGATAGCTGGCATGAGAGCAGATTCAGAATGAAGCAGTAGGGCAGAAAGGAGCCCTGGATAGTTTGAGGAGAGAGTGAGAGAGGAGTACATGGAGCTGTCTTGTGTAGACTATGGTTTCAAGAAATATGACTACAAAGGAAAAAAAAGAAATAAGAGGATAACTGGAGGAAGTCCTAGGAGGAAGCCCATGTATAGAAGGAGAAAAAAATCAGTGCACAGAGAGAAACAGAATCTGGAAGTGTGGACTAAGTGCAGGGAAACTTTCCGCTTGGCCTTTCCTAACTGCATGGATAAAAACAATTCCCTCTCATCACCTATTATTATTATTATTTTTGTAGAGATGGAGTCTTGCTCTGTCGCCCAGGCTGGAGTGCAGTGGTGTGATCTCGGCTCACTGCAACCTCTGCCTCCCAGGGTTTAAGCAATTCTCATTCCTCAGCCTCCCGAGTAGCTGGGATTACAGGTGCGTGCCACCACGCCCAGCTAATTTCTTTTTTATTTTACTAGAGAAGGGGTTTCACCGTGTTGCCCAGGCTGGTCTCGAACTCTTGAGCTCGGGCAACCCACCCGCCTCGGCCTCCCAGCCTCCCAAAGTTCTAGGATTACAGGTGTGAGCCACCGCGCCCGGCCTTATTATTATTTTGCTTAAGCAAGTTTAGATTTCTGCCACAGGGGTTTGTAAACAGGGCCAGTGAAAGATGCCACTATGTGTGTGGGTTCTCTTCTGACTGAGGACCACAAAGTTGAGCACATTGTTTTGAGTGGCTGCTCATGTCTGCGGCAAGAGAAGGGCCCCAATGTCAGGGAAAGGCTGCCATTGACATAGAAAAGAATGAAGCACCGTTATGATCTGCAGGCATTTTATAGATAATTATAGAGTTACAATGTAGCTGTCAGGAACTTGGCTGGTAGGAGAACTGCATTGTTTTGATAAATCCTTGACTCTGTGGAGTTGTGGCACATTTATATTGCCTGCACAGAACACCATCCTGTTCTCTCCTGGATTACAGGGTTTTTGTTTTGTTTTTCTAGAATGAGGGCTGACCTTGCAAAACAGGTTTCAAGTTTAAGGCTTGACTTTTTCAGTTGTCTTCAAAAGAATTATTTAAATACCAGACAATTAGTTTCAGAATTTGGTAATATTAACCCTTGGAGAAAGCAGGCTATTTTGCCTTACCTGCAACCCACCTCCGCATCTTAGAGTTCTAATAGAAGAGGGACTCAGTCATTTGTTGAATGACTCAAATTTGCTAAATGCCATATTAAGTGCATTCACATAGGTTGTCTCATTTGATTGTCATACCATGTTTGCAATAGAAGGACCTTGATCTCATTTTTTTTTTCAGATGAGGAAGTAGTGTCTCAGAAAATAATGACATGTATGTGAGGGATCTGGGCTTCAAACTAGCTCAGAATCCATCCATTCTCTCCCTCCCTCCTCACTGTGCCTTGCTCAGCAGTTTGTAAGTCAAGATCTATGCAAAGTCTAGGAAAGGATACATCATAAACGCAAAATGTTTCTTGTGCATGAAGAGAGAAATAACTTACAGAACAATCTGACGTCATTTGAAATAGTCAGAGGAGATTCTGGGCATTATGCTTTAGGAACAGATTGGCACCCATTGCAAGTCCTGCAGAAATTCAGAGAAAGGAGGACTCCCTGTGGATTACTATGGCCAAAACGACTTCCTGGAAGAAGCAAAACTTGAACTTAACTTTGGAGGATGAAGAGATTGAAAAAGTAAATAGGCCATTTTACAGCAGAAGAATTCAGTAGGCAGATCAAAAGATGGGGTACAGCAAAGATTTCTGCAAGATGTTTAGGAAATTTGCTAGACCACAGTGAAGATGAAACTGTGACTAGGGTTTGGTTAATTAGGTCAATGAAGATTAGCTTAAATGCAATATGGTAGACAATAGGGAGCTATTGCAAAACTTAAGCAGGGAGCACTTTTCATCCATCTGTCCACTCATCTATCCAACCCACAAGCACTCAGTGGGGATTGTTTATGAGCCTGTCTATTTGGAGAGTGGAGATAAAACTTAAGCAAAGAGGCTGAAATTCTCAGAAGAATGCAAGGAAACTAGAAGAGAAAGATTCTAAAGAAAGAGGAAGCATTTTCTTATCTCTCTGTTATACTTTGCCATCCATCCTGTAGGGTCTACCTCAAATGCCACCTCGTTCCATGGGCCTCCCTGAATGGCTGTGGTTTCTTATTCTTCAAGTATAGTTACTCTTAACATGTCCCATCCCCTTAACTGAAAGCAGAAGATAGGTCTTGCTCATCTTGTAAATGTAAACAATTTGCAAATCCATAGACCCAATACATAATTTTTGAGACTCTATTCTGTGTCAAGCACTATGCTAGTTGCATACATGTTTGTAGACTTGAACTGACGTAAAGAGAGACGGCTAGATATCCTGAAGGTCTATCCTTACTGTAGCATTCCCATAGATTTATGATCCCTGTTGAGCAAGGGAGAGATAAACCCTCTACAGTTAGAGCAAGCATTGAGGGGCATAGCAGTATGGGGAGCTAGATGACACCTGGAGATGGTGTTTGCCATTGGGTTAGGTGTGAACAGCAGCAGCAAGACTGAAATGATCAGAGGAGCATTCTGCAGAGGAGCCCTCAGGTCACATTTGGAGGCGTCAGCAGTTGGGTCTGTTGGAGGCAGGCACAGTTTAGCTGTCCTGCTGTGCTTCAGTGTTCTAGTCTGTAAATGTGTACACAATGGCCATTTGCATGCTGTGAGCCAGATTGTTTTAGCGTGGTAACTGCAGAGCGGAGATGTGTTATTTGCCTTAGTCCTGTCAAGTTTATGGTGCAGCCCTTGATTCCTTGCAATGCTCTATTGATTTTGAAAGCATCCGTGAGTGGTATTTCCTAAGATGGACTTGTCTGAATTGATTCTTAGCTTATACACTGATAAATTCTTGTTTTGTGGTTGAAAAATACCAGGAGTGCCTTTGCAGAGATAAAACAGGCAAAACAGGACAAAAAGGCATCTCTCTGGCCATCTTTCTCATTGTGCAATGTTTTACCTTATTTATTATATCTACTTAAAGTTAGCTATTGAAATAATAAAGGGAAAAAAACCCCAAACTTCCCAGTCACTAACAGTCTGTCAAAATTGTGCACTCTGAAATGGACATCACAGGATTGGAATTTGCTAGGATGTATATGCCAAATGTATTATAGGTATGTGGCAGTTTAGAAAAACTTCAAGAAATTTACATGACTCAGAATGCTACTTCTTGTGTTTGCGTCAGACAACATGCCTTTTTTTTTTAAAAAAAACATAGGCATGTTAGAGAGTGCATGCTTCATCATTTAAATGCCAGACTAGTTTCATGCATTATTCTTTAAAGTTGCTAATCCTGTAGATTTCCCATTAGCAGATTTACATAAGTGCACCTCTCCTGAATGAATATGTTAGCTCATGTTGCATTATAAAGCCCCTTTATCTGACAGTTGCACCTGTCATGGGGTATCCTCAATTTACTTAGTTGAAGATATTTTTCTGAGGTCATTTGTTTTTCTTTCTAGGGTTAAAGGTTCTGCACAATTTTTCCTTTTCCTTCACATCTGCAAAGGTTCTTAGAATGCCTACAAATGAACACTACATGCTCTGTTTTAAAGTCTTAGGTGATTTCTCCCCTGGGGCATATACATTTACTTCTTAAGGTCTTGTAATTCACTTGAAAATGCACATTTACTCACACCAATAAAATTTTCTTCCAGCTATATATTTTCCTGCATTACATCATCTCATTAAGCACCAGAATCACCCAGGCTTGGATTTCCCCCAAAGATTGTGGGAAATTTGTGACTGGCTCCATGAAATGAGCTCTTATTCTGTGATGGTCTAAAAATAGTTGCACCAAACCACAAAAACATATTGCCAGTGGCTTAGATTAATGCCTTTCTTCTGTGATCAGGAGCTATTAGGTGATGGTGTGGGAAGGAGGCTCAGAGATCACCTGGGCAAGATTTTTAATTTACAGATAAGAAAATTGAGTCTCTGACAAGTGAAGTGAATTGCTTATGGTCCACAGTGAGTTCTTGTCACCTCCAGCACTGGAACTCACATTTCTGGATTCCCTACTTTGAAGAAAAAATATCCAACTTGGATGCTTGGAAGATAGGAGAGCAAGAGGGTTGAAATCCTGCAGATCTGGATTAAAATTCCAACTTGATCACTTAGCTATGTTGACCTTGGGAAACTTCAACATATCTATGTCTATTCATCTCTAAAATGGGTATAATAGTAGTAGACTCCTTAGAGAATTGTTATGACAACTAAATGACATAATCCATGCAAAGGTATTAATGCAATGTCTGACATGTAGTAACTGCTCAATGATTGGCAGGTAATCATTTTAACTATTTTTATATATAAAAAGAATAGGATAAAGACAAAATGTTTACATTACTCAGATGAAGCTATCTGAGTAAGAAGTGATTGCTTTCCATAAGTAGAAACAAATATTGGGTGGGTGTGGGGAAATCTAACGAAAGTTTTTGTTGTCATCATGCTATTTTAAGTTGACTGTACACGCTTGAAGTTGAGTCACGCTCACAATAATTTATCCTGCAATTAGGGAAGGGTGCCACTAGGTGGCAGTAGTTTCTTAGTCATGGTTGTATAATTTTGGTCACCAAAAGGATGATAAAAGGAGACGTAATTGGAACATGTTTCAATTCATACACATTTTAAAGTCGACCTCATCACCACTACATACTCACATTTATTAAAATACTGTAATTGACAGGCCTTTGAAGTCAGATATACTTGAGTTTGAAATCCTTCCACTTTTTAGATCAATGTGGGCAAGTACTTGTATAAACACTACCCAGATTAATAAATAAAATATTACCAACACCCCAGATGCCTTTTCCACTATTAATGGACATTTGGATCATTCCCAATTTTGGCTATTAAAATAATGATACTAGGAATATTCTTATAATGTATTTTGGTGTATATATGTATGCGATTTCTTTGGATATGTGTATAGGAATAGAACTGATGGGTCATAGGGTAGGCATACCTGTAGCTTTAGTACATACTGGCATAGTTTTCTGAAGTGGCTGTATCACTTTCTACTTCTACCAGGTGTCTATGAAAGTTCCATTTGCCCAACATCTTTGTCTGTAAGTGGTATTGTTACATGAAATTTTTAAACATGATCTAGCAGATGTATAGAGATGTCTCATTGTGTTCTTAACATGTATTTCTCTGATGACTAATAATGTAGAGAAACTTTTCATGGATTTTGGCCATTTGGATATGCTCTTTTGTGAAGTTCCTGTTCAAGACCGTTGCCTAGGGTTGAACATGTTGTCTCTCATTTTAAAGATTGATAGGTAGGAGTTCTTTATACGTGCTGCATGAAAATCCTCTTCTCCCACTCAGTCGCTTGCCTTTCACTCTCTTAATGGTGTCTTGATAAATAGACAGTCTTCATTTAATGAAGCTCAATTTGCCAATCTTTTCCTTTATGTTTGTGTGTGTGTGTGTGTGTGTGTGTTTTAAAAGAAACATTGGCCTACGCCAAGGTTATGAAGATCAGTCGCTGAGGCTGGGGATAGCCTGGCACTAATTGGCTTAGGCCAATTACCTGGTTAACCCCTGTGGTAGGGAGATGGGATGACCCTGATTGGATTAGACCAATCAGGATTCACCTGGGGCACTAGTGTTAGGTCAATGTTCCTCAAAGCACAAGGGCTCTGTGAGGGAGCTGGAGGATTTGAACAAAAATTGGGTGCCGTTAAGATGGGAGAGAGGTGAGTGGATGCTGAGTGGCTCACCACCAAAGCACCTCGCAATTCTATGCACCAAGTAGATTGGAGTCCAGAGGAAAGGAAAATGAATGACCTTCAAGTGTTTCCCCAAAGAACACTCCAGAAGTTAGTATACAAACCGATTTTAAATGTTATTAAATTTCTTACTTATTCACCCCTTGCCTTCTTTTTTACCATCTCCGCATCATGTATATAAATGGACATGGACATGTCCACGTCATATGCACGGGCACACACATATGCATACACACAAGTCCTCCACTGCCTTCTTCACTTTCAAGGGTTGCCTAGGGTTGAACGTTTCCCTTTTGTACATGTTCACAAATTTCAGACTCAATACTACCAATCATTCCAAAATTTCAGGGAAGATCGCAGGTTTGATCAGTGGCCTGATGAATTTGAATTACCACACTAGTTTGTGGTATGATGGCAGGATACTAGAGACTTCCCATTTACCCCTCCCACCTTCCCACTGACATAATTATGAAAATATAGAAAGGTATTCAAATTTCCAATAGAGTTGGAAGCCAGAAGTATTACTTAATAACTTACTGGAAGCCAGGAGAAATTTCTACTCTACAGAACTTAGAGGAAGCCTCAAGGAACAAAGTAAGGCCATGTAGGGAAAAAGAGGTCATAGGAAATTCTTTCTCCATTATAGAGTCTCTCTCTTCCTCTCTTTCTTTCTCCCTCTTTCCATCTCTCTCTTTCACCTACTCCTGGGCTACAATTCCCAATAATGCTAATGAAGAGATGAGAATTTGGCAACTGAATAAACAGGGGTTAGTACAAATAGGAGACTAAGTTTTTCATTCAATGTTTTTGACAAGGAAATATACACTGCTTCAGACCAGAGAGATGACCTGGAGATCCTTCTGTAGGTTAAGTAAGTTGCAATCATGGGAAAGTTGTCTTGGAATGGGCAGAGACATTTGGTTTATAACAGAAGGCAGAGAGACAGGCATGGGGACCAAAGCAAAACCACACGTGCTTTTATGAGCAAATATCAAAACAGATCTCTCCCCGATCAAAGGATTGAACGTGGAAGAGAGAAAACATAAAACTGGAGAGGCAGAGAAATAGTGTTCCGTGGAAAAAATTTATTATAGGAAAGAGCAGAAAATTTTAGAAAACATCTAATTTGAGCTCAATAAACTTCAGGAAGGCAAGGAGGAGATGAAAACACAATAGACTTTGATGAAAAGGGAGATTATTTTGATAAGGAAAGCTTTTAAGGAAACTAAAATTTAATGACTTTTTAAATGGTTGATAACGGATCTGGAAGCAAAAACTTAACAACAAATACCTAGCCTATTGCATTCTTTTTTAATTTATGTAGTTACCAGGGCTAATTCTACATCCTGTAATCCTCCCACCTTTGGACAGATGTTTTTAGTAGTTCAAAATTTATTTTAAAAATGTACATTTAGCCTCTTTTCATGAATAGAAAATTGTTAAATAGATTCCTTTTTTACTACTCTGGCTTTTCAAGGAGACATACCATCAATGAATGCCAAATGTGCTATTAAAATTTCTCCAAATGTTAATAAATCTTACTTCTCTGGAAGTATTTGGTTCTGTTGTTAATTATATGTAGAGTCTAAGCTTTTTAAAGTTACAGGTGTATACAGGAATTAGATACACAACTTTAGGAAGTGAAGAATGAGTCTAATACACAGAACAGTATTTTGTATTAACAATGAAATCATAGACACAAAATCAGCATTAGAAGTAGTAAAAAAGCAAGTTAACCCTGCAGAAAATTTAATCAGAAATGCAGTGGTTTTCAAACTGAGCACCTTAGAGCCACCTGGTAGGGTCTCAGAGGCTGGGGTAGGGGGTGAAGGGGTTTTAGGGAGGGGCCAAGGGCTCCTTAGCCCCACTTCAACCACAACCACAGCAGCTTATTTTTGATCTTTTTTAAAAAAATAATTCTGTATAATTTGGGCATCAGATTTTGTTGGAAATTGTTTCTATGGCTAAAACTAATAGAAAACTCCTCATGTTAAATCAAATTAAGAAAGGCTCCCAATGTTTGGAAGAAAAGTGCAAAAACAAACAAACAAACAAAAAAAAACGATGGTGGTTGGCCGGGCATGGTGGCTCATGCCTGTAATCCCAGCACTTTGGGAGGCTGAGGCAGGTGGATCACCTGAGGTCAGGAGTTTGAGACCAGCCTGGCCAACGTGGTGAAGTCCCGTCTCTACTAAAAATACAAAAATTAACTGGACGTGGTGGCGGCTGTGTGTAATCCCAGCTACTTGGAAGGCTGAGGCAGGAGAATCACTTGAACCCAGGAGGCAGAGGTTGCAGTGAACCGAGATCACGCCATTGTACTCCAGCCTGGGTGACAGAGTGAGACTCCGTCTCAAAAAAAAAAAAAAAAAAGATAATGGTAAGAGAAGATGACATGGAGCACAGTGTAGTGTTGAAGCGCTACGTAGTGTTGAAGCACAGCGTGGTATTGAAAGTAATAGAAATCCCGGAGAAGAGATCAAAGGAAAGAGAAGCAATAATGACAAAGAACTAGAAGAAAACCTGTCTGAAGCCCAAGAAGTACCAAATACAATTAATAAAATAAAAGATAAGGAAACAGGAAGGCCATCTGGTGTTGTCGTACCTTCATAAAGATGTGTCCATATCCATACCCATAGATCGCTCTATAGTTATCCAATCCGGGAGGGAAAACACGACAGCAGTTTACTTATTTCTATCCAGGCTAACTCTAGTCTTCTTGAACTTACTGTTTTGAAAGAAAAATCTGAGTCCCTAAATTTTGTATTAGCAAAATTATTCATAAGTGAAGGCACCAATGAGACCTTTTTTCTTTTTTCTTTGGTGGGTAGGGGTGTTAGGAGACACTAAAAGGCCCAGAATGTAAAACACCCATGAACCCTTTCTCTGGGATATTATCCACAAGACTGAAGATGGCCAAGAAATGAACCAAAATAAGTAAAAAATAGGGTTGCTGTAGTAGGAAAGTATCAACTAGGAAATAATACTTAACTATAAGACGTTTCGAGTCTTTGCAACTTCTGCCTCCCGGGTTCAAGCGATTCTCCTGCCTCAGCCTCCCAAGTAGCTGGGATTACAGAGGACTGCCACCACACCTGGCTAATTTTTGTATTTTTAGTAGAGGCCGGGTTTCACCATGTTGGCCAGGCTGGTCTCAAACTCCTGACCTCAAGTGATCCACCCACCTTGGCCTCTCAAAGTGCTGGGACTACAGGCATGAGCCGCTACACCCGGCCTGTTTCAAGTCTTAATGTAAAACTCAAGGGTAATCACCAGTATACATTTTTAAAATTGACAATTTTCATATCACTGCAGAAGACACAATAAATAGAACATGATGTGAAACTATAAGAAAACACGAAAAAAAATAAAGATTTCTCCCAAAACCAAAAGCATGAAATAAGATGAACATAAATAATATTGAACATTTTATACATTTTACATATTCATGACAGTAAACATAAATAGGTCAAGATATTGGAGTAAAATAAAATTACCCTTAGTATAGGGAAAAAAACCCCAGCAAACAAAATCTTATTATGTGTTATTTGTAAAGGATACATCTATTAAGAAAGAAAAGACGAATAAAACACCCAGTAAGATTGAAACCAACATGTTGGGTTCATTAATATGTGCAGACAACAAACAAAAAAGCAAAAATCATGACTAAAAGACTCCTATATTAATATATCATTAAGAATTAAAAGTATAAAAGCATTAAAAGTGATGGAAGGGTCATTTTACTCCTGTGAAAAGTACAAGGCACATTACAGACATAATGATCAGGAATATTCATCCAATCCATAACATGTTATTGACATATACAGTGAAAGATTTTTATATAAGGTACACAAGAAGAAAAAAATTTAAAGCCCAGAAGAGAAAGACTTAAGCATAGTTTTCTACATTTCTGAAAGATTAAGCAGCCAAAATTAAGAACATAGTGAATCTGGACCAGGTGCGGTGGCTCACACCTGTAATCCCAGAACTTTGGGAGGCCGAGGAGGGCAGATCACGAGGTCAGGAGATCGAGACCATCCTGGCTAACACGGTGAAACCCCGTCTCTACTCAAAATACGAAAAAATTAGCTGGGCATGGTGGCGGGAGCCTGTAGTGCCAGCTACTCCAGAGGCTAAGGCAGGAGAATGGCGTGAACCTGGGAGGCGGAGTTTGCAGTGAGCGGAGATCGCATCACTGCACTCCAGCCTGGGCGACAGAGCGAGAGTCCGTCTCAAAAAAAAAAGAACGTAGTGAATCTGGATAATAACATTACTAAGTTTAATTAAGTAGACTAAATTAAAATTTGTGTCTTTTTTTTTTTTGAAAGGAGTCTCACTCTGTCGCCCAGTCTGGAGTGCAGTGGCGCCATCTCGGCTCACTGAAAGCTCCGCCTCCCGGGTTCAAGCGATTCCCCTGCCTCAGCCTCTGGCTAATTTTTAAAAATTTTTTTAGTACAGACGGTTTCACCATCTTGTCCAGGCTGGTCTCAAACTCCTGACCTCGTGATCCACCCTCCTCAGCCTCCCAAAATGTTGGGATTACAGGCGTGAGCCACGGCACCCAGTCTGAAATTTGTATCTTACAAATAGTTGAATACTCCTTGTTAGGAGTTCATTGAACAACTATGAGATGTAATTAGATCACAAAGAAAACCTTAATACATTTCCAATGGGAGAAATTATATGTGCATTTTCTGTTATCCTAAACCTTAATCACATGGGAAAAGAGCGAAATCCCCTTAAAAAAAAAAAAAAACCCTCAACTTAAACTTGTGGTTTAAAATATCTTGGAGATATTATAGGTTGGGCTCTGTGGCTCATGCCTGTAATCCCAGCATTTTGGGAAGCCAAGATGAAAGGATTGCTTGAGCCTAGGAGTTCAGGACCAGCCTTGGCAACAAAACGAGGCCCTGTCTCTACAAAACAAAAACAAAAACAAAACCCAAAACAAAAACACACATCTATCTATCTATCTATCTATCTATCTATCTATCTCTCTATCTATCTATCTATCTATCTATCTATCATCTATCTATCTTAGAAAACAGTGAAAATGAGAGTTCTCCATATCAAACTCACAGGTACTATAAAAACAGTGATGAAAGAAATAGATTTCAAATTAAAAAATGAAAGTAAACAATAGGAATTGGGAAATGAATGAAACTGACCAAAGATTCAATCCGAGTGTGAAGAATAAAGGCAAATAAAATTTTATGACAACAAAAAGAAGGAATAATATTAAGCCAAACATGAACAATTAAAAGACAATAAACTATGGAAATTGTCATGAAGTCAATTTTTTCTTTAAACTTTTTTTGATGAGGAGATAAATTAAAACATAGAAACCTTTCTGGGCCAGGCACGGTGGCTCACGCCTGTAATCCCAGCACTTTGGGAGGCCAAGGCGGGTGGATCACTTGAGGTCAGGAGTTCGAGACGGCCTGGCCAATATGGTGAAACCCTGTCTCTCCTAAAAATACAAAAAATTAGCAGGGTGTGGTGGCGGGCACCTGTAATCCCAGCTACTTGGGAAGATGAGGCACAAGAATTGCTTGAACCTGGGAGGCGATGATTGCAGTGAGCCGAGATCATTCCACTGCACTCCAGCCTGGGCAATAGAGCGAGACTCAGTCTAAAAAAAAAAAAAAAAAAGAAATCTTTCTGTATAATTAAAATAAGTTTGAACATCTCAATATATTAACTGATTTTGAGGAAACTGTAGCTACAGAAATTTACATTAGATATGGAAAATCTAGAAAGGTAGAATAAGTAAGGACCCATTTCTAGAGATGTCAAAAGGTACATTTAGGAAAGGATATGAGGGCATGAATGGGCGGTTTTATGGGTTAGGTTCTTTCAAATGTACAAGAAACAGCAAGAAGATACATGGAAAATTTCCTTATTCATTTATAATACAAATAACCTCAGTAACAGAATTGACACAGCTACTCTCTCTTTACACAAAAATTATAATCCAACTTGAATTATGAAAATAAACAAAAATTGTAAAAAATTACACTAGCAAATTGAGAACAGCATTCTAGTAAATGAAGATACATTCATGACTAAATTAACGGCATTCAAGGAATGCAATAATGATTTGATGTTAGAAATATTTTACTAGAAGGCCGGGTGTGGTGGCTCATGCCTATAATCCCAGCACTTTGGGAGGCCAAGGTGGGAGGATCACTTGAGGCCAGGAGATCAAGACCAGCCTGGCCAACACGGCAAAACCCGTCTCTACTAAAAAATACAAAAGTTAGCCAGGCATGGTGACTCGTGCCTGTAATCCCAGCTACTTAGGAGGCTGAGGCAGGAGAATCGCTTGAACTGGGGAGGCGGAGGTTGCAGTGAGCCAAGATCGGGCCACTGTACCCCAGCCTGGGAAACAGAGTGAGACTCTGTCTCAAAGAAAAAAAATAAAAAGACAGAGCTGGCAGTGAGCCGAGATCGCGCCACTGCACTCCAGCCTGGGTGACTGAGACTCCGTCTCAAAAAAAAAAAAAAAAAGAAATATTTTACTATAACATATATCCATAGATCAAGAAAATCTCAATAGTAGCAAAAATGGAATCTGTTAAAATTTAAATTCAATTACTGATGAACAACAATGAACTAGGAATGGGAAATTCTGCCTCAGCAGTATCAAGTTTCTCTTTATTTCTGTCTCAGGACAAGAGTCTTAACAACTAGTCCAATGCAGAGCCTCTTAGAATTACAATGGGTTGAGCTGGTTGGGAATATAAAGCACTGTGAGAATACAGACTATGCTTCTGAATTTTAGAGGAAGTTAATATTGGAGCAGGTCAGATTCACACATATTTTACCAATGGAGGACTATCTGTCCTTAATGAATTCAGTTACACCTGTGAGTAGTGATCAGGAAGGTGGCAGAATCATGCTGTTCTGCCCACATCTACCATGATGAAAGGAAGGAGAAAGATGGAGAGGCTGCTTTTTGACATCCCACTGGATGGCGACCATTAGGTTGCGTCGACTGATTTCCTCAGTAAAACCAGAAGAACCATTTCCTAGAAGAACCTGAAGAAATACAGAAGAGTACTGAAGCCTTTGGCAGGAGGGAAAGGAGGAAAAGAGCTATGATTTGTTGAGCTTCAACTAGGTTGCTTTACATACCTAATCTTGAAAGTTTACAACATCCAAGCACATAGCCATTATACTCGTAGCATGACTGAATATTTACACACCCTACTCCTTAGATATGCAAAGGATATTTTACAATAAAAATTATCAGACAATACATCACGCATACAAAAAAGCATATAAAATTTCTATGTATAGCTTAGTGAATAATAAAACAATATATACCTATGTGCCCTCCACCCAGCTTAAGTACATATTTCCAGTGCCTTAATGATGAGCCATGGTGTGAAATTCCTCAATTACTTCCCCACCCTCCCCCACAGAGTAAACCGCCATCCTGAGTTTACGTTTATCATTCCTTTGCTTATCTTTGTGTTTCAGTATCTACGTGTAAATCAACAAACAAAACAGTGTTTGGTTTTGCCTGTTTTAGAACTTTATATGAGTGGGTTGTATACTCTATGTGGCTACAATGGCCATGGGAATGCACCTCAGAGACTTCCTTCTGCAAGGGATCAAGTGACCAAAAGCTTAGCTGCTGAACTCTGAAATCCATGGGTGTCAGTGCCTGTCTCCCACGTGCAGTTCACTGGCAGTGACATTGCGGCGAGGCTGCTAAAGTAGACTTGGTTGGGTGCAGCGGCTCATGCCTGTAATCCCAGCGCTTTAGGAGGCAGGGGTCGAGAATCATATGTGGCCGGGAGTTTGACACCAGCCTGGACAACATAGTGAGACTCTGTCTCTACAAAAAAAATGGTGGTGCACACCTGTAGTCCCAGCTACTCAGGAGGCTGAAGTGGAAGGACAGCTTGAGCCAGGAGTTTGAGGTTACCATGAGCTATGATCATGCCACTGCACTCTAGACTGGGTGACAGAGGGAGAGTTTATTTCTAAAAATAAAAAAATAAAAAAACATAAAGTAAAAAGCCTGCTGTGGACCAGCTTGGCTCAAGGACTCCCTGAATAAACTTTCTTAGGCTGCATGGCTGTCTAAGACATGTTCAGACTTTTCTTCCTCCTTTTCACCTGGGGTCAGACTTGCAGTCTGATGGCTCTTCTAGACTTTCTGCAGCTCCTGCTCCACCTTCTTTACCGTAGGTATTTCCCCGGAATAAAACTCTTACACATTTAATTCTGTCTTGGTGTCTGCTTCTTAGAAGACTTAGACTAACACAGTAGTCTTTTTTTGGCTTATTTCTTTTTGTGTTCCATTCATGCTAATGTGTGAATTTCATTCTTCTTCTCCACTGTATAATATCTATTGTTTATATATCATAATTTATCGAGCTCTTTGTCTGTTGATGGACACTGAGTTGTTTCTTTTTCGTTTTTCTTTTGCATTATAAACCAGAGGCTGGAAAAAAAAGTCCTATGGGCCAAATCCTCCTGATCCTGTATAGCCCACAACATAATAATAGTTTTATATTTTTAAATGGTTGGAAAAATCAAAAGAAGAAGAATATTTCATGGTATGTGAATATATGAAATTCAAAGTTCAACGTTCATAGAAAAGTTTTATGGGAACATAGTCATGTTTATCTCTTTATGTATTGTCTAAGGTTGCTTTCTTTCTACAATGGCAGAGTCGACTGGCTGCTCGATGATCCACAAAGAATAAAATATTTACCATTTAGCCCTTTACAGAAGAAGTGTACTGACCCCTGTTAAAAACATGTGGTTATGAATAATCTTGTGTGCATCTTTTGCTGCATATGTGTAGGAGTTACTCAGGATATAGCCTTAGGGGAATATCTGGGCCTTAGGATATGTACATGTTTAATTTTATTAGTTAATGCCAAATTGTTTTTCAAACTGATTGCAAAGTATTTTCAGCAGTGGGCATCGGGTCACAGTTGTACTACATCCTAGCCAATGGTTGGTATTGTCCAACTGTTCAATTTTTACCAACTGAGTGGACTTGAAAAGTTTTCTCATTGGTTTTAATAGGCATTTCTTTGATTACTAATGTAATTGAACATATGCTTATGGTCCATTTGTATTTTGTCTTTATGACATTGCTTTATGTCTTTAGTCTATTTTCTTTTGGATTGTTTGTCTTTTTCTTGATTGATTCATTGAAATTCTTTACATATTTTGTATATTGATTCATTATAATTTAATTCATAGCATTAAATTAAGTCATTTAATTTATGGCCCCTACTTTGTACTATCTTTATTGTGCTTTTGGATTGCCAGAGTTTTTACATTTAAGATTCTTTTATGGAAAATTTCAATCACATGCAAAAATAGAAGTTCTTAATTTGAATGTAGTTGTCTTTTAAATACTCTACTTTCTGTTTCATAATTTTTATGTTTTAAGAAGCCCTTCTTTATTCCCAAATGACAAAGATATTAATATATGTTGTCTTTTGAAGTTTTATAATTTTCCTTTCCATTCAAGTCTTGTGACATCTTGGAATTGATTTTTGGTATGATATGATATAAACATACAATTTCATTTTTAAAATATGGATTATCACAGTCTCTGAGCCATTCATTTAAAAATTCACCTCTTTTTTCTCCTGATTGGCAATTGTTCCTACAGAAAATTTCATATAGGTATGGATTTGTTTCTAGACGCTCTAGTCCTTCTATTTATCTATTTATCTTTTCTGATTGATTCCTCATTGCTGTAGCTATTTAGTTTAATCATATGTCTTTACATATGCCTTCTGTCTTGGTCTTTTGTCAGTAGTGTTTTGCCTCTTTTTTGGCCCTTAACTTTTCCATATAAATTTTAGAATCAACTGTCCAGTTATGAAATGTCTTCTTGGATTTTAATTTTGAATTACACTGAATCTATAGATAGTTTGGGAAGAACCGATATGTACAATATTGAATCTTCCTATCCAGGAATATTGTACATTTCTCCAATCACTTACCCTTTTAAAGTGCCTCTCAGTAAGTATTACAATTTGTCCCTCAAGCCTTACCTACCTTATGCTAGATTTCTTCCTATATTCGATTCTATTCATGTTCTGTATTCTTTTTATTTTTAGCTGCTTCGTAAGTGGTATCTTTTTAGTTTCAATCTTTCTATTTTCCTAGTTTTAGCTGTTTTCTATGAAAAGTGGATAGTTGAATGTTTTCGTCAATAATCTTGGTCTTTATCTTTGGTTATCTTCGACTGCGTGTTCACCATTTCCCTTGAAGTATCGTTTGTGAAGTTCCCTAAGGCTTAGCATGGATGTGCTCTCCTCCAGAGAGGTTTTCATTAATCTACAAAGCATGGAGGCCACCAGAATGCTTATATCTTACTGATGAAGGGAACCTTTAATCACTTATGACTTCATTTATCTTTAGTGATGCGTTCTGTTTTAAAGTCTATTTTGACAATTTTCTTTTGGTTAGCAGTTTCTTCTTTTATTTTCAAATTTTTCTGTGTTTGTATGTTTAAAACGTGTTTTATAAACAACATGCAGCTGATGTTTTTACCCTTATTGACAGTATTTGTCTTCTAACTAGAGAGTTTAGTCCATTTGTATTGTTTGTGATTATTGATGTATGCGTATGTGTAATCATATCACTTTATTATGAATTTACTATGTGTCTGTCTTTCTTTGGCTTCTTTTTATTTCTTTCCTTCTATTACTGTTTCTTTCTTTCTTTTTTTCTGAGACAGAATCTTGCTCTGTCGCCTAGGTAGGAGTGCAGTGGCGCCATCTCCGCTCACTGCAAGCTCCACCTCCCGGGTTCACGCCATTCTCCTGCCTCAGCCTCCAGAGTAGCTGGGACTACAGGCACCCGCCACCTCGCCCAGCTAATTTTTTGTATTTTTAGTAGAGACGGGGTTTCACCTTATTAGCCAGGATGGTCTCGATCTCCTGACCTCGTGATCCACCCGCCTCAGCCTCCCAAAGTGCTGGGATTGCAGGCATGAGCCCCCACGCCCGGCCTCTATTACTATTTCTTAGCCAACAGGTGATCCTTTTGTGATATAAGTCAGATCATGCCGTTCTTCTGTTCAAAATCCATCATTTGTTTCTTATTTTTCTCAGAACAAAAGCTAAAGTTCTTATGGAAGCCCGTATGACCTACATGATCTGGCCCCTTGCTTTTCTTTGACAACTCTTCCCCTTGGTCTGTCTGTTCTAGATATATTGGCCTCCTTGATTTTCTCTGAACACCCAGAACATACTCTTAGTAGAAGAACATTGCACCTGCTGTTTCCTGTACCCATAACTTTCTTCTCCCAGCCATCCTTGTGGCTCCCTGCTCACGTTCTCGGATCTCTGCCCATATGCCACCTTATCATTGAGGATTTCCTGTCCATTCTACATAAAATAGCAACCTTCTGCACTTCTCAACCCCCTCCTTAGTACTCATCACCCTCTGATATATGACATACTTTCTTTGTTTTTTTTTTTATGATGTGTGTGTGTCTTATCTACCAGAATGCAAGATCTATGCATGTAGGTTCTTTGTCTTTGTGGTTCCTAGTGTCTCGCTCCGTCACCCAGGCTGGAGTGCAGTGGCATGATCTCGGCTCACTGCGACCTCTGCCTCCCAGGTTCAAGCGATTCTCCTGCCTCAGCCTCCCAAGTAGCTAGGTCTACAGGCCTACAGGCATGTGCCACTACGCTCTGTTAATTTTTTTGTATTTTTAGTAGAGACATGGTTTCACCATGTTGGTCAGGCTGGTCTCAAACTCCTGACCTCAAATGATCCACCCTCCTCAGCCTCCCAAAGTGCTGGGATTACAGGCATGAGCCACCATGCCCATCCAGATAAATCTCTTTTGATTAAATGTTCAGTCATTCAGATTTTCTTTCTCTTTCCTTGCTTGTCCCCAGATGATTTGGGCCTACAGTAAGAGATTTTAAGACCTGATGGCCCTGGAGAAAGGAGGTCCATCTCAGTCTGTGCAAGTATAGGATCTTATGGTGTCTTCTGTGTCCTTACTGGTTTCCCTGCTGGGTGACTGGTCTTACCCTGTTCCTGGATCCTTGCAGAGTGTCCGCTTAGGTGTGACTAAGTCATGTGGTACTTTGGGATCTTGCATTAGCACCTAATGCTGAAAACTGTGGTCTGGGTCATTTTCCTTTGATCCTGAGGCCCATGTTCTGCAGTCCCTTTGACCCACCTCTAAAGCTATGTATCTATACGCCCTTCCAATCCCTCTGGGGTCTCCTCTGGGACACACGGAACTTCCAGATCCCCTTCACGGTTGGAAAAATCAAAGATCTGCTACCTCTTTCACTCAGAGCTGCCTTCTTATTTCTATGACAGTTTAGATGTGTTTTCAGGCTGAATGTGGAGTTTCTCTAGATCTGCAGCTTTCCTCAAGCTGTGTCCAGGGAAGCAAACCTGGACACAGTATTTTTGAATTCTTCCATAGCCATATAAAGGTTTTGCTCCTCTACCTCTAGGTTTCACTCTAAGCGAAACTGATGAGTGCTCTGGAATCTTCGATTCACCTCTTGTTGCATCTCTCTTTTCCCCACATTCCAGAGGGCCAGAAAGGATGGGCTTTCCCTTTTCCTCGTGGCAGAAACTTCCCTGACTTCATAGCTGGGTTCCCCCTATCCACAGTTTACAGTACAACTATCTCCTCCAAGTTGGCCAGCATTGCCTCTGATACGTGAACAAGAAGTATTTGGAGGTAAGGTCACCCTTCCTCTGGTTTTATTTTTTTAAAGTTTGGCTTTCAAAACCATTGCTCCTCTGTAGAATCCAAGATTATATAAGATTACATTAAGTCTTTTCTTTCTGTTTGCATTCTTTCTATAACAGGGTTAATAAATACAAATCAACACATATACACATGAAGAGAAAATGGATGTAATAACCAAGGACTGCCTGATGTAAGTTCAATTATGTAAAATGTCAGTGTCTGATTTCTATCTGCTCAAACTGATGTTTTAATATATTAAGATTTAATTCCAGCACTTTGGGAGGCTGAGGGGGCGGACCTGAGGTCAGGAGTTCAAGACCAGCCTGACCAATGTGGCAAAACCCCATCTCTACTAAAAAGTACAAAAATTAGCTGGGTGTAGTGGCAGGTGCCACTACTCAGGAGGCTGAGGCAGGGAGAATTGCTTGAACCTAGGAGGCAGAGGTTGCAGTGAGCCAAGATCGCGCCACTGCACTCTGGCCTGGGTGACAGAGTGAGACTCTGTCTCAAAAAAAAAAAAAAAAAAAAAAAAGATTTAATTTACATAATAATTTTAACATAATTAGCATGTTCCTGACAAATAATAAATGTGCTTGATACATACTGGCCGCTGTTTTAATGTTTATAAAATCTCCCCAAATTATGCCATCATTTTGAAGGTGAGACTCTCTTTGCACCCTCATGAGACATTTAACTGCATCCCTTCTGAACTATTGATTGGGATTATTCTCTAACCTTAATTCAATATTAGGTTCCTTGAGAGCAGACACCATGACTTAGGTCTGCTTGTCTTGGTTGGTGCACAGTAGGTCCATTCATTCTGTGTTATTTATGTAGTATATGCCAGGCCCATGCTGAGTACTGGGCACATGAAGTGGAATAAGCATCAGCTCCTGCCAGAGCGAGACAAGTAATGCACTCAAGTATTACAGTTTCTGTGATCAACTGCCAAGGCAGCCAGAAAACATTTCATGGAAAAGTGACCGTAAAGCTGTGCTTTCAAAGATCAGTGGTGTTTGCCAGGTAGACCAAGCATGGAAGGACTTCCCTGGGGCGTGAGGGGAGCTGTGTGGACAAAGCACTGAGGTGTGAGAAGCAAAAAAGCAGTCTCAGGGAACCGCAAGCAGTTCAGTGCAAATGCAGCATGGGTGAAGTCTTGGAGAACAGCAAGAGGTAGGGTTCAAGAACCTGACAGGGGCCAGATCATGGCAGTAGCACTTGAACAGTCTTAGACAGAGAAGGTGCATGATCAGATTTGCCATTATGAAAGTTTTCCTTAGCCTAAAGGTGAATATCAGATTGGAAGGAGTCAAGACTGGAGGAAGGGAGACCACTAAAAGGACTATGAAAACAGTGGAAAACAGAAGAAGAATGTAGAATTATGAGTTTTGGGGCCTGACTGGTTTCTTCTAAAATGCTTGTTTTTCTGCAATGATGATAATAATAATGATTGAGGATCTAGTATGGGTTGGGAATTCTGATTAGGTCTGTATATACAGTTCAACATTTTATCTTACGAGTACTCTATTAGGTAGGGACTATTATTATCTTCATTTATAAATAGGAAAACCAAGGCACTGAGCATTTGAATAAATTACCCAAGGTCACCCAGCTAGTGAGTTGCAGAGCTGGGATCAAACCTAGGTAGCACAGCCCCACAGCTCTTGAACAACACATTCCACAGAGAACAGACCTTGGCAGACTCTGAGAAATGTCCTCTAGCTGCAATGCTTACAGCCAATGAAATTTTTAAAAATTGTGGTAAACACATACAACATAAAAAATGACCATCTTAACCATTTTAAAGTATGCAATTCAGTGTAATTAAGTAGATTCACATTGTTGTGCAACCATCACCACTATCCATGTCTTAAACTCTGCATTTTGCAAAACTTACACTATATACTCATTCAAAAACAGTACCCCATTCCCTGCTCCTCTCTGCCCCTGGCAACCACCGTTCTACTTTCTGTCTCTATGAATTTGACTCTTCTGGGTACCTCATGTAAGTGGAATCCTACAGTATTTGTTTTTTTGTTAGTGGTTTATTTTACTTAGCATCATGTTCTCAAAGTTCATTCATATTGTAGCATGTCAGAATTTTTTTCCTAAGACCGAAAAATATTCCACTGCATGTAAATACCATATTTTGCTTATCTGTTCATTTGTTGGGTTTCTTCCATGTTTTCTCTATTGTAAATAACACTGCTATCAAAGAAATAACTCTTAAGGACTCTGCTTTCAATTCTTTTGGATACACACCCAGAAGTGGAATTGCCAAATCGTATGGAAATTATATATATAATTTTTTTTTTTTAGTTTAATTTTTTTTTTGTGTGACAGTGTCTCTCTGTGTTGCCCAGGCTGGTCTTGAGCTCCTGGGCTTAAGCGATCCTCCTGCCTTGGCCTCCCAAAGTGCTAGGATTATAAGCCTGAGCCACCACATCTGTCCTACATATTTTTTTTTGCTTCTAGTTTCTCTTGTGATTTCTTTTTTGATCAATTGATTGCTTAAGGGTATGTTGATTAATTTCCACAGATTTATGAATTTTCCAGTTTTCCTTTTGTTATTGATTTCTAACTTTATCTTGTGATATAATAAAATATTGTGTATAATACATATATTTTTAGCTTTATTGAGACTCAGTTTGTGGCCTAACATATGGTCTATCTTGGAGAATGTCCATGTGCATTTGAGAAGAATGTACATACTGTTGTTGTTGGGTGGAATTTTTTGTGTATGTCTGTTAAATCCAGTTTGTTCATTGTGTTGTCCAAGTCCTCTATTTCCTTATTTATCTTCTGTCAGGTTGTTCCACCCATTTTTGAGAGTGGGGTGTTGAAGTGTCCAATTATTATTGTAAAATTGTCTGTTTCTCCTTTTAATCCTGTCATTTTTATTTATTTATTTTTTTAGACAGAGTCTTGCTCTGTAGCCCACGCTAGAGTGTGGTGGCATGATCTTGGCTCACTGCAACCTCCACCTTCTGGTTCAAGTGATTCTTGTGTCTCAGACTCCTGAGTAGCTGGGACCACAGGGGTGCACCACCATGCCTGGCTAATTTTTGTATTTTTAGTAGAGGCAGGGTTTCACCATGTTGCCCAGGCTGGTCTCAAACTCCTGACCTCAAGTGATCCAGCTGCCTTGGCCCCCCAAAGTGCTGGCATGAGCCACTGCACCCAACTGATCCTGTCAATTTTTGCTTCATATGTCTTGATGGTCTGTTAGGTGTGTAATTATTTATAGTTACTATATTGTCCTGTTGTGTTGAAACTTTTGTTAATGTATAATGTCCTTCTTTGCCTATTGTAATTTTTTAAAATTTAAAGTCTATTTTGTTGGACATTAGTATAGCCACCCCTGGTCTCTTTTGGTCATTATTTTCATGGAATATCATTTTCTATCCTTTCATTTTCAAACTATTGTGTTTTTTTATTTAAAGTGGATCTTTTGTAAATAGTATATAATTAGATTATGTTTTAAAAATTTATTTTGGCAATCTCTGTCTTTTGATTGGAGAGTTTAATACATTTACATTTAAAGTAATTACTGATATGGAGGGACTTCTGTCATTTTGCTATTTGTTTTCTACATGCATGATACCTTTTTCTGTCCCTCATTTCTTGCTTTAATGTCTCCTTTTGTGCTTAGTTGACTTTTTGTAGTAAAATGTTTTAATTTCCTTATAATTTCCTTTTGTGTATATTCTATAATTATGTTCTTTGTAGCTATCATGGATTACATTTAATATCCTAAAATTAAAACATTCTAATTTGAATTTATACCAACTTCAATAACAGACAAAACATCTGCTTCTTTGTAGTTCCAACCCCATCTTTTCCATTTATTAATGTCACACAATTACATCTTTATGTTATGTGTCCAAAAACATAAATTAATAATTGTTTTTCTGCATTAATCTCTTAAATTATGTAGAAAACAAATGTGGAGTTACAAACCAAAGTTACAATAATACTAGCTTTTAGACTAATAATTACTTTTTAAAAAATGTTTTAGTCCCTTAAATCATGTTAAAAACAAAAAGTAGAGCTATAAACTGTTGTTATACAATAATAGCTTTTCTAACTGCCCATGTTATTTACCTTTGCAGAGATCTTTATTTCTTCATAAGGCTTCAGGTTACTGACGAGTATTCTTTTGTTTCAACCTGTAGGACTTCCTTGAACATTTCTTGCAGGGCAGGTCTAGTGGTAATGAACTCCCTCAGCGTTGTGTGTGTGTGTGCTTTGAATATATCAGCCCACTACCTTCTAGTTTCTGATGAAAGATCTGATGTTAATCTTACTGAGGACCCCTCATATGTGATCATTTCTTCTCTCTGCTTTCAAAACAGAGAAAGGAGAGAGAAGAAATCATCCCTTTGACTTTTGACAGTTTAATTATGCTGTGTCTTTGTGTCAGACTTTTTGAGTTCATCTTATTTGGAGTTCGTTGAGATTCTTGGATATTTATATGCATGTCTTTCATTAAATCTGGGAGGTTTTCAGTCATTATTCCAATAGAGAGAACAATCTCTCTGCCCCATTTCCTCTTTCTTTTTCCCTGGGACTCCTATGATGCATTTGTTGGTCTGCTTTATTGCATTCTACAGGTCCTTTAGGCTCTGTTCACATTTCTTCATGCTTTTTTCTTTCTTTTTCTCAGACTCAATAATTTCAGTTGTCCTATCTTCAATTTCACCGATTTTTACTTCTTCCTTCTCAGATCAGTCTTTGACTCCCTCTAGTGAATTTTTTATTTCAATTATGGTACTTTATAGTTCTATAATTTGTTTTTGGATTTCCTATCTCTTTATTAATAGTTCTGTTTTGTTTGTACAGCATTTTTGGACTTCTACTTTTTTTTTTAGTTCTTTGAGCATCTTGAAGACAGTTGTTTAAATGTCTTTGTCTAGCAGGTCTGTTATCTGTTTCTTCGTTGACATAGTTTCTGTTGGTTTGTTTTTCTCCTTTTAGCAGGCCATACTTTCCTGTTTCTCTGTATGCCTTGTGATTTTGTTGTTGTTGAAAAATTTGAATGTAATAATGTGGTAACTCTGGAAGTCAGATTCTCTGCCTCCCCAAGGGTTTGCTGTTTTTTACTTTTGTTTTGCTTAAAAATGTTTTAGGCTGTCCCTGTGCCAAGAATCAGCCTCAGGTGTAAACGTAACACCCTCTCAGGTCTTTTCTGAGCTGATGCCTTTTCCTGGGCATGTGCAGTAATTTTCTAACTTCTCCTGTTTATGCAACTGATTTTGAATGCCCTAGTCTGTAATGTCTAGCTCCTCAAAGTAGAAAAAGATGAAAATAAAGGGGAAAAAAAAGCACCAACCTTTTCAATCCCCCTGGAAGTCACTTCAGCAAGAGGGGGAGGGATTTGCAACAATGAGGAAGGACTTGAAAAAATGGGGAGGGAGTGCAAAAATGGGGAGGGACCTGCAACAATGTGGAGGGACTTGAAACAATAGAGAGGGACTTGCAACCATGGGGAGGGACTTGCAACCATGGGGAGGGACTTGCAACAATGGGAAGGGACTTGAAACAATGGGGAGGGACTTGTGTAGGGAAAATCTCTCTCAAACCATATTTTTTTTCTGCTCTCACACCACCACAACAATTGTCAACACAGAAGAGGACTTCTGTGTCCAAAGGTGCAGGGTTTTTCCCTTCACACATCAAATAGCGGGCACCAGCTGGGTATCCTCCAATTCAATTCCAACACTATCTACCTGGACATAGCATCAGATCCCAGAGCTTGAGGGCTCAGTCCCCAAGACTGTCCCCTGCCCACCTGACACCAGTCACAAGTCCAGGCCTCCAGAACTTCTGACCCATCAACTTCAACTTGGGGTTCCCAAGACCCTTTCTTTGTGTATTAGTCCATTCTCATGCTGCTATAAAGAACTGCCCCAGACTGGGTAATTTATAAAAGAAATAAGTTTAATTGACTCACAGTTCAGCACGGCTGGGGAGGCCTCAGAAAATTTACAATCATGGCAGAAGGCAAAGGAGAAGCAGTTACCTTCTTCAGAGGGTGGCAGGACAGAGTGAGTGCCAAGTGAAGGGGGAAGCCTCTTATAAAACCATCAGAGCTCATGAGAACACACTCGCTATCATGAGAACAGCATGGGTGCAACAGTCCTCATAATTCAGTTATCTCCACCTGTTCCACCCTTGACACGTGGGGATTATGGGGATTACAATTCAAGATGAGATTTGGGTGGGGACACAGAGCCTAATCATATTCTGCCCCTGGACCCTCCTAAATCTCATGTACTCATATTTCAAAAGCAATCATGCCTCCCCATAAGTCCCCAAAGTCTTAATTCATTCCAGCATTAACCCAAAAGTCCAAGTCCAAAGTCTCATCTGAGACAAGGCAAATCTCTTCTGCCTATGAGCCTGTAAAATTGAAAGTAAGTCAGTTACTTCCTAGACATAATAGGGCTATAGGCATTGGGTAAATACACCCATTCCAATGGGAGAAATTGGCCAAAACAAATGAGTACAGGCCCCATGCAAGTCCAAAATGCAATAGGGCAGTCATTAAACCTTAAAGTTCCAAAATGACTTCCTTTGATTCCATGTCTTAAATCCAGGTCATGCTGATGCAAGAGGTGGGCTCCCACGGCCTTGGGCAGCTCTGCCTCTGTGGCTTTGCAAGGTACAGCCCCCATCCTGGCTGCTTTCATGGGCTGGCATTGAGTGTCTGCAGCCTTTTCAGGTGCCTAGTGCAAGCTGTCTGTGGATCTACCATTATGGGGTCTGGAGGATGGTGGCCCTCTTCTCTCAGCTCCGCTAGGCAGTGCCCTACTGGGGACTCTGTGTAGGGGCTCTGACCCCACATTTCCCTTCTGCACTGCCCTAGCTGAAGTTCTCCATGAGGGCTCCACCCCTGCAGAAAACTTCTGCCTGGACATCCAGGCACTTCCATACATCCTCTGAAATCTAGGCAGAGGTTCCCAAACCTCAATTCTTGACTTCTTTGCACCTGCAGGCCCAACACCACATGTAAGCTACCAAGGCTTGGGGCTTGTACCCTCTGAAGCAACAGCTTGAGCTATAGGTTGGCTTCTTTTAGCCATGGCTGGGACTAAAGCAACTGAGATGCAGGGCCCAGAAACCATTTTTCCCTTCTAGGCCTCTGGTCCTCTGATGGGAGGGGCTGCTGTGAACGTCTCTGACATGTCCTGGAGACATTTTCCCTATTGTCTTGGTGATTAACATTTGGCACCTTGTTACTTATGCAAATTTCTGGAGCAGGCTTGAATTTCTCCCCAGAAAATGCGTATTTCTTTTCTATTGCATCATTAGGCTGCAAACTATCCAAACATTTTTTTTTTTTTTTTGAGATGGAGTCTCACTCTGTCACCCAGGCTGGAGTGCAATGGCATGACCTCAGTTCACTGCAACCTCTGCCTCTTGGGTTTAAGCAATTCTCCCACCTCAGCCTTCCAAGTAGCTGGGGTTATAGGCATGCACCATCATGCCTGACTAATTTTTGTGTTTTTGTAGAGATGGGGTTTCACCATGTTGGCCAGGCTGGTCTTGAACTCCTGACCTCAGGTGATCCACCCGCCTTGGCCTCCCAAACTCCTGGGATTACAGGCATGAGCCACCATGCCCAGCCAAACTTCCCAAACGTTTATGTTCTGCTTCCTCTGAACACTTTGCTGCTTAGAAATTTCTTCTGCCAGAAATCCTAAATCATCTCTCTCAAGTTTAAAGTTCCACAGATCTTTAGGGCAGGGGCAAAATGTCACCAGTCTCTTTGCTAAAGCATAGCAAGAGTTACCTTTGCTCCATTTCCCAAGAAGTTCCTTATCTCCATCTGAGACTACCTCAGCCTGGACTTCATTGTTCATATCACTATCAGCATTTTGGTCAAAACTGTTCAACAAGTCTCTAGGAAGTTCCAAACTTTCCCATATCATTCTGCCTTCTTCTGAGCCCTCCAAACTGTTCCAACCTCAGCCTGTTACACAGTTCCAAAGTCACTTCTACATTTTTGGGTGTCTTTATGGCAGTGCTCCACTACCTTGGTATTAGTCTGTTCTCACATTGCTATAAGGACATACCCAAGACTGGGTAATTTATAAAGAAAAGAGGTTTAATTAACTCTTAGTTCCACATGGCTGGGGAGGCCTCAGGAAACTTACAATCATGGTGGAAGGCGCTTCTACACAAGGCAGCAGGAGAGAGAATGAGTACCAACAGGGGAAATGCCAGATGCTTATAAAACCATCAGATCTCCTGAGAACTCACATCACAAGAACAGCATGGGGGAAACTGCTCCCATGATTCAATTACCTCCCACCAGGTCCCTCCCAAGACACATGGAGATTATTTGGATTACAATTCAAGATGAGATTTGGGTGGGGACACAGCCAAACCATGTCATTTGTGTACCACTAATTTGCTGGAGTGGCTCACAGAACTCAAGGAAACATGTCTAGTGGATTATTATAAGGAATGTTGCAAAGGTTACAGATGAAGAGATGCATAGGGTGAGCTATGGGGAAGTGTCATGGAGCTCCCATGCCCTCCCTGTATGCACCATTCTCCTGGAACCTCCATGGGATTCGGAAGCTCCAGGAACCCAAACCTTTTGGGTTTTATGGAAGCTTCATGATGTCAGCATTCCTTACTCCAGGGTTTGGAGTGGGGACCTCCCTGGGGAAGATCTTAAGACTCACAATCAGAAAGATGGGGAAAGATGAGAGTTTTGCCTTGGGGAAGGTGAAAGGAGGGCAGGAGATTCTATTTTCTGAGACTGAACACATTCAACATTATAACAAAAAACTATCTCGGGTGATGGGAGTTAAAAGCCAGGAACTGTGGATGGAAACCAATTTATATCACAACACTCACCCCCCTACCCCGGCAACAGTTTCTGACAAAAGAGGAATGTAACTGGCTTTGGCTAGTGATGATCCACATCTTGTGGCTGGGCACAAAATGGATGTTCTGTTGTGAGGGATTAAGGATGTGAACCCCAGTTTCCACATCAAATTACATAAGGTATGGTATTGTGATTACCTCATTTTATAAATGAGAAAACTGGTGAGAGGATAAGTCATTTTTCTCAAGGTCACAGTGTTGGTTAATCTTACCTGACAACTTGATTGGTCTATGGGATGCCCAGAGAGTTTATTGCACATTATTCCTGGGTGTGTCTCAAGGGTGTTTCCAGAAGAGATTAGCATTTGGATTGGTGGACTGAGTAAAAAGCAGATGGGACTCCTCTATGTGAATAGATATAATTCAATTGGCTGTGGGCCTGAATAGGACAAAAAGGCAGAGAAAAGTTGAATTTATTCCATGCCTGACTACTGAGGCAGGACATTAACCTTCTTCAGCTCTCAGAGCTCCTGGTTCTCAGGTCTGAAGACCTAATCTACACCAGGGACTTTCTTTCTAGGCCTTGGAAACATATCACCACCCATCCTAAGTCTCCAGCTTGCAAAATGCTAAACTTCGTCTGTCTGGACTACTGTAATAAAATACCATAAACTGGGCAGCTTAGATACAACAAAAATTTATTTCTTACAGTTCTGGAAGCTGGGAAGTCCAAGATCAAAGTGCTAGGAGATTTGGTGTCTGGTGAGGACTCACTTTCTGGCTCATAGATGGCACTTCTCGCTGTGTTCTCACGTGGCAGATGGTATGAATGAGTTCCCTTAGGCCTCCTTTATGAGGGTTCCACCCTCATGACCTAATCATTTGCCAATGGCTCTACCTCCAGAAATTGATGTTTTGAAGCTGACACATGCTAATGTTTGAGAACTACTGACTTAGTCGAGCCCCTTTACTTTAGAGACTCAGTGAAGGTCATTCAACTTGTAAGTAGAAAAGGTGGGACTGGAGACGGGCTTGGCGGGGAGGTCATCTGAACTCTGTGATAAATGCTTATATTATAGATTCTTCCAAGGAATGCACTTAGGAAGAGATTTTTCAGTTTTAAGAGCATCAGAGGCACACTACTGGGGTCTGTTAGTATCTCCCAAAATTCATGTGCTGAAAGCTACTCCCCACTATGCTGGTGTTAACAGGTGGGGCTTTTGGGAAGGTTCCACCTTCATGAATGAGATTAGGGCTCTTATAAAAGAGGCCCAGGGGAGCTTGTTTGCCCCTTCATCTATGTGAGGACGCAGCAAAAAGATGCCTTCTATGAAGCAGAGAGTGACCTCTCACCTGACACCAAATCTTCTAGTATCTTAATCTTGAATTTCCCTGAAATAAGCCACCCAGTCTATGGGAGTTTGTTATAGCAGCCCAAATGGGCTAAAATGCACACATCTCATCAAACAATTGTAATAATAAAAAAACCAGTACTATATGCAGGCATTAGGTTTTGCTTCTCAAGCAACCCAGCTAAATAGATGTTATTACCTCCATTTTATAGATGCGGGAACTGAAGCTCAGAAAGGCAAAACAACTTTTCATGCTCTTCTACCTAATAAGTCGGAGAACCAAGATTCAAATTCTAAATGCGGGTCTGATTGAGGCCAAGCAGGTGAGCAGGCTCAATGGGATTCTCAGTGTTGGCCTGGCTTCCACACAAGGAAGAGGCCACTGGCAGGGGTTCCTGTCCTCAGCCAGGCTTCTAGCCTGACACTGGCTGGACAACGCAGAGTGAAGCTGGTCATAGGGCAGGGTTTCCTGAAGCTGTGCCTGCTTCATGAGGCTGCCTGCTGGCCCAGGCTCACCTCTCCCTCCAAAGGGCACAGTGGCTATTTCTGGCCGTCCCAGCCTCTGGCTGTGTCTGTCTTCTTTAACCTTCCTGAGGCTCCAAAGGCCATTAGGAAGCTGGCCGAAGCTTCATGGCCCAATGACAGGACTAGGATCTTACTGGATGGAGGAGGGGAGAGAGTGAGTCTTTAGGTCCGTGAAATTGCTGCCAGCATTTGGCCAGCTGTCGTCCATCAGCCAGAGAGCTAACCAGAGCCTCCCTTGGGGCTGGTCCCTGGAGTGCCATGGAGCAGAGGCCGTGCCAGTTCCTGGCTGGGGGCCAGAAGAAAATCAATATGAGTTGGCCTGCTCCAGCAGGGCCCCCCACATCTGGTGCCGGGAATGACTGATTGAAGGGACTTGTCATAGAATGATGGGAGGCCACAGCTGGAAGGGATTTGAGTGACCATATGGCCCAGTGGTTCGCAAACCCTTTAACACAGTGGAGATCTTTCTTCGAATGAAACTGCAGGCAGTAAAAACCAATACAGAAAACTGTTAGTAGTAGAACTCACTGAGATCCTGGGAACTCCCTGGGCCCCTGGCGGTCTGTGAAACAGCTTGGGCCATGCTCATCTCCTGGAACTCCCTGGTGGTGGAGATGGAAAACAGGACAGAGGGTGAGATTCTGACCTGTGGGGCAGAGCCAGGGCCCAGAGCCCAGGCTCTGACTTCCAGTGGGGCCCAGAAGACTGAAGCCACTCAGGGACTGTATTAATCCAGTCTGGCCAGGAGAGCTGCTTGTCTGTCCTGAGATACCTAGGGGAAGCCCTGTCTGATCACTTTCAGATGCTGGGCAAAGGGAGGCCCTCCCTCCAGAAGGCTGCATCATTAGAGGTTTGAGTCAAGACCCTGGAGGAAACTGCAAGCTCATGGAGCTGGGAGACCTGGGGTCAGCTTTGTCCTCCTATATAAAGGCTGAAAGTCAGGGACACTGAGGCAAGGGCTCCTTCCAGTTATGTCCCAGAAGAAGATAAAAGAAAAACTTCTTTGGGACTGGTGGGAATCTTGGGAGAAAGTGGAAGGATGAGTGGCCTCAAGCATATGGACTGGGTTCTCTTGTCCCATTCTGGGAAAGTGTCAAAGGAACTGAGTGTTTGTTCGTGCCTCTAGGAGAGAAGAGGATTTAGCCTAAGGCAGTGCCACCCACAGGAAAGGAAAGAGGGACAGTGGAGGCTCCTGGTTGGTGGGGACCATGGTCCTTTAGGAATGCTCTTCAGCAGTGCCTCACAGAGAAGAGCAGATTCCTAGTGGAGCATACACTTCAGCCAGCACCCGAGCCCCAGACTTCATTAGTGTTCAGGTTTTACTTACTCTCACCAGTCTCTGGGTTTCAGACACATTCTGGGCTTCATGTGGACCCCAGACTTACTGTATATCCGGGCTACTTCTCACTTCAGATGCTCTCCCCAGAACTGTTTATTGGATTATTCTGATTATTCTCAAAGTTTTATCCATATCTTGGGTTTTATTCAAACCCACTGACCTTTATTCAATGCCATAGAGTTTATGTAGCTGAGAATTTGTTTACTTTCAGACTCAAGACTTTATCCTGTTCCTGCTTCATCAAGCTAAACTCAGAGTTAAGCCTGCCAACCCTCTTCCACCTTCACCAGGTGTCAGTTCTAGCCTGTTACTTGTCTAGTTCTCAGAGGCTGTAGTGCCGTAAACCTTATGTGTACGTTTGGCTTACCGGAATCCATCCTCATTTTAACTACTTAATCACAGGCTTTATCACGGGCACACCTAGTTCCACTTTTACCCAGTTGCCTCTAATGAACTAGTAGAGGGTAGTTAGTGTTCCAAGCATGAACGCTGGAGTCAGACAGCTTTGAGTTCTGCTTAATTTCTTCCGTGTGGCTTCGCATAAGTAACTTAACCTCTCTGAGCTTTGCTTCCAACATATGTAAATGAGATAATAAAGATAATGCATATAAAATGCATAGCACGTCGCCTAGCACATAGTAAGCATGTAGTCAGCTCTGGCTGTTGATTTTAGCATGAGCCTCACAATGAATAGCATGTGGAAATGCAGGATTCAGGGCTAGAGCTGGACAGGTGATGAAGGGAAAAGTAAAAAGTTGGCTAACTTTAGAAAAAGGAAATAAGAATTTGCTCTTTTTTTTTTCTCAGAAAAAGTTAAACATACAGTTAGAAACTTTCATGAACCCTCATAGCTCAGCAGTTAGGAGACAAGTCTGATGTGATGGCAGAGGCTCAGTGAAAGTTGGGACAGAGGCTGGGCGTGGTGGCTCCCGCCTGTAATCCTACCACTTTAGGAGGCCGAGGCGGGTGGAGTTCGAGACCAGCCTGGCCAACATGGTGAAACCCTGTCTCTACTAAAAATACAAAAATTAGCTGGGCATGATGGTGGGTGCCTATAATCCCAGCTACTTGGGAGACTGAGGCAGGAGACTCACTGGAACCCAAGGGGCGAAGGTTTCTGTGAGCCGAGATCATGCCACTTCACTTGGGCCTGGGCAAAAGAGCAAAACTCTGTCTAAAAAACAAACAAACAAAAAACAAAAAACAACAACAACAAAAAGAAAGTTGGGACAGAAGGAGGTCAGGAAGGAGGGAGGCCAGCAGCACCTTATTTTTCAGGGCTTCCTTTTGGGGATGGGCTGCCCCTGGGCTGGGTCAGCCCTGGGCTGGGTCAGCAGGGGTCCTGGGAATTGTTTCTAGCATCCCTTATCCTACCCAGCCCTGTGCCTCTCCCCTCAGCGGAGCCAGGTCTTTGTTTTCTTTGTTTACTCTTTGGTGTCATAGACTCTCTCACTTGGAGAGCTCAGAGGTGGCTAGAAGACTGTAGGGAATGAGGGAAGGGTGTGGGATTCAGAGGGTGGCAAGCTGTCAGTGCAGAAAGCGTTGGATCCTGCTAGAGTTTGACAGGTTTAGAGGACAGAGAGAGCTGGCACTTGCTGGTGATATCCAGAAATATGTTATTAATACGTGAGGCTTCATCTCCTGACCTCACTGCAACAAGCAATGAGGAACTTGTGTGAAGTAGTTTAAGAGTGTGTGTGTGTGTGTGTGTGTGTGTGTGTGTGTGTGTGTATGTGAGAGAGAGAGAGAGAGAGCAAGAGCACAATTAATAAATCTTAATGGCTCCTCCCCAGTCCTATTCTCCAGTCCCCCAAATCTTAAATACGCCTTTGTAAGTGAGGGCCCTCAGCACCAAAAGTTAAGTCTCTGCCATACCACTTCTCCATAGTATCCCTGCTAGAGCTGGCTATGTCTGTAAATACTGATGATAATAATATTATGAATGATGATAATGATGGCAACCTCTTAGTGAATTCCTATTCTAAACCGGGTAGTGCATATGCGTGCTCTCATTTAATCTTCACAACCCTGAGAGGCAGGTAACGGAATTATCCCCATTTTACAGACGAAGAAACAGAGTTTCAGTGAGCAGAGGTGAACCCAGGTCACCCAGCAACCTCGTGATAATGTTGAAAGCCTGCCTGTCCAAGGGCCCTGCCAAGCCAATGCCCTTCACCTCTTTGGCAGTGTTCTGCCTTCCAAATGCAAGCATGGAAGCTGCCCACCCACCCAGTGCCAACTGTCTTCAAAAGATTGTTCATACTCTCTTCTTTGGTGGTACTGTGCAAATATGGTGCCTGAGTTCCCTATTTCACCCTGACATTCAGCATGGCAGGGAACCCGACAGCCCCTTTGCCTCTCTTTCTTTGTCTTTCTCCTGCTGCATTTCTCCTTTTTACTTTGATCTCCCATAGTTAACTCCTGTCCTCAAATGGGGGCCTTCTGAGGCCTCTGGCTCACTTTGTGTGTTAAACACTTGGACTGAGCTCAAGTTATTTTAAAAAAGCCCCAACTGTGATGATATGCAGCCCTGCCTCTTCCCTTTTGGTGCTCTGGTCACAGGTTTATTTTTATAATGAGCCTCTGCCTCTTGTCTCCACTGTGGACTTAATTGCCTGTTACACTAGAAAGAATGCCAACTGCACTTTGCAGAAACCGAGTAAAATCATACCATAATGATCTGTTAATTTCTTCCAAACTGTTATTTGTTTATTTGTCTACTTTTTTCCTCACAGTTGTGAAGGGATTTAGAGGGGAAGAGGAGGGAGAGAGTTTGTTAATTCGAATGTATTTATCATTTTTAGGATCATTTTCTCCCAGAGATCCACAGAAATTCCTACAGAACATTGTGTTGAACTTTCTGTCTTCTGGGCATTTTAAAACTAGATCCCTCTTTTAAGACATTTGCCTCAAGCTTGGGGTCAGGATAGGGACAAGTCCATCCCAGAATGAGCTGAAGGTGGATAAGGGGCCAAGACAGGGGGTACTCAGGGCCGACTTCCCCACCAAGCACAGCAGGCCCAATGCCCAGGGCTCTCTGTACTTTTAGGAGCCCCTGGAAATGCCTTAATTTCTTCTAAAATTAGCAGAAAGAAAATGAATATAATCAGAGCTGGAGTATATTTTTCTTTATATCAGTGCACTTATAAAATAGAATATTTAATATTGCTTTATGGAGGAAGAAGCCCATGAAGTTAAAAGCACCCAGGGCCCGTGGAAGTCATAATACCACCAGCCCGTGTTCTGTCAATGCCAAAGATCACAGGCGCTCTCCCTTCTCCCTCCCTTCTGCTCTCTTCTCGGTCCTTCTCAATCTCCCTTTCTCTTTGTTTATTTCTCTCTTCCTTCTTATGAATCCATGTTTAACGCCTAAAATTATCTGTCTAAGGAGACATAATTAGTGGAGCGGCTGAGGCTGACCTGGGACAGGAACCTGTGCTGTGCTGCTGTCTTGCTTTAGGTGTTCTTCCAGCGTTGGTACTGAATCACTCCTTGCTTCTATATCAATTTAAAAAACCACCAAACGACAGTTGAGAAAGGGAATGCAAAAGTCATCAAGTGCCATAGTTTGCAAACCATATTTCAGCTGTAGACACACACACACACACACACACACACACACACACACACACACACACACGAGGTCCCGTGGGGGTCTCTGGAGGTTTTGGAACATGGGTTCCTACAGCTGGCCCTGACAATCCCTGGGCCAGCCTGGCCTCGGCTTCTCATTTCAGGGAAGAACAGTGGTGCCAGGAGGCTGAATCTTACCCGAAGCCCCAGGGCTTGTCAGCAGCAAGCCCATGTTGGCCCCAGGGCTCCTTCGTAGCATTCATTTTCTTAGACCATACTTCAGAAACCTTTAATTTGGTTTGGCCATAAGGATTCATTGATGCCACTTTGGTAACCACAGGTTCATGCACAGTAAGATGAATTTTGGGGCAGGGTAAATACTAGACTCCAAAATTACACTCTTGTAAAATACTCAGCACCACATCATGAATCAGGCATTATTTACATTCAACAGGCAAGGATCCAAGCCTGTGCCTTTTCCATATATTAAGTTGATGCAACAGCAATTGCTTTTGCATCAACCTAATATTTTGCTTCCTCTTTAAAAAAGACAGTCAGGAAGTGCCTGGCCCCTCCTTCTTCATCCTGCTGCCCACCTCCCCCTCCTCTCTGCTCCTCAGTCTTTTCCCTTCCTTTCCTTCCCTGGTCCTCTAGATCTGACAGGAACCTTGCTCCCTCCCTGCCTTCCCTTGGGTCCCTGTGAAGCCCAGACTCAGGCCCATCCTCAGCACAATATGAACAACCAACAGTGCTTTCAAAGCCCTTGAAGAATGTTTTCAATTATAATTCACATGACTTGGGCTCTGCTTTTCCAAAGTCTGAGTTAGCAGCTGCCAGAGCCCTAAGCTAAGCAGGACAGAGGCAGGGCGCGGGTGGCAGCGGGGGGAAATGGGTTCTGGGTTCTGTATACAAACCTGATCATGAAAGTAAAATATGTCATTATAAAATTTCATTACGTAGATGAAAGTGAAAAGAAAAAAATATGTAATTCCACCATGTGGTGTAGTGCTATGCAGGGTGTCTTTGCATATCTTGTACATGCATGCATAGGCTTATAGATGTGTATATATGCACACTATAGTTTCCCTTCTATTCTATAAACTTTGGGTTTATAAAAGTGGCAACATATTTAAATACTTCTTGTCATCTGTTTCTTACCTTTCCTACCTTTTTTCTGTTGTTTTCCTGTTATTAAATAGTCTACATTATGTTTAGTTCCTGACCTCACTGGGAATAGCTGCTGAGGGCTGACCTTGGGGAGTAGGTTCTTAGTGTTGGCAAATATTCCTGTCCCCAAGCAAGGCAAAGAAGGCAAGATTCATTGCTTCCAAGACCATGCCGGCTTGGAAAAGGAAGCCATGAGTGCCCATCAGATTGGCCTCAATGTAAGCTTCTTGGATTCCTTGGACCAGAGACCCCAAGAAGAGAGAGAAGTCTCCAATAAGGGGCAAAGGGTGGGTGTTGCCCCTCCACATCACTTGGCAAATGCTTTTGTGTGTGTGTGTGTGTGTGTGTGTGTGTGTGTGTATGTAGAGTTGTATGCTCTACAGCTGCATGGTATGCCTTACATTGGATAATTTGTAATAAATTTAAAACCCTTACATTGCAAATAATTTAGTTTATTGCTGATAGCTTCGCTCTCATAAAAGTGCAGAACAATTTACAAAGATGATTTTCTATTTTATTTTTGTCTCTGTGGAAGGATATGAAAGGAAAAGAGGTCTTTGAGTTCCATTCTCCCCCATTTTGACTTTCCCTCCTTTTAACACTTTCTTTGCTGCAGGGGCATGAAGACATTCTTCCTGGCTTTTGTTTGAGTAAGTCTCAGTTTATTGAGGGGATCATGCAAAGAGCAAGTACAAAGGGGCTTTGTCTGAAAGAGGAGTTTTGGAGTCATCAAAGGAAGCAGAGAGAGTAGAAGGATGTGAGTCTGGGCCTGACAGGGCCCCCGGGGGTGGCAGGACCTCACCAGGAACAGCTGCGGAGGGGTGACCTTGGGCAGTAGCCTCTTGGTGTTGGCAAATAATCCTGTCTCCAAGCAAGGCAGAGAAGGCAAGGTGCATTGCCTCCAAGAGACCATGCCAGCTTGGACAAGGAAATCATCAGTGCCCACCAGAGACCCCAGGAAGAGAGAGGAGGTTTCAAAAAGGGCCAAGACTGATTTCTCACCTTCTTGGTAGGATTGTGTGGGGAGGCTGTTATATTTAGTTTGATTTAAGCTTATAAAGTATGTTGATATTTCTTGCATACCCAAATCTACACATAAGAAACTTGCTCCATGACTAACATTTCAGTGAATTTCTTTGCAAATACACAAACTTATTTTGTTGAGATGAAATCCTAAAAGTGGAACTGCAGGATTAAAAGAGATGCGTATTTTGAAAGACCTTTTGAATTATCCCAAAAAATGTTGACTTAATTTTCAAAGCCATCAGTATAATTCAAAAGTGTTGACTTTCCACATAGCTGTTCCTGGTGCATGTCAAGGTTGAAATCCTGAAGTCTCCTGTCTTGGAAGTGGAGGAATTTTCTAATTAGAAACAGATTTGGTTTTCTGGAAGAAACTCTCTGGAATCCTTTATTAATGGGGGTTCCATGAGAAAATAAAGCAGAAAATGATCCCAGTGACTATTTCCAATTCTCCCAAGCTTGGTATATAGCTAGAACCATCCTAGACAGATAGGGAGAAAAGTTAATTTGGTTACTTACAAGATATGCTTTGGACTTAATTCTCCCCTGGAAGGGAACCTGGTTGGAAAAGGCTACTCTAGCCTTGCACTCTGTGGTCCTTGGTCCTCTCTCTGGTAGACTTCCTTTTCTCTTATCCTCCTTGACCATATGAGAAGTGGGTATAGAGGCAATGGTTCTCTTTGGGAGCTACACAGCTTTTTCTGCTCTCTCTCTCTTTTTTTTTTTTTTTGAAAAGGAGTTTCATTCTTGTCACCCAGGCTGGAGTGCAGTGGCACGATCTTGGCTCACTGCAACCTCCGCCTCCTGGGTTCCAGCAATTCTCCTGCCTCAGCCTCCCGAGTAGCTGAGATTACAGAAACCTACCACCATGCCCAGCTAATTTTTGTAATTTTTAGTAGAGATGAGGTTTCACTATGTTGGCCAGGCTGGTCTTGAACTCCTGACCTCAGGTGATCCACCCACCTCAGCCTCTCAAAATGCTGGGATTACAGATGTGAACCACTGCATCTGGCTTCTGCTCTCTTCTTACTCCTGCAACTTGAAGCCAAAGTTCTATATCTTGAACAGTTTTTTTGCTTAATGTTAGCTTCTTTAGCAATTCATAATTCCCTTTAAAACTTGGAAGACTTCTGATTTCTTTGGTTTCATTCAGTACTATGTGCTAAGCAACCACTCCCTCCCCTCATTTCTTTATCAGTTTCTTTGCTTCCCCACTTTAAACCACACTATTAATAAAGGCATCTACCTGAATGTATCTAGAACAACCTTTGAGAAGTGTACAAATCATTTTCACGCTGCTGATAAAGACATACCTGAGACTGGGCAACTTACAAAAGAAAGAGGTTTAATTGGACTTACAGTTCCACTTGGCTGGGGAAGCCTTTCAATCATGGTGGAAGGCAAGGAGGAGCAAGTGACATCTTACACGAATGGCAGCAGGCAAAGAGAGAAGGAGAGCCAAGCCAAATGAGTTTCCCCCTTATGAAACCATCATGTCTCATGCAACTCATTCACTATCGTGAGAACATTGCAAGAAAGACCTGCCCTCATAATTCAATTACCTCTCAGTGGGACCCTCCCACATCATGTGGGAATTCAAGATGAGATTTGGGTGGGGACACAGCCAACCCATATCAAGAAGGATACATCCTTACTATAAACATAGCCTGGAGTCTCTTGATTCCTCTGTGAAGTTTTACTGGGTTTTGTGACTCAAAGCCGTTAAAAATTCTGACTTGTCCTATTTGGGGTCTAGAAGCAGTTGGCTTTTTCACTCCTCATTGCTGCAAATATCTGAAATCTTTCTGTTCTCTTTTATTTTTGTATATAAGCCAGCCACTTCTTTCCTCAGTGCAGCTCTTTCTCATAATACCTTGCCAAATTCAGCAAATAACAACCAGCATCCACATCTAGTGTTTTGTTTTCTAACCTTTTCTCTCTCCTCTAGGGTCCGTAGACACATGGACTACCTATTAAGTCACTTCAGATGTCAGGTTTTCCAAATGTTTTGCTTCTGAATAACATGATATCCAGCCTCCAGCCTGTTATGTTTCCTCACTGCTACCACTACTCCCTCCTAAGCCAATCCCATTTTCAGTAATGATTTTTGTACTAGTCAGGAAAAGCAAAGTGCTGTAATAAACGGCCTCAAATCTCAAAGGCTTAATGTCATAAATACGTCTTCTTTGCTCATGCAAAGTTCCATCGCTATTTTCATGGTTAGGAGGCTCTCCCAGCTGGTCCTTTTCCATATGGTGCTTCTCTAGGTTAAGGCTTCTTCCACCAATGTGATACCACCACCAGTATGTGGCCACCAAGGTTACCGCAAACAGGGAAGAGAGAGGAAGTTTGTGTTGTTGTTGTTTTTAAGTGGAGCCAGTCCTGGAAGTAGCTTGCATCTCTTCCTTCCATATTTTATTGCCCAAACTCAGTCACATGGCTATATCCAGATATAAAGCAGCCAAAAATATAGTCTACCAGAGTAAGTATACTAGAGTACAAACGTGGTGAGGCCAGGGTCTTATACAATGCCTGATACACAGTAGATGTTTAATAGATGTCTGATAAGGTATACATTGAATTTTAAATCTACTTCCACTTATCGTTTCCTTTATTATTTCTACTTTTGGTATCCTGCTTTAAAATCATTTTTACTTGAAGTTTATATAAAAATATTTTAATTTCTAAATTAAAATATTGTATTTGTCTAAAATTTATTTTAAAGGTGTGGGGAGAAAGGATTTACATTTCTTATTTTCGATTATTCAATTGCCCCAAAACTATATTGAATATATTCTTTTTTGTTGTTTACTGCTGAATTCTTTTTTTTGGCCTTAAAAAATGTTGGAGATTGTACTAAATTCTTAATTATAATTGGGTTGGTTTTAGTGTTTACTGCTCTATTTCTGGTCTTTGTTTTTTGTTTAACCCAATACCAGATCACAATGTTTTAATTATTACAGTTATATTAGATTTTAATATCTAGCAGGGTACCTCTTTTATTTAATTAATAAAACACATTTGGTCTTATTTATTATTCAAGATAAATGTTGAAATACTTTTAGACACATTTTTAAAAATCCTTTAGAAATTTGTATTGAGATCATTTTAAATCCATTAGATAATTTGAGCTTAGCTGATGTTTTTGTTTTGATTCTCCAAAAAGAGGAATCTGCTGTGTCTTCTAATTTTTTCAACTCTTGTTCTGTGTTTTTTTTCAGTAAAGGTCTATAGTTTTTCTTTTTATGTATATGGTTTATTTTTGTTTTGGCTATTCTTAGATATTAACATATTTTTGTTGCTGTAATGATTTAAAATTTTTTATGCTACTACTGATTGTTTCTGGCTTACAGGAGTGCTATATATTATTGTATATTGTTCTGTGACTGGCTGTATTACTGAACTGTCTCATTAATTGTAATTAGTTGTGTTAGTTTTTCTAGCTGACTTCCCTGGTTTTCCAGATAGACAATTACATCATCTCCAAATAGCAATAATTTGTTTCTTAATGTTCAGTACTTATTTCTATTATTCTTTCTTGTTTCATTTAGAAATGTATAAATAATAGTAGGATTATCTGGGCTTGGTGGCTCACACCTATAATCCCAGCACTTTGGGCAGCCCAAGGCAGGTGGCTCTCTTGAGGCCAGGAGTACAAGACCAACCTGGCCAACATGGCGAAACCCTATCTGTACTAAAAATACAAAAATTAGCTGGGCATGGTGGCACATGCCTATTAATCCCAGCTACTTGGGAGGCTGAGGCACAAGAATCCCTTGAACCCGGGAGGTGGATGTTGCAGTGAGCTGTGATTGTACCACTGCACTCCAGCCTGGGAGACAGAGTGAGACTGTCTCAAAAAAAAAAAAAAAAATCGTAGGATAATGTGCTTGGTTGCTTTCTTTTTGACCCTATGACATGCTACACATTAGTTTACAAAATGTGCTCTATAGTAGTCCATTCCTGGGGACATTAATGATAAAAGCTTCCATGGTCAAAGTGTTTATGGTTAAAGATTTAAATTTTATTCACTGTAGTCATTTTCAAAACTTTTTATACTGCATTTCATCATTCCGAATGGGTTATTTTACTAAAAAAATAAGGATGTAGTATGCATTTTTTTTCTAAATTCCCTCTCCTCTCCTCTCCTCTCCTTTCCTTTCCTTTCCTTTCCTTAGATAGAGTTTTGCTCTTGTCGCCCAGGCTGGAGTGCAATGGCGCCATCTTGGCTTACTGCAATCTCTGCCTCCTGGGTTCAAGTGATTCTCCTGCCTCAGCCTCCCGAGTAGCTGGGATTGCTGGCGTGCGCCACCACGCCAGGCTAGTTTTTTTGTATTTTTAGTAGAGACAGGGTTTCAGCACGTTGGCCAGGCTGGTCTTGAACTCCTGACCTCAGGTGATCCACCTGCCTCAGCCTCCCAAAGTGCTTGGATTACAGGTGTGAGCCACCACGGCTGGCATTCTAAATTCTTTTCATCATGGATTCCAAACATCTTCCCCAAATCTGGGGAAGAAAGGTAAGATGGGGAGAGGGAAGGTAGTGGACAGCACATTCACAGAGCTCTTGCTTAGCTGAAAATATCTTGGGAAGCCTTGTTTAGTGTTTTATGTTTTGGGTATAGTTGGTTTAATATTTTCTGTGTCATGTTATGGATGTATCATTCTATCTCTAGTTTACAAAGAGCTTCATCAATTATTCATCTTGATTTTTATCAAATGAACATCTATCAAGTTAATCATGTGATTTTTCTCCTTTGACCTACTAATATAACTGATACATTTCACAAACCATCCTTTCATTTCTAGAATAAATCTTACTGTGGCTATACAATATACTTTGATATCTGAATTCAATTTGTTTAAATTTTTGTATTTATATTTTTTAGATATTAGCCTGTAGTTTATTGAACAGAATTACCTATCCAGTCACAGGTAACAGATGTATGCATGGAAGAAAGAGGAGGATTCCTGTTCCTCTTAAGAAACTTCATCCCAATAGCAAAGGGGAAGAAGTATATTGGAGAACTCACTCCATCTCTCCTGGGCAGGATCGAGTGAAAGGATAGACAGCCTAGGAGTATTAGAGTAACAGAGCTTTCTCCTCATGAGAGATGACACCAAGAATAAGAAGAAACAACCAGGTCCCCTCCTCTCCACTGTGGCTGGTTTCAGGTTTGGTAGTAAAACACCAGAACTAGCATAAAGTCAATGCTTTCTTCACAGCAAGGAAAGCATTTTGAGGCAGAAGACAACTTGAAGCTTCATCTATTGGGTCCAAGGTAAGAGTACAAATGGAGGCCCACTTACGAGATGTCCTAACATTTAAACATTAGCAGTCAAGCTAACACATTATTAAATCAATATGTCCTATATTTTTACCATGAGAAATATGCCCTCATTCATGATGACCTGAAAAACTAAGTTAGAATTTAGATTTGAACTAAAATCTGGACTTTCTGGATTTTGGCATCAGTACATGGCTGTCAAGAAGATTTGTTTCCCAGACTCTGATGAGTGGCCAACCCTGCTCTCCCCATATCTCTGGGTTTGTCCTATTTCATGTCTATGTTTGGACCTCCCAGCCTCTGCTTCCTAGCTAAGCCCACGCTGGTCACATCCCCACTTTGGTCTCCTCTTGGGCATGGTGATTCACACACTGGTGGTGTGTGAGCTCAAGGACAGTTGGGCAGAGAATTTTGTGGTCCTGGCTACCTGGAGAATTCTCTAGAAGAGGGTAGCCTCCCTCCCTCCCTCCCTCTCTCCCTTCCTTCCTGCCTTCCTGCTTTCCTGCCTTCCTTCCTTCCTTCTTCCCTCCTTCTTCCTTCCTTCTTTTTACTTCATCAGTGTTCCTCTCTTCAGATCGACAGAAACTAATTTATAAGCCAAGTGAATTCAAACAGGCCGGATGCTCTAGCCCTGGCTGTTTAGCTGTGGAATTTTTGGAAGCCATCTCTTCTCCCTGAGCCTCAGTTTTCTCATTTGCCAAGTGAAAAGTTGCCACAAGGCATTTTATAATATCACTTACAAACATTCCAATAGAGAATGATGCTGTGATTCTAGAAACAGGATTTCTTATATTTTTCTTTTCCTTTCTCCTCTTTCTTATAAAGACTCCTAGCATTCTGAGAAAGAGAACAATAATGGATGTTGTAAATGATGTATTTCCCTGTGGCTACAGTCTCCTATTTTTTGTGGTACAAATGGGAAGTGGTGTTGGACATTCACCATTCTGAATTCTTCAAACAGCTGTCAATCCTTGCCATGGATTTTAAGCCATGCATAAATATGAATGTCAGACGAATTTCCTGACTAGACAAGTAGTTGTTTATCAGTTTATTTAAAAAATGCTTCTTTCGTTCTGTTTCTTTGCCACACCTTTAATAGCAAGGCTTCACTTATATAGAAATGAGATGCATTACAGGCCCAGAAATCTGCTGCATTCATTAAAGAGCAATTGCACATCTGTCTTATCTCTACTACTTGAGTGTAAATGCCTCCAGGGCAGAGGCTGGTACGAGGTGTAGCTTGCATCCTCCCCGGGATGTGTGATGGCAGCCTGGGGAAGCTGGCCCATGTGGGCCCCAGCTTTCCTTAGCATCTCGTCATTCAGCTGGAATACTCTTAACCCTCTCCATATGCTTATCTAGGGGAATGAAAACTTCCTTCTGTCTTCCTAGGTTCTGTGTCTGGGCTTAAGAATTAAATGGACATAAGACCGATTAACAGGGAAAAGGCATACACATTTTATGCGATATTTTTATGTGTACACAGGAGTCTTCAAAAGGGAAATAAAGACCCGAAGAAGCCACGAAGCCCAAAAGCTCATATGCCTTTTTACACAAAGAACGATAAATTGCAGGATCTGACAAGACAAAGGGGCTGGGACTCAGGGCAGTAAACTGTGGGACAGTGACTAGGAAATATATGGGGGAAACTAATGGGAGATAAGGGTTATTTTAGTAGGTTTGTTTGTACAGGTCCATTGACTCCCAGTCTCTGGTGATAAGAATATCCTTCTCTTCCTGGTACAGGGAGGACACCTTTCTCATGGGAAATTTTATGAACTACTTTTAGGTAGAAAGGGGGAGGTCAGGGAGCCTTTCCTGCATCTGCTGTTTCTCAAGTGCCTTCATCTCAAAATAATCAATATGCCAAAGTGTCAGATTTTGGCATGGCATGTTCTGGCCCCCTTTCACTTACCAAGAGGCTTTCTCTTCTAAATCTATGCCCATGGGAAATATCTAATATGGTGATAACCCAGGGAGCTGAATATCTTCAGACCAATATGGCTGACCAGTCATGGAAATGTGTAGGGTACTCCTAAGGGGCCACGATACTGCAATCTCCGTGTGATATCTGGAAAGGCCAGCACCTGTGAGACCTGGGAGGAAGTCACAGTGCTTTTCTATAGGAATTGAGAAGATCCTGGAAACGTGCAGCCTGGGAAAATGACAGAGTTGGACCATTCATAGACAAATAATAGCTCTTGCCTCCTTTATCACTTGGAAATCCAATAACGAATCCTCAAGTCTTATTCTGAAAAAGAGACTCTACCTTGAAAAGGATATGCATTCGTAAACAAGACAAACTTCTACTTGTGCTAGCCAGTCGGATCTGAGTTTGAGTCTTGACTCTGCTTTTACTAACTAGCTGGGTGAACCTAGACAAGTTACTTCATCTTTCTGAATCTCAGTTTCCTCATCTATAAAATGGGGATAGGAGGACTGTTTGAGAATCAAAATGTATTTTAAGCCCTTAGCTCAATATCTGGAACAACAGAAGACCCATGCATTGAAGTCCCTCTTAAGCACAAGATAAAACAGGAATGTTCTGGATTCTTAGACAATAAGAATTCCCCAAAGAGGTACAGTGTTTTACAGCCTGCAAAATTCTATCTCACTTTTGTGGTCTCTACTGAACTTCACAACAGCCCTGTGACTAGGGTTGGCATGAATTCAGAGTTTTGAGTGGCTTACTTAGAATTATACAACAAGTAAGGATGCAGAACCAGATGCAGAACCAGGTTTTCTGACTACTTCTCTGCCCTCATCAGTCCCTGGAAGTCATGATGTCCAGGCTGCATTGTAATTTAATTTCAGCTTGTGTTATTCTGCTTTAGATTTGAAAAAAATATTCTATATCAAGATGATGACGGAAGCCTGTTAAAAACCAGCTGGCCAAATTATAAAATTACGTTTATGTTTCACTAGGAATAGCAATCAATTTTTTAGTTATTTATTCTATAGGGGTTGTGCATACAATTTATTCCATCCAGTTGATCTCCAGATGCTTCTATAGTGGGAATTTCCAGCATTGGTCTGATTTTTCCCCCTGAATTCCTTAGATCAGAAGTGGAGAAGCTCTATCCTTAGTTCAGTTTCCTCTGGTTGTAAACAAATTTAAACAACAAATGTTTTATGGCTCATGTTCCATCTCAATTATACTCTGCAAACACAATTATAACTGCATCTGAAAGAAGCTCCCCTGGTCCACAGAGGCACAAGCACTCAAATTGTCAGTACTGGAAGGAATTTGGGAGGTCATCTATCTCAGTGAGTTCATTTTCCGATTAGAGTCTTGGGGTCCCAGAATAGGGATATAACTGTCTCACAGCTGTAGAAACCTAGAATTCCTGACTCCCATTTCTTTTTTAATTTCATCACAACATGCTACAGACTTTTCTTGAGATCTTAAGCAAGAAATCAGTATAAGAAAGTAGGGGAGAGGAACCAATCAAAAGAAAGTTTTGAGAGATGCTTAAGTGTTAGGGCTAGGCAAGGAAGAGAGTAGAGAAGGAAGCACGGAAAGCCTGTTAGCAGTTGGAATGTTGACCTCAGGGTCAGGAATGAAATAAGGGTTATTTAGAATAATATGTGTCCAAAGTTCTGCAAAGGCATGGGGAGGAGAAGTTATAACATTTTCTTCTTCCTACTAGTGGTCAGTGAATTTTTTTTTTTTTTTTTTTTGAGACTGAGTCTCACTCTGTTTCTCATGCTGGAGTACAGTGGCATGATCTCGGCTCAGTGCAACCTCCAGTTCCTGGGTTTCGGTGATTCTCCTTCCTCGGCCTCCCAAGCAGCTGGAATCACAGGTGTGCGCCACCAGGAATGGCTACTTTTTTTTTTTTTTTATTAGTAGAGATGGGGTTTCACCAAAGTGGCCAGGCTGGTTTTGATCTCCTGACCTCAAGTGATCCCCCTACCTCGGCCTCCCAAAGTGCTGGGATTACAGGCGTGAGCCACCATGCCTGGCCATGAATCTTTTAAGAAAAATAAAACAAAAAGCTAATGTCATTTTCTCCAGGGCAAGGATTTTGTTGCATTCCTAGTCTAGAGCAACACATGGCACATTGCAAGTACTCAAGAATACCTGTGGACTTGGGAGGCCAAGGTGGGCGGATCACGAGGTCAGGAGGTCGAGACCAGCCTAGCCAACATAGTGAAACGCCATCTCTGCTAAAAATACAAAAATTAGCTGGGTGTGGTGGCATGCACCTGTAGTCCCAGCTACTCGGGAGGCTGAGGCAAGAGACTCTCTTGAACCTGGGAGGCAGAGGTTGGAGTGAGCTGAAACCGCACCTTTGCACTCCAGCCTGGGTGACAAAGCAAGACTCCATCTCAAAAAAAAAAAAAAAAAAAAAAAGGGAATACCTGTGGATTGAATATAGTATCTTTACAATTATAACTCACAATGGCTTCTGGTGTTCCTCTAAAGAGAACGACAGCTTATGCTAATGTGATTAAATAATCCAAAAAGCTTTATAGCCATGTGCATTTATTTGACTAATTAGTAGCCTATGGCTTCTATGTTGATTGCTTGAATGTGCTGTAATAAATGGAGCCAAGGTGGTTGAAACAGTTGTGATGTACAATTTTAAAGGCACCCAATCTTGAAATAAAATCATGTTGATTTTTATTTGAATATTAAAACAACCTTGCCATGAACGGTTATGCCCTCTGAGCCTCTGTGCGTGCGGGCTGTTCCCTTTGGCCATAATTACTTCCTCCCCATCTATCCTTTCTGTCCCCCTCACCTGAGAATTCCACCCTACTAATTCCTGATATATTTACTTTCTCTATGTTCCTACTGTACATATTATATTTATTATTTGCTTTAGTTTTGTCCCTTCTATTGATTAAAAGCTCTTTGAGGGCAAGTAACTTAGCTGCATATTAACTCAGCGACGTTCCTAGTACCTAGCACAGTTCCTGGATTAGAGGAAGAATGTAATCATGTCTCAGACTTAATGAATTAATTTGGATTAAAGTTGGCTAAAGTAGTAAAATGAGCACTAACGTAAGAGTCATCAACCTGGTTTGATCCTTTACAGTTGATGCCTATGATTTAATTAAAGTGGTTTTACCTCCCAGAATGACCAGCCTTCTTAGTAGCAGACAAACAGAATCCTCTCTACCTGGTCTAAGAAAATGAGATAGATTAAGAGACATACATAGCTCATAATATCATAGGGAGTGTAAAAGAAACAAACTTTAGCTTGTGCTTCTGAGAGCACCCCCAAAAGCCATGCCACTGGACTGAGTCATCTAAGGAACTTCTGCCTGTATATGGTCATGCCAGCTCCGGAATCACACTCCTCTGCTGGACTCCCCTCTATTAAAGTAAACGCCTTGAGCCTTGCCTGAATTTATCTGAATGGTGGAACAGAAATCATTTAGGGCTCTATTCTAATGGATTCTGGGAAGTGTTTTTAGCTTTGCAGACTGTGACTTCAGGGAGGCATACTGGAAGTAGGCTGGGATGGGAATTGCATGAGGCAATCCACAGTATCTACCATTCAGAACCTTAGACTCCCTATAAGCACAGTCGGCATAATAATAATGATGGTCACGATGATAGTGATGACAGCTGGCTTCCATATAAACACTGAGCAAACACCGTGTGCTGTTTGACATTTTTTATGCGTATGTGTCTTTACTCAATTTATCCTCCCAACAAGGTGTTTGCATTATTACAATCTTCATTTTAGAGATGTGAAAATTGAGGTGCAAAGCAGTTATGTAAGCTGCTCAAAGTCAAAATGCTATTGACAGTGGAGGCAGGGCATAACCCACGTTCTTAGCTACCTCTCCTCTCTGCCAGACAGGAGTATTGAATCCTTCAAATACGAACATGCATGTGACCTGGCTTTGTCACCTGTGAAGCATCATGCAAATGTTCTTTAATAGTTTTGCTAAACATGTAGTATCACAACTTCATTTTAGTTCCCCTCACAACTCACATTCTTTTTTAAAAAGTCACAAAAGATTGTAGATCTTCTGCTAGAACAGAGATCCAAAGAGCTGAGAGGCGAGACTCGCTATTTCTATTTCACAGAGGAAGAGACTGTGACCCAGGGAGTTTAGCCATGGAGACCTGAATTTCCAACCCTCAGTTATGATTCTTCTACTGCATCTCACATTTAGAAATGATCAGAGAAACTCCAGAAATAAAATGCAGGAGTCACAGACCCATTGTTCCGCATCCTTTTCCCTCCAAAGGCTTTATGTGAGCTCCTTGGTGTCACAGCCAGAGGCAGGAATCCTTTGGTTGCAGTGGACTCAGAAACAGGAATTTTGAAAGCTGAACTGTTTAGTAAAGGCAGGGGAGACATGGGCATGCATTTCAGTTTTTGGAGATCAATGGTGTAATGAAACCCACATAAAAGAATCACAGTTTGTAGAAATACTAACAAAAGCTTTTGGGCACAAATTATACCCTATACAATAATATAGAAAAGACTTAAAAATTGAATACTGTCATTGTTACAAGAGCACAGTTCCTGCACACAAAATCAGATATAGTGGGATATTTCCAATTAATATGAGTACTAAAGAATATAGTTTGAGTGCATTGAGTTGAAAAAAAGTGCCAAATAGATAACATTTCATACCAATAATTGATATAAAAAATAAAACATTAAATATATAGTTTAAAGCATCAAGATGACATGTAATAATTTTCTGCCTTTTATGAAAATGGTTTTAATTTTGACTCTGTCTTTAAAAACTTCAACTTTAAACTATATAATACGTTACTATGCTTAGGATTGAAAACGAAAATATGCTCAGTGAGTCATATACTGTAGCAACAGGCAAATTGTAAGGAATTAACATGGACATTTAACCAAATACAGATTCCATCCCCCTGCCACTGTAGCATAAAATACTTGCTAAAGTCATTTTCTGTTACTGCAGTTCTTGTCAAAGAATGCTTCTGCCCATACATTTCAGCAATACATTATAGAATCCCTATATGATGCCTGCCATCCATTTAGGGGCTGGAATCTAGAAGTGTCTAAAACCTATCAGAGGTTTTACAAATATTTGTTTGTTTGTTGTATATTTAGCAACAGAGCCAATTCTGTATTCCAAGAAAAAGATCTTACACAGAACTCCAGTGGCGGGGCTGGGCGTGTGAGAGACAGCCAAGGAAGGGAGCGGGATGGAGTTACATGGGTCTGTGCATTTGCTTTGTTACTTGTTAACTCTGCGACTCTTAACAAGAGGGTCAGCTCTCGCGGACCCCCAGCTTCTTCCCTCATCTCTTTACTTGTTGTGTGATTTTTTTTTTTTTTTTTAAGATAGGGTCTTGCTCTGTTGTTCAGGCTGGAGTGCGGTGATGTGGTCATGGTTTACTGCAGCCTTGACCTCCTGGGCTGAAGCCATCCTTCTGCCTCAGCCTCCTGAGTAGTGGGACCACAGATGCATGCCACCATGCCTGGCTAATTTTTTTTTTTGAGATGGAGCCTCACTTTGTCACCCAGGCTGGAGTGCAGTGGTGTTATCTTGGCTCACTGCAGCCTCCAACTCCCAGGTTCCAGCAATTCTCCTGCCTCAGCCTCCCGGGAGGCTGAGATTACAGGCATCTGCCACCACCATGCCTGGCTAATTTTTAAATTTTTTTTTTATAGAGATGGGGGTCTCACCATGTTGCCCAGGCTGGTCTTGAACTCCTGAGCTTAAGCAATCCTCCTGCCTCAGCTTCCCAAAGTGCTGGGGTCACAGGTGTGAACCACCACACCTGGCCCTTATTATGAGATTTTTAAGAAAATCCCTTAAGAGCTTCGAAGCTTACTTTCTTCATCTGTAAAATAGGGATAAATATTAGTACTTCCTTGACGGGGTTGTTGTAAGGATGGAAGAGGTAATGCCCATAAAATTCATGGCACAGTGCCTGGCACATGTGCTAAGAATAAGACCATGGGCAACCTACTTTCTCCTCTTTCTTGGTGGTGTTCATTGCCTGCTTCTTCTAATTTCCATTTTTAACTCCATTGACTGAAAATAACTTGACCAATTCATCTTAAACTCCAAATTCTCTGATTTGACCTTCTCATAATTAGCCTACTCCTCTGAGACTTGTACTAGCGTACTGGACATCTTTGGTTTTTTGGCCTATGGGGCATTAATGACTCCATCTTTGGACGGAGCAGTGACGATGGTCACTGCTACAATTTTTCTAGTCTTAATCAAGTCCTTGGCCAGCTGGTGGGCATCTGGCCCACAGGACACTGATCAGGTGCTCTCTCCCGGGCATTTAAACCTTGAAGGAAGATGTGTGGTGCTGATTTATTGAGATGAGGCCCTTGCAACTCCATTCTTTTTAGTGCTTTGGTAGCTGGAGGCTGTTTCTGTAACTTGCACTCAAAGAGATATAACCTGAAGACCTGAAGCAGGCCTCCAGCTCTCCTTAGCCCTGAGGGAGACCATCCAAGGGCAGGACACATTTTCTCACAGCCCTGGCCTTTCTCACCCATCTGGCAAGGTAAACGCCCTCAGAGGCCAGTGGGGGGTGATTCTGAGCACAATCACCCTTATCCAGTGGCTGTTACTTCCCCTTCTAGAAAAGTCTCTCTCCACTTGCCTGTTCTTCTAGTTTATTTTTTTCCAGGCAAAACCCCTTGCCTGATTTCCCATCATTACTAACCTCTCCCTCAACAGCACCTCACTCTGTTGCGACTTGTATTCGAAGCACCATATATTATAAATACATTTTTTCTCAAATTAAACTTTTGGAAGGTGCATTAACACACAACCTCATAAGATATGTAATCAGCAAAATATTTTCACTACATTTTTTATTCTTATTAATTTCTAAAAAAAAAAAATTAGCAGCTTTCTTGTTCTGAGCCCCACACCATGAAACAAGGGCTTCAGTTTGGAATCATGGGGGCTTCTTCTGTTCTTAGAAATATCCAGGTATTTTTCCACTCTCCGTTCATCCCCTACCCCTTTGGTAAATATTAGTGATGCAGACCCACTTTTTATTTTTTTAATGAGGTGCCTGTGCTCATCTGTTATAAAGTGGTAAAGTGCCTCTCCATCCAAATTGACTTGTGATGTCATTCTGGCAATAGGAGACAGTCGGGGGAACATTAATTTGTTTGAGTGGATGTGTTACATAGCCACTTTAGAAAAAAGGTTTGTTATGGCCTCTGCTGTCATAGCAAACACACAGCCTTTGGTATGACAGTTTCAAAAAACATCTGTATATTTCCTCTGAAATATTAACCTTTTAATAGCTTGTTTAAAATCAGTCATTAAAATATCAATGTGAAAGTGAAAGGATTCCAGTCTTTATAGTATTTTCTCACAGAGACCATTGATCAATAATCATTAATCATCACCCAACTGCGAGGTAATGATTCATTTTCTTATTATTTTCCACAAAGGACTGGGGCCAAATACACAAGTTTACACAACAAACACCAGAAGAACCGGAGAAGAAGATACACAGAAAAGCTAACTTTAGTTTGTTGATTTAAAATAAAACAGCAGGTTGTAAAAATATTTTGCAAGTAGGTTTGTGGAAGACAGCATGGATTTATTATCCCCAAACCTTGTTTTGCCTCATTTTCCTCTACTCAAGAAGCTAGGAAGCTAAGGCATTTTCTCAGACTCCTTTGTAGCCACGGATGGTTACTAACTCCAAGGGAGAACTAACCCCCTGGAGTTAGTAATCGTCTTAGCAGAACACATCTCATTGACCAGAACTAACCCAATTCTGGCCAATGAGATGTGTTTTGCCAAGACTTTCTATTTCTTAGCTGAGGCTTTCTATTTTTCATGTTTCAAGCATGTTTATAACCTGTTTATAAGTGCTCATTGAGGCATTTTTATTGTGCTTTAAAATCTTTGTCAGATATTGCTCACATCTCTTTCATCTCGGTGTTGGCATCTGTTGATTTTTTTTCATTCATTTTGAGATATTCCTGGTTCTTGGCATGATAAGTGATTTTGATTGAATTCTGGACATTTTAATATTAAGTTATAAGACCCTGGATCTTATGTAAGCCTATTTTATCAGTCTTTTTACATATATATGCATATATATTATATATAATATATATGCATATATATTATATATAATATATATATTATATATTATTTTTACCAGGCGAGGTAGAAGTCAAGTTTCCCCACTCAGCTCTGTTGATACCTGAAGAGGGGGAGAGGTTTCCTGTCTGTAAATGGGCAGGATGGGAGTTCCAGCTCCCACAGGTCAGTGTGGGGTGGGGGCTTATTAGCAGCTGGTAGTCATGAAAGTTGTGGCTTCTACTCAGTCTTCTCTGATACTTCCACTTAATAAATAGTAAATGTATTTTCTCTTCCTTATGATTTTCTTAATAACATTTTCTTTTCTCTAGCTTACTTTACTGTAAGAATACAGTATATAATACAAACAACATATGAAATATGTGTTAATCGACTGTTTATGTTACTGGTTAAGGCTTCCATTTAAAGGTAGGCTATTAATAGTTAAGTTTCTGGGGAGTCAAAAGTTGTAAGTGGATTTTTGACTGAATGGGGAGCAGGGAGTTGGTGCCTCCAATCCCCACTTTGTTCAAGGGTCAACTACATATACGCTTTTTTATAACCTATAAAATCTTAAACAGATGAAAGGTATTTTTACTCATAATATTGAATCTGAAATAAAAATTCATTTTAAAGTGATATGAAGCTTGTTTATATTTATTTCCAGATCACCTACAATGACTCATTGTCTTTTGAATTGAAACAATATATGGAAGGCAAATGTATCAAAGGATGCATATTTTTGGAAAACTCAAAGGTGTCTGTATGGTATTGAGCTCATGGACAAACTAAATAATTTTTGTTGTAAGATAAGACGAGTGGAGAGAAAAGAAAGAAAATAAGACCCCCTGGGACAATTACTGCTTACTGATTCATCAACTCACATAAGAAATAGCCTTGTATTTGATATAGTTAAACAAGGCAGTAAACAATGGCAAGCATATAGGGGTTTGTCTGCCTCCCATTGATAAAGTAGGCTCCAATAGTATATTATCCTAATACATGGATATGTCAGTTAATGATTTACTGCTTTTCCTCATCAGGGCTTATTTCTCAGTTCCCATGAGGATATCTCCATTAGGTGGATAGCAGATCTGAGAACCAGGCCATCTCTAGGGATGTGTGATCATCATCAGAAAGTGGTGGTGATCATCACCTAGGGTGGTGTAGATGCTGCCATGTAGAGGAAGACAGTCTGGGCAAGCACTGCTTGCGGGATGGTCCTTATTCTGTCACTTACTAGGCAAATCCTGTAACTGGGCAAATCCCTTGCATTCTCTTGGTTTCAGTTTACTTACTTACAAAAATATTGAGATGGATCATTTGTAAACTCTATTCCACTGTGATAATAACCTTACATCAATGGTCATATTGGAAACCCCATTTCCTACACAACCTTCAAATTCATTATTGGGTACCCATGTTCTTCTACCTGCTGAGTACTGAAGACCCCATCAGGTTGCTGGATGCCTTAGCTTGGAACTCTTTTTACTTTAGGATGAAAACATTTGGACCTTAAAATGTAGAAATGATAATTCTGTGCTATTGAGATTATGTCTGGAAATGTAATGTAGAGAATTAAGAAAATATTCAGACAGCTTGGTTTTACTTTTCTTTCAATCTTATGGATAAGTTTTATTAGCTGCATAGTTACCACTATTTTCTGTTCTTCTTGCTATGTAGAAAGGAATGTGAACCTAATGTCCAAACACAAATCTTTCATAAAAGAAAGAAGTCAAATTTGGGCTATTTCTTCCCTTTTCTGATGGCTGATAGGAGATGCTAGCATTGTTGTAAAATGTAAGGAGAATCTTCTTGGAAAATATTTTTGTGATATGTGTTGAATTTTAAAGATATTCATAACTTTTGATCCTGTAAGTCCTCATCTGTTAATCTATTTTAAGGGTATAATAATTAAAGCTGATTAATTTTGCACACAAACATGCATTTTATAGCATTGTTTACATGGATATTAGTGAAATCTTAGATATTTAGCAATGATGAAATGGCTAAAAGTACAACATGATGATGCAATGAAAACAATGTTAACAAGAGGGTGTAAAATCACAGGTATACTTTTAATGGAACAAGAGATGACAAGCAAAGAATAAAAATTGAATGCATCTGTTTATAAAGATGTAAAAAGTATAATATACTACCAAGTGGTGTGAATTCAGGTGATATGCTACGTGCTGTGTAAGTATCTTATTAAATATTCACAGCAACCCTGAGGCGAGTTACATGATTCCCATTTTATAGATGAGGAAACTGAAGCTTAGAGCTTAGGCCATTTGTTCACGATCAGAGAACTGGGAAGTGACAGAGCTGGGATTTGAATCCCACCCTCTCTGATTCTAAAGCGTTGATTAAGTTGATGGGGCAGGGAGGGTTGGAGGCATCATGAGGATTCTGTGTGTCCACTCAGTGAAGTTGCTCCACTGCCCTTGGGTACCCCTTTAGTGATTGAAGGCTGGAGTTATGTAATCTCTCCAGGGCCCCACAGCTAAAAGGGCATGGAACAGGACAGAGCCCTGGCAGCCCAGCTGGGAGAAGTGTGCTGAGCCCCGGATGGCTTCCCCTACGATGGCTGTACAGGTAAGAGGGGAAATATCTGAGTACAGCGGGGATGCAGGGTCTTCCTAGTGCAGCCACATAGCCTTGGAAGAACCAGGTTGAAGAAGACAGGGAAGCAGGGCCTTGGGAATGGACAGGAACCTACCTGTGGGACTAGCACATGGGAAAGGTGATGCACGTAGAAGGGCAAATACAAATTAAATATTGGGCTTTTTTCTCCCTGTGGAAATTAAGAGTCCCCTCCATACCACTCTCTTTCTCTTTCAGAATTTTATTCTCCCTCCTTTTCAAATATATGCAAGTTTTTTTAATGGGTAAATAAACCTATGACCAATCTCAACTCAGGAATGTTTCCTGGGAGCTGTCTCTTTGAAATGTAATTCTCAAGGGACATATGGCCCACACTTTCAGTTTCCTGGTAGGACAAGGGCCTAACTTGTCACCTGACTCCAAATTGCAAAACCTAACTAATGTGATGGGCTGAAGCCACTCAGCTGTACAAGGGAGTAAGATTCTGTCTTTGTAGTGGACTGCCTGTGATGCACATCGCATTCTGGTTTAACGCTTATTCAGTCATAAAATTGTTTACTTTGTCTTCCAAAAAAATAAACCTTTGGTTACACAGTTTCCTATGAATTATTTTAAAACATTATGAAAATTAATAACTGAGAAATCTAAGTGGGTGTGAGTGAACTCCTCTATCTTTACTGAAATGCCATCGAATTTGCAAGGCTGGCAGAAAGACTCAGGGATTGTTAGGCACTCCTGGCACAATCCTGGAGTCCCAAATCCTCCCAATGGGGAGAATGTTTCCTCTGGCGTTTCTCCAAAGAGCAACAGCATTCTTTTCCCAAGACGAGATCTGGTGACTGACTCCATGACCGCAAGCAGGAACAAACTGCCATTCTTTGGAAGGCTCTTGGCCTTCAAGGATCACTTGGGAAAGGAGCGGTTCCAGCTTTAACACTTTAACCAGTCCTCCTTCGTTCCTTTCTTCTTTTTTTAACATCTGCGTGTGGATGCAATAAAAGTGTGCTAGGTCGCTGGGCACTTGGAGGAGAGGAAGAGCATGAGTGATATAATTGGGCTGTTATTGCCTGCCTCTCCAGCACACATTAGCTGGATAAAACATCTAGTCAATAAAACACAACAAAACAATAAAACTAAGCCCTTTGGTGCTCTCTTATTGGGTGTTATGCAACCCAGAAACCTGTGGCCATAAAAAGGAGAATGAGGGAAACTTTACACTTGCAAGAACAAGACGCTTAGGCACTAGGTTGAAAATAGCTGTAGCTGAGCTCAAGTTGTATTCATTGGGCACCTGGAAGCAGTTAGTTTTGAAAGCTGTGCAGGCTTCAGCTGCTTCAACGTTCATGGGCCCTCCATGAGATCTTGTTAGGAACATGTATAGAAATGTGCTTTTCATTAGAGAAGTCATTGATCCTATCCATGAAGATACATTTCTTTCAAATGATAAATTTATTAACCATGAGCAGAAAGATTATTTGTGGCCCTTCTTTTGGGGGGAAAAACCCCAGAGTTTGAAACTGCCATAGAATGCCTATGTCTGTAGGCTGTGATTCAAGAAAGTGCTCTCTTTTGACCAGTGGAAAATTGCAAACCAAAGCTCAGTGCTTTCCTAGTCTGGTTAAGGCCAAAAGAAAATGGGAAGTTTTTATTGTTGATGACTTGTTAGGACTTGTTGTAAAGTAGGCCAGTGCAATTTGTCTATTTTAGGTTTTAGAAACATTTGTTCTTCCCACAAGAGGTATTTTAAATACTGTCAGGATTCAGATTGCAACCCTAAACAATTCATTAAAATATTTTTTTGGCCTAATTTTAAAACAAAGGTTGTTGTTGATGATGATAGCAGGGATCCCACACGGAGCCTCAGCTGGGCCCATCCCTGGGGTTCAGACCTGCCTCGGTGTGCCTGGGGAACTGTGGGGTGGACCTGCCAGGAGATGATGTGTTTGAGGGAGTGAGGAGTCCCCCACCCCTAGGATATAATTCACCCTAATGGAAGAGAATCAGATTTAAAGAAAGAGAACAACCTTGGCCAAGTAACAAAAACTGAGTCATCAGTGAGGAAGAGCCATTCTGAGTCAAGCTTGCTGTATTTTTACTTGGATTTGTCTGCCAGCCCAGTCTCAACTGGATTCATGTCTGAGTGCTATGGTGGAAAGTAGAGAGCCATCTATATTGAAAGTGATGGCTCAGTAAACAGTCTGCAAGACATTGGGGCCTTGAGCAGATATGAGCATGCAGAGGATATTGAGGGAGAGAGGGCCCTTCTTCATACGTTCTGGATGTGTTCCAGGGATAGTCAGTAGAGAGGGCTGTCATAGGAGAGGAAGAATAAAATTGCAGATGACACGTGGTAACATATTGGATTTTTTGGTATGTACTTGTGAGAACACTCCTGGTTTCTTCCAAAATTAATTGGGCATATCTGGGTGTGCAAATGTATTTATAATGTTTGTGGGGGTAGGGGGTAGACTTTTCTATGGGTTACCATCCTACATTAGTGAGGGAGGATGGGTGGGAGGAGGAAAGAACCATGGACTACATTTCTTTCCAGCAATCTCATTATGGTTATATACCCAGAGGAATATAAATCATTCTGCCATAAAGACACATGCACATGAATGTTCACTGCAGCACTATTCACAATAGCAAAGACATGGAATCAACCTAAATGCCCATCAATGACAGATTTGGTAAAGAAAATGTGGTACATAGACACCATTGAATAGTATGCAGCCATAAAAAAGAAAGAGATTATGTCTTTAGAGGAACATGGATGGAACTGGAGGCCATTATCCTTAGCCAACTAATGCAGGAGCAGAAAACCAAATACTGCATGTTCTCACTTTTAAGTGGGAGCTAAATGATAAGAACCTTATGAAGACAAAGAAGGAAACAACAGAAACTGGGCTCTACTTGAGGGAGGGAGTGGGAGGAGGGTGAAGAGCAGAAAAGATAACCGTTGGTTACTGGGCTTAATACTTCGGTGATGAAATACTTTGTGCAGCAAACTCCTGTGACCTGTGTCTACCTATGTAACTTTCATATGTACCAGAATATTTCATGAAGGTGTCAAAATAATTTGAGCTTGGGGAAATAGACTATGGTAGTTACTGAATTTGCTCCGATGGATTTATCCCATTGCTGAACTTTACACTTTAAAGTACTGTCCACACACAGGCATCTGATGTACCCTCAATCCCCAAATGATTTTAGAGGTATAACTTCTCCCTATTCCTGTGCTGCAGCACATGTGAAAAATGTCTCTGCTACATAAGAAGGAGCTAAGTATTCGTGCTATTTCATCATGTAGAGAGACGGCTGGTGCCACATACTGAATTCCACTTCACACGCACACAAGTCATGAATCACACTTCCTATCCGTTACCTGATCCCCCGGTTTTCACTTTGTAAGACTATCTGAAGAAAATTCTTCTGATTTTTCCCTGGTCCACTCTAAATAAAAGGAAACACAGTTGTCCTTGTACACGTCAGTGAAGGGTTCCTAGAGACCATTTTACCTTCATGCTAGGAGAAATGATTACCAAATCAATAAACTGCTCACTATAAATGGTTCTGCAGCACAGGCAAGCAATGGTAGTGTAACTTGTTGGCCAAACCTTTTATTCTTAGATTCTAAACTCCCGAATCCTCAATTTACATTACATGTCTTGCAAACCTCCCCTTCACACAGTCTTAACTGGATCATGTGTCATGTGGAAATTTTTTTCTTTTATCTGTAAACATTTTCCTCCCATTCATCTATTCAATCCATCCATCCATCCACCCATGCATCCATCCATCCACCCATGCATTCATCCATCCATCCATCCACCCATCCACCCATCCACTCTATCCATCCATCCATCCATCCATCCATCCGTTTTCTACCTTCCTTCTATAACTGATGGCCCACCTTGAAATAGTAATTTAAGATTACATTCCCATTCTCTATGTTTTTCTTCTACCCAACCGAGAATCCAATTTGTGAAATCCACTGATGATGTTGCCAAGTGAGCTTTATGAAGCAAAATGATCTACTTGCTCACATCTTCCCTCTGGACTTACACAGTGGGTTATGCACAGTGCACAGGTCCCTCTTCCCTTTCTCTGCTTCACACAGAAGGCATCATGGAACAAGCTCTGAGCGGTGAACAGATCACACTTTGCCATCCCCATTGTATTTTACAGAAATAAATATTGAAAAATATAACTCCAAAATAAGTTTGAGGCCCCTTTATGTCTAATAGGGGAGTAGTGACTATGGAGGCTCAGAATACATTATTGGAGACCTCTGGGGCAGAAAGTTTTTCATTTATTTGACATCTACCAGGTGCTAAGCATTGCACTGAATGTCTTACAGTGCTGAGCAAGATGGGTATGATCCCCTCTAAGCACTTGACTCATATTTCACGTAGTCCTCGTAAGCCAATGTGCCACTGCTTTTCTGTTTTGCCAGAGAGGAACTCAGTTCTTAGAGAGGATAAGCAATTTGTCCAAAAGTATATAGGAAATAGTTTAGTGGGGTTTCAAACCTGGTCTGATTCCAAAACCTGTGCTTCCTGATGACAGAATAAAGTAGCCAAATTCTCTTAGAACTATGATGCTTTAAATGGAAATAGGCCCTTTACCACTTATGGAAAACCCCCATTGGTATGAGAATATGTTTGTAGGAAAGGTGTTCCCAGGGGTAGACTGCTAACCTAGTTAGGTCTGTCTTATCTAGTCATGGCTGACCCCTGAACACATGATCTGTGGAATGGGTCAGTCCTATCGGTACTGACGTTTGGTGTCACTAGGCTTGAGGCAATGAGAGCCCATTTTGGCAGGATAATGGAAGCTTCATCCAGTGAGGGTGACCTGTGCTGAGGAATTCTCCTTAGGAGCATTCAGCCTCTTTATGCATGAGTTGAGCACTTGGTACAACCTCCATTTGGCACCATCTCATTTTGACCTTCCAGGCTAGGTCAGCTTTCCTGTTATGTACTCCTTAGCAAACTGTACATCTTCCTACCACTTAGCACACGTAGATTTATTTGATTGCATATTATTATTTGTATAATAACTGCCTTTCTGTTAAACTTCTCAAAGCAAAGATCAGATTTTTCATATTAATTGCTGATGACTGTGCTAGGCACGGATACCAGTGAGTAAAAGCTGACATAATCCTCAAATCTAATGATGTATAGTGTCGTGGAAAACACAGATATTAACCCAACAATCACAATAAGAATGTAAAATTTTAACAGTGAGAAGGGCTGTGAAAGGGGCCTCTGCTTCTGGCAGTATGGTGAACTAGATATCCTGAAAGCCCCTATTGTTAAAATACAACTAAAGATAGCACACGTACATAACTTTAACGATTGCTAAGCCAGGAATATAACAAAGGAAATTGCCAAGGGCAAAACAAATTTGGAAAGCTGAGTTGTTTGAAAAAATTTTCCATTTAATTAATTGATCAGATTTTGTTGCTGTTAATTCCTTTGATTTTTCTCTACCTGCTTGAAAGATGTAGTTTAAAAAATTACTGTGGTAGTTATGATTAGTTTTTGCTTCCTATGTTTTCAGCCTTTGTTATTGGAGCATTTGAATTTACACATGTAAAATCTTTCTGGTGGACTGAATCTTCTATCATTATTTTCCCTTCTTTAACTCCAGTCATATTTCCTACCTTAAAGTCTATTTTGTCTGATATTAATATAATTATGCCAGGCTCTTGGGGTTAGTATTTTCATGGTAAATCTTTTTCCATCTTTTCCTTTCAATCTTTTTGTATCTTTGTTTTTAAGATGCATTTCTTGTAAGCAGTACATAATTGGATTTTAAAACTCTAGTCTGAAAAGCTGTGTCTTTTTATTGGAATATTTAGTCCATTTACTAGACTTTTTGTCGTTACTCTTGAGAATACAGCATGAAATCCTGACTTATTAAACTATAATAGAAATTAGTGCTTTCACCACTTTTATGACAATAGAAGGTCCTTAGAACGCTATCAGTCTTATTACTGCTTCATTCAAGGTAACATGTTTGAATTCAAGGGAGGATGTTTTCAAGACTGGCTCTTTGTCTCTGGTTTCCAGCAGTGTCACTCTCATGTGCCTAGGCTGCTTTTCTGTTTTGCTTTGTTTTAAAATTTATCACTATAACTTCAGTGGCTACTCTTACATTTTTAATCTATGTACTTAAATATAAATTATTCGAACAATATTCTGTTTCTGAACATAACAGATATCTTAACATACTTTGCTCATTAAATACCCTCCTCCACTGTCTTGTTATTGTTGCCTGGGGTTCTAGGTTAACCTCTTTATTTTGATACAAAAAGTATTATTGTCATTTTTTACATTGAGTGGTTTGTTCAATTTACCAATTAAAATATTAATTTCTATGTATTATACAGTATTAGGTTCAGAATTTTCTTTAATAATTGTTTAAGTAAATTCTGTAAGTGATACAACATTTTAATTTTTATATTTAAAATGTTTTCCTATTTTGTCCTCATTTTTGGGTAGTAGTTCAGCAGAGTTTAAATTTCTTAATAGGTAGTTTCCCACCTACCATCAGCAATGACATTTCCTCTTTATCACTGATGTCCTTTTAGTTTCACCATAAACAATCATAATGTGCATTCACCTGCTTGGCAGTCAGAATGCACTTTTGTTCTGAGGGATTATGGCTTTCTTCAATTTTGGAAAATTCTCAGCTCTTATGTCTTTAATTATTGATTCTCTGCTATTCTTTTCATTCTCTTCTTCTGAGATTCTTCATCCTCTATGCCTCCTAAATGCTGTTGAATTTTTAGAAATCTCTTTTTCTGTGCCTGTTCTGGAGGGATTCTTTAACATCTTTTTAAACCATGAACTTAATCTTTGATCATATCCTATTTAAAAAATAATTTAAATTATTCACTTGTTTAATGTCCAGAGTTATTTAGTTATTTTTTCCTGTTAACCAGGTATTAGCAAAGACTGTTGTATAACAAATCCTAACTCGCTTATCTTAAACGTGATTATTTAAATATTTTTATCAGAATCTTCTAAAATATGCTTCATCTGAAGTGAATTTATATCTTGATGTATTTTATTGGCTTTCTCTAAATATTAAATTTCTTCATGTGTTGTGTAATTGTGTTTCTTTTTCATGAGTAAACTCTAATTCTCATTTACTTAGTTTTTTTATTAATTTAAAAATTTTTGAAATAATTGTAGGCTTAAAGTAGAGAAGCAAGCGCAGTACAAAGATTTTTTTCCTGAATCTTTTGGGAGTAAGTTACAGACATGATCATCCTTGAATATTGCAGTGTGTATTTCCTGCAAACAAGGACGTTTTCCTACATAACCACAAAGAACTACAAATATCAAGAAGTTAACACTGAATCATTATGACAATCTTATCATCAAACCCCATATGGTTTCATCAATTGTCCCAGTTACGCTCCTTATAACAAAATATTCCATTCTATAGTCGTGCCTTGCATTTAGCTTCTTGACAACTTTGAATTTATTGGAAATGTCCCCCTCAGACTCATGTCGTGCATTTTTGGCAGGAATATGACAAAAGTGACACTGTGTTTATTTCATCATATCTTATCAGGTGGCACCCAATTCATATTTGTTCTATTACCGATTATATTTACTATAATTAGTAAATTAAGGTGGTTTCTCCTGGAAAAGTTATCCTTTCAACATTTATAATTAAAAAGTATTTTGAAGGGTGGTACTTTCAAAGGATGTAAATATCACATTCTTCATCAAATGTTCAATTTATTCAATGATCTATTTTTATCAGTATGTATGGACTTGTGGGTTTTAATTTTATTCAATAGATTGTAATTAGTCATGCCACTATTTATTTTGATGCTCAAATTGTGCCAGATTTGGGCATACATACAAATTGTATGTATATACATATATGAGTTTATATACATACACGAGTTTACAACAATACTTTCGATTCCAATTCAACATTACAGGGTTAATTCCATATTTCTCTCTTTTCACATTTATAATTTCCTTCCTTCTTTGACAGTGAGAAAGCTGGTTCTCATTATCCTCAATACATTTGCTTACTTGATTAATCTCTTTTTATGTAACTAATCTCCTATCACCATCACCACTCCATTCCCTACACAGGTGTTATTTTTGCTGCTGTTCCTTGTGTGCAAGTCTCTTCATCCTATCCATGTTGCAACACATCGTGTTTGGCTGACCCCTCTGCTTGTGGGTGCCCGCCCTTCCTTCCTCAGGATCCAAAATTTTGCACCAGATTTTGCTTCTCTGTAGACAACCTCTTAGCTCTTTAACTTTGTTTTGAAAGCTCATTTTGAGTGGGTGGTTTAACTTTAGTTTGGTTTCGTTTTTTTTCACGCTTTCCTATTTGTCTAATAATCCAGCTGTGTTTCTACAGGCCCTATATGATTCCCACCTCCACCCCTAGGCCCATGGTGTAGAATCAGATTTTGTAATGGCTTCAAGGCCAGTTGTGTTACTGAGGATATCACATATCCAACTGCAGAGCCACTGGAGTATTTATCTCTATTCATAGCACCAAACCTAGTTTCCATGAAATAGCAGCCTTAGGAGGATGTCACCAGCAATATTTTTTCAGCCTTCTTTAAAGCATGGTGGGGTGCCCCAGTCCAGTCCCTGACTTCATGTAGTGTGCCTGGCTCTTACCCCAGTTCTTACGGAAACATTCACCCTCGTTACTCTCACATAAGCTGAACTCCTGGACGCTGCTACCTTCTTTTGGATTTAAAGCTGTCCTCCACTTCATTTCTCTTCATTAATTAGACTTCTGTTCCACTTCTGGCCCATGGAGATTTTTGTTTCATTTTTAGTAGGGCAGTCATTGACTTTCCTATTTCAATACTTCATCACCATTAAGTATTTAGTGCTGAGCAAGTGTCTTGAAGTATTTCTCTAGCACCAATCACTATGTTATCTTGATCCCAAGTCCTTATGTTGGCTTCTAATCATACTCGACCTTTAATTGATTTTAAATAATAATGTATCCCTACTCCACATTTAAAAAATAATCATTTCTGGGAAATGGGCCAACTATTCAGAGGGCGACAGCTGAACGGTATGCATCATAGGATGACCATGGACGTTCAGGATGTGAGAATGAGGTTAGCTTTTAAAAGCTACCTGACTGCAGCAAGATTGTTAGGCAAGGCTAAATATGCAAATGGAGGTAATGGGGTCTCAGCTGTGGGAAGAAAAATTACAAGTATCAACATCTGGACTATGTCTCCTGCTACCTTTGAGGAGGGGTTGGCGAATGTGTGGCTTGTCTGACAAAAAGGACCATCGAATTAGACTTAGCCTTGTTCTTTCCTTCTGCATCCTTCCTTTTGTTCCTCATAGCGTTTAGGTTTATTATGTTTTAAAACCAGAGGGCTAGTGGATTGTTGTTCAGAAGTACTTATTCCTTCCACCCTCCTGCCACCTCCGTGGGTGGAGTACACTTTTACTCTTTGACGTTGGGCTTGGCTGTCATTTTCTTTGACCAGTGGAATGTTAGTGGCTTGCTCTATCAAAAGTTTAAAATGCAGGGTGGCAACTGGCCTTGCTTTTTGGCACTTCTGCTTTCACTATAAGAAGAACATGACTGGGCTAGCCCACTGGTCCCAGGAGGAGCATAGAAGGCGTGTGGAGCAGTGTGACACCAGCCCCACAGCCCAGCCATGCTGAGCCTACGTCCATCAAAGCCCAGATGAACTTCAGCTGCATGAGGGAGCTTACCAAGACTGACAGAGTCCCCAGCTGAGACCAGCCTACATAAGGGGGCCCTCCACCAATCCACAGATGAGTGAGCTAAATACATACTGACCTTCCTATGCCACTGAGATTGTTTTGTTATTTTTAGCACAAAAATAACCAAAATACCTGAGGCAAACTATCCCCCTTCCATCACTTGCAACTCATCTTACTAGGACCTGGTGCTCAATTTTGAAACCTCAGTCTCTTCTCCCCTGTGTCTCTGGAATATCTTAGTTCTCATTACTATGATTTTGTCTCAACATCTTCTGTTTCCTGTTAAGGACAACTACTTTGTATCCTCATGTCTGATTAGAACCAGCTTCTTGCTTTGCCTTTTTAATTTTTCTTTCCATGGGGTATGGCTATCTCCAACCCCAAGTCCATTGGCAGAGGCCTAATGCCTGTTAATACTTGGATTTTGCACTTGCCTGAATATCTATTGGTATGCCTTTCTGTTAGGTTCTGCCTATGTCTCCTCATAAAATTTTTCTTCCTCTATCTCCAAACATCAATCCCTTTTTAAACCGTTTCTTGGACTTTTGTTTTAGTAGCTTGTTGCTTGTAATACTTCTAGTTCTTGTTATTTTTCCCCCTAAGTATCACCGTAATATTTGGAATATATAGAAAACCATCAGAAACCACTCCTCTGTGTACTCCTGTTAATATTGTGGTGCATTTTGCCCCAGCACCAGGGTGAGTCTAGACCTTGGCCTTGCCTCTGCCTTTCTCCTCTATTCTGTTGCAAGTACTTGGCCATCATCCATCCCTTTGTGCATTGTACCTTTAGAATGACATAATGTGGATTTATGATAGGTAGATTGGGATTGGGTGGGTGGATGGGGGTTAAAAAGAGAAGCATTCAAGGAGATGGAAGCCATCAACTTGTCACAGAGATGAGAGACAGAAGAAAGAAAGAGGCAGAGCTACCTGGCTGCTCCAACAGGAATTTATGGGGTCCTTTACTTTGGAGGAGTTTCTGTGACTGGGTTTTCACTCACTGGTCTACCAACCCAGAAGCTAGGACTTGGGCTCTGGGACTAACCCACACCTTGTTGCTCTTTGGGTCTCCTTTGTCGTGTTTGTGCTGTCTGTTCCCTTCTTTGTTCATATGGTATTTCTCTGTTGGGGCACACTGCCAGCCTTTTTGGACATCTCCCACTCTCCAGACCTACCACCTTGGCACTATGTCACCGACTGGACTTGGGTTTTCCTGAGTCTTGTAACTACACCTTACACCCTGCCTCTTGGGGTGAATTGCTTCTGTTTAAGGCTAGCAGTAAGCATTAAGAGTCAATTCTGGCTGGGCGCTGTGGCTCGCGCCTGTAATCCCAGCACTTTGGGAGGCTGAGGCAGGCGGATCATGAGGTCAGGAGATAGAGACCATCCTGGCTAACACGGTGAAACCCCATCTCTACTCAAAATACAAAAAATTAGCCGGGTGTGGTGGCGGACGCCTGTAGTCCCAGCTACTCGGGAGGCTGAGGCAGGATAATGGCGTGAACCCGGGAGGCGGAGCTTGCAGTGAGTCGAGATCGCGCCACTGCACTCCAGCCTGGGTGACAGAGCGAGACTGTCTCAAAAAAAAAAAAAAAAAAAAAAAAGAGTCAATTCTTAGAACTCTGAATGTCAGGGGTCACCTTCTTTCCAAGGTCTGTGGGCCTCTCCTGTAGCTCTCTGCATGCTGTCTATAAAATCCAGGGATCTGATTTATGCATTCACTTTCTCTCAAGGTTGTCTACCATTCACTGGGTGGGCATCTGACTTGGCAAACCCTGAGAGTAAGGATGTGGCTATTTGCAGAGAGTGATACATGCTGTTCTCTCAATGGAAAATATAATTTGGTGATGGATTGCCCAGTGTTTCTTGCTTATTTTAAACTGAAATGTTCTATTGAGCCTACCCTAAATGGAGCATTCTTATAAATAAACAATCCTTCTTGGATTTTATGACTGTGGGCTCACTGCCAAGTGCAAGCATTCCTAGTCTGTGGCATGAAAACCCAGTGAAATAGAATAGAAAAGGTGAGAGAGAGAGAGAGAGAAGAGGAGAGGGGAGAGAGAGAGGGGGAGAGAGAGAGAGAGAGAGAGAGAGAGAAGAGGAGAGGGGAGAGAGGGGGAGAGAGAGAGAGAGAGAGAGAGAGAGAGAGAGAGAGAGGATAGAGAGAGGATAGAGCTATTTCCTTGAGAGCAATCAGGACCGTGGGGTTAATTTTGCAAAGTACTGTGCCTCCAAAGACTCAGGGGAGTCCTCTGTTAAGCGGGAGCTGGCTTGCCAATAGATACAGGAGCTCCTGAAGTTTGTGAGAGAGCAAGATCTATGCCCCCGCACAGCTGGTGTTAGATGCTGTCATTCCCCAATCTCCCTGCCACGTTTGATGAAAAACGCCTTTCTATTTTGAATATCAATGTGTGAAGTCAACTGTTCCCTAATCTATACCCACTGCTGGGACAGTTGCAAGGTTTTGGATTAAATACTCCAGCACAAATCTCTTTAAACCTTTCCTAAATAAGAAATTATGCGAGTCTCTCCAGTGAAAGATTTTCGCTCCCAGGGAATTAAAACATTCGGCTCTGTTTGCTCTGCGGAGAACAAAGTGGCTCAGAAGTCTGCTCTCTAATTGGCTGCTGTCGTTTGGACCTGCTGCGATGCTGCACTGCATGGCCTCACACCCTCTCTGGAGGGCCCACTGACTGGCTGGCATCTAAGTCCGGCTCAGGGGTTAGTTTTTTTCTGCTTCAATTATTCATCTGGCGGTGGTGTGGGGGGAGGCGGATTGCACAAAAATTATCACAAAATAAAACCTTCCCGTAAAGAAAAACTAAATAGAATTATTGGACCCTTTGCTGCATTGCTTTATGACAATTGTCACTTGTTGGCTGGAGAGAATTAGGTGTTTTTACCCCCCCGCGGCGTCTCTCTTTGTCGCCCAGGCTGAAGGGCAGTGGTGTGATCTCAGCTCACTGCAGCCTCTGCCTCCCAAGTTCAAGAGATTTTCCTGCCTCAGCCTCCTGAGTAGCTGGGTCTACAGGCACCCACCACCACACCCGGCTAATTTTGTATTTTTAGTAGAGATGGGGTTTCACCACGTTGCCCAGGCTGGTCTCAAACTCCTAACCTCAAGTGATCCGCCCGCCTCAGCCTCCCAAAGTGCTGGCATTACAGGCATGAGCCACTGCACCCGGCCAGGTGTGTTTTTATTTGTTGGATAGGATGCAAATATTTTCCCCAGATTTGAGATTTGTTATTTATTTTCTCTCACAGACCTGGAAAGATGAAACAATCTATATCGTTGCTGTTGTAGTTATTATTTGGGTGAGGTATTAGAAATCAAATTTGCGCAGGCCTTATGCTAAAGCATGAAATAACTCCTCAATGCTATCAGGACATTTAATGAAACATAATCACATGTGTATTGCTTTGATATAGGTAAAATGGTATGTAGGTAAAGGTAAATGCATAATTATGTAGAAATTCTCTGTTTCACAGCGGTCCTTAGTTTATAGCTTTCAAAGAGACTTGCCTTCATACAACCTCTTGTGTAAGTTGTAACTTCTCTCTTCATTCTTCAGACCATGGAGATGATAGGTAATAAGCAATTGAAACGGTCAGATTGTCATTTTATTTTATTTATTTATTTTTTTTCATGTTTCCTTAGAATTTTTATTTCTTTTTTTTTTATTATACTTTAAGTTTTAGGGTACATGTGCACATTGCGCAGGTTAGTTACATATGTATACATGTGCCATGCTGGTGCGCTGCACCCACTAACTTGTCATCTAGCGTTAGGTACATCTCCCAATGCTATCCCTCCCCCCACCCCCCACCCCACCACAGTCCCCAGAGTGTGATATTCCCCTTCCTGTGTCCATGTGATCTCATTGTTCAATTCCCACCTACGAGTGAGAATATGCGGTGTTTGGTTTTTTGTTCTTGCGATAGTTTACTGAGAATGATGATTTCCAATTTCATCCATGTCCCTACAAAGGACATGAACTCATCATTTTTCATGGCTGCATAGTATTCCATGGTGTATATGTGCCACATTTTCTTAATCCAGTCTATCATTGTTGGACATTGGGGTTGGTTCCAAGTCTTTGCTGTTGTGAATAATGCCGCAATAAACATACGTGTGCATGTGTCTTTATAGCAGCATGATTTATAGTCCTTTGGGTATATACCCAGTAATGGGATGGCTGGGTCAAATGGTATTTGTAGTTCTAGATCCCTGAGGAATCACCACACTGACTTCCACAATGGTTGAACTAGTTTACAGTCCCACCAACAGTGTAGAAGTGTTCCTATTTCTCCACATCCTCTCCAGCACCTGTTGTTTCCTGACTTTTTAATGATTGCCATTCTAACTGGTGTGAGATGGTATCTCATTGTGGTTTTGATTTGCATTTCTCTGATGGCCTGTGATGAGAGCATTTTTTCATGTGTTTTTTGGCTGCATAAATGTCTTCTTTTGAGAAGTGTCTGTTCATGTCCTTCGCCCACTTTTTGATGGGGTTGTTTGTTTTTTTTCTTGTAAATTTGTTTGAGTTCATTGTAGATTCTGGATATTAACCCTTTGTCAGATGAGTAGGTTGTGAAAATTTTCTCCCATTTTGTAGGTTGCCTGTTCACTCTGATGGTAGTTTCTTTTGCTGTGCAGAAGCTCTTTAGTTTAATTAGATCCCATTTGTCAATTTTGTCTTTTGTTGCCATTGCTTTTGGTGTTTTGGACGTGAAGTCCTTGCCCATGCCTATGTCCTGAATGGTAATGCCTAGGTTTTCTTCTAGGGTTTTTATGGTTTTAGGTCTAACGTTTAAGTCTTTAATCCATCTTGAATTGAATTTTGTATAAGGTGTAAGGAAGGGATCCAGTTTCAGCTTTCTACATATGGCTAGCCAGTTTTCCCAGCACCATTTATTAAATAGGGAATCCTTTCCCCATTGCTTGTTTTTCTCAGGTTTGTCAAAGATCAGATAGTTGTAGATATGCGGCGTTATTTCTGAGGGCTCTGTTCTGTTCCATTGATCTATATCTCTGTTTTGGTACCAGTACCATGCTGTTTTGGTTACTGTAGCCTTGTAGTATAGTTTGAAGTCAGGTAGTGTGATGCCTCCAGCTTTGTTCTTTGGGCTTAGGATTGCCTTGGCGATGTGGGCTCTTTTTTGGTTCCACATGAACTTTAAAGTAGTTTTTTCCAATTCTGTGAAGAAAGTCATTGGTAGCTTTATGGGGATGGCATTGAATCTGTAAATTACCTTGGGCAGTATGGCCATTTTCACGATATTGATTCTTCCTACCCATGAGCATGGAATGTTCTTCCATTTGTTTGTATCCTCTTTTATTTCCTTGAGCAGTGGTTTGTAGTTCTCCTTGAAGAGGTCCTTCCCATCCCTTGTAAGTTGGATTCCTAGGTATTTTATTCTCTTTGAAGCAATTGTGAATGGGAGTTCACTCATGATTTGGCTCTCTGTTTGTCTGTTGTTAGTGTATAAGAATGCTTGTGATTTTTGTACATTGATTTTGTATCCTGAGACTTTGCTGAAGTTGTTTATCAGCTTAAGGAGATTTTGGGCTGAGACAATGGGGTTTTCTAGATATACAATCATGTCGTCTGCAAACAGGGACAATTTGACTTCCTCTTTTCCTAATTGAATACCCTTTATTTCCTTCTCCTGCCTAATTGCCCTGGCCAGAACTTCCAACACTATGTTGAATAGGAGTGGTGAGAGAGGGCATCACTGTCTTGTGCCAGTTTTCAAAGGGAATGCTTCCAGTTTTTGCCCATTTAGTATGATATTGGCTGTGGGTTTGTCATAGATAGCTCTTATTATTTTGAAATACGTCCCATCAATACCTAATTTATTGAGAGTTTTTAGCATGAAGGGTTGTTGAATTTTGTCAAAGGCCTTTTCTGCATCTACTGAGATAATCATGTGGTTTTTGTCTTTGGCTCTGTTTATATGCTGGATTACATTTATTGATTTGCATATATTGAAGCAGCCTTGCATCCCAGGGATGAAGCCCACTTGATCATGGTGGATAAGCTTTTTGATGTGCTGCTGGATTCGTTTTGCCAGTATTTTATTGAGGATTTTTGCATCAATGTTCATCAAGGATATTGGTCTAAAATTCTCTTTTTTGGTTGTGTCTCTGCCCGGCTTTGGTATCAGAATGATGCTAGCCTCATAAAATGAGTTAGGGAGGATTCCCTCTTTTTCTATTGATTGGAATAGTTTCAGAAGGAATGGTACCAGTTCCTCCTTGTACCTCTGGTAGAATTCGGCTGTGAATCCATCTGGTCCTGGACTCTTTTTGGTTGGTAAACTATTGATTATTGCCACAATTTCAGCTCCTGTTATTGGTCTATTCAGAGATTCAACTTCTTCCTGGTTTAGTCTTGGGAGAGTGTATGTGTTGAGGAATTTATCCATTTCTTCTAGATTTTCTAGTTTATTTGTGTAGAGGTGTTTGTAGTATTCTCTGATGGTAGTTTGTATTTCTGTGGGATCGGTGGTGATATCCCCTTTATCATTTTTTATTGTGTCTATTTGATTCTTCTCTCTTTTTTTCTTTATTAGTCTTGCTAGCGGTCTATCAATTTTGTTGATCCTTTCAAAAAACCAGCTCCTGGATTCATTAATTTTTTGAAGGGTTTTCTGTGTCTCTATTTCCTTCAGTTCTGCTCTGATTTTAGTTATTTCTTGCCTTCTGCTAGCTTTTGAATGTGTTTGCTCTTGCTTTTCTAGTTCTTTTAATTGTGATGTTAGGGTGTCAATTTTGGATCTTTCCTGCTTTCTCTTGTGGGCATTTAGTGCTATAAATTTCCCTCTACACACTGCTTTGAATGCATCCCAGAGATTCTGGTATGTTGTGTCTTTGTTCTTGTTGGTTTCAAAGAACATCTTTATTTCTGCCTTCATTTCGTTATGTATCCAGTAGTCATTCAGGAGCAGGTTGTTCAGTTTCCATGTAGTTGAGCGGTTTTGAGTGAGATTCTTAATTCTGAGTTCTAGTTTGATTGCACTGTGGTCTGAGAGATAGTTTGTTATAATCTCTGTTCTTTTACATCTGCTGAGGAGAGCTTTACTTCCCAGTAGGTGGTCAATTTTGGAATAGGTGTGGTGTGGTGCTGAAAAAAATGTATATTCTGTTGATTTGGGGTGGAGAGTTCTGTAGATGTCTGTTAGGTCCGCTTGGTGCAGAGCTGAGTTCAATTCCTGGGTATCCTTGTTGACTTTCTGTGTCGTCGATCTGTCTAATGTTGACAGTGGGGTGTTAAAGTCTCCCATTATTAATGTGTGGGAGTCTAAGTCTCTTTGTAGGTCACTCAGGACTTGCTTTATGAATCTGGGTCCTCCCGTATTGGGTGCATATATATTTAGGATAGTTAGCTCTTCTTGTTGAATTGATCCCTTTACCATTATGTAATGGCCTTCTTTGTCTCTTTTGATCTTTGTTGGTTTAAAGTCTGTTTTATCAGAGACTAGGATTGCAACCCCTGCCTTTTTTTGTTTTCCATTGGCTTGGTAGATCTTCCTCCATCCTTTTATTTTGAGCCTATGTGTGTCTCTGCAAGTGAGATGGGTTTCCTGAATACAGCACACTGATGGGTCTTGACTCTTTATCCAATTTGCCAGTCTGTGTCTTTTAATTGGAGCATTTAATCCATTTACATTTAAAGTTAATATTGTTATGTGTGAATTTGATCCTGTCATTATGATGTTAGCTGGTTATTTTGCTCGTTAGTTGATGCAGTTTCTTCCTAGTCTCGATGGTCTTTACATTTTGGCATGATTTTGCAGCGGCTGGTACCAGTTGTTCCTTTCCATGGTTAGCGCTTCCTTCAGGGGCTCTTTTAGGGCAGGCCTGGTCGTGACGAAATCTCGCAGCATTTGCTTGTCTGTAAAGTATTTTAGTTCTCCTTCACTTATGAAGCTTAGTTTGGCTGGATATGAAATTCTGGGTTGAAAATTCTTTTCTTTAAGAATGTTGAATATTGGCCCCCACTCTCTTCTGGCTTGTAGGGTTTCTGCCGAGAGATCCGCTGTTAGTCTGATGGGCTTCCCTTTGAGGGTAACCCGACCTTTCTCTCTGGCTGCCCTTAACATTTTTTCCTTCATTTCAACTTTGGTGAATCTGACAATTATGTGTCTTGGAGTTGCTCTTCTCGAGGAGTATCTCTGTGGCGTTCTCTGTATTTCCTGAATGTGAACGTTGGCCTGCCTTGCTAGATTGGGGAAGTTCTCCTGGATAATATCCTGCAGAGTGTTTTCCAACTTGGTTCCATTCTCCCCATCACTTTCAGGTACACCAATCAGACGTAGATTTGGTCTTTTCACATGGTCCCATATTTCTTGGAGGCTTTGCTCATTTCTTTTTATTCTTTTTTCTCTAAACTTCCCTTCTCGCTTCATTTCATTCATTTCGTCTTCCATCGCTGATACCCTTTCTTCCAGTTGATTGCATCGGCTCCTGAGGCTTCTGCATTCTTCACGTAGTTCTCGAGCCTTGGTTTTCAGCTCCATCAGCTCCTTTAAGCACTTCTCTGTATTGGTTATTCTAGTTATACATTCTTCTAAATTTTTTTCAAAGTTTTCAACTTCTTTGCCTTTGGTTTGAATGTCCTCCCGTAGCTCAGAGTAATTTGATCGTCTGAAGCCTTCTTCTCTCAGCTCGTAAAAATCATTCTCCATCCAGCTTTGTTCTGTTGCTGGTGAGGAACTGCGTTCCTTTGGAGGAGGAGAGTCGCTCTGGGTTTTAGAGTTTCCCGTTTTTCTGTTCTGTTTTTTCCCCATCTTTGTGGTTTTATCTACTTTTGGTCTTTGATGATGGTGATGTACAGATGGGTTTTTGGTGTGGATGTCCTTTCTGTTTGTTAGTTTTCCTTCTAACAGACAGGACCCTCAGCTGCAGGTCTGTTGGAATACCCTGCCGTGTGAGGTGTCAGTGTGCCCCTGCTGGGTGGTGCCTCCCAGTTAGGCTGCTCGGGGGTCAGGGGTCACGGACCCACTTGAGGAGGCAGTCTGCCCGTTCTCAGATCTCCAGCTGCGTGCTGGGAGAACCACTGCTCTCTTCAAAGCTGTCGGACAGGGACATTTAAGTCTGTAGAGGTTACTGCTGTCTTTTTGTTTGTCTGTGCCCTGCCCCCAGAGGTGGAGCCTACAGAGGCAGGCAGGCCTCCTTGAGCTGTGGTGGGCTCCACCCAGTTCGAGCTTCCAGGCTGCTTTGTTTACCTAAGCAAGCCTGGGCAATGGCGGGCGCCCCTCCCCCAGCCTCGCTGCCGCCTTGCAGTTTGATCTCAGACTGCTGTGCTAGCAATCAGCGAGACTCCGTGGGCGTAGGACCCTCCGAGCCAGGTGCGGGACATAATCTCGTGGTGCGCCGTTTTTTACGCCGGTCCGAAAAGCGCAATATTCGGGTGGGAGTGACCCGATTTTCCAGGTGAGTCCGTCACCCCTTTCTTTGACTCGGAATGGGAACTCCCTGACCCCTTGCGCTTCCCGAGTGAGGCAATGCCTCGCCCTGCTTCGGCTCGCGCACGGTGCGCGCACCCACTGACCTGCGCCCACTGTCTGGCACTCCCTAGTGAGATGAACCCGGTACCTCAGATGGAAATGCAGAAATCACCCGTCTTCTGCGTCGCTCACACTGGGAGCTGTAGACCGGAGCTGTTCCTATTCGGCCATCTTGGCTCCTCTCCCCAGATTGTCATTTTAGAACTGTAACTTTCTGGAGTGAGAAGGGAGAACTGAAATCTGACGCAGTGAGCGAAATGAGAACAGGGGTTCAGAAGAGAGAGTGGATTTGGGGAATGCGTTCCTGAAGGAAAATGGGCAGGACTTACTGGGTATAAAGGGGAGGGTGAAGAAGTCTAGGGTCATCTTGGTTTCCATTTTAGGAATATGACGTTGGAGCAACTCCGTTAAATGAAATAGAGAATAGTGCCACAATAAACATATGTGTGCATGCGTCTTTATAGCAGCATGATTTATAATCCTTCGGGTATATACCCAGTAATGGGATCGCTGGGTCAAATCGTATTTCTACTTCTAGATCCTTGAGGAATTGCCACACTGTGTGTGGGGAACATCACACACCGTCTTGGGCCTGTTGTAGGGTGGGGGGAGGGGGGAGGGATAGCATTAGGAGATACACCTAATGTAAATAACAAGTTAATGGGTGCAGCACACCAACATGGCACATGTATACATATGTAACAAGCCTGCACGTTGTGCACATGTACCCTAGAACTTAAAGTAGAATAATAATTAAAAAAAAGAGATAGAGAATGGGGAGGGCATGTGTCAGTCGTCATTCTGGTCAGAAAAGATGACATACTCCAATTAAGTAACAGGAGGAGCATTTAATAAAAAGGCTGCTTGAAAGGTGCGGGCAGGTGTAGGGTGATGTCCCAGAGACAGTGCATGGCCCTGTGGCTTTGGCAGTGGGGCTGTGACTCCTGAAGGAGAAAAGAGAAGGGAGCAGTTGCTGGAATCCGGGGGGCTCTATGCGATGAGGGCTGCATGACAGCGGCTGTGCCTTTCACTAGAGGGACACAGCCAAGTGGACCCAGCCAGCCCACACGGCCACAGCAGATGGTGACTGAGGAATCAATACACTTACCTCACTCTCCTGTCTTCTTCCAGCTTTCTGCTGGGACTCTCCACTGGGTTCTTCAAACATAAGCTAGAGGCATGGGAGTCCAGGGAGGCCATTCACAAAGGTCAGCCTCTCGGAGTGCAGAGCAGGTTGGGGAAGGGTTGCAAGTGGAACTAGAAGGGCAAGCAGGAGACATCCAGCAGTGGGATTTTGCTAATGAGCTCTGTTTTCATCTGTATGGATTTGTGGTGCCTGTCACTATACTAGTCTAGAGCTTGGAAAAAAGATTGGGTTTGATTTGTAGCTTGGGAAGCATCAACCAAAATGCACGTGACGTGCTTAACACAGTGACTGGCAGAATGTGCACACTCAATAATTACCAGCTGTTGTTACTTATTGCTAAATGCTGCATAGAGGTGAAATTCGTGCCCATAAGACATGAGGAAATGTCAGGATTGAATCCAGATTGCAGAGAGTTGAGTTGTGAAGGAGAGGTGAAGTGGTTGTAGTATGTGTACACTACTCTTTTAAGAATTGTAAGGTCAGGCATGGTGGCTCATGCCTGTAATCCCAGCACTTCGGGAGGCCGAGGCAGGTGGATCACCTGAGGTCAGGAGTTCAAGACCAGCCTGGCCAACATGATGAAATCTCGTCTCTACTAAAAATACAAAAATTAGTCAGGCATGGTGGTGTGTGCCTGTAATCCCAGCTACTCAGGAGACTGAGGCAGGATAATCGCTTGAACCCGGGAGGTGGAGGTTGCAGTAAGCCGACGCCAAGATCATGCCATTGCACTCCAGCCTGGGCAACAAGAATGAAACCCCGTTTCAAAAAAAAAAAAAAAAAGGCCAGGCAGGGTGGCTCATGTCTGTAACCCTAGCACTTTGGGAGGCCGAGGTGGGTGGGTTGACGGAGCTCAGGAGTTCAAGACCAGCCTGGGCAAAACGGTGAAACCCGGTCTCTACTAAAATACAAAAGAAATTAGCCGGGCATGGTGGCTTACGCCTGTAGTCCCAGCTACTTGGGAGGCTGGGGCAGGAGAACTGCTTGAACCTGGGAAGTGGAGGTTGCAGTGAGCCGAGATTGCACCACTGCACTCCAGCCTGGGTGACAGAGTGAGACTCTGTCTCTACCAAAATAATAATAACAATAATATTAATAATTTGGGCCAGGCATGGTGGTTCATACCTATAACCTCAGCACTTTGGAAGACTGAGGCAGGAAGATCACTTGAGGTCAGGAGGTAGAGACAAGGCTGGGCAACATAGTGAGACCATGTCTCTACAAAAGTAAAAAACAAAAATAAAAAGAATTTTGATAGTGAAGACCTGAAGAGAAATACAGCAGTAGTTTCTGGAAAAGGGAGGAGAGAAGGTTGGAGGAAGGTGCTCTGTTTCCTAGGCGTGGGATACAATTGAGCATGTTTATGGGGAACAGAAGGAGCCATAAGAGAGTCAGCCAAAGAGACAGGAAAGAGGAAGGAGGGTATTGATGGGGGTGACATCCCGAAGAAAGAGTAAAGGGAGGAAGATAGGTAGGATGATGGCAATGAGATGATGATAGTGAGGTTGCTGCTGATGGAGATGATGGAGAGAAAGAGGAAGAGGAGGAGGAAGAACCGGAGGAGAAAGAGATGGCATCAGAGCCTAGGTGAGAGCATTAGCCTTGAGCAGGGGAGGGACTCTTTTGTAAGACACAGGGCAGCAAATAAAGAGAGAAGTAGATATGATACTTGAGGGGCAAGGGGAAATAAATTAAAGGAGCTCTTACTAGACAGTCAACATTTCCTGTCTATTACGGGAAGAGATGGGATAATAGAAAAGATAAGGATAATACTAACTTTAGCTACCATTGAGACTCATTGAACCAGGCACCTTTTCTTAGATTAAATTCATTTCATCCTCACAGCAACCTCATAAGAAAGCACTATTATTATCACTTCCATTTTATACATGAGAAGCTGATGTAGGCATGGAATTTAAGCAATAGACAAAGGCTTGAAAAGAAATATAGAGCATGATTCTGCTGGAACAGGGATGACAAGAAAGTGGCATATTTGCCAACCACCCTCTCTGCACCATGGCAGACACCATCTCTCTACTGTGCATAAGGGAGTGTTCTAGGCAGTCACCCTGCTGGTAGGGACAGATGCCCTAAAATCTCTTTGTCTGTCCCCATTCTAAGAGGTGGCCAGAAGAGCCTGAGGACTGAGAGGCACTGTGGACACCAGACGACAAGTTCACATTAGCCTCTGGGTCACTTTGGTTTGCATGCATTCAGTCCACTGGACAGTGGGGAGCAGTTTCTTCATGCTTTACTAAACCTTCCTTTCTCTCTCTCTCTCTCTCTTTCTGAGTCTCTCTCTCTCTCTCTCTCTCTCTCTGAGTCTCTGTCTCTCTATCTCTCTCTGTCTCTCTCTTCCTTTCTCCTCCTGTCTCTGGATCATCAAACCTATTTCTCCTTTGGTAGTTTGGGACTCATTCAAGCCCCTCAATCACCTTCAACTCAAAATACATATCAAGTTATTTTCCTTAATGAACACAGTTGCCTTCCCAAAAGAAATGCTAGAACCAGCTGTTACTTTGATAAGACTTTTTTCCCCTCACTTCATTACACTTGTTTCTTCCCATTCATTTAGCACAACAGAGTTGAACAGTTTAAAGAACTCTCAGGACCCGGCCTTGCATTAGGAACCTGGAGTCTCTGGTATTAAACTTAAAACTCAGGCTGCCAGGTCATGCTTGGCAAAGGACATTGACCCAGCCCTGAATGTCCCGGAATGGGCATCCATTACCTTCTCAGGCTGTGTGCTGTTGTGTGTGTCCCAGGGTGACATGGCCACTCAGCCTCCGCCATCTTCCCAGGATGGCAAAGGTGAATGCGTGCCTCCACTTCACTTTGTTATGTTCTTCAAGCGGAACTTACCATAATGCTTGCTTTGGTCCTTGGTTTTCATTCATCCTTGTGCTTGAAACTTCTCAGTGAGAAACCTGGGATGCCCATGGATGCCGGGTGAAGCTCTTTGTAACTCAAAGTCACCCTTATGGTTTAGGACAGTGTTTCCCTCGTGCGCTCCCCTGATGACAAGCAAGAAGATTTTAGGTAGTACATACAGGAATGTCTTTTTTATTGTAATGGTTACTTATTTTCATATTTTACTTTCCATTTAAGACAAATTATACAGGTTCCTGTTTGTGGCAGGGATATAAACTTTCTTTTTAAAACAATTTTATTTAAGTAAAGACATTAAGCAAACTTAAAAATAATGAGAGTGGAGGGTTGTGGTTATTACTAAGTCCTTGAAATGCTAAGGGAATGATAATATTCAGAGGAACCCTGGTTCGTTACATTGGAAAGTAGGATTTTTGCTGCCTCTTTTTCAGTTCCTTTTGCATCTGTCACTTGCTGGCTTAGAGGGTACCGCCTCTCGAAAATCTCAGGTCATGCTTTGGTGATCATCAGTCACAAACTTCCTCCAGGGGTTTCAGACAGTGAGTCCCATGGTGAGAACGCTGCAGAAAGAATAAAGACTCAGAGTTAGGAGTCTAAGGAGCTCTCTCTGCTCTGCACTAAACCTTTATATGCCTTTGACCAGCTACTTAAGTCCTCCAGAGGTCAGTGTTCTTTTCTCAAGGGGTGAGCTGATGGACTCCACGATCTCTAGGCTTCCTTCTGCTGTATCTCTTTAGTTCCACCTTCTCCCCAACACAATTGCCTTGCAGGGTCTGGGCGGACACAGCCCAGAAAAGCAGTGTGCTAGAGCACCACCTTCATTCTCCTGTTGATGTGCACGTGTGGATGCATGCCTGGGGAAATCTTACAGGGACAGGTTTTTCTAGACTTTGGGGCTAGAATTTTTTTTTTTTGTTTTTGAAATGGAGTCTGGCTCGGTCGCCCAGGCTGGAATGCAGTGGCGCGATCTCGGCTCACTGCAAGCTCCGCCTCCCGGGTTCACGCCATTATCCTGCCTCAGCCTCCCGAGTAGCTGGGACTACAGGGGCCCACCACCACACCCTGCTATTTTTAGTAGAGATGGGGTTTCACCGTGTTAGCCAGGATGGTCTGGATCTCCTGACCTCGTGATCCGCCCGTCTCGGCCTCCCAAAGTGGCTCCCTGAGCCACTGCGCCCGGCCCATTGGGGCTAGAATTTAGCGTTATCTAAGACTCTCAGATCCTTGGGGAATAGAGAGCTATCTTATTGTTTTTTACATAATTGAAGTCCCTTTGGTGCTGGAGACCGTAGGCTGTCTTAAAAAGTCCATTTTCCCTTTTCCATAGTAATAGATGTGCAGCTGGGCCCATGGCTGTCTAGGTAGGGATGCATTTCCCAGAATCCCTTGAGGCCATCTGGCTCTGTTCTCTCCCATGGAACGGGGGTGGAGGTTATATTTCACTTCGGGAGGGACAGACTAAGGCAGAAGGAGTCCTCTTTCCCTTTCTGCAGCTGGACCCTGGATTGGTCTACATACCTTGGACTTAGTGGATGAGGACAACATCCTTGGGATACATGGCCATTGGAGCAGAGCTTCCTGAAGTGCTCATCTTGAACTGTTATGTGACAGAGAACTAAACTTTACTGTTATTTAAGCTACTGATATTTGGGGATCTCCTGATTCCAATAATATATTATCTTCTAATTAATACATACTTTCAACACCAATCAAATGTTGCGGCCTTCATATCTGCACCTCTCTTTTATTTTTCAATTTTCAATCAACTCTATTTTAGAGTAGTTTTAGGTTTATGGCAAAATCAAGTGGAAAGTAGAGAATTCCCATATACTGTCACCCCTCACATATGTCACACACGCATGGCTTCCCCCACTATCAAAATCTTGCACTAGAGTGGTACATTTGTTACAACTGATGAACCTGCACTGACACAACATTGTCACCCACAGTTTACATTAGAGTTTACTCTGGATGCTCTATATTCTATGGGTTTGGACAAACGTAAATGACTTGTATCTACCATTATAGTATTGTACGAAATAGTCTCCCATAAAATCCCTCCTCTCTTCAACCCCTGGCAACCTCTGACCCTTTTACTGTCTCCATAGTTTTGTCTTTTCCAGAATGTCATATAGTTGGAATCATACAGTATGTAGCCTTTTCAGACAGGCTTCTTTCACTTAGTAATATGCATTTGAGGTTCCTCCATATCTTTTCATGATTCATTTCTTTTTAGCACTGACGAATATTCCATTGTCTGGATGTACCATAGTTTATTCATCCATTCACCTACTGAAGGGCATCTTGACTGCTTCCAAGTTTTGAGAATTATAAATAACACTGCTATAAACATCCATGTGCAGGTTTTGTGTGGGCAAGAGTTTTCAACTCCTTTGGGTAAATACCAAAGATATGATTGCTGAATTTTATGGTAAGAGTAAAAAAACGTCAAATTGTCTTCCAAAGTCACTACACCATTTTGCATTCCCAGCAGCAATGAATGAGAATTCCTGTTTGTTATAAACTGAATGTTTGTGTCCCCCCGCAAAGTAATATGTTGAAATCCAAACCCCCAACCTGATGATATTAAGAGATGGGGCCTGGGCTGGGCACGGTGGCTCACGCCTGTAATCCCAGCACTTTGGGAGGCCGAGGCGGGCAGATCACGAAGTCAGGAGATCAAGACCATCCTAGCTAACACGGTGAAACCCCGTCTCTACTAAAAATACAAAAAATTAGCCGGACGCGGTGGCGGGCGCCTGTAGTCCCAGCTACTCGGGAGGCTGAGGTAGGAGAATGGCGTAAACCCGGGAGGCGGAGCTTGCAGTGAGCCGAGATGGCGCCACTGCACTCCAGCCTGGGCGACAGAGCGAGACTCCATTGGAAAAAAAAAAAAAAAAGAGGTGGGGCCTTTGGGAGGTAATTAATGCCATGAATGTGGAGCCCTAATGAATGGGATAGTGTCTTTTAAAAAAACATGAGAGCTCGCTCTCTCTCCCCCGCCCCCTCTCTCTCCCGCCCCCTCTCTCTCCCGCCCCCTCTCTCTCCCGCCCCCTCTCTCTCCCGCTTTCTCTCTCGTCTCTACCAAGTGAGGGAACAGCAAGAAGACAGCCATCTGCAAAGAAGAGGGCTGTCACCAGACACTAGCTCTGCTGGCATCTTGGACTTCCCAGCCTCCAGAATGGTGAGAAATAACTATTTGTTGTTTCAGCCACCCTGTCTACAGTAATTTTTTCTAGCAGCTTGAACTAAGGGGTGCCTCACATCCTCACCAGAACCTCTCCTTTTGCATTAAGCAATTTTTATCTTTTATCACAGTGACTTACTATAAGGTTCTTGAAGGCAGAGTGTGTGACTAACTCACATTTTTATCATCAGGAGCACATAGAGGTTGTCTATACATACTTAAATGGCAATAAGAATGCACAAATCAGGAGAAATAAGCTGGCCAGTCATTCTAGCCACGTGGAAGCCTGGTGTAATGGAGTAAACCGTGGAGGATGAGTCAGAAGAGTTGGTTTAGTCCTAGCTCTGCTAGTGGTGTCCAGAGAACCTCAGTTTCCTATACTTAAAATAAAGACATTGCATCAGGAAGTTTCTCAGGTCTTGTCAACCTCTAACAATCTGTAGTTCAAGGTTCTGTCTGACTAGAACACGTTTCCTTTGCCCCATCCCTTAGCTGTGATGGAAGGAGTCACTCTCTCTTCCAATTTCAACCTAAAGATCACTTCCTCCAGAAAATCTTCCCGCCCTTCTCCCCCACCTCTCCTAGATTAAGTTAATGCTTTTTATTGCCCATATTACATATATTTTTCACATCACAATAATCACCCCATTCAATAATACTTATTTGTCTGATTCCAAGTATAGGCTTTCTGAGGGCTTGTTTAAATTGCTTCTATTATCTCCCCTGTTCCTAGCATAGCATCTGACCCAGAGTAGGGGCTTAATATATATTTTTAAAATGAAAAAGAAATAAATGGATGAATGAAGGAATACATGGGTCAAAATTTTTTTTTCCTGTTTAATAGAAACCCTTTCGCCCTGACTAAATATTTATTTTCTTAGTTTTCTTGGATCTCAGATGCAGTTTCCTTCTGGGGTAATTTGCATAGCCATGGAGAAAAAATACAGTATATGCAAACCAGGATAAGGCTCTATTTTGCTGACTGCACCTTCATCCTTAGTATCTAGTGGGCTAGTTTAGCCTTACCTTAGCGTTATAACAACACACTGTGTGCCTCTAGGCAGTTGACAAGAAAGATAATACAAACTAATAACCATTAAAATTATACAAAGACTATTTAAACTTACTCCTAAATTCATGCTTCAGGGATTTGCTTGAAAGGGAGTAAATGAGAACTCAGCTGATATCTCAAATCCCATCCTAAGAGAATTAACTCCCTAGAATCTAAATCAAGCCATTAGACTCTGCTTCTAATTTAGATCCAGCCATTGTTTAGATTAAATGAGTTACTAAGGTGGAAACGGAAAGGAGAAAACATTTGAACTTGAATCCACACAAGTGGGAATGTTACCCAGTTGTAGACTCTTTGTCAGTTATTCTAACAACTGGGTTGTATGTTACTTCACTAATTGCATTTGTGAAGATTATGTTCAAGAAATAAAAGCCAGATTGTCTTTAGAGACTATTGGTGTCAAGCTGTAAAATTGCAGCTTGATCCTTCAGAAGTGGGTTACAACTAGAATATGATCTATTTAACAAATAATGTGCCATTGACAAAATAGTTAATGGGAAGGGGGAGGAACCTTCTTTTCACACTGTACTTTTCCTGATTGGCAAATGTAATCACTGTGGACCTGCAGCGTAGTTGGAATCTGTGTTCTGCTTCCTCTCCTTTTCCCATTTGTGGTGGAGATAGATGCAAGGCAGCACTCTGGAGGCTAAGGTGGGGTGCTAAGGAAATGGCTTGACTTTTTTTTTTTAAGTAAAAAAGAGGCCCAAAATGGTCTATTTTGGTGGTTCTCAACTGGGGGCAATTTTGCTTCTTACCCCATCCCAGGGGAGGTTTGGCAGTGTCTCAGGACATTTTTGGTTGTCACAACTCAGAGAGTGCTACAGATATCTACTGGGTAGAGGCCAGGGATGCTCTAAGGTTCATGGGATAGCCCCTACAACAGAGAGTTATCCAGCCCAATATCAACAGCGCTGGTCTATTCTATTAAGAACCCTGGTCTACTGTGCTAGAAAAAAAATGCCTCCAGCATCTCTTTGGCATCACTGCATTAGAGCGCAGACCTGTAGACCTGCTGTCATGTTGGGCAGGCCCAGGCATAAGGCACAGAGGACCTTGGTGAAATGGGCAGTCAGGAGGAGACAAACCCAGCCCTGGGCTGGGGGAGCTGCCTTGCTATGCTGCTGCTCCCTGTGGTGGGAATTAGCTCTTCATTGAATTATTATTAGTGATATTATTTTTGAGACAGAGTCCCACTCTGTCTCCCAGGCTGAAGTGCAGTTGTGTGATCACAACTTACTACAGCCTTGACTTTCTGGACTCAAGAGATCCTCCCACCTCAGCCTCCCAGGTACCTGGGACCACAGGCATGTGCCACCATGCCTGGCTAATTGAAAAGTATATGTATATTTTTTGGTAGAGACAGGTCTCCTTATGCTGCCCAGGCTGGTCTCGAAATCCTGGGTTCGTGATCCTTCCACCTCGGCTTCCCAAAGTGCTGGGATTACAAGCGTGAACCAATATGTCCAGCCTGGAATCAACTCTTTAATACATAATGTTCTAGGGAATCTAGTTGGTTCTGGAAGGCCTTGTCATCTGAAAGGTTGGATTGGGAGGCTGGAACGTGATACTGTTGTTTTGTAGAAAGAATCTTGACTTTGGAGTCAGATACAATTGGATTTACATCTGAGATTCATGCTAGTTGTGTGACCAAAATGAACATACACTATTTTATCATTTCTAAGTCACTTTTTCTACATTTTAACATTTCTTAAATTGAGTGACCTCTTACCACTGATAGCCTGCCATAGTTTAATTGGAAGTGACTCTTTTTTTCTTAAACAAATATAAAACTAATTATATTTGTTAGCAAGTTGTGGTTTCTTAGCTTCAGTGAAATGTGACTATGATAATACCTCATGGGCAGGTCTAAATCAATATGCTTAGCAAACCCGAAGTTTACCAGCGTAGTGGAATTAGCTGGGAAAACAGCCCCTGTCTAAGAGGTTTTAAAATTGCTTCATTCCTTCTATTCAAAGTTCAACCCTCATCCTGGGGAAGGAAATGGATTCTCATTTTTGTGTCTTAGTTGATACTTAATACGTTCCAGGCCCCTCTTCTTTGAAGTGTGTGCTCTGTGTGTGTGTGTGTGTGTGTGCATACATGCATGAATACCCGTTTGCGTGCACAGATCTGTAGCAGCAAAACTCTTTGTACACCACATTCACAGGAGAAGCCAAGGCTCCCAAACGTACCCTTTTGCCTGGTCAAGATGAGCTCAGGAGCTGTGCTGTGCTGAGGCTGTGGTAGGCAAAGGCTTTTAACACCTGGAATGAAGCTGAGCAAGAGATGGCAGAAGCCAACACCTGCGGTCAGAGCCAGAGCTGTGTGTGTGCCACAGCCCTGTCAGTTACAGGATTCTGCCCTGGAAGACTGTTTTCTAGTTTAGTGTGAGAGAAGGTTGGGGATAGATTAAATGCTGGTTTTGAAAATTAATATGGAAATGGCCAAACTGCATGTTGCTGGTTTACTCTATAAATTTTTACTTGATTTCTGGACATGGCAATAGAAGCTATTAATAGCCACACTCTGCTATTAAAAGTTGTTTACAATGAACCTGAATGGACTCCTGTGTTGCAGGAAACCTGTGCCCCAGCACCTGTCTGCTTCTGTCATGGGGTTGTACTCCAGGAACCATCGTGCACCTGGCAGCCCTCTCACCCTGCAGGCAGCGAGCCCGGGGAGCCATAAAGAACTTCTTTTAGAATGGATTCACTGACTGAAATCACGCTTTGGGTAATTTTTTCTCTGTAGCAAGGCACTTGAATGTCATCTTTAAGATCCATTGAATCTAATAAATACTGTCTGGAAGTCATATACGTACAACTGAATCTTCCCAGTATAGGGAGAATTGGACAGAATGAGGGTTCAACCTTCTCCTAATCTTGACTTTGTCATCCCCTGTATGACCTTGGCCAGTTTCTTTAACCTCTCTGGGCCTCAGTGTTTGTACAACGGTGCAACTACTGCTAATGCTACTACTACAACTAGCACCAATTCATACTGTGAGAGTCAGATGAGATAAGATGAATAAAAGTGTTTAAAAAATATAAGTATTGGCTGGGTGTGGTGGCTCACACCCATAATCTCAGCACTTTGGGAGGCCGAGGTGGGAGGATCGCTTGAGCTCAGGAGTTTCACTCTAGGAATTCGAGACCAGCCTGGGCAATGTAGTGAAACCCCATCTCTACAAAAATTACAAAAAGTTAGCCTGGTGTGGTGGCTTGAGCCTCTAGTCCCAGCTACTCAGGAGGCTGAGGTGGGAGGATTGCTTGAGCTCAGAAGGTCAAGGCTGCAGTGAGCTGTGATCCATACCACTGCACTCCAGCAGCACTCGGGCAACCAAGTGAGACTCTGTCTCCAAAAAAAAAAAAAAAAAAAAAGAAAGAAAAGAAAAGGGAAAAAAAAGTAAACATTGCCCCTTCTGTATGAAAGACATTAGAAATTCGACTTGCTGTTTATTCTTGCTTACAAAGACATAGTTTTTTTTGTCTTGTGTTCTGGTACCTTCCCTCTATTTTGGTCCAAATGTCTATATGTAAGTCTGTCCTCCATTAAGCAAGAAGAGCATGACCAAATTTTTCAGACAGGTGTTGTTGGCATATCTGGTTAAATTGAGCAGGGCTAGTGCAGCATCAATCATGACTTTTTCTAAAGAGCAGTGTGTGGGAACATCCCACTTTCTTGCAGCCAGTTCTCAGCAAACATTCATATCCACAAACAAATATCCTTGACCTCAGAAGAACTTAAAGACAACTGTCCCCTGAGCTCACCCGTGTGTAGGGTTTAGCCCGGGCCCTGAATTTCAGTGGCATCTCTTTGCCCCCTGCCCATAGCTGACTGAGGTTTCTTTCCATCAGCACTGAGAGAACCCCAGGACATGGGAAGGTAACATGATATTTCACAGGAAACCAGAAAATATTCTGGCTCGATGGCCTTTGTTCCTTCTCACATTTCATGACTGCAGTTTTGTGCCTAGGCTGAGGAAGTCAGCTGCTGACAATTTGGTTTAGATCTGAGTAAAAAACATGATTTTTACTTCAATTCTTACCAAGATTGCTGAAAAATGATCCACCAAGCAGGCTGGCTGATTGGCGAGCAATGGAAATTGCAGTTTCTCTACTGTGAGCCTCGTCACTCTGTGGGCTTGGTACAGACGGATGGAAACTCGGGCTTGGCAGTTGCGGGTCACTCTCCCATTAGACAGCCTGGATCTGAGCTTGGACCAGGCAACTGGATAGGAGCAGGGTGATGTAAGAGGGAGGGCTTGCTCGGGAGCTCAGAACTGATGGCAATATTGCCCTTTGGCCCTTCCAAATCAGATTGTCCTATGCTCTTTCCAAATTGGAGGAGAATCTAATAAGGGATTGATTTTTTTCCTGCTTACTTATAATAACATTTTCTTAAAAATAATTTCTGGAGGTCACCTGTGAATGATCCCTTGTATTTATAGCCTTGATAGTATTATTAAAGTCTGAAGATTGATATATTTTGGCTTAGAGGATGTCATTATGTACCTCTGGGCCTCAGTTTGCTCGCATATCAATGTTAGGCTCTGGTTGGTGTATCTTCAATGTCTTCTTCAGTTTTTTTTCTAATTGTGGTAAAACACACATAAAATTTACACAATATATAAAAATGGTTAGAGCATAACCATTTTTAAGTGTACAGTTTAGTCGTTTTAAGTACATTCACGTTGTTGTGCAACCACACCACCACCCATCTGTAGAACTCTTTTTATCTTACAAACTGAAAATCTATATCCTTAAACAACTTTCCATTTTCTCTCTCCCTACAGTCCTTGGTAATCACCATTCTGCTTGCTGTTTCTGTGAATTTAGATTCTAGATACCTCATATGGTGGAAACATACAGTATTTCTCTTTTTGTGACTGGCTTATTTCACTTAGAACAATGACCTCAAGGTTCATCCATGTTGTAGCCTGGGTCAGAATTTCCTTCCTTTTTAAGGCTGAATAATATTCCATTGTAGGTATATAACACATTTTGTTATCTTTTTGTGACTGGCTTATTTTTCTTAGAACAGTGACCTCAAAGTTCATCCATGTTGTAGCCTGGGACAGAATTTCCTTCTTTTTAAAGGCTGAATAATATTCCATTGTAGGTATATACCACATATTGTGTATTCATTCATCTGTCCATGGGCACTTGGCTTGCTTTCACCTTTTGGCTATTGTGAATAATGCTGCTCTGAACATGAGTGTCCAAATATCTCTTCAAGACCTTGCTTCCAATTCTTTTGGGTAGATACTCAGAAGTAGAATTGCTGGATCATATGGTAGTTCTATTTTTTGTTTTTTGAGGAACCATTATGTTGTTTACATAGCAGCTGCACCATTTTACATTCCCACCAACAGTGCACAGGGGCCCAATGTTTCCACATCCTTGTTATTTTCGTACTTTTAAAAACTAGGTGCCATTCTAATGGGTATGAGGTGGAATGTCCCCTGCAGTTTTAAATGTTCGGTAATCCTGCAACTTATTTCCCTGCTCCCCTACCCTTTCTGTTACCAACAAACTAATTCTTATGTGAGAATAAGATTTTTCTCATGATCTTTGCTTTTTTTCACACCATCATCACCATAAAAACCCAACCAAAAATGGATGCCTTGAATTTTAATTTTATGGCTTTCTCTTTCCTTCCTTGGGAAACCAGTTTCTGTGGTTCTCATATGGAAATAGTTTACACATGCTCACTTATTTGTTCAGCAAACATCTGAGTGCTTGCTGTGTGCAAGAAACTGTGTTCAATACTGTGAAGACTACTGAGATAAACCAGACAAGGCTCTGCCATGAGAAGTTCCCCATTTGATTTGTAGTGGAGGTAAGACAAGAATGCCCATAACTGTAGCAGTAAGTGGCAAGTTAGTCCTGTGAAAGACAGAGGAGGCCCATGGGACATAGGGTTCTGATTATTACATTTGGCAGATGTAATGAACACGATCAACTTTCCACTGATCAAGCTGATATTTCCAAAGTGCGTATGTTAGAATTTTAGTTTTTTGAGATATTCCTTGAAAAAAAAAAAGGGAGGGGCTCCTTTGGCAAACATGTTTGGGAGAAGTTGCATTCCATCATGCTGCCTTGGAGATCATAATGCAGAGCAGCAGAGTAAAGGCTCCGGGAAGCCTTATAGCCAGCTGCCTGCAACATTTCATGGAAACCCCATCCAGACCTCCATTTCGTAGTTGGAAAAATGCCCATTCATATCTTTTGAAAAAGCAAATGATATGGTTTGGCTGTGTCACCACCCAAATTTCATCTTGAATTGTAGCTTCCACAATTCCCATGTGTCGTGGAAGGGATCCAGTGGGAGGTAATCGGCTCATGGGGGCGGGTCTTTCCTGTGCTGATCTTGTGATAGTGAATACATCTCACGAGATCTGATGGTTTTATTAAGAAGAGTTCCCCTGCATGACTCCACTGTTGCCTGCCACCATGTAAGACGTCTCTTTGCTCTTCCTTCGTCTTCTGCCATGATTGTGAGACCTCAGCCATATGGAACTGTGAGTTCATTAAACTACTTTTTCTTTATAAATTACCCAGTCTTGGGTATGTCTTTACTAACAGTGTGAAAACGGACCAATACAGCAAATGATAAGAAATGCAGTGGAGGTGGCTCAAGAATGGGCTTGCAGGTCAAAGAGCCTGGGTGGATTTCCCAGCTTTCTTCCTTTTTCCTCCCCGGGGATTTTGCTTCCCACTCTCCAGCCCCTTGATGTGAACATTAGTCATATTAATGTCAGAGCAAATATGCTAATGAGTCCTTACTTACTAACAGTATGATCTCAGGCAAGTTCCTTAATTTCTTTGTGCCTTAGTTTTCTCATCAGTAAAATGGACATAATCATAGTGCCTTCCTCATGGGGTTGGAACCAGGCCTAAGTGAATTGATATTTGTAAATCTCAGAACAATGTCTGGCAGTAGTAGGTGCTACCTAAATATTTGTTAAATGCAATAAACAAGGGACTTGTATTCAGTAGTAAAGCAGCACTCCTAGCCCCTCACTTAGGGCCTTGGATCTCAGTCACATCTTATTCCCATGTTTTTCAATCTGGGGCTCCAAATTGATGCTTAAAAAATTTCAGGGTTGTAGTCATGTGTAGCTGAAGATGGATGTGTCCAGCCTGTTGCCTCTTTTTGAAATTGTCTAGTTCCAGCCTATATCAACACATTGTTGGTCCAGATGGGAGACAGGAGATGGCTAGAGATCATCTAGTCCAATTGTTCTTATTTATAGAGCCCTGGAGGGGATGGGATTTGTTCAGCTCAGACAGCTCTTGTCTGAAGAGCCAGGGAAAGAGATAGGGGGTTCTTTAACTAGAGTAATTTTCAACACATCCCTCTGAGTACTTTGCTGGGGGTCTGATACAAGTTCTGCCTTGGGACTTATGGAAAGACTGATGGCAGAAGGCTTCCACCTGGCTGTCTAGAACACCTACCCATAAAGGTGAAAAGGATCCCTAGAGAGCCCAGTTAGGGGCTCCCCATGACCATTCCTGAGCCCACTGACTGAGCCAGCTCATAACACACATCTTGGTGCTGGAGAGATCTCAACAGGCTACAAAGTTGAGGGGAATGATCCAGTGAGACTGGGTCAGGGCTCCAACACGTTTTCATAGAAGGCATCTTTCACATAAGTAACTCTGCTATAAACCCAAGTGGAAAGGAGAGGAGAGAGAAAGGGAACATTAAAATGGTAGTGGGGTCTTCGCCCGTTGTTCTCTTCAGTGAGCTTATTCTCCTGAGTTTGCATAGCTGGAGAACATGACTTGTCTGCCTTCTCAGCCCACCTAATCTCCACAGCCTCCCAGACTTGGACCATCTCAGCCCTTTGAGTATGATTCTAGTCTTTAAACTTGCATACTTTTTGCACAGTATAGGCCAAATTACTTCTTCAGCGGCCCAACCAGGGAGACCTCAATCTGTTCCAATCCAATACAAAACAAAGAGGATGTGTTAGATTCATTGAGTTGGGATTTTCAAAGGAAAAGTTGGCTCTGTGAGTCTCACCTTTTGTGATAATTTTGGAACTGAGTGAGCTGTAACTCTGGTTTACCTGGGGCTGGGCATGACCTGAAGCTAGGCATGCAGGATATAGCACCCTCCTCAGGGAGGTTCCAGCATCTTGTTGGAGAACATTGTCCTAGCAGCCTTATCCATTCGTCCGAGCCTCTGGCTCCTCTGGCTCCCTTTCTTGGGGAAGGATCTGGTCTCTGGGCCCTCTTCTTCCAGCTGCCAAGCTGCATGCACAAATGACCCCAAAGCCTAAGGCCGTGGCTCCTATACTCTTTTTGGAAGACCCTCTCTATCATGTTCTTTCTTATTTTTTTTGAAACAGTGTCTCACTCTGTCACCCAGGCTGGAGTGCAGTGGTGCAATCTCAGCTCACTGCAACCTCTGCCTCCCAGGCTCAAGCAACCCTCCCAGCTCAGCCTCCTGAGTATCTGAGACTACAGGGGTATGCCCATATGCCTGAATACTTTTTGTATTTTTTGTAGAGGTGGGGTTTTGCCATGTTGCCCAGGCTAGTCTTGAACTCCTGGGCTCAAGTGATCCACCTGCTTTGGCCTCTCAAAGTGCTGGGATTATGGACATGAGCTGCTGTGCCTGGCATCTATCATGTTCTTAATCTCACTAGCAACACTGTCAACCCCAAACATTTGTTTTACACTTTATGCAATTGATGGAACACTTCTCCTGCCCCCTCCTTCCTTGATTCTCACTTAACTCTGTGAGACAGGCTGGGCAGGTGTGAGGGGCTCATTTATCTTGAAAAGAAGACCAAGACTCATTGAACACAGGGCAGGAAGGCCTGAGACAGGATCCTGACCTTCTGGTCCTGCATCCTCCTCTTCCCACCCCCTCATTGCTCTTGAGGGAAAATGCCCTTTTGGGGTTGTTTTAGGTAGTGGCAAAAAGCTGGTGTCTGAAAGGCAGTTCTCTAAGTTAAGGAATAGCAAAAATGACTCAGGTGAACCCCACTCATACACACGCTCCTGAAACTCTGAGGGCTCAAGTGAAAGGTGAACAGTTGACCACTATACTTGAGGGCAGAAGACTTATTTCCTTATTCTCATTCTGGCATAACTCCCTCAAGAGATTTGGCCAAGTTACCGCCTATCTCTGGGCCTCAGTTTCTTCCAGGACTAATGGACTATGACTCTAGGGGCCCATTTGTGAAGGAACCCGCATGGAAGTTATCCCTGCAACTCTATTTTTCTGGCATCTCTTCTCTTTCCTCTCTCCCTCCTGAGAATGAAATTCCTGAGACTGATTCAATTTTCTTATTTCTTTGTTTTATTCCCTCTCTTTCCCTCTTTTCTATCAATAGAGCACTTTAATTTGATCACAGTTATCTAGTCCTAAAAATAATTACCAAGTTTATATATCCTGCAAGTAAGCAACTCAGAATTTATGTGGGCTGTCTGCTTCAGCCCTCTTTGGGGGAAATTATAGGTCTTTTCTGACTTGATTTACTCGTAAAAGGATAGAGAATGTTCATACTGCCATCACACACGGAGCCAGAAGAGAATTGGCCACTTCCCCTCACATATTAGAATCATAATGAATAGTTCAAATATGACATCATGGTCTTTCCTATGCCAAGACACTGTGGAATCATATTGAAAATACTACATTAGCTTAGAAAATGAAGTAAAATAAAATTGAATTGGGCTAGTGAATGCAGACATTTATGTTAAAGTGTGAGGCCCCACAGCAAAGAGCCTCTGCTCAGTGTTAAGTGCAAAGTGAACCATTCTTCATAGTGAGACTCCTCATCCTGCCCTCACCCTGCCCTCACCTCTCTGAGGCTGCCACTGGGGTCACATTTGGGCCCGAAGCTGAAGAGATGCTTTCCTGATCAGCCAGTGCCTAATGATGAGATTTTTAGATGTTATTTTCATTCCCGCAGAAAAGCAAAAAGGAGAGCCAAATTTATTCCAAATTCCCTTAAATCTTCCCTTCTTTGGATCAGTCTTAGGAAATCTAGTTTCTCTTCTCCCAATCGGTCTCAAGAAAACTAAGGAAATGTAGAAAAGAGGTGATTTCATAGCCTCATAGCTATGCTACCAAATATCTCTGAAAAATGGAGAGAAAAAATCCCCAGTCCTGCAAAAGATCCTTTGGTGTCCTGTACCAAGGTGCCCAGGGTGAGGACAAGTCCTAGTAAGTTCGCTCCCTTTTGAGGTCCTCAACTTTGAAATGTGAGGACTGGCCGGGTGTTGTGGCTCACGCCTGTAATCCCAGCACTTTGGAAGGCCAAAGCAAGCGGATCACGAGGTCAGGAGTTCAAGACCAGCCTGACCAACATGGTGAAACCCTGTCTCTACTAAAAATACAAAAATTAGCTGGGCGTGGTAGCTGGTGCCTATAGTCTCAGCTACTCGGGAAGCTGGGGCAGGAGAATCGCTTGTACCCGTGAGGCGGAGGTTGAAGTGAGCCAAGAATGCGCCACTGCACTCCAGCCTGGGTGACAGAGTGACACTCTGTCTCAAAAAAAAAAAAAAAAGTGAGGACCGTGTTGACGATAGCCTTTGTGGGGCCTGTCCTGGGGCATTAGTCAGATTTTCCATAGGCTCTGTCATATGGTGGGAAGCACTGCAGATGGGAGATTCATCTTAAGGAGGAAGCTGCCTGTGTGTAGTGAAGTCTATGATGAGGCACTGGGATAAGGGAGAGAGACTTTGAGCTCTTGGGAGCTGCCAATAACCCAAGCCACAGAAGAGGGCAAAGGCAAGAAGAAGGAACTGAATTTTGGACCCTGTTTCTGGGTGAAGGGGTGGATTGGCATGGACTGATGGAAGAAGCATAAAGAACGGGGAGGGAGGGGCCCAGGAAAATTACTTATGAGGTAAGGAAATGGCTGGAGTTATACATGGTTTTTGTGTTCACGTGGGTTTGACGGGTGAATAACAAAGGGTTTCGGAGGAGGTGACAGTAGAAAGACTTGCAACGTGATTTGTGGTTTGTTTCTGTCGTTGCCATGTGAGGACTTCTTCTGTCTGTCTCACAGTCCTTTGCCACATTGACTTGTGTCTTGTGCGAGGCAGCTGTTGTCGCCTGCAGGATGTGTGAAAACTAGAGGAGGAGCCAGTGTCACATCTGGGTCAACATGGTGACAACCATAGAAAGCACGTGGGAAATAGGCTGAAGCCCAGAGGCAGAGGTGGTCCTGAGACTCCGAGCTTCCTGAGCTGACATGAGCTTTAGAATTTGAGGTTTCATAACAATTTTGGTATTTTTTGAGGGAAGAGGAGACCCCGGTTGCATCTTGGTTAGACCTAAATGATGTTGGTCCTTCTGAACTCTGGTTGGAGAGTGCAGAGCCAAGGAGAGGAAAGCTTTTCCTCCCTTCGCTTACAAACTCTTGTAGTCTCAAAGATGTATGCTGGGTTTCACCGCATCCCTTGCACAAAGCCACCCTTTTCCTCTTCCAGCTTGAGGAAAGGATCTACCTCTGAACTCTGCATTTCTCTAGGGAAGCTCCTCATACTGGGCATGGTATTGATCGTGTCTTTTTATTTTGTAGCTTTGATGCTTTCTCATCTTGGGACCTTGCTGACCCTGGAGGAACTATGCCTTCTAGGGGTAGCTAATTCCTAGAAATAGCAAACAACAAGCCTATGAGCACTCCTTTCATAAGCAAACTGACCAATCCGGAGCCCATACCCCAACCACCTCCTTCATTGAACTCTTATACTAGGGTCTGTATTCCCCTGCCATAAGCACCCCAGTACCTTCACTATTTCCTTGTCCTCATCACTCAAAGACCAGGTACCAGACAACTAGAGACAGACGCTATGCTCCAGGGCCTGATGAAATTATTCGAGCCAGTCAACCCTAAGTCTGCTTACCCTGCCTCATTCATTCCTTCCCATGGAAACCACAATAGGCTGTGGTCCACATTTCCCCTCACCCCTTCTGCCTCCTGACCACCCCTGGTGCTTCTCTGTGTGCCCCCTGTGACACAGTATGCCCCCTCCTCTTGCGCTCTGTGAGAATAAACTGTCTTTTCAATGCCTGTTGTCTCTTGCTCTGGTGGCCTCACCAGACCCAAATGATAATAAAACATACATTTTAAAACAGGCATCAAACCCAGACTGCGTGTGTTCTGTGTTCCTACTGGGCCAATTCATTTGTATGTACATGGTGTAACAGGCCCTAAACTAAATGTTAGGGGTACAAACTAGAAAAAGGCACGTTCTTGCCCTCAGTGCGCTCACAGACTGTGGAGAATGATGGACACTGAAATAAGGATGATGTGTAATATATTACTTAGAGAGTTTTGAGCATGATGCTGGCTGCAAGAAGGTAAAAGAGAGAGGAATTTCTTCTGCTTGGTATTGGGTCATCGTGGGAGATGAGTCAGGGAAGTCTACAAAAAGGAGGAGATATGCCCTTGTCCCTCAGATTGTCCCCAAAAAGCTGAAGGTTCTTTGGTATCTGTGTCCGTTAGGGTTCAGATGGAGAAATGTGCTTGTGTCACATCTCCAATGATAAGCATATGCTCTGTGTACAGTAGGTGCGTCCTGCAGGTTTGTTATGGGTATGATGAAAGGCATACCATCCTGTGAATGAATAAACTGTAGACAAGTCCATAGAGATAGAAACTTCAAACTAGAATGGCCCTTATAGTTTTACAGATTAGCAGCCAACTGTTGTCCTACTGGTTGAATTTGGGCTATAGATATTTTGTCTGGCTTACACCTTGTTAAAATACAGAATTAGTAGTCGTTGCTTAATAACTGAGCTATTACATATGAAAACGTATATGTCTAGTATCCCTGGAAAAAATCAGATGCAACATTGGGTTTTTGGTGGATGCTAAATAACAGCCACTGCCTTATGATGGGGCAGGAACTCTTCCATTTTGTTCCAGTCCTCACCTGGCCACTGCGTTGTGTCACCTGTTTGGTTCGGTTCTTGAAGGCACTTCCGGTTTGCAATCCTTAGAACAAGCTCCCTACTTTTCTGCCTCCCTTTTGTGTTAAATAACAGATATGAATATTGAAACCTGGGATGGGAAGTGACTTGTACACAGTGGCAAGGCGGGTACTCAAGTCAAGACTCCTGACTCCCAGTTCCCCACAAGGAGTTAGTCAGCCTAGAGAAAATAACGTCTCCACTGCCTGAAACACAGTGTAATTTACATCACACTTATAAATTCAAGGGAAAATTATCTGATCACTGCAGAACATTGAGACACTAGAAACTGAAAATTGAATTTCGAGCTCAGAAATAAGGGAAATGAGAAAAAAAAACAAAAAGAATGAAAGAGAACAAAGAATCAGATATCTTTTAAATTTTAGAAGCTTTAATTAAAACTCTCGAAATTCTTATTCTTAGAGAAAGATAAGAAATCATTTTTTAAGGGAGAAGATTGTTACACAGATTGCTAAATAAATATACCATGTACCTTGGAAAGCTGCAATAATTAGATTTGGCTGAATTAAACTAACCTGAAAGTTGAGGAATGGAACAAACAGAGCTATTAAAACTATGATGTGAAATAACCAGAACTCATGTTTCATCTTGGCTTTATCTGCAAAATAATATTTCTTCAACTGTCTTCAAGTGTAGATGGTTGAATGGATTAACACTCTGCTTTCTTCCTTTGCCATAAGATAAAAGTTGGTTTACTGTAAGTTGACCGTTAGTATACCTTTGAGTTGGGGGATTGCATCAGATCTTTGAAAAGTAGGCACCCCCCTGATCTGGTCTATACCATAGTGATTTGCACAAAGCAGTCATTCACAAAATATAAATACTGAGATCTGAATTTATTATAGTATGTACCGAAAATGATTTTATCATTTTGAATTCATAGAATACAAGAATTGTAATATTTTATTAAATCTGGGAGGGATAGTTTAAGTCAATCCCCTCAGATAAGGGGTTGGATCTAGGGACTTTATTTTTCCCATATAATGCAGCTAAATATAGTTAGAACTAGGAACTAATTCTCCTGATATCAAGGACAGGTTTACTTGGAAATCTCTGTATCTTTTTCATGACGTTTTAATTTTTTTTAAATAAGGCATTTTACAAGAATGAGACTTTGTGTGTTGAGTTTGTAAGCTGCTTTTCCCACCTAATTATAAATGTATCAAAAGGAATGTGAATGGATACATAGGATGCTACTGAACAGCTGATCCATAAATCAGTCCTTGATCTCTGATTTCTGTACATTTAGAGTATTTCAATTTCTACCACTAAAATAATGCTTATAAAGTCCTTTTGGCTAGGTATTTGCACACGTCTTTAGAGTATTTTCCCAGGAGTCAAATTATCATGAAATTGTAAGTCTTTAGATACATATTGACAAATTTATCTCAACAAAAATTATCCCAATTTATATTTTTACTTCTTAGGTAAGATGATGCTGTTATTGTGCTATTAAATAAAGTTAAATGTAAAAATTTTCAGAGTTGTAACATGCTAACCTATACTGGTGATTAACCAAGAGAGGTTATACTATTAAAAGTTTTACCAACTGCGTAAGGATGGAACTCCCCCTTCCTTCTCAAAGTGTGTGTTGCTAGTGAACACGGGAGCTTTGACTCATATTTCATAAAAAACAATTTGGTAAATGCTGCCTTGGATTTATTTTCTTGCTTTCATTTTTAGCTTTTTGATCTTGAGGGAGGTTTAGTCATTGTTTAAATTATTTCTTTCTGTAAATAACAACACTTAAGGCTATAGATATTACAAGCACAGTTTTAGTCACTAGTTTTGATATGGAATATATCTCCATATTCTTTTAGTCACTAGTTTTGATATGGAATATATGATATGGAAAATAACTGTGTCCCTGCTGTTATTATCCAAACAATATACAATTGCAATTTAGATTTTCTCTCATAGATTAAAAAAAATTTTCCAAGCAATTGCTTTCTAAATATTAACTCCAATTTTGCATCGTTTTGGGAGAAGAGTAAATATTGTTTTAACTTTGGGAAATTTATTTAATTTTCATTTTGCCCTAGAACATAATCTTAAAATAAATGTTCCACATTTATTTGAAAAGGATGAATAGACTGTAAATTATGAAGTTTATTATTTTCTATAACTAAAACAAGACTTTATTATGCAGTTTATTTCCTGTTGTTTTATTCTACAGTTGTTAAAAGCAGACATTTTGTTTCTTTTTCTGATTTTAGTTATCAATTTATCTTCATATTTCTAGTTTTAAAATTCTATATGATTTTATGACATTTAATACATAAATGTTTATGATCATTCTAAATTCATTCTGCATGGTATCTTTCTTCAGCACAAAATAACCCACTTTAGCCTGTTGAAGGTTTTTTGTCAGGAATTCTAATTTATCTCTTAAATCCACTTCTTTCTATTGTTTTCTCCTGCTTGGCATTATCTCATGCTTTCTATTCTTTTAGGAAGATACGTATTTTAAGTCTATTTGTATATGTATTTGAAATTCAACTTAGATAAATGAGCAATGCATACACGTGTTGAAACATTCAAACAACACACAACTATACAGTGAAAAGTAAGTCCTCCTCTCCCTGAGTCCTACAATATCTCCCTTAGAGATAATCACTTTTACTACTAACAGTTTCTTTTAGGCTGGGTGAGGCTCACGCCTGTAATCCCAGCACTTTGGGAGGCCGAGGCAGGCGGATCACGAGGTCAGGAGATCGAGACCATCCTGGCTAACACGGTGAAACCCCGTCTCTACTAAAAAATACAAAAAATTAGCCGGGCGTGGTGGCGGGCGCCTGTAGTCCCAGCTACTCTGGAGGCTGAGGCTGGAGAATGGCGTGAACCTGGGAGGCGGAGCTTGCAGTGAGCTGAGATCACACCATTGCACTTTAGCCTGGGTGACACAGTGAGACTCCTTCTCAAAAAAAAAAAAAAAAAAAGTTTCTTTATATTTCTGTTTCTATGCTTATTTATGGGAATAAGTGCAGACACACATGTTTACAAAACCCAATTGTGGCACACTCTACACTGTGTTTTGCTGGAGAATATTCCACATCTTTTCATATAAACTCTGCAGAATATCCCATAATAAACATATATAATAGTTTATTGATCTATTACTATTCTAATAGACCTTTAGATTTTAAAAGCAGTGTGTCCAAAGCTGGCTGTCCTTATCATCTTCCCTCTCCCAAATGACCAAACCTTCTTCTCTTCCAGTGTCCCCTCTGTTTGAAATAGCATTACTCTCTGTTTAGTTGTTTAAACTGGAAGCCCTTTGCAGACATCCGTGATTCCACCTTCTCCCCTACTCTCCATACCTAATAGTCATACAGGTCTGTTGATTATGATGTTTGAAGACCACTCAGGTCTATCCTCTGTTTCCATGCCCATTGCCTTCACCCTTCCTTAAGTACATCGCATTGTCCCTCTTCAGGATTGCTACCTACTTCTGCTGCTGCACCTTCTTCAGTCGACTCTTTACCACGATGTCAAACTGACCACTTCAAAATGTAACTCTAATAAGACCCTCCACTGGCTTTCCATTGCCCTTGGAATAACGTTCGTCATTCTTCAGATGGTCTACAAAGCCATTCAGGATCTAGCCCTCACTTTTTTTGGTAGATCCCTTGTGGTTTTTAGTTCAGCCATGCTGGCCATCAGCTTTTAATTCCTTGAATTAGTCCCACACTTGCCAAAAACTGGGCTTTCGCACATGCTGTTTCCTCTGCCTTTAATGATTTTCCTTAAAACTTCCTCTTTGCCTGGTAAATTTCTGTTCCTCTTTAAAGTCTCAGTTTAAACATTACTCCCTCTAGAGATACTGTGACCCACATCACTCTGACCTCTGCTTCCATTGTCAGGTCATCCCATCTCCTTCTCTGACCCTGACTTCCCTCTTACAAGCACCCTTGTGATTACATCAGGCCTACCCAGATAATCTAGGATAATCTTCCCATCTCAAGATCCTAAACTTAATTGCATCCGCAAAGTCCCTTGTGCCATGTAAACTAACATATTAACATGTTAGAATGTGGACACCTTTGGGGGCCAGTGCTCTGCCTAGCAAACTACCTTTAATATTTGGTTTAGGAATGTGGTGGGGCAAGAGCAATTTATTTTAGAAATATTTTCATCCCCAAAGTGCTTCAAAATCTGGTACTTAAGAAGGGTTAGATTCATTCATCTGGAAAATTGCCTTTGGGGCAGCTGGTGATGCTGGAAAAATAAGGCAGCAGCGTACTCTGGCCCTGAAATTAAAAATCTTAAAGGTAAAACCTGTCACAATGAAGTTATTAATGGGAGAGCCTAGACCTGGGCGCATGGAAGTCATAGCTCCATCACTTTGCACTGTGGGAACTTAGGTGAGCCACCGCCTCTTCCTGAACCTCCGTAACCTTATTTATAAGGTGAGGAGTTGAGCTGGGTGAAATGAGGCCATTTTAAATAATGAGATTCTATAACTTCAGGTCCAATCTCTTTCCTTCCCCACTTGTTCTTGAAATGCTAAAATATTAGCTTCCTGCAAAATGATCAACAACTGAAATTTCATAACAGCTATACACCATCAGAGTAGTAGAGGTTTCATCAAAGTTTTTAAAAAATTTCTTAACCCCATTCCGATTCAATGCAAAGTACAACAAAAGAATCACAACATTGAGAGTGACCACTGGGCCTTGGTTATCCATGATGAGTTCAAGTTCAGGCTGCCTCTACTTGTTTCTTCCATGCTAATGGAATTTTGTTTTGTCTCTGAATTGACTTTTGTGGTCACCCCATCAGTTCACACACGTAGAAAGCTAACCTTTTTTTTTAAAATCTGGAAGCTTTTTTTATGTCTATTTTCATCCTATAGAATGATGACGTGTAACTGGCAAATTCTAACAATTGCCTAAATTGGAAATGCAATTAACCATGCCTATTCTTTTTGGCAGAGTTAAAGAGCATTTCAGAGATTTAGTATTGACTGGGTTTCTCACTTGGTACAAACAGGTTTCATGATTTATCGACATGTCCATTGCTTCCTTCGCTTGTCTCTAGCATTAGCGATTTGCTGAAGATTTGCTGGGCAGTTTGGAACTGTGATGACTATGCAGGGTGCCTTAACCACAGTTGTATCAGAACATCCACATTGGTTGCATTTAACATTCTGCTTACAGAAATGGCTGGATCAATCTCATTTCAAATGAAAATGAATGAGCAAAACATAATCTACCAAATTAAAAAAGCCCACCATAAAGGCAACTTGCAAGTCATGACAATGATATGCACTCTTCCATTACTGTCTTTGTATTTGGGTGGAGGTGCAGGGGAGGGGATATCCATTCTCACTCCTCGGCTACTAAGTATGCAGAACGAAAATGGTGATCAGGATATGAGCTAATCCTTTGCACAGCCATGCTGGTCTCGGTCGGGCCCTTTCTTCTCTTTGGTTGATTTTTGGCAGAGGAGCTCAATTCACATTCCCTCTGTCCTCCACTGCAGTGGCTTCAAACTTTGGTGTGCATAAGAATCCCTTGGAGCACTGTTTAAAGTACAGATTCCTGGGCCTAACTATGAGAGACTGAGATTTAGGACATCTGGAGTGAGGTCCTGGAATTGGCATTTTGAAAAAGTTCCCAGAAAAGCTGAAGCTGCTGATCTGTGGACCACACCTTGAGTAACTCTGCTCCACTGCAGAGTGCTAGATGAATATATAATGAATAAAGTGTTGACCTTGTAGTTTTAGCAGTTTCTTTTTTTTTTCTTTTTTTTTTTTGAGATGGAATCTTGCTCTATTGCCCAGGCTGGAGTGCAGTGGCACAATCTCGACTCACTGCAACTTCGCCTGCCTCCCGGGTTCAAGCAATTCTCCTGCCTCAGCCTCCTGAGTAGCTGGGACTACAGGCATGTGCCACCACGCCTGACTAATTTTTGTAGTTTTGGTAGAGATGGGGTTTCACCATGTTGGTCAGGCTAGTCTCAAACTCCTGACCTCGTGATCTGCCCGCCTCAGCTTCCCAAAGTTTTGGGATTACAGGCGTGAGCCACCACATCTGGCCCACTTTCTACCTTTCTATGCTTTGCTGTTCATCTTTTTGTAGGTGTCTCTCTCTGTTCTCTTGAAAGAGGAAGTTAATTTGAAAGAGCCAGAGGACATTCTCCAAAACTGAAACAGAAGCCTAATATAGCTCAACCATTATTTTCTGAGCACGTGACAGCATTGGACTCAGTGCTGCATTGGCTGTAGAGAATAATGATGAACAGCAGTGCCCCTGCCCAATGGACTTACTGTACTGGAGAGCTTGGAGCATGTACACACATGTGTGATGCATGAATCTGCCTGTCTGCGTGGGTCAGTTAACCTTTAATCAGAGGCCAGCCCACAGGCGTTCCTGCTGTCATTTTCCTGGGAACTGTTTTCTGCCCTCATCCTTATCATCAATGAGAACTAGAGATCTTTATTTTTCCCTTTTTTTTTTTTTTTTTTTTGAGACTAAGTCTCACTCTGTCGCCCAGGCCGGAGTGCTGTGAAGTGATCTCGGCTCACTGCAACCTCCACCTCCCAGGTTCAAGGGATTCCCTTACCTCAGCCTCCTGAGTAGCTGGGATTACAGGTGCCCACCACCACGCCCAGCTAATTTTTGTATTTTTTGTAGAGGTGGGTTTCACCATGTTGGCGAGGCTGGCCTTGGACTCCTGACCTCCAGTGATCTGCCTGCCTTGGCCTCCCAAAGTGCTGGGAATACAGGTGTGAACCACTGCACCCAGCCAGATCTTTGTTTTTCAAAGTACTCAAAAGGTGTCCTGAGGAGACTCTAGAAGTCAAGACGTGTGTGTTCCGTTCCTGGATATGATATGGATATGATCATAATTGTCTCTGTGATCTCTGGTTAGCTCTTGCCCCTTACAGGGCCCGATTTTCCCTCTCTGTGTAATGAGGCCACTACGATTCTAATAGCCATATTCACGGTCCACAGCTAAGACCTCATTGGTAGCTGAAGGTTCTGGGCTAGGTGAGATCCGATTAAAAACAAACCAGAACAAGCCAAACAAATAAGGCAGCAAGTGGGAGAGCTCCAGGAGCAAGTGGTCAGGAGTGGGCAGGTAGACAAGAGAACTGGTTGACCCATGGTATTCACATCATGGAGTGGAGGGCCTGGATGCTGGGCCGTGTGCTCGGCAAGCCTCTGTCACCTCTGCCCTTCAAGACTGGCTACATCTTAGCAAGCCCAGCTGGGAGGCTTATTGCTGCCCTTGTCGGCTGGTGTGGGTTTAAATAATTACTTATCTTCCTCTAGCCTTCTACTAATATCTACCATCTTCAAATATCTAGGCCTCTCTTAATGTCCTCCTTGATTGAGGCACTTGGAGATAATGGTTCTTTCTTCTGAGGAAGAATGAAGGAAAAGAACTATTATTACTAGGTAACTATTATATGCTAGAAATGTTACATATATTAACTATTGAATCCTATAAAATGCTCTGAAGTAACTACTGTTATTCTCATTTTATTGTTGAAGAAGCTGAGGTTGAGAGGTGAAATTATTTGCCCAGCTTACACAGGTGGTAAGTGGGTCCGTCCAACACCAACACCTGTGCTTCCCACACCATAGCATGCTTCCAGTTTATTATAATTTTCCTCTTAATTCTTGAATCTCTGAAAAACTGGGGTCTTTTTCCTTTGATTCCTAGGCACACTGCACAGATGTAAGAACTTTTCACATGCACTTGGGCAACCCAAATTGTGTTTGCAGAATTCCCGGATGCTATTACCTTGGCACCAACCTTACCCTTCTTAGAAGGTAGCCTCTTGGTTGAACACTCACATCCCAGATTGGCACTCATCCCCCTTCCTTTCCCGCTGGCCTTTTGTTCCCTGACACTTTTTTTTTTTCTGCCTCAAGCTTCGACTTCTGCCCAAACTTTAAGTTGCTCTATAATCTATGCTCCTTCAAAGGCCAACTCTGTGATCTTGGACAAGTTTTTTAACCACTTTGGCCTTACTTTCTATTTCTGTAAAATGGGAATCCTAGTGTCTGCCTCTTGAGGTTGTTGTGAGGGTTAAATGAAATAATGTGTGCAAAAGGCTTAGCACAGGGCTTGATGCATGATGAATGCTTAATTATTCTTATTACCTGTAGTGGTAATAAGTTTCTATCACTGCACGTATTCTGGTATAATCTGAATACTTCTGGGTGGGAACATAGCCGAAAAGAATCACTTTTAAGGTCCTTTCTAATCTTGAGGGCTTGAGGATTTATGATTCCAGAGATCAAATCTTAATTCCTAAACCCGCTTCTTCTTAGACAAACACACACATTTAGTTTTCATTATCCATCTGACCCTCTCACTTCATTGAAGCTAAAGATTTTTTTCAAAACTGTTATAATTCTATTTTATTTTTGAAAAAGAGTTACTTCATCGTGAAACTTGTAAATAATAGAACAACATTGAAAGCCATGAAATGCTAAAAATCAGAGGTGCATCCTGATCAATGTTGAAAGAGTTCAGGATGGAGAAAGGCATGTTCAGGGGAGAGTTCTGGAAAGATGTAATCTGACTTAGGGTAGATGGAAGGGCAGTGACTTGTCCAAGTGCGGTGAGTTTTAGGCCCAGGGTTGGAATTACAGCTGGGTGATTCTAATGCCCACACTGTCCCACCACATGGTGCTGTATAGGAAATCTGTTTAGACAATGCATGCATAATATAATGGTGCCTGTTTTTAGATCTGAGAGTTTACTTTTGTAATTTAAAATAGTTAAAAGTCTTAGTCTCCTTATGTTTTTGTTTGATATATTTTTTTTGTCAGAGATACATGTTGATATCAAATTCTTATATAGGAATAAAATTAAGGATTATAACATGGTTATAATGATTTCTAGGAAAAATAAGGTCCATTTTTTCATAATTTAGATTTATGCATGTTTGCATATATCCAAATTTATAGGTATGTGTGCACATATGCATTTATAAAAGTGTTTGATTCTAAGAATAGTTTCAATCTGAGAATGAGGACAACAGTTAGGTGTCCCCATCACAACTTGGAGCTAAAGCTATCCTTGGGATGCAACCCTTATTTTAAACTTTGTATTTTGATGTAATTTCAGATTTACAGAGAGTTGCAAGAAGAGCACCAAAAAAGTTCCATGTATTTTTCAGCAGATTTTCTAAGTTTTAACATTTTACAACATGTACTTTCTCTCTCTCTCTCTCTCACACACACACACACACACACACACACACACAATTAAGACATATACCATGCCTTACTACCATACATAATTAGGACATATACCATGTTTCTGGAAATATCACCTCTTGGAACATATATGTGTGTGTGTATATATGTGTATACACACGTGTGTGTGCGTACACGTGTGTGTGTATACACACGTGTGTAACATTTCACATTTCAAGTCATATGTGTGTGTGTGTATTTTTTTTCCTTTTAACTTTCCGAAGGTAAGTTGCAGAAATGAAGTCCCTTTGCCCCTGAGTACTTCAAGGTATATTTTCTAAAAACAAGAACAATCTCTTATGTAACCACAAAAAAGCAACACTGATACAATACTATTAGCCAATCTACACACCTTGTTCAATTTTGCTGAATTTTCCAATAATGTCTTTTGTAGCAAAAGAAAATCCCAGATCATACACTACATTCAGGTGTCATATCTCTGTGGTCTTTTTTATTTTTTGAAGAATTCCTCAGTCTTCCCTTGTCTTTCAAAAATCTGACTTTTTCTGAAAGGTGCAGGTCAGTTATTTTGAGGATGTTTGTCGATTTGGATTTGGATTTGTCAGATGTTTCCTCATGTTTAGACTCCAGTTGTGCAGTTTGGGGCAGGAATATCACAGAAGTGATGCTGTGTTCTTCTCAGTGCATCTTATTAGGAGACATAGCAAATCTTTTTGTTATATTACTAGTGAAGGTGATAGCTTAGTGATAACATTTTGCACATGTACGTGTATTTAGTTTTCCCAAACAATCAGTGAGTAACATACTGTTGCCATCACCTCTTTACAGGTGATGGAGTCGAGAACAGAGAGGTTATGTAACTTGCCCAAGTTCACACAGCTAATCAACAGAGGAGCTGGAATTAGGATGCAAGTACTTTGGCTCCAGAGTTTATCTCTCAACCAGTGTACCTTGGCACCTCATACCAGGCTTTTTTACTATTAAGTTATTAGTTTCCCTTTGTAATTAATAAATATCATGTGGGGAAATCCTTGGAAATTCTATAAATATTCTATTGCCCATCAAGATTTCACCACTAGTTTTAGCATCCATTAATGATTCTTCCATGAATCAATTATTACTACGAGAGTTGCCAAGTGATAATTTTCTAGAATATAACTCCGAAGAATTTAGTCTTTTGGATGAACTTAAGAACAATTGTGTTAAATATTTAAACAGAAAACCTTATTGGGTGTATTAATCAGCTCAGCTCAGGCTGCCACAATCAAATGCCATAGACCGGGTGGCTTAAACAACAGAAATCAATGTTCTCACAGTTCTGCAGGCTGAAAAGCTGAGATCATGGTGCCAACAGGGTTGGGTTCAGGTGAGGGCCCTCTTTTTGGCTTGTAGATGGCCATTTTCTCACTTTGTCTTCACATGGTGGGGATGGGGGTGTTGTGGGAACATGAGAGCGAGAGGGAGAAAGAGAGATCTTTCTTCCCAGTTTTAAAAGGCTACAGTCTTATTGGATTAGAGCCTCATCCTCATAAATCACATTGAGGGTTAAGGCTTTTACATATGGATTTTGAGGTGACACAATTTACTCCATATCACTGGAATTGTAACTGGAGTTGTGTCATCTTTGTAAATTAATTTTGAGAAATTGAGATCTTTGTGATATGGAAAATTTGGCTCCAGGAACGTGGCATGTGTTATAATTTTTCCAGTCATATTTTATATTTTTAAATAAAAATCTGTGGTTTCCTTCATTTATGAACAGCATGTGTACTGTTATCTTTATTTCTAGGCATTTCATATTTTTCTCTTGCCATTCCTAAGGGAAACTATTTTTCATTATGCTTTCTAACTAATTATCTCTGGAATGTAGGAAACATTCTTTCGTGAACGACTTATTTCATATTTGCTAATTTGTTCTAATAATTTTCCAATTGATTATCCTGAATTTCCCAGGGAAATGATTTTCTTACTTTCAAATAGTGGTATTTGGTCAGGTTCTTTCTAATATTTCTGCATCTTTTTTTGTGCTATTTAATTGCTAGAGCTTTCAGAAAAATACTGAACAGCTGTGATGATCATGGGTCATTCCGACGTGGTCCTGATGGCAATGATAAATTCTCTGGAGTTGTACTACAGGTGAGCACAGTGTAGGGAGGTGCCAAGGCACACTGGTTGAGAGAGAAACTCTGGAGCCAAAGTACTTGCATCCTAATTCCAGCTCCTCTGTTGATTAGCTGTGTGAACTTGGGCAAGTTACATAACTTCTCTGTTCTTGACTCCATCACCTGTAAAGAGGTGATAGCAACAGTATGTTACTCATGGATTGTTTGGGAAAACTAAATACACGTACATGTGTAAAATACTTATAGAGGACATTCAATATGTCCTCTATAAGTGCTTGCCTCTATCTGTAAATATGATGTCTGCTAGCTTAAAATATTTTTATCATTTTAACAAAATACCGCATTTTCCTAGTTGACTAAGAGCTTTTTCAGGAATAAATGTTCAATATCAAATATCTTTTCTTTTTTTTCCCCTTTCATGTGATGAACTATAAAAAAAGATTTCCTAATATTGAACCATTTTATAATGTAATGGAGTAAACTACCTTAACATGGTCTGAATATTTAAAATGATTTTATTATGAACATTTTCAAAAATAAGCAAAAGTAGAGAAAAAAGCATAGTGAACCTTATATTCAGCTTCAATGATTATCAATATTTTTGCCAGTTTGTGGCATATCTTGTTATTCCCTTTTGTATACCTCTGAATTATATTTGTTAATATATTTTTTCTGGATCACATATGTTAATATATGTTAATATACAATATATTGATATATTTACATATATATTTTAGGTGATCGTGTATGATAATGTATGTTAATATAATATACAATATTTTAATGTATTTACATCTATATTTTTAGGTGATCACATGTGAATATATGTTAATATAATGTACAATATATTGATATATTTACATATATATTTTAGGTGATTATGTATGATAATATATGTTAATGTAATAAACAATATTTTAATGTATTTACATCTATATTTTAGGTGATCACATATGTTAATATATGTTAATATAATATACAATATATTGATATATTTACATATATATTTTAGGTGATCATGTATGATAATATATGTTAATATAATATACAATATTTAATGTATTTACATCTATATTTTTAGGTGGTCACATATGTTACTATATGTTAATATAATATACAATGTATTAATATATTTACATATATTTTTAGGTGATCACGTATGTTAATATATGTTAATATAATATACAATATACTGACATATTTACATCTACAATTTTAGGTGATCATGTATGTTAATATATGTTAATATAATATATAATATATTAATATATTTACATTTATATTTTTAGGTGGTCACATATGTTAATATATGTTAATATAATATACAATATATGAATATATTTACATCTATATTTTTAGGTGGTCACATAATGTTAATATATGTTCATATAATATACAATATATGAATATATTTACGTCTATATTTTTAGGTGAGATTGGCCTAATTTTCATGTGTGTGTGATATGTTGGATTTTTAAAAAATCAAGATTGTTCTCATGTTGCAGAATAAAAATTGGATTTTATATTATCATTTTATAGAAATACTCTCTTAAATTTCTTCTTATCTTGCCCTTCTTAGATTCAGCCAATTCATGGCTAGAACATTTAAAGTCTGCAGCTTTAGGAAAGGGATCACATAGAAAAAGATAGAAAATAAAAAGGTTACTGCTATGTTGGGGTCATACAAGAGTTTTGAAATAATACATAAAGAGCCAATCTTCCAAAATAAATAGACTTCAAACTGTGGGAGCATAAAAATGTCAAAGTGAATTTCAGTAGGCGTTGAGAAGAAAACATGTGCTTTGACTTCCCACTGCAGGACCTTAAGTCCTTGGCAGGCAGGGAGGAATAATAGAAACTCCAGATAGAGATGGGAAGCTAGGGGGAGAGGGCACCCACCATCTCTTTCCCAGGAAGAATGCACAAACAGCATGACCACAGCCCACAGCCTGGCTGCTACCAGCACATAGGGTGACTTTGTGTGAATTATAAAAAAGTTCATCTCAGAACAGGGACCATTATTTCCTTTTTAATATTAGTGTGTTGTTTTAAAAAGTATTTTTGAATTCCCAAGTGTTTGGATTTCTTTGAATAAATTTTTGTTTCCAACTTTTGCTCAAAAACTTCGTTTTGAATTGTCACAAAAGAATGTCACATGTTCTATTTCTGATTTAAAATTAATTTTTATAAATTCTCTAGAAATATTGGGAATAATATGTAAACTGTGTTTGAACTGCAAAGTTAAAAAATTGTAGCTATTAAAAATCTTTATTGATTTTATTATCAGAATATTCTATATCATCATATAATTTTGATCAAATTGATCTTTCAAACACAAGACATGCTGATTAAGCTCTTTCACTGTGATTGTGATTATGTCCGCTTTTCCTTCAAATTCTAATAGATTGGCTTTAAATTTTTTCATGATAATTATATAAAATATGTTTCTTAATGGATTTTTCTTCTTTTTCTTTTTTGTTTTTTTAGAGACAGGACCTTGTTTTGTCACCTAGGCTGGAGTGCAGTGGCAATCATAGCAGCTAGCTGCAGCCTTGAACTCCTGGGCTCAAGCAATTCTCCTGCTTCAGCCTCCTGAGAGGCTGGACCCACAGACATGTGCTATCATTCCTGGCTAATTTTTTTAATTTTTGTAGAGACAGGGTCTTGCACATTGCCCAGGATGATCTTGTACTCTAGGCCTCAAGTGATCCTTCTACCTCCGTCTCCTAAAGTACAGAGATCACAGGCATGAGCCACTGTGCCTGGCCAATGTTTCTTAATTGTTATACATTCATTTTTGACTTATTTTTATCATTATAAAATGTTGTTTGCTCAGAATTTTTTAGTCTGTTAATAATATTGATACCTTTTTTATTTTGCTGGATATCTCTTCTCTCCTTTTTTAAATATTAAGTATGTTATTTTAAATATGATATGTCTCTCCCAAAGAGCAAAGCTGAATTTCATTATTTGACTAAATATTAGAGACTTTACCTTTTTAACTGAGGAGTTTAATACATTTATATTTCTTGTGGTAATGGATGTGCCTGATTTTAATTATTTTGTACTTTCTATTTTTGCTTCTTTAATTTTTTTCTTTTTGATTGATTTCCTTCCCTCTTGCACTAGTTTTTGTTCAAATTTTATTGACCTTTTTTCCTTCTAGTATTCTAGAAAATGTACATATGGTTTCTAATTATAGTGATTTGAGATACAAATATGTTCGTATCAGATCAGATATATTTCTGTTGAATGCAAAAATAAAAAATATTTCATTTATTTGCCTCATGGAGGCAGGACATGGAGAACGTGTATCAGGAATAGCCAAGCATCTTGGGAGAAATTTATCATGCTTTAACTTCATCCTTACCCTTTGCATATCTTTTATGTTTTATTTTCATGTTTTGTGTGGGTATGTATGTGAATATCTAAGACTTTATATTAACCAATATTTTTGTTGGTTAATATTAAGTAAAAGGAATTAAATAATATAAGTCAAATATTGTTAATTTATACATGAATCTTTTTTCCAAGAATGCTCTTTGAAATTTACATAGGTTTTGTTTGCTTGTTTGTTTGTTTCAGATGGAGTCTCGCTCTGTCCCCCAGGCTGGAGTGCAGTGGCATAATCTCGGCTCACTGCAAGCTCTGCCTCCTGGGTTCATGCCATTCTCTTGCCTCAGCCTCCTGAGTAGCTGAGACTACAGGCACCCACCACCATGCCTGGCTAATTTTTTGTATTTTTAGTGGAGAAGGGATTTCACCATGTTAGCCAGGATGGTCTCGATCTCCTGACCTCGTGATCCGTCTGCCTCGGCCTCCCAAAGTGCTGGGATTATAGGCTGAGACACCGTGCCTGGCCTACATAGGTTTTATAATCATATTAATAATTATTTAGATATCAACTCTAAATTTTCTGACTTATTTGCTCATCACTTTTGCTTTTAGACAATATATTTCTCATTTTTGCATTTTTTATTTTTATGTATTTCTTTGTTTACTTGGGTATTTCTTTAAGAATTAGTTTTTCTTTAGGAAGGTACATGTATGTTATTGATATATTTTAGTTTTTTTCCCATTGCCTTTGCATTCTCTAGTACTCAAAGAATATTTTACCCTATATATATGTATATATATATACATATATATATACATATATATATATACATATATATGTGTATATATGTATAGTTTTTATAACAACCAGTCTGGAAAAGGGGACAGTGAAATGATAATTCTTAAACCACCTGTATTAAACTTAAAGCACATCTATGTCTTTTGGATTCCTGGGCCTTTGTTTGAAAACACTACTCTGATGTATGAAATTTTTCTGTTATGGTAAATAAACTAAATCATAAAGATGGTATTTAAAAAATCAAATTCTAAATATCTGTAATTTCATAGCACCTTGTCCAGTCCTAAACAAAAAATGATTTGCAACTCACTAAATGGGTATTAGTGATAAATGGCCATGTAAAATGTTCTTCATGACTATTGGACAAACTCCTAAACCTGAATTATCCATTAATTTGTGCCTGTATTTAAGACCTGTGCATGGATGGCAAGGAAATGGAATTCTGATTAATTTTGCACTTACAGTTTTTCAGATATTGTGCTAAGTCCTTTCGATGCCTTATCTTATTCATTTTAATAGGAAATTGAAGGTTAGTTTCTGGTACATGTTACAATCCCATACTAGATAGGCAGCATCTATGCCAAGGTTTCTCAGACTCTGAAACTTGTCTGTGAACTCTTTTATGCTATTTTAGAAAAGATGTTTGGCTATTCCTGATACATGTTCTCCATGTCCTGTGCTAGCCTTACATTGTGTGAATGAAGTTTGCTTGGTTTTTGACACTATTGTAATAGTATATCAGCTTTCTCTGACGGTTGCTTTTCTTTTGGGCTGTTTTCAAATCTAACTTAACCTTCATTAAATGGTCACTCCTGGTTATCAAGTCTCCGAATGAGAAGTCACAACCTTTACCAACAAAGTCCTAGGAGCAAGTATTTTTTTGTTTGACTCGACTTTTAACCTCATCCATTGTCTTCTCTGCAAAAATCAATTCATCGATAAACACAATTAAGGTATAATAATATTAACTTCACTAGAAAGGCTTTGAAACATAATTTTATGTGATTTTATATATACTGAAGAGATTTTCATGATGGCCCTGCCCTTATATTCATGTAGAACATTATGATTTGTGAAACTCATTTATTCATACATTCCCTAATAAAAGTAACCTTTGTGGAGCACTTGTAATGTGCTGGGTTAATGCTTGGTCTTGGGGAATCAAAGATCAATAAGATATGGTCACAGTCCTCAAAAGCTCATTGTCTAGTAGCAGGGTGTCATACAACAAGATATATCGCTGTGTAATATAGGAAATGCTATAGCAAAGATGTAAATAAAGTGGGAGGTGACTGTAATTTAATGACAGAAAGTAGCCAAGTGAGATCGATAGGCTTTTGTGTTTAAAGTGCTGTGACCCATAGATACTATTCACAGCCAAATTTATGGTTTATGAGTAGAAGCAAAGAAAGACATTGTCAGCTTTGCGAGCTCTTAGAAAATATACTGCCCCCATATTCTTCCCAAAAACTTTACTTGAAGATAAATACCAAGCAACTATGGGATAAATCAAAACAAAGAACTCAAGCATGGAGAAGTCATGGCACAAAAGGAACACAAGAAAGCCCTAAAATATTTTAAGGATGAATGAAATCTAAATAATTGCTGTAAATATGGTTACAAAAGAGAATTTAAATGCTGCAGGTAACTCTTCAAATAAAAGAGTCATGATATAGTAAAAACAACTCGTCATAAAGAAGCTGGGTAAAAAAGAAAAGCCCAGTTACAATATTTAGAAGCAGGAGAGGTTGGGTGAGAAATCATGAAAGTTATTATGTGTACTAATCTCTCCTATTTTCATGGTCATAATATATACTACACTATAATAAGTATATTGAAAGAAAACTTAAATATAAGCAGTTGTAATGTTTAAATATTTTTGATGTGCATCATTTTTTATTTATTTTATTTTTAAAAATTTCAATAGCTTTTGGGATATAAGTGGTTTTTTGTTATGTGGATGAAGTATTTAGTGGTGAATTCTGGGATTTTGGTGCACCTATCACCCATAATATTCTTAAATCAACCAAAAAAAAAAAAAAAGGAATTCAGCTCAACTCTGTTTCTAAAAGACACACATTTAAAACAAAGTACTTAAAAATCTAAAAATAAAATGGATAAGGACTTGTCTTACATGAGAAAATTAATCAAGGGGAGTAAATTAACAAATTGCATCCCACCATATATAAAAAGAATAACAACCTTCTCTAAATAAAGTATATTTCAGAAATGCAAGGATGGTTTAACATTATAAAATCTGTCCATAAAATAAATTTTGTTAGTATATTAGAAAATTCAAAAAAAACTGTAATCATCTCAATACCCTAAAATACAATTGATAAAATTAGATAACTATTCATTGCAAATGCTTCTTCTTAACTAGGAGTTGAACAGTAACTTGCCTGTCATGCATAACATTGAAACACTAGAAAATTTCCATCAAAGTGAAAAGAAAAACTGGAGAAAGCACATAAATTTAGGAGTTTAACAGATAAGAGCCCAAGTCCCAATTCCATCCATAGTAGCTGTGTGACCTTGATTTCTCCAAAGTATCTTATTTTTCCACCTGCAAAATAATGACAAGATAGTAATAGTCATGTAAAACAGTGTAAATAAACAATGTAAAACAATGATAAAATGACAGTCACTGAGTGAGTTAATTGCTGCCATAATAGAAGCTGGCTGTGTTGGGAATTAAAGAAGTGTTTTACAGCAATTTAATTTCTATGGCAACCCTATGGTGTAGGTATGTTATTATTCCCACTTCGTAGATGGGAAACTGAGAATATGAAAGGTTAAGTAACTTCTTTTAACTCATAAGGTTATTTTGAAGGATAAAAAGGAAAAGATATGTAAACTACTTTGCAGAATTAAAACATACTACCCATAGTAAAATTTCTTAAATGCTACTTTAAAAAATGTTACTATCAACACTGTTTTTCAATATTATTATAAGTATTTTTGCCAGGGTAGTACCAATGTAACAGAAGACAGAGATATTGAAGAGGTAGAGACAAAATTTTTATTTGTAGATGACATTTTTTAATCTACTGGGACAACCCAAGTGAATAAACTAAAAATGTATTTGAAATAAGAGTTTAGTAAGGGGACTAATTTCAAAATAAAAATATAACAATCAGTAACTTTCCTAGAGACTGACAGTAACCCAGAATATATAAAGGAAACCTCATTCAAAACAGAAACAATAAAAAATATAACTAGGAATACATTTAACAAGAAATATGCTGCATTTATTTAAACTATAAAGCTTTAATGATGAATAGAAAATAATTTTTCATTAATTGGGTGGGACACTTAATGAATGTTGGGGAAGATTATAAATATGTCAATGTCCTCCAGATAAATTTAGATGTTTACCACATCACCAGCAGAAGTCTCTAAGATAAGTTTTTAGGAAACTATTGCACAATTACAAAATTCACTTGATTGAATAAACTGCTGAGAAAACAAAAAATTTGTAGAAAGGGATAATGATGGAGAGCTTTCTCTATTAGTTATTAACATGTATTTTAAAGTGACAATAATTTGTCATCGTGGTTCTACCAAAAAAGTATGCAGACAGAAACATTAAAGAGAATTTAAAAATGCAGAAATAAGCCCAAGCATATATGAAATATTTTATCATATGATAAAGTTGGTAACTTTAAATATTAGAGAAAGGTTGGATTGTACAATAGAGACTATTGAAACAAATGACTCACCAAATGGAAGTAAGTAAAAGTATTTTGTATTAGTTCTCCAGAGAAATGGAACCAATAGGATGTGTGTGTGTGTGTGTGTGTGTGTGTATACGTACATATGGAGAGAGAGAGAGAGAGAGAAAGGAGAGAGGAGAGAGACTTATTTTAAGGCATTGGCTTATGTGATTACGGAGGCTGGCAAATCCAAAATCTACAGGATGGGTCAGCAGGCTGGAGACCTTGAAAGGGCCGATGTTGCAGTTCCAGCACAAAGGCTGTCTGCTGCAGAATTCTTTCTTACTAAGGGCAGGTCAATTTTGTGTTGTATTCAAGCCTTCAACTGATTAGATGAGGCCCACCTACATCGGGCACATTTGTGGAAAGCCAGGCAATCTGCTTTACTTGGTCTACTAATTTAAATGTTAATTTCATACAAAAACACCCTCACAGAACCATCCTGAATAATGTTATGTTTGACCACATATTTGGGCACTGTGGCACAGTCAAGTTGGCACATAAAATTAACCGTCACATCTATACCTTATACTTTATACACCTAAATGTGTTTCAGATGGATCAAAGATTTAGGATTTAAAGTAATCAGGTTGTAAGCATAATGGAGCACAGTATAAATGGATATTTCATCTTGGAGCGAAGAATGCCTTGTTATCCATGATGTCAAAGGTGGAGAATGTTAGAGCAGGTTTTCTGGCAGACTTGTCACTGGCGTTTTGGCAAGACACTCCTTCATTGTGTGGGAGTGTCTTCATTATTGCAGGACAGTTGGCATCCCTGACTCCTGCCCACTAAATGTCAGCACCTCCCTGCTCTGTAATTGTGGGTGCTTAAAAGGCTGTCACCCATTTCTGAACGCCTTCCAGGAGTGGCCTCCAATTAAGAATAGTGGTATTAGCACAAAAATTCAAAACAAGATTTAAGATGATTGCAACTTCTTTGGCACTCCTCCCATTGAGAGGTGAGGACAATGCACTGAACTCTTAAATCTTGGTAGACGTGTGGCTGCTTTGTCCAGTAGACTATGGCAGAAGTGATGCAGTGTGACTTCTGATGCTAAGTCATAAATGACCATGTAGCTCTCAGCTTGTTCCTTAAAATATTCACCCTTGGAACTCTGAGTCACCATATAAGAAATCTGACTACTCTGAAGTGTGTCTACCCATGAGTTATCTTAGCCCAGGTGCCACACACAAGTGAAAAAGTCCCAGCCATTCACGTCACCCCCAGTTGTTTGTGACTTATTACATGGGGCCCCAGGCATAGCAGAATAGAGACAAGAAGTGGGCTCTGTCTGAATTCCCAATCCCCAGAATCCGTGCTCATTAAAGCAGTGCTTATATCATGCTGCCGTTTTGGGGTGGTTTGTCATGTGGCAGTAGATTACTGGAATACTGACTGTAGAAAATTTAAATATCCGAAACCTCTGCACATTAGAAGACACCATGGCGATAATGGAACTGTCATTATAAATGCCAAAGTGTGAAAGTATTTGTGTTGTTTCTGATGAAATATCTCCAGAATATAAAAAGATGGGCATTAAAAAACTAAGCAAGCTATATGCTTTTGATTAATGAAATTTAAATGACCAAAAATTTAAAAAGAGGGAAGAATGTTCATAATCACGTATAGTTTAAAAAATGAGAGAACCGTAACTGATGGTGTAAGTGCCTGACTTATGGTCACAGAGCTGCTTAAGGGCAGAACACTGGATCTTTTTTCTGATTCCATGTTCAGTGCGAAAAGGTCTTGGATTGTGGAAACATACAAATACATATGATACATTTTAAATCTTGAGGTTTGAATCTGCAGAACAGTAAAAGGAAGCACTTGTTGAATGTCAGGAGATAGTCCAAAGACCTTACAGGTATAATCTCATTTAATACTCACAGTAACTATTATTATCCCCATTTATAGCAGAGGAAAGAAACTGAGGCACTGGGAGAAGAGGATCCCTGTTCAAAGTCACACAGTTAACAAGTCCTGGAGTTGGCTTTGAGCCCAAGCACCTGACCTTGGAGTCAGTACTCATAACCAATGCCTTTTCCTGTCATCTCTGCTCTCTCTTTTTTAAAATAAATAAATAAATAAATAAATAAATAAATAAATAAATAAATAAATAAAGACAAGGTCTTGCCATCTTGCTCAGGCTGGTCTTGAACTCCTGGGCTCCATCTTCCCACCTTGACTTCCCAGAGTGCTGGAATTACAGGTGTGAGCCACCATGCCTAACCCTATGCTCTGTCTAAATAATGGTGCCACCTCTCACATTCTCCTCAGTTTTGGTCAGAAGAGGAGTTCTGTAATTGTGCACACAGCTGGCAATGCCTATGCATTGCAGTGAGCTGTGAAACCCACACATGCTCTGTTTTGCTTGATGCGCTCTTGTGAGGGGCAGGCAAGATCATCCCATGCTCTGTTATGGAGTCAGTCATGGAGATAGAGTGTTATGTCCACAGTCGTCGCGCAGATGGCTGCTGGGCAGGGACAGTAGGATTCCTAGACCTGGGCCAATGAACTTCTCACCACACCTCCCTGCCCCAAGATATGTAATGGATGACAGTCATCATCACTGTGTTACTGTGCCAATGGTAACTACTGAGAATGATAATAGTAGCAAGGAGGATATGGAGGTTCTGCAGGAAATCAATGTTTTCAAAATGTATTTCCATGGGCCTCTTTGCCTGCTCGGGACCCTTCTGGATGAAAGCTGGGGTACCGGGAGTGGGTGATTTTTTGGAGCATTCTCAATAAAATGCTCAGGGATGGAGAAGTCCTTCACTCCTAGCTGATTCTAATGGAGCTGTATGATGTGTTCTGATGGTTTCCAAGAGCTGAGGATTGCAGAATCTAATGACAACTGCCAGATCATCCAGGGCTGCTCAGATTTGGTCTGGCTGTCAAGATGCTAGGTTGACAAGCCACTCTTGTATGCACTTAGGACAGGCAGAAGTTGTTCTCATGTGGACTGGGTAAAGAGGACAAACATTGGAATGGTACCTAGAGATGCCCCGTATTGTTGCATCACTGTGAATTTGACTGTAAACGTTTGGCTGCTGTTCTTAGGGAAATGTTGACTTAGGTGGTCTTTATAACCTTTTACTACTTATAGCAGTAAACAGGAGGCATAATATTCCTTGAAGAAGAGTGGAGTAACATTGTTTTGAAAACTTCATGATCAACTTATGATCAATTTCCCTGTTGGTATTTCCAGCTCTGCTTTTTAAGCCAAGGTAATCAAAGTCTGTTTTAACCTTCAGAAGTTCCAGAGTTTGGGAAAAAATGAAAACAACATAAACAGAATAAAGAGTGTGCTGACTGGGGACTGTCAGTTCTGCATCCTGCTCACATTTCAGTCACCTGGAGAAAAGCAGTCAAAAGAAGATCATAGAAGCAATTGTCTCTTGGCTTTGCTCTCTTTAGTGAAAGGCTTTTTCATGTGCCCTGATAAAAATAGGCAGGAAGGCACTAGGTGGAAATTAAAGCAAGGCAAATTGTTGGTGTCTTGACACCAAATATATCTTTTGACCTGTTTTAGCGGTTCCTTTAGCAACCATAAACCTTCCCATGGGCTTATTAGGAGGCGCAGAGAGGCTGAGAGGAGGCAATTTGTCCACAAACCTTATGGGAGCATGCGGGCCTGGGCTTGGCAGGGTCCCATCATTCTTTTTTCTGCAGCCATTCAGCCCTATGCAAATTCTTAAGAACATTCTTACCGCCCTATGGCCCCTGTCTTTTTTTCTTGTCACTAACCCCATTCAGTTCCTTCTCATAGATGTCCTATTCCTGACTCCCTTTCCAATTTCTGACTTCCTCATACTCATGCCCAAATGAAATGAACCATGTTTTATTCCCCCAAGGCTCTGATCTTCTCGGTTCTACTTAATGAACGCCGTGAAGCAATTCACATCAACGGGTGGTGCATGGTCACGGCCAGGGGGTCAGTGTATGAGCCAGGTGCCAGGAGGCCGGATTTATTTTTATTAACTGTCACGTTGGGCTGGTAACTTCGCTGTTCTAGGCCTGTTTCCAAATCTGTAAAATGGGTTGCACACTGTTTCTCAACCATTTTCACGGAAGTCCCTCAGTTGCTGGGGAAAGCCTTGGAGGGAGGCTGAGAGCAAGGGCTCCAGTCAACCTCTCCTCATTCTGTTCTCCCTGCCCCCACCCCACCTCACCCACTCCTGCCCACTTCATCTGAGCCCAGTTTTTGCCTGTTTTATGTATTGAGATGTTGCTATCACCCAGTATTCATCCATGGGCATTGCTGCTCTTTGAGATCTAGTGGAAATCGTGTTAGATCCCTCACTTTGACATCCCGTGGAAATCCAGACTTTCTCCTCATTTATGTTCAATTTAAGGGAGGCTGATGGTCCTTGGCCTCCTACAGTTCTCAGGTGTCTTTTTCAGATTTAATTTTAATTCGGGGGTATATGTGCAGGTTTGTTACCTAGGTATATCGCGTGATGCTGAGGTTTGGGGTATGAATGATCCCACTACCTAGGTGCTGAGCATAGTACCCAATGGTTGACTTTTCAGCCCTTGTCTCCCTCCCCCCCTCCCCTCAATAGTCTCCAGTGCCTGTTGTTCACATCTTTATGTCCATGTGTACCCAGTATTTAGCTCCCAATTACAAGTAAGAACATGCAATATTTGATTTTCTGTTTCTGTGTTAATTCACTTAAGATAATGCCCTCCAGCTGCATCCACGTTGCTGCAAAGGACATGATTCTGTTCTTTTTTATGCTGCATAGTATTCCGTGGTGTATATGTACCCCATTTTCTTTATCCAATCCACCATAGATGGGCATGTAGGTTGCTTCCATGCTTTTGCTATTGTGAATAGTGCTACAATCAACATACCAGTTCATGTGTCTTTTTGGTAGGAAGATGTGTCTTTGGATATATACCCAGTAATGAGGTTGATGGGTTGAATGGTAGTTCTGTTTTAAGTTCTTTGAAGAAATATTCAAACTGCTGTCCACAGTGGCTGGACTAATTTACAATACCACTAACAGCGTGTAAGTGTTCCCTTTTCTCCACAGCCTCAGTAGCATCTGTGATTTTTTGACTTTTTCAATTATAGCCATTCTGACAGGTGTGAGACGGTATCTCATTGTGGTTTTGATTATTTGCATTTCCCTTTATGATTAATGAGGTGGAGCATTTTTTTCATATGCTTGTTGGCTGCTTCTATGTTTTCTTTTGAGAAGTGTCTGTTCATGTCTTTTGTTCATTTTTAAATGGGGTTATTTGGTTTTTGCCTGTTCAATTACTTAAGTTCCTTTTAGATTCTGGATATTACACCTCTGTCAGCTGCATAGTTTGCATGTATTTTCTCCCATTCTGTAGGTTGTCTGTTTATTCTTTTGATAGTTTCATTTGTTATGCAGAAGATCTTTAGTTTAATTAGATGCCACTTGTCAATTTTCATTTTTGTTGCAATTGCTTTTGAGGACTTAGTCATAAATTATTTCCCAAGGTTGATGTCCAGAATGGTGTTTTCCAGGTTTCTTCTAAGATCCTTATAGGCTCTTTTTGGGTTCCATATTAATTTTAAAACAGTTATTTTTAGTTCTGTGAAAAATGATAGTAGTTTGATGGGAATAGTGTTGAATCTGTATATTGCTTCATGCAGTATGACCATTTTAAGAATATTGATTCTTCTAATCCGTGAGCATGGATTGTTTTTCCATTCGTTTGTGTCATCTATGATTTTTTTTAAAAAATTTTTATTTTTTTTATTATTATACTTTAAGTTCTAGGGTACATGTGCACAATGTGCAGGTTTGTTACATATGTATACATGTGCCATGTTGGTGTGCTGCACCCATTAACTCATCATTTACAGTAGGTATATCTCCTAATGCTATCCCTCTCCCCTCCCCCAACCCCATGACAGGCCCCGGTGTGTGATGTTCCCCGCCCTGTGTCCAAGTGTTCTCTTTGTTCAGTTCCCACCTATGAGTGAGAGCATGTGGTGTTTGGTTTTCTGTCCTTGCAATAGTTTGCTCAGAATGATGGTTTCTAGCGTTATCCATGTCCCTACAAAGGATATGAACTCATCCTTTTTTATGGCTGCATAGTATTCCATGGTGTATATGTGTCACATTTTCTTGATCCAGTCTGTCATTGATGGACATTTGGGTTGGTTCCAAGTCTTTGCTATTGTGAATAGTGCTGCAATAGACATACGTGTGCATGTGTCTTCATAGCAGCATGATTTATAATCCTTTGGGTATATAATGGGATGGCTGGGTCAAATGGGATTTCTAGTTCTAGACCCTTGAGGAATCACCACACTGTCTTCCACAATGGTTGAACTAGTTTACTCTCCCACCAACAGTGTAAAAGCATTCCTATTTCTTCACATCCTCTCCAGCACCTGTTGTTTCCTGACTTTTTAATGATCGCCATTCTAACTGGTGTGAGATGGTATCTCACTGTGGTTTTGATTTGCATTTCTCTGATGGCCAGTGATGATGAGCATTTTCTCATGTGTCTGTTGGCTGCATAAATGTCTTCTTTTGAGAAGTGTCTGTTCGTATCCTTTGCCCACTTTTTGATGGGGTTGTTTGATTTTTTCTTGTAAATTTGTTTGAGTTCATTGTAGATTCTGGATATTAGCCCTTTGTCAGATGGGTAGATTGTAAAAATTTTCTCCCATTCTGTAGGTTGCCTGTTCACTCTGATGGTAGTTTGTTTTGCTGTGCAGAAGCTCTTTAGTTTAATTAGATGCCATTTGTCCATTTTGGCTTTTGTTGCCATTGCTTTGGGTGTTTTAGTCATGAAGTCCTTGCCCATGCCTATGGCCTAAATGGTATTGCCTAAGTTTTCTTCTAGGGTTTTTATGGTTTTAGGTCTAACATTTATGTCTTTAATCCATCTTGAATTAATTTTTGTATAAAGTGTAAGGAAGGGATCCAGTTTCAGCTTGCTACACATGGCTAGCCAGTTTTCCCAGCACCATTTATTAAATAGGGAATCCTTTCCCCATTTATTGTTTTTGTCAGGTTTGTCAAAGATCAGATGGTTGTAGATGTGTGGTATTATTTCCGAGGGCTCTATTCTGTTCCGTTGGTCTATATCTCTGTTTTGGTACCAGTACCATGCTGTTTTGGTTGCTGTAGCCTTGCAGTATAGTCTGAAGTCAGGTAGTGTGATGCCTCCAGCTTTGTTCTTTTGGCTTAGGATTGTCTTGGCAAGGCGGGCTCTTTTTTGGTTCCATGTGAACTTTAAAGTACTTCTTTTCCAATTCTGTGAAGAAAGTCATTGCTAGCTTGATGGGGGATAGCATTGAATCTATAAATTACCTTGGGCAGTATGGCCATTTTCACAATAGTGATTCTTCCTATTCATGAGCATGGAATGTTCTTCCATTTGTCTGTGTTTTATTTCGTTGAGCAGTGGTTTGTAGTTCTCCTTGAAGAGGTCCTTCACATCCCTTGTAAGTTGGATTCCTAAGTATTTTATTCTCTTTGAAGCAGTTGTGAATGGGAGTTCATTCATGATTTCGCTCTGTCTGTTGTTGGTGTATAGGAATGCTTGTGATTTTTGCACATTGATTTTGTATCCTGAGACTTTGCTGAAGCTGCTTATCAGCTTAAGGAGATTTTGGGCTGAGATGATGGGGCTTTCTAAATACACAATGATGTCATCTGCAAACAGAGACAATTTGACTTCCTCTTTTCCTAATTGAATACCCTTTATTTCTTTCTCCTGCCTGATTGCCCTGGCCACAACTTCCAACACTATGTTGAATAGGAGGGGTGAGACAGGGCATCCCTGTCTTGTGCCAGTTTTCAAAGGGAATGCTTCCAGCTTTTGCCCATTCAGTGTGATATTGGCTGTGGGTTTGTCATAAATAGCTCTTATTATTTTGAGATATGTCCCATCAATACCTAGTTTACTGAGAGTTTTTAGCATGAAGGGCTGTTGAATTTTGTCAAAGGCCTTTTCTGCATCTGTTGAGATAATCATGTGGTTTTTGTCTTTGGTTCTGTTTATATGATGGATTACGTTTATTGATTTGTGTCTGTTGAATCAGCCTTGCATCCCAGGGATGAAGCCAACTTGATCGTGGTGGATAAGCTTTTTGATGTGCTGCTGGATTTGGTTTGCCAGTATTTTATTAAGGATTTTTGCATCGATGTTCATCGGGGATATTGGTATAAAATTCTCTTTTATTGTTTGTTGTGTCTCTGCCAGGCGTTGGTATCAGGATGATGTTGGCCTCATAAAATGAGTTAGGGAGGATTCCCTCTTTTTATATTGATTGGAATAGTTTCAGAAGGAATGGTACCAGCTCCTTTTTGTACCTCTGGTAGAATTTGGCTGTGAATCCGTCTGGTCCTGGACTTTTTTGGTTGGTAAGCTATTAATTATTGCCTCAATTTCAGAACCTGTTATTGGTCAATTCAGAGATTCAACTTCTTCCTGGTTTAGTCTTGGGAGGGTGTATCTGTCCAGGAATTTATTCATTTCTTCTAGATTTTCTAGTTTATTTGTGTAGAGGTGTTTATAGTTTTCTCTGATGGTAGTTTGTATTTCTGTGGGATCAGTGGTGATATCCCCTTTATCATTTTTTTATTGTGTCTGTTTGATTCTTCTCTCTTTTCTTCTTTATTAGTCATGCACAGACAATACATAGTAAACACCTGAGCATTCCAAACTCAATTCTATACCATCCAGTTCCACCCAGCTTGTTACCCCTCTGTCCTGTAACACCATGCTGTATCCAGGAGAAATGAATTTTGGTTTTTTTGTTGTTGTTGCTCAGGTTTTTGTTTTGTTTTTAAGTTAAAACATTACAGATAGAATTAAAACTGAGACATCATCATGTACCTGTTCTTGATTCTGTTCCCTTTCTTGTTACCCAGAGCTTGCATCAGAGTTTGGCGTCTCTTATTCCTATGCACATTTTTATGCTATTACCACCTATTAAGCATATGGAATTATCTTGTTCACTTTTTGCTGTTGTTTATACTAGATAGATTCAAAGAATATCATTCTAGAACTTTTAATTTTCTTTCAACATTATAATTTTAAGGTTTCCCTTTATATGTGTGGTCCAGTTCAGTTTTTTTCACTGCCTTATAAATATAATGAAAATTATTTACTCGTTTTATTATTGGGGGATGTTTCATCTACTATTATGAAATATATTGCAATGAATATTCTTGTATATTTTCTTGTCCATAAGTGACAAAACTGTTAGAAAAGTGTTTTATAAGCCAGAAAGGATGAAGGAAAATTAAAGGGAGAGTCACACCATATTCCTGTTTACAATGTCAATTTTTCCAAATTAATAAATGAGATCTCTACCTCATATTTTTTTAAAAAAATCAATTATAAGGTCCATTAAAGACCATGGGCCGGGCACGGTGTCTCATTCCTGTAACCCCAGCACTTTGGGAGGCTGGGGCAGGCGGATCACCTGAGGTCAGGAGTTCAAGACCAACCTGGCCAAAATGGTGAAACCCCATCTCTACTAAAAATACAAAAATTAGCTGGGCGTGGTAGTGTGCACCTATAGTTCCAGCTACTCAGGAGGCTGAGGCAGGAGAATCGCTTGAACCTGGGAGATGGAGGTTGCAGTGAGCCGAGATTGTGCCACTGCACTCCAGCCTGGATGACAGAGTGAGACTCCATCTCCAAAAAAAAAAAAAGTAAGTGTGGAAAACAAAATGTTAAAAATAAAATGCAGAACAATACTTTTATGGTATTAAATTTCTTAATTAAGCTAAAGGAAAGCACAAATAATAAGTGAAAAATGAGCACTTCCTACTGTATTAACAAATAATGACACCCCTCCCCAGAAAACTTCCTTTTTCTCCTATCCAAAAGCCCACTGTTAAGTACAATTTTCTTGCTCATCTCCTATTTTTTGGATGAGTAAATCTACTCTTACACATTGGCTAATGTTGATCCCTTTTTGCAAAATGATCAAGTCCCACTGACATTTCCATTTGGAAATTTTATCTAATCCTTAAGGCCCAGATGAATCATAGCTTCTCCAGTTTCACATAAGTGACTGTGAAGACTTCCTTCCCTGGCATTTTAAAGGAGCTTGTTTAAGTTTTTCTTTTGAAGTATACCATTCGGCTTTTAAAAATAAATTCACACTTGTTTCAAAGGCTGAACATACAGTCGGAAGAACAATATCTACCTTAGAGCTTGTAGCATGTTAGGTAGTGTCCTCTAAAATTTCATGTCCACTCTGTACCTCAAAATTTGAACTTATTTGTAAATAGGTTATTTGCAGATGTAATTGGTTTAAGATTGAGATGAGATCATACTGGATGAGGGTGGGTCCCAAACCCAATGACATGTTCTTATAAGAGGAGGAGAGGACACACATAGTCACTAAGAAGAGGGCTACGGGAAGATGGTGGCTGAGATTGGTGTGATGCAGTTATACAATCCAACGAATGCCAAGGGTCTCCATGAGCCCCCAGAAGCTAGGAAGAGGCCAGGTACGGTGGCTCACACCTAATCCCAGCACTTTGGGAGGCCGAGGTAAGAGGATGGTTTGAGCCCAGGGGCTCAAGACCAGCCTGGGCAAGAAGGTAAGTCCTCGTCTCTACAAAAAAAAAAAAATTAAAAACTTAGCTAGGTGTGGTGGCTTGTGTGCCTGTAGTCCCAGTTACTCAGGAGATTGAGGTGGGAGGATCACTTGAGCCCAGGAGTTAGAAGGTGCAGTGAGCTATGATCACGTAAGTGCACTCCAGCCTGGGTGACAGAAAGAGACCTTGTTTCTAAAGAAGAAGAAGGAGAAGGAGAAGGAGAAGAAACAGCAGCAGCTAGGAAGAGTCAAGAAAGTCTTTCTTCAGAGTCACTGGAGAGAGCATGGCCCTGTTGACACCTTGATTTTGGACTTCCAGACCTCCAGACCTGTAAGAGAATAAATTTCTGTTGTTCTAATCCACGGTTTGTGGTCATTTGTTACCATGGGTCATTTATTAAAAAGTAATACACAGCTATAGGTCTGTGTGCTAGTCAGGCTATCGTACTTCAGAGTGCCTGCGGGTGACCGGAAGCACATCTTCATTTCATTTTTTACCATGGTTTGTGTCATATGCCTTGATTGAAACCTAGTCACAGCTGATTGTATCAAGGATCAGGGCATAGCTAAAAACAATGAAGAGGAGCATGAGGGAGGCCAACCACCTTTGAGCTGACTGGAGACCAACTTAGTCCAAAAGGGGCACCCTATATTGGAAGATGGCAGTAGAGTGTAATCCAATCTTATTTCTTTAAAATATCTAAATACTAGGTAAACCCTGAAAAGTTTACTCACTTAGCTTTGACCATTATTCTAATAGTGCTGCATTACCTTGTCAGTTCTTTATGATGCCATCTTATGCATCAAATTCAGACACATTGGAACAGAGAATATTTGTGCAGTGATCAGGTGCACAAAAAATGTCCCCCTGTCATTTCACATCCCCATAGGTCCTATTAATAAAACTTCATCACCGGTGGACATTTTTTCTCATCTTTCTTTACATTTCCAAGAATATGAAGAATAACTCTTAACGTAATCTCTAAACAGTTTATCCTTGAAAGCTATATTACTTTCATGGATCACCTTCTCTGGAAAGCACTCTGAATCCCCTAGGCAATGTTAGTTTCTTCCTTAGGTATCCCTGTTATAGTACAAAGCGCACTGTATAGACCATTTGGGTTCACATTTCTGTCACCCCAATAGACTGTGAATCCCTTTGGAATAGTGTTAGACGCTCCTTTGTCTGAGGACCACTGTACCCTATATATCTGTTATCACATTGATCATTTGCATTGGAACTACTTATTGACTAGCTTTCCTCTCTAATAATGAGTGAGCAGCTTCAGGAAAGTGATTTTGTTTGCTTCATTCTTGTACCTCCAGCACTAGTATAGTATTTGGTAGACACACAATAGGTGCTCAATTAATCGTATTCAATAAGAGCTCTAAAAGAGTTTAGTGGTAACAAATATTACCATTATGGAACATCTGCATGGCTAAGTACCTAAATCATCACATTTAATTCTCCCAACAACCCCATCATCCTACAGGTGAAGAAATGGAAGCTCAGAGAAGTTGTGGTGCCTGTTCAAGATCACTCAGCTGGTAGGTTGGGAAGCAGGATTCATCTCCTTCCTGTCTGCTCTTCATCAATGTCAGTGTGCTGCTCTCTGGCCTGAAATTCTTAAGTTCCAGAAATCAAGCAACATTAACATACCTAAATTACTTCCATGATCTACTAACTCACTCACCTAAATTTTAGATTCGCATTTTAGGATTATGATAAAACAGTGGTTCACACGAGGAAGTAATTTTGCCTCCAGGCAATATTTAACAATGTCCGGAAACATTTTTGGTGGTCACGACTTAGTGGGGGAATGCTATTTGCTGGTAGAGAATAGGGATGCCACTAAACATCTTAAAATGCATAGGACAGCTCCTTGCAACAAAGAATTGTCCAGCCCAAAATATCAACAGTCCTGAGGTTGAGAAACCTTACTATGTAAGGATAGCATGAGTACTTGTACTTTAAAATACTTCACTATCTTGGTAAACATATTTTCCTTTTCCAGTACAGAGAATGAGTATCATTATCTCTGACTGAAGATGAAGAACAGAAACAGTGATTTGTTTATGACGGAGAAGAGAGTCTGCCATAAAGTCTTACTGGACCCAGGATGGCCTACACCTTCTCTTCTGGCTTTGCCATCTCTAAAACTGGCTTTTCTGGGATAGAGATCTTTGTTCCTTGGTCTGAAATCCAAATACATGATGCAGAAAAAGTGAGAAAAGTGATTTAGGAACAAGTGGTTCGTGGAGAGGGCTCCTCATTTTCTGGATAAAGGCAGTAGCTCTACTTAGAATCACAGAATTAAAACCAAGAGAGGCCTCAGAGACCATTTAGCCCCCCATCCCACTCCTAATTGTACAGTGGCAGGAAGTGAGGTGTGAGAACTGGAACTATGAGCTCAGTATCACCTAGTGAGTGGCATCCTGGATGGAACTTAGGGCTCCTGGCTTTCAGTTTAGTGCCTTTTTCTCCATCCCACTTTGTTATTCGACTACACTAGGCTAACCGAAGAGAAAGTTCTTGTAATTTCAGAGAAATCTTCAGCTTTTTCTTCTGCAAATCTGGGATGACACTCTCATAGTAAATGGAGAATAACTGTGCTCCAAACAAGAATGCTAGGATTTAGGTATCAAGAGTATTAGGTACTCAATCAGAATGGGATGCCCTCTGGACCTGGGACTCACTTAAAAATAGAAGTCAGTGTTTCAACAGAGATCCTTGCTGCATTATGAACTGACAGAAAGGTTTTGATCCTAACACAGTGATACAGGGGGGATTAACAGAAGTGAATTCAACTGCAGCTAAGGGGTTGGTACAGCTCATGTCCCAGTTGCATCCTGTCTTACCAAGGAAGCTGAAGTGACAGATCCTGAGATTTGGCCAAGCCTCGTGATCTAATTGGAAGTGTCAGTAGGATTGGACAGATAAGAATACAGCTGGCCAGGCGCGGTGGCTCACGCCTATAATCCCAGCACTTTGGGAGGCCCAGGTGGGTGTATCATTTAAGGTCAGAAGTTCAAGACCAGCTTGGCCAACATGGTGAAACCTCATCTCTACTAAAAATATAAAAAAAATTAGCCAGGCATGGTGGTGGGCGCCTGTAATCCCAGCTACTCGGGAGGCTGAGGCACAAGAGTCGCTTGAACCCGGGAGGCAGAGGTTGCAGTGAGCCGAGATTGTGCCAATGCACTCCAGCCTGGGTGATAGAGCAATATGCAGTCTCAAAAAAAAAAAAAAAAAAAAAAAAGAAAGAAAGAAAGAAAAAAAAGAATACAACCAACCGGGAGATCACTTCCCCACAGGAAGCCTTTGTAGGCACAGACTTCCCCAGGGTGAGAATAATGGAGTCTTTCAAAAATCAGGCAATATGACCAAAAGCTAATTCTCAAAAACTCAATTTGTCAAAATTCAATTCATCAAATGACCAATTTATTAAATGTGTTACAGTTTAAAAGCTTCAAAGTGACTGTTCTAAAAGCTTTGGCAGAAATGTTCATTTTTGGCTACTGATTACATAATAAGATTTTCTAATTATGAACTAATCTAAAATTCTTCTGCCCTTTGAGTGACTGGGAAGCATATTTTAAAATTCTGAAAAGTGGACCAAAGAAAAATCACTATAAAACATTTTTTTCACATAAAATACTATTTTTCTATAACTCAAACTTCTGTATTTCAAATGTAATAAGCTCTTTGTTACTTCTGATTTCTTTCTGTTGCTTGTGAATGCATTTTTCTGTTTTCAAAAGCCTTCCAGGATTTTAGGTATTCTTTTGCAAATCCCTCAAATCAGCCTTGTGTATATTTGTAGCAATTAAAATTTTAAAGATAAACTAAATGAAAAAATGCTAAGGAAATCAGTATGAACTAAAAACGTTGCTAAAATGTTGATTTTTTCATTTTTAATAAGGAACAATTTGATTGTGTTGACTTGTTAGTAGTTTGCTGAGGAATTAGACATAAAATATTAAAGCCATTCACATCTGGGGAAAGGGAATAAGAATTCTCAAAATACTGTGGTAGGTTGTATGCTTGTACCTCAAATTTCGTATTTCACATAGAAATGTGAAAGAAGAATTAAAAATTCTAGAAATTCTAAAAGATTTGTGAAAACAACAACAAAAAGACATTAAAAGAGATTTCTGAGTGGAGTTAAAAAATGATATTAACCAAAAAATGTGTTTATAAAGTGATAAAATTTTGGTTTCTGATAATGAAATAGTTAATATTTAGAAAGTTATATTTCATCATTGGTAGTAAAAATAAAGCATTCTTAAAGTTGTTAAGTAATCATTGTTAAAGTGGTTCTAAGAACTTGTTTGATAAATAAGGGAGTAGGTAAATTTAGCAAATTGTACTGTCAACTGTCTTCATCAAATTGGTGAATCAGTGAATTGAATTTCAGTGCACTGGCTTTTGGCAAGTTGTGTCCAAGCTGGGTGCACGCAAAAACAGATATTTGCAGTTGTGGGAACAGAAAATGGAAGCCGTGCCTTAGTGGCCTGGAATTACTCATTGCAGTAAGAAAGCAACGTCATCTGCTGTAAGAAAGGGCAGGTCAGTTGGTACAGGGCCCATGGAACTGGGAAAGGTCTAGAGGGCTGTTGTGGAGTGTGGGCCACGCAGCTGAGCAAGGACACATGGTGACATGGCTGAGTGTTGCTGAGGCCCAGCTGAGATCTGTGAACACCAAACTGTTGTGATGGGGTTGCTGGTCAGCGCTCTCTTCTGACCCGCTTTTTCTCTTCCTTCAAGTTGCTGTCCAATTGCCATCCTGAGCACCCTGGATGAAACAGCATCTGTCATCTCTTCCCACTTCCTCATCCAGCTTGTTTTTTTCTCTCTCCCTTTTTTTTCTTTTTTCACAGTGCGAATCTTATCTGTTTACTTGTTTGTCTCTCCTCACTAGAGTGTAAGCTCCATGAAATCAAGAACTGTGTGTTTTCTCCACTGCTATATTCCCAGTGCCTAGAAGGGTGTAGGACACTGAGAATGTGCTCAATAAATATTTGTTGAGTGAATGAACACATGTGTGGGTAACATAAAAGGAACTCTGTGATAAGGCCCTGACCCATCTCTTTCACCTATTCCGGTTTTATTTTACTGGCTCCTGTTCTCCAGTCATACTGAAGTATCCACTAATTGTTTCCTGGGAAAAAAACAAAAAAAAAAAAAACAAAAAAACCCTGTTATTTCTTACCTGCCACTTATTTCTTTTTTGTTTTTATTTTTTAGATGAGTTCTCACTCTATCATCCAGACTGGAGTGCAGTGGCATGATCATAGCTCACTGCAGCTATGATCATTGAACTTTAGGGCTCAAGCGATCCTCCTACTTCAATTTCCCAAGAAGCTGGTACTACAAGTGTGTGTCACCATGCCCAGCTTATTTTTAAATTTATCTGTAGAGATGGAGTCTCACTCTGTTGCCCAGGTCTTGAAGTCCTGGGCCCAAGCCATCTTCCCACCTTAGTTAGCCTCCCAAAGGGTTGGAATTACAGGTGTGAGCCACTGGTCGGGTCCTTACCCTGTTTTTTAAAGTTTACTGCTCCTCTGCCTAGAACCTCCTTCCTGCTTTGCTCATGCTGTTGATTCCTGCTTGTTACTTAATCACCCTCTGGAGCCTCTTCCCTGTCTCCAGGAATAGCTGATCACTGTGTGGCCCCATTGCTTCATACATCTCTGGATGGTGCTTCCATGATCACCCTGGAATGTAAGTATCTATTCACACAACTCTGTCTGCACTATGCTATGTGCTTTCTTACATCAAAATTGTACCTAGATCATCTTTATTTCCCCAGCATCTGTCATCAGGTCTCAGAAAGATGTGTTGAGTAAATGAGTATATGACCAGGAGACAAGGTTGAGTTTATTTGTCCATTGGGATATTAAGAAGCAGATACTTTGGAACTCAACCATCTATAGCCCAGCCAGGCCCCAGGGATGACAGATTACACAGAAGATGGCACATCATAACCACCTGAGGCTTACCTTGCTGAGGTGAACCGAGCTGAAACACATGTGAGCCACACCTTCTCCTCTTGTACTAAGCCTAAACTATAGATAAGAAAAATGCCCTGTGAGCATTTCCTGAGGCTGGAGTCTCATCTTAGCATTCACAAAGCTACAGCAGGGACCCAAAGGAATGCAAGGACTGAATTCAGTCACGGTGTCATGATTCCATCTCTTTGAACTCCTTCTGAATCTTAATAATGGGGTGGTGGTTCATTCCCAAGAGGAAGAAGGAAACAGATATAGGAGGCAAGCAAACCAGGGAAGCCATATAATATAAAAATAGCGCTGCACTATATGTAGCAGAGGTAGATCAGAATGTCTTTATTCTTAGCTTCACCAACTACTAGTACCTGGAAAGGAGTGAATCCTTGGCCCTGGTTGGTTCTCTTCCACAGGGAAGGTGGGAATGGGAGGGAGGTAAAGCGTTGAGCTCCTCCTAAAGGTGAGTTGCTGCTACTACTGTGGTCCTTGGTCCCTGGTTATCTTCTCCCAGATAGGGGCAGTAATACATAACCAGAGTGAGGACACACAGAAGGTATGTCAGGGTGTCTCAACCTCCTTTACAGATGGTGTTAGAACAACCTGTGCATTAAGGGGACAGGCGGTGAGATTTATCTAATTAATACTCTGTTGGATGGAAGCAAAGAGAATAATCAAGGCAAATGCAAATGTAGTTTCTGCCATTGCCTCAGTTACTTAGGAGACGAATCTATCTCTAAAGACAGAATTAGAAAAAAAATCATTCTACATCCTCCCTTGGCTTTGGTCACTTCTCATTTTGAGAACTTGGATTCTATGAGTTTCTGGATATACAGCCTCTCTAATTTTCTTCTTGGGCTTCACCATCTGAGAGCAGGATGCTTCTGTGAAAATGCATGGAAATAATTACAGAAAATCATCTCCAAGAGGCATTGGCCAAACAGAAAAAATGACAAGATGCCTTTGGGTATAAATCTAGAAAGGGCACATGTGAACTGTAAATGACACCTCCCAGTACAGTTTATGGCTGTTTGACACTTTGGGAGCTTAGGTGGTCCTCTCTGTAATTTTCATCCGATTGAATGCACTTTGAAACGGAACCAACATTGTTAGCGCAGCTTGGGAGCCGCTGTCTATTTTTTCCCCACTTGAATACCAGCCTCACCAAAAAGAGTTTAAATTTTAGATACGTTCACTCCCTGAGCAAAACTCCCATGGAAAATGATGCTTGGGAGGACATGCAAATGTGCCAGTGACCTACATACGGAGCCTATAAGCCCATCAGATTGCTTCTGCCACTTGAAACCTGGGGAAAAATGGAAAAATAAAACTGCATTTTGTGTGGCGTGCTCCAAAAAGCACTAAGATTTTTTCCAGGGTTGATTGAGAAAAGATGATTTATTAGGGGTATTTTCCTTTGTCTTTGTGACATTGCCAAATGACACATTTAAACTAGATGTGGTTATTCATGCAGTAATTATAGTGTGAAATTATTATATTTGATGTTTTATTTTAGGGTTTTAAAACTTCATGATTCTCTCACAACCCACAGCAGCAGCAGCTTTAAAAAAAAAAAAAACAGAGGTTATGGGATTCAATAGCCAGGTAAACACGGCACATGCATAATATACCACTGCCACTTTCCTTGTGGCTAGACATACAGAAGGTATTTGCAGAGGTTAGTTTGGGACTAATAAAATTGATTGGGCTAAGGGAATTGTGGGGCAGGGTGGGCGTCTGTTTTCTGGAGGTCTGCACTGGGAGGAGGCACACTTTGGAAATGTGGGCTTCATTTCTCTGGCAGCACTGGTACTTGCCTTTCCTTGGCTGGTTGTACCGTCATTCTTACATATTCAAGCATGCTTGGAAACTGTTCCTCAAAATAGAGATAGTACAATTGGATATGGCCCCTGGACTGCATTTCTTGGGTGCGTGAGTGTGTTTGATGTTTGTCAAGAGGCTCAAAGGAACCTAAAAGACTTGGAAGACCTCCGAGCGCATCAGGGCTGGCAGAAAGTCCAAGAGATGAAGATTTTGTGCCATGAAGGAAATTAAGGCGTAGAAAGTGAATGGGCTATGATTGCAGGCACAGAAAGAACAGGAATGAGCAAAGAGTTATTATGTGACACAGGAGATTTTCAGATTCAAGCAATAAAAATATACTTCATACTAGCTCAGGACAAGACGTAAGTGGGTGGTGGTAGTGGGAGAGAGGGTTTATTCAGAGGTATCTGGGAAGTACAGGGATAGGCCTATGAAAACAGAGAGGGGGGCTCAAGAATCACTTTCAACTCCTCTTTCTCAGCTTTGTCTGACTTGTCTTTATTTTCAATTAGCTTTCTCCGTGTGGCTGAGAAAATGGTCAACAGTCATGTGTCTATACTCCTCGAATTCTCAATCCACCTATAAGAAGAAGAACTAGTCAATCGTTTCATGCCAATTTCCTGGATTGGCTCATTTGGGGTTGTGTTGTTGGGAGGATGCCGTGCAGGATGTCTGCTCTTGGTCAGGTGTCCACTCTGTGCTGGGGAGGAGAGAGGAGGGCACTTGCTTGGCATCCCCACCAGAATTACTGGAAGTTAAGAGGGAATCCCCCAAGGGAAAAATATCCTGTTAGCAGAATACAGGAATGAGAAACCTACTGGGCAGACAGTAACAGAAGTCATCATTAGCCACCTGCCTTTGACCCTGCCTTCCTCAATCAGCTACCTTATAGCTCAGGTCAGCAATCTCCTCTACCATGGTGGCAGGATTATCTTTTGTCTCAGGGCTAAAGAAAGGCACGGCCAAGCTCTGGAACAACATCAGAGAGTAAAGAGTTGTAGAGATAAATGCAGAACTCACTGTGTCCACTTTGCCGAAGAGAAGGCAAAGCCAGAAAGTGACATTTCTAAGGCTACCAAGCTAGCAGTAAGTTGCAGCACTGGAACTAGAACCTTTATGAATTTTACAGGAAAGGGTAATTGAAGAAAGCCATTTTCAAGAGAGGTTAGTGGGCTGTCGTGGTGAGGCTTCACAGCATCGTCTTCCTGGTGGCAGGGTCTGGCCCTGTCTCCTTGGTGTCTTAGACTGGACCAGCAGGAGCTTTGTGGGGATATGCCTCTGACCAGGTGCAGACTGGCTCCAGAGTCTGACAAGGGGGATGCCAGGAGGCAGGCTGAATCCCACCCAGGCACTTGGGGGGCAGACAGAGGGAAGTTTTGGCTTGGTGAAGTCCCAACACCGGAAGCACGTGCCAGGGTCACGGGGACCTGGCTGGTTCAGACTGTGGTGCCAGGCCAGATTCTCACTGGCTCAGGATTGGCTAGGGTTGAGCTTCCACACTAGAGACAAACAGGAGGAAATGATGAAGGATCAAAAGGCCTCTGAGACACTAGCATCAAGATGGGAACAGAGGACAAAAGGAGAGGGACAGAATCAAAGGGTCTCACTTTTCTGGGGGCTGTATCTATGCTTTTCTCTAATGCCATGCCCTACAGAAGTTAGAATGCTGTGTCCTTCCTGCTTTGTCACTAGAGTACCTGCTTAAGGTCACCTGAAGCAGGCAGTGGCTGGGGTCTCCACATCTCAAGGGCTGGATTAGAACCCCTGGGTTGGCTTCCCAGGCCCCACAGAAACTTCCCCTTTCCGAAGCTGTGTTCAGAAGGCTTAACCTGCATGTTAAGTAGATTCGGCTATTTAAAACTCCCGTGACTGCCGTAGGCATGTATCCTATTCTTCAATTTCCTCTTGGAAGCTTTGTACTTCTGGAATCTAACTTCTCTGCCTCCTTCCCACATTGTTTTGAGTCAACCACATTTCATTGTCCTTAATTAACCTGGAGGTATTAATGCTGAGGACACAGATGAGAAAAGCTGTTGTTTCTGAAATTAAATTTTACTTCCTTCTCCCCTTCTAGGAAAGGTTAGGGCAGCGAAGAATATATAGGTCATGTTTCCAATTATAAAACACCGATGATGCTATTTTTTCCTCCTGTACTAATAAAAATAGAAATGAACAAGGGAAGCCGAGCTGTCTATAGGAAGCCAGCAGTCCCCAACATGGCTGCTGCGATCACCAGTTGTTAACCACCAACAGGACTAGGTCACGTGGCATGACAGGGTATGCCAAGCAGCCAGGGAGGGTCTTTATGCAGCAGAGTCACTAGGTGGCACTATCAATAAGGAAGGACAAAAAGTATTCCTTGCCACCAGATCTGTGCAAAGAAAGACAATAAGCAGTTAAGATAATAGGTGTGAAAAATAAAACTTGTGGTCTTATCCCATAAAATAGAGCAATATCAGTGGTTCTGAGCTTTTGAATTCCTGGATAGTAGATGCTTGAAAGTGGTCAAAATAAGGATGGGTATTGGAGGTGGAGGGAACAAAATTTGCAAAGACTGCTATGTAGAACGGTGCTTTATTTGTGAAACGTAAGCACCTGTGGTTCAATGTGCCATGGCTTCAGCTTCCTATGGGACTGGAGGAACATGTGATGTTGGAAATGGAGAGAGTGATATGAACAAGAGTAGTCTTGGAATATCCTCCTAAGAATTTTATCGAGAGAGATTGGGAGGTGGTTGACGCAGGAGAGTGACATCTGCAGGTTAGGATCTTATAGCTACAGGTGAGAAATGATCAGAGCTGAGCTAACACCCTAACACGGAAGATGAAATGGAGCATTTGAGAGGTTTTAGACAGGAACATCTAATGGGTGGGGCCATCAGGGGAAAGGCCACTGTAAATGCCTCTCTCCCTAAAAATGCCCTAAAAGCATCCCTAGTGTTCCTTTAACCCTCTAATATGCCACCAATAATCCAAGAATAGAACCTTCATGTGGAGGAGAGCTTCAAGATGTTTAACCCAATGAAGTGACTCATTGACCCAATTTCTGCCGTAGAGAACATTTAGACTCTTGAAGCAAGTCAATGGATTGTGGAAGAGTGCAAGTGGTAGGAATTGTAACTTCCTCCCTATTGCTAACAGTAGCTGATGCTGTCAGCATCCTGTCTGTATCCCACCAGAACTTGCATCCTCAGGGCATGCCAGCTACTCCAGTGTGGCAGGCTGGAGTGCTAAGGAATTAACCACCTCCCGGACAGCCCTCAACTAATGGCTGATAGGAGTTACCACAGAATACTCCCTCTGGAGACCCCTTCCCAAAGGGGGATAACATTGAAGCACCCGTTTCACAGAATTCTCCAGCAATATTACGCTTTAGATACCTACAGTGGTGACTGGCTTCATAATATCCTTTTGCTTGGTTCCTTCCCTTCCCTGTCCCAGTTTTCTACTCACCCATCAGGGTTTGGTGGGACCATCTCTCATTCTGCTTGCACTTTAATCCTTCTTTGTTTCAGACATACCCAAAGTAAAATCTTGACTTATTAGTCCTAGCTCTGCTTTGTAGAAAGAATGTACGTGGAAAGATATTCCAGGCCAGCCTGTTTTGCTAGAAGCAGCAGCAGTATCACCAGGTAACTCATTAGAAATGCAAATTTTCAAGCCCCCCCCCACCCAGAGTAACCCATCAGAAACTGTGAGGGTGGAGCCAGTGACCTATGATTTACCTGATTCTCTGGGTGATTCTGACTCAAGAACTCTGAGAATCACTACCCCAGGGAATTCTAGTTTAGAGACGGTTAAGGGCACATTTCCAGAACTTTCAGATGTTCCTCATTCTTTTAGTTGCCCTCTTTTGGATGTATCCTAGTTCTCTAACACCAGTTCAATGGGCCCCCTATGACCGATCTCCGTACGGGTCACCCCCACTGGTTTATAAGTCCAAGAGGAAACACTGCTTTGGAGTCTCTTCTGAGGATCAAGCTCTCAGCTAAATTCTTTCAAACCCTTCCAGAATTCATTTCCCTGAACTGTCTGGAGCAACTGGTGACAGCTGCAACAGTAAGAATGTGTGGCAGGACTCACCATTTACACATCTTATCTGTGTCATTCTGTTAGATCTTGTTAGAAGAAGCTAAATAGGGGTGATGGGCTGGTGTCCTGGGGAATGATGCCTGGTTCTCAGGTGCTTACCAATTATTTGCTCTTTAACTGAAGCAGATGCACCACAGGCCTGTGAAAGGAAGCTGCAAATACCACCAGGCTTTTGCAACAATCACTTCACAATTTCCCCAAAGTCATTGCCAACTTTTATCCAATGGGATACTATTACTGTCAATCTCTAGGTCCTTGGTTCTGTCTCTTCCCTAGGTTTCTCTGATGACTTTGGTCTTCCCTCCACAGATTTGAGATCCTTCTACGTGCCACTCCACCAGCTCGTGATGGCTTAGGTTGCTTCCAGTGTAAATGATCTACCTCGTCTTTAGTCCTAGTAGAAACCCACTGGGTTCTACCCCTTCCCCATATATCCTGATACTTAGTTAGCACTTACTATCTAGGACATGAGCCAATGCCATCAGCAGAGTGGAGCTGATCCTGGGGCACATGACAGATGGTGCTAGGCTTGGCAGAGAGCGTTTTTTCAGGAAACAGGATCCTATTTGTTTTTCAGCCATGGTGTGGGAGGGGGTAAGAGACAGTCTTCATTTCACATTCTCTATGCCATCTTCTGACTCTCATCCCAGCTGTTCATTCTCACTCTTTGTCCATCTTCTCCTTTAGCCCAAGGACCATATGGAGCCTGCCAGGCAGGGTAGAATAAAAAGTTTAAAGAGGGAGGTACAGGCCAAAAGGGTGAGAAGAGAGGAGGAAAGCATAGAACTCTTAAATGAATTTAAGAGTAGAGATCTTCACCTTACCAAGTTCATACCCAGAGACTAAGGTTTGCAGGAGTGGAAGGGGGGATTAGTTATCCCATAACAATTTGGAAATCAGTGGGAAACTAGTGCCAAAGAACCTGAAAATGGGAATCTGATGCTATCATCTCCCAACCAATGCATCACTGGATGATTTGTGGAAAAGGCTCACATCTGTATTTACCCATCATCAAGGATCCTCTCCATTCCCTTTGCTCCAGGCCAAACTCACTGACAACTTTTAAGACACTCCTGTGGGCCATGGCCATTGGCCTCCTAAAGGTTCAGTGAAAAAAATCATTGGCATGAAGCAGATTGGTTACTAGGAGAAAAGGCATACACAGTTATTTAACGTGGATGCACAGGAGCCTTTAGAATGAAGACCCACCCAACAATAAGATACAGAAACTTATATGCCATCCTGAGGCCACAGTAAAGAAAGCGGACTCAGAGCATGGCCAGAAACAAGTTATGTTGGTAAGTCAGGTTTAGCAGCAAGACAAGTTGTGAGAGAGAGAAAAAGGAAAAAGCTTGCCTAGCCTTATTGTGTAGATGAAGCCTCCCTCCATGAGAATAGATAGATGGTAAATGTTTTTTTCAGTTTTTTTTTTTTTTTTTTTTTTTGAGAGGGAGTCTCACTCTGTTGCCAGGCTAGAGTGCAGTGGCGCAATCTTGGGTCACTGCAACCTCTGCCTCGCAGGTTCAAGCGATTCTCCTGCCTCAGCCTCCCAAGTAGCTGGGACTACAGGTGCGTGCCACCATGCCCAGCTAATTGTTGTATTTTTAGTAGAGACGGGGTTTCACCATGTTGGCCAAGATGGTCTCGATCTCTTGACCTCGTGATCTGCCTGCCTCAGCCTCCCAAAGTGCTGGGATTACAGGCGTGAGCCACCATGCCTGGCCTCTTTTCAGAGTTTTAAAGGTGTCAGACTCTCCATGTCTCCTGGATCTAGGAAAGGGTCCTCGTTCCCTAACACCAGTTACAATGGGCCACATATTATCGATCTCCCTACCAGTCACCCCACTGGTTTATAAATCCAAGAGGAAACACTGCTGTTGAGCCTCTGCTGAGGATCAAGCTCTCTCAGCTAAATTCTTTCAAGTCTTTCCAGAATTCATTTCCCTGCACTGTCTGGAGTGAATGGTGACAGCTGCAACAGTAAGAATGTGTGTCAGGAGGACTCACCATGTACACATAGGGGTTGCAGTTTGGGGTGCATTAATGGAGATTCTCTACAGATGCAATTTTCCCCCACAACAGACAGCTTTGCAAAGCCGTTTCTGTTTGTTGGCCAGGCAGCAGCTACTTCACAATATGTCAAATAAATATATATCTGGGGGTAGAATCTTTTAAGTTTTCTCACACTCTGCATGACATGTGCCCAGATTCTCTCAACTGGTCACCTTCTTCTGGAGTCAATAGTTTATCATTCTGTGCTCTTAAAATATGGTCTATAGCATGGGGCAAGGTGCTTCATTCTGATGCAGAAGATACGAAGGAGATTCTGTCAGATGGCTTTAGCAATCACATCACACTTTCAGCTCCTATTAATTTATTTAAGCTTACCTGTGGTTCCTTAGTTTTATCCTTCTCAATTGCAAAAACTTAAAAAATTAAAATAATAAAATGAAAGAAATAAAGATGGCCAGGAAATGTCTACAACCTATTGCTGATAACATCAACCATCTTTCCTCTTTATCACCATAACATGCATCTCCCCTTGGAAGTCATCCTGACTGAGGAATGGATTAAGTATCTCCTACTTGCTCTCAATCTCTTGCTTTCATTGTTTTGTTTATCTTCTTATTGAACTATGATTTTCCATTTCTGGGCTTCTCCTTGCCACCAGACACAGGGAATTATGTTTTATCCACAATACCTGAGATAGTGTGTGGCAGAGAGGTATAGCTTAATCAAAGTCAAGTAAATGAAAAAATTTATTTTTAGAAATGTATCCCCATCTCCAATTACTTTTATTCCTTTCCTTTTAATGTCTAGGAAAAGATTTTCTTATCTTTTTTACTTATGTGAACTTGACTTCACTCCCTCCAGCCTACCCCAGGCTTTGTATCCTCTTTCATGTGTTCTTTCCCATGTGCCATCAACCTTTCTGTTTTCATTAGTCATAAAAGCCAGGCCGGGCGAGGCGGTTCACACCTGTAATCCCAGCACTTTGGGAGGCTGAGGCAGGTGGATCACGAGATCAGGAGATCAAGACCATCCTGGCAAACACGGTGAAACCCCGTGCCTACTAAAAACACAAAAATAGCCGGGCGTGGTGGCACATGCCTGTAGTCCCAGCTACTTAGGAGGCTGAGGCAGGAGAATCGCTTGAACCTAGGAGGCAGAGGTTGCAGTGAGCCGAGATCGCGCCACTACATTCCAGCCTGGGCAACAGACCGAGACTCCGTCTAAAAAAAAAAAAAAGCCCACAGATATCTACTATAGGGGTAGAGGGTTAAAAGGGATCTTGTTTGACCTGTTCTGTGCCTGGACTGACTCCCAGCTTGCTTTCTTCTCTTCACAGCCAAGCTTTTCACAGAAATGAAAGCCTCCATGTTTTCCCTACCCACCTTCAACCCAGATCTCTTTCCCTTTCTTCTAGTGGCACTAAACCCTGCCCATGAGGTCTCTGTGGCCAAAGTATTGGGCGTTGGCTTGTCAAACACAAGTGGGAGGGTGGCTGAGATGACTCAAAAGACAGTTTTTAACCCCCAAGTTTAGGAGTCTGTTTTCCATTGCTCTATAGCTTGGTTACATGCCAGTTTTAACCTATTTCTTGCCCCCAGACTGAAAGATTGTGAGAATATAAATTGACCTAAGGCATTTATCACAAGGGTCTCAGTAACTCTTTGCATGATGATGCAAAGCTTTTCAACCAAAGTGACGCCCTCCCATTGCTAATAAAGTACCCTGCTCAGGTTATAAAAAGAAGTCCAAGTTATATTGTGGGACCTGGTCAAGTATTCATTCACACCACATACCTGGACCATCAAAGCACCCTTTATGATGCTCACTTTTTTTTTTTTAACTAACCTGTTCTTTTCCTCCATCTCTGAGTAAATCAGTCAAAATATTGAAGAAAAAGGGAGTAGAGGAGAAGGGGTCTTGCAAAAGGCATTGGGAAAATGGCATGCAATTATTCTTATAAATAAGAAATGGGTAATTATTATTTTTTTATTATATTTTAAGTTTTAGGGTACATGTACACATTGTGCAGGTTAGTTACATATGTATACATCTGCCATGCTGGTGCACTGCACCCACCAACTCGTCATCTAGCATTAGGTATATCTCCCGATGCTATCCCTCCCCCCTCCCCCCACCCCACAACAGTCCCCAGAGTGTGATATTCCCCTTCCTGTGTCCATGTGATCTCATTGTTCAATTCCCACCTATGAGTGAGAATATGCGGTGTTTGGTTTTTTGTTCTTGAGATAGTTTACTGAGAATGATGATTTCCAATTTCATCCATGTCCCTACAAAGGACATGAACTCATCATTTTTTATGGCTGCATAGTATTCCATGGTGTATATGTGCCACATTTTCTTAATCCAGTCTATCATTGTTGGAGATTGGGGTTGGTTCCAAGTCTTTGCTGTTGTGAATAATGCCGCAATAAACATACGTGTGCATGTGTCTTTATAGCAGCATGATTTATAGTCCTTTGGGTATATACCCAGTAATGGGATGGCTGGGTCAAATGGTATTTCTAGTTCTAGATCCCTGAGGAGTCGCCACACTGACTTCCACAATGGTTGAACTAGTTTACAGTCCCACCAACAGTGTAAAAGTGTTCCTATTTCTCCACATCCTCTCCAGCACCTGTTGTTTCCTGACTTTTTAATGATTGCCATTCTAACTGGTGTGAGATGGTATCTCATTGTGGTTTTGATTTGCATTTCTCTGATGGCCAGTGATGATGAGCATTTTTTCATGTGTTTTTTGGCTGCATAAATGTCTTCTTTTGAGAAGTGTCTGTTCATGTCCTTCGCCCACTTGTTGATGGGGTTGTTTGTTTTTTTCTTGTAAATTTGTTTGAGTTCATTGTAGATTCTGGATATTAGCCCTTTGTCAGATGAGTAGGTTGCGAAAATTTTCTCCCATTCTGTAGGTTGCCTGTTCACTCTGATGGTAGTTTCTTTTGCTGTGCAGAAGCTCTTTAGTTTAATTAGATCCCATTTGTCAATTTTGTCTTTTGTTGCCATTGCTTTTGGTGTTTTAGACATGAAGTCCTTGCCCATGCCTATGTCCTGAATGGTAATGCCTAGGTTTTCTTCTAGGGTTTTTATGGTTTTAGGTCTAACGTTTAAGTCTTTAATCCATCTTGAATTGATTTTTGTATAAGGTGTAAGGAAGGGATCCAGTTTCAGCTTTCTACATATGGCTAGCCAGTTTTCCCAGCACCATTTACTAAATAGGGAATCCTTTCCCCATTGCTTGTTTTTGTCAGGTTTGTCAAAGATCAGATAGTTGCAGATATGTGGCATTATTTCTGAGGGCTCTGTTCTGTTCCATTGATCTATATCTCTGTTTTGGTACCAGTACCATGCTGTTTTGGTTACTGTAGCCTTGTAGTATAGTTTGAAGTCAGGTAGTGTGATGCCTCCAGCTTCGTTCTTTTGGCTTAGGATTGCCTTGGCGATGCGGGCTCTTTTTTGGTTCCATATGAACTTTAAAGTAGTTTTTTCCAATTCTGTGAAGAAAGTCATTGGTAGCTTGATGGGGATGGCATTGAATCTGTAAATTACCTTGGGCAGTATGGCCATTTTCACGATATTGATTCTTCCTACCCATGAGCACGGAATGTTCTTCCATTTGTTTGTATCCTCTTTTATTTCCTTGAGCAGTGGTTTGTAGTTCTCCTTGAAGAGGTCCTTCCCATCCCTTGTAAGTTGGATTCCTAGGTATTTTATTCTCTTTGAAGCAATTGTGAATGGGAGTTCACTCATGATTTGGCTCTCTGTTTGTCTGTTGTTGGTGTATAAGAATGCTTGTGATTTTTGTACATTGATTTTGTATCCTGAGACTTTGCTGAAGTTGCTTATCAGCTTAAGGAGATTTTGGGCTGAGACAATGGGGTTTTCTAGATATACAATCATGTCGTCTGCAAACAGGGACAATTTGACTTCCTCTTTTCCTAATTGAATACCCTTTATTTCCTTCTCCTGCCTGATTGCCCTGGCCAGAACTTCCAACACTATGTTGAATAGGAGTGGTGAGAGAGGGCATCCCTGTCTTGTGCCAGTTTTCAAAGGGAATGCTTCCAGTTTTTGCCCATTCAGTATGATATTGGCTGTGGGTTTGTCATAGATAGCTCCTATTATTTTGAAATACGTCCCATCAATACCTAATTTATTGAGAGTTTTTAGCATGAAGGGTTGTTGAATTTTGTCGAAGGCTTTTTCTGCATCTATTGAGATAATCATGTGGTTTTTGTCTTTGGCTCTGTTTATATGCTGGATTACATTTATTGATTTGCGTATATTGAACCAGCCTTGCATCCCAGGGATGAAGCCCACTTGATCATGGTGGATAAGCTTTTTGATGTGCTGCTGGATTCGTTTTGCCAGTATTTGATTGAGGATTTTTGCATCGATGTTCATCAAGGATATTGGTCTAAAATTCTCTTTTTTTCTTGTGTCCCTGCCTGGCTTTGGTATCAGAATGATGCTGGCCTCATAAAATGAGTTAGGGAGGATTCCCTCTTTTTCTATTGATTGGAATAGTTTCAGAAGGAATGGTACCAGTTCCTCCTTGTACCTCTGGTAGAATTCGGCTGTGAATCCATCTGGTCCTGGACTCTTTTTGGTTGGTAAGCTATTGATTATTGCCACAATTTCAGCTCCTGTTATTGGTCTCTTCAGAGATTCAACTTCTTCCTGGTTTAGTCTTGGGAGGGTGTATGTGTCCAGGAATTTATCAATTTCTTCTAGATTTTCTAGTTTATTTGCGTAGAGGTGTTTGTAGTATTCTCTGATGGTAGTTTGCATTTCTGTGGGATCGGTGGTGATATCCCCTTTATCCTTTTTTATTGTGTCTATTTGATTCTTCCCTCTTTTTTTCTTTATTAGTCTTGCTAGCGGTCTATCAATTTTGTTGATCCTTTCAAAAAGCCAGCTCCTGGATTCATTGATTTTTTGAAGGGTTTTTTGTGTCTCTATTTCCTTCAGTTCTGCTCTGATTTTAGTTATTTCTTGCCTTCTGCTAGCTTTTGAATGTGTTTGCTCTTGCTTTTCTAGTTCTTTTAATTGTGATGTTAGGGTGTTAATTTTGGATCTTTCCTGCTTTCTCTTGTGGGCATTTAGTGCTATAAATTTCCCTCTACACACTGCTTTGAATGCGTCCCAGAGATTCTGGTATGTTGTGTCTTTGTTCTCGTTGGTTTCAAAGAACATCTTTATTTCTGCCTTCATTTTGTTATGTATCCAGTAGTCATTCAGGAGCAGGTTGTTCAGTTTCCAGGTAGTTGAGCGGTTTTGAGTGAGATTCTTAATTCTGAGTTCTAGTTTGATTGCACTGTGGTCTGAGAGATAGTTTGTTATAATTTCTGTTCTTTTACATCTGCTGAGGAGAGCTTTACTTCCCAGTATGTGGTCAATTTTGGAATAGGTGTGGTGTGGTGCTGAAAAAAATGTATATTCTGTTGATTTGGGGTGGAGAGTTCTGTAGATGTCTATTAGGTCCGGTTGGTGTAGAGCTGAGTTCAAGTCCTGGGTATCCTTGTTGACTTTCTGTCTCGTTGATCTGTCTAATGTTGACAGTGGGGTGTTAAAGTCTCCCATTATTAATGTGTGGGAGTCTAAGTCTCTTTGTAGGTCACTCAGGACTTGCTTTATGAATCTTGGTGCTCCTGTATTGGGTGCATATATATTTAGGATAGTTAGCTCTTCTTGTTGAATTGATCCCTTTACCATTATGTAATGGCCTTCTTTGTCTCTTTTGATCTTTGTTGGTTTAAAGTCTGTTTTATCAGAGACTAGGATTGCAACTCCTGCCTTTTTTTGTTTTCCATTGGCTTGGTAGATCTTCCTCCATCCTTTTATTTTGAGCCTACGTGTGTCTCTGCACGTGAGATGGGTTTCCTGAATACAGCACACTGATGGGTCTTGACTCCTTTATCCAATTTGCCAGTCTGTGTCTTTTAATTGGAGCATTTAGTCCATTTACATTTAAAGTTAATATTGTTATGTGTGAATTTGATCCTGTCATTATGATGTTAGCTGGTTATTTTGCTCGTTAGTTGATGCAGTTTCTTCCTAGTCTCGATGGTCTTTACATTTTGGCATGATTTTGCAGCGGCTGGTACCGGTTGTTCCTTTCCATGTTTAGTGCTTCCTTCAGAAGCTCTTGTAAGGCAGGCCTGGTGGTGACAAAATCTCTCAGCATTTGCTTGTCTGTAAAGGATTTTATTTCTCCTTCACTTATGAAGCTTAGTTTGGCTGGATATGAAATTCTGGGTTGAAAATTCTTTTCTTTAAGAATGTTGAATATTGGCCCCCACTCTCTTCTGGCTTGTAGGGTTTCTGCCGAGAGATCCGCTGTTAGTCTGATGGGCTTCCCTTTGAGGGTAACCCGACCTTTCTCTCTGGCTGCCCTTAACATTTTTTCCTTCATTTCAACTTTGGTGAATCTGACAATTATGTGTCTTGGAGTTGCTCTTCTCGAGGAGTATCTCTGTGGCGTTCTCTGTATTTCCTGAATCTGAACGTTGGCCTGCCTTGCTAGATTGGGGAAGTTCTCCTGGATAATATCCTGCAGAGTGTTTTCCAACTTGGTTCCATTCTCCCCATCACTTTCAGGTACACCAATCAGACGTAGATTTGGTCTTTTCACATAGTCCCATATTTCTTGGAGGCTTTGCTCATTTCTTTTTATTCTTTTTTCTCTAAACTTCCCTTCTCACTTCATTTCATTCATTTCATCTTCCATTGCTGATACCCTTTCTTCCAGTTGATCGCATCGGCTCCTGAGGCTTCTGCATTCTTCACGTAGTTCTCGAGCCTTGGTTTTCAGCTCCGTCAGCTCCTTTAAGCACTTCTCTGTATTGGTTATTCTAGTTATACATTCTTCTAAATTTTTTTCAAAGTTTTCAACTTCTTTGCCTTTGGTTTGAATGTCCTCCCGTAGCTCAGAGTAAGTTGATCGTCTGAAACCTTCTTCTCTCAGCTCCTCAAAGTCATTCTCCATCCAGCTTTGTTCCGTTGCTGGTGAGGAACTGCATTCCTTTGGAGGAGGAGAGTCGCTCTGCTTTTTAGAGTTTCCAGTTCTTCTGTTTTGTTTTTTCCCCATCTTTGTGGTTTTATCTACTTTTGGTCTTTGATGATGGTGATGTACAGATGGGTTTTTGGTGTGGATGTCCTTTCTGTTTGTTAGTTTTCCTTCTAACAGAGAGGACCCTCAGCTGCAGGTCTGTTGGAATACCCTGCCTTGTGAGGTGTCAGTGTACCCCTGCTGGGGGGTGCCTCCCAGTTAGGCTGCTCAGGGGTCAGGGGTCAGGGACCCAGTTGAGGAGGCAGTCTTCCCGTTCTCAGATCTCCAGCTGTGTGCTGGGAGAACCACTGCTCTCTTGAAAGCTGTCAGACAGGGACATTTAAGTCTGCAGAGGTTACTGCTGTCCTCTTGTTTGTCTGTGCCCTGCCCCCAGAGGTGGAGCCTACAGAGGCAGGCAGGCCTCCTTGAGGTGTGGTGGGCTCCACCCAGTTGGAGCTTCCCGGCTGCTTTGTTTACCTAATCAAGCCTGGGCAATGGCGGGCGCCCCTCCCCCAGCCTCGCTGCCGCCTTGCAGTTTGATCTCAGACTGCTGTGCTAGCAATCAGCGAGACTCCGTGGGCGTAGGACCCTCTGAGCCAGGTGAGGGATATAATCTCGTGGTGCGCCGTTTTTTAAGCCCGTCGGAAAAGCGCAGTATTCAGGTGGGAGTGACCCGATTTTCCAGGCGCCGTCCGTCACAGCTTTCTTTGACTCGGAAAGGGAACTCCCTGACCCCTTGGGCTTCCCGAGTGAGGCAATGCCTCGCCCTGCTTCGGCTCGCGCACGGTGCGCGCACCCACTGACCTGCGCCCACTGTCTGGCACTCCCTAGTGAGATGAACCCGGTACCTCAGATGGAAATGCAGAAATCACCCGTCTTCTGCGTCGCTCACGCTGGGAGCTGTAGACCGGAGCTGTTCCTATTCGGCCATCTTGGCTCCTCCTCGAAATGGGTAATTATTAAGTATAAAATTATTTACACTAACTGGATGGCAAAGTACTGGAATATATTATAAAGTGTCTGTTTTAATATCTGTATCTTGGTGGTTGCTAGGTTACACTGGTACTTTTAATAACATAAAGGGAGCTAGAAATACTTGTAGATACTTTCTTCATTGAAAATATTACTGGCAAGAAAAGGGACATATTGCTGGTTAGTGCAGCGGGATATTATAAGCTTTCTGTTGCTCATTAAAATGCATCTTAGATGTTTGTATTATTAGTGGTGTAGTTTAGAGGTTTTTTTTTTCAAAATAGTTGAACCTTATGATAATAAGACTTGTGGTTTGATGGATATGGACGGTGGATAACCCTATCTCCCTGAAAGCTAACTAGATTTAATTCCATTCAGTCTCACTGTATTGCATTCCATCTGATCCAAAAGACCTTTGCTGAGCAGCTACTAAATGTCAAGCACTATTGAGACACTAGGGATGTAGAGATTTTTAATAAGACACTAATTGGACTTCTTATTGGCAGTTAGGAAAGCATACAGTGTTTTTCTTTTTGCTTGAAATCATGGCAATTGGTGTTTCTTTATTTCTGCTTAAGAACGAATATTTCCTTGTCATTACTTGTATCTCAAAGATCATGAAGTTTGAATTAGCCTGTGGCCCTTTGCAGAACAGGAGGCCCACTCTTGGTTTGTGCTGGATAGAGCTGCATGAAGCAGTTAAATCAAGTACAATGCTATTATTGCTCTGAGTCTGGATAAATCTCATGGGAGCACAAAGTCAGTGATTAATTTTAACCTGGAGGATAGGAAAAGGAAAAAACTCTTAAAAACTTCAAAGAAGTGGTGATATTTGAGTTGGGATTTGAGAGAAGAGATAAAGATTTTGAGATGGGAAAGGTGGGAAGAGCATTTGCAGTAGAGAGATGAGGGTGTAAAATCTCAGAAATACTTGTTCTATAATCACTAATATTTATCGATCACATGTCCAGTGCTTTGGTTGTATTAACTCATTTAATCCTAAAAATCACCCTTCTGAGGTAGATATCATTACCATCTAAAAGCGGTTAACTAGATCAAGGTCACACAGTCAGTGTATGTGATGAACCTGAGGTTCCAACCCATGCAAAACAGCCTTTGGAGCCAGAACTCTTGTCCATTATTCCACCCCTCCATGTGGCAGGTAGTCTACTGTGATTGGCATGAATGAGATGGGGAGGAGCTCAGGCTGGTAGGTAAGATGAGGCTAGATTGTGCTGGGTCCTAAATGACATGTTTAAGGTGTTTATACTTTATCCTTAATATATGATGGGGAGCTGATGATGTGTTCCAAGCACAGGAGTGATGGGTCCTGAACTCATATTTTAGAACAATGATTCTGGTGAGTGTATGTGGGCTGGACTTAGGTGGGGGTTGTGACTGGAGATTTTAAAAATGAGTTAAGAGACCTCATTGTACCTCATTGTAAATGTTCAAGTGAGAAAATTCAGCCTAATAAACACCTTTTGAGCATCTACAGAATGGTGCACAGAAACTCAGATCCTTCCAAAATAACATCTTAATCACTGATCTTTTTGTAAGAATGAAGCTTACTAAATCAATTCAGAAGGGCACCATACAGAATTTGACCCTTTTGGGTCATCTCTTTCATGCTCTCATGTTCTTGCTTTTTCAGGCTTCCTTCCCTGACTTTTCATTATGGAATTTTCCAATCTATACATCATAACCTCTGGAACTCCTGCCATTTTGGGGACATATTCTGAAATTCACACCTCCTCACCAATGCTCATTCCATCTTTTGCCTTTATTTATTTATTTATTTATTTATTTATTTATTTATTTATTTATTTGTGATGTCACTCAGGCTGGAGTGCAGTAGTGCTATCATAGCTCACAGTAGCCTCAAACTTCTGGGCTCAAGCAATCTTCCCGCCTCAGCCTCTTGAGTAGCTGGGACTGCAGGCATACACCACCATGTCTGTCTTGATTTTGTGTAGAGGTGGGGTCTTGCTATGTTGACCAAGCTGGTCACAAACTCCTGGCCTCAAGCAATCTTCCTGCCTCAGCCTCCCAAAGTGTTGGGATTACAGGCATGAGTCATCTTACCTGGCCATTTTTGCCCTAACCAAAGCTTAGGTCTACACTAAGGATGTTAATTTCTCAACCAATGTGCCCTCTCCAGTGGAGGATATTCTGCTTTGTATACTCTAAGAAATAAGCTGGCAGGAGAGGACTTGCCTTGCCCTGCTGGTCTATCGCTTCTTCCAAATTTTGAGCAAAAATCCATTTTCACATGAAGCTCACACCATTCCTTGGTGCCATCATTTACTAGCTATAAAAATAATCTAAGACTATATGACACCCACCCTGAACCCCATCATAACCCTGGGGAACCTCACCTTTTGGACACTCCATCACTAATACATCGGTTTTAGAGTTCTGTGACCTCCTCATTTCCAGTGACTTCACCTCCTTCCTTAATAAACCATAGCCTGAGCTACCTCAGACCTTGCCATCATCCAGAATGATTCCATTTCTAAAATGTGGGTGGGGGATCCTCAAATAGAGCTGGGGTGTGCTGTGCCCACCCATTTGATTAACTCAAGCAGGTAAAAGTCATGAAAGGCAGCTGTATGAGTGGCAGATCCAGGGTCTGGATCACTTAGATCATTTCTAAAATGTTTCTAGCGTACCGTTTCAAGGATATTTCAAACTCATCTTGGCAATTTTGCCTGCATTTCTTCCCTCCCTTGTTTCCCTGCTTAGGAGTTGTGTTGCTTAATGATTTTATGCATTCTTAGTGAATACTCTAGACCTGTCCATTTGGCCTTGGGATGTTTTGTGGTCTCCTGTAGCATTTAAGACATAGTTGAGTTGTCTTATTCTTCCTGTAGCCAATGGAATCTATGGATGCTATTGTGAGCTGTGTGCCTTTGTGCTGGACTGTGGGAAAGATACTTTGGCTCCCTGGCACTAAGGTGTTAGAAAAAGGAATTAGAATGCTGGTGTCGGGCAAATTGATTCATCAAGGACCAACAAGATCAGTGGTTGAGACTTCTGAGGAATCACCTCCAATGTGGGGTATAGTTGGCATTGATTGTCTTGCTTTACCTCACCCTGCTGATAATGTCCCAAACGTCATAAAATGTAAGTTGTTGTTGAAATGGAAGGTTACTATGAGTATTGAGACTGTGTGAAGGGGAATGAGAGCCTACTGCTGTCATTGATGGCCGTGGGAAACTCAGAGTTTGAATCTTAAACTCCAGTGCTCCCCTGTCACTTCACTCTTTCCATTTCCACATACTTCACTCCCATTTTCATGCTAATTTCCAAAAGCCTGCTGTTTGGCCACACGCACACTAAAATGATTGCTCTCTCCACTTCTGCAGCCCTGCTCCATGGTCACTTCACTCCTGGCCTCATTTTCTCTCCCATCTATCCTGAACCAAAGAGAACATTCTCTAAGCCCTCTTACCTTCTAAGTCTTTGCTGTCTTTTGTCTTTCTATAGTGTCCATGCCATATGATTCGGTCTTAAATTATTCCAATCACCCACATTTTGACCTTTCACATGAGTGGGCAAGCAACTACAGAGAAAAGTCACTGAAAACTACAGGTTTCTGTTTTGTAAACCTTTTCTGCAAATCTGGTCCTGTCCTTCTCCCATCACGATCAGCAGCTATGGCAAACCCTCACCACTCTGTTCTAGATTTCCATCAGGCATATGCATTCTCAGCAGATGGCTTCATCTTCCACTTAAGAGACAATCAGCAGGATCGCATTCAACCTCCTGTCTTTTCCCTCCACATTTACCCTGGCCTTCTATCTTAGTTACAAGGGCATCTTCTCTTTCTTTCCGTCTGTGATTTATACACGTGCTACTTCTATTTTGCCAGGGACCTCATTCCCTTCCCTGTTTCTGACCGTTAATTTCTCCCTACCTACTATCCTCTTCTCTGTGGCCCATGATCATGTACAAGTCTCTCTCATCCGAAAAGAAATGAAAACAGCAATCACCTTTGGATAACCCTGGATCTGCCACTGACACATCTGCATTTCACAATTTTTACCTGCTTGAAAGTGTGGATCACACCCCCTCTTCATTTTCTCATTTCCAAATTTCTCATTTGTCTCTGAGTCCACTGAAATCTGTCTGCTCCCACCACCCACTAAAGCTATTACTGCCAAGGTCATCAGTGTCATTACTGTGCTAAAGTTATGAGCAATTTCAGCCCTCTTGGCAGTATTTGGCTCGTGTGATTGCTCTCTACTTAAAACTCTATTTTTCCATGGCTGTCACAACACTAAGTGTTGTTTAAAGTGAGTGAGAGAGAGAGAAGTTTAATTTTTCACCAAGTCCACCCCTGTTTAAATGAGAGCATGTGTGTAAAATGGCTCTGCTTACTGTTGGACACAAACAAGGGATTATCATGACTGGTTGAGTTCTGTTGCAATTCATTCTAAAACTTTCCCCTGCAGCCTATAAAGCCTGCCTGCTACACTACCTATTTTGTAGGAGAAGCAGTCGGGATCCAGAGGGGTTGAGTGATTTTCTTAGCAATATACAAGGGCCAGAACCAGGGCCAGGGTTCATTTCCATAGACTCTGAGTACAATTCTGCCTTCACTTCCCACATGGCTTTTTAAAACTTTTATTAACAGTGTGACTTTTCTTCTTCTATTTTCCCATCTATGTCCCTCCCTTCTTTTCCTTTTTTCCTTCCTCCCTCCCATCTTCCTTCCCTCCCTCTCTCCCTCTCTTTCCCTTCCTTCTTTTCTGCTTTCCATTTTCTTCATTGTTCTGCTTCTTTCCTTTTAAGGACTGTTTAAATATTTACCTTTTCTTTGTTTACCCATCATCTTGAGTGAAAACCATGAGCTGTGTTTGTGTTACTGTTGGGGTTGGGGTGCTTGCCTTGGGGTAACTAAGTATTAAAATTAAAATAAGGTGGAGTTTCTAAATGTTTGACACAACCAGGGGATTCTCCTTCCCATTAACAATCACTTCTGATTCTTTGCAAGGGAGAAAAACCTGTTCTTGGAGTTGAAGAAATACCTGTGACTGATTAGGCTAACCTCCTGGTCTTGGGTCTGTGATTCCTCAGCTCTGGACGCGTCACATATTTCTTCTGACCTTTATGCTGCAACAGCTTTCATGGAAGATTTAGGATGCATTCCTTACTTATACCAAATCCCTCCTCATTTCTCAAATCCATTTCATTACTTCCAAATTCCCACCTCATTTAATAACTTCTCTGCAAAATCACTTCACTGATATCCACCTAAGATTTATGCCTGCCATATTGCAAATGTACCAAGTGGGACGTCTTCCCTTGTCTACCTCAACTCCCTGCAGACTGAATAGCCTGCAATCAATAAGACTTCCCATAATTCATGATTAGTTAGACTTTTTCAGCTGGATTTGTTCAAAATAGGGTGGTACAAATCAAGCTCTTATTTGGACTTTGAGTTGAGGCCGGTAGTTTTTTGAAATAATAATTGTTGAAGTTTTCTTGGTTCATAGATAGTGGACTTTTATAGAAAGAAAACTGGGAAATAATAGCACAAGGAATAAAATAAAACAGAATAAAATAAAAGAACCTATTTTAATTCTATCTTCCAGAAATAATCATTGTGGCATGCATATGATTATTAGCATTTTTATAAAGGTTGTAGCATTAAATATCCTTATGTACAAAATTTTGTGAGTATGTATTTTAATTTTTTTTTTTTTTTTTTTTTGAGACGGAGTCTCGCTCTGTCACCCAGGCTGGAGTGCAGTGGCCTGATCCCGGCTCACTGCAAGCTCCTCCTCCTGGGTTCATGCCATTCTCCTGCCTCAGCCTCTGGAGCAGCTGGAGCTACAGGCGCCTGCCACCACGCCTGGCTAATTTTTTTTTGTATTTTTAGTAGAGACGAGGTTTCACCATGTTATCCAGGATGGTCTCGATCTCCTGACCTCGTGATCTGCCCGCCTCGGCCTCCCAAAGTGGTGGGATTACAGGCGTGAGCCACTGCGCCTGGCCAATTTTTTTTTTTTTTTAATTTTACTTTAAGTTCTGGGATACATGTGCAGAATGTGCAGGTTTGTTACATAGGTACACATGTGCCATGGTGGTTTGCTGCACCTATCAACTCATCATCTAGGTTTTAAGCCCTGCATGCATTAGGTATTTGTCCTAATGCTCTGTCTCCTCTTGCCCCTCACCTCCCCGACATGCCCCAGTGTGTGATGTTCCCCCCCTGTGTCCATGTGTTCCTATTATTCAACTCCCATTTATGAGTGAGAAAATGCAGCATTTGGTTTTCTGTTCCTGTGTTAGTTTGCTGAGAATGATGGCTTCCAGCTTCATCCATATCCCTGCAAAGGATATGAATTCATTCTTTTTTATGGCTGCATAGTATTCCATGGTGTATATGTACCACATTTTGTATATAAAAATTAAATTTTTATACATCGAGTTTTTAGAAGTAGAATTGGGAGGCTAAAAGATATTATTTTCTTTTTGGGTCTTGATCTATATTGCTAAAAAGGTACTGTGGGAATTACAATTTTCCAACATACTTCCCAGCACTGGATAACATAATTTTTAAAAGTTTCTAATTCGATAGTTGAAAATGGTTTATTATTGTTTTAGTTTGCATTTATTCGAATGCTAGTAAAGTGAGACACAAAAATATTTTTGGCCTTTTTAATTGTATTATTTTGTGAATGATCAGTATATGTCTTTTATCAGTCTTTTCATGGTAATTTTGGTATGCTCTAGTTGATAAGTGAGTTTTCCTCATATACTAAAGCTACTAACCTACAGTTACATGGCTCAAGTATTTGTTCCCAGTTTTTTATTTACTTTTCAATTTGCTACTAATATATATTAATGAACAAGTTTTGAATTTGAACGGAATCAGATCTAAATATCTTTTCCTTTTTGGTTTGTTCTGTGGTTTGTTTGCTTAGAATAATTTCCCTTATTCTGAGATCAGGTAAATATTTGCTTGTATTTTCTTGCTTTTTCATTTTCTTTTAATTTGCTTATTCATTCATTCATTTACATTTTTCTCTGTATTTCATGGTTTGGATTTTATTTCAGTATAAGATTTAAGATAGGGAATCTAACTCTCCTCCCTCACCAAATATTTAGCCAGTTATCCAAGCACCATTTATTAGATCACCCATTTATACTTATCTTGTATTAAATTGTTATATGTACTTGCAATGATTTCTAAGCCTTTTATTTGATTCTGTGACTTTTTATTAGGTCAGCACAATATTGGTTTTACTGTGTTTTAATATACAGCAATGCAAGTTTAAACTTTTTTAAACTTCTCCCACCCAAGAATATTGCCTATTTTAATGAGGTTTTCCTTTCAGATGAATTTTATAATCATTTTTCAAGGCTCTTTTTCTACCTCCTTGTAACAAACCCTGAACAGGTATTTTGATTAGAAAAAAATTGAAGGCATAAATTAATTACTCCTTATCTCCATTTCTTTGTCTTTGTTCATACAATCTGGGATTTTATATGTTTTATGAAATTTAAATTAATATTTTTTGTACTGTATTTCTTTGCTTCAAGAATAATTTTTACATTTGTATGTAGTATTTAATTCTTTTTTTTTTTGATTCTTTAAGAATAGCAAGAAGATGCTTTGTAAAGTTACTTCTACTTCTTAAAAATATTTTAAAAACTCATTCTCTTCCCTTTGGCTTCTTCTTTCATTGTATTGGGGAACATATTCATACACTTCATGATGCCTTTTCTTTAGTACCAACCTTAAGTAGGGCAAGTCCTGGGATGTGGAACTTTCAGTTTTAAAATTAGGAGAGTTTTGCGCAATCTAGGACCAGCTGGTCACCCATTAAGTGAAAAAAGATTGGTTCATCTAAATCAATTATGCCCCCACTACTTCTGCTGCCATTTACATGTTCCATTGGGTGGACTGGGTTCTGGTCGTCATATTTAACTCCTGCCCTCTAACAAAAAACACAATAAAAACATAGAGTCAGATGTGGCAAAAATAGTTTCTTTTCGTCTCATCTGAATCAAATTTCTTTTAGTTTCGTGTTTCAGTGTTCTCCAGGTACTCAGGTGCACCTCCTAAATCAGCGCGGTGCCCTGCTTATTGTTGCCCTGGGCTTTTGCATCTGCCATTTCCTCTGACTGGGATGAACTTCCTTCAAGTTAGTTGTTCACTCCCTCATATCATTTAGATCCTCCTCATGTCAGCTCCTTGGAGAGGGCTTCATTGCCTTTCCATCCAATCTCGCAGCTCCTCTTTACCTGCTTCATTGGTTTTGCATTACACTTGTTATCCGTCTCGCCACCATTCTGGGCTCCACAAGGGCAGGACTTGGTCTGTTTCATTCTCAGCTGTACACAAACGGTGTCTACTGCAGTGTCTGGCACAGGGTGGGCACTCAATGCAGTTTTGCTGAATCAGTGAGTAAATACTCACACCTGCTGGTTTCTATCTCTATTATGTCTGTATATGTTTTCCTAAGAAGCCTGTATTATATTCCATCTGTGCTACTATGATGGAAAGGAGGGCATTTTTCTCACTCTTTTTAGTGCAAATGGTAACTTTCAGATTTCATCTATGATAGCTACTTTTAAGAGTCACCTTGACTGGGCCATGGGTTGCCCAGATTAAACATTATTTCTGGTGTGTCTCAGAGGATGTTTCTGGATGGGATTAGCATTTGAATTGGTGGACTCAGTAAAGCGGATGGGCTTCCCTTATGTGCGTTCTGAATATAACAAAAAGGCAGAGGAAGGAGGGATTCTCCCCTTTCTCTTCCTGCCTGTTTTGCTTGAGCTAGAATATCTCATCTCATCTTCCGCAGCCCTTGGACTGAAATTTACCTGATCAGCTCTCTTGATTCTCCATCCATTGGACTTATACCAATGGTTTTCCTGAGTTTCTCGCTTGTAGATGGCTGAACATGGACTTCTCAGCCTTCGTAATTGTGTAAGCTAATTCCTTATGATAAATCTCTTTCTCAGTCTCTATACCTATATCTATCTATCTATCTATCTATCTATCTATCTATCTATATATCTATCTATCTGTACACATTCTATCTATCTATCTAATCTGTTTTGTTTCTATTGGTTTTGTTTCTCTCTAGAATCCTGACTGATACAAGCTGAAAACGAACCCTCTTTCAGACAGAAGCCTCAACATACCCATGAGTTTTGGATGACACCATTAAATATTTCAGAGTTATTTATGTTTAACTATTTCATTTTTTTTTTTTTTTTTTTTTTTTGAGATGGAGTCTCGCTCTGTCGCCCAGGCTGGAGTGCAGCCGTGCGATCTCGGCTCACTGCAAGCTCCGCCTCCTGGGTTCACGCCATTCTCCTGCCTCAGCCTCCCGCGTAGGTGGGACTACAGGCGCCCGCCACCACACCCAGCTAATTTTTTGTATATTTAGTAGAGACAGGGTTTCACCATGTTAGCCAGGATGGTCTCGATCTCCTGACCTCGTGATCTGCCCTCCTCGGTCTCCCAAAGTGCTGGGATTACAGGCGTGAGCCACCGTGCCCGGCCCTATTTTACTTTTAATATCACATGGCTTTGATCATATTTGGGATGTTATTTCCTTCTGGCTTGCAGGTTTGTCCTTCGTATCTTCAAAGGAACAAGGATCAGGCAGCTTCTGCAGCCCCAGATCCTTGTTCCACTGTCTCCACAGTGGAACTGAAGGGATCTTGTTCATTTCCTGGTCTGGTCTCTTTAACACACTGGCAAAATCTCAGGTAAGGTACCTGGGAAACAGATTAAAAACAAACATGCAAAAATACACCATTTAAATTGGAAAGTAATCAGTTTAGGCTGACTTTCAGAACTTCCAACACAGCCAGTGGCAAAGAGGAAAATGTTTTTTGCAGTTAATCAGTCGTCTTTCCTAGGGGAAAAAAAAGGACCCTGCAGCATTACTTGGAGCGTGTTCCCTGGGGAATATGCTTTAGCTCTCATGGTGAAATTGATCTGTCTAAAAAACACCAAGAAACTTCGCTATAATCTCCTTGATGATGGTCCCAGTGACTGTTTCAAAGTGAAGGTGCATGTTGAGACTTATTCCTGGAAAACAATTTTCTCTATTTTCTTCTCAAGGTGGGTGAGAGTGAAAGTTTAGAGGAAATATTGAAAATTATGTGAAATGAGGCAGTTTGGCTTACTTTGTTTAGGAAGAGATGTTCCTTCACAAGCATTTATTGAAAAGCCATCAATATTAATGCATGTTTTCATAGAGCTCTGAGATGTTCAGAGTACTTTTCAATTTTGTTTCTCAAACCTTATAGGCTCTCTCCTCCAGCTGTTGATTTGGAAACAGAAGTTCTCATTTATATCACAGAGTCATTTCATAAGCCTCACAGGGTTCCCTAATACATAAACTTAAATGAGGAGAGGTTGGTTAAATACAAACCAAGGATTCCCCTTCTGGACCCCTCTCACTTATGTGATCCAGTGGATGACAGGCTTAGAACATCTTGGTAGGCATACAAGTTACTCTTTTGTATAGGTTTGGAAACAGCTGTCGAAATCCCATTTTCAGGATCTGATAACTCTATTTAATGGGGCAGCTTCTTTTTATCTCGCACTCTCTCCTTCTTTCTCTGTTTTTCTCTCTCCTCTCCCTTCTCACTCATGAGCATGTGTTCTCTTAAGCTTTCTCATGTTTATCTCATCCAAGTCTAATCCCGAAAATGGGTCTCTATCTCAGAGAGCACTTCTTCAGCAGATGTGTAATGGCTTGCATTAAAATAGGAAATTGTCTTACAAAAACACAAAATCAGAATGAAGGAAAAAAGAAGAATGCAGGCAGTTCTGCTCTGAGAGAGTGTGAACTTGACCCTGGTGTGATTTTACTCTGAACCTGAATTTCCCAGTTGCCCTTGCTGGGGGCCTTTATCATCTTCGCTAATGCACAGAGACTGCCATCAACAGCTGTCTGGAATGGGGAGAGGACTGCTTCCTTAATGTGAGGTCGCTACAACTACGGTGGTCTCAGGGAAGGAATCACAAAGGGAAGCTTCAGTTCCTCTACTTCCCCATCCCTTAGTCCCTTCTGCCCCAAAATATAGCATAGCATTTTGTTACGTTAATATACCAACAGATATTTATTTATTCTACTGTTGATGGACATTTGGGATTTTATTTTTATTTAATTGCTGTTTTCAGATTTTGAACTTAATAGATGCATATATAAGAGAGTTCACTGCAGGTTTGGGGATGAGGCTGTCAAGTATGTATTTTTAAAATTATATTTTAGTATCTAGTTTTTAGGACTTTCCCGATTTACGTGGGAAAACCCACGTAAAACTGGATACTAAAATATAATTTAAAAAGTACATACAAGGTTCACCAAAAGACTTTTATAAGAATGTTTGTAGCAGTATTTATAATAGCCCCAAGCTGGAAAGCACCCAGATGTCCATCAACAGTAGAGTGCATGGATTGGGCTATATTTGTAGAAGGAAATAAATACTATGCAGCAACAAAAATGAATAAACTGTAATTACATCTCATGGAACAATATGAATGAATCTTACAAAAATATTTTGAGCAAAAAAAGTTAGAAAAGAGTATTTACTGTTTGATTCCATGTGTGCGTAGTTCTGTGTTGGACAAGAAGATCTTTAGTGTTAGAGTTCAAGGCAGTGGTTACCTTTGGGGGTGGGAGGGTAATAGCAATCGGAAGGAGACATAGAGTGGCCTCAGAAGTGCTGGCCCTGCTCTCTTTTCTGGGTTGGGTTCTGGCTACATGAATAAATTTAGTTTGTGAAAGTGCATCAAGCTGTACACTCAGTTTGTACACTTTTCTGTAAGGAGGTGGTATTTCAATAAAAGGTTCAAAAAGTGACTGTTTTCAAAGTCCATAGCAAAAGGGAATATACTCCCTCTACAGAAGTCCCCTGGTGGGCACCTCTCCATTCCTAACCTTGTCTGACTGTCTCAGGCCTCCAATCCTCTAGGAGCGCTGTCTCCAAGAATCAGCTCCTCTTCTCCACTAAAATGGAGAGCACAACCATCCACATAACATTGCCTGGAGCTGGGGAGTATTCATTTTAGGTCCTAGAGTGACACCGTAGGAGCCTTTGGCATGACTGTCCAGGTCGGGCTTTAGTATTCTACGTCTCATTGCCTTTGAAGTCTCTCTACCAGTGTGAAGCGAAGATACATTCCCTCATGCTTCCCTCTCAAACCTACACTCCCACCACTATGACAAACATAGCTATATCGTCTAATTCCAGCTATAGTTTAATTCCGTATAAAGGACAAAAAAGCAAAAACACCTTTTTCCCCAAAGACAACATAATATACAAATATTTTAACTCTTTATAAGAGCTGTTTCACCCCATTTTCTCATCCTCCTACAGTGGTTCAGAGTTCAGTCTCTGAAGCTTTCTATATGTGTGACATGTGGGAAACAGCCCTTAACACGAGAGGCTCCAGTTTCCTTCTCTGTAAAGTGGGGACAGACGTTAGGGTGGACCTCCCTCAAAGGATGGATTAAAGAGGATTAAGCACTGTGCAGAAAGCCCGGCACATCATAAGCTCCTAAGTTTTTGCAGTGATTGTCATTGCAGACCTTGTCTCACTGAAGGAATACAGCCGTCTGTCCTTGAAACTCCCCTTAGCTGCACAGAGAACCAGCAAGAGCAGAGCAACTTCTTGAGCAGAGCTTCTCTTCTAGCCATCTCTGGAGGAGAGAGAGGAGCCATAGGCACTTTTTTTCTTCTCTTGTCCACAGCAAAGCCCTGGAGTTTCTGTCCTCCAGTTCCATGGCTTTCTGATTTACTTTTAGTGCCTGCCTGTAGGCAGGCACAGGGCAGGGATTATTAAAGCTTGAGGAATCCAAGAGCCTTTTGGACTAAATATTTCTACCACTAGTACTCATGCGGGTCTTGCCAGGGATGGGCTTTCAGCAAGGGCTGCTCCATGCTGCTGGGTGGTTTGGGCGGCCTCACCTGGCCGCAGGCCTTGCTTCTGATCATGCTCGTTCTTGAGCTTCCCATGCCGAGCCTCGGGCTCACCCAGGGCCACTGTGCTTTGCCCTGGGGCAGAACAGGGTGATAGGTAACACAGCTTCCTTTGAGGGGTGTCTAAAGGGATACACCATGTCCAGATAGTCTGGCTTTATTGCTCTAATCCAGCCATAAGGGCAGAGTGTTTTTTCTTTCATTGTGGTAAAATACATACACTTAAAGTTTAAGATTTTAACCATTCTAAAGTTTACAATTCTGTGACATTTAGTACATTTCCAGTGCTGTGCAGCCATAACCACTACCTAGTCCTAGAATATTTTCGTCATCTCAAAAGGAAATCCCACACCCATTTAAGCAGTCACCCTGCACTTCCCCCTCCTTTCTTCCCCTGGCATCCACTCATCTGCCAGAGTATTTTTATTGCACCTAGAATTTGGTTTCAAAGAGAAAATGTCATGCGCTTCCCCCTGCCGCACCTCCCAGCTCCCATCCGGCTTCTTTGGGTCTCTTATTAAGTGTTCCATCTTAGGAGTTTTTGAGTGTGGGTCCCTGCTAGATTTCCAAGAATCTCTGAATACCATTAATATTCTCAGAATAATTTCTCAGGGTTTTAGCAGGAGACATAACCAAAGGTTTCCGACTGACTTAGGCCCTGCTCACCCTGTCACCAAATCCTATTTTTTGTTCCAGTCATCCTTCCTGCCACCCTGCTGCTCTTCCCCACCGCGGCATGGGCTAGAGGGCAGTGAGTGGAGCTCCAGATGATTCCAGGAAAGCCAGGCTGTCCTGAAAGGAGCTCTCAGAGCTAGGCCTTTCAGGGCCTCCTGAGCCCTCAATGTCACCTGGCCGCCCTCTCCTAGATCCTAGGGGCCAAGGTGTAGTGGGGGCCTCCAAAAGATATGCTCACCTCCTACTCCCTGGAACCTGTGAATGTCACCTTATATGATAAGAGCTGTGATTAAATGAAAGATCTTGAAAGGAGGAGCTTATCCTGGATTATCTGGATAAGCCCTAAATGCAATCCATGCCTTATAAGAGAGACATGATTTAACATGTCTTAGAGTGAGACACACAAAGGAGAAGACACAGAGAAGAGGAGGAGGCAACGTGACCACAGAAGCAGATGTTGGAGTGATGCAACTGCAAGCCAAGGAATGCCAGGAGCCACCAGAAGCTGGAAGAACCAAGGATCAAATCCTTTCCTAGATCCTTTGAAGGGAGTGCGGCACTGCTAACACCTGGATTTCAGACTTTTGCCCTCCAGAATTGTGAGAAAATAAAATTTGGTTGTTTTGAGCCATTTAGTTTGTGGTAATTTGTTACGGCAGCCCTAAGAAACCAATACAAAAGGGTAAGGTAACTTTCTCAGCAGTCATAGGGCGGATTCTCATTGCCACCTTTGTTAGTTTCCTATCACTGCTGTAACACATTACCACTGATATAGAGGCTTAGAGAAATACAATTTTCTGCCCTATAGTTGTGGAGGTCAGAAGTCTGCATGAATCTTACAGGGCTAAAATCAAGTTGTTGGCAGGGGCGGTGTGCCTTCTGGAGGCTTCAAAGGAAAATCCATTTCGTTGCCTGTTCCATCTTCTGGAAGCAGCCAGCTCCTGGAGGCATGGCCCTACATCGCCCTGACCTCTCCTCCTGTCCTCACATCTCCTTCTCCGACCCTCCTGTGTCCCTCTTACAAGAAGCCTTGTGATTGCCTTGGGTACCCATGTGGCTAACCCAGGACAATGCCCCTGTTTTAAGATCTTTAATTTATTGACATGTGTAAAGTCTCTTTTACTGTGTAAGATAACACATTCGTAGGTTCTGAGGATTAGGGCATGGGTGTCTTGGGGACCATTATATGGCCTCCTGTACCATATTGCTTTGAGGCCTGAGGTGACCACACTTCACATGCCCTTTTGCTAATAGGAGACATTCCAAGCTCTTATGTGAGTCAGGATTCAGTTACAGAGAACAAAATTGACTCTGGCTAGTTTAAGCAGAAAGGGTTATATTTCTAGGTAGTAAATGGGTTACTAAAAATTGCAAGGGCTTAAGGAACAGACTCCAGACTGAGTGTTCAGGAGCAACTCCTAAAACCATACTTCACGGTGGAGCTGTCCAGGAAGCTGCTGTCCTTGCTATCACTGAAGGTTACCACTGGACATCCTTCCCCAGGACCTTGCTGTGACAATTTGCATCCGCAGAATGGATGTCCTCTGGTCCTCCTGCCCACTCACCTTCTGTGTCCCTCCTACTTAACTTAGTTTCTTAATCAGTTCTCACCCTAGTGTAGATCTGCTTGGGGGATCATAATGTGTGGAACCCTGGCTGCAAGGGTGTATGGGAATTGGTTTTAGCTTTCCAGACTGCCGTCCGGGAGACACACTAAAGAGGTTGGAATAAATGCGGAGCAAGCACAGCATCTCCCATGGGAGCCATCAGAAAACACGGTATTGGGTATTTAGGAGCCTTTTTTAAATCTACAAGTCAATGGGACAGCTTCATTGTAAGGGAACCCTGAGGCATCTGCCAGCTTTCTGGAACTTTCTGGGTCATAGAATCACTGTGCACTCATGGATTTTGGAACACCCCAGAAAGTTGGGCTCAGGCTGCCAAGTTGTCCATAAATAAGACATACCCCCTACCCCGACTCAGCTCCTTCAAAACCCAGATCCAGACCCCTGTCCTCCCCAGTCCCATCTGTTGTCTTGGTTACCTCCTTGCCTTTGGGCTCCTCATCCGCTCAGTTCTTACAACCCACTTTTTCATGCACTGCCCCTTTGTGGCTCTGTTTTCACATGTGTGCATTTGATGACTGCAGGTTTCTTAGAGTAAAAATCGTATGCTCTGTTTCATTGATTCCTTTCTTCTTTCTACCACCCTATATCATCTGGATATTCCAACCCAGTTGGAGGCCCATTGTTCCCCCAACAAAACCTTGATTCTGCTGCATCTATGCCTTTGCTCTCCCATCCATCTCTGCTTCTTTCTGTGCTCAGCACGAACTCTACCTTCTCTGGGAAACATTGCCTTTCCCCCTGTCCAGGAGTTATATTTTCTCCAAACACTTTGCACTTTATCTGTTCTCCACTTGTAGCATGCACAGCTTTTATTTTCATATTCTACTCACACCTGTAGTTCTCCAGGTGGGAAGTCCTGTGAAGGCAGGAACCACTTCTTGTCCATCCTTGCAAAGCTCCCAAAGACAACCGCAATGGCAAGTTCATAAAGTTCAATAAACGTTGAGTCACTTCACCCCTTTGAGACCACTTCCTCATTTGGAAAATCAGAGAGTGGCATAACAACAGTTAAAGATAACAGAAATATTGGAGACACTGCTATGAATTTAAAAAATGTCTACAAGGAAGCAAGATGTGTTATGAAAGAAGGTGATGACTTTGCCATTTTATGTGCTTTTTTGCTTACACAGCTGTTTGTAAGCCCCCTGAACCACATGCCTGGAAGATTCACCATGCATGAAATGGCAGCATGGTTTGGGAGGATATAAATGGTGGCCAGGATGTGGCTGGCCTGGGGTTTGTGTTCTTGACCTGTCTCCCAAATGATGCACAGGAACTGCTAATTACCTTCTCTGTCCCTTTGTTACTCCATTTGGGAAATTAGGTTTCAGATAATTGACTTTTGGTGCTTCTTAAAGCTGTCAGACAAAGGGTCACATGAGCAAATGGACATTGCTTTTTCTGGCTTAGCATATTCAGAAAAACCTCTCTTGCTGGCCAACTTGGCAGGTGTTCTGGAACAGAAGTCCTGGCTCCTAAGTTACAATAATAAAATGTTTAAGGGTACCAAATTGCCAATTGGCTTCTCTCCTGGTTGATTCTCTATGGAAGGATGTCTGTCCTCTGGGGCAGGGCTCTGGCAGCAGCAACACTCCAGGGCAGAACTGAAATGCTAGAGTAGTTCCTCCACAGCACCCCACTCACACCTTCACTATTCCTTCCTCTTGTTACCTTTCCTGCCATTTGCTACTTATCTTGAGTTCCCAGGGTTAATGGCCAATGAGGGACTTTTCCAATACCGTGGGTGTTGTAAATATTCTTGTTGATATGACCTGTCCTGATCATGTGGGCCAGCTTCTCCATACTGCTCCCCATTGTCATCCTTGGTGGAACCAAAAATGACCCATAGGTAACTGCCACCTCATGCTGGAGTTGTCTGAAGAATCATAGGTCACCCTGCAGGTTCTCCTTGTCCACTGTCTAGACAGAGCTGATTTATCAATACAGGGGAACTGCAATAGAGAAAGACTTTAATTCACACAGGGCCAGCTGTACAGGAGACTGGAGTTTCATTATTACTCAGATCAGTCTGCAAGAGAACTCAGGGACTGGGGTGTTTGAGGCTAATTTGGTGGGTAAGGGATCGGAAAATGGGAAGTGCTGATTGGTCGGGTGGAAGATGAAATCATAGGGAGTTGAAGCTGCCCTCTTGTACTGAGTGAGTTTCTGGGTGGGGGCCACAAGACCATATGAGCCAGTGTATTGATCTGGGTGGTGCCAGCTGATTCATCGAGTACAGGGTCTGCGAAATATCTCACGCACCGATCTTAGGTTTTATAATAGTGATGTTATCGCCAGGAGCAATTCAGGGAGGTTCAGAATCTTGCAGCCTCCAGTTGCATGACTCCTAAGCCATAATGTCTGTCTTTCTTTCTTTCTTTTTTTCTTTTTTTTTTTTTTTTGGTGGGGTCTTGCTCTGTCGCTAGGCTGGAGTGCAGTGGCGCGATCTCGGCTCACTGCAACATCCAACTCCCTGGTTAAAGGGATTCTCCTGCCTCAGCCTTCTTAGTAGCTTGGATTACAGGCACATGCCACCACTCCCAGCTAATTTTTGTATTTTTAGTGGAGACTGGGTTTCACCATTTTGGCCAGGATGGTCTTGATCTCCTGACCTCATGATCTGTTCGCCTCGGCCTCCCAAAGTGCTGGGATTACAGGCATAAGCCACTGCTCCTGGCCTTTAATTTCTAATCTTGTGGCTAATTTGTTATCCCTGCAAAGGCAGCCTAGTCCCCAGGCACAAAAGAGATTTGTTTTGGGAAAGGGCTGTTATCATCTTTGTTTCAAAGTTACACTATAAACTAAGTTCCTCCCAAAGTTAGTTCAGCCTACGCCCAGGAATGAACAAGGACAGCTTGCAGGTTAGAAGCGAGACGGAGTCAGTTAGGTCAGATCTCTTTCATTGGCATCATTTTCTCCGTTTTAAATTTTGCAAAGGTGGTTTCACAAGCAGGTGAATCAACCCTCCTCCACTTCAGTTAGTCAAAGGGACTGGTGCACATGAAGCTCTCTCATGGTCTCTGTGGTAAGCAGAATAATGTCTCCCAAAGAGGTCTACATCCTAATTCCTGGAATCTGTGAATATGTTTACCTTATATTGCAAAAAGGACTTTGCATATGTGATTGAGGTTACAAATATTGAGATGGAGAGATTATCCTGGATTATCTGGGAGTGCCCAGATCACAAAGATCCTTAAAAGTGCAAGAGGGAAGTAGGAGAGTCTGAGATGTGATGTCAACAGCAGAGGTCAGAATGATGTGGGTCACTGTAATCTCGGCACTTTGGGAGGCCAGGGCTGGAGGATCAGTTGAGGCCAAGAGTTTGAGACTAGCCTGGGCAACATAGCGAGACTCCATCACTACAAAAAATTTTAAAAATATAAAGAATGATGTGGGTCAGGAACAAAGGGATGTGGGCAACCTCTAGATGCTGGAAAAAGCAAGAAAACAGATTGTCTCCTCGATCCTAGATCTTCTAGAACGTGGGTCCCCAACCCCTGGGCCATGGGCCAGTATGTTAGAACTGGATGGCACAAGCAGGAGGTGAGTGGCAGGCGAGTGAGGGAAGCTTCATCTGTATTTATAGCCCCTCTCATTACCACCTGAGCTCCGTCTCCTGTCAGATCAGCGGTGACATTAGATTCTCGTAGGAGCGTGAGCCCTATTGTGAACTGCGCATGCGAGGCATCTAGGTGGGCACTCCTTATGAGAATCTAATGCCTGATGTTCTGTCACTGTCTCCCATCACCCCCAGACAGGACCGTCTTGTTGTAGGAAAACAAGCTCAGGATTCCCACTGATTCTACAATATGCCAAGTTGTATAATTATTTCATTACATATTACAGTGTGATAATAATAGAAATAAAGTGCACAATAAATATAATGTGTTTGTATAATCCCAAAACCGTCTCCCCGCCCTGGTCTGTGGAAAAATTGTCTTCCATAAAACAGGTCCCTGTTGCCAAAAAGGTTGAGGACCGCTGCTTTAGAAGGAAGGAAGCACTGCTGACACTTTGATTTCGGCCTAGGGAGAGTCATTTTAGACTTCTGACCCCTGGTACTGTAAGACGATAAGTTCGTGTTGCTTTGAGCCAGAAGTCCCCAACCTTTTGGCAATAGGGACCTGTTTTTCCATGGATGAGTGTGGGGGGATCATCAGGCATTAGATTCTCATAAGGAGCGCATAACCTAGAACCCCCACATGCACAGTTCACAATAGGGTTCCTGCTCCAATGAGAATATAATGCCACCACTGACCTGACAGGCAGCAGAGCTCAGGTGGTAATGCTCGCCCACCTGCCACTTCTTGTCATGCACTTTCATGTCCATTTCTTCGCTTGATCCCTTGCCATTTCCCAGTACCAACTTTTCATTACTTGGCTACCAGTCCCTGTGGCACAGCCACTCCTGCTCCCTAGTCAGGAAACCCTGTAGGTGATCTGCATGATAAACACTGGAGCCCATTTCTTCCAGGGCTAGTTCCCTGGCACTCCATTCTCCCCATGTAGACTCCAGACAACCAGCCTGCTTTTCTTCTCCCCTTTACAACAATACCACCATTCCTTTTCCCCTGCTGCCAACATTAGGTACAGATGGGCCAGTCCAGTCTCAAGACAGAAACCATGTCCGTTATTTAACAGAGAAAATTCGATGTAAAGAATTGTTCACTAGTTATTAAAGAACTAAAGAGGCCAAAAGAAAATACTAATGTATCAAGAAGTAACAATTGGAGGAAGCAATTGCCATCCCAAAGGCTGGGGGAACAGGAGGAAGCAGTTGAAACCATCTCCGAGTTGAAGCTCAGACTTCTGTGAAGGGGGCACTGATAGGCTGGGGCCAGTGTGTCTGAACTTGGAGGAGGATCCTTGATGCTGGGACCCAGACTTCTGAGGAGGGGGCACTAGCTAGCTGGTGCTGGCATTGCTGAGGGTGGGAAATGAGGTTGAGTCTGCAGGCATTGCACAGAATGCACACTGGATACAGTTGCTTCTACTAGAATAGACTGTGGCTGCTGGGGTGAAGAAGTGAGTGTGGGGTGCCATTGTCAGGGACAGGAAGTAGAACATATCTTCTCTCTTTTAAGGTTGCCAGATATAGCAAATAAAAATACAGGATACCTAGTTAAATTTAAACTTCAGATCAACAACAGATTAATTTTTCAGTTAAATATGTTCCATGCAATATTTGGGACATATTTATACTAAAGATATATCTGTTGGAGCAAGTGGAAGGGGCCAGGTGAGCACAGATACAGGCAAGGAAGCGTTAGGACTCTTCATGAAACGGCATCAAAGTCTCTGCTTTGATTTCCTATCTTGAAAAAGATACGGCTCTTTTGTTTCTCTCTGTCACAGAATGAATAACAAGCACCAGCAAGCAGAAACCTAACTTATGTGGTTGATTTCATGGGTTCTGACAGTTCTGTTGTGTTTCCAGCTGTGACACTAGCTGCCTGGGAACATGGCTGGGGCATGGTCAGGACGGTGGGTCAGCTGGCCCGTGCTTTCGTTCCACTCCTTCTCTTTTCTCCCTTTCAAGGTCTTTCTTTTGGTACTCTGGTGTTCAAGACCTGCCCAATCTGGCATCCACCCACGTGGCACTCTCATATTTCATTTCAATTGTAGTCCCCCCTCAGTACTGGTCCAAAAGGAAAATACAATCTTACCCGAACGTGATATGCTTGTTTATTGCAAAAAGCATGCTTAGAGGTTTATTATCTTCCCTTAATAACAGATGAACATGACTGGACATAAGCCCGCAAATGACCGAGATCATTCTTACCTAAGATATTATCAATGTGCTTTTTATTTACCAAAATGGAAATAGTTCTGCTGTTTCTGATTTTGAAATACATATTTATTACATAAAGTTCAGGAAAAAGAATATAGAGTAAAATTAAAATTATGAATATCCATATTCCACCTACATCCTGGAATATAATTTTCCAGATATTATACTAAGCAAACGCAAACATACACACGTGCGTGTATTCACACACCACATTTGTTGTGATTTTATTTAATAAAATAGCACGTTGCTCATGTTAACTAAGTTTTACTGTGGCAATAAATTAACTCTGGATTCTCAGTGGCTTAATAAAACAAAGATTTATTCCTGCTCATGATGCTTTTCCAACACAGGTTGGCAGGGTCTCTGCTCTACATGGCTTTTCAGCGAGCCAGGCTAGCAGAGACTCCACTGTCTTGTGACTGCACCATCTGGACCATGGATGGGGCTTCTTGGTTACTGAGAAGAGAAAGAAAGACTGGACATTGGCCAATTGGACATTGGCTTTTTGCTTCCTCAACCCAGAAATCACACCAGTCACTCTGCACTCATCCCATTGATCAGAGCTAGTCCTGTGATTCCATCTAGTTTCAATGAAACTGGAAAGGGAGGCTTGCTGCCTGCCCAAAAAAGGAGGAGGACTGCATGTGGAAATACTAGTAATATCTCCCACACATGGGTTCATACTATCCATATTAACTTAGAGTCTACTGTTTTCAGCTAACAATTTGTCATGGGCATCTCTCCATTGGTATCATTATTGTTTTCAGTGGCTGCACCATATTCTATTCTAAGGTTGCATCATATCTTATTGAAATAATCCCTTATTCATGGTTGAGGATTAGATTAGTTTATTTATTTATTTATTTATTTATTTATTTATTTATTTGGAGACAGAGTCTTGCTGTGTCACCCAGGCTGGAGCGCAGTGATGTGACCTTGGCTCACTGCAACCTCCACCTCCCGGGTTGAAGTGATTCTTCTGCCTCAGCCTCCCAAGTAGCTGGGATTACAGGTGCCCACCACCACGCCCGGCTAATTTTTGTACTTTTAGTAGAGACAGGGTTTCGCCATGTTGGCCAGGCTGGTCTTTTGAAAACAATGTTATGAAGAACATTCTTAAACATAGTCCTTGCACATTTGCTGAGTTTTTTTTCCTAGTGTGAGTTTTCATTACATACAATGTACAGTTGGCATTGCCAAATGCCTGCCAGATGAGAAGTCAGTAAAAGAAATCATGGTGGTGCCACTTTCTGATGATATCAACGATGATATTAATGAATGTGATTTTGAAAATTTTGTATAATGAAATATGTCAACATTTTGAAGGCCTGAATAATTTGCTGAACCAATATTTTTCAAATTAACAATAAAGAGCATTATAAAATCATGGATAAAAGACTTATTTAAAGAATTAGATAGACCAGTACATTTTAATGTAATAGAGTACAAAAATGTCCGTGATATAATTTCAGATGACACATTGGAAGCAACCTTTAAGAAACTACCATATGTTGAGTATTGGTTTAATATCAGAGAAGAATATCCACAATTGCCTGAAAAGGCTATTAAAAGACTCCTCCCTTTTCCAACTACTTGTATGTATGAGGTCAGATTTTCTTTATATACTTTAACCAAAACAACATAGGCCAATAGATTGGATGCTGAATCAGATGTAAAAATCAAGCAGTCTTCTAGTAAACTAGACAGTGAAGAGATTTTCAAACTGTAAAAGAACAAACAAAACAAAACAAAACAAAAAAACCAAACCCTGTCCTTACCAATATTTTGTCTTAAAAAATGTAGCTTTTTAAAAATAGAAATCATGTTATTTATGTTAACATGTAATGGTTACATTGTGTTTATTTATTTATTTTTTTCCTAAACACAGGCCACTCATTGTGTTTATTTCTACATGCCTTAGCAAACAAATATTTTAAATATCTCTCAGTTTTAATTTCCAATAGGTATATATCAATAGATATGATACAAGGAAGGAAAATGTCTTTGAAGTTATCAGTCCTGTTCAATAAAAGAGTATTAGTCTTTTCATTATTGTTTGCACTTCTCCAGTCAGTGCAATGGGGTAACTTACCCTGTAAGATAAGATACTTTAGTGGCTTTATCATTTCTGGCTTGAAAAGCTGTAAAACACTATGTCTGCCTTTCAAAGAGCTCATCATGCCTACACTTAAATATTCTATTCTGTTGTCTTGAAACACTGAATGATTAGACTCAAAAGGATGCAGATACTTAACAGGCACCATAATCCTATTTGAAAATATTTGGTTACACATGGCACAATAAGGTAAATTACTAACATTTCTAAAGCCAAGAGAACAAGAATGTTTGTCATATTTCTGTTTCTTATTTATAGTTTTTTCCAGTTTCTTTGGCATAGATTCCTCATTTTCATGAGTCAGTGAATTCTCTGATACATCTGTTTCATCTCTCTTTAGCATCTTTAGACTTAGATGGTGCACCTGTAGGTTGAGAAAGCAAATCTTTCAATCTTCTTCAAGCCAATGGGCAGTAAATACGAGACAAATACTTTATGTGTTTGTTTCTTTTATTTTGAATAAAATACGTAATTCTAAAATAAGTTTTAGGTAACATAATTCAGAAACTTTTTCAAAAATCTTTTAAGTATTATTGCAAAATCTGACAAGTTGCATTATTTCTTGTTGGTTTTTGCATAGCCACAAAGAAAACTTTGAGATTTTAAAGTGATGATTTACAGGATGATAAATGTCATTACAGAGGAATAGTAAATAAGAAATAGTGAGACAACAGCAAAACACAGTAAAAGCACAGAGAATGAAGAGTTAATCCTCAAAATGCATATATTTATTCTCTAAACTTACTACATTTGAATATTCTAAAAACACATGAATATACAAGCTCATCTTCTAATAACTATCAAATGATGATTTAATTACGTTGTATGGCTTTAGAAAACTCCACTCTTTATTTGTGAAAGAATGAAAGTGAAAATGGCCAACAGACCTTACTAATATAAAAATAATTTTGGACTGGCAGACTCTTGGAAAGGATGTTGGGGACATTCAGGGGTATCAGAACAGATTTTAAAATAATCAGGGCTCCAGATGACCTTTAGAATTACAGTTATCAAATTAAAAAAGTTAATACCATATGGAGTTTGGTTGGGATGACCTTAATGGTGTAGTTTTATTTGCAAAGGATTGATATCTTAAATTTCTTTTTTGTCTTTTAGCAAAGTGGCATAATTTTTTATATGATACTTTTCATGTCTTGGTAAGTGCATTAACAGGTATTTCATATTTTTGTTGAATCCAAAGCCTCCTCTATACTTTTAATTTTTAAAATAACTTCTCCTTTGGTGAGTTTATTCACTCCAACAGCTTCAATTAAAAAATTATATTTGTATTACTCCAAAATCTGTATCTCCAAACCAAAACATTTCCTGAGCTTTCCACACATATATACAACTCTGTTTAATGTTGTCATTATAATTAAGAAACCCAATATTACAGAACAGAACACATTAATCTCAGGTAAACCGGAAGACTTCCTTTAGAGAAAAAAAAAAAAAAATCCATTGGTTTCCATGACAACTTGATCACCACTAAGGGCCCCACGTGAAATTCTCCACTTCCTACAGGATAAAGTGAAGACCCTCACTGTGGCACTAGTAAGCCTCTTCTCCAGCTCCTCACCCAGATAGCCAAAGTCCCAGCATGTCAGACTGCTAGGACCCTGGGAGCAGGCCAGTGTGTCCTTCCATGTTTTTTCCCTTCTGCTCAAATGCCATCCACTCCTCAAATCTTTCCTTCACTTCCCCCAAGACCCACACAAAGTTAGATGTCATTGTTTTGGAGGTGCCATGTCACTTTGAACACACCTCTGTTCTAACACACATTTCATTGCATTATTCTTAGTTTATATTAGGTTGGAGCAAAATACAACCAATACATCTGTCCACATCCCTAGGCTGCAAGCTCTTTGAGGCCATGTCGAGTGTTGTTTTTCTCTAATGATCCTTACTTCCTGGCACAGGACCTGGAACATCCCTAGGCCTGTAACAGATGCTTGTTGAAGTGAATTAACAGACCAACAGCATTTCGAATGTTGAGCTTGCAAACTTAACCTAGAAAGTGACAGAAAATATCACAAACATTAATGTAAAAAATGGCCTTTGGTGTCCGGGGGAATAAGCTTTGGAAGTTACTAAAGGGCAAATAGTTTACAACCAGTTGTTTTATTGAATGTCTCATGCAGTTTAATTTGGATTGATTGCAACTTTGGAAAACCTGGAACCAAGGTAGGCTTCGGGAAAACACAGCTCATAATGGATGCAGCTAATGACCATTTTCAGGTAATTGGGTCACGCCTGAGCAGCCCTGTCCTCAGCCTGGCCTGCCGCAAAAGCTGCCAATGGAGCAGCCCACCTATCGTGTTTGCCTTTTCAAACTATCAACAAGGGACCTCCAAGCAATCAGACTTCAACCACCAATTAATCTCTCTGGATGATGTTTGTGGAGCACTTAGTGAGTTCCCACAAATGAGCTCCCCATGGCCTGACTTGCCATAGTGGTTGGAAAGTGCCTGCAGGCTGGAAGCCTGGACGTACTGCTCGCAGGATGGTCGGAGGGCCTTGGGGCTCTCCCAGCTGGGGCCTGCAGTAGCACTACAGGAAGTTCTTTAAAAATTCAGCAAGCCACTATGAAGCAATCTGTGGACTAAAGCCCCTCAAAATGGGCAAACCTTGTCCCAGACCTCCTTGCTGACTTTCCTCTAGGATCAGGCCTGTTATGTACCAATAGGAAACCCCCACACCTTCCCTCGTGAAAAAGAAATACAGCCTGGAGGTTGAGTACATGAGTGCTGAGGTCGCCTAGCTCCACATTTGAGTCCAGGCTTTACCATTTAGTAGCCATATGACATTTAGCTTCCTAATCTGCAAAATGGGGAAAATAATAGCTCTTAACCCATAGAGTTACTGTGACGATTGAGTTAATTTGGCAAAGAATTAAACCCAGTGCTGATGCATAATAAATACTCAATTAAATGTTAGTCATTATCAATAATGGTGAGCAGGCAGCCTAGTGGGTCAGGGAGAGACCAGCCAGCCATTCTGACCCATAGGGGCACGTCCCTCTTTTCTCCAGTAGCATCTGCCACAATCTATTGCAGCTGGTGAATGGTCCGGGTTTGGAATCCTCTGGGGGAAAAGCAAAGTGCAAAAGGACACAATGTGTCCTCTTGGTAGGAACTTTCCTTTAAGTGCAGGCACGTGGGGAATGAGGACAGAACCCACGGAGCTCCCCACAGAACACTTCCTGTGCGTGGAATGTGTGTCGTGCTATGCTGGGCACTGAGAAGGTAAATGCTGTCTACTCTGCACTGCAGCTCGGTGGCTTTCTCAGTGCCTAAAACAGGACAATAAGAGAACAATCTTCCTCTCTCCTTCCCTCCCTAGGTAGGGAGCTCCTTGAGGGCAGGGATTCTTTGTTTGGTGAAAGCTGTTTTTTTTTGAAATGAAGTCTAGTTCTGTTGCCAGGCTGGAGTGCAGTGGTGCAATCTCGGCTCACTGCAACCTTCACATCCCAGGTTTAAGCGATTCTCCTGCCTCAGCCTCCCGAGTAGCTAGGACTACAGACGTGCGCCACCACGCCCAGCTAATTCTTGTATTTTTAGTAGCAACAGGGTTTCACCGGGTTGGCCAGGATGGTCTCAATCTCTTGACCTCGTGATCCACCTGCCTCAACCTCCCAAAGTGCTGGGATTACAGGCGTGAGCCACCACACCTGGCCTAGTGTAAGCTTTTTATTGTTAGGTAACATACATGGAGAACAGTGGACAGATCATAAGTGTGCAGCCTTATGAATTTTCACAAAGTGAACATACCTGTGTAATCAGTACCCAGATCATGAGAAAGACCAATCAGCTGCCTCAGAGGACTGCCACCCCATGTCATGCCCTAGTCATTAACTTCCCCAAAAGGTAGTCTCCATTATATTTTATCCATCTTTTAAAAACTTTCAACTGAGTGTAACATTGGCAGTGAATAAAGGATGCTCAGTGAAAGCGTGTGGCTGGAAGGAAGGGTGGGACAGAGATGTACAGGGGCTCAGCTCAACTCTGCTCCTTATGCAGCCTCATCTCCATCTGCACCATGTGCTAAAGGAAGCTACAATGCCCCCTCTCATCCCTAGCCCCAGTTTTGAAATGTTCTCTTTCCGTGTTCCCTACACATGGATCTGTCCTGATTTTGCCCTCTCAATAGTGAATCTTCTATTCCTATTCTCTTCTTCCCTCTGTCTTGGTGTTATTGGAATGCTCTAAGTCTTTCTTTAAAGTATCTGCTAGATTTTCTAATGCCTATGAACTGGAATTAGAAAATGTAATTCATTTCAATATTTTGGACATTCAGCAGTTTGCCCACTATGGCTCTAGGAAGATGACATATTCATTAGCAACATTGCCTGTTTTCAAGGAGCTTGTACCATAATTGGGAAGAAAACACAGAAAATTAAATAGTGCAGGGAGGGTGGGAGGAGGGAGAGGAGCAGAAAAGATAACTATTGGGTACTGGGCTTAATACCTGGGAGAGGAAATAATCTGTACAACAAACCTCCATGACACATGTTTATCTATGTAACAAACCTTCATATGTACCCTGAAACCTAAAATAAAAGTTAAAAAATAAAATTAAATAGCAATATGGTGCAAGTGAAAAGTACACTACATACATGACTAGAAGGTAAGAAAGAGTTAGAAGACAGTGATCTGTCAATGATACAAACACCACAGAGAAGTGTATCACATATTTTATCACTAATCTATAATATTCGAAGCAAGAACAAACATTTGGTATGGTTTTGAATTGAAGAAAGATAGAAGTACTGAAATCAAGAGGACTCACCTCATTTCCGGCAAAAAGAGAACAATAACAACAACAAAATCTTCACCTAGGAGCAAGACTGGGAAATTTAAAAATATCATGTATTAAAAAAGGTTTCAAAAATTTTCAAGAGTCGACACGAGTCACTTGCAAAAACAAAAATAAGAATTAAATCATATTTCCCACAAATGAAAATGGTTGTTAGGAGTCCTTGGAACTAGGTTCTCAATGTTTTGAGGAAAATTGATTTTGAACTTTAAATTTTATACCCACTGAAACTATCATCCGAAAGAGGAGATAAAATAAAAACAATCTCAGGTATTCAAATAGTGGGAAATGTTATCTCCTGTGCACTATTTCTGAAGAAGTTATTTAATACTATGTTCCAGCAAAATGAGCAAAAAGCCAAAGAAAAGGATGATGTGAGACATAAGAAATAATATAAAGCAACCTGTGAATGTGAAGAAAATAAATCCCAGGATAATGGTTGTACTGCAGGCTGAGGAAACAATTTTTTTCTAGTCAGAATTAAGTGGGCTCCAGAACAATGCCTCCAAAAATGAGAAAAGAATTCAATCAATATATAGAAAAAAAACTGTTAGGAAAAACACAGATATCTTTTTTCAAGAAGGAAAAAATTCTATTTTCAGGAAAAACAAAATATACAAGAAATTTGTGGCCTTACCACAAAGCAATTCCTGAGGCCTTCATCTCAAACAGGGTAAATGCTGGTCTTCACAATGTTGACAAGGCCCCATTTGAGCTGGCCTCTCACTCTCTTTCTGACGTCTTCTCCTACTACTCTTCTGCTACTTTACATTGCTCCAGCCAGAATGGCCACCTTGCTTCAGAATCTGCTGCAACAACTTAGCCAAGGTCATGCTTCCACTTGGCAGCCTTTAGGCAATGATGGAACATGGCATGGGGACTGAGGCCTGGCCATTTCTGCCCCATACAGGGCTCCTATGGGCGATCTTCTGAAGAGCTCCCCATTGGATGGGCAGAGGTTTTGTGTGCCCTGCATGGCAGTTGGAGGCTTTCTCTCTCCAGCCCTGCTTCTTTCACTGGTCTTACTCCTCCTCCACCCCCCAGTAAATATCTGCTTCTTGGTGGAACTGAAACGACACAGCCCAGCCACACATGGATGCCCTATTTTAGGTATAAACCATCATAAGCCCATGTGGTGCACTCACATCACCATTTGTCATTGAAAATATTTGGTCAGTGCCAGTTGGACATTCATGAGGTAGCTCTACCTCTGTGTCACCTTGGAAGAAAATAGTCTCTCAATGGGGGAAGGAAGGATGGTTTTGGGCACCAGTACCTCACCTTTGGGAAGAAAAAAGAAGAGATACTATGAGAACAGGAAGGGTCTCCATTCTTTTCTTAGTTAATATTTTTAATCTGTTAACTTAAAGAGAAGCAGGGGTCATCTATTATGTATTTGAAACACATCCTGGTTTACAAACTATGTCCACATCTACACCTTCCTGATTCCCCCATCAACCCCATGATTTTAACCCACATTTCACTGACAAGAAAACTGAAGTTCACACAGGTATGCCATCTGCAAAAATTCCAGAGTTAGTGAGGGTGGAAGCAGGGCTTGCAAATCCATGATTTCATCTGGGTCTCACAGAGACTTAAATGAAATTACAGTAATTTTTTTTAAGAAAAAAATTTTTAAGTAGTTATAGGTTCATGGCAAGATTGAGAAAGGCATGAGATATCCTATATGCTCTATCCCCCCATGCACAACCTCCCTCATTAACAACATCCCCCACCAGAATGGTACATTTGTTACAATTGATGAACCCACATTGACACATCCTAGTCATTCAAAGTTCATAGTTTATATTAGAGTTCACTTTTGGTGATGTAAATTCTATGGGTTTGGATAAACATATAATGACATGTATTCATTATTGTATTATACAGAGTAGTCTCACTGCCCTAAAACTCCTCTGTGCTCCACCTAGTCATCCCTCCTCTGCCCCAACCCATGGCAATTGCTGATCTTTTTTTTTATTTTTTGAAATGTAGTCTCACCCTGTCTCCCAGGCTGGAGTGCAGTGGTACAATCTCTGCTCATTGCAATGTCCGCCTTCTGGGTTCAAGCATTTCTCTTGCTTTAGCCTCCTGAGTAGCTGGGACTACAGGTGTGTGCCATCACACCCAGCTAATTTTTGTGTTTTTAGTACAGACAGAGTTTCACCATGTTGGCCAGGCTGGCTTCAGGTGATCTGTCCGCCTCAGCCTCCCAAAGTGCTGGGATTATAGGCATGAGCCATGGCGTCTGGCCTGATCTTTTTATTGTCTCCATAGTTTTGTCTTTTTCAGAAGGTCAGCTAGTTGGAAACTTATAGTATGTATCAGACTGGCTTTTTTCACTTAGTAATATGCCTTTAAATTTCCTCCATGTGTCTTTTTCCTGGCTTTTCATGGCTTGGTAGCTCATTTCTTTTTAGCACTGAGTAATAATCAATTGTCTGGATGTACCAAAGTTTATTTATCCATTCACCTGTAAAGGACATCATGGTTGCCTCCAAGTTTTGGTAGTTATTAATAAAGCTGCTATAGATACCCATATGCAGTCTTTGTGTGGCCCTAAGCTTTCCAGTTAGGGAATTTTTAATCACCCATGCTTCATAAAGGAGAGCATGTGGCTCAGAGATGTTCAGGGACCTGTGCCAGGTGGCATAGCTCAGACTCCCCACAAAGACCTAGTGTCTATTCTGGTATGTGGTCCTGCCATTCAGATAGTGATGCTGTCAGTTCTTGCACTGATAAATAGTAATTAATTAGCAGTAATCAGAGTGAGGGGCTAATAGTTTGGAGAAAAACAGAAGCCATTAAAGAGTAGATTCAGCACCATCACTGACTTTGTTTCATAATGTTTATTTTCCATTCATATGGCACTCAGCATGCCTCATATATTTTTAATGAGAACATTCTATTAAAGCCAATGGAATTGATTTTTAAGGAAGCATTAGGACCAGCAAAATGTGCCTCCCGTGCAGTATTGACTAAGATCCATTATCCTACCACATTCATTCTGACCTTATCATCAGCTGACAAAGAGAAATAGGACATTAGTGTGTTTACAAAAACCTGTATCTGAGAATGGGCAAAGGCTGGAGCCCACTGTGGCTATGAGCATGTGCCTCTCCTGAATGGCCTTGCATAAAGAGCCGGCCACAGAGTCGGTCTGTGCATGGGCAGAGTGAGGCATTCGAGGAGTCCCTTGGCCTCCACATGCTCCTCCTCTGTACTCTCTAGGCCCAGTGTCTTACCAGCTGCAAGTCATCAATGGCCCTCAGAGCCCAAAGCAGAGTGCTATGAACAGGCTCTGGCTCCAGATACTCTTTGTGCCTCAATTTCCTCCCCTGTGAAATAGGGATCATTATCATACTTATATAGTTTTTTGGGGAGGACTAAATTAGTTAATATACGTGAAACATTTAGAATGGCACATGGCATGTAATTTGAGCTACAGAAGTGTTAGCTTTTATTACTATTGTTGTTTTTACATCTACAAGAAGGAAAGCATCATTAAATCTATCAGAAGCAAGGTACAGATTCTCCATGTGGTTCCTTAGGTGACGACGAAGAGATTATACACAGATTATCTTCAGGAATAGAAGTTGATGATAAGATAGAGAAAATTTCCTCACCAGGAGTCTATGGACTGCCTCTGTTTGTTCAGGAGTATGACTGATAACTTTAGGTTGTAAAGGGTGTGACCCAAGGGTCAATAACTTTAAGTCTCAAAATGCCGTTGCTAGCTACCTTTTATGTTTGCTGGGTCTTTCACCTGTGGGGACTATCAAGCCTTTGAGCCTTTATGGGTTTGGATGTATAAGTCTTGGGCAGAGCTAAGTTGTCTTGGATATGAAAGCATGAGGAATTTGAGGTTCTGATAATAGTCAGGTGTCAGCAAGTTGGTGTTTGACGGTAGGCTGAGGTGAAAGACAGATATCAAAGTAATCACCACTAAACACAGACAGTGATAAGGCCAAGGAAGGATGTGACAGAACACTTAATGTGGAATTCTGAGTGGCTTGGAGCAGGACTCAGGACATTGGTTCCTTCCTCTGTCCTTCCCAAGAGCTCTTCAGGTGAACTGCAAAATTCATGGAGAGGTAAATATTGGTCTTAAAGAGCAATCAAAGACATGGAAATGAAAAGAATCACAAACAGTACTCTACTATTAAAACAGTAAAAATAATGGCATCATTGTGATAAAATAATTTCTCCAGTATTGCTCATGTCAGGGTTATCTTGCAATCCTTTGGGTAAATAATTGACAATCTATATTAAGGTTATAAAGCATGTATATCCTTGAATGTTAATCCTTCTTCTGGGAATTTACCCCAAGGAAATAGTTTAGAAGAAAAAAATTCTCAGTTATGGAAGATGTTAAATGTTGATTGCAGAATTAACTTTAATACGAAATAAAGGAACAGACCAAATCTTGGAAAAATGGTCACATAAAGAATTTTATAACCACTCTATGGAGACCTAGGTGGTTATTACAATGGTAATTTTTAAAGCAAAATAGAAAATGCTTATGATATAAAATTGACTATGAAAAAACAGGACAAACAATTATATTTACAGATGGTCCCTGAATTACAGTGGTTCAACTTTATAATTTTTTGACTTTAGGATGGCGTGAAAGTGATACTCCTTCAGTAGAAATATATTACACTTATTTCATGACAATGGGCAGTGGCAGCAAGCTGTAGCTCCCAGATAGCTATGCAATTTTCATTTATAATATTTTTCAACTTATGAGTGTTCATCACAATACAACCCATTGAAAGTCGAGGAGTATCTATATACCTTAATAAGCATGTAAGCTATGCTTGCATGTAGACAGGGATTAGATAAGAATACAAATAAATGAAGCAAGGTGATGTGCTGAAGGGTGAAATAGTGTCTCTGAGTACTTCAATTTTTCAAATCCTTTATTCTTGTTAAAGTACCATAGATATTCTATTTCCTTTCTTGGCAAGGAGATGGGAAAAGGTAGGAGGCCCAGGCACTGTGGGGCTCTTGGCTAGGAGTGAGATTAGGCAAAATTCCTGGAGGTGGAATGAGAGGCATCTTGGATCTGCAGGATGGGTCAGGCTGGTTGCAAGGAGAGGGTAACTCTGCAGGGCAAGTTTAGGAATCTAGACAAGATGGAGCACAACAGATAAGATTCTCAAAGGAAGAGAAATGGTTGGGGTCTTTTGAGGGCACTCATCTTTGGGGAGAGAACCAAGCAGGACAAAAAGTCAGAGAGGACTCCACGGTGGTAAGTTCTGTGCTTATCCCATATTGGCTTTTCAGGAGGCTGGTAACCTGTTTAGCGGCTTTATCAAGGTGGAAGTTGAATTCCCCTAATAACCCTTTTGTTTGAGTCCTTCCCAGCTGTATAGATACTAGAGTTGCCCATGACATTGCTAAGAGCCAGGAATCCCTGTACCATATACTCTGATTCCTAGTTCTGGGCTGCTAGAGTAGATCACCAGAAAAAGTGGATGGTACATTGTCCATGCAAAGGGCGAGGTATAAATGTGGGGACTATTTGGCAGAGGCAACGGGAGTCAAAAGTTACTGGGCTGATGATGTCTATGATACAGCAAGAGTATTTGGGAAAAGGCACAAAAGGATATAAGAGGAGCAAAGGGATGCAGGGGCTCATATCTTTTCTGATTCTTGTTCACATGTCCAGAGGAGAGCAGTTGCCATGTTGCCTAAATAACGTGACCCTTACTTCCTTCCCTCTTTCCATCTCTTAGCTGGGGTAGTGCTTGCCTTTAGAGCAGTGGTTCTCAATTAGGAGTAATTTATCCCCCAGGGACATTTGGCAATCTCTGGAGACATTTTTTGGTTGTCACGAGCAGAAGGCGGTGCCATAGGCATTATCTAGTGGGTAGAGGCCAGGGATGCTGCTAAACATCCTACTATGCACAGGACAGGACTGCACGACAAAGAATTATTCAGCACGGAATGCCAATAGTGCCCAGGTTGAGAAACCTTGCTTTAGATCCAGGACAGGACTGCACAACAAAGAATTATTCAGCATGGAATGCCAATAGTGCCCAGGTTGAGAAACCTTGCTTTAGATCCAGGACAGGACTGCACAACAAAGAATTATTCAGCACGGAATGCCAATAGTGCCCAGGTTGAGAAACCTTGCTTTAGATCCAGGACAGGACTGCACAACAAAGAATTATTCAGCACGGAATGATGTCAATAGTGCCCAGGTTGAGAAACCTTGCTTTAGATCCAGGACAGGACTGCACAACAAAGAAGAATTATTCAGCACGGAATGTCAATAGTGCCCAGGTTGAGAAACCTTGCTTTAGATCCAGACTTCTTACTGGAATGCTCTACACCATGGCCAAGAGGAAATAAAGATAATGATGATGATGATGATGATGATGATGATGATGGTGGTGGTGGTGGTGTCCCATACTTATAAAGCATTCACAATTATTTATGCACTTTTGCATACATTAATTCATCAGCTCCTTTCAATCCATTGAGGTGGGTAGGAATTATGATTCCTATTACTCCTTTTTTTGAAGTAAGGAAGTCTGAGTTGGGAGAGGGCAGTAATGTGTCCAAGGTCACACAGCTAGCATTAGGCAGAGATGAGGATAGAAGCATTTGTGTCTCATGACTTCTAACTGTATGCTTTCTCCCACTGCACTCTGTTGAACTCTGTGGACAGAAAAAGAGAGAAAGGCTAAATGATGCTCTTAGACTCTGAATCTGTCCAGGGCTTTACAATTAGTGGTGGAGCCAGAATTCCTCATTCCCAAACTAACAGAAACAAACACACCTAAGAAAGAATGAAAGGGTATGTGGTATTATAACTGAGGCCATTGTGGTGTTGAGAATTTAGCTGTGTATCTAATTCTTCCAGGCATTTTAGATCAAGTAGAAATCCATGTGCAAAGGGCAACACTCATTAACTTTTTATCTCCAGTAGTAGATACTCCACTGTAACTATTGATAGCTGAAAGTTTTATAGATCTTCCCCTGGGGCTAAGTATGAAGTAAGTGTAAACTTGTTTGGTATTTTCATTATTTGCCAAACAAAAAAAAAGCCCCAGAAAATAAAAAGCCTCAATTGCATCCCAAGCATGTAGGGTGGAACTGATATTCACTAGTTTTCATGAAGCCCCGCATCCCCAACCAATGTTATCCCCAAGACACCAAGTATGACACCAGCAGCCCCCTTAACCGAGGACAATGTTGTCCCTTTCTTTAAGAGTATCACAGACAAAGGTTGGAAACCCAATTGATTAATTATTCGCTGGAATATAAAGTTGGCATTGTAAAATTTGCAGCTATAAAATAATCAAGAATGGCACTTAAATGGCTGCCCAAATGGCCAAGTTAAACCGTCCGACATTATAGAGATAGAGCATAGAGGAATCTGAGTGAGAAGTGAGAGGCAGAGCCAGGGGAGGGCTGGCTCAGTGACACTGTTAGAGAATGACCTGTGGCCCCCTGGGTGAGTAACGTTCCTCTGAGCACCGTAAATTTGTGTATTCAATCGGGGTTGGGTTGTGCTATGAGTAACAGATATTTTAATAGGAACACTTTCACCTGGAAGACATCAAAATGCTGCTTCTTGTATTACTGTGAATGGGTACTACACTTCCATAAAAGGTGAGGTCCAGGATGGGAGAAAGCTCTGGGGCTCCACCCACGTCAGAAACACCTAGAAGTAGACTCAAAGGCTGCTGGGAACACCCTTGAGGTTTGTCCTGTCTGCTTCGCTTGGTTCCATCAGAACTACTTGGCCCACATGGCCAGAAACTCCTGCACCTCACATCTCAGAACTTTGCCACCAGAGAGGGGCTGATTCTTCTTAACCAGATCCACTGAGAAAAACCCAAGGGATAGACCCTAATTAATCACATGAGTCCCATGCCCTAGCACTAGGTACTAGGATAAGCTGTTCTCTCCGGAAGTTTGGAACAAAAAACCAAACTTATAGCAGTTACTGTTCCAAGTACTCATATTTACTCACTGAATCCTCGTCACAGCATTATGAGGTACCCCATGAGATCGTCACTCTTACAATCAGCTCTATTCTAGGGATGAGAAAACTGAGACACAGAGAGATAAAGGGACTTGTTCAAAAGCACATAGCTAGTAAATTGTGGAGCTGAGATTAGGGAGGTTAAGCCCCACTGGAGGCAAAGTTCTGAGATGTGAGATGCAGGAGACTCTGACTGTGTGGGCCAAGTGGTTCTGAGAGAACAAAGCCATCCCACATTACAGAGAGATAACACAGAGAAATCTGAGTGAGAAGTGGAAGGCGGGGCCTGGGGAGGGCTGGCTCAGTGACACTGTTAGGGAATGACCTATGGTGCCCTGGATGAGTAGGGCTCCTCTGAGCACTGTGGATGAGGGTACTCCATCATGGTTGGGTCATGCTATGAGTAACATATCTTAATAGGGCCATTTTCACCTGGACAAAATCCAGACAATTTTGATCCGAAGTTGTGCTTTTTACCACAATTCCACACCACCTCTCACTGTATGTTAGAGGCGGGAGAAAGAAAAGCTGCCCCCAAAAAGGGGGATATTGTTCCCAGAAGAAAGGAGGAGTAGGTGAGCAGAGAAAGCAAGGGAGATCCACTACTTATTCCTCAGTCTTATTATCTGTAGAACGGGGATGGCATGGACTCCATGTCCTTGCGGTGCAGGTGAAATGAGCAAAGACGCAGGAGAGGCAGAGTGTCTGAGGGCAGCACCCACCAAAACCCATACATCCATCCTTATCCAAGCACACTCCACCTTGCACCAGCATCAGCACCTCACGCTGAGTGGTTACTGCATGGTCAGTGTTTGTTTTCGTTTTACTCTCTCTGAGTGTTTGAAGTGTCCCTTTGAAAACTCTAGGAGCTTGCGCTAAAGGGAAAGGAGAGAGGGCTGTGTCCACGCAAAACAGGGGAAACCATGTTCTTCGGGGGCCCATTTGAAGATGGCAGCAGGAATGGGGGAGCAGAGACCCCTAGGGAGGAGATGAGATGCAGGAGGGGCATTTGGGCCTTGGGGCTGGTTCACTGCTTCTACGTAAAAGCCCACCTTTGAACGCTGCAATCTTGGGGGCCCTGTGTTTTGTCGTAATGAGGAAGCTGGGAGCCCTCAGAAGGGCGTAAAGAATTTCTCGTGGCTCTATGACTTACACTGCCTCAGTGCTTGCCTTGCACTGAAGCAGGCCCCAAGGTCAGATGTGAATAGGTTTGTTTGAAGGTGAACAAGTGAAAGTGAAAAAGTAAAAGCCTGGGGTTAGGCCACACCTCAGCTCCCAGCTTCTGGGGAGAAGGGAGATTTGAACAGCTTGGAGCCCACAGGCATCCTGGAAGAACTCCCATGGCTTTCTTGATAATTGACACAGTGTGCAACTTCTGCTTATTCAGGCCCAGAGGCCTGGGAGGGTAGGAGTAGAGAGTGGGGTAAGGGTGGTGGATGGAAGGAAACTTAGTGGGAAGCAGGTGTATTACCGGTGGAGGGTGTCCAGGTTCTTGGCATCTTGAACAAAGAATTGGACAAAATGCACATTCAAAGCAAGGAAAGAATGAAGTAACAAAAGCAGAGATTTATTGACAATGAAAGTACACTTCACTGGGTGGGATCCGCGGGAGTACATGGGCTCAAGAGCCTGGCTACACAATTTTCTGGGGTTTAAATACCCTCCAGAGGCTTCCCATTGGTTACCTGGTGTACACTCTATCTATGTAAATGAAGTATTGGGCTGCAATCAGAAGCTGAAATGAAGTTGCAAAGGTTACACCCTATGCAAGCTCTGACTGGTTGCAGAAAGCAATCAATCAGAGGTAGTTTCAATTTTCCATCTTCCATGCAGAAGCGGGTGGGGGCTTTTGTTAGTTAGGTGTGGAAAGTTGGAGTTTTCCTTTTGATTTAGTTCTAGTGTAGCAGGAGAAGCCGCAGACAAAACCCCTCAGACACTGAGTCAAAGAAGGAAGGGCTTTATTCGGCTGGGAGCTTCAGCAAGACTCATGTCTCCAACAACCGAGCTCCCCGAGTGAGCAATTCCTGCCCCTTTCAAGGGCTCACAACTCTAAGGGGGTCCGTGTGAAAGGGTTGTGATCGATTGAGCAAGCAGGGGGTACATGACTGGGGGCTGCATGCACCAGTAATTAGAATGAACAGAACAGGACAGAGCTTTTCACAGTGCTTTTCTATACAATGTCTGGAATCTATAGATAACATAACCGATGAGGTCAGGGGTCGATCTTTAACTACCAGGCCCAGGGTGTAGTGCCGGGCTGTCTGCTTGTGGATTTCATTTTTTGCCTTTTAGTTTTTACTTCTTCTTTCTTTGGAGGCAGAAACTGGGCATAAGACAATATGAGGGGTGGTTTCCTCCCTTACTAGGAAGTCAGAGTGAATCAGCCTTAGGTTCCCTGCCTCCAGACCCTATTCTCTTGCCTCAGGTGGACTTCTGGAGCAGGGCCGCTGAAGCTCCGATTAGGCCTCTGCTTCCTCTTCCCGGTGGTTTTTTCTCTTTCTAACCTGTAGGTCCATCCTGACTTTGTCCTTTCTGGGCTTGCCATCCACAGCACATTTGTAAAGAGGAGTAAGAGTTTTAAGTAGAGTTCTACAGCCATGGCTGCTTACTGTAAGCAAAGCTGATTTATAGACTGCTTCCAAAACCCATATATCCATCCTTATCCAAGCACACTCAACCTTGCACCAACATCAGACTGCATTTCTGTGCAGACTTCACCCTACACAGGAGGCTCCAGACCCTGCATACGGGAGGGATGAAAGGTATTTTTGATTCAAGTTGTGGAAAGGAAGAAGGGAGAGAAGTTTATCATTCCTGCCAGAATTCTGTGTAAGATCAAATTCCTGCTTTAAAAAAAAAAAAAGTGGGACTCACTCCAGCTAAACAATAAATCATGAAATGGCCATGTTAATTGCTGTTGAAAAGGAGGCACTAAAATTCACTTTGATGGGAAGTTATTCTTGTTTATATTTCCTTTCTGTAGATCAAAGGGAACCACCAGCCTTAGCCTCTCCTGACATTTGCATGTCTTAAGCATTGTTCTTTTCATACAAGAAGACTCGGCATCAGATATCCATTTCCTCAGGCTATTTTAGGTAGGAATTAAAGAGATATTAGGGGAATTGGCTTTTTTTACATTTTTAAGTGTGTCATGAGTGATTGAAGAAAAGCACTTCCTTTGTTCACATATTCCAAACAGCCGGGTGAAGGCTCATAATTACTGTGGAGGAAGCTGGGAAGATGGCAACTCACCTAATCCCTGATTACATTAAACGATGCCACCCTCCTCTACTTACAAGCTTAAGTACACTGGCCTTCGCTGCCAGGTTCAGGTAAGAAGGAGTGCGGCTCTACCCACGGAGAAGCAAGGCTTTGATTTGTGATAGGCTTTCCTTGATGTAGTCTTGCTGACTATAAACATCAATTAAGCAGCTACTGTGTGATAGGAATTGCGTGAGGTATAGGGAGAGTGAAGATGAATTAGCCTCCATCCCTTCCCTCAAGGAATTCACGGTCTTGAGTCCCAAATAACTAGCCGATTAATTACAATGCAGCTTTACAGATGCTTAATCATATTTGCGCAAAGTTCTAGAGGAGCACGGATTCTGCTTTGAAGATCAGAGAAGCTGTGTCTTGAAGGCTGAGTACCTGTTCTAAGATCAAAGAAATGGAGAGGGGACTCAGGAATGGCTGAGAGGGCTCATGAGGCAAGAGGTCTGAGATGGTAAAGGACATTTGGGGGAACAGAGAGCAGTTTTATGGCCATGGCCATGGGTAAGGCACATTGGGCAGGTGTAGGGGAGGCAGCTGGTGGGTTTAGCATATAGGAAGGGGAGGAAAGAAAAGATTCTAAAGCCCTAGCAAGTCCTGTCAAGGGGTTAGGTTCCTTTTTTTTTTTTTTTTTTTATAAGAGTAGGGACCTATCCAAGTTATCTGAGAAGGGGAATGCTTGAAGTACATGATACTGTGCGTTTTTAAAAAAATAGTCACGGTATTAGTACAGAGATCAGCTTGGAAATCAGTGGGACTATTTAGAGGCAATAGTCCAGATATTGAGTTGAGAGAACTTCCAAATAATAACAGAACCAAGAATGGAGATGAACAATCTGATTCTAGAAATATCTTGAAGTTGTTTGGGAGAAGCAGAGGTTTGTTAGTGATAAAATAAAAACCTCAGCCTAATTACATTTAAAGGGGTTTAATTGAGCAATGAACGATTCTCAAGTCAGGGAGCCCCCAGAATCACAGTAGATTCACAGAGACTCCAAGGGTGCCTCATGGTCAGAAAAAATTTATAGAAAAAAAAAAGGTAGAGTGACATGCAGGAATTGGAAGTGAGGAACAGAACACAGTTTGAACACTCAGCAGTCTATGAGCAGTCTATGAAGTATGGCCGCTGGGATTGGCCAACACTCAGCTATTGTTATGGGTGCATACTATTAAGTTAGGTTTTTGATTTTGTCTGACTATTAAGCCTGGCTACAGTTCATCCACAAGGACTCAAATATAGAAGTACAGAGTCCTTCTCAGGCCATATTTAGTTTGCTTTAACATTGGAAAACCTGAGTTTAATAATTAGGTTTACCACTTACTGGCTGATTGATAGTGGGTAAGACAATCTCTCTAAGATTATGTTTTCTTGAGCTCTCAAATATGGATAATAATAATAATACTCATTTCATACATTGAGGATTGTGTGGGGGCCATGAGAAGACACTGCATAAATCAACAAGTATAGGGTGCTTTAAAGGCCGAGGATCATTGCTGTTTTTGTGCCCAGGACTTACCAGCTCCTCTAGTCAGTGACTGAACTGGGCAGGGATATTAAGGCAGGCCCATTAACAGGACACTCAGAATTCCTTTAACATCTGACTTCGGCTTCCAGACTCTCCACAGGTCTTGGTGAGCCTCTTTTAGACTCTCTGGTGCACGGGACGATTCCATCCAACCTTCTCTTCCTCTCCCCTTCACTGAGGGAGACTTGGGTCGTGTTCTCCCCACCTTATCTAGCCCCCGGTCCCATTTTCTTTCACAGGTGGCTTTCCTAAAAAAAATCCTTGCACATTAATTGTTTCAGCATCTGCCTCTAAAAGGACCCGGACACAACCTAGACTGAGATAGTGATTTGTAAACCTTAAACTTTATTTATAGTGATCCAAATATCCATCCACATATCCATGTACCCAAATATCCATGAATAGATAAACAAAATATATCTATAACGTGGAATATTATTGAGCCCTAGACACAGAATGAAGTACTGACACATGCTGTAACATGGATGAACCTTGAAAACACGAGAAGGTCTTTTGAAATCAGCCCAAAGGATCACATCTTGTACTATTCCATTTATATGAAATATTCAGAATAGGCAAATCCATACAGAAAGAAACAAGATTACTGATTGCCAGGGGCTGGGGGTTAAGCAGGGCGGTGGAAATAGGGAATGACTCTTTATGGGTATAAAGTTTACTTTTTGGGACTGGAAGTTTATTGGAGTGTTCATTTTAGTTCCGGACCTGCACAGTGGTGATGGTTGTGCAACACTGTACGTGTACTTTACTCACCAATGTGTATACGTTAAGATGGTTAAAAGAGTAAATTTTATGTTCATGTATGTTACTACAATAAAAAAACTTTATGAGGGTACTAGGCATATTATTATTACAAATACAGTTCTTTACCAGCTACGCATGCTCCCCTCTCAGTTGTTCCTCAATCCTCTCTTACCTCCTTTCTTTTCCCCACTGATCCACAGAAACTCTTTTGCTAAATCGCCAAATCCACCAGACAATCCTCAGTACTTATCTTACCTAAGTTCTCCGCTGCCTTTGACACTGTTAACTCCTCCCTGTTTCTTGAAATCCTCTCTTCTCTTGTTTTCTCTGTGGCACCCTTTGCTCCTGTGTTCCTCCTTTTTCTATGCATCCTTAGGGGTTCCCGGGGGTTTTGTTCATGGTCCTCTTCTTTCTCAATCTGTTTTCGAGAAACTTGCAAAAGTACAACTCAGCCTAACATGCCTGTCCAAGTTCCAGACCTGAAGAGCTCCAGCCTCCTCGTGGATCCCTTTATCTCAACACGTCTGGAACAGAACTCATGTGGGTCTCTTTCTGGGCTTCTTATCTCAGTAAATTTCACCACCAAATATCCAGTTCTGAAGCAAGAAACACTGGGCTTCACTTTTGATTCCTCCCTCCCTCTCAATGCCCAAATCTCATGGGTCTAAAGTCCCATCAATGTTATCACTTGCATATTTTTGAAATCCACACCATTGCAACCCATTTCCAAAGTAGACTACTGATTGCCAGGGGCTGGGGGCTAGGCGGGGCAGGGGAAATAGGGAAATGCTTCCATTTTCATTCTCACCAATGCTGTCCTGGACCACTGCAAAGCCTTCTGACTGGTCTTCATGCTCTCCTCACCTCCTCTTTCTAAAGCATCCTGCTTAACATTGCTAAAATAATTTGTCTAAATGGAAATTTGACCGTATTACTCCCTAGCTTAAAATACTCCGGGGGTTCCGCATTGTCTCCTCCATAGCATGGCCATAAAGTCCTGCAAGAATCACATGCTTTGGCCTTTGTCCTCCTCCAGCGTGTCATTCCTTGCAGGTGACCCCTTCTGGTCCAGTGGGTCTCCATCCTGGTGTGTCTCAACCTGTGGATGATGCTTGAGCCCTCCTCTCAGAGATTCTGGTCTGGAAAGGGCCCTAAACGTTGTTGTTGTTGTTGTTGTTTTAAGTTCCCAGAGCTGCTAATATGCCTCCAGGGGTAGGCACAACTGTGAACCTAGCCCTACATGTGAAGGGTTTGCAAGTGCCAGGTCCCGAACCTATTGAGTAGAAGGAACCAAAGTAAGCAGCATTGCCTCCGTCATTTCCCACCCTCTTATGATATTTTAAGGAAAGGGTTTTTCACTCAGCTATGCAGCAAATATTCCTGGAAATCTTGCCTGGGTCATAAGGAAATGAGGGCTCTTGTATTGCCTAGCTCCCTTCCTTTTGCCTGCTAGAGAGGAGATAGGGTAGAGGCTTTCACTGCGTAAGTTGAGCAGATAGTTGTATGCTCCTTATGAGCAATTGGGTGAGGGTGGCAGCGGGTGGAAGATGACCATCAAGAATGGTCTGTCTCCCTTCCATTGCTTGAATTCCTATCTACCTGATGGTTTGCTACAGCTGCAGTAACAGTAACAAAGACCACAAACTGAGTGGCTTCAACAACAAACACTTAGTGTCTTACAGGTCTGGAGGCTGGAAGCCTGAGATCAAGGGCTGATTCCTTCTGAGGGCTGTGAGAAAGAATCTGTTCTCTGTGTCTTTCCTAGTTTCTGGTGGTTTGCTGGCACAGTCTTGGTGTTCCTGAGCTTCTAGATGCATGACCACGATCTCTGCCTTTGTGTTCACAAGGTGTTTTCCCTGTGTGTGTTGGTATCCAAATTCCCCCTTTTTAAAAGGATACCAATCTTACTGGATTGGGGCCCAACCTATTCCAGTATGACCTCATCTTAACTAATTCCATTTGCAATGCCCTGATTTCCAGGTACTGGAAATTAAGACTTCAACATAGGAATTCTGGGGGGAAACAGTTCAGCTCATAACCCTAACAAGAGAGTGGCAGGCCAGAGACTTGCCAGACTGATACCTAAAAAGGGCAGCTACACATTCAAAACAGGGAGTGAGTCATCCCTCTTCTCTTGTCTGTCCAAAACAATTCAAACCCAAGAGGAGAAACGAGAAAGAGACCACCTTTGCAGATAAACCCCAAATCCCTAACCCCATACATTCTGAAGTCATCTTAATTTCCTTTTAATCCCCCAAATCCTGTTGACATCTCAGATCCCAGTTGCTAATTAGCCATGCTTCTATTCAATGTGTTATATGCCTAGTTATTGGGCAGATGCATACTCTCATTTGATAATAACTAGCTAAACCCAAAATGCCTTTTATGGATGTGATATTTCATCATTCAAATCTGATTAATAAGACCAGCTTGAAGAAATTGCGGGAACTGATGTTTTAGTTGAAGGGTTAAAAAGAAAATAACATTTGGAATAGTGACACTGAAATTAAGTGACATTAAGAACAAATATCTAAGTTTCTCTCTCCACACCGTGGTAGCCAGCCCCTCTTTCTTTTCTCTCATTTTCATGGGGTATGAAGAACTTTTACTTACATCATCCTGGTGCAGCGTTTTTCCCCCTTGAACTACTGACATTTCAGGCTGAATGACTGTTTGTCGTGGAGTCTGTCCTGTGCATTGGAGGATGTTTAGCAGCATCCTGGCCTCCACCCACTAGATGCCAAGAGTGTCTCCAGACATTGCCAGATGTTTCCTGGAGGGTAAAATCACCACTGTCTTAGAATATACAAAAGCAACTTTGTCACTCTAAAATACTATGCAGATGTGTGGAATTATCTCATTTATTACTTCCAATAGCCGAGTGGTTTGTGTAGATGGGAAGATGGGGAGAGTTGTTTAAATGACCTGCTTCAGATCCCACTGCAGATCTGTCTTAGTCCTATGCTCATGAGATTACACTGCAATCACCACAAGCTTCTATTCTAAAGGGTTTTAATCATTCTTTCAGATAGGAAAGGGTGTTGTCCCCAATTCACCACCAGAGGACATCTCTGAGAGTTAGCCGTGATATTCCTGGGCTTGATAGGACATGGAGCCCATGCTAGCTTTTCATCTAAATGCTGCTAGCACTGCTCACATATTTGCATACAGTTCTTATAGGACAATGCAGCCATGCGCTTGCTTGCAGAGGAGACGTGTAGATCTTTCCTAATGTTTATTTTGGGTTAAGTTCTCTTTGCAGGGGTATCCATAACTACTGAGAATTAGATCCTTATGTTTAAATGGCATAAAATGCAATGTGTGAATGAGGTATCTCCCCGCCCTCCAAAAACAAAAAAAAAATACATAGCTTTTCATGGTCACGAGGGCTAATCTGATTCTGGCTGCCACTGTGGAAGGCTTAGTTAATCTAATTAAATGAAGCTAGTGCCTCCTGATTTCCTAGTCCTGCTCTCCCTTCTCCATCAAGGAATGGCTTTAATGGCCCAACAAAGGGCTCAGCCTGGTGCACCATGAATTTGAAATAATGTCCCGCACTGGGTTAACTGAACTCTCCTGCCAGCAGAGCTGATGCCATCTGCCCATTTATTGACAGCCTTGTCAGCAAAAATCTGGAGTCTGAGGGTTGGCAGGCAGCCAACTTGCTTTCCACTGTCTCTCCAGTGTCTCAGTAACAGATGTTGTGCCTCATGCCTGGAGCTGCTGTTGGCAAATCGCTGCATGCTCATGTTATTTATCAGGGCGTGGAGGGAGGGCAGGAAGGGATACATGTTTTCCAGGAAGGAATTTGTATTCCTTTCCAGGTTCTTGGTTTGCAGATTAAAAAAAAAAAAAAAAGCATTTGAAACTGACTTTTAAAAATGTGAAATAATCAGCTTATTGTTCAATACTGAAAAAAAAAAAATCTTCCAAACCATGTAACTATTTCAGGTGCCAAATCACAAGTGACGGAGGTTATGTGGACTTGAATGTTTGCCACAATTCCTTCCCCTTAGGAGCTCCCTGGCCTTGGAGGATGCCTTTTAATTATATTGTCATACAAAGGAAACTGAATTGGGAGCATTTTTTTTTTTTTTGCAAATAATACCTCACTCGTAGTGAGTTCTTACCCCTAATCAATGGAAGTTAATCAGAGTGTTCATTGAATGAATAAAGAGTGAACTGTGATTCAGGGAAGGCACAATGTGTATGTCCTTGATACAGGAAAATTTTCTGGCAGTACCTTCATTTGTAAAGGAGGAAACAGGAAATAAGCGACAATTTTAAAGAAATGAATTTCAGCCTCTATATGGAGCTTCGTACACAGGTCCCGACCAGCCATTCTACATTGAAGATCTCTATTTGGAAATTCTTGTCAAAGCAGTTTTATGAAAGGATTTTTTTTCCCCTTAGGTGTAAGGCACTCAACCATTGGTTCACGTGGACTCTGTGTTTGTCCATTCAGCCATAACAAAGGGAATCTTGGATCAGGACAGAAAAATAGCACAGAGGGAATTATGCCACACTGACCCCCAGAAAGGGGAATTATTTACCTGGAGAGTGGGGAGAAGACAGGTGGTACTGGTGGGAGGTTTGGGGTGGGGGAGGGGGGTGGAATTTGCAGCTTCCTGAGCCAGGGAGCAGCACATTTAAGGTGTTTCCCTGCCGACTACTCCTCTTTATGCACATCGAAAAGGCAAAACTCCTGAGAGGGAATCAGAGAATTTGTCGGTGAAAAAGTCCAGAAGGACCTCTCAGCATAGGCAACAGAGTCTGTCCAAAGCTATCCAAGAAATGGTTTGGCACCTGGGAAGCACCAGAAGCCTCCTACCACTCCCGGATGTCCAGAGGCGAGCAGGTCAAGCAGCAAAACTGTGCAAGCTGCTCTCTTGCGGGTGGTGCTCTCTTGTGTTGCTCGAAGACAAATGTCACTGTCTTTTAATGAGCTGGTCTCAAGCATAAATAAGACAATAAAAGCCTGATGCAAATGAGTGCAAACCACTATGGTTGCAAGCCCCCAAACTCACTGGAGAACGCATAATTTACATTTTCAGTTCTAGTATTGATGCAGTAGTACTATGGATCGCCACTTCTGGCATTTGTATTGTGCTTTGTAGTTTAAACGTTTCTTTCATACACATTTTCTTACCCATTGGAAGGCTTTCTTCCTGGCTGGTGTCCAGGCTACACTGTCCATTCTGGTACTTCGGGTTAAGACAGTGGCATGGGTCTGTGCCCTCTCATGCTAATAAGACCTAGGAGCATGCCAGCTGCTGGATGTGAGTGATGCTGTGACAGAAGACTGAAATGTATGTCAGTGCTTGTGATCTGGGGGAGATGAGGTTCTGAGAGGTGCACTGAGGAGTAGTCAGAGATGGCAGGAAATTGCAGGTGGGGTACCCCTTTTACTTGACAAATGAGGACTTGGGCTCTGGGCCAAAGTGGCTGCAGGACAATGTGCCCTGTGCCTAAACCCAAACTGGGGCCGCTAGGACGCCTGAGGTTTAGGCCATGGGGATATGAACAGAAGGCGATCATTAACTCTAATGGTAACAGCAGCACTGCGGAGGGTGAGGGCACTGCTGTTTTTGCAGAACAAGGGGTTGGGCATCTTGGTCAGGCAAGGAGGCACACGGCCCCCGCGCACACCCTTTTAATCTGCTTCCCAGACATCCACGGGGTTCAAATAAGTGGTGAAATCAACGAGGGCACACTTGCTGCTGGTGGTAGAGTGAGCAGACTCTGGCGGGGCTATGGTAGCTTCCTCTGGCCAGCCCATCATGAGCTTTGGGAAAGGGCTTCCAGGATGACAGGCGATGCAGCGTCCATACCTGGGCCTTCTCCTTACCTTTCCCTCCCGGGAAGCTGAGCAGTGTGGTTTCTGCTGCCTCCACCAACTGGAGCCTCTGCTTCCGCCTCTGCCTCCATTCCTGAGTTCCCGGCAGCTGGTAGGACGCCCGTTTCTCTCTCTGCACTGGCGCAGGCTGCGAGGACCGAGATAAAGGCCATTTGGAGCCTGTAAGCATAACGGAGCCAAGGACAGGGGCTGCCATTTTATCAATGCCCCCTCCATGCCAGGCAGCCTCCCCTCCCGGGAGCTTTGCCCGGCACTGCCAGCGCAAGATGCTCAGAGGCCGGCTGGCTCAGGGATGTTCAGTTGTGCAAAGCTGCCTGTCCTCCACCTGGTGCAGAAGATGCCGCCTGCACCCAGCCAAGGCAGCCTTCTTCTCCACTCTACCTCGGCCGGCTCTTTCGGACCTCGGCGTTTCTAGCTGACGCAGGGAGCCGTTGCTAAGAGGCTGCTTGGCTGGAAAAGAATGGCGAGCAGGTGTGGGGGTCGCAGCATGCTCTCCCGGCCCTGGCTGCTGGCAAGCTAAGAACTGCAGGCGCGGAGTTACCAGCAGTTCGTTCTTTGTTCAGCACCCCCAGCCAAGCTAGGCTGCAGCAGCTCATTTTTCTGCGCCTTAATACCTGCTCTGAGAAGCAGGAGTCGCCTGGCAGGCAGCCAACGCCCCTACTTCTCCTCCCTTTCCTCTCCTGCTTCCTCTGCCTTTGCAGGAAGGGTCTGGGGCCGTGACAGCACTTTATTGCTGGAGGAAGGGACACCTCTGCCTGTGGGTGCAGAATCCACACTTCATTCTTGTTGTTGAGTTGCCAGCTAGTTCCCTGCAAGGGACATTGTCCCACATGTATGCCAAACCCACAATCTCTGGGGACCTGGCATTTAAAGCTAATGAATGAAACAGGCTGGGCACGGTGGCTCAGGCCTGTAATCTCAGCACTTTGTGAGGCCAAGGTGGGCGGATCACTTGAGGTCAGGAGTTTGAGACCAGCCTGGCCAACATGGTGAAACTCCGTCTCTACTAAAAATACAAAGAAAAAATTGGCTGGTGTGGTGGCACATGCCTGTGATTCCAGCTACTCGGGAGGCTGAGGCAGGAGAATTGCTTGAATCTGGGAGGTGGAGGTTGCAGTGAGCTGAGATTGTGCCATTGCACCCCAGCCTCGGTGACAGAGTAAGACTCCGTCTCAAAAACAAAACAAACAACCCCCCCCCCCACAAAACAAACAAAAAAAAAACACTGAGTGAAATAGTCCAAGTGCAAGACAATTTGGAGCCATGGGGACTGCAATGACCGTCTCATTGGAAGATGGATGGAAAGGGACATGACAGCTCAGACCCCATGGGCTTAGTGTTGTCTATCTTCCAAATTGTCAAGAAAAGCCAGCCATTCTAATTTTTCTATACAATTAAAAAATTTACATATTGACAACAAATTCCATTTTTTAAAGCATTATGTTGGTGAAGGAAACCACCTCTGCAAGGTATGTGGGGCCCAAGGGCTGTCAGTGTGTAATTTCCATCCTACTTTTGTGAGTATACAGTCATAAACTCCATTTTTCATCTGTCTGGGTTCATCCCAGCTGGGTGTAGTGACTCTCTTCTGTGAATTCCTTTTCAAAAGTTCTGAGTTCATTTGGGAGTTCCATTTTAGTTTGTGTTCTTGGTGGTGGTGGTGGTGATGGGCTGGGGTGAGGGATACTGAGGTCTCCCAACAGAGCAATAACCAGAGGGAACTGAGTTGTTAATACAGAAATTTTTCTAGGTCCAGCATTGCTAGGATCCAACATTTGATCTAAGCGTATTAGTGTTCTATGCTTTGTAACAAATTAGCACCACTTGGAGGCTTAGTTTGACCCAAATTTATTGTTGCACAGTTTCTGTGGGTCAGGATTATGGCATAGGTGAGCCTGGTCTTGTACTCAGGGTCTTAGCAGGTCCTGACCAGGGCCATGCTCTTTTCTGAGGCTAGAGGGGCTCTTTCAAGCTCATGCTGGTTGTTGGCAGAATTCAGTTCCCTGTGGCTACAGGACTGATGTCTTCAGCTCCTCAGAGAAGGCCCGCTGTCCTCTGCCATGTGGTCCTGTCAGCAGCAGGGAAGGGTGTTTCTACAAGGCCAATAGAGGATCACTCTTGTTTTGAATCTCTCACTTCTTTTACAGGCCCACCTGATTAGCTCAGACCCACCCAACATAACCTCCCTTTTGAGTAACTCATTAGGAACCTTAGTTACATCTGAAAAAAAATCCTTCACCTTTTCCGTATAACATAACCTAACCATAAGAGTGAAATTCATCATATTCACAGTCCCACCCACATTCAAGGGTAGAAGCTTACAAAGTGTGTGTACACTGTGGGTGGGAATCTTGGGGAGTGTGTGCCAGAATTCTGCCTACCACTCTAAGAAAAACTCCTTTTGTTGCTGATTTTTAGTTAACCGTTAAATGAGGCTATGCTAGGTGATTTCTTATGTCAACTTTTTAGATCTAAAATGCTACAAAATTAATCTCAAATGCTACACATTGATCTCAAAGGGTAGCTTGTATTGTAAGAACTATTATAGTTTCCACTGGAAGGCCACAAAGATGAGATAGGGCCATCAAGTTAAATCTGGAACAAAGCTGATGTTTCATTCAATAATTTACATTTTTTTTAGTTTCTGGACAGATGATGTATTAGGCTGTTCTCACATTGCTATAAAGAAATATCCAAGATTGAGTAGTTTATAAAGAAAATAGGTTTAATTGACTCATGGTTTTGCAGACTGTACAGGAAACGTAGCGGCATCTGCTTCCTGGGAGGCCTCAGGAAACTTAAATCATGGCAGAATGCCAAGAGGAAGCAGGGATCTCACATGGCAAAAGCAGGAGCAAGAGAGAGAAGAGAAAGGCACCACACACTTTTAGACCACCAGATCTTGTGGGAACTCACTCACTATCATGAGAACACCATTCATGAGAAATCCACCCCCATGATCCAATCAGATCCCACCAGGCTCCACCTGCTGCAACATTGGGGATTACATTTCAACATGAGATTTGGGTAGGGATGGATCCAACAATCAGAGGGAGTTTAAGCAACATGACAAGTTCACAGATATCCAGGCATTAGAACATACTCCTTTGTTGTATGGACCCATATCATTAAACTTTGGTTTTTCACTAACAGAGATTAGGCTAGATCATACGCTTAACTGCTTCTGGGGCAGTGCTGGTTTATTGCAGGGAAAGCTTCAGGAGAATGCTGGAATGCTGTCCTAAAAGTTGAGGTTATCTCCTTATGCATCTTGCCTTCTGGGAAGAAGGGATAAAGGCTGCAGGCACCGGGAGGATCACTTGTCCTAGCCCTGCTTTTTGCTGTTAGTTCTTTCCCCTTCATTTCCTCCTCTCTCGGGTTACTCAGAAGATTCACACTTTCACTCCAGCAAAACCCTTTCTCTTGACTGTTCCTGAGATCTTCAGGTTACAGGAACATTCAGTCAGGAGGGTGAAGGGGGTACCATCTGTCTCTAGCAAAGAAAGAGCACACCAGTGTCGGTATCTTCAGAAAGATGTTCTCCTAGGTCCATGGGCTCACATGCACTAAAGAACAGTCACTCTATCAGCAGCCAAGTTTCTCCCCCCAAAACACAGAAGTTCATTACTTAAGAATTAAGCAAGTCTGGGACTGCTGCTCTCTGCTGTTTAATAGCAGAAGAAGCAAAAGACTTGCTTAAGTTTTTTACCAATTTGTAAGGAATATTGATCTTTCAATACTCCTGTTTCTAAAAGGAAGTGCTAAGAGCTTAGAAAAGCCCATCACTCTAAAATCTCCAGATTGGCATGAAGACATTTAATAGAAGAAAAAAAAAAAGTTTGAGAATCTTTGAGTAGTGCTTGCTAACTGCATAAGAAAAAACACCATTTTGGAAATCTTCAAAAATATATAACTGGCTGTTCTTTTCCTCCACTAAAATACACAAATAGTCTGTGACTCCTCTTGAGTTTGTTGGGAATTACATGTCGTTTTTATAGGGAAGCTACATGATGAGCTGTTTCACGTTGATCAGGAAAATGTCCCGGATTGAAAACAAACAAATGAAATTGAAAACATAAAGCAAAAACAACCAAAAGTACAATAAAATTCCTTGTTTCCTCCCAAACTTTCATCCCATCTTCTCTCCTGAGGGGCCTTAGACCAAGTCCAACGATTACGATTGGCAGCAAATCTTTGCCAAGATGCTTTTGACATGGATGAAATTAGAAGATTTGAATAAGTGGGCTGAATCGACTCCAGGCACAAGCTAATTGATAGTTTCACTATGTTCCTTATAATTATAAGTTTTACATAAAGCCTAAAAATTTTAAGTATATAAAATATCTATTTAATCCATTGGAGCATTATTATTTAGGGGAGAGGTACTGTTTCCTGGTGGATTGATCACTGGGCAACAGGTTAGAAAAACTGAGTTCTGGTTCTAGGTATACCATGAACTTGGTGTGATGAGGCAGGCTTCACCCTGAACCTCACTTTCCACATATGTAAAAGGAAGGGAACTGAATTCGATTATCAGTTTTCAAACTCTACTTTTTAGTACCTTGGGTTTCTATGGAGGTGATTGAGGGGAAGAAGGAAAGAGGTAAATGGTGGATAATATTTCAATCAGCAAGTGCTCTACCCCTCTTTCCATAGGAGGAGTTTACATTCCCACTCCACAGATGCAGGGAATGGCCATATGATTTGCTTTGCTCAATGACATTTGTGTGGAAGTGACAGTATGCCAATTCTGAGCAGATGCTTTGAAAGGTGATTTATGTTTCCACTTTAACCTCTTGCACCCCTGCTGCCTGCTATAAGAGCATCAAGTGCCCCTTTAGTCTGGTCCTACAATGAGAATATTTGTGGGCAGAACTAAACCGATCTCCCAGCCTGGAACAGAGCCAAGGCAACCATCCCACAGACCTGTGAGCAAAAAATAAATATATGTGGTTATAAGGTGTTAAAACTTTGGGGTTCGTTGTTACACAGCACTATTGTAGGAAAAGCTGATTAATAGAGGCCCAAATGGGCTGCCTCTAGTTCCCCTTCTGGACCTTCAACTAGTGCAGCTCTGTTCTTTACTCTTTTGCATACTAGCTTCTCCATAAGACTTCATCTTAATAAAGGAGTTCTGATGCTTAACACCCAAACAAAACACCAGTTGCATTAGATTAAGTTTCAAAAACTTTTCATTGACTTGAGGTTTTAGTAGTTTGCCATTTTTGATATATACATGTCTGATCATGCTTATTTTTAAATTTCTACTGTTGAAATAAGAAATAAAATAAAATCATGACTTCAGCAAATTAAATCTATTATAAATTTAAACAAAAAGTATCTCCAGGCCAGGTGGGGTGGCTTATGTCTGTAATTCCAGCACTTTGGGAGGTTGAGGTGGGTGGATCTCAAGGTCAGGAGTTTGAGACCAGCCTGACGAACATGGTGAAACCCTGTCTCTACTAAAAATACAAAAATTAGCCAGGCATGTTGGTGCGTGCCTGTAATCTCAGCTACTCAGGAGGCTGAGGCAGGAGAATCGCTTGAACCCAGGAGGTGGAGGTTGCATTGAGCCAAGATCATGCCACTGCACTCCAGCCTGGGTGACAGAGCGAGACTCCATCTCAAAAAATAAATAAATCAATAAATAAAAATAAAGTATCTCCAATATTTCATATTTTTATTTTTAATCTCCAGAAAGTAAATTGAGAAAGCCATTTAGGTGTCATTTCAACTAAGTATTCTATGATAGGTTACTTTTAAGCTACTTATTCTAACCCTGGTATTTTAAAAGTGAACAAATTACCATTTGGTCAATAAGGGGTTTTCTGTAGATTTGGAGAACAGAACAGGGTCTTACAGATATCTCAGTGCTGGTCACATGCTCAGATGCAGTGAAATCTGACCCTGAAGGAGGCGTGCTTTCACACATCCCAGCCTGGGCAATCACGTGACATGGCAAAAGCCTGGCTTTAATGGCCTGCTCATCTCACCACACCATCCCACCGCCGAGACCCACCACTTACCATCAGTCCTTAACTGACCCTGTGCATTTGGGTAGATTTGAATGTAGTGGACTTTCCTACCCATCATTTCCCCCTGAAAAGTGCACCTTTCTGTGTCTTATTTAATCAGGATCCTGAATGACGACCAGCAGTCAAACTTAGGGATTAAATTGAGGCCAAAGTATTAAAGATGATACCAGATTAAGGTGTTAACTTTCCCAAGGATTTAGTCTCCTAGTATCTTCCAATGTCTTAGTCCAAAGAAATGAATAATGAGGGATATTCCGGATACCATGGGAAGCCTGATAAGGAGGTATTTTTAGATTTTTGTATCAATTTAAAGACTACTAGGGGAGTGCCTACAGCTCTGTGAAGAACACGGGTACTGGTGGCTCATCTCAGCCAGTCCCTGCCCCTCTTCTCCTTCCTTAGTCCTTGGAGGGCCATTCACTTCAGAGGGCATGCTCCACATCCAGCTTGCCCCTAAAGTGATTGCCTAAAACTATTCAAGCTCTGTGACCAGTAATTTCCTCTAAAATGACCTCAGTTCTTCATCAGTGAAAATAATGCATTGGGTTATATTTTTTCTTCTCTATTTCTTTCCATATCTCACTAGAGCTTATCCTTTTTAAAAGCATACACTGAAATTATTTTAATTATAATATGTATATATATATAAAGATTTAACAGATTCCATGCATCCACCAGTTAAATTGAACAGATGTTAATTTATTTGCTCATATTTATTCTGGGTCTTTTATATTTCAGTCACAAACCAATTTCGAAAACGTTAAAACATGAGAAAATGGGCCTCTTAAGATGAAAAAGTTATAAGACGTTAAGGAGGAAATCAAATACACATTAATAAGTGATTATGAAAATGAGACTATTACATATGAAAACCTATGGGAAGAGTACCAAATTTCCACGAGAAAAAACAAAACCCTAAATGTTCTGGTTTTTTACTAAGACAAAAAAAAATAAGCCCTCTAGGAAAGTGAAAGAACAAGAAAACAGACATGAGGAAAGACAATAATAATGAATGGAGACAAAATTAGAAATAAACAAATCTGGAAAAGGATAACACATGTCCTAGGAAGAGATTATATAAAACAGAATTAACTCCTCCAGAGTATTAAAAAATATGGACATCTGCCCAGTTAGAAAATAAGCTTAACTTTGAAGCCAATTTCTATCAAAGAGTACAACCAGAGGAAACCTATGGCTAAGGAGATTCATAACATTCATACATATATATATATATTTTTTTTTTTTTCACGTTCTGAATTCAATATCACTTTATTGGTAAAAGAATATTGTGCCTGAACAGGAATTAACCTACCAATGGAAGTTAGATTATTAGGAATCTATTAATAAATATATAAGAATAGATAACATAAGAAAAACAATAATAGATAATGTAAGAAGAATGTCATTGCAAGACATTTTCAAAATGTATTTAACATCCATGGATGCACCTAGAGGACATTATGCTAAGTGAAATAAGTCAATCACAAAAAGACAAATACTGTATGATTCCACTTATATGAGGTATTTAGAGCAGTGAAAATCATAGAGACATAAAGTAGAATGGTGGTTTCCAGGGGATGGAGGGAGGCGGAATGGAGAGTTCCTGTTTAATTGGGTATAGAGTTTCAGTTTTGCAAGATAAAAAAGAGTTCTGGAGATTGGATATGCAACACTGTGAATGTACTTAATACTACTGGACTGGACGCTTAAAAATGGTTAAATTAGCAAATTTATTTTATGTGTATTTTCTCACAATTTAAAAAACAGGAGAATATATCAGAATTCCAGTGTTTAAGTCAACTAAAAAAATTTAACATCAACATATAACCTAAGTCTACATAAAATGCAAGAATAAGTACAATTAATTAGCTTGTCATAACAGTCGTCACAAATCTGTTATTAAAATAGTGGTTGGTTTTACATTTGATGGTTTCCTAGAATCAGAAAAAAGTAATACCTGTTTAATAGAATTTTTCTGTTTATAAATGATAACAGTTGATTTTCTGCCTAATTTTTTATTAACAGCATCCCTTTATTACTTGTTATTAAAGAATGTGATATCTATTATTTCTGCTTCTTAAATATATTGAAATTTATTTTGTGATCAAAATAAAATCCTTAAGCTCCCTCTACATCCTGGAATAGAATGTGTGTTGTCTGCTTTAAAAGTGTACATTTCCATCTATGTCTATTAATTCTACTTTGGTAACTTATTGTTTAAATTCTTCCTTCTTCTTTTTTGTTTATTTTTGCCTGCATGTTCTCATATACTGAAATTGGCAGATTTAAGTAACTCATTATAATTACATTTCTATTTTTTCCTTTTTCTCCTAACAGTTTTTCAATTTTTAACCAATATTACTGTCGTAAAAAAGTTCAGCTCTGTTATTTCTTGAGAATGAATCATGTCTTTACCAACCTGAGATGACCCTCTTTGTTGTGTGGCAGGGATGGGACTAAGACTAGGGGATCTGTTGGATCATTGCATAGAAGTATAAGTGCTGTGGCCTGGAGAGCCACTACTGCCAGGCAGAGAACACCAGTGGGCAGCATCATGCATTTCTGGGACAGGTCATCCCCTATCGAACAGTGTGCATCCCACAGAGATTTGTTTTCCTGAACCAGATTTCCTGCCTATGTAGATAGCTCCTTGCCTTTTTAAGATCAAGGGACACTCACTCAACTTGACAGGCAAAGCACCAGGAGAGAGACTCAGTATGACCACACAACACACCTGGTGTGGAGGTGAAGGTAAGAAGCCATTCCCGTATGGAAAACTGTCCTTCAGCTCACAGTGAAGTAAGATTAATTGCAGATCAAGGTCCTCCCTTGGCTAGTACCTGCCCGTATGCTTCAGATTGAAACATTGCTGGTCTTAAAGGTCCTAGGTGGCACAAGCTAACAGCAAGCCATAAAGTGTGGGCTCACTCAATAAGTATCTTCTACAAGATTTCTGGGAAAATCAGTCAAAGGTAGATATTTCCTTTTGTCATTCAAGGATAAATAGTTAAAAATAGAGTGTGGATGTGAAAAGAATCTGCAATGTCTAGTTCAAGATGGTGATTTGAACTAATCTTTCTTTCCCTATACTTTCATATTTCTATTGTAATAAAGAAGTTATATAGGGCAAAATCTATATAAAAGTTGGAAAATAGGAAAGAGTGTCACAAAAACTGTACAGACACTTTGAGGAATTTCTTGTTTGGTACTTTCTGCAACCTATAAAGAAACTCCAACAGCACAGTGGTGCAACGAATGTGAAATGGACAACTCCCTTGTCAGAACCATCAAATAAATCCCTCTGGAGCTTGGAGAGGCAGGGCCTTGAGGTGGTAACCATGGGGCTATCAATTAAGACAAAGCTAGTGCTGTGAGTAGCCTCAGGGAGTGAACTGATGTTGGCAAATGCAGCTATTGACCAACCTACTCCCCTTTAGTCTCCAAGGGGAGAGAGTGGTGTATAATAAAGGGGAGGCAATGTCACAGCAAGAGAAGGGGGCAATGCCACCACATATTTTAGGCTACCACTCCAAAAACATTAAAAAATGACACAGCAATGAGGTCTCTGCTATGCTCTAATAGATCTCCTATTAGGTCCCCCTCCTGAGTCTTTGCTTCCTTTGGATGAATAAGATTTGCTCTTTAAAGTGTCATGTTTCTATTTTTAAGTTTATTTGTCTTTGCAATTTGGGGAACAGTGTTATTCTTTTTTGACCCCAGATATCCTTTCCATGTTTATTCATTTTGTTTTCTTCAATTTCAATCTCCTGATCTTTGTTGAGAGCCAAGTGGCTTTTTATTTGTATGGAAATAAATGATCTTTTTACCCATGGAAACATTAGTCATCCTGCCTCCTCACTTAAAAACTTTCTTCTCTTGAGAGGATGCCAAAATCAAGGGTGCATACTCATTCATTCCTCTAGGGATCACTATCAAGATTGTTTTTCACAGCTATCACTTTTTAAAATTGAAGCATGATACTTTGTAGCCCATGATTTTAAGTAAAATTAAGGTCTAATGGATGGCTTACCACATCATGCTGCTTTTCCAGGGATTTCATTTACAATAGTATCAAATGCACTGAGATGAATGAGTTTCACCCTTCAATGGAAACTGGGAAACGCACAGTTGAATTGACTTTAGATAAATATTAACAGCAACTGCTCAGAAGCAAAGGTCAAGAAATAATACCCAAATACTTGTCTTTACTAAAACACTTAAATTGTATAAAACTTGAAAACCCATTCTCATTTTTAAGTGAACACATTAATCTCCCAAGGAATGAAAGAAGAAGTTGTCATGAATTTAGGCAGAGAATAATTTACTCCTGATTTTTTTTTTTTTGTCCCTTAGGAGAAAGATTAAGGAGCAGACCACTCAATCGGTTCCTGGAGTAGTGATCTGTAAGGGGTACTAAAATAACACCACTGTGGCAGATAGACCCTAGGGTGGCCCCAATGTTCAAGTCTATAGTCACTTCCCATTGAATGTGGGTGGGACCTGTCACTTGCCTCTAACCAATAAAATATGGTCAAAATCATGAGATGTCATTCCTGCCATTACGCTATGTATGTGTGCGTGTGAACATTAATACAAGAGAGACTCTCCATTGTAGCTTTGAATGAGTAAGCTGCCATGTTTGTGAGAAGGCCTATGGGAAGGCACCACATGGCAGGGAGCTGCAAGCAGTGTCAAGGACATGAGAAAGACCCATGACTGACAGCGAGCAAGAAATCAAGACATCCCAGTCCTACAGCCATAAGATGAATTCTGCTAACAACTTGAGGAAACTTGGAAGTGGATCTTTCCCCAGTCCAGCCTCTGATGAGACCCGAGCCCTAGCTGACACCTGGGTTGCCACCTGATGAAACACTCTGAAACAGAGAATCCAATTAAGCTGTGCTTAGATTTCCAACCTACAGAAACCTGTGAGATAATAAGTATATGTCATTTTAAGCTTATGAGTTTGTGATAATTTGTTATGCAGTAACGGAAAATGAATGCAATTGTGGAGTATGTGACAGAGATAGAGAAAATTGCGCTTACTAGAGTCCATTCAAGGAGAGTAACAAGTGTGGTTGGAATAACTACTGTCATGAGCTATGCAGATTTGGAGGTAGACTCTTCAGAAGCAAGCTCATTTACCATCTTATCTGGAGAGCAGCCATTGTTGCTGGAGGGCTTTTGTTTTGCTGAGTGATCTGTACTTCAGTTAGCACTGAAGTACTCGGAATAATAGAGATGACCCTGTTTGTAGTCAGCCAACCACAGACTTCTCTATCTTTCCCCTGCAGTGTTCAGACTCCACATAAACACATGTAAAATAAATGTTTAAAGAATATTATTTCTGAAAGCTGACAAATTAGCAGTCTCCACATGTTTTGGTCTGGCTTTATATCTATCATTGAGGTTATAGGCCACACTCCAGAACACACTTGAAGTTGACAATAAAGGACTCAGGAGAGACCACCCAGTTCATGTTGGGGTTCCATTTTCCAACAGGCTCGGATGGGCAGAGGAAAGTTAACATCTCCAAAGGAGGGTCTCCAAGTCTATTCCAGGATTGGGGCTGTGGGAACCTCCTGGCCTGTGCTGTTTTTCAAATAGGAGGCCTTGACTATGTACTTACTAACTTTGACTACTGAAAGGTCTGAAAAGGAGATAAACTATTTTTCATTGCCTTTAGTAAACAGAAGTGGTTCAGTTGTAAGGTACTGGGCCTGATTGGTTCTCCTGAAGATACAAAGTCTCCCCAGATAACACTGACACATGAGCAGTACTTCCAACAGCCACCTTCTCTTAGCCTGTCTAGGTGGGGTAGAGGCTAATGAAACATTGTAGACACAGTTTCCAAGAACAGCTCCTTCTCAGGGACCTGAAATTCTTTTTAAAAATTTTTTAAAATTTTACTCTAAGTTCCAGGATACATGTGCAGAATGTGCAGGTTTGTTACGTAGGCATACATGTGCCATGGTGGTTTGCTGCACCTATCAACCCATCATCTAGGATTTAAGCCCCACATGCCTTAGGTATTTGTCTTAATGCTCTCCCTCCTCTGGTCCCCCACCCCCCGAGCGGCCCTGGTGGGTGTTGTTCCCCTCCCTGTGGGACCTGAAATTCTTATTACATTAATTTGTATTGCTTTATTTGAAATTGTAACAGTAATACATGCTTTTAGCAGTATAATCCAATCAATAGAGATGTTAATATGTGAAAATTCCTGTTTATACCCTACCCTCTCAATTGATCCCACTGCTATATCCAGAGGTAACTATAATTAAAGGTTAGTGTGTAACAAACCTGCACATGTATCCCTGACCAAAATCAACTAACCATGCATTTCTCAAAATGTATCCCCATCATTAAGAGATGCCTGACTGTGGCCGGGCGCGGTGGCTCACGCCTGTAATCCCAGCACTTTGGGAGGCCGAGGCGGGCGGATCACGAGGTCAGGAGATAGAGACCATCGTGGCTAACACGGTGAAACCCCGTCTCTACTAAAAATACAAAAAATTAGCCGGGCGAGGTGGCGGGCGCCTGTAGTCCCAGCTACTCGGGAGGCTGAGGCAGGAGAATGGCGTGAACCCCAGGGGGCGGAGCCTGCAGTGAGCCGAGATTGCGCCACTGCACTCCAGCCTGGGCGACAGCGAGACTCCGTCTCAAAAAAAAAAAAAAAAAAAAAAGAGATGCCTGACTGTATACACACTAAAGGAGAGGGTTTTTTAAAAATAGAATTGGGACTAATTCTATTTAAAATTTCTATTTTTAAAATTCTGTTAAAAATTCTATTTTTTTAAATAGAATTCAGGGGTACATGTGCAGGTTTGTTACATCCGTAAAGTTGTGTCATAGGGATTTGTTTTACAGATTATTTCATCATGATGGTATTAAGCCTAGTACCCATTAGTTATTTTTCCTGATCCTCTCCCTCCTCTCACACTCGACCCTCCAATAGGCCCCAGTGTGTGCTGTTCTCCTGTATGTGTCCATGTGTTCTCATCATTTAGTTCCCACTTAGAAGTGAGGACATGTGGTGTTTGGTTTTCTGTTCCTCTGTTAATTTGCTAAAGACAATAGCCTCCAGCTCCATCCATGTTCCTGCAAAGGACATGATCTCATTCTTTTTATGGCTGCATAGTATTCCATGGTGTATATGTACCACATTTTCTTTATCCAATTTATTATTGATGGACACTTACGTTTATTCCATGTCTTTGCTATTGTGAATAGTGCTGTAATAAATATATGAGTGTATGTGTCTTTATAGTAGAATGAATTATATTCCTTCGGGTGTATATACAGTAATGGGATTGCTGGATCAAATGGAATTTCTGTCTTAAGGTCTTTGAGGAGTCATCACACTGTTTTCCACAATGGTTGAACTAATTTAAACTCCCACCAACAGTGCATAAGCGTTCATTTTTCACCACAATATCACTAGCATCTATTTTTTAAATATTTCTTTAGGATAGAGTCTTTAGTTGAATGGCTGAGTCAATAGGGTACACATATTTTAAATTTTGATAGATAACTGCTAATTTTATTTTATGAGGACTATACCAGTGTACATGCATTAGCTGCATAATGATGTTTCAATCAATGACAGGCTACATATAGTGGTCCTAAGATTTTAATATGTGTTTTTTTCTGTATCTTTTCTATGTTTAGATATACAAATACTTACCATTGTGCTACAGTTGCCAACATTACAGTAACATGCTGTACAGGTTTGTAGCCTAGGAAAATAGGCTATTCCATACAGCCTAGGTGTGTAGTAAGCTATTCCTTCTATGTTTGTGTAATACACTCTATGATGTTCACATGACGAAATCACCTAATGATGCATTTCTCAACACATATCCCCATCATTAAGGGATATATGACTGTACACACACTCATTAGAGTATGAGGTTAACCATTTTTCCATGTTTGACTACAGTGGATCTGTTTTTTTTCCCATTTTGCCAACATGGGAGAAAAATGAAATCAGAGAATTGGCTTTTTCATCCTTGGCCTTCTTTTCTCAAGCTTTTCAACTGTGTGATGATCTTTGTTTCTTTTCTCTCTTGCTCTGAGTAGAAGAGGTCTTAAACCATTCTCAAGTGTAAATTTATATTTAAATTATATCACTAGATTTTCTTTTTTTTTTTAATTTTTTTTTTAATTATACTTTAAGTTTTAGGGTACATGTGCACATTGTGCAGGTTAGTTACATATGTATACATGTGCCATGCTGGTGCGCTGCACCCACTAACTCGTCATCTAGCATTAGGTATATCTCCCAATGCTATCCCTCCCCCCTCCCCCCACCCCACCACAGTCCCCAGAGTGTGATATTCCCCTTCCTGTGTCCATGTGATCTCATTGTTCACTTCCCACCTATGAGTGAGAATATGCAGTGTTTGGTTTTTTGTTCTTGCGATAGTTTACTGAGAATGATGATTTCCAATTTCATCCATGTCCCTACAAAGGACATGAACTCATCATTTTTTATGGCTGCATAGTATTCCATGGTGTATATGTGCCACATTTTCTTAATCCAGTCTATCATTGTTGGACATTTGGGTTGGTTCCAAGTCTTTGCTATTGTGAATAATGCCTCAATAAACATACGTGTGCATGTGTCTTTATAGCAGCATGATTTATAGTCCTTTGGGTATATACCCAGTAATGGGATGGCTGGGTCAAATGGTATTTCTAGTTCTAGATCCCTGAGGAATCGCCACACTGACTTCCACAATGGTTGAACTAGTTTACAGTCCCACCAACAGTGTAAAAGTGTTCCTATTTCTCCACATCCTCTCCAGCACCTGTTGTTTCCTGACCTTTTAATGATTGCCATTCTAACTGGTGTGAGATGGTATCTCATTCTGGTTTTGATTTGCATTTCTCTGATGGCCAGTGATGATGAGCATTTTTTCATGTGTTTTTTGGCTGCATAAATGTCTTCTTTTGAGAAGTGTCTGTTCATGTCCTTCGCCCACTTTTTGATGGGGTTGTTTGTTTTTTTCTTGTAAATTTGTTTGAGTTCATTGTAGACTCTGGATATTAGCCCTTTGTCAGATGAGTAGGTTGCGAAAATTTTCTCCCATTCTGTAGGTTGCCTGTTCACTCTGATGGTAGTTTCTTTTGCTGTGCAGAAGCTCTTTAGTTTAATTAGATCCCATTTGTCAATTTTGTCTTTTGTTGCCATTGCTTTTGGTGTTTTGGACATGAAGTCCTTGCCCATGCCTATGTCCTGAATGGTAATGTCTAGGTTTTCTTCTAGGGTTTTTATGGTTTTAGGTCTAACGTTTAAGTCTTTAATCCATCTTGAATTGATTTTTGTATAAGGTGTAAGGAAGGGATCCAGTTTCAGCTTTCTACATATGGCTAGCCAGTTTTCCCAGCGCCATTTATTAAATAGGGAATCCTTTCCCCATTGCTTGTTTTTCTCAGGTTTGTCAAAGATCAGATAGTTGTAGATATGTGGCGTTATTTCTGAGGGCTCTGTTCTGTTCCATTGATCTATATCTCTGTTTTGGTACCAGTACCATGCTGTTTTGGTTACTGTAGCCTTATAGTATAGTTTGAAGTCAGGTAGTGTGATGCCTCCAGCTTTGTTCTTTTGGCTTAGGATTGCCTTGGCAATGCGGGCTCTTTTTTGGTTCCATATGAACTTTAAAGTAGTTTTTTCCAATTCTGTGAAGAAAGTCATTGGTAGCTTGATGGGGATGGCATTGAATCTGTAAATTACCTTGGGCAGTATGGCCATTTTCACGATATTGATTCTTCCTACCCATGAGCATGGAATGTTCTTCCATTTGTTTGTATCCTCTTTTATTTCCTTGAGCAGTGGTTTGTAGTTCTCCTTAAAGAGGTCCTTCACATCCCTTTTAAGTTGGATTCCTAGGTATTTTATTTTCTTTGAAGCAATTGTGAATGGGAGTTCACTCATGATTTGGTTCTCTGTTTGTCTGTTGTTGGTGTATAAGAATGCTTGTGATTTTTGTACATTGATTTTGTATCCTGAGACTTTGCTGAAGTTGCTTATCAGCTTAAGGAGATTTTGGGCTGAGACAATGGGGTTTTCTAGATATACAATCATGTTGTCTGCAAACAGGGACAATTTGACTTCCTCTTTTCCTAATTGAATACCCTTTATTTCCTTCTCCTGCCTAATTGCCCTGGCCAGAACTTCCAACACTATGTTGAATAGGAGTGGTGAGAGAGGGCATCCCTGTCTTGTGCCAGTTTTCAAAGGGAATGCTTCCAGTTTTTGCCCATTCAGTATGATATTGGCTGTGGGTTTGTCATAGATAGCTCTTATTATTTTGAAATATGTCCCATCGATACTAATTTATTGAGAGTTTTTAGCATGAAGGGTTGTTGAATTTTGTCAAAGGCTTTTTCTGCATCTATTGAGATAATCATGTGGTTTTTGTCTTTGGCTCTGTTTATATGCTGGATTACATTTATTGATTTGCATATATTGAACCAGCCTTGCATCCCAGGGATGAAGCCCACTTGATCATGGTGGATAAGCTTTTTGATGTGCTGCTGGATTCGTTTTGCCAGTATTTGATTGAGGATTTTTGCATCAATGTTCATCAAGGATATTGGTCTAAAATTCTCTTTTTTGGTTGTGTCTCTGCCCGGCTTTGGTATCAGAATGATGCTGGCCTCATAAAATGAGTTAGGGAGGATTCCCTCTTTTTCTATTGATTGGAATAGTTTCAGAAGGAATGGTACCAGTTCCTCCTTGTACCTCTGATAGAATTCAGCTGTGAATCCATCTGGTCCTGGACTCTTTTTGGTTGGTAAGCTATTGATTATTGCCACAATTTCAGCTCCTGTTATTGGTCTCTTCAGAGATTCAACTTCTTCCTGGTTTAGTCTTGGGAGAGTGTATGCGTCGAGGAATTTATCCATTTCTTCTAGATTTTCTAGTTTATTTGCGTAGAGGTGTTTGTAGTATTCTCTGATGGTAGTTTGTATTTCTGTGGGATTGGTGGTGATATCCCCTTTATCATTTTTTATTGTGTCTATTTGATTCTTCTCTCTTGTCTTCTTTATTAGTCTTGCTAGCGGTCTATCAATTTTGTTGATCCTTTCAAAAACCAGCTCCTGGATTCATTAATTTTTTGAAGGGTTTTTTGTTTCTCTATTTCCTTCAGTTCTGCTCTGATTTTAGTTATTTCTTGCCTTCTGCTAGCTTTTGAATGTGTTTGCTCTTGCTTTTCTAGTTCTTTTAATTGTGATGTTAGGGTGTCAATTTTGGATCTTTCCTGCTTTCTCTTGTGGGCATTTAGTGCTATAAATTTCCCTCTACACACTGCTTTGAATGCGTCCCAGAGATTCTGGTATGTTGTGTCTTTGTTCTCGTTGGATTCAAAGAACATCTTTATTTCTGCCTTCATTTCGTTATGTACCCAGTATTCATTCAGGAGCAGGTTGTTCAGTTTCCATGTAGTTGAGCGGCTTTGAGTGAGATTCTTAATCCTGAGTTCTAGTTTGATTGCACTGTGGTCTGAGAGATAGTTTGTTATAATTTCTGTTCTTTTACATGTGCTGAGGAGAGCTTTACTTCCCAGTATGTGGTCAATTTTGGAATAGGTTTGGTGTGGTGCTGAAAAAAATGTATATTCTGTTGATTTGGGGTGGAGAGTTCTGTAGATGTCTATTAGGTCCGCTTGGTGCAGAGCTGAGTTCAATTCCTGGGTATCCTTGTTGACTTTCTGTCTCGTTGATCTGTCTAATGTTGACAGTGGGGTGTTAAAGTCTCCCATTATTATTGTGTGGGAGTCTAAGTCTCTTTGTAGGTCACTCAGGACTTGCTTTATGAATCTGGGTGCTCCTGTATTGGGTGCATATATATTTAGGATAGTTAGCTCTTCTTGTTGAATTGATCCCTTTACCGTTATGTAATGGCCTTCTTTGTCTCTTTTGATCTTTGTTAGTTTAAAGTCTGTTTTATCAGAGACTAGGATTGCAACCCCTGCCTTTTTTTGTTTTCCATTGGCTTGGTAGATCTTCCTCCATCCTTTTATTTTGAGCCTATGTGTGTCTCTGCACGTGAGATGGGTTTCCTGAATACAGCACACTGATGGGTCTTGACTCTTTATCCAATTTGCCAGTCTGTGTCTTTTAATTGGAGCATTTAGTCCATTTACATTTAAAGTTAATATTGTTATGTGTGAATTTGATCCTGTCATTATGATGTTAGCTGGTGATTTTGCTTGTTAGTTGATGCAGTTTCTTCCTAGTCTCGATGGTCTTTACATTTTGGCATGATTTTGCAGCGGCTGGTACCGGTTGTTCCTTTCCATGTTTAGCGCTTCCTTCAGGAGCTCTTTTAGGGCAGGCCTGGTGGTAACAAAATCTCTCAGCATTTGCTTGTCTGTAAAGTATTTTATTTCTCCTTCACTTATGAAGCTTAGTTTGGCTGGATATGAAATTCTGGGTTGACAATTCTTTTCTTTAAGAATGTTGAATATTGGCCCCCACTCTCTTCTGGCTTGTAGGGTTTCTGCCAAGAGATCCGCTGTTAGTCTGATGGGCTTCCCTTTGAGGGTAACCCGACCTTTCTCTCTGGCTGCCCTTAACATTTTTTCCTTCATTTCAACTTTGGTGAATCTGACAATTATGTGTCTTGGAGTTGCTCTTCTCGAGGAGTATCTCTGTGGCGTTCTCTGTATTTCCTGAATGTGAACGTTGGCCTGCCTTGCTAGATTGGGGAAGTTCTCCTGGATAATATCCTGCAGAGTGTTTTCCAACTTGGTTCCATTCTCCCCATCACTTTCAGGTACACCAATCAGACGTAGATTTGGTCTTTTCACATAGTCCCATATTTCTTGGAGGCTTTGCTCATTTCTTTTTATTCTTTTTTCTCTAAACTTCCCTTCTCTCTTCATTTCATTCATTTCATCTTCCATTGCTGATACCCTTTCTTCCAGTTGATCGCATCGGCTCCTGAGGCTTCTGCATTCTTCACGTAGTTCTCGAGCCTTGGTTTTCAGCTCCGTCAGCTCCTTTAAGCACTTCTCTGTATTGGTTATTCTAGTTATACATTCTTCTAAATTTTTTTCAAAGTTTTCAACTTCTTTGCCTTTGGTTTGAATGTCCTCCTGTAGCTGAGAGTAATTTGATTGTCTGAAGCCTTCTTCTCTCAGCTCGTCAAAGTCATTCTCCATCCAGCTTTGTTCCGTTGCTGGTCAGGAACTGCGTTCCTTTGGAGGAGGAGAGGCGCTCTGCGTTTTAGAGTTTCCCGTTTTTCTGTTCTGTTTTTTCCCCATCTTTGTGGTTTTATCTACTTTTGGTCTTTGATGATGGTGATGTACAGATGGGTTTTTGGTGTGGATGTCCTTTCTGTTTGTCAGTTTTCCTGCTAACAGACAGGACCCTCAGCTGCAGGTCTGTTGGAATACCCTGCCATGTGAGGTGTCAGTGTGCCCCTGCTGGGGGGTGCCTCCCAGTTAGGCTGCTCGGGGGTCAGGGGTCAGGGACCCACTTGAGGAGGCAGTCTGCCCATTCTCAGATCTCCAGCTGCATGCTGGGAGAACCACTGCTCTCTTCAAAGCTGTCAGACAGGGACATTTAAGTCTGCAGAGGTTACTGCTGTCTTTTTGTTTGTCTGTGCCCTGCCCCCAGAGGTGGAGCCTACAGAGGCAGGCAGGCCTCCTTGAGCTGTGGTGGGCTCCACCCAGTTCGAGCTTCCAGGCTGCTTTGTTTACCTAAGCAAGCCTGGGCAATGGCGGGCGCCCCTCCCCCAGCCTCACTGCCGCCTTGCAGTTTGATCTCAGACTGCTGTGCTAGCAATCAGCGAGACTCCGTGGGCGTAGGACCCTCCGAGCCAGGTGCGGGATATAATCTCGTGGTGCGCCGTTTTTTAAACCGGTCCGAAAAGCGCAATATTCGGGTGGGAGTGACCCGATTTTCCAGGTGCGTCCGTCACCCGTTTCTTTGACTAGGAAAGGGAACTGCCTGACCCCTTGCGCTTCCCAAGTGAGGCAATGCCTCACCCTGCTTTGCCTCGCGCACGGTGTGCGCACCCACTGACCTGCGCCCACTGTCTGGCGCTCCATAGTGAGATGATCCCGGTACCTCAGATGGAAATGCAGAAATCACCCGTCTTCTGCGTCGCTCACGCTGGGAGCTGTAGACCAGAGCTGTTCCTATTCGGCCATCTTGGCTCCTCTCCCATCACTATATTTTGTAATTCTGAATTACTCTTATATTCTGGGGAATAAATTTTGGCTGCAATATTATTTTAATTTGTGACATGATTGGAGAACATTTTATTTAGAATATGTATAGACGTAAGTGAAGCAGTTTGCAATCTTCCTTTTTCGGTTATTCTTGTCTGGCTTTGTTATATGAGTTTTGCTGGGCCAGTAACATAAATCAGGGAATTTTCCATTTTTCTATGCTCTGAAACACATTATATTACATGGAAAGTTTCTGTTTCTAGAAAGTTTTATAGAACTTGCTGGTCAAATGTTCTGACTTATTTGTCTTTAGGGCATAGAATTTTAAGTAAGGACACAGCTTTTATCTTCCAATTGTTGGTAAAGACAGTTAAAAATATGAAGTTAAATTGATACTTTGACATTCCCTAGACACCCCCCGACACATCCTAACATACCACACACACACACAACACACACACACATAGACCCTAATCCACCAACAAGCAAAATCTCATATCGTTTCAGTTTGGATCAGTAGAAGGAATTAGAGAAGAAACTTCATAAAATTCATCATGAGGGTGAAAAGAGAAAGGCCTGGAGAGAAGTAGCTGAACTGAATTGAACACAAAGCCCTTTAAGTGATGTTAACCTCTTTTAATCACAAAGATAGCACAAAGGTTCTGTTCAGCTGGAGTCTTGTGCAGCTTAACACGTCAAGTTTGATTTAAGAGTTTTAAGCGTGGCTGACGCTGTTGTCAAAAAGTTCTTGTCCCAGAGGGCTAACAAAGTAGGGTATCATTTTACTTTGCAAATATGCAAAGAGTTTAGCACAGGGTCTGGCTCATGGTAGGTATTCAATAAAATTTGGTTTTCTTCTCCAGGACCCATTAAAAATTTCATTTCATCTGAATATATTCACTTCTATTCTACATAAAAGAAAAGGTAGCAGGTAGTGATGTTGTTTAACTTAGTAACTGGAAATGAATGCCAGCTGCGTGAACTTCATTTGCAATCAGAATTTCACAGACTCAAGCAAATCTGGAGGTAACAGAATAAAAATTATTTTGTAAAGGCACAGCAAATCCAGTCAGCCAAACCTCGTCCTTAGAGAAGATTGGATTTTCAGTTGGCTTCCATATGGATCTGAAATTCTTTTCCTTAAGATTTGGCAATTTATAATCCCAAGATGTGAAGAGGTGGGCAAGCATGCCTAAACTAGAAGTTTCAAAAACAATGAATGAATCAACCTTCCACTAGCAGAAATTTCAGCTTTGGCAACAAGTTCAGAGAAAGTCTCATTATATCACACACAAAACAAAAAACATTTGTTTTACTTTCACAGATCATTCCATACATTCTTTCCATATTTTGGCATAATTCACTGGTTCTAATATAATGCAAGCCTTACACTTCATTTTAATTCAGTAACTAGAGAACCATTGTTTTAAGGATGGCTGGGTTAAAATCAGCACAAGCAGATTGGGGTGTCAAGATACCAAACATCTGCTGAATGTGAACATATTTCAGATGGAAGTAATATAGCTAGATGTTTGATATCACATGGAAACAAACTTTTGTGATCAGAATCCCTGTATAATAGCTATAGAGAGCTATAGATAAACACATTGTTTATGAACTCTCCACTGGAAATTATACATATGTGTCAGACACCTCCAGTTGTCTACTCAGTTTTCACTCTTCCTTTCTTCCTAACAAAATGTCAATTTGGGTCAGAGTGGTGATATATTTTTCTAATCTGCATTGAAGCTAGGGATGAGTATGTGATAGAATTCCAGATAATTAGATATAGGGAGAAGTCCACTAAGGATTTCTGAGAAATGTTTTTGTTTTCTTTTCCTCTTTTTCGTGTTGTGTTTGTTGTGCTTGCCTCCATTTCATTTTATTTTCCTGCCTGGAACACAATATTGAGGTTGGAATTGGAGCTGCCCTCTTTTGACTCATGCATGTTTCATGACGGAACATGCAGAAGAGTAAGAAGCCATATGCCAAAGATGGTGGAATAGAAAGAGAGACAGTGCCTGGGACATTGCCTGTGGAGGATGACTTACTATTTAAGAAAAATAAACTCTCATTTGCTTAAGCCATGATAGTTCAGTTATTATTATTTACAGTTGAACGGAATTCAGTTTGACATTCCATAGACATTTTTTCTTTCTCTTAATTTATAATGATTACTTCCCCATATTACCTCTTTGCGGAGGGAAGAGTTGGGTTCATTTGAAAAACACAGAAGTGCTGATGCTTATATTTTCCTCATACTGAGATTATTGCTTCTTTCAGAGCTAATGATTCCCATCAGTGCATGCAGGATTATTTGGAAAGGCAAAACAATGCAGGTCTTTATAGTCAGTGGAAAGGCAGGATCCAGGTGACTCTTGAGTTCCCATTATAGATCTTTGCATGAAAGTTACGCTGTGTGCATAGACGCCTATGACTGCAAGAACTCAGGATTCCCAGAGACTTCAGAGGATCACCTTTCATGATTCAGTGGCTTCCATCTCCCAGATGAGGATCCCACAGATTCAGGAGTGCCCAAGAATTACTAATTGTATGTTTGGTATTTTCAGAGTTGACAATATAGAAAACCATTCAATAGGATACCAGGACATGCACAAATGAGAAAAGCGGTCCATATCATCTGGCTGCCTATGCTGTGCCCTTGACTTTGATGCAAAGTCAAAGTTGCAGTTTCCTATTGCTCCCTTATGATGGGAGAATATCTTGTCCAGTTTATTAATAAGTATTAATCTCAACACAGAGATCCAAACAAGTTAGTCCTTTATGACATAACTCAGACTAGAGCTAATGACCACCTAGTGACCAGAGTAGATCTTGATAATTTAGTACCACACTCCTTTCACATTCATTTCCAGGAGAGTTAAAGTCGTAAGTCTTTTTGTGCTTTATAAATGACTTTTTTAAATTGCAAAAGCAATAAAGATCGTTACAACTCAGCAAACCTTCTTGAGAGTATAACACACCTCTTCTAACCCTACTACCTCAAATACCAGAAACTCAGTTTATTCTCTCGAAGATTATAAGGGTTTTTCATTTCTATTATTTTGACTTCTGCAATTGCACTTGTGTCCTTCATGGTTTGTTAATGTCCCTGTCTATAGAAGGTGCATAGGGAAAAGGAGAAAAGGAAGTAACCCAAGGAGTCAAACCTACTTCTTAGTCCAGGAGTTGGGTAAAGAGTTGCAGGAAGCATTATAAGTAGATTGCTCTGATTCATAGCCCACTGCACCCTCCCATCTTATCCATTTCTATGGAAAATTAAAAATTGTTTACAAAAACAAATTTGAGGGACAGGAGGAATGTTGACATTAGTCATAGATGTGTCTTAACCATATGGCTTTAATAGAACTACTGTGACAAAAGCCTCCAAATACTTTTATCACAGAAAAAAAACTGCACCAACTAAATAGAGTTTTGTTTTGATTGGTTGTGTTAAAATATTTAGAGAAATGAAAAAAAATATTGGAGCCCATAGAATTTCTGGCTAAAGCCAAGAGTTTCAGGTGGAAAGGCAATGAGGAAGTGAGCTAACATCACATTGTCCAAAGAAATGGCCACATGTCTCCACTGAGGTGAGCCTTCTGGGGGATGAGAGATGGGGATATGGAAGCCAAGAGCCCCGGGGATTAAACCTACTAAGTCTTTTGTAGAGAGGACCATGACCAGAGTTAACAGAGTTCTAGAGGGGAAAGCAGTTGTGCCAGAGATAAAATGATTGAGAATAGCTTTGGTGAGGGTCACCAAGACAAAGAAAGCCTACAGGCTGGGGAAGGTGGGACAGAACCAACAATGCTATGGATCAGCCAACTGGTTGCTTAGCTGGTGAGGAGAGTGCACTGGGTGTGCCAGTTCAATGCAGGGAGAGATAGAAAAAGTATAAATGAGTACAGTTTGTGGCCAGATAAGTGACAGACCTGGCTAAACTCAAACAGAGCCAACATGTGAGACAAATGCAAGAAAAAGAATAAGGTAAGATTAAACCAGTAATCAACAAACTTTTTTCTGTCAAAGCTCAGACAGTACGTGTTTCTGCTTTGAGCACGTAAGGTCTCTATTACAATTACTCAACCCAGCCTTTGTAGTACAAACATGCAGCCTTAGACAAATGGGGGTAGCTGGGTGCTAATAAAACTTAATTTATGGAACTGTAATTTAAATTCACATAATTTTCATGTGTCACAAAATAATCTTTTTTTCTCAACAATTTAAAAATGTAAAAACTATTTTTAGTTCATAAGCTGTACAAAACTAGGCAGTGGGCCAGGGCTATAGTTTGCCAACTCTATATTAAACAAAGACAAAGTGGGGGCAGGGAGGGAGGGGGATGAGAAGGTGGGTACACAAGGCAAGTCTTGAGGTTTCTGATAAGATGAAAAGATTCCGGAGGCATCCACCATCCCCAGTTCCAATAGGCTTCTTCAAAGCCCAAGCAGGAGTCAATGTGTTAAGTAAGCACATCAGATTTAGGTAGCAATGTATCTTAGTGGCTGGAATATTTATAGCATTTTGTCCTTTAACAGAAATATCTTTCTTTATTAGCACAGAATAGAATGAAAATATTTTATTTCTGTTTTTAAAAGAAGGAATTATATCAAGCAAAATTAAATGGTTTTTTGTTGTTGTTGTTGTTCCTTATTCTTAATTTTTTGATATCTGGAATAAGAGTTAGCTATCAGATTATGCCATCCCTATAGGTACCACCACTCACTGGGGCTGCTACCAAGTAGCATAGTTCCTTACAATATCTTTTTTTTTAAGTTTTAGAATTTACCTCTGAAAATCATACCTTCATTAAGTGACATGAGATTTCCAGGGAGAATGACTTTATTTGGAATCTTTGTTCTTTTCTTCAGAGCCAGCATGTGTTAAATTGCAGGCTTCCCTGCAGCAATCTGCCAGAGTCCTCCTTCAAGGAGAATCTTTTACAAGTTTTCTCCATGGGAATTTGTACTTCTTATTCAGATGAGGCACTGAGATAATTGAATTTGATTGAAAATGATTCCTATTGCTGATTAGCTAATTGGGAAGCTTTTTTAAAGCCAGGCTTAGTGCATTAAGGCAGCCTCTGCCTCTTTTTCATCTTATATTTTTATTTCCTTAAGACAATCCTTGGGACATGGTGCAGGCTCAGTCAATGTTTCCCGATTGAGTGAATGAGTGAATGTATGGTTAAGTCATATGGGTGAGTGGGAAATAAATAGATGTTGTAAAACAGAAGATATTTCTGGTGGCTGTAACTATAGGTATCTATGCTTCTAGAATTATAAGCAGTTACATAAGCAAGTAGTTGGAATGCAAATTTCCTGGTTAGTGTGCCTTGATTTTTTTTCCTTCAAATCAGGGATTCTGGGTTTTGCAAATTTGGATCATGTGTCATTTGCATATGACTACACAGCTGTGGTTATTATTGGAGCCATTTCTTGCCCATAATTTGCTTTGTCGAATGTCCACTTTGAAATGTGGATTGGCAGGAACAGAATCAGGGATGTTTTCATGGTTATATGACATGCTTGAGGATTCTTGTGGGGATCTGTGGCAATTTGTGTATGTGATAAAGTCATCAGGAATGAACAGCTATGATAACTGAGGAATTATGGTGCTTTATTAGCCTCTGAACCCAAGATCAGACAAGGAGAAAAGCAGGAAAGACCTGATGTTCAGCCAGATTTTTTAGAAGGAGTAAACGTAACTCCCTCAATTCAGCTCCTTGCTTTGTGTTGTTTTTCTTTTAAACAATTTGTATGAAATCAATGAGACTCTTCTCATGATTCTTCTCACTGAAAACAGATAGTTTTCTGCCTTAACAGAAGAACTAGGTGTCAATGGTTCTACGCATTTCTGCCATAGAAGAGCAGGATTGCAAGTTTAGGGAGACAGGGGTAACCATGGTCAGATAAAAAGCAAGAGTTTCAGGTAGAAGGGTTAAGGAGGAAGTAAGCTAAGGACATGTCATCAATGGAAATGGCCATGTTTCTCTATTTCAGTCACACACGTTTAGGTGTCATGTTTACCTTGTGATCATGGCCTAAGACCTTCTAATAGTGCCCCTTTCCCTGGGGGTAGATCTGGATCTGGATTCTGGGGGCAGGTGGAACAAGCATCTGTGTGGGGGTTAAGTGTAATCAGCTTGCCCTGGCTTGGGCACATTGGGGTCCAGTCAGGCCAAAACGTTTCTTTATTCAGTCATCATGGGGATGAATAATAATTGCGCATATGGCCACTGAAATCTGTTTCCCCTGTCTGGCTTGAGCTGGGTTGGGATTTTGCAAATTGGCACTTGGACAACTGCTTTTCCACTGCTGAAGTGTCAGAGCATTGCAGATCAGCTCATAATCCTTTCTTGGCCCAGGACTTCCAGAGTTATTGCAAACTGTAATTGCAGAATGGAGTTGCAGGCTGTTCATGTGGCTGCAACATTTCTTTTACAAGCTTGTACAGAATGTCAGGGAAACTTTATTTTGCATTTTTATGGGCAACGTAAAGAATGCTTTGTAAATATCTTGAAACTGAAAAAACCTAACCCCAACTGAAAAAACACACACACACACACACACAAACACACAACTTTAAGAAAGCTTATTCTTGCTAATCACAAACATTAGGTATCTATCGATCAAGCAATTTCCTGGCAAGAAATACCACAAGAGAAGTCTCGAAGGGTTTTACAAATGTTGACTAGCTCATGAACCACAGCACATACCAAATCTTTACAGAAGGCTACGTGTAGAGGAATTTCACGTGCTGTTTGGGACTGCTTTCTTCTGCAATGAAATCTGGGAACAAAATGGCTATAGAGTAACTTGAGTCTAAATAGAAAATGGAAACATATGTGGGAAATTTTGCTGACCAGAAACTAAGCGTTTGATAAATGTTTGTAATGATTCCAAGGATATTTAGCTTCTCTATTAGTTGACCCAGAATAAGGTGTGGTGATCTGTGTGTTTGGCTTACAACCAAATACAAGAGAATGACCAAAGCAAACAACTGGATCTGGTGGATTCAGTAATCAGGGAGTGCCTTAAGTAAGTTGTAGTTACACTACATTCATTAATACAGAGCAAATAGCCAGGGCCAGGGTAGGTTTTCCTGCATCAGCATTTAAAATCCACAAGGTATTATATAAGCTACCAAGTCACAATAACAAATCAGTGCATTTCCTGGAATCACTGAATCAGAACTGGAAGGAACCTCAGAGGTCATTTAATCTGCATTTCCTTCCAAAGAAGATTTCCTTTCCTTTTAAAAAGCCATATCACTCTTGTCTGTCAGCATTTGGTTAAGTATTTTCAGGGGCAGGAGGCTCATTACCAAAGATGCCCTTTGGTTAATCAGTTTTCACTGTTTCATTGCTACAGCTTTTTTTTGTTATTGTTGTTGTTTTGTTTTGAGCCTCACTGTTGTTTCCACCAGTTCTTCTGTTCATTTCTGAAGGCTCACAAAGCAAGTCAAATTCCTAATCTCCATGGTGGCCCCTTAGATCTTTAAAGACAGTTCTGATGTTGCTCCTGGGTCTTCCAATTGGTTAACATTTAATGTTAACAGAAAACATTAAATGAGATGGCTAAAGAGAGTCCAAACATAAGTAATTACAATAATTGTGATCTTATATACAGCCACTTTACAGTTCTTGGGTAGACTCTAGACCAATAGTGGTGTCACCTGCAAGTAGTGACAGTTTGTTTCTTCCTTTCCAATGCTGACACCTCTTATTTCATTGTATGATTACCATTGGATAATCCATCAGGACATCTGTCATTCTGTATCCAAAGGCATGTGGGCTTAGCTACTTTTCAGCATCTTTACTGCCCCCTTCTTGGTCTAGGCCACTGTACTGTTTTCCTGGGGCCTCCATGACAAAGGAAATAGGCTGGGTGGCTTTAAGGACAGAAATATATGTTTTCACAGTTCTGGAGGCTAGAAGCTCAAGATCAAGGATTCAGCAGGGTTGGTTTCCTTTGAGGGCTGGGCAGAAGGACCTTTACCAGGTCTCTCTTCTTGGCTTGTATGTGGCTCTCTTCTCCTTTGTCTTCACTTTGTCTTCTCACTGTATGTGTACATCTCCATATTTCCTCTCCTTATAAGGATAATTAGGACCCATCCTGATGACCTCATTTTAACTTTATTACCTCTGTAAAAAGACCCTATCTCCAAATAAGGTTATATTCTGAGGTTCTGGGGGTTAGAACTTCAATATATGAATTTTAAGAAAAAACAATTCAGTCCCTAACAGCGGCCATCATCTCTCATCAGGATGACTTTGAACTGCCTCTAAAATGGCATCCCCATGTCTACTTTGGGTTTCTCAATCCAGTCTCCAAAGAATAGAGGTGACATTCCTAAATTGGGAATAATGTTATGTCATTCTTCTACTTAGTCTGTCAATAACTCTCTAATAAATTTAGAATCCAAAGACATACAGGCTCTTTACGACCTACACCTTCTCATCTTTATCAATTTCACTGATTTTTTTTGCTCTCCATGCTCTAGTCACATGAATCTTTAAATTTTAATACTGCAATTCTTTCTGGCCTCTGGGCCTTTGCTTGTGCATTTTCCTATACCTGGAATGCCCTTTGCTTTACTCTTCCTATAGCCAGATCCTCGTAATTCTTAGGTCTAATTCTAGGCTTAAATATTTCTCAAAGAAGACTTTCTGATCTTCTGATCTGTATTAGTCCGTTTTCACACTGCTATATGGAAATACCTGAGACTGGGTAATGTATAAAGGAAAGAGGTTTAATTAACTCACAGTTCCACATGGCTGCGGAGGGCTCGGGAAACTTGCAATCATGGCAGAAGGCGAAGGGGAAGCAAGAACCTTCCTCACAAGGTGGCAGGAGAAGGAAGAGTCGAGGAGGAACTTCCAAACACTTTCAAGACCACCATATCTCATGAGAACTCACTCAATGTCATGAGAACAGCATGGGGGAAACCGCCCCCATGATCAAATCAGCTCCCTCCCTTGACATGTGGGGATTACAGGTCCTTCCCTTGACACATGGAGATTACAATTCGAGATGAGATTTGGGTGGAGACACAGAGCCAAACCATATAACTATCTAAAGAAAGTCCCCCTCACTTCTCTATCTCAGCCTTCTGTTTGTTTTCAACACAACCTTTAAAATAGCTTGCAGTTATTTTGTGTTCACCTAATTTTGTCTTTCTTTTCTGTTAGACAGCAGATTCTAAGGTGCTTACTATTGTATTTCCTATATCTAATACAGTACATAGTACACAGTAGGCACTCACACAATATTGAATGAATTGCTAGATCTTTAATACAATGTTAAATACTAATGATATTCGCAGTCTTATCTTGTTCTTAACTTTAGGAGGGATGCTTCTAATTTCCCACCATTTAGTTGTGTTTTAAATATAATTTTTATTTCAGGCTTCTGGTAGAGATCTTTAACAGACACTACTGGCTCCCTAACTGACATCTTTATTTCCTTTTATTAAAACTCTGATTTTATTTGAGTAACCCATGCTCTTCCATATGTTTCCTCTCGGTAAATAATGGTAATTTCACTCTCATTACCAGTGATTTGTCCAAGACTGAGATTATGACGAAATTGTGGATAACGAGACAAACGTTTTCTAGATGAAGTTCCCTGTTTTAAAACGGGACTGTGAGAAAAAATAATCCTCCTTCCAAGACACGTTATTTTTGCAGAGTAATGTTATGACTGTGAACTAGTGAGTAAAATGCTAATAGACTAATATATGCTATATATATATATATATAGCATATATTAACACATATGTTATATGTTAATATATATATATATATAGCATATATGTTAATATAATGAGGATGTCAGAGTAAAAATATGGAGAGAAACTATAACCTTGGTGATTTTTTTTTTTTTTTTTTTTGAGATGGAGTCTCACTCTGTCACCCAGGTTGGAGTGCAGTGGTGTGATCTCGGCTCACTGCAACCTTTACTTCCTGGGTTCAAGCGATTCTCCTGCCTCAGCCTCCCGAGTAGCTGGGATTACAAGTGCCCACCATCATGCCTGGCTAATTTTTGTATTTTTAATAGAGACGGTTCCTCCATGTTGGCCAGGCTGGTCTCGAACCCCTGACCTCAGGTGATCCGCCCACCTTGACCTCCCAAAGTGCTAGAATTATAGAAGTGAGCCACTGCTCCTGGCCCCTTGGTGATTTTGAGCTACTTTGATTAACTATCCTGGGAAGCACTCAAGACTCCTCTTTTTTATCATTTAAGGCCAATGAGCAGGAACTTTCTAATACTTATAGCTAAAACCTAATTTTTTACAATATTGCTTATTAGATTATTGAAGTTTTCTTTTATATCTAACTTACTAGTTTTTTCCCCCCAAAGAAACAGGTTCAAATATTTTTCTTCCTTATCTTTTGAGAATGGAAGTATAATTTTTCTCTTTTAACCCATTAATGTAGTAAAGATCTTCAGTATGTGTCCTAATGTTGAAACTCGTTTGGCTTCCTAGACTAAACCAAGCTTAATTGTGAAGTAATATTCATTGTAATACTTAACTGGATGCAAACACTAATGAGTATTTTATTATCTGTGATATTTGCACCTGTTTTCAGAAGTAAGATATCTATACTTTTGTTATTTTGTTTTCATTTTTTGCTTCTATCTTCAGTTTTGAGTATCTAGGTATGCTGACTTGGTATAATACATTGGGAAGTTTTTCATGTTTCTCTATGCTCTAGAGCAGTTTCTTAATATTGAAATGTTCTCTTCCTTGAAGATCTGGTAAATTTATTCTATAAAATAATCTGAGTAGATCCTTTTGTAGCTTTTCAATCTTTTGTATTGTTTTGGGTTTGTTTACATTTTCCACTTCTTCCTGAGTCAATGTTGGTGATTAACCTATTCTCGAGAATTAATTCACCCATGCTTTCAAGTGTATTTCATAAGTGTGAACACGATACTCTCATATTTAAATATCCTTTGTATCTGTATATGTGTAATCTTCTTTATTCTTAATGTTGCACACTTGTACCTTCTCTAGCTTTAAAACATCAGCTTTTAATTAACACACGAACACAAAACCAAACACTGCACGTTCTCACTTACAAGTGGGAGCTAAACATTGAGTACACATGGATACAAAGAAGGGAAAAATAGACACTGGGGCCTACTGGAAGGTGGAGGGTGGGAGGAGGGTGAGGATTGAAAAACTACCTATGAGGTGTTATACTAATTCCCTGGATGACAAAAGTATGTGTACAACAAACACCCATGACATGCAATTTACCCATGTAGCAAACCTGCACACTTACCCATGAACCTAAAATAAAAGTTGGGAAGAAAAAAACTCAGTTTTACTAGAATTTTGTGTATTTTGTCTCTAAAAAAAACACTGATTTTATTGATTAAGTCAACTGGGATTTTCATTTCTTTATATTGCCTTAGACGTCTGACTTTATCTCAGCTTCTTGATATATTAACTTCAACTACCTTCCCAGATATACTAGTCTCCTTATTGTCCTCCTACTCACCAGATACTTCTTTTTAGCCTCCATGGTTTGCTCCTTCACTTCTTCCGAACTCTGAATGTTGCTGTTTTCCAGGGTTATGTTTGCTCTTTTCCTTATCCTCACAGACCCTCCAGGTAATCTCATCCAGAAATCAGTGAATAATGGTTGTGGATGTGGGATCTGGATTTAACGTACTTAGAGCCTCGTTTCAATTCTGCTACTTAATAGCTGTGTGACTATGGCAAACTTAAAAATGTCTGTGCCTCTGTTTTCTGAAGAAATAGTAACAGTACCTTCTTCAAAGAACTATTGTGAGGATGAATTAATTTATGCAAAAACCCTAGAACAATTCCTGGAACATAGTTCAGCTTTCTATACATATTAGCTATTATTACCACTATTCATTTCCAAGCTTTAAATATTATTTACCTGCCGATGAGTTTCCCCAGTGTCTCAGTGAATGGCACTACCATTTATTCAGTTGGAACAGTTGCTGGGCAGGACTTGATCTTATTTGTCCACTGAAGTCTCTCTAGCACCTCAGCAGTCTCTGGCACATTGTAGTTGCTCAACAAACATTGAGCATGGAAAAATCTACGAATACCATTTTGTCTACAACTCATGAATACAGTGCCATTATTTCTAAACAGTTTATAACTTCAGCTTTAATAGTAGAGTCATATGTGTATGATCATGAAAGCTTAGGAAAAAAGGTCACAGTAGAATTGAAAATAGAGTATGCATTCCAATTAGAAAGGCAAAAAAAAAAATGGAATGAATAATTATGTGATCAAACCCACAATTATAAGTAAAAGAAAAAAAGAACGTGTTTATGCACAATGAGTAACAAACATAAAGGAAGATGGAAGGAATAAAATTGAATGGCTCAGTTCTTGCATTACATATGAACAAGTTGAATTCTTTCATTAAAAATATATAATAGTTTTAGGTTTTACATTTAAGTCTTTAATCCATCTTGAGTTAATTTTTGTATATGATGAAAGGTAGGAGTCCAGTTTCAGTGTTCCACATATGACTAGCCTGTTATCGCAGCACCATTTACTAAATAGGAAGTCCTTTTTCCATGGCTTGTTATTATTGCCTTTTGTCAAAGATCAGATGGTTGTAGGTGCGTGGCTTTATTTATGGGTTCTCTAACCTGTTCCGTAGGTCTGTGTATCTGTGTTTGTACCAGTACCATTCTGTTTTGGTTACTGTAGCCTTGCAGTATAGTTTGAAGTCAGGTAGTGTGATGTCTCTGGCTTTGCTGTTTTTGCTTAGGGTTGCTTTGGCTCTTTGGGCTCTTTTTTGGTTCCATAAAAACCCCAGAAGAAAACCTAGGAAAGACCATTTTTGACACAGACCCTGGCAAAGATTTCATGACAAACATTCCAAAAGCAATTGTGACAAAAATAAAAGTAATTAAACAAAAAAAATTAAAAATTAAACAAAAAAAATAATTAAACTAAAGAGTTTCTGCACAGCAAAAAAAAAACTATCAACAGAGTCAAGAGAGAACCTACAAAATGGGAACAAATATTTGCAAACCTGTGTGTCTGGCAAAGGTCTAATATCCAGAATCTATAAGGAACTTAAATAAATCACCAAGCAAATAACAAACAACCCCATTAAAAAATGGGCAAAAGGCATGAACAGATACTTCTCAAAAGAGAAGACACATATGCAGCCAAGAAGCATATGAAAAAATGCTCAACATCACTAATCATTAGAGAAATGCAAATCAAAACCCCAATGAGATACCGTCTCACACCAGTCATAATGGGCTATTCCTAAAAGGTAAAAACAAAAAATAACACATGCTGGTGAGGTTGCAGAGAAAAGGGAATCCTTATACACTGCTGGTAGGAACGTAAATTAGTTCAGCCACTGTTGAAAGCAGTTGGAAGATTTCTCAAAGAACTTAAAACAGGTCTAGCATTTGACCCAGCAATCCCATTACTGAGAATATACCCAAAAGAATATAAATTGTTCTACCGTAAAGACACATGCACATGTATGTTCACTGCAGCACTATTCACAATAACAAAGACATGGAATAAACTTAGATACCCATCAGTGGTGGACTGGATAAAGAAAATGTGATACATATACACCAGGGAATACTATGCAGCCATAAAAAAGAATAAAATGATAGCCTTTGCAGCAATATAGATGCAGCTAGAGGCCATTATCTTAAGTGAATTGACACAGGAATAAAAAAAAAACAAATACTGCATGTTCTCACTTATAAGTGGGAGCTAAACATTGAGTACACGTGGACACAAAGAAGGGAATAGACACTGGGACCTACTTGAGGGTGGAGAATGGGAAGAGGATGAGGATTGAAAAACTTCATATTAGGAGCTATGCTCACTACCTGGGTGATGAAATAATTTGTACACCAAACCCCAGTGACACACAACGTACTTATGCAACAAACCTGTACATGTACTCCTTGAGACTAAAATGAAAGTTCAAAGGAAAAAAACATATAGATTGTGATTTTTAAAAATACACCTATATGTTGTTTTTAAGAAACACACTTAACACAAAATTACAAAGAAAACTTGAAAACAAAGGAGTGGAAAAGAGACACCAGGGGAAATAGAAACAAATTTCAAGCTCTGTTGAAATCATATCAAAGGGGAATATCATGTAATGATAAAGGGCACAATTTATGAATTGCAGTCTTAACCCTCCCCCTTCAGAAAAAAGCAGGTAAACAATGCCACACCAAATAGTACAGTACAGCTGTCCTCAACATTTTTGGCACAGGGACTGGTTTTGTTGTTCTTCTGGTTACATGATAGGGTTACACTTGGGTAAGACCATCTAATGCTGGCCAATACGTGTTAGTGGAAATGTGTTCACTCACTGGCACTGTTAGAGATAATTAATAAGAAATAAATTTTGAAATAATAATTGAATCAAATAAAAATTTAAAAAGTCATAAAATATCTTAACACAGTAAAGCATATGGGATGTGGTTATAGCCTCCAAGGGAAAGAGATTGCCTTAGACATTTGAATTATTAAACTGCAAAGGTCAATGCAAAAAACTAAGAATACAAAAAATTAATAAAAAGATAAAAAGTCAAAAGAGAATTAAAATTGAATATTAATAAAGATATAATCTGATACTGTTAAAGAAGAAAAATAAGATAAATAGATTTTAAGAAGTCTCCTTGCAAAGACTGTTGTGAGCTGGATCAAGGGGAAAAGAGAGAAAGGAGAGCCAAGATAAGGAATTTTTTTATAAGGCAAGTGTTCATAGCAGATTATTCACAATAGACAAACAGTGGGAGCAACCCAAATGTCCACCAATGGATGAACTGATCAAAAAACTGTGGTATGAATAATACAATGGAGTACTATTCGATATTTTTAAAAAGGAAGGAAATTCTGACACATGCTACAACATGGATGAACCTCGAGGCCATTGTGTTGAGTGAAATAAGTCATTCACAAAGAGAGAAATACTATTCCACTTCTGTATATTCCACTTCTGTAAGGTATCTAGAGTAGTCAGAGTCATAGAGACAGAAAGTAGAATGGTGGTTGACAAAGGCTGGGAGGCGGAGGGAATGGGGAGTTATTGTATAGTGGGCACAAAGTTTCAGTTTTGCAAAATGAAAAGGTTTCTGGAGATGGATGGTGGTTATTGGTGCACAGCAATGTAGAATGTACTTAATACCACTGAACTGTATACTTAAAAATGGTTAAAATGGTAAATGTTATGTGTATTTTATTGCAATTGAAAATAATAATTTATTAATATTTATAATTTTTTTGCTTTATTTTACTTTATTTTTATTATTATACTTTAAGTTTTAGGGTACATGTGCACAACGTGCAGGTTTGTTACATATGTATACATGTGCCATGTTGGTGTGCTGCACCCATTAAATCGTCATTTAGCATTAGGTATATCTCCTAATGCTATCCCTCCCCCCTACCCCCACCCCACAACAGGCCCCGGTGTGTGATGTTCCCCTTCCTGTTTCCATGTATTCTCATTGTTCAATTCCCACTTATGAGTGAGAACATGCGGTGTTTGGTTTTTTGTGCTTGCAATAGTTTGCTGAGAATCATGGTTTCCAGCTTCATTCATGTCCTTACAAAGGACATGAACTCATCATTTTTTATGGCTGCATAGTATTCCATGGTGTATATGTGCCACATTTTTCTTAATCCAGTCTATCATTGTTGGACATTTGGGTTGGCTCCAAGTCTTTGCTATTGTGAATAGTGCCACAATAAACATATGTGTGCATGTGTCTTTATAGCAGCATGATTTATAATCCTTTGGGTACATACCCAGTAATGGGATGGCTGGGTCAAATGGTATTTCTAGTTCTAGATCCCTGAGGAATCGCCACACTGACTTCCACAATGGTTGAACTAGTTTACAGTCCCACCAACAGTGTAAAAGTGTTCCTATTTCTCCACATCCTCTCCAGCACCTGTTGTTTCCTGACTTTTTAATGATCGCCATTCTAACTGGTGTCAGATGATATCTCATTGTGGTTTTGATTTGCATTTCTCTGATGGCCAGTCATGATGAGCATTTTTTCATGTGTCTGTTGGCTGCATAAATGTCTTCTTTTGAGAAGTGTCTGTTCATATCCTTTGCCCACTTTTTGATGGGGTTGTTTGTTTTTTTCTTGTAAATTTTATTGAATTCATTGTAGATTCTGGATATTAGCCCTTTGTCAGATGAGTAGATGGCAAAAATTTTCTCCCATTCTGTAGGTTGCCTGTTCACTCTGATGATAGTTTCTTTTGCTGTGCAGAAGCTCTTTAGTTTAATTAGATCCCATTTGTCAATTTTGGCTTTTGTTGCCATTGCTTTTGGTGTTTTGGACATGAAGTCCTTGCCCATGCCTATGTCCTGAATGGTATTGCCTAGGTTTTCTTCTAGGGTTTTTATGGTTTTAGGTCTAACATTTAAGTCTAACATTTTTGTTTCCATATGAACTTTAAAGTAGTTTTTTCCAATTCTGTGAAGAAAGTCATTGGTAGCTTGATGGGGATGGCATTGAATCTATAAATTACCTTGGGCAGTATGGCCATTTTCATGATATTGATTCTTCCTACCTATGAGCATGGAACGTTCTTCCATTTGTTTGTATCCTCTTTTATTTCATTGAGCAGTGGTTTGTAGTTCTCCTTGAAGAGGTCCTTCACATCCCTTGTAAGTTGGATTCCTAGGTATTTTATTCTCTTTGAAGCAATTGTGAATGGGAGTTCACTCATGATTTGGCTCTCTGTCTGTTATTGGTGTATAAGAATGCTTGTGATTTTTGCACATTGATTTTGTATCCTGAGACTTTGCTGAAGTTGCTTATCAGCTTAAGGAGATTTTGGGCTGAGACGATGGGGTTTTCTAGGTATACAATCATGTCATCTGCAAACAGGGACAATTTGACTTCCTCTTTTCCTAATTGAATACCCTTTATTTCCTTCTCCTGCCTGTTCGTACTATCCAGGGGGGGAGAGGGGGGTGATATTACTCCCCGCCTCGTAAGTACTGTCCACCATCCTTCTATATGGGGAGTAATATCATCCTTTCCCATGCTGGATATTAGGAATAGTTTCACCGAGTGTGTGTACACAGCCTGCGATGTTGAAAGTAATGTCATCCTCTCCCCCTCCGGATATTAGGAACAATATCATAAAACACTTTTTGCGATATTTTGAGTAATATCATCCTGTGATTCCCTGAATATTCGGAGACATATCACAGAGTGGGTGTACATCCACTGCTCTATTGGGAGTAACATCCTACTGTTCCCACTAGAAATTATGAGCAATATCACTGGGGTGCACAGCCGTTGCGATAGCAGAAGTAATATCATGTGCTCCCTCACTAGTTTTTAGGAACAATATCACAGGGGCGGTGTACACACCCTGTGATATTGCCAGTAATAGAGACTCCCCTCCCCCAAGGGATATTAGGAACAATATCAAAAAGGGGTGTATACAGCGATATTGGGATTAATATCATGCTCTCCCCGCGGATATTAGGAACAATATCCAAGAAAGGGTGTCCACCCCTTGCGATATTGGCAGTAATTTCATCCTCTCCCTCCATGGATTTTAAGAACAATACCACAGAGTTGGTGTACACGCACTCCGATACTGGGTGTAATGTCATCCTCTTCCCCCTGGATATTAAAAACAATATCACCGAGGTGGTGTACACCCCCCGCAATATGGCCAGCAATATCATCGTCTCCCCTGCTGGATATTAGGAACAATATCACAGGGGTGTGTACACCTCCTGCGCTATTGGGAGTAATATCATTCTCTTTTCTTCTGGATATTAGGAATAATATCACAGGTGGGGTGTACAACTCCTGCGATATTGGCAGTAATATCATCCTCTCCCAACCTGGATATTCAAAACAAAATAACAGGGGGGTGTACACACCCTGCGATATTGGTAGTAACATCATTCTCTCCCCCACCTGATATTACAAAACAATATCCCAAGAAGGGTGTACACCTTCTGAGATATTGAGAGTATTATCATCCTCTCCCCAACTAAATATGAGGAACAATGTTGGTGGGGGGGGTGTACACCCCCTGAGATATTGGGAGCAATATCCTCTCCCTCCCTGGATATTAGAAACAATATCAAAGGGGTCGTGTACACCCCCTGTGATATTGGGAGTAATATCATTCTAATCCCCCTGGGATATTAGGAAGACTGTTATGGAGGGGGTGTACACCCTCTGCCATATTGTGAGTCATATCATTTCTCTTCCCCTGGATATTAGGAACAATATCGCAGGGGCTGTGTCTCCTGTTATATTGAAATTAATACCATCCTCTCCCCCACTGAATATTAAAAACAATCTCACAGGGGTGTTGTCCACCCCTGTGATATGGACAGTAATATCATTGTCTCCCCCCCAAATCTTAAGAACAGTATCACAAGAGGGGTGTATAACCCCCTGCGATATTGGGAGTAATATCATCCTCTCTACCTTTGGATATAAGGCACAATATCCCAGGGGGAGAGTACAACCTCTTCGATATCTGGAGTAATAACATCCCTTCCCTTCTGGACATTAAGAACAGTATCACTGGGTGGGTGTACAGCCCCTGCGATATTGGGAGTAATATCATCCTCTCCCCCTCTCGATATTAGGAACAATATCCCAAGGTGGGTGTACATCCCCTGCGATATTGGGCATAATATCATCGTCTGCCAACGTGGATATTGGGAACAACGTCACGGGGGGGTGTACACCTTCTTCCATGTTGGGAGTAATATCATCCTCTTCCCCCGGATTGTAGGAAAAACTTCGAAAGGGTTTTACCACTTGTGCGATATTGGCAGTAATATCATCCTCTCCCCACCTAGATATTAGGAACTATATCACAGGAGGCTGTACACTTCTTGCGATATTGGGAGGAATATCATCCTCTCCTATCATGGATATTAAGAGCAATATCACAGGGGAGGTGTACACCCTCTGCGATATTGTGAGTAATATTATGCTCTCTCCTTCTGGATATTAGGAATAATATCACAGGAGGTGTGTGCAACCCTTGCAATATTAGGAGTAATGCCATCTTTTCCCCTCGAATATAAGAAACAATACCACAGGAAGATGTACACCCCCTGAGATATTGGGAGTAATATCATTCTCTCCCACTCCGGATATTCAGAACAATATAACGGGGGTGGGGCGGCGTGTATACCTCTGCGATATTGGGAGTAATATCTTCCTCTCCACCGCTGGCTATTAGGAACAATGTCACAGAAGGGATGTACACCCCCTGGTATATTGGGAGTAATATCATCCTCTCCGTCCCTGGATATTAGGAACAATATCACTAAGGAGTGTACACCTCCTGTGATACTGAGACTAATATCATCCTCTCACCCCCTGGATATTAGGAACAATATCACAGGGGTGGTGTACACCTCCTGTGAATTTGGGGGAAATATCATCCTCTCCACCTTTGGATATTAGAGACAATATCACAGGAGGGGTCTACTCCCCCTGCAATATTGGAAGTAATATCATCCTCTCCCCCCCTGGATTATCAGGAACAATATCACAGAAGGGATGTATACCCACGGCGATATTTGGAGTAATGTCATCCTCTACCCGCTGGCTATTAGGAACAACACAGGTGGTGTATGCCTTCTGTGATACTGGGAGTTATAGCATCGTCTCCCCACCGATATCAGGAACAATAATATTTATTAATATTAATAATATCAATTATTAATGTTAATAAAATGATGCTAATTAATATCAATAATTACTATTAGTAACTAAAGTGCTTACAATGAAAATAATGTTAATTATTAATATTGATAATAACGATTAATATTAATAATATCGATAATAGCAATAGTAAATAAAACCGTAGCAATTGATGTTGATTAATAACATCTATTACTATAAATAATTAATAATACCATTATGTTAGAAATCCCTATCAGTTACTATTAATAATAATAATAATGACTGATGAATAGTGACATTATCACTATTATCACTTCTAATACTGCACGGGGTCTACACTGTGATATTGTTCCTCATAGGGAGGGAGAGCATGATATTAGTTTCAATATCGCAGTAGGTGTACACCCACCCTGTGATACTGATTCTAATATCCATGGTTCAGGGTATGACGTTACTCCCAATAGAGCAGGGGGTGTCCAGCCACCCGGTGATATTGCTCCTAATATTCACAAAAGAAGAGAATGATATCACTCCCAATATCGCAGGGAGTGTACACCTCTTCTGTGATACGGTTGCTAGTATCACAATGAACAAATAGTCCTATTTGTACAAAATGAAATACAAATGACTAATAAATAGGTAAAAAGATATTCAACTTCAATAACAAAGGAATGTAAGTTAAAAAAAAGAAAGGTAATTTTCACTCATCAGAGTAACAAACTTTTATCATATCAAATATTGATGATGTTGCAAAGAAATTAATACTCTTTTTTTACAGCTTAGTAGTATTCCATGGTATACGTATATTCTGTATTTTCTTTATCCACTCATTGGTTGCTGGGCACTTAGGTTGATTCCATATCTTTGCAATTGTGAATTGTGCTGTGATAAATATACACTGTTTTTGTAAGTATAAATTTTTGCAGCTATTCTACAGTACAGTTTTGGCAGTGTCTATTAGAGTGAAAAATATGTCTCCTCTGACTCAGCAATTCATTTCTGTTTCTACCTTAAGGATGCACTTGCATGTGCCCTGTATGAAAGTACAAGCATGTTAACTGCAGCAGTGTTAGTTACAGGTAAAACTGGAAATGAACATCAAAACTGGGATAAGTGCACCATGGTAAATCTGGACTATGTAGTACTTGCAAAAGATGCAGATAAGCCTACATGTACCAATGTGGAAAGGTCTGTGAAACATATTGTTCACTGCAAAAAATAACAATTCCAAGAAAAAGAAGTATAGATAAAAAAAATTGGGTATAAAATCAACCCACATCCAAAATATAGATCTTTGTATAGTTGTATATCTCTCTACATGTTCATATATGTTTTACATACATATCTATCTATATCTATCTATCTATCTATCTTCTATCTATCTATCATCTATCGATCTATCATCTATCTATCTATATATCTATCATCTATCTATCTCTCTATCATCTATATCTATCTATCTATCTATCTGTCTATCTATCTAGAGATTGATTTCAATTCAAAGTAAAGTAACAGTATATTTGGATGCACAGCAAACATAAGAGTGGCCTCCTCTACAAAAGGGACTCAAGATAGAAATCTGAAAAGCACTGAAAACTACAAAGATAAAAATAAACAACTATATTCCTATGGTACCTTCTTTTAGCATTTTGCTGTATATCCTTCCAGCCATTTTTCTATATAGGTATAGGGCAAGTTGGAAGTCTTGATCTGCAGCAAAGGACCTTATTTTAGAGGCGAAAAATATATTAGTGTTAATGAATAGATATAGAAGAAATTGAAATCTGTGAACTCTGAGAATTCAGGGGACGATGTACCGATCACTGACACCTTGGGGAGAAACAGACAATGGGGAGATAAACTGTGAAATGTGCCCATTGCTGGAACTTGAAGAGTGGATGAGGAGTTTGATGGAATGGTATGGAGGGGCCAAATGCCACTGAATCACTCAGGCACCCTCCTCCCCCAGTCACCTTAATCATGCCCTGTTTATACAAACAATAGCACAATGAGAAAAATGTAGATACAACTGGAGGAACCCACCCAGGAAAAGTGTTTGGTAGAGTTTTGCAGAAGATAGGATAAGATCTAGAGGAGAAGAATTGGAATTATAAATACAGTGGTTAATTCTAGGCTCTACATGTGTGGGAATTTGGGCCAATTTTGCTTTTATATTTCCCAGGGGAAAAATGTCTGTTTCAACTATATTTTCAAATTTGTTATTATAAAGTTTTCCATAGTATTAACATCTTCTTGAAATTTTCAAACATCATACTTATCCACGTGTCAGGATTTTTTGGTTTTTAATGTTATTTGTTTCTTATCCTTCTTGATCCTATTTGCCTAGGGTTTATCTGTTTTATGAGTCATTTCAAAGAACAAGTTTTGGTTTTGCTGATTAACTCATTTCTGGGGAGGGAAAATGTTTTTCATTAATTTCAGTTTCTAGCTTATATTTTGTTCTTTCGAATTTCGTTGGGTTTATTTTCTTGCATTTCCCTGCCCACTAATGGGATTTTGGATTTCCTCTTCTCTGCATTGCCTGTACGTTGCCTGGAGGCAGCAAAGCATATGGTTAATAAAACATATTGAGGATGAATGAGAAAACAACCTGGTTCCTGGAAGGAGAGAAACAAGGTGGAGTCTTCTCACAGAAACAAGGAGAAGGTCAGAGAGACCTCCGGGAGCATCTCATCTTGGAGGTAGCTGTTTGCATGAGGGCAGTGCTTGTCCTGAGATGCTAGTTTCGCAGAGTGGTGTTCACAAGGGAAATAAGCTAGGTCATTACAGTCTACCCTTACACCAGGAAGAGGAAAATATTTCAGGCTTATATGCCAAGGCTTTCCTGCCCCTAAGCTGTCCAGAGTTGCCTTAGTATTGATTATCTTAATTTAATTACTATAAAGTTTGCTGGTAATGCTTTTGTATTAAGAGTAAAAGACAACCTTGAGAGCTGCAAACATGAGCCCAGCGATCCAGGAGATCAAGTTAATAATTGTGGATATCAAGAGATCCACGATTAGTCAATTCCAACCTGTTTTCCTTTGATGCCTTAATCAAAGTTTAGTTATAGTTAACCTACTTTCAAAATGCTTACTTCTACCCTCCCTCCAAGAATCACCCTGAGCATTTCCTCCACTCTCTAAGTTTAGGAATTTAGGACTTTCCCCCAAGAAAGGCACTGTAGAGAACAAAAATATGACATCTCAAAGACACTTGGCCATTTCAAATAGGAAAGAAAAATTTGCATCCAAACAGGCCAAATATTGCACTCACTGTTAATGTAATCATTTTTCTGACTTTGAATTCCTTTTCCCAAGTGACTAAATAAAGTCTTTATTCTAACCTTTCAGCACTAGGCAGTTTTTCTCCTGCTTTAGTTTCCTCTACAACCTCCGGAAGAGTTTTTCTCGGCCCTGCTACCTGTTTCTTCCATCACTCTGTTGCTCACTGGATTGGTTTTTACATTAGTGTGTTTTGATAGCACACAATGGTTTCCTCAGTTACACAACAGACTCAGTGCCAATAAACTTTTTTTTAGGTAATGTAAAGCATATTTGAGCACAAGAATGATTGCACTTTCATGGCTAAAAATAAAGTTGTTTTTAATTTTCCATGAGAATGCTGGCTCTCAGCACAAGGGGCCACCTCCTACCTGGTGAACTCTTTATGCCAAAGTCATCACTATGTGGCTGGAAACGTGAAATTCAAGTTTTCCTTATGTAACATAAAGGGAAAAGCCCATAGGCAAATCTCTCTTTAATTCCATCGTATCACTGCTCGTGCACAGTGCTTTTAAAACAGACTATAACAAACATATCTTAACAGAGAAACAAGTCCTACCCTAGCTAATTTACATAAAAAGACTATCTTTATTTTTATAGTAACAAAAAAAGCTAGGATTATCTCATTTAATCCTTATACCATCATTATGAAGTGGGTAATATTATACTCACAAAAGGAAGTTAATCATTTCTTATTTTCCACAGACACCACAAGCTCAGGAGGCTGCATCAGCGTTTCTTATTGGAGGCATTTTCTTTTCCTCCAGATTTTGTTTTTGACTGTTAAGGTAGCTTGTTATAGCTACAAACAATCGATCAAGCCTAAAAGGGCATTTATAAACCACCTACATCTACATTTTTTTCTTACTGTTGATGGATTTAAAAAGCCGTTTCAAGATGAAATCTTACAAGTCTTTTTCATGTCTTCTGAGGGCTGAGATATAACTTTGAAGTAGAGCCCAAACATGAAGATCATGAAGACGGCTTCTTCTCCAAATGATGTTATCTTAAAAACTTGAGAAAAAAAAAACAAAAAAACAAAAAAAAAAAGAAAAGAAAGAAAAAAGAGAGAGAGCGAGCCAAGGGAACTTGAATCAGACAAACCTGATTCAAAGTGATTATTCAACAAATGTAAGCTGTTATCATCTTGTCCTCCATCATTCAAATATGTCCTATGTAGATCTTCCATTAATTTCAAATATCTAATGATCTACACCATCAAATAATATGAAGGTGATGTTTAGCAGGTCATTGGCTAAGACAGGCTCTACCTCAGTCTCTAATAGAGAAGGAAAGACAAGTAGAATTTACTAACACCCACAGTATGCTTCATATTGTTGCCAAAAATTTCAAATGCATCATCTATTGATGCATGGAATCCTTTCAACATTCTTAGAAGGTGAGTGTTATCTTAACTTTTCGTTTTAGGAAAATGAAGCTGAGAGTGGTTAAGTATCTTGCTTAAGGTAATATTTATACCATGGGGAGGATCATTATAACTGACCAGTTAACGTGAATTGAAGGTAATATCACAGATCCCTGCTACTCAAAATGTGGTCCACTGACCAGCATCGCTGGCATTACTTGGGAGCTTGTTAGAAATGCAGCGCCTCAGGCGTCACCCTGTCCCTACGGAAGCAGAAGCTGCATTTTTCACGTGGATCTCCTGGCGATTTCTGCGAACATTAAAGCTTGAGTACTACTGTTATAGAAGAGACCCAAGCACCCATATCCACTACCTCTGTCATTTTACCAGTGAGGAAATACATTAAAAAGCATAATCACTTTATGAGCAAATAAATGTTAACTTTTTCAAGTATAAAATATCAAAACTCATCATTTCAAGGCCGCAAGCCAGTTTTTTTTTTTTCAAAATTTGGTAGAGTTTCCAAAATAAGCAGAGCCAATAAGAACTAGCAAGTAACAAGATGAAAATATAAAGGTCATGAGGCCAAAGAAGGAGCCTTTATTCAGAGGTATCAGTGGCTTTTAAATGCAAACTAAAATTGGGAGTTAAAAGGGCTCTTACTGACTTACCCAAATGAGATACATTAATAGTTAACACTGATTGAACATTTAATATGATATGTATTACCTCATTTAATCCCCACAATGACCCTGTGAATGAGTACTGGTATTGTTATTATTATCTGTTTTAGCAGTTAGGATATCAACTATCCTATGAAAGGATTATCAAAGAACTATCAAAATCACAGAGCTGGGAAGTTACCGAGTTGGGGCTGGAATCCCAGGCTTTCTATCCCAGGGCTGAGCTCATCCCCATAGTGTTATTCTGTCTCATAACATAGGAGACATATTTAGGGAAAGCAGCCACCCAAAAGTAAGATAGAACACAAGGGACCTGTAAGCAACTCCTTCACTGAAATGAGCCTGGGAGTGTGAAGAGCAGAGGATGGAGAGCCTTGCTTCTGAAGGCCTTGGTCACACCCTCACACTGTTCAAAGTGGAAGAGACTCATTAACTTTTTATCATTATATAAGATACTACTTATTTCTTTAAATCTCACCTCAACCCCCAAAACTGAAAGTTAGCAGGAGAACACTTTTGGCCAATAAGAAAACAGAAAATAAAATTAAAATGGTAAATTCAGTTTCCTGCGATATTTCAGTTTTATGCAAAGACAGTGAGTGGCTCTTTGAAACTCATAATAAAACTTTTAAACATCCCAGAAATATCTTTAAAAACATAAATTTTACTGTTTATCTTTCCTTTTATAAAATGGTACATGTTTGTTATGGAAATTTTAGAAAAAGGACAAAATTATACAGAAAAAAATGAGAAATCCTTTATATTCATGCAAGCAACAGAAACCAGTTAGTATGTTGTTATACTGCTTTTCAAATTTATTTCTATATAGTTTTATTTTTGCATATTTTGGTTTGTAGTCATATTACACATAAAATTTTGTACCCAATTTTTCCCTTTAACTTTATGTGTTTGGCATTTACCTCTTATTATAAACCCTGCATGACAGCTCATTTAAAAGTGAGTTAGTAATCGCTTGAGCAGACATATGGCAACTTAAGCAACTTTTATCCCATTGATGAGATTTGTAGGTTGTTTCTAATTTTTCCCCTTTGTAAAGAGTTCAGTGAACTTTTTGGCTCAAATATTTTTGATTATATATCAGCTTGTTTGGATAGATGTTATTTCAAATGATATAATGATTTGATGCATTTGCCAAATATCTTTCTAAAATAATTAATAATTTGGAAGCTCAGAGCACTATGCTCTCCCAATAATTCTATAATAAATTTATCAAAGCCACAATTTTCATCAAGATAGCTCTGCATGTAGATTGACTAATTACTGTTGTTTCCTTATCAGTGGTTCTACAGTTCAGCTCTTTATGAAGATGTGACGGTTAACGAGAAACTGATTAAGTTTGTATCTGTGGATTAGATAGCAGCAAGACTCTAGATATTTGGTCCTGAATAAAATAAGGATGCGTTTCTTTTGCATTTGCTGATAATATTTGTTTAGCTTGCCTTGTATGTTAAGATTTTACTAATTCATTAGTAAGAAAGATTTCACACATACACACACTCTTCATTATAGAAATTTGCAATAAAAATTCCAAGGAGTCCCTCCATTTCATTTATTGCTATTTTATCTTAATTTTATCATAGTTTCCAGAAAAAACATTTAAATTTCTTATATTATTATTATTATTATACTTTAAGTTTTAGGATATGTACCTATGCTCTAAAAATATTTGTACATACCCTAAATATATGTACATGGCGTGCAGGTTTGTTACATATGTATACATGTGCCATGTTGGTGTGCTGCACCCGTTAACTTGTCATTTAGCATTAGGTATATCTCCTAATGCTAACCCTCCCCACTCCCCCCACCCCACAACAGTCCCGGGTGTGTGATGTTCCCCTTCCTGGGTCCATGTGTTCTCATTGTTCAATTCCCACCTATGAGTGAGAACATGCGGTGTTTGGTTTTTTGTCCTTGCCATAGTTTGCTGAGAATGATGGTTTCCAGCTTCATCCATGTCCTTACAAAGGACATGAACTCATCATTTTTATGGCTGCATAGTATTCCACGGTGTATATGTGCCACATTTTCTTTTTTTTTCTTTTTTTTATTTTTTATTATACTTTAAGTTTTATGGTACATGTGCACATTGTGCAGGTTACATACGTATACATGTGCCATGCTGGTGCACTGCACCCACTAACTCGTCATCTAGCATTAGGTATATCTCCCAATGCTATCCCTCCCCCCTCCCCCCACCCCACCACAGTCCCCAGAGTGTGATGTTCCCCTTCCTGTGTCCATGTGATCTCATTGTTCAATTCCCACCTATGAGTGAGAATATGCGGTGTTTGGTTTTTTGTTCTTGCGATAGTTTACTGAGAATGATGATTTCCAAGTTCATCCATGTCCCTACAAAGGACATGAACTCATCATTTTTTACGGCTGCATAGTATTCCATGGTGTATATGTGCCACATTTTCTTAATCCAGTCTATCATTGTTGGACATTTGGGTTGGTTCCAAGTCTTTGCTATTGTGAATAATGCCGCAATAAACGTACGGGTGCATGTGTCCTTATAGCAGTGTGATTTATAGTCCTTTGGGTATATACCCAGTAATGGGATGGCTGGGTCAAATGGTATTTCTAGTTCTAGATCCCTGAGGAATCGCCACACTGACTTCCACAATGGTTGAACTAGTTTACAGTCCCACCAAGTGTGAAAGTGTTCCTATTTCTCCACATCCTCTCCAGCACCTGTTGTTTCCTGACTTTTTAATGATTGCCATTCTAACTGGTGTGAGATGATATCTCATTGTGGTTTTGATTTGCATTTCTCTGATGGCCAGTGATGATGAGCATTTTTTCATGTGTTTTTTGGCTGCATAAATGTCTTCTTTTGAGAAGTGTCTGTTCATGTCCTTCGCCCACTTTTTGATGGGGTGTTTGATTTTTTTCTCGTAAATTTGTTTGAGTTCTTTGTAGATTCTGGATTTGTTAGATGAGTAGGTTGCGAAAATTTTCTCCCATTCTGTAGGTTGCCTGTTCACTCTGATGGTAGTTTCTTTTGCTGTGCAGAAGCTCTTTAGTTTAATTAGATCCCATTTGTCAATTTTGGCTTTTGTTGCCATTGCTTTTGGTGTTTTAGACATGAAGTCCTTGCCCATGCCTATGTCCTGAATGGTAATGCCTAGGTTTTCTTCTAGGGTTTTTATGGTTTTAGGTCTAACGTTTAAGTCTTTAATCCATCTTGAATTGATTTTTGTATAAGGTGTAAGGAAGGGATCCAGTTTCAGCTTTCTACATATGGCTAGCCAGTTTTCCCAGCACCATTTATTAAATAGGGAATCCTTTCCCCATTGCTTGTTTTTCTCAGGTTTGTCAAAGATCAGATAGCTGTAAATATGCGGCGTTATTTCTGAGGGCTCTGTTCTGTTCCACTGATCTATATCTCTGTTTTGGTACCAGTCCCATGCTGTTTTGGTTACTGTAGCCTTGTAGTATAGTTTGAAGTCAGGTAGTGTGATGCCTCCAGCTTTGTTCTTTTGGCTTAGGATTGACTTGGCGATGCGGGCTCTTTTTTGGTTCCATATGAACTTTAAAGTAGTTTTTTCCAATTCTGTGAAGAAAGGCATTGGTAGCTTGATGGGGATGGCATTGAATCTGTAAATTACCTTGGGCAGTATGGCCATTTTCACGATATTGATTCTTCCTACCCAAGAGCATGGAATGTTTTTCCATTTGTTTGTATCCTTTTTTATTTCCTTGAGCAGTGGTTTGTAGTTCTCCTTGAAGAGATCCTTCCCATCCCTTGTAAGTTGGATTCCTAGGTATTTTATTCTCTTTGAAGCAATTGTGAATGGGAGTTCACTCATGATTTGGCTCTCTGTTTGTCTGTTGTTGGTGTATAAGAATGCTTGTGATTTTTGTACATTGATTTTGTATCCTGAGACTTTGCTGAAGTTGCTTATCAGCTTAAGGAGATTTTGGGCTGAGACAATGGGGTTTTCTAGATATACAATCGTGTCGTCTGCAAACAGGGACAATTTGATTTCCTCTTTTCCTAATTGAATACCCTTTATTTCCTTCTCCTGCCTAATTGCCCTGGCCAGAACTTCCAACACTATGTTGAATAGGAGTGGTGAGAGAGGGCATCCCTGTCTTGTGCCAGTTTTCAAAGGGAATGCTTCCAGTTTTTGCCCATTCAGTATGATATTGGCTGTGGGTTTGTCATAGATAGCTCTTATTATTTTGAAATACGTCCCATCAATACCTAATTTATTGAGAGTTTTTAGCATGAAGGGTTGTTGAATTTTGTCAAAGGCTTTTTCTGCATCTATTGAGATAATCATGTGGTTTTTGTCTTTGGCTCTGTTTATATGCTGGATTACATTTATTGATTTGCATATATTGAACCAGCCTTGCATCCCAGGGATGAAGCCCACTTGATCATGGTGGATAAGCTTTTTGATGTGCTGCTGGATTCGTTTTGCCAGTATTTGATTGAGGATTTTTGCATCAATGTTCATCAAGGATATTGGTCTAAAATTCTCTTTTTTGGTTGTGTCTCTGCCCAGCTTTGGTATCAGAATGATGCTGGCCTCATAAAATGAGTTAGGGAGGATTCCCTCTTTTTCTATTGATCGGAATAGTTTCAGAAGGAATGGTACCAGTTCCTCCTTGTACCTCTGGTAGAATTCGGCTGTGAATCCATCTGGTCCTGGACTCTTTTTGGTTGGTAAACTATTGATTATTGCCACAATTTCAGCTCCTGTTATTGGTCTCTTCAGAGATTCAACTTCTTCCTGGTTTAGTCTTGGGAGGGTGTATGTGTCCAGGAATTTATCAATTTCTTCTAGATTTTCGAGTTTATTTGTGTAGAGGTGTTTGTAGTATTCTCTGATGGTAGTTTGTATTTCTGTGGGATCGGTGGTGATATCCCCTTTATCATTTTTTATTTTGTCTATTTGATTCTTCTCTCTTTTTTTCTTTATTAGTCTTGCTAGCGGTCTATCAATTTTGTTGATCCTTTCAAAAAACCAGCTCCTGGATTCATTGATTTTTTTGAAGGGTTTTTTGTGTCTCTATTTCCTTCAGTTCTGCTCTGATTTTAGTTATTTCTTGCCTTCTGCTAGCTTTTGAATGTGTTTGCTCTTGCTTTTCTAGTTCTTTTAATTGTGATGTTAGGGTGTCAATTTTGGATCTTTCCTGCTTTCTCTTGTGGGCATTTAGTGCTATAAATTTCCCTCTACACACTGCTTTGAATGCATCCCAGAGATTCTGGTATGTTGTGTCTTTGTTCTCGTTGGTTTCAAAGAACATCTTTATTTCTGCCTTCATTTCGTTATGTACCCAGTAGTCATTCAGGAGCAGGTTGTTCAGTTTCCATGTAGTTGAGCGGCTTTGAGTGAGATTCTTAATCCTGAGTTTTAGTTTGATTGCACTGTGGTCTGAGAGATAGTTTGTTATAATTTCTGTTCTTTTGCATTTGCTGAGGAGAGCTTTACTTCCCAGTATGTGGTCAATTTTGGAATAGGTGTCGTGGTGCTGAAAAAAATGTATATTCTGTTGATTTGCGGTGGAGAGTTCTGTAGATGTCTATTAGGTCTGCTTGGTGCAGAGCTGAGTTCAATTCCTGGGTATCCTTGTTGACTTTCTGTCTCGTTGATCTGTCTAATGTTGACAGTGGGGTGTTAAAGTCTCCCATCATTGATGTGTGGGAGTCTAAGTCTCTTTGTATGTCACTCAGGACTTGCTTTATGAATCTGGGTGCTCCTGTATTGGGTGCATATATATTTAGGATAGTTAGCTCTTCTTGTTGAATTGATCCCTTTACCATTATGTAATGGCCTTCTTTGTCTCTTTTGATCTTTGTTGGTTTAAAGTCTGTTTTATCAGAGACTAGGATTGCAACCCCTGCCTTTTTTTGTTTTCCATTGGCTTGGTAGATCTTCCTCCATCCTTTTATTTTGAGCCTATGTGTGTCTTTGCACGTGAGATGGGTTTCCTGAATACAGCACACTGATGGGTCTTGACTCCTTTATCCAATTTGCCAGTCTGTGTCTTTTAATTGGAGCATTTAGTCCACTTACATTTAAAGTTAATATTGTTATGTGTGAATTTGATCCTGTCATTATGATGTTAGCTGGTGATTTTGCTCGTTAGTTGATGCAGTTTCTTCCTAGTCTCGATGGTCTTTACATTTTGGCATGATTTTGCAGCGGCTGGTACCGGTTGTTCCTTTCCATGTTTAGCGCTTCCTTCAGGAGCTCTTTTAGGGCAGGCCTGGTGGTGACAAAATCTCTCAGCATTTGCTTGTCTGTAAAGGATTTTATTTCTCCTTCACTTATGAAGCTTAGTTTGGCTGGATGTGAAATTCTGGGTTGACAATTCTTTAAGAATGTTGAATATTGGCCCCCACTCTCTTCTGGCTTGTAGGGTTTCTGCCGAGAGATCCGCTGTTAGTCTGATGGGCTTCCCTTTGAGGGTAACCCGACCTTTCTCTCTGGCTGCCCTTAACATTTTTTCCTTCATTTCAACTTTGGTGAATCTGACAATTATGTGTCTTGGAGTTGCTCTTCTCGAGGAGTATCTTTGTGGCGTTCTCTGTATTTCCTGAATGTGAACGTTGGCCTGCCTTGCTAGATTGGGGAAGTTCTCCTGGATAATATCCTGCAGAGTGTTTTCCAACTTGGTTCCATTCTCCCCATCACTTTCAGGTACACCAATCAGACGTAGATTTGGTCTTTTCACATGGTCCCATATTTCTTGGAGACTTTGCTCTTTTCTTTTTATTCGTTTTTCTCTAAACTTCCCTTCTCGCTTCATTTCATTCATTTCGTCTTCCATTGCTGATACCCTTTCTTCCAGTTGATTGCATCGGCTCCTGAGGCTTCTGCATTCTTCACGTAGTTCTCGAGCCTTGGTTTTCAGCTCCGTCAGCTCCTTTAAGCACTTCTCTGTATTGGTTATTCTAGTTATACATTCTTCTAAATTTTTTTCAAAGTTTTCAACTTCTTTGTCTTTGCTTTGAATGTCCTCCCGTAGCTGAGAGTAATTTGATCGTCTGAAGCCTTCTTCTCTCAGCTGGTCAAAGTCATTCTCCATCCAGCTTTGTTCCGTTGCTGGTGAGGAACTGCGTTCCTTTGGAGGAGGAGAGATGCTCTGCGTTTTAGAGTTTCCCGTTTTTCTGTTCTGTTTTTTCCCCATCTTTGTGGTTTTATCTACTTTTGGTCTTTGATGATGGTGATGTACAGATGGGTTTTTGGTGTGGATGTCCTTTCTGTTTGTTAGTTTTCCTTCTAACAGACAGGACCCTCAGCTGCAGGTCTGTTGGAATACCCTGCCGTGTGAGGTGTCAGTGTGCCCCTGCTGGGGGGTGCCTCCCAGTTAGGCTGCTCGGGGGTCAGGGGTCAGGGACCCACTTGAGGAGGCAGTCTGCCCGTTCTCAGATCTCCAGCTGTGTGCTGGGAGAACCACTGCTCTCTTGAAAGCTGTCAGACAGGGACATTTAAGTCTGCAGAGGTTACTGCTGTCCTCTTGTTTGTCTGTGCCCTGCCCCCAGAGGTGGAGCCTACAGAGGCAGGCAGGCCTCCTTGAGCTGTGGTGGGCTCCACCCAGTTCGAGCTTCCAGGCTGCTTTGTTTACCTAAGCAAGCCTGGGCAATGGCAGGCGCCCCTCCCCCAGCCTCGCTGCCGCCTTGCAGTTTGATCTCAGACTGCTGTGCTAGCAATCAGCGAGATTCCGTGGGCGTAGGACCCTCCGAGCCAGGTGCGGGATATAATCTCGTGGTGTGCCGTTTTTTAAGCCGGTCTGACAAGCGCAATATTCGGGTGGGAGTGACCCGATTTTCCAGGTGCGTCTGTCACCCCTTTCTTTGACTTGGAAAGGGAACTCCCTGACCCCTTGTGCTTCCCAAGTGAGGCAATGCCTCGCCCTGCTTCGGCTCGCGCATGGTGCGTGCACCCACTGGCCTGCGCCCACTGTCTGGCACTCCCTAGTGAGATGAACCCGGTACCTCAGATGGAAATGCAGAAATCACCCGTCTTCTGCGTCGCTCACGCTGGGAGCTGTAGACTGGAGCTGTTCCTATTCGGCCTCTTGGCTCCTCCCTACCTTTTGAATGTATCTTTTTTACTCCTAATATTGTTTATTTGGGTTCCCTCTCTGTTTTCTTGGTGATTATCACCAGAGTTATGTCAAATTTATTAGATTTCTCAAAGAACCACCTTTTGGCTTTGCTGATCCTTTTCATTTAATTTAATTTAGTTTCCATTTATTCAGTTGTTTTTTTCTAATTTGATAAGTTTATGCTTTGCTGATGGTTATCCCTTTTTCTTTTCAGAACTTAGCATTTTAAGTCATAAATTGGCCTCAAAACACAGCTGTTACTCTACTCCACAGTGCTTAAAATGTAGTATTTTGTTGTTCAGCTCTAGGCATTTTTGTTTTCATTTTTATTTCTTCTTTTGACCCAAGAATACTTAGGAAGTGTATTTTAAAGTTCCAAATATACGAAGATTTTTTTCTTTATTTGGGACTTCTAACATAGTTTGGCTATCTGTCCCCTCCAAATCTTACATTGAAATTTAATCTCCAGTGTGACAGGTAGGGCTGACTGGGAGGTGTTAGGGTTATGGGGCCAGATCCCTCATGAATGGCTTGGTGCCCTCTCCTCCTAATGAGTGAGTTCTTGCTCTATCATTTCATGCAAGAGCTTGTTTAACACAGCCTGGCATCTTCCCTCTCTTGTCTCTGGCCTCTCTCTTTCTTGTCATGTGACAAGTTGGCTCTCCTTCACCTTTTGCCATAAGTGCAAGCAGCCTGAGGTCCTTGTCAGAAGCAGATGCTGGCACCATGATTCTTGTACAGCCTGCGAAACAATGAGTCAAATAAGCCCCTTTTCTTTATATATTACCCAGCTTCAGACATCTCTTTATTGCAATGCAAATGGACTAATACAACTTCTAAAATGCATTGTATCAGAGCGCATGATCTGTATGATACCAGTTCTTTGTATTTTGTTGAAACATGCTTTATAGCCAAACATGTGATCAATTTGTGTAAATGTCCTCATTGCTTGACAAAAATGTATATTTTATTTCTTCTGTATCTTCTATAACTTAATTTTTCTACTAATTCTATCAGTAATTGAGAAAAGTGTGCTTAAATATCTCACTAAGATGAAAGGTTTGTCAAATTCTCCCAGTAGTTTTATCAATCTTTGATTTCTATTTTTGAGGCTACATTATGAAGTGCACACATATTAAGAACTGTTACACCTTTTTGAAATTAAAACTTTTATGACTATGTGGGAAATCACTCTACTCCCAATAACACTTTTTGTCTTAAAGTCTGTTTAGTGTGATTAACATCTCTATTAACATGCAGTTACCACAATTTTATTTTGGTTTATTATTTTCTGATATACCATCTTTTATTCTTTTACTTAGTTTCTTTTTTTTGAGATGGAGTCTCGCTCTGTCGCCCAGGCTGGAGTGCAGTGGTGCAATCTTGACTCAATGCAACCTCCACCTCCTGGGTTCAGGGTTCAAGTGATTCTCCTGCCTTGGCCTCTGGGGTAGCTGGAATTACAGGCGTGCGCCACCACACCCAGATAATTTTTGTATTTTTAGTAGAGATGGGGTTTCACCATGTTGGCCAGGCTAGTCTCGAACTCCTGACCTCAAGTGATTTGCCCGCCTTGGCCTCCCAAAGTGCTGGGATAACAGGCATGAGCAGCCGCACCTGGCCCCTATCCTTTTACTCTCACCTTTCCTGTGTCTTTATCTTCTGGGTGTGCTATTTGTAAACAGTTTATAGCAAAATTTTATTAATTCCTATATTAATCAACCTGTCCTAAGTTATTATATGATAATAAGCAAACCCAACAATCTCTTTTTCAAAATCTCCAGAGTTTATTTCTTTCTCAAATTGCATATCTGTCATGATTTGATTGGGAATTTTTCCATGTCTCCTTTATTCACTTTAATTAAGACTGATGTAGCAGCTTCTACCTCGGACATTGTGGTCTCATAGAAGAGGAAAAGGAGAGCTTGGCAAAAGGGGATAATGGGTGTTAAAACTTCCATTCAGAAATAGTACATATCACTTATGCTTATATTTCACATACCAAAGGATGTGACAAAAGGTCAGATGGCTAAGCCTGACCTTAATAGGGCTGGATATATAATTTTCTTACAGGGTGTCTCTGCAAAGATTTTCAATATAATACAGTGTAACAGACTTATCTGCCTTCTCTTTCTCATACAAAATCCACACATCACCTTTCTCCCAAGAGAAACAACTCCAAACTCCCATGCAATCACTGTATTAGGCTCAAAGTTTAGGATCTCATGTATTTTTTTTTCTCTTGTGCTTTCTCTGGATCAAGAGTTCTGGGAAGTAAAAGGACACATCATGCTTCTAAAATTCAGCAGACAATAGTGGGACAAGAACTTAATAACCCCCATAAACCCCCACATTCAGAAAGAATGAGGCTCACAGCAATTTGTCTTCCATCGTAATTCTGAAATCATATTGTGCAAATATTCTAAGGACCCTTATTCTAGGGGTGAGTATTTTTCCTTTGGGCTCAGGTTCTGCTCCAAGTCCATTGTCTTCCAACTTCTTAGCACTGTCCTCTGGGAGGTTCTGGCTTTTCCATTATTTTTCTTGACCTCGTCTGAGAAAAAACACTGGCGAATATGCCCTCTATGGAAGCTGAGCATCTTTCTCTGCCTGCTTTTTGCACATGGAGGGTTGGGAGCAACGATTCTTTTAAGTTTTGATTAATCAGAGTCTTTTAGTCAAGGCTAGTGGTCCCATGACAATAGCATTCACTAAAAACTTAGCTGGTTTTTATCTATTTGATTTCTGTTGGCTCCATACGCCAGTAGCTGCACCCTAATTATTTTTGAGACATAAATATCTTAAACCCATTCGAATTTTGTGGAAGAATCACACCTTTATTCTCATTTAGTTAAGCTACTATGTCTAACCTAAATGATTTATTGAGTGCTACCTTAGTCAAAGGTTTTAACTTCAAAGGTATCAGGGCTAAGATATTGTGATCTTGTTCCAAGGCTTATTTTTTTAACTTCTCTTTTGAAAAATTTCAAATATACACAAAAGTAGTAAGAATGGTGTAATTCCCATATATTCTTTTCCTTTTCACCAATTAATAATATTTTTCCACATTTACATTCTCTCCCTCCTTTTAGATTTTTCTCTTTCTTTCTGGCTTTCTTTAGACACACACACACACACACACACACACACACACACACACTGATTGTTGCTGAACCATTCAACAGTAAGTTATCGTGATTATATTAAATCCTAAATATTTCAGCATGTGATGAGGACATGCTTTTATATAACCACATTATCATAATCAAATTCAAATAATTTAACATTGATATAACATTCTTATCTAACATATAGGCCATATTAAGATGTATTCAATTAACCCAATAGTGCTATTTATTTTCTAACTCAGGACCCCAGATTGCATTTAGTTGTCATGTATTTTTAGTGTCCTTCTTTGTCTTTCATGACACTGATATTTTTGAGGAGTATGGGTCAGTCGTTTGATTGAACATTTATTCATTTGGGGTTGTCTGATTGTTTAGCCATGCTTACGTTCAGTGTATGCATTTTTAAAGGAGTACTGTGTAAAGGATGTTGGGTCCCTTCAGTGGCTTGCCTCAGAGCTCTAAGTGTTCATTGTTACTGGACAAGGCTAAATATTAATTGTCCTTTCTTTTTCAAAGGATTGCCGAGGAGTAACAGTGGCATCTTTCAATTTGCCATCCTGAAATTTCTAGGCTCTAGTTCCTTTAATCTCTGTAAATGGGTAATTCTTAAGAAGTTCATCTCTTTATTCCAACACTTTGTCAAATATGGCCAATAACAACCAATACTTGCTAATAACATTCTCCTTCCCTATTACTTTAGTTAAAGTCATCAGTTCATTTGTTATATTATCTGTTTTCCAAGTTGCCAGAGAAAAGTTTTGTTGGTTTCACCACTGCATAATGTGAATTACCATCTTTTCAGCTGCAACATGTCATTCTCCATTATCTGGCCCTAAAGCCAGTGCCATATATCTCATGTACTGCTGTATTCCAAGCATCCTACTCTGAGTACCATTATCTGTATCAGTCATCTTAGGCTAAGGTATGCTGTCATGTGAAAATGGACAAATGTATGTGCTACGGATGGATTTTCAAATTAGCACAGCCTGAAGACTATAGAAAAATAAAAGGAGACTATGATAGATTCTATGAAAAAATTCGGTGTCTATATCTTTCTATTAAATAATTAATAGCATTTGTTTAATAGTTTCTAATTGTTTAATAGAATTAAACAATTCTATTGTTTAATTCTGGTAAAGTTCTATCCTATGAGAAATATTAGGATATATCCACAAAGATATATACACAAAATGCTTACTTTAGCATTGTTTTCAGTAGTAAAAAACTGAAAATCACTTAATGACTATCCATAGGGGAATGTCAAATTACAATGCAGTCATACTACAAAACACTTTTGCAACCATTAAATAAAATGAGATATCTCTGTATGTTCTGCTATAGCAACATCTCTAAAACTAGTGCTCAATAGAAATATATAAATGAATGGAGACATATCAAATCTGAACTATAATTCCATTTGTATAAAACAAGAACAAATTACCGTTTGTTTTTGTATATGCACATACAGAATGTGAATGTATAAAACTGAATCTGAGAGAATATATATCCAACTGTAAAAAAGTTTACTTCTGAAGAGAAACATGGGAAGTGGGTGCTATAAGGTGATAAAAGGGGACTTTAGCATTTTATTCTAGATATGGCTCTATTGTTTAAAATTTTATAAAAATATATTTTTTCTTATGTAAATTAATACCTTGGGTAAATAACATAATTTGTAAGTAAAGGGCATAATGAAAATTCAGCGGCAACCAGAAGCCTGAGGTGAGAAAGAAGGAATGGGTAATAAGAAGAGTGTTCATGACCATTGTTGTCAAATATTGAGGTACTCTCAAAACAAAAAAGTTCTACATTTATTTTGTACACCCCCAAAGAGCAGGGAGATGGCTAAAGTAAAAATAAAAATCAATTCAATTCTTAGAGCCAACTGCAGATGCAGTGGGATACTCGTGAGATATAATTAATTTCCTGGCCATGGGGATTTTGAGGAATAAATCCAAGCCAAAAAAAAAGTTCAAACTAAAATACATTTAATCTAGATGGCTTTTCTTTTCTTTTAACTTTTTTTTTTTTTTTTTTTTTGAGACGGAGTCTTGCTCTGTCGCCCAGGCCGGACTGCGGACTGCAGTGGCGCAATCTCGGCTCACTGCAAGCTCCGCTTCCCGGGTTCACGCCATTCTCCTGCCTCAGCCTCCCCAGTAGCTGGGACTACAGGCGCCCGCCACCGCGCCCGGCTAATTTTTTGTATTTTTAGTAGAGACGGGGTTTCACCTTGTTAGCCAGGATGGTCTCGATCTCCTGACCTCATGATCCACCCGCCTCGGCCTCCCAAAGTGCTGGGATTACAGGCGTGAGCCACCGCGCCCGGCCTTTTTTAACTTATTTTAAGTTCAGGGGTACATGTGCAGGTTTGTTACATGGGTAAACTTGTGTCATGGGGATTTGTTGTATAGCTTATTTCATCACCCAGGTATTGAGCCTAGTACCCATTAGTTATTTTTCCTGATCCTCTCCCTCCCCCTACCCTCCACCCTCTGAAATGCCCCAGTGTGTGCTGTTCCCCTTCATGTGTCCATGTATTTTCATCATTTAGCTCTCACTTATAAGTGAGAACATGTATTTGGTTTTCCGTTCCTGTGTTAGTTTGCTAAGGATAATGGCCTCTAGTTCCATCCATGTCCCCACAAAGGACATGATCTGATTCTTTTTTATGGCTTCATAACATTCCATGGTACATATGTACCACATTTTCTTTACCCAGTCTATAATTGATGGGCATTTAGGTTGCATCTAGATGTTTCTTAGACAGCCTAATTTCAATTTTTGATTGATTGTTGCTAGAAACCACCACATGTATTGTGAAATGCATAGCTCTTGCAGTTAAGCTGTGGCTCCTAAAGAGGTTCAAAGGAACGCTTGGGTCTTGACTGTCGATTCACTCCATTTTTAAATATACTCATGGGACCAAATTCCTTAAGAGCTCCTTCAACAGGAAAACATCAGCCACACTGAAATCACCCAGCCTTCCTCAAAAACAGAGTGATCTCTCAGGTCCTCCCATTGAGTTTTGCCTCAACTACTTACTTTTCAAGGTTCTCAGGAAAATAATGAGAAGCTCTGGATGTTGGATGTTGGAATTTAAATTTCTTTGCTTCTTCCTTTCCTTTCCTTTCTTTCTTTCTTTCTTTTTTTTTTTTTTTTTTTTTTTTGAGTTTTGCTTTGTTGGCCAGACTGGAGTGCAATGGCGCCATCTCGGCTCACTGCAAGCTCTGCCTCCCAGGTTCATGCAACTCTCCTGCCTCAGCCTCCCAAGTAGCTGGAATTACAGGCGTTCGCCACCATGCCTGGCTCATTTTGTATTTTTAGTAGAGATGGGGTTTCTCCATGTTGGTCAGGATGGTCTCAAACTCCTGACCTCAGGTGATCCACCCACCTTGGCCTCCCAAAGTGCTGGGATTACAGACATGAGCCACCGCACCCGGCCTATGCCCTCTTTCTTGAGGCAAGCATACGTACACTGTACCACATCCACCCATGGTTTATTGGCCAAAGCAAACCATATGGCCATGTTTAACTTCAAGGGGTGTGGGAAGCATAATTCTCTTGCACAAATGGAAGGGAAAAATCATCAGAAATTTGGATGGGCACTAGTAATATTTATCACAGTGAGACACCCTCACCTCTTACTGGCAACATTATATGGGGATTCCTAAAACCCTGTGCCCTTTTCAAGCCTTGCACTAAATTGTATGATAATATCTAATACCATTCTATATCAGCAATAAACAAATGAATCACTGAAATTAAAATAATTTTAAGAGAGTTTAGGTTCACCCAGACGTTGAGACAAGAATTTTAGTGCAACTTCTTATTTGGAAGGTGAAGAGGTTGCTAGTAGGGGAATGGGGGTGTGACAGAGGAAAGTACAGCTTTCCTCTGTATTGGGGAGGAAAGGCAACTATCCTACTGCTATCCTCTAATGGGAGAGGAAAGGCAGCTGTCCTAGTGTGTATGGTAGATTGAAAATGATTGTGAATTCTGAAGAGCAAGACTATTTCCCTAACCCTTGAATCTTGTCTGGCTTTGTGATTTGCTTTGATCAACAGAACATAGTGGAAGTGATATCGGGGCTAGTCCTCAAGAGGTCTTGCTGTTTATTTACTAGTCCTCTTAGAAATGTTCTGAGATGACCCTGGGAAGAAGCCCACACTAGCCTCCCAGAGGATGACACCATGTGGAACCTGAGGTCCTCTAGAGAAACCTGCTGCCACTTGATCCCCCAAGTGATGTAGCCAAATGACTAATCCCAGATGAGATCAGTAGAAGAAGCACCCAGCTGTACCCAACCAAAATTGCGGATCCACAGAACTATAAGCAAATAAAATGTTTATTGTATTAAGTCAGTCTAAGTTTAGGTTGGTTTGTTAGGCAAGAATAGATAACTGAGAATGGGTGACTAGAGTTTATTACCTAGGAAAACTCTGTGCATAGTTGTTGAAAACACATGCCTTAGCATGATACCACCCAAGGATGAGGGAGCTGGGTATTCATTCACCAACTCCTGAGAGCCATTGTTGGAGATCTGCTCATGGGTGGAGGATGTTAGTTTCCCAGCACAGCTGGCCTCCTAGAGTTGTGGGCAAAGGAGACTTCCAAGGTTCCAGAAAATGTTTGCAGGCACAGGATGCAGGTGCAGCAGTTGTAAGTCAACCAAAGCATGCCAAAATGCTTCAAGAGATATGGGAGAACATTGAGAACCACAGTTACTGCATATTTATTAAATCACTCTTTACAAAAGTGTGGTCACAGTATAGGAAAACCATGAGGAATAGTATTATTATCAAGAGTATCACTATCCACTGTTATACCCAAAGAGGCAAGAGGAGAGGATGGTCACCAGAACCCAATGAGAGAAGGGCTGCATGGAGTGGCTACCTGTCAGGAGCTGAAACCATGGGTCAAGAGAAGCAGCCATCCCACAGTGGACCTGTTAGGGAAATGAGAACTGAAAAGAGAACTGTCTTGACCCTTAAGGACTCCATCCAATCCTCTGCACGAAGAGATGTAAACCCTAGCATAGTCTAACAGCTCAAGGTCACATCCCTAGGATTATGATTCCAGTCCCCTTAGGTTCCTGCCTGGGAAAGCCTGCCAAAAGAATTTACTATTTGTTCCAGCCAGCACCTGAAGATAGGGCCCTTGTCTCCTAGTCTCTGCAGGGATCAGGAACCCAACTTTGATAAACACCAGTTAACAGACTCAGATGGCCTAAGCCCATGGACCAAGCCCTGTTCTTCTTCCTGTCAGTGCCTTTCCCCTAGCATACCCCAGCCTTTAAAAAGACTCCAGCTTTTTGTTTTGGTGAAGTTCAGTTCACACTGGACTCTCTACTCCATTGCGATAGTTATTACCATATAAAATCTGTCCTGAATGCCTTTAACTAGTGTCTGATTTTGTGTACCTTTGGCAGAAAAGAACAGAGAAATAAATAAACATCTTGACTGTACTTTGCTCCTTTCTTTTGATCTCCTGCTGGTACTTCCCACTGGTTGAGTTCAGCTAGACATGAGGATGCAGGAAGCTTGTTGATGTCGTTCAAGCAGAGCAGCCGACTGGGTCACAGAGCAGGGTGGAGATGATGGAGAATGGGATCTGGAGGGGAAAATAGAAGATATCCAGCATATATTCTCTAGATAACACTCAGTGTGGCTGTGGACATTGTGTGTGCCTATCCCTACCCTCAGACCCTTTCATTTGAAGGCCCACATACACAACAAATCTGTGTACATGGGTTGGATTTGGAGTCGATTACGGGGATTGATCAGTTAGGAAATTCTTCAGAGTTGGAAGACATAGGATGAGAGGGGAACTTAGCATCATTTTGGAGACAAAGAGAAACTGGATGAGAAGAAAGAGTGATAATTGGCAATTTAAGACCCAGACTTCTACATTTGAATTGGAGCTCATCAAAGATCTGGAAACCTGTAAGGTGAAGACAGCTCCTAGGGAGCAGGCTGTGGCCAATATGCTGTGGTAGAAGGCTGAAGTCTTGACTTCACAAGTTGATTTAATGGTCAAAGATTCCCCTGGCTTCTTGTAAGATTATAACCTGCTTCTGATTGTTTCCTCTTGCACTTTTCAATGAGGCTGAAGCATTACTTGGCTATTTGGAGCATGGGCCATGTGCACACCAAGGCCAGTAATGCCTGGAGTCCATTCCTGGTTAGATAGAGCAAGGTCAGGCCATGGGCTAGAAGGGTTGACTCAATTCAGGCTGCCATAAAAAAGTACCACAGACTTATAGGTAGGCCTATAGGATGGCCTATGAACAACAGAAATTTATTTTTCACAGTTCTGGAGGGTGGAAATCCAAGATCAAGGTGTTGGTATGATTGAGTTCTGGTGAGAGTCAGCTTCTGGGTTGCAGATGGCTGCCTCCTGGTTGTATCCTCATGTGGGAGGAGTGAGAGAGCTCTCTGGGGTCTATTTTATAAGGGCACTAATCCCATTTATGAGGGCTCCACATTCATGAACTAATGATCTCACAAGGATCCCATCTCCTAATACCATCACATTGGGGATTAGGATTTCAACATATGAATTTGAGGGAGACACAAACATTCAGTCCATCACAAAGGGGCTACTCAAATTCAGAGATGCTGTATTGCAGTGATTATGGCTGCATTCTTCTCTGCCATCAGGACAATTTCAATCCTGAACCCAGCCCTTGGTCCTCTTGCAGAGTGAGGATTCTGTGGGGCAAGGGTGGCAGGGTACATACTGGAGGCTCTATTTTACAACCCCTTCCACATGGATTAGCTGAAGCCTGCTCTCCATCCACTGAATTTCTAATCCACAAGTATTTCTCCACACCTCTATCCATTCCAAGCATGAGGATGGCTACTCATATCCTTTCCTTCAGCTTTCTGTGCTCATCCCCTCAAGCCATCTCTCTCTTCTTCTTGTTTCCTCCTGTGCTTCCTTCTTCCTTTTCTTTTTAAAATTTCCTCTATACCACTTCTCCTTTCTTTGTTTAGAACATTTATTTATTTTTTAAAGATTTTATTTTTTAGAGCAGTTTAAAGTTCACAGCAAAGTTGAGAAGAAGGTAGTACAGAGGGTTCCCATAAATCCCTGCTCCCACATACACACAGCCTCCCCCATGAATAAGATCGAGTATTTGATAGCATGACACGATGACTATAGTCAATAATAATTTAACTGTACATTTAAAAATAACTAAAAGAGTATAATTAGATTGTTTGTAGCACAAAGGATAAGTTCTTGAGGTAAGGATAACCCATTTACCCTGATGCGATTACTACACATTGTATACCTGTATAAAAATATCCCATATACCCCATAAATATATAAACCTATTATGTACCCACAAAAATTATATATAAAAATAAAAGAAAAGCAACCCTCCACCAAAGTGGTTCATTTGTTGCAACTGATGAACCTACATTGACATCCTAACTACCCAAAGTCCGTAATTTACATTAGGGTTCAACTCTTGGTGCTGTGCTTTCTATGTGTTGGGATAAATGTATAATGACATATATTCACCATTATAATATTATGCAGCGTATTTTCACTACCCTAAAAAATCCCTTCTGCTTCTCCTATTTATCCCCCACCAATTAACCTCTGGCAACCACTCTTTTGCCTTTTCCGCGGTTTTGTCTTTTCTAGAATGTCACATGAGTGGAATCATACAGTATGTTGTCTTTTCGGATTGTCTCTTCTTACTTAATAACATGCATTTAAGTTTCCTCCATGTCTTTTCATGGTTTGATTGCTCATTTCTTTTTAGTGCTTAATAATATTCCATTGCCTGGATATACCACAGTTTATGTATCCATTCACCTATGGAAGGCTGAACATCTTTGTTGCTTCCAAGTTTTGACAATTCTTGAATAAAGCTGTCATAAACACTCATGCGCAGGTGTTTGAATGGACATAAGTTTTCAACTCCTTTGGGTGAATGCCAAAGAGCTCAGTTATTGCTTGGTCATATGGTAAGAGTATGTTTAGATTTGTAAGACTGTCAAGCTGTCTTCCAAAGTGGGGGTACCATTTCACATTCCCACTAGCAATAAATAGCATTTCTGTTGCTTCACATCCTCATTAACATTTGGTGTTGTCAGTGCTCTAGATTTTGGCCATTCTAATAGGTGCGTAGTGGTATTCATTTTTTTCCCTCTCTTTTCTATGTTTATCTCCTTCTCTTTTTTGCTGTCTCTCTCTCCTCTTTCTTTCCATCATTTTACCTTTACTCTACTATTAACTTCATGTCATCTTCATTGTCTCTTAGCCACAGAAACGTTTTATGATGGGATATACTTGACCAAGAAGAGGTGAGAACTGTCAGAATTTTTAAGTCAGAGAACACCTTAAAACGTAGCTAATATAATCTTTTTTTCCTGATTGGTGTTCCTTGCAAAGCTGACCTAGGGCCTTGCCCATGCCATACTGATATTCAAACCTTGAGTTTCTCTCTTATATGGGAAGTGAGATGCTTAGAAAACAAATGTCAGTGATGTACCAGAACACAGAGGTCCTCACTGGTCTGTAGCATATGAGTCAACATATTCATTTACTTCACATTTACTGAGACTTCAGTAATAAGGGCATGGACATCCATCCTCATGATTCATTCATTGGCTGTCTCAGCATATGAATGAGCTCAGATGGTATCAGATGTACTTCTTTTGTGAATGGTGGAATATAATATAGGTTAAGACATAGATGTAGATATAGATAGATCTGTTTTCCCATAAGAATGTTTCACCTTGAGATAATCATATTTCTTTCAGGTAGTCGAGGATCTCTGTGCTTTAAAAGTGAGGCAAGAAAATAGCAGAGTTCACCACCCTACCCTTTTAATTAGCATCCCTGCATTTCAGAAATTCAGCGTTTCAGCACTGGATTTTACGATTTTAAAGACGGAGCTAGCTCTCCTTTGCTTAAACCATAATCCTTCCCAGATGATAGAGGTGAAGTCTTGTCCAAAAGATATTATTTATCACGATGGATTTAACTACTTTTCTCACATTATTCCATTTAGAGAGACAAGTTTATACTTCTGTGTCTAATACCTCACTTTTCACTTGTGTGACTAGTTTACAAGAGTAACTGACTACCATCAGAAAAGTGAAAATATACTAGCCAAGTTTAACCAAATGCGTGTTTAATTGATGAATGGTATTGAAAAAGAGTAACTTAGTTTGGTAAGTTTAGTAAAAACACACTACTTTTGGATCTATGAATCTTGTGAAGTATCATTTGTCACAGAACATCAAATTTCCCTTATTATGCTGTAAAGAAAATGAATATTATTGAAAGACCCTACATCATATTTGATAGTAGTAAATTACCCTAGCATCCCCCCTCCTGAATGGTCTTCATTTCCATTTCTGAAACTGAGACCTAAATTTCCCATTGAGAAAGAGGGTTTGTGGTTTTTAAAACATACTTTTGTTTTAGTAAAAGATCTAAGTTTATCTAAATGTATGCAATAAAATGGGGATAATTCCAAGGAACACACAATTTTAAAATCTTGAAAATAAAGTTCTCATAAAAGGAAACTAAACATGACCATATTTATTTGATCACTACATAAGTCTTTGAACTGCACTGTGCCTTTTAAATTGTATGCATTTTTATTTTAGTTTTGAAGTTTCATTTTATAGAACTGTTTCTTAAATGTAAAGCAGTTTATAATTTTTTAAATCAATATTTCATTTATGATGCATGGTTTGCTAAGTGGATAATGTAATGCCTTAATGGATGAAAATGGATCATGGCAAGGAGGTCAGAAAGCAATTGCTGCCATTAATAATACACGTTCTACAAGGTAATCGACAGAGAGTGATTAGGTGACTCTTTAGAATATTCCTGCAAGGGTTTGGTGTATGGGATGTATACAAAGATAGCAGCTGATTTTAAGAAGAGCATATGTCAAAGAAGCACACATATTTGTGTGAATGTTATCAAGACTTTGCCTTCAGCAAATAGTTTTTCCACTCATTCAAAAACGGTAGGAAGTTAATTATAGAAGAACTACCTATTATTAGAGAAATCAGGAAAAATAAAGTGTGCTAGAAGCTGTAATTGCAGGAGGCACTAGGCACAACATTCTTTTGCTAGATGATGGTTCATCTTTTATAGTTTTCTATTCAGAATTCATACAATTGAATATTCACCTGACAATGCTACAGAGTCCAACTTTGAGCAATGTTTGCCTGATGGATAGGGAAAGTATAAGAAATTTATCCTTAAATATGTGCAGCACATGCACATATGATTGCATTTGATTCTCACGACAATTCTGGAAGATAGTTGGGATCACCAGTAGTAGACTTATTTTACAGATGAAAAAACTGAGGCCTATATGGTGCAAGGAATGGCACAAGATCTTAAAACGAATAAGTGATTGACTTGGGACACATTCTTAAGTTTTCTGACTCCAAATCCATATTTCCCTCTATTATTTGATGCAGTGACATGGGTTGGGAGTGTGTGTGTGTGTGTGGGGGGGGGGGGAGAGAGAGAGAGAGAGAGAGAGAGAGAGAGAGAGAGAGAGAGAGAGAGAGAGAGAGAGATTCTGTCACCAATGTGATGCCCTTTATCTCAAAATTGGATTTCCATGATTTTTTTTGTCAGTGTTGCATGCTGCAACTAGCTCATCCTGTCTTACAAGAGCTGACTCTGTGCATCACATTTTTTCTTATTACAAAAATTTATTTTAACTTCAGGGGTACATGTGCAGGTTTGTTACCTAGGTAAACTTGTGTCATGGGGGTTTGTTGTGTAGATTATTTTATCACCCAGGTATTAAGCCTAGTACTCATTAGTTAGTTTTCCTGATCCTCTCCCTCCTCCCAGCCTCCACCTTCTGATAGGCTGCAGTGTGTGTTGTTCCCCTCTGTGTGTCCATGTGTTCTCATCGTTTAGCTCCCACTTATAAGTCAGAACATGTGGTATTTGGTTTTCTGTTCCTGTGTTAGTTTGCTAAGGATAATGGCCTCCAGCTCCATCCACGTCCCTTCGAAGGCCAGGATCTTATTTTTTTAATGGCTACATAGTATTCCATAGTGTTTGTCCAATCTATCATTGATGGACATTTAGGTTGATCCCATGGCTTTGCTATTGTGAATAGTGCTGCAACAAACATACCCATGCATGTGTTTTCATAATAGAATGATTCCTAGTCCTTTGGGCATATACCCAGTAATGGCATTTCTGTCTTCAGATCTTTGAGGATTTGCCACACTGTCTTCCACAATGGTTGAACTAATTTATACTCCCACCAACAGTGTATAAGGGTTCTTTTTTCTCCATAACCTTGCCAGCATCTGTTATTTTTTGACTTTTTAATAATAGCGATTCTGACTGGTGTGAGATGGTATCTCATTGTGGCTTTGATTTGCATTTCTCTAATGATCAGCAATGTTTTAATTTTTTTTCATAATGATTGTTGGCCACATGTATGTCTTCTAAGAAGTGTCTGTTCGTGTTTTTGCCCACTTTTTAGTGGGGTTGTTTGTTTTTTTCTTGTACATTTGTTCAAGTTCCTTATAGATGCTGGATATTAGACCTTTGTTGGATGCATAGTTTGCAAAAGTTTTCTCTCATTTTGTAGGTTGTCTCTTTACTCTGTTGATAGTTTCTTTTCCTGTGCAGAAGCTTTTTAGTTTAATTAGATCCCATTTGTCAATTTTTGCTTTTCTTGCAATTGCTTTTGGCATCTTTGTCATGAAATCTTTGCCTGTGCCTATGTCCTAGATGGTATTGCCTAGGTTGCCTTCCAGGGGTTTTATAGTTTTGGGTTCTACATTTAAGTCTTTAATCTATCTTGAGTTAATTTTTGTAAATAGTGTAAGGAAGGGGTCCAGTTTCAATTTTCTTCTTATGGCTAGCCAGTTATTCCAACAGCATTTATTGAATAGGGAATCATTTCTCCATTGCTTGTTTTTGTCAGATTTGTTGAAGATTTGGTAGTTGTAAGTGGTGTTTATTTCTGGGTTTTCTATTCTGTTTCATTAGTCTGTGTGTCTGTTTTTGTGCCAGTACCATGCTGTTTTGGTTACTGTAGCCTTGTAGTATAGTTTGGAGTCAGGTAGCATGCTACCTCTAGCTTTGTTCTTTTTTCTTAGGATTGCCTTGGCTATTCTGTGCTATTTTTTGGTTCCATGTGGATCTTAAAATAGTTTTTTTTCCTAGTTCTGTGAAGAGTGTCAATGGTAGTTTAATGGGCATAGCAATGAATCTATAAATTTCTTTGGGCAGTACGGCCATTTTCACAATATTGATTCTTCCTATCAGCATGGAATGTTTTTCCATTTGCTTGTGTCATCTCTGATATATTTGAACAGTGGTTTGTAGCTCTCCTTGTAGAGAACATTCACTTTCCTAGTTAACTGTATTCCTAGTATTTTATGCCTTTTATGGCAATTGTGAATGAGAGTTTGTTTCTGATTTGGCTCTTGGCTTGACTGTTGCTGGTTTATAGGAGTGCTAGTAATTTTTGCACATTGATTTTGTATCCTGAGACTTTTCTGAACTTGTTGATCAGCTTAAGAAGCATTTGGGCTGAGACAATGGGGTTTTCTAGATACAAGATCATGTCACCTGCAAACAGGGATAGTTTGACTTCCTCTCTTCCTATGTGAATGCCGTTTATTTCTTTCTCTTGCCTGATTGCCCTGGCCAGAACTTTCAATACTATGTTGAATAGGACTAGTGAGAAACAGCATCCCTGTCTTTGCCAGTTTTCAAGGGGAATGCTTCCAGCTTTTGCCCATTCAGTGTGACGTTGACAGTGATTTTATCATATATGGTTCTTATTATTTTGAGGTATGTTCCCTCAATAGTAGTTTATTGAGAGTTTTTAACATGAAGGGATATTGAATTTTATTGGAAGCCTTTTCTGCATCTATTGAGATAATGATGTGGTTTTTTTTTTTTGTCTTTAGTTCTGTCTATGTGATGACTCACATTATTGATTTGCATATGTTAACTAACCTTGCATCCTGGGGATGAGGCCTACTTGATCATGGTGGATAAGCTTTTTGATGTGCTGATGGATTCAGTTTGCCAGTATTTTGTTGAGAATTTTTTGCTTTGATATTCATCCAAGATATTGGCCTGAAGTTTTCTTTTTTTGTTGTATCTGCTAGGTTTTGGTGTCAGGATGATGCTGACTTCATAGAATGAGTTAGGGAGGAGTCCCTCCTCCTCAGTTTTTTGAAATAGTTTCAGTAGGAATGGTACCAGCTCTTTTTTGTACCTCTGGTGGAATTCATCTGTGAATCCATCTGGTCTTGGGCTTTTTAGGGTTGGTAAGCTATTTATTACTGCCTCAATTTCAGAACTCATTATTGATCTGTTCAGGGATTCAGTTTATTCCTGGTTCAGTCTTGGGATGGTGTATGTGTCCAGGAATTTATCTATTTCTTCTAGATTTTCTAGTCTATGTGCATAGATGTGTTCATAATATTATCTGATGGTTGTTTGTATTTCTGTGGGGTCAGTGGTAATATCCCCTTATCATTTCTGATCGTGTTTATTTGAATGTTCTCTCTTTTCTTCTTTATTAGTTTAGCTAGTGGTCTATTTTATTAATGTTTTTCAAAAAGCCAGCTCCTGGACTCATTGTTCTTTTGAATGGTTTTTTATGTTTCTATCTCCTTTAGTTCTCCTCCGATTTTGGTTATTTCTTGTCTTCTGCTAGCTTTGTGATTGGTTTGCTCTTGGTTCTCTAGTTCTTTTAATTGTGATGTTAGGTTGTTAACTTGAGATCCTTCAAACTTTTTGATGTGGACATTCAGTGCTATAAATTTCCCTCTTAACACTGCCTTAGCTGTGTCCCAGAGATTCTGGTATGCTGTATCTTTGTTCTCATCAGTTTCAAAGAACTTCTTGATTTCTGCCTTCAATTCATTATTTACCCCAAAGTCATGCAAAAGTGAATTTCTTAGTCTTGAGTTCTAATTTTATTGTGCTGCGGTCTGAGAGACTGTTTGTTATGATTTTAGTTCTTTTACATATGCTGAGGAGGGTTTTACTTCTGATTATGTGATCAGTTTTAGATTGTCATGTGGCAATCAGAAGAACATATAGTCTGTTGATTTTTGGTGAGGAGTTCTGTAGATATCTACCAGGTTCCGTTTGATCCAGTGCTGAGTTCAGGGCCTGAATATCTTTATTAAGTTTCTGTCTTGATGATCTGTCTAATGTCAGTTTGTTGTTAAAATCTCCCATTATTATATTGTGGGAGTCTATGTGTCTTTGAGGGTCTCTAAGAACTTGCTTTATAAATCTGGGTGCATATGCACCCAACACAGGAGCACCCAGATTCATAAAGCAAGTTCATTTAGGAAAGTTAGATCTTCTTGTTGAATTGAATCCTTTACCATTATGTAATGTCCTCTTTGTCTTTTTAAATCTTTGTTGGCTTAAAGTCTGCTTTGTTAGAAACTAGGATTGCAACCCCTGCTTTTTTCTGTTTCTCCATTTGCTTGGTAGATTTTTCTCCATCCTTTTATTTTGAGCCTATATGTGTCATTACATGTGAGATGAGTGTCTGGAAGACAGCATACCAATGGGTCTTAGCTCTTTATCCAGCTTGCCACTCTTTGTGTTTTAATTGGGACATTTAGCCCATTTACATTTAAAGTTAGTATTGATATGTGTGGAATTGACCCTGTCATCATGATGTTAGCTGGTTATTTTGCAGACTTGTTTTTGTGGTTGCTTTATAGTGTCACTGGACTGTGTACTTCAGTGTGTTTTTGTAGTGGCTGGTAATGGTCTTTCCTTTCCATATTTAGTGCTTCCTTCAGAAGCTCTTGTAAGGCAGGTCTGGTGGTAATGAATTCCCTTAGGATTTGCTTGTCTGAAAAGGATTTTATTTCTCCTTTGCTTATGAAGCTTAGTTTGGCCCAATATAAAATTCTGGTTTGGAATTTCTTTTCTTTAGAATATCGAATATTGGCCCCCAATCTCTTCTGGCTTGTAGAGTTTCTACTGAGAGGTCTGCTGTTAGTCTGATGGGCTTCCCTTTGTAGGTGACCTGGCCTTCCTCCCTAGCTGCCCTTAACCTTTTCTTCTTCATTTTGACCTTGAAGAATCTGATGATTATGTGTCTTGGGGATGATTTTCTCATGGAGTATCTTACTAAGATTCTCTGCATTTCCTGAATTTGAATGTTGGCCTGTATAGCTAGGTTGGGGAAGTTCTCATGGGTGATATCCTGAAATGTGTTTTCCAGGTTGGTTCCATTCCTCCCATCTCTTTCAGATACACCAACCAGTCATAGATTTTGTCTCTTTACATAATTCCATATTTCTCAGAGGTTCTGTTCATTTCTTTTCATTCCTTTTCTCCATTCTTGTGTGTCTGTTTTATTTCAGAAAGCCAGTCTTCAAGTTCTGAGATTCCTTCCTCCACTTGGTCTATTCTGCTATTAATACTTGTGCATTATGACGTTCTTGTAGTGTGTTTTTCAGATCTATCAGGTCAGTTATGTTTTCCTCTATACTGACTATTTTGTCTGTCAGCTCCTGCACTGTTTTATCATGATTTTTATCTTCTTTGCATTGGGTTACAATGTACTCCTTTAGCTCAGTGAAGTTCGCTCCTATCCGTATTATGAATTCTACTTCCGTCATTTAAGCCATCTCAGCCTCAGCCCAGTTCCAAACCATTGCTGGAGAGATATGTGGTCATTTGCAGGAAAGAGGACACCTTGGCTTTTTGAGTTTTCAGCATTCCTGCACTAATTATTTCTCATTTTTGAGGGCTTATCTACCTTCAGTCTTTGAGGTTTCTGACCTTTGGATATTTTTTATTTTTTTATTTTTTATTTTTTGCTTTTTAATAGTCTGGCCATGGGCTGGGCACGGTGGCTCATGCCTGTAATCCCAACACTTTGGGAGGCCAAGGCAAGTGGATCCCATGAGGTGAGGAGTTCAAGACCAGCCTGACCAACATGGTGAAACCCCTTTTCTACTAAGAATACAAAAATTAACTGGGCATGGTGGCGGGTGCCTGTAATCCCAGCTACTCAGGAGGCTGAGGCAGGAAAAACACTTGAACTTGGGAAGCAGATGTTGCAGTGAGCTGAGACTGCATCATTGCACTCCAGCCTGGGAGACGAGTGAAACTCCAACTCAAAAAAAAAAATTGTCTGGCCACTTTTCTATAGGGGTCTTTTGCTTTGCTGGTGGTCCACTCCAGTCCCTAGTCGCCTCAGATTTTCTAGTAGCTGGAGGTATCACCAGTGAAGACTGCAAAACAGCAAAGATGGCAGCCTGCTCCTTCCTCTGGGAGCTCTACTCAGGACCTGTTCCTGGCCTGAACACACCTGTAAGAGATGGTTGGAGACCCCAGTTGGGAGGCCTCACTCTGTCAGGAGGAACAGGATTGGAGACCCACTTAAAGAAGCACTCTGGCCATGCTTTCATAGATCAGCTGTGCTGGGTTGGGGTACCATTTCCACCCTTGATTGTCTTGTGCTCTCCAAAGCCTGGAGGCTGGAACAGCTAAGTTGCCCAAACAGCAAAGATGGCAGCCCACCTCTCCCTCTGGGAGCTCTGTCCCAGGAAGTTTTCAAATCTCTGTCAGCCAGAGAACATCGGTATGTGTGGCTGGAGGCCCCAGTTGTGAGATTCTGCCCAGTGAAAAGGAACGGGATCAGGGACTTGTTTAAAGAAGCAGTCTGGCCATGCTTTCATGGAGCAACTGTGCTGTGCTGGGGTACTGCTTCTGTCCTCGTTGGCTTGGGCTCTCCAAAGCCCACAGACTGGAGTGGCTGAGTCACCCAAACAGCAAAGATGGTGGCCTGCCCTTCCCTGTTCTCTGTCCCAGGGAGAATTCAAATCTCTGTCGGCTGGTGAACACTGGCAGGGATGGCTGAAGGCCCAGTTGAAAGGTCCCACTCAATGGATTGCGTGCCTCTCTTCCAACCTCAGCATTCAGCAACATCTTGGTAGCTTGAAATTGACCATGGTGGAAGTATTTACACCACAGAAATAGGTAAATGCTAAATCAGGGCTTTTGTCTTGAGAGCAGCTGTAAAACATTTACCAGCCCAACACTGTTTTTAATTCAGTTTTTATTTTCATATCAATAATCGTTGAACCTTTTAAAGTCTGCAGCTTGCTAAAAACTCAGGCTGAAAATCAAGTCACTGCCTTGACTTATCAAGGCCTGGATAAGGGTGAGAGGAAGTGCACAGAGTTTGGTCTTCCCTTTACTTTGCTGTGGGACTCCAGGAGTACATTGCTATTACTTCTCTAGACTGTACAATGGTGTATAAAGGCTCATGTACCTGAGCTATGTGTGGAGTAAGTTATCAATATGTACTTGGGAAAAGACTCTTCTGAACTTACTCTACTTAAAACAGTGGTTTCCAAACATATTTTTGATCTTGTCCCCCAAGCATTGCAAATATTTAAGTGTACAGCACACACGTGTATGTACATATATGTATATATACACACACATATATGTATTAAACACACTATTACATATGTACACATTGGGATTGTATGTGCATATAATTTTATATCTAAGTATACGTTTATAAATTATATACATTACTAATAAGTGTCAATTATACATTAAATAGCAAATTTTTAAAGGATGAAAAAGAAATTAGTTTTAAAAAATTTTTTAAATTGTTCAACTTATTTTACTCTCACTAAATATTATCCATCACATTATTAAATTTTAGTAATGTTTTATGAAAAGATGTATTATTTTTTAAAGTATGCATTAATTTTTTTTGATACAGTTATTTAAAGTCATGGCTCTAAGTTGATTTTATTTTGATTCTCTTCGTAATGCCTCTCAGAACTGAAAAGCCATTTCACGAGATTCATAGATCACAAAGGAAATGGTGTATTTTGGCTAAATTTGCCAAATTAGGTTACTCCTTTTTAATACCATTCACCAATTATACTTCATTAAATTCAATATATATTTCAATATATTTCATTAAATTTGGCTTTCCTGGTGGTACATTTCCACGTTTCCTGATGGTAATCAGTTGCTCTTGCAAGCTAGTCACATGATGGTTTGTTTTTATATTTTTAACAAAAGATTTCAAAGCCCAGTCAAACATTTTGTTTATTATTTAAACTTACTTAAAAAATTTCATTTCCATGGTTTTTAAATTTTGCACATCTGAGTGTTACCTTCTCATTTGCTGTTAAAATTTTATTTTCACTTTGAAGGAGTGGATCAATGATGTGTGTGTGTATGTGTGTGTGGGGGGTTGTGTTTATAATATCTACTGGGAGATGGTCTGGGAGTCACTTCTTACCAAAGAAAATGTTAGCAAATGTGCAATATTTATATGCTTAAAAATAAAAATGTGTATGCATCTTTCATTTTGAAAACTCTTCAAATATATTGCTGCAAGGCAATCAAGTAACCTTTTTGTGGTTACAAAACACATGGGATACACATAACGCAAGCATATTCAAGCCTTTGTATATACATATACTTAATCATATCCATAAACATTTTCTTAGAAAACATCCGTTAATCACATATGCAAAACATCTATCTATATAGACACATATGTTTTGTGAGTACTTATATAAACACATGATATCATATATATACACAGAAAAACATAACTCTATACAGATTTATTATCCTATTGTAATCAGAATTGCATATGTACTTATGCCTTTTACAAAAATTTTGAACATAATTTTATACATCTAAATATCCTTAATACTTTATGTACGCATATTTATCTATATAGACATATATAATCCTTTACATAATATTATGCATATGCATATACATTTGGATAATCCTATACAAAATATAATGGTGCTAAGTTTATAATAAATAATCTTAGCTTTAATCTGTGCATATGTGTGTATATGCACTACTTAAGATACTATAATCCATAAACTTACTTAGCAGTGGCACACATAAAGTGCATGCTGAATGCCCACAGATACGCAAGGGCACTGGCTCAGCCCTTCTCCACAGTGGAATTTCAACTCCCCTGTAAGGGTTCTTCACAATTCACACTCAGGGCTGCCCAACATAGGCCAACTCAGGGTGCCAGGTCTGTATTTAAATGTTATCTAGCTTAGTTTATTTTATTTTATTTTCTTAGATTAAAAAGTAAATATAAATTAGGGTTCTAATATTTTCTTCCTACACCCCAATAGTTCATCGTGTGCCTCGGACTCAACTGAACTCTATGCCTAGCATGGCCTCTTCACTGCCCTAGGCTGCCCATGCCACTCTGGAATAGCCTGACTCTGGCTTCAGTGCCTTGTAGCTGTACATCTTCCAGGAACAGCTACCTGGGAGATCAGCACCTTTACCTATGGGCCTCCTGATCTGATGTGATGGAAATGACCTGTAGAGGCAATATTCCCAACATTTTAAATAAGAAGTTGATAAATTCAACACGGAGAACCTGCTGACAAGGAGGGGGGCTACGGATATGAACAAATAATTCAAAATGGAGTGGACACAAATGAACAATCAAATGGTGGAAATTAAAAAGTCAACTGAGAGAGAGGAGCCAAGATGGCCAAATAGGAACAGCTCCGGTCTACAGCTCCCAGCGTGAGTGACGCAGAAGACGGGTGATTTCTGCATTTCCATCTGAGGTACCGGGTTCATCTCACTAGGGAGTGCCAGACAGTGGGCGCAGGTCAGTGGGTGCGCACACCGTGCGCGAGCCAAAGCAGGGCGAGGCATTGCCTCACTTGGGAAGCGCAAGGGGTCAGGGAGTTCCCTTTCCGAGTCAAAGAAAGGGGTGACGGACGCACCTGGAAAATTGGGTCACTCCCACCCAAATATTGCGCTTTTCGGACCGGCTTAAAAACCGGCGCACCACGAGATTATATCCCACACCTGGCTCGGAGGGTCCTACGCCCACGGAATCTCGCTGATTGCTAGCACAGCAGTCTGAGATCAAACTGCAAGGCAGCAGCGAGGCTGGGGGAGGGGCACCCGCCATTGCCCAGGCTTGCTTAGGTAAACAAAGCAGCTGGGAAGCTCACTGGGTGGAGCCCACCACAGCTCAAGGAGGCCTGCCTGCCTCTGTAGGCTCCACCTCTGGGGGCAGGGCACAGACAAACAAGAGGACAGCAGTAACCTCTGCAGACTTAAATGTCCCTGTCTGACAGCTTTGAAGAGAGCAGTGGTTCTCCCAGCACGCAGCTGGAGATCTGAGAACAGGCAGACTGCCTCCTCAAGTGGGTCCCTGACCCCAACCCCTGAGCAGCCTAACTGGGAGGCACCCCCCAGCAGGGGCACACTGACATCTCACACGGCAGGGTATTCCAACAGACCTGCAGCTGAGGGTCCTGTCTGTTAGAAGGAAAACTAACAAACAGAAAGGACATCCACACCAAAAACCCATCTGTACATCACCATCATCAAAGACCAAAAGTAGATAAAACCACAAAGATGGGGAAAAAACAGAACAGAAAAACGGGAAACTCTAAAACGCAGAGCACCTCTCCTCCTCCAAAGGAACGCAGTTCCTCACCAGCAACGGAACAAAGCTGGATGGAGAATGACTTTGACGAGCTGAGAGAAGAAGGCTTCAGACGATCAAATTACTCTGAGCTACGGGAGGACATTCAAAGCAAAGGCAAAGAAGTTGAAAACTTTGAAAAAAATTTAGAAGAATGTATAACTAGAATAACCAATACAGAGAAGTGCTTAAAGGAGCTGATGGAGCTGAAAACCAAGGCTCGAGAACTACGTGAAGAATGCAGAAGCCTCAGGAGCCGATGCAATCAACTGGAAGAAAGGGTATCAGCAATGGAAGGTGAAATGAATGAAATGAAGAGAGAAGGGAAGTTTAGAGAAAAAAGAATAAAAAGAAATGAGCAAAGCCTCCAAGAAATATGGGACTATGTGAAAAGACCAAATCTACATCTGATTGGTGTACCTGAAAGTGATGGGGAGAATGGAACCAAGTTGGAAAACACTCTGCAGGATATTATCCAGGAAAACTTCCCCAATCTAGCAAGGCAGGCCAACGTTCAGATTCAGGAAATACAGAGAACGCCACAGAGATACTCCTCGAGAAGAGCAACTCCAAGACACATAATTGTCAGATTCACCAAAGTTGAAATGAAGGAAAAAATGTTAAGGGCAGCCAGAGAGAAAGGTCGGGTTACCCTCAAAGGGAAGCCCATCAGACTAACAGCGGATCTCTCGGCAGAAACCCCACAAGCCAGAAGAGAGTGGGGGCCAATATTCAACATTCTTAAAGAAAAGAATTGTCAACCCAGAATTTCACATCCAGCCAAACTAAGCTTCATAAGTGAAGGAGAAATAAAATCCTTTACAGACAAGCAAATGCTGAGAGATTTTGTCACCACCAGGCCTGCCTTACAAGAGCTCCTGAAGGAAGCACTAAACATGGAAAGGAACAACCAGTACCAGCCGCTGCAAAATCATGCCAAAATGTAAAGACCATCGAGACTAGGAAGAAACTGCATCAACTAACGAGCAAAATCACCAGCTAACATCATAATGACAGGATCAAATTCACACATAACAATATTAACTTTAAATGTAAATGGACTAAATGCTCCAATTAAAAGACACAGACTGGCAAATTGGATAAAGAGTCAAGACCCATCAGTGTGCTGTATTCAGGAAACCCATCTCACTTGCAGAGACACACATAGGCTCAAAATAAAAGGATGGAGGAAGATCTACCAAGCCAATGGAAAACAAAAAAAGGCAGGGGTTGCAATCCTAGTCTCTGATAAAACAGACTTTAAACCAACAAAGATCAAAAGAGACAAAGAAGGCCATTACATAATGGTAAAGGGATCAATTCAACAAGAAGAGCTAACTATCCTAAATATATATGCACCCAATACAGGAGCACCCAGATTCATAAAGCAAGTCCTGAGTGACCTGCAAAGAGACTTAGACTCCCACACATTAATAATGGGAGACTTTAACACCCCACTGTCAACATTAGACAGATCAATGAGACAGAAAGTCAACAAGGATACCCAGGACTTGAACTCAGCTCTGCACCAAGCGGACCTAATAGACATCTACAGAACTCTCCACCCCAAATCAACAGAATATACATTTTTTTTCAGCACCACACCACACCTATTCCAAAATTGACCACATACTGGGAAGTAAAGCTCTCCTCAGCAGATGTAAAAGAACAGAAATTATAACAATCTCTCAGACCACAGTGCAATCAAACTAGAACTCAGAATTAAGAATCTCACTCAAAACCGCTCAACTACATGAAAACTGAACAACCTGCTCCTGAATGACTACGGGGTACATAACGAAATGAAGGCAGAAATAAAGATGTTCTTTGAAACCAACGAGAACAAAGACACAACATACCAGAATCTCTGGGATGCATTCAAAGCAGTGTGTAGAGGGAAATTTATAGCACTAAATGCCCACAAGAGAAAGCAGGAAAGATCCAAAATTGACACCCTAACATCACAATTAAAAGAACTAGAAAAGCAAGAGCAAACACATTCAAAAGCTAGCAGAAGGCAAGAAATAACTAAAATCAGAGCAGAACTGAAGGAAATAGAGACACAAAAAACCCTTCAAAAAATCAATGAATCCAGGAGCTGGTTTTTTGAAAGGATCAACAAAATTGATAGACCGCTAGCAAGACTAATAAAGAAAAAAAGAGAGAAGAATCAAATAGACACAATAAAAAAGGATAAAGGGGATATCACCACCGAACCCACAGAAATGCAAACTACCATCAGAGAATACTACAAACACCTCTACGCAAATAAACTCGAAAATCTAGAAGAAATTGATAAATTCCTGGACACATACACCCTCCCAAGACTAAACCAGGAAGAAGTTGAATCTCTGAAGAGACCAATAACAGGAGCTGAAATTGTGGCAATAATCAATAGCTTACCAACCAAAAAGAGTCCAGGACCAGATGGATTCACAGCCGAATTCTACCAGAGGTACAAGGAGGAACTGGTACCATTCCTTCTGAAACTATGCCAATCAATAGAAAAAGAGGGAATCCTCCCTAACTCATTTTATGAGGCCAGCATCATTCTGATACCAAAGCCAGGCAGGGACACAAGAAAAAAAGAGAATTTTAGACCAATATCCTTGATGAACATTGATGCAAAAATCCTCAATAAAATACGGGCAAACCGAATCCAGCAGCACATCAAAAAGCTTATCCACCATGATCAAGTGGGCTTCATCCCTGGGATGCAAGGCTGGTTCAATATATGCAAATCAATAAATGTAATCCAGCATATAAACAGAGCCAAAGACAAAAACCACATGATTATCTCAATAGATGCAGAAAAAGCCTTTGACAAAATTCAACAACCCTTCATGCTAAAAACTCTCAATAAATTAGGTATTGATGGGACGTATTTCAAAATAATAAGAGCTATCTATGACAAACTCACAGCCAATATCATACTGAATGGGCAAAAACTGGAAGCATTCCCTTTGAAAACTGGCACAAGACAGGGATGCCCTCTCTCACCACTCCTATTCAACATAGTGTTGGAAGTTCTGGCCAGGGCAATCAGGCAGGAGAAGGAAATAAAGGGTATTCAATTAGGAAAAGAGGAAGTCAAATTGTCCCTGTTTGCAGACAACATGATGTATATCTAGAAAACCCCATTGTCTCAGCCCAAAATCTCCTTAAGCTGATAAGCAACTTCAGCAAAGTCTCAGGATACAAAATCAATGTGCAAAAATCACAAGCATTCTTATACACCAACAACAGACAAACAGAGAACCAAATCATGAGTGAACTCCCATTCACAATTGCTTCAAAGAGAATAAAATACCTAGGAATCCAACTTACAAGGGATGGGAAGGACCTCTTCAAGGAGAACTACAAACCACTGCTCAAGGAAATAAAAGAGGATACAAACAAATGGAAGAACATTCCATGCTCATGGGTAGGAAGAATCAATATCGTGAAAATGGCCATACTGCCCAAGGTAATTTACAGATTCAATGCCATCCCCATCAAGCTACCAATGACTTTCTTCACAGAATTGGAAAAAACTACTTTAAAGTTCATATGGAACCAAAAAAGAGCCCGCATCGCCAAGTCAATCCTAAGCCAAAAGAACAAAGCTGGAGGCATCACACTACCTGACTTCAAACTATACTACAAGGCTACAGTAACCAAAACAGCATGGTAGTGGTACCAAAACAGAGATATAGATCAATGGAACAGAACAGAGCCCTCAGAAATAACGCCGCATATGTACAACTATCTGATCTTTGAAAAACCTGAGAAAAATAAGCAATGGGGAAAGGATTCCCTATTTAATAAATGGTGCTGGGAAAACTGGCTAGCCATATGTAGAAAGCTGAAACTGGATCCCTTCCTTACACCTTATACAAAAATCAATTCAAGATGGATTAAAGACTTAAACGTTAGACCTAAAACCATAAAAACCCTAGAAGAAAACCTAGGCAGTACCATTCAGGACATAGGCATGGGCAAGGACTTCATGTCCAAAACACCAAAAGCAATGGCAACAAAAGACAAAATTGACAAATGGGATCTAATTAAACTAAAGAGCTTCTGCACAGCAAAAGAAACTATCATCAGAGTGAACAGGCAACCTACAGAATGGGAGAAAATTTTCACAACCTACTCATCTGACAAAGGGCTAATATCCAGAATCTACAATGAACTCAAACAAATTTACAAGAAAAAAACAAACAACCCCATCAAAAAGTGGGCGAAGGACATGAACAGACACTTCTCAAAAGAAGATATTTATGCAGCCAAAAAACACATGAAAAAATGCTCATCATCACTGGCCATCAGAGAAATGCAAATCAAAACCACAATGAGATACCATCTCACACCAGTTAGAATGGCAATCATTAAAAAGTCAGGAAACAACAGGTGCTGGAGAGGATGTGGAGAAATAGGAACGCTTTTACACTGTTGGTGGGACTGTAAACTAGTTCAACCATTGTGGAAGTCAGTGTGGCGATTCCTCAGGGATCTAGAACTAGAAATACCATTTGACCCAGCCATCCCATTACTGGGTATATACCCAAAGGACTATAAATCATGCTGCTATAAAGACACATGCACACGTATGTTTATTGCGGCATTATTCACAATAGCAAAGACTTGGAACCAACCCAAATGTCCAACAATGACAGACTGGATTAAGAAAATGTGGCACATATACACCATGGAATACTATGCAGCCATAAAAAATGATGCGTTCATGTCCTCTGTAGGGACATGAATGAAATTGGAAATCATCATTCTCAGTAAACTATCGCAAGAACAAAAAACCAAACACTGCATATTCTCACTCATAGGTGGGAACTGAACAATGAGATCACATGGTCACAGGAGGGGGAATATCACACTCTGGGGACTGTGGTGGGGTGGGGGAGGGGGGAGGGATAGCATTGGGAGATATACCTAATGGTAGATGACGAGTTAGTGGGTGCAGCACACCAGCATGGCACATGTATACATATGTAACTAACCTGCACAATGTGCACATGTACACATATGTAACTAACCTGCACAATGTGCACATGTACCCTAAAACTTAAAGTATAATAAAAAAAAAAAAGTCAACTGAAATTGCATTATCTATTCTTACTGAATACCCTCTTACATATGTTAGCTGAAATTTTCAAAATACCCCTCTTAAGCAGGCGTCATATTTTCAATTCCAAAGGTGAGGAAACTGAGGCCTGGAGAAAGGTTAAATGATTTGTCTAAAGACCACATACCTGTCAAGTACCAGAGCTAGACTTCACCATCTAGGTCTGTGGCTCCAGAGCATACACGCTTTACCGCTTTACATTCCGCTATGCTGCTTTCTCCAGCAAAACGCCATTTCTTTTTCTAAGAAAATCAAATTAACGAAATTTACAAATTTGCTGGTCTGCAATACTAACAAACATGCATGAAACAGATGAAACAGGCCAACTCCTATGAATGAGAGGGTAGATGAACTTAACTTTTCTGCACTATTTTAACAAATATAAAAAAAATCCTTACAAAGGTCCATTCCCTATGTCTATTTCTAGGACTCTAGCATGTAAAAAGAATCCTACCACCTTTATGCTTAAACATAATAAGGGTTGTTAAAATAATAAGCCTTATTAAAATTAGGCAAACAACTTTCATCTGCAATGGTAATTGAATGGGTTAGTACATGATGCTAGATTTTTGTTCAGAATATAACATAATCAATCAGTAAAAGATGTTCATAAGTGTTAAATATTCATGTTATATTAAGCGAAATAAAGGAGAATAGAAAATGGCACATATATTATAATCACAACTTTGGAAATGTATATATGTATACATACTGTGTGTGTGTATATATGTGTATATATGTATATACTGGAAGGATACATGCTGTGGCAATATATTTAGAGAAAGGAAGGAAACGCTATGATGATAGTAGAGTGATTTCTGTTTATTTTACAATAAATGTATAATCTGAGAAAATTAAATACTTTATTTTTTATTTTATTTATTTATTTTATTTCGAGACAGGGTCTCTCATTCTGTTGCCCAGGTTGAAGCACAGTGGCACAATCTTGGCTCACTGAAACCTCTGCCTCCCGGGTTCTCACGATTCTCTCATGCCTGGCTAATTTTTTTTGTATTTTTTGGTAGAGATGGGCGTTTCACCATGTTGCCCAGGCTGTTCTTGAACTCTTGACCTCAAGTGATCCATCTGTCTCCACCTCCCAAAGTGCAGAGTTTACAGGCATGAGCCACTGCACCTGACCTTTTTTTTTTTTTTTTTTTTTTTTAAGTTGTGGGTTTGGAGGCAGAAAGATCAGCATTCCAATACAGAAGAATTTATTTAAACATACCATGCTTCAGTCTCCTCCTCTGTCATGTGTGGGTAGAATCCTTCCCACATAGGGACTTAGGCTTATGGCACACAGCAAGTTCTCAAAAAGTGCAAGTTCCTCTTCTGTTTTCCCTTTGCAGGATCCTTAGTAGGACGTTTAGCTTCTCAGGACACTGATGACTCATAGATATTCTGTTATGTGGTGGAAAACCCCATTACTCCTTTGCTCATTTAAAACAACTAAGGGGAAAGGTAATCAAAATACCCAAACCTGAAAACTGACCTCATTGACTGTCTTTTTATTCAAGTAGACTAACATAAGGCCATGAGCCCACTTCCCTAGCACAGCTTATGGTTCTTAATTATTTTTAGGAATATACTTAAGAATATTATATAAACAAGAATATATTGAAGACTGTCAAAAATTATCCACTTCTACATGCTCATAGATGCCAAATTCTGCATGTAGTATCTAGGAACTCACAAGTGATCTTAAGTTTCCACAGGCCCCAGGTTGCAGAGCTTTGGAAATGGACCTCATTTCAGAAAAAAAGGAGAGGAAGGACTAAGGAGTCAGAGAGTGACATGCAGAGGAGTTCCTTTCCTTCTCCTTGGCCTTGCCCCTCAGCGACCCATTACTCAGATGAATAGACCAGCTCAGAGAGTGAGCGACCTTCTCAAGGAGCACAGCATTCGAAACCCATCATATTAATTATTTCTTTCACAACACTTCTTCTGCAACAAACTCTGGAGTCACAGCCTTTATGTGACAAGAAGTGATGATTATTAAACCACCTCTACTCTGCACTTTTATTTAGAACAAAACCTTGAGATATTTCTAGGAGTGGAGATGCTACCTGAAAATCAAACAGGTCCAAGCATTCATAATAGTGACAAGCAAATAAAAACAGTTCTTTGAACCTAAAACTCAAAGACATAGATAAAGTGTAGAGTCAAAAGAATGATCTATGCACACATTTATCACTTACTAGGATTTTAATGCAAAAATGTCCATCACCTCCTGTCACTCCTATCAGAATCAAACGTGTCTCTGAGGATGTGCTTCAGACAGAAGGTTATCAGAAGTTAGCCCAGCACTTATTTGAAAGTCTGTGTAGGTTAGTGGTTTAAAGCAGGGATCAGTACTTTTGTTCTGTAAATGGCCAAGTAGTAAGTATTTTAGGTTTTGTGGGCCATAGATAGTCTCGATCACATATTATCCTTTGGTTTTTGTTTGTTTTTACAAGTCTGTAAAAATGTAAAAGCCACTCTTAGCTTGTGGCTGTACAAAAACAACCATAGTTTGCCTACCCATGGTTTTGAGTGTGAACTATAAACCCTGACTACTTAGGTTCAAATCCCTCCACTTCTAGCTTTGTTACCTTTGGTTAGATGCTTACTATTTTGAGCCTCGGGAAAATGCTGTGTGTGGCGGGGGTCATATTAGTGCCTCCTTCATTAGTCTTGTGAGGATTCAATGATGAATGCATATTAAATATTTAAGACAGCAATGATATAATTAGCAAAATGCAGGCCTTAACTTTTATCAGTAGATTTGGGAAGAGGGTCCAAGCCTGGTTGGTTTCCCCAGGGTTACTCAGGACCTCAAACTCCCCTGGGGAGAATGGCCACTGCAAAAGGTCAACCGATTTTGCTTTTCTTGTGACTTATTGTACACAGGGAGGGATAAATACTGTGTGCTTAGAGTTTTAAAATAGTTCCCATATGCAAAGTGGGATAAAAATAGCTCTCACCTTACAGGGTTGTTTTGCAGAAAAAATGGAATGATGAATATGAATTTGCTCATTATAATGTATAACTTCGGTTATTATTATGGAAGATACCCGATGATTATAATTACCAATTAGACAAGAGTTTTTGGCAGAATGTTTTTCTGGGTGATAGTCATGATGTAATATATTTTAAGTATGTTTAATTGGTTCATGTTTCTTTCTGTCCTTACTTAGGCTGTGCACTTCCATAGAATGAGAAGGTCAGATTTACTCCTCAGTCTCAGCACTGAGCACAACGCTGTGGCTGGATAAATATACACACACACACACACACACACATATATATATATATATATATATATATATATATATATATATATATATGATAAAATCACTTTGTTTTTAAGGGATAAAATATTTATGATTTATGTGTTTGCTTGTGCTTTCCTTTACTGACATTTTGAAATCACAAAGGACTTGCAATTCAAAATGGCTGTCAGAATAAACGCATGCTGAACATTCAGTATTCCCCATAATAACAGCACAAGTAGATACAAACAAAATAAACCATCCATCCCTATGCTGGAAAATAAGACAAGGCTTCCTTAGTGGTTAAGAAAATGTAAGGATTCCTGAAAGGGGGAAGGCACATGGGATCGGATTGGAGAAGGAAACTTAGGCTTAGCAGGGAGCAGCTGTTGAGAAAGCTGGGAATGGCTCTAGAGATGCTGCAAGCCTGGGTGCAGATATCAGAGGAGCAGTGAGGGGACTAGTCCAGGGCAATCATCAGGGAGCCCGCACCACAGAAGAGCAGGATACGTTGTCTGTCTCCTGTGTTTCACCATATTCACCACCCAGTTGGTAACTCTAGGAGAAATGAGAAGACCCTGTACCCAAAAAAGTTGTACTGGAAGTACATCCCACATGTATAGGGTCCAAATAACACTTCAGACATGCACAGATTTAGAAAGTTAACCATCTACAAGTCCTCCCTGAATGGATTATGAAAGGGTGAACTTCAGTAAAGCAAAAATAATATTTGGAACATATTATGATACTTGTTTCAAAATGAAACATATTGGCTGGGCGGGGTGGCTCACGCCTGTAACCCCAGCACTTTGGGAGGCAGAGGCGGGCCTCAGGAACACCTGAGGTCAGGAGTTCCAGACCAGCCTGGCCAACATGGTGAAACCTCATCTCTACTAAAAATACAAAAATTAGCCAGGCTTGGTGGCATGTGCCTGTAATCCCAGCCACTCGGGAGGCTGAAGCAGGAGAACCTCTTGAACCCGGGAGATGGAGGCTGCAGAGAGCCGAGATCACCCACTGCACTCCAGCCTGTGCGACAGAGTGAGACTCCATCTCACAAAAAAAAAGACATTATTCTCATGAAAACAGTCATGACAGTCATGAACAAGTAGTCCTATTTGTACAAAATGAAATACAAATGACTAATAAATAGGTAAAAAGATATTCAACTTCACCAATAACAAAGGAATGTAAGTTAGAAAAAAAGAAATGTAATTTTCACTCATCAGAGTAACAAACTTTTATCATATCAAATATTGATGATGTTGTAAAGAAATGAATACTCTTTTTTACAGCTTAGTAGTATTCCATGGTATACGTATATTCTGTATTTTCTTTATCCACTCATTGGTTGATGGGCACTTAGGTTGATTCCATATCTTTGCAATTGTGAATTGTGCTGTGATAAATATACACTGTTTTTGTAAGTATAAATTTTTGCAGCTATTTACAGTACAATTTTGGCAGTGTCTATTAGAGTGAAAAATAATGTCTCCTCTGACTCAGCAATTCATTTCTGTTTCTACCTTAAGGATGCACTTGCATGTGCCCTGTATGAAAGTACAAGCATGTTAACTGCAGCAGTGTTAGTTACAGGCAAAATTGGAAATGAACATCAAAACTGGGATAAGAGCACCATGGTAAATCTGGACTATGTAGTACTTGCAAAAGATGCAGATAAGCCTACGTGTACCAATGTGGAAAGGTCTGTGAAACATATTGTTCACTGCAAAAAATAACAATTCCAAAAAAAGAAGTATAGATAAAAAAATTTGGGTATAAAATCAACCCACATACAAAATATAGATCTTTGTATAGTTGCATACCTCTCTACATGTTTGTATATGTTTTACATACGTATCTATCTCTATCTATCATCTATCTCTCTCTCTCTCTATCTATCTATCTCTCTATCATCTATCTATCTATCTATCTATCAAGAGATTGATTTCAATTCAAAGTAAAGTAACAGTATATTTGGATGCAGAGCAAACATAAGAGTGGCCTCCTCTACAAAAGGGACTCAAGATAGAAATCTGAAAAGCACAGAAAACTACAAAGGTAAAAATAAACAACTATATTCCTATGGTACCTTCTTTTAGCATTTTTCTCTATATCCTTCCAGCCATTTTTCTATATAGGTATAGGGCAAGTTGGAAGTCTTGATCTGCAGCAAAGGACCTTATTTTAGAGGCAAAAAATATATTAGTGTTAGTGAATAGATGTAGAAGAAATTGAAATCTGTGAACTCTGAGAATTCAGGGGACGATGTACCGATCACTGACACCTTGGGGAGAAACAGACAATGGGGAGATAAACTGTGAAATGTGCCCATTGCTGGAACTTGAAGAGTGGATGAGGAGTTTGATGGAATGGTATGGAGGGGCCAAATGCCACTGAATCACTCAGGCACCCTCCTCCCCCAGTCACCTTAATCATGCCCTGTTTATACAAACAATAGCACAATGAGAAAAATGTAGATACAACTGGAGGAACCCACCCAGGAAAAGTGTTTGGTAGAGTTTTGCAGAAGATAGGATAAGATCTAGAGGAGAAGAATTGGAATTATAAATACAGTGGTTAATTCTAGGCTCTACATGTGTGGGAATTTGGGCCAATTTTGCTTTTATATTTCCCAGGGGAAAAATGTCTGTTTCAACTATATTTTCAAATTTATTATTATAAAGTTTTTCATAGTGTTAATATCTTCTTGAAATTTTCAAACATCATACTTATCCACGTGTCAGGATTTTTTGGTTTTTAATGTTATTTGTTTCTTATCCTTCTTGATCCTATTTGCCTAGGGTTTATCTGTTTTATGAGTCATTTCAAAGAACAAGTTTTGGTTTTGCTGATTAACTCATTTCTGGGGAGGGAAAATGTTTTTCATTAATTACAGTTTCTAGCTTATATTTTGTTCTTTCGAATTTCGTTGGGTTTATTTTCTTCCATTTCCCTGTCCACTAATGGGATTTTGGATTTCCTCTTCTCTGCATTGCCTGTACATTGCCTGGAGGCAGCAACGCATATGGCTAATAAAACATATTGAGGATGAATGAGAAAACAACCTGGTTCCTGGAAGGAGAGAAACAAGGTGGAGTCTTCTCACAGAAACAAGGAGAAGGTCAGAGAGACCTCCGGGAGCATCTCATCTTGGAGGTAGCTGTTTGCATGAGGGCAGTGCTTGTCCTGAGATGCTAGTTTCGCAGAGTGGTGTTCACAAGGGAAATAAGCTAGGTCATTACCGTCTACCCTTACACCAGGAAGAGGAAAACATTTCAGGCTTATATACCAAGGCTTTCCTGCCCCTAAGCTGTCCAGAGTTGCCTTAGTATTGATTATCTTAACTTAATTATTATAAAGTTTGCTGGTAATGCTTTTGTATTAAGAGTAAAAGATAACCTTGAGAGCTGCAAACATGAGCCCAGCGATCCAGGAGATCAAGTTAATAATTCTGGATATCAAGAGATCCACGATTAGTCAATTCCAACCTGTTTTCCTTTGATGCCTTAATCAAGGTTTAGTTATAGTTAACCTACTTTCAAAATGCTTACTTCCACCCTCCCTCCAAGAATCACCCTGAGCATTTCCTCCACTCTCTAAGTTTAGGAATTTAGGACTTTCCCCCAAGAAAGGCACTGTAGAGAACAAACATATGACATCTCAAAGACACTTCGCCATTTCAAATAGGAAAGAAAAATTTGCATCCAAACAGGCCAAATATTGCACTCACTGTTAATGTAATCATTTTTCTGACTTTGAATTCCTTTTCCCAAGTGACTAAACAACGTCTTTATTCTAACCTTTCGGCACTAGGCAGTTTTTCTCCTGCTTTAGTTTCCTCTACAACCTCCGGAAGAGTTTTCCTCAGCCCTGTTACCTGTTTCGTCCATCATTCTGTTGCTCACTGGATTGGTTTTTACATTAGTGTGTTTTGACAGCACACAATGGTTTCCTCAGTTACACAACAGACTCAGTGCCAATAAACTTTTTTTTAGGTAATGTAAAGCATATTTGAGCACAAGAATGATTGCATTTTCATGGCTAAAAATAAACAGTTGTTTTTAATTTTCCATGAGAATGCTGGCTCTTAGCACAAGGGGCCACCTTCTACCTGGTGAACTCTTTATGCCAAAGTCATCACTACGTGGCTAGAAATGTGAAATTCAAGTTTTCCTTATGTAACATAAAGGGAAAAGCCCATAGGCAAATCTCTCTTTAATTCCATCGTATCACTGCTCATGCACAGTGCTTTTAAAACAGACTATAACAAACATACCCTAACAGAGAAACAAGTCCTACCCTAGCTAATTTACATAAAAAGACTATCTTTATTTTTATAGTAACAAAAAAAGCTAGGATTATCTCATTTAATCCTTATACCATCATTATGAAGTGGGTAATGTTATACTTACAAAAGGAAGTTAATCATTTCTTATTTTCCACAGACACCACAAGCTCAAGAGGCTGCATTAGCGTTTTTTATTGGAGGCATTTTCTTTTCCTCCAGATTTTGTTTTTGACTGTTAAGGTCATAGCTACAAACAATTGATCAAGCCTAAAAGGGCATTTATAAACCACCTGCATCTACATTTTTTTCTTACTGTGGATGGATTTAAAAAGCCGTTTCAAGATGAAATCTTATGAGTCATTATCATGTCTTCTGAGGGCTGAGATATAACTTTGAAGTAGAGCCCAAACATGAAGATCATGAAGATGGCTTCTTCTCCAAATGATGTTATCTTAAAAACTTGAAAAAGACAAAAAAAAAAAAAAAAAAAAAGAAGAAGAAAAAGAAAAAAGAAAGAAAAAAAGAGAGAGCGAGCCAAGGGAACTTGAATCAGACAAACCTGGTTCAAAGTGATTATTCAACAAATGTAAGCTGTTATCATCTTGTCCTCCATCATTCAAATATGTCCTGTATAGATCTTCCATTAATTTCAAATATCTAATGATCTACACCATCAAATATTATGAAGGTGATGTTTAGCAGGTCATTGGCTAAGACAGGCTCTACCTCAGTCTCTAATAGAGAAGGAAAGACAAGTAGCATTTACTAACACCCACAGTATGCTTCATATTGTTGCCAGAAATTTCAAATGCACCATCTATTGATGCATGGAATCCTTTCAACATTCTTAGAAGGTGAGTGTTATCTTAACTTTTCATTTTAGGAAAATGAAGCTGAGAGTGGTTAAGTATCTTGCTTAAGGTAATATTCATACCATGGGGAGGATCATTATAGTTGACCAGTTAAATACGTGAATTGAAGGTAATATCACAGATCCCTGCTACTCAAAATGTGGTCCACTGACCAGCATCGCTGGCATTACCTGGGAGCTTGTTAGAAATGCAGCGCCTCAGGCGTCACCCTGTCCCTACGGAAGCAGAAGCTGCATTTTTCACGTGGATCTCCTGGCGATTTCTGCGAACATTTACTGCTGTTATAGAAGAGACCCAAGCACCCATATCCACTACCTCTGTCATTTTACCAGTGAGGAAATACATTAAAAAGCATAATCACTTTATGAGCAAATAAATGTTAACTTTTTCAAGTATAAAATATCAAAACTCATCATTTCAAGGCCGCAAGCCAGTTTTTTTTTTTTCAAAATTTGGTAGAGTTTCCAAAATAAGCAGAGCCAATAAGAACTAGCAAGTAACAAGATGAAAATATAAAGGTCATGAGGCCAAAGAAGGAGCCTTTATTCAGAGGTATCAGTGGCTTTTAAATGCAAACTAAAATTGGGAGTTAAAAGGGCTCTTACTGACTTACCCAAATGAGATACATTAATAGTTAACACTGATTGAACATTTAATATGATATGTATTACCTCATTTAATCCCCACAATGACCCTGTGAATGAGTACTGGTATTGTTATTATTATCTGTTTTAGCAGTTAGGATATCAACTATCCTATGAAAGGATTATCAAAGAACTATCAAAATCACAGAGCTGGGAAGTTACCGAATTGGGGCTGGAATCCCAGGCTTCCTATCCCAGGGCTGAGCTCATCCCCATAGTGTTATTCTGTCTCATAACATAGGAGACATATTTAGGGAAAGCAGCCACCCAAAAGTAAGATAGAACACAAGGGACCTGTAAGCAACTCCTTCACTGAAATGAGCCTGGGAGTGTGAAGAGCAGAGGATGGAGAGCCTTGCTTCTGAAGGCCTTGGTCACACCCTCACACTGTTCAAAGTGGAAGAGATTCATTAACTTTTATCATTATATAAGATACTACTTATTTCTTTAAATCTCACCTCAACCCCCAAAACTGAAAGTTAGCAGGAGAACACTTTTGGCCAATAAGAAAACAGAAAATAAAATTAAAATGGTAGATTCAGTTTCCTGCAATACCTCAGTTTCATGCAAAGACAGTGGCTCTGTGAAACTCATAATAAAACTTTTAAACATCCCAGAAATATCTTTAAAAACATAAATTTTACTGTTTATCTTTCCTTTTATAAAATGGTACATGTTCATTATGGAAATTTTTAAAAAAGACAAAATTATGCCAAAAAAAATGAGAAATCCTTTATATTCATGCAACCGACAGAAACCAATTAGTATGTTGTTATACTGCCTTTCAAATTTATTTCTATAGAGTTTTATTTTTGCATATTTTGGTTTGTAGTCATATTACACATAAAATTTTGTACCCAATTTTTCCCATTAACTTTATGTGTTTGGCATTTACCTCTTATTATAAACCCTGCATGACAGCTCATTTAAAAGTGAGTTAGTAATCGCTTGAGCAGACATATGGCAACTTAAGCAATTTTTATCCCATTGATGAGATTTGTAGGTTGTTTCTAATTTTTCCCCTTTGTAAAGAGTTCAGTGAACTTTTTGGCTCAAATATTTTTGATTATATATCAGCTTGTTTGGATAGATGTTATTTCAAATGATACAATTATTTGATGCATTTGCCAAATATCTTTCTAAAATAATAATTTGGAAGCTCAGAGCACTATGCTCTCCCAATAATTCTATAATAAATTTATCAAAGCCACAATTTTCATCAAGATAGCTCTGCATGTAGATTGACTAATTACTGTTGTTTCCTTATCAGTGGTTCTACAGTTCAGCTCTTTATGAAGATGTGACGGTTAATGAGAAACTGATTAAGTTTGTATCTGTGGATTAGATAGCAGCAAGACTCTAGATATTTGGTCCTGAATAAAATAAGGATGCGTTTCGTTTGCATTTGCTGATATTTGTTTAGCTTGCCTTGTATGTTAAGATTTTCCTAATTCATTAGTAAGAAAGATTTCACACATACACACACTCTTCATTATAGAAATTTGCAATAAAAATCCCAAGGAGTCCCTCCATTTCATTTATTGCTATTTTATCTTAATTTTATTATAGTTTCCAGAAAAAAAAATTTAATTTCATAAAATAGAGGTTAAATGAGAAACATTCTTTCAAAAGCCAGTTACTGGCAGCCCCCTAATTTTTGCCACTACTTCTTTAGCCTTTGCAACTCTTTAAAAAAATACAAGGAATGCAAGTTTATTGTAAAATAACAAAAATATTAATAAATGAGTAGAAGCAATCCATGATATTATAATTCAGAAATAAATAGCTAAAATTGTACTGTATAAATTCCAGGTATTTTTATGAGTACCTAATTATATGTTTGATTTTTAAGTATAACCATTCTCTATATATTTTTTGACAGCTTTCTTCACTTAAGAGTATGTAGTCAGGAAAATATATCAATGCACATAAGTATGTTTTGTAATATAATGAGTACATAATACAATATATAGACATCCCACTATTCATTTTATCCATTGTCTATTGTTGGACAGAAATTATGCATTTTTTATTTACTTGTAACTTTGCATTAAGTGGCTTTATTCCTAAATTTTTGCTACATGCTGAATTATTTTCTCAGACAAAATTCCTTGAAATATAAATACTGTGTCAAAGAGGAACCATATTTAAAAAAATCAACAATAATATTTAAATATCCAATATCTTTTAACTGTAGAAAATTAGCAAATAGAAATAACCAAATGAAAAAATATTGAAAACAATAATAATAATTCTACCACGTGCACATAACCATGTCTGGGTTAGTGCTTTTTTCCCTGTATCTTTTCTATTTAGCTTTACGTAAATATGTTTAATATAATTTTTCTTATATATTAATCTCTCTATACATTTCATATATATATATATGTATGTATATCTACCCACAAAAAAGGCATTTTTAACAGGCTTACCACATACTGGATAATTGTAAATACTTATTGAATTAATGAATAAATGAATAAAAATAGGATAATTTTGTAGATGCTAGATTATAACCTAATATTTTTACTTAAAATATCTTTGGCATCTATTCATGTTAATAGTTGTCACCCACAACATTTCAATAATGATTTAATGGAATTTATAATGTACAAATAAGCCATCTCGGAAATAACAGAACAATTAAGACAAAGCATACCAACGCCAAATTTATTGGAAAATTTAGAGCACTAACTGTATTTATTGTAAAATAAAAAGGAATTAAAATAATTGAAATCAGTACTCCACACAAGAAGTCAGAGAATGCATAATTAAATCAATACTTGAAGAAAGGAGCAAGGAATTAATAGCAACATAGACTTTAATAAACTGGAAAACCAACTAATTTAGAGTGTACACACACAAGAGCTAGATCTTTGAAAAACAAAACAAAAGAATCAACTCCCCCCAAAAAATAGAATAATCAGAAGAACACGACCATTCTGAGTTCTGAGTTCTAACATAAAAACCTTAATTAAATACAAATACACCTTAAGAAGGTGGCTATAACCCAAGATGCAAATGGGATTACAAAATCATAAGAGACTACCATATGGAAATCTATGCTAATAGACTTGATGATTTTGGTGAAGCATATGACTTTCAAGGGAGTTATGAGTTAAAATTTATTTATGAGCAAGAAAAAAAACTGAATAGACCAATGACTTTGAAAATTTTAAAAACCCATCCATAAAAACCCTAGAAGAAAACCTAGGCATTACCATTCAGGACATAGGCATGGGCAAGGACTTCATGTCCAAAACACCAAAAGCAATGGCAACAAAAGACAAAATTGACAAATGGGATCTAATTAAACTAAAGAGCTTCTGCACAGCAAAAGAAACTACCATCAGAGTGAACAGGCAACCTACAGAATGGGAGAAAATTTTCGCAACCTACTCATCTGACAAAGGGCTAATATCCAGAATCTACAATGAACTCAAACAAATTTACAAGAAAAAAACAAACAACCCCATCAAAAAGTGGGCGAAGGACATGAACAGACACTTCTCAAAAGAAGACATTTATGCAGCCAAAAAACACATGAAAAAATGCTCATCATCACTGGCCATCAGAGAAATGCAAATCAAAACCACAATGAGATACCATCTCACACCAGTTAGAATGGCAATCATTAAAAAGTCAGGAAACAACAGGTGCTGGAGAGGAAGTGGAGAAATAGGAACACTTTTACACTGTTGGTGGGACTGTAAACTAGTTCAACCATTGTGGAAGTCAGTGTGGCGATTCCTCAGGGATCTAGAACTAGAAATACCATTTGACCCAGCCATCCCATTACTGGGTATATACCCAAAGGACTATAAATCATGCTGCTATAAAGACACATGCACACGTATGTTTATTGAGGCATTATTCACAATAGCAAAGACTTGGAACCAACCCAAATGTCCAACAATGACAGACTGGATTAAGAAAATGTGGCACATATACACCATGGAATACTATGCAGCCATAAAAAATGATGCGTTCATGTCCTCTGTAGGGACATGAATGAAATTGGAAATCATCATTCTCAGTAAACTATCGCAAGAACAAAAAACCAAACACCGCATATTCTCACTCATAGGTGGGAATTGAACAATGAGATCACATGGACACAGGAAGGGGAATATCACACTCTGGGGACTGTGGTGGGGTGGGGGGAGGGGGGAGGGATAGCATTGGGAGATATACCTAATGCTAGATGACGAGTTAGTGGGTGCAGCGCACCAGCATGGCACATGTATACATATGTAACTAACCCGCACAATGTGCACATGTACCCTAAAACTTAAAGTATATAAAAAAAAAAAAGACTGACAAAATTAGGTGAAATAAAGCATATAAGGTGTTTAGCACACAAAAAAAATAAAAATAAAAACCCATCATATAACTAACTCTTAGGAAAAAAAACAGCCAGACAGTCTCATAGGTGCAATGTTTCAACTCTTCAAAGAATGAATGATTTTTCTAATATCTAAACTCTTGCAGAGAATAGGAAAGTAAGCGTCATCATTTTGTGCAGCTAGCACTAGTGTCATAGAGAAATCTGACAAAGATAACCCAAAGGTAAGAACCACAGACCCGTTTAATTTATGAAAGTAAATACACAAACTATAGATAAAATTACTTGCATTGAAACACTAAATTAGAATAATACATGATAACCAATTATATTTTATTACATGATTTTAAAGAGGATTCTACATTGTGAAATATATTAAACACTGGCTATGCATTATCGTCATTATTATTTTGCAATAGTCTGGAAATAACAATAGTGCTATGATACTGAGAGATCCTAGATTTAACTGGAAACTTTTTCTTAATTCTCTTGTCACAGAATCTTGAGATCTCACATGGAGAAGTCAAGATTATTTGAATGAGTTCTCTGGGTTCAAAAATGTCTCAACTAGGGGTAAAGTTATCAGTAGCACATGTATTATAAGCTAACTTGATAATTCTTACGTTGTTTATCATGTAATCTGTGTTTTGATAGTGATGAAGAATATTCATTGCACTTCATTAAGAGAGAATATTTTTGTTTCTCTTCAATAATTGTTCAAAAAAATTTGAGGCAAGTTTTGCTTCTTATAATGGTGAGAAAACTTTTTTAGACTAACTATACCCCTCCTCACTGAGAGGTGAAGCCAGACTTCTGGGCCGGGTGGGGACTTAGAGAACTTTTCTGTCTTACAAGAGGATTGTAAAATGCACCAATCAGCACTCTGTAGCTAGGATTGTAAAATGCATCAATCAGTGCTCTGTGGCTAACTAGAGGTTTGTAAAGTACGCCAGTCAGTGCTCTGTAAAAACGCACCAATCAGTGCTCTATGGCTAGCTAGAGGTTTGTAAAATGGACCAATCAGCACTCTGTAAAATGGACCAATCAGCGCTCTGTAAAATGGACCAATCAGTGCTCTGTAAAATGGACCAATCAGCAGGACATGGTGGAGACAAATAAGAGAATAAAAGCTGGCATCCCAGCGAGCAGCAACAACCCCCTTGGGTCTCCTTCCACGCTGTGGAAGCTTTGTTCTTTCACTCTTGACAATAAATCTTGCTGCTCCTCACTCTGGGTCCATGCCACCTTTAAGAGCTGTAACATTTCACTGCGAAGGTCCGCAGCTTCATTCTCGAAGTCAGCAAGACCAAGAACCCACCGGAAGGAACCGACTCTGGACACACTGCCACAGATAACAATTACAAGCTCTGGACATAATATTTCTTAAAAACCAATTATTTGAAGATATTGGAGCGTGACAAAATGTGGAAAGAAACAAGAAGATTGAACTCTTGAAATAAGTGAACCACACTCCCTCGATGAGACCATTTTTAGATTACTTTTCCCCTGAGGTACTTTCCAGTTCATGTGACATCTCAAACAGTATTATTAGCATGTGGTGTCAAGAGATGAAGTTGGTGCTGCCAGAGTGGCTGAAATATAAAGAGGGGAATCCTAGAATGAAGACAGCCTCAGAGGAAGTCCCCAGATTAGCTTATAGACACCCTTTAATCCTTGGCCAATCCCAAATTGCACAAGCACAGGGGAGACTTCAGGGGGCTCACCAACAACAGCTGGGGGCTGAAAGAACTGTGCAGGAACTTTACCTACTGCCTACCACAGGAGATCCAGTTTGGAGTTTGTGGCCTGTCAAAAGTTGAGAGGTTTACCAAACGACTTGGGCTTTCCATACACCTGTTCAGCAAGGTGAAACACCAAAACTCCTCAAGTTACAGTGATTTGACAGTAGTTTACCTGCCAGAAAAATAACCAACACTTTATGGAGGAAGATATAGAAATCAAAATCTCTGTATCATCCACAATGTCCAGTATTAATATAAATATGGAAAGAAAAAATGAAGCGTAGACTCATAATCAAAAAATAAAGCAGTCACCATAAGTTGACTTGAGATCATTCAGATGTTGGAATCAGCTCACAAAATATTTTGAAGCAGCTGTTTTAAATGTATTAAGGAATTTTGATTGGGAGTAAATTGAACATATATATCAATATTAGTGTTACAGGATCTTTGGTTGTCATTTTTCTGGCTGAAAAACTTTGCAGCCAGTGGTGCCTCTGCCTGAGTTTTGCTCAGGCCCCCTGGGTTCATTTTGCCCACAGCCTCGCAGGCTGTGCTTGGCTCATGCTACCGACCTGGGTCCTGAGCCTGCCATGGGCAAGTCAGGCACGAAATGGTGAGAGGTGTGCAAGTGAGCATGGGGTCCGGCCACTGCCCACAGTCAGATATACTGGCTGCTGCAGTGGGGCAGGCAGCTCCAGGTGCCAGGGCAGGCAGCTCCAGGTGCCAGCACAGGCACCAGCTCTCTGCAAGGCTGTGGCCAGACCAGGTGCACCACAAGCGGCTTCCACAGCTGGCACTGGGGAACACAGTGGCATCCAGAAGCTTGGAGATGCCAGGAACTGCAAGGCCCCAAAGAGGGAGTCATGGTCTTGGCACAGGGAACTCCCAGGTATGGGCTCCCCAAAGGGCCACAGCTCTTACCTCCTTCTCTTCACCTTCAACGTGGCAAGCAGGGGGCATGTTTCAGCCCTGTTGGTGTTACAGCTTTTTTGGCCCTGCCACTTGATGGGTCTTGAGTTCTTGTCCTGCAACTAGGAAGAATGAGGTATGCAGACAAGTGGTGGGGTGAGCAGGATGAAGAGGAGCTTTATTGAGCAAGAGAATAGGTAAGTCTCCTGCAGGGGGCAGCTCCTTTCCACAGCCAGGGTGTCCTAACGAGTGTTCAGCTCCTAGGAGACCCATGAGTGGTTTGCTGTTTTCTGTAGGCAGGTAATCCCATCATGTCTGCAGCTCTCAGCAGACGGGGGGTCCTGGAGTGGGTTGCTCCTCTCTGCAGGCAGGTCATTCCATAATCTCTGCAGCTCTCAGCAGAGAGGAGGCCCTGAGGTGGGTAGCTCCTTTCTGCAGCAGGTCATCCTGACATTGCCCAGCTCTGGCTGAGCCTGGGGCTTTTATGGGCCTAAGAGGGGAGGAAGTGCATGCCAGTTGGTCCATGGGTGGCCATGAGTGGGCCCAGAAAAGGTACCACAAGTTCCCACTCCAGTCCACGGGACTGGCAGCCTGGCCCCCAGCCTTCAGGCCCTCCCTGGCCTGAAGGTGGGGCTTCTCTGGGGACTTGCCCCCTTCTGCCCAGGAGCCTGTTTGCCTCTCACTGATGTTCATGGTGCCCAGGCTGTTCATGCCAAGAGGTGTCTGCAGGCCAGGGCTGAGTTGCCCTCAGTCCCCCCTTGGCTTCCCTTCCATGCTCATCAGTGCCCAAAGTCCAGAGGGGGTGAGGCAGCAGGGGACTGGTGTGTCAGCACTGCCTTGAGCGTGCACACACCTGGTCAGGCTGTGACAGCCCCCAGGCTCAGCCCAGCCTTTGCTCTAAGATCAGAGCAAGCACTGACAGCAGGAAGAAGCCAGGCAGTGGAAGCAGGCACTTGCAAGCCTGTGAGGATAGGGGAGGCCTTCATGGGCCTCCAAAGTGCAGGAATGCCTGGGTCCACAGCCACAGTTTGGGTGGCTGCAGCTGTGACTGGGAGGGTAGGGCTCCTGCCTGCTCCCAGGCCCCAAGAGCACAAGGATGCCCAGGTCCACAGCCATGGCTTGGGCAGCTGCAGCAGCACCCTGAGAGCTTCCACCCCAAGTCAGAAAGGGCAGGGATCATGCTTGTCCCTGGCTCCTGCTTGTCCCTGGCTCCTGCTTGTCCCTGGCTCCTGCCAGCTCCACGGAGTGTGTAGTCCTGGCTGCACCTCCCTGCTGCAGTCAGCATGATGGCAGTGGCCACTCCAGATGGCCCACCACTGCCATCATTTCACATCTATAAATATGGCAAATTTTTCAATTTATTTCCGTATGAGCTCATGGCTTTCAATAGAGACACATAGAAATATATTTATATATACATACCAACAACATACACGCATATGTATGTATACATTCTTAAGCTCTGTCCATTGAAAAGGCTTAGAAGCAATGACATATGAGAAGCAATGGGCAAGCTAGCACTAAACTTTGGTTTCTAAATATTATTCTCTGTGATAAGGGGCTAGTTTGAGAAAAGGCTGATTCCAGATCTGGGCAAGAAAATTTCATAATGAGCCTAAAATATGGTATTGTGACAAAAAGCAAAGAACTACTCAAAGTATTATGAGGATATTTAAAAAGGACATAGCAACTAGCTTGAAGGAGTCCCTACTTCCCAAGTCTGGCAATTTGAGAATCAAAACAAAGAATGAAAATAATGTATTTTAACTCATTCAATTAAATAAGAATCCATGATTATATATATATGTATGCATATATATATAGATATAGATATGTATGCATATATAGATAGATATAGATATACACACACACACACACACACACACACACACACACACACACACACAGACAGAGAGGGAGAGGGAGAGAGAAAGAGAAAAATGGAGAATAACCTGCTACAGTGAAAACAATGAAAGGAAGAGTTGTCTCTGCAGGGGAGACAGGCTGGGAAGAGACACGGAGGAGCTTCCTGGGCTGATGGAAGTGTCTATATATTGAATATAGAATAAGAACTAATAAATATAGAAGGAATGATGTCAGAAAATCATCAATGATGCAAAATGTTATAGATGAAAACATGATAATGAACAGAATATTTACAAAGACATTTCTTATTTATCACAAAGGGAAAATTAGTAACTTTATAGTGGAGAAATCTGGAAGATATCAGTTAACATCAATATTGGGACAAGTGACAGTGTGTATCTCCTGGTATGATATACCAGTGAGGACACAACATAACTTCCATAATATTCCTGTCAAAAATAAATAATGTGAATCCAATCATGATAAAACATCACACAAACCCAAACGGAGAGATATTTATAAAATAACTGATCTGTGCTCTTAAAAAAAAAAGGTCACTCATCAAAGCATTCAAAAACATAAATTAGGGAAAGGACACCCTATTCAATAAATGATGCTGGGAAAACTGGCTAGTCACATGCAGAAGAATGAAACTGGATCCCTATCTCTTACCCTATTCAAAATTTAACCTAAGATGGATTAAAGACTTTAAGACCTGAAATCATAAAAATTCTAGAAGAAAACCTAGGAAAAACTGTCCTAGACATTGGCCTAGGCAAAGAATTTATGACTAAGATCCCAAAAGCAAATGAACAAAAATAAAAATAAATAAATGGGATCTAATTAAACTAAAAAGCTTCTGCACAACAAAAGAAATAATCATTAGAGTAAAGACAACTACAGAATGAGAGAAAATATTTGCAAATTATGCATCTGACAAAGGACTAATATCTAGAATTGACAAGGAACTCAAACAGGTAAGCAAGAAAAAACTAATCCCATTAAAAAGTGGGCAAAGGATATGAACAGACATTTCTCAAAAGAAGATATTCAAATGGCCAACAAACATGAAAAAATGTTCAACATCACTCATCATCAGGGAAATGCACATTAAAGCCATAATGAAATACCACCTTACCCCAGCCAAAATGGTCATTAATAAAATGTCAAAAAACAGTTGATGCTTGTGTGGATGTGGTGGAAAAGGAATGCTTATACATTGCTGGTGGGAATGTAAATTAGTACAACCTCTATAGAAAACAATATGGAGATTTCTCAAATAACTAAAAGTAGATCTACCATTCAATCCAGCAATCCTGCTTCTAGGTATCTACCCAAAGGAAAAGAATTCATTATATAAAAAGATGCCTGCATGTATATGTTTATTGCAGAACAATTCACAAATGCAAAGATATGGAATCAACCCAAGTGTCCATCAACTGATGAGTGGATAAAAAAAATGTGGTATATGTATACTGTGGAATACCACACAGCTATAAAAAAGAATGAAATAATGTCTTCTGCAGCAACTTGAATGAAACAGAAGGCCATTATACTAAGTGAAGCAACTCAGGAATAGAAAACCAAATACCACATGTTCTTGCTTATAAGTGGAAGCTAAGCTATAAGTGCACAAAGGCATACAGAGTGGTATAATGGACATTGGAGACTCAGAAGAAGGAAGGGTGGGAGTGGGGTGAGGGATGAAAAACTACCTATCGAGTGCAATGTACATTACTTGAGTTATGGGTGCACTAAAATCCTAGACTTCACCACTACACGATTGATCTGTGTAACCAAAAACCATCTGTTTTCTTAAAACTATTGAAATTTAAAAGAAGAAAAGAAAATGCCACCCATGAAAGACAAAGATTGAGGAAATGTTCCAGCTGAGAGAAGACGCATGCAAGTAAATGCAATTTGTGACCTTGGATAAGATCCTGGATGTGGAAAATAAAAAAGTTATAAAGGACATTATTGAAACAATTGATAAAACCGCCCTGTGGACTTTGTATTAGAAAATGACGTTATATCATTATTAAATTTCTTGGTTTTAATAAATGTTCTCTAGCAAAGTATTGTTCTTCAGAGTTACCAAAATTTAACCAATTTACTAATGGTTTCAAAGAATAGTATGTAGATATAGATATGGGTATATATTAGATAGATAGATAATAGATAGGAAGTTAGATATAATGAAAAAGCAATAGAGTAAAATGTAAACTATTGATGAATCCGAGTAAAGGGTGTACATGAATGTTTTGCACTATTTTTTGCAACTTTTCTGTAACTTTCAAATTTATCGAATTTAAAAGTTATAAAATTTGGCACAAAGACTGTGGGCAACTGGAGTTTTAAAATACATTTAAACATATACCTCCTCTATGGCCCAGGGTTTCCACCCTTAGATATTTTCCTAAGAGAAATGAAAACATGCTCATCGTTTTGAACGTATTTTCAAATAATGACAACAGGCATCCTAAAGAGTTATCCAGAAATATTTACTGCAGCTATATTTATAATAATAAAAAATTTGTAAACAACCCAAATGTTCACCAACAGAAGAATGAATTAAAAAATTTGATATAGTTATACAATAGAACACTACTTGGCAATAAAAAGGAATGAACTAATATGTGAGACAATCTGGTCGAATCTCAGAAACAGTATATTTAAAAAGTAAGCCAAAACCAAAAACGACATACCATATGATTCCATTTATATGAAATAGTAAAACAGGCAAAATTAATCTGTAGTGGTAGACATTAGAACAGTGGTTGCCTATTTGTGGAAGAACTTTCTGGCATGATGGAAATGTTCTATTTTTTTTCATTGTGGTGGTCACATGAATATATGTAACTCATAGAATTATATAATTAATATCTGTGCATTTTGATAGGTGTAAATGATACCTCAGTTTTAGAAAGTAATCTGGAAGTGTAGCATTTTCCATATTTGGGAAATATTGCAGATAATGACAACAGGCATCCTAAATTCATTATACATTCTTAAGATATTACCAGACAAGTCTAGCCTCTGAATTTTTTACTTACATCGAGATTTCAAAGAGTTTCTAATTCCCAAGATTGAAGATGATCCCCTGAGCACTAATAGGAAAGAAAAAGGAAAAATTGTAGTAATTTGACATTATTCCTGGAAAATAAACAAAAAATCCATTGAAAACTTGTTAACAACAGTGACAATTAAGGAAGCCAGTTACAAAATGATATTTTAAGAAAGTAATAGATTTTTCTATAAAATAGAAGCTATCAAGATATGAGGGAAAAAAATACATATGCCAAAATATAAAATATTTAGCAATAAATTTAAAGGAAATATATAGAATGTATTTGAAAAAAACTATTGAACTCTACTAACAGGCATAAAAGAATAGAGAAACAGACAATGTTCCTAGATAAAAAGAATCACTATGGTAAAAATGCCAATTCTCCCTAAATTAACATAGAAAGTACCTTCCTAATCAAGATCTCAATATGATTGTTCTTTGACCTTCACACGATTATTATCTGTATCCCTAAAGGTACAATGAACCTGTTACCAGACTATTATAGACCAAGAGCAAAATAGAAATTCCAGAAACAGTTCTAACTAGATATTTGGATTCAGAATATAATTTTGCTCTTTCAAAAAGTGCAAAGCGGATAAAGGATAGGGCTTTCCAGTATATATTGTTGGAACAACTGGCTATTTAAGAAGAAAATAATAAATTGAGATTCCTACAGTCTACCCTGCCATAAAATAAATTCCAGAATGGCTGAAAGTAAAAGGTAAAGCTATAAAAGCATCAAAAGAATAGTTGAATATTTATACAATTTTAGACTATAGCAAAAACCATATCAAAAACAGAAATAATGTTTTCTGACATAACTGAACATTGATAGATTTGAATATATAAAAATTATATTTCCATAGGTTTAAAAATACAATTAAGTGCAAAAAACAAACAAACTGGAAACAATTCACGACATCTATACTAGACAAAATACATTAATGTCTTTAATATATAAAAATATTTTCCAAACCAAAGAGATTCACGCATCTCAAACCTGGTTTCTCAACCTGGACACTATTGACACTTTGGGCCAGATAATTCTTTGGTTTGTGGGGCTATCCTGTGCATTTTAGCAGCATCCTTGGCTTCTATCTGCTAGCTGCCAGGAGCATCCCTTCATCGTGACGAGCAAAAATATCTCCAGACATTGCCAAATGTCCCCCAAGAAGACAAAATCACTCCTAGTTGAGAACCAGTGGTCTAGAAAGAAACATTCATATTTTTTCTCTGCAAGGTGGGACTGGCAGGATGGGGGCCTGGGGGAGGTAGATTTAAAAAATGGATATCTCAGTCTGTCTTCTAAGTTTATATAAGCCTTACAATTCTGCGGGTGTTAATGTAGTTCCATTAATTGTAATAACTAATATTTAATTGGTTCTTGCCCCCTCTCATTCAGACAAGACCTCCACCCTCTGCAAAACATCTTCCCAGGATTATGGGAAGTGCCCAAGATGTGGTCACGGGTGTACCACAGCCAGTTGGCTTCTGTGGTACTCTGCCGCTGCGCCTGCCTCCACTTCTGTGGTTCATCCCCAACTCCCATGGAAGTTGGAGCACTTTCACGGAACCCTGCGGTTCTTTCCAACATGCAGCAGCCACCAGCCACAGTCACCTGCAACCACAAATCAGCAAAGCCCCACAGCCCCGAATCTCCACTGAGGTTTGTAATGAAGTGGGACTTCAAGTTTAAGTCTTTCTCCGAGGCTATTACGGCCTGCCAGTAGGGGCTCTCCATGTGCACTGCTCAAACCATTATGCTCTATAACTGTTTTCAGTGTAAGGCTCTTTACGCTTTGTTAGTAATCTCTTGCTCTCCGGAGCCCAGAGAGTGACAGATTCGTAACAGACCCCTGTTCACTCCTCGTTGCCTCTCCCCTGTGCTGAGAGGGCTTCTCATTGGCTCAGGTGCATCCCCTGTGCTGCTTCTCCCCTCAGGATGCCCTCTTCATCTAGAGGTTTCTCCAGGGAACCTGCCTGGCTCACTCACCTAACAAGCTAAGAAATGTCTGAACCGTCTTTAAATTCAAGCCAGGAGCCTAGAAGTAGTCCTAGGGAAAACGAAACAAAACAAAACAAAACAAAACAAAACCAACAAACAAACAAACACGACTGGAAAGAAATACATGGAGAAGTTAACAGGAGGGCTCCTTGGAGAGATGGTTAATTCTGGGGCTGGCCTGGGAAGGATGAGATGAGGCTGAAGCACCTTGCTGTGCCGGAACATCAGGACGTGCTCAAAAAGTGATGAGGCCAGGGCCTGATGGAAGAGGCTCCCAGCAACCAAACCTGCCAAGGTTTGAGCACCAAAAAAACAGCAACAGTGATTCTATAACCCATGAGAATAAAAGAATCAGTCCATGATGACATAGGTAAGTAAATAAAGAGAAATACATAGAAAGCTTCTTTTTACAGTAGAATTTCAACTAATAAATATCCAAGAGATGATGGGGAAAATGTTGAAGTGGTTTATCACATAGATGAGACCATGGATTTTTTTTCTTTTTTCTGATCACCCTTTCTAATTATTTTTATTTTTTTGCAATGAATAATTGCTTGTATAATAAAAATGCAAAAAGTCACCTGCAGTAGATCGCCTGTGAAGTTATATTCTTATTGTATCTCTCATGAGCGACATTTGTCTCCTACTTTTATGCTAATGAATTTTTGATAGGCCCTATCTTGCATTTCTTTTTCCTATTTACGTATTTTAGAAAGAGGACAGCACAGGTGCTTCCCAGCAGGGCCACCCTGCACAAAGGCACCCAGTAGGCTGCAGAGTGAGGCTGAAAGTTAACCCCTGATCTTTGCGTTAAACTGTGACGACTGGTGCACGGTTGCATCTGCCCATAAGGCCACTGTTTCCTAACTCACACATGATTCTGTCCTAGCTGCTGTGTCCTTCAAAATAGTCTGTGTGGGTTTACCTGGTTGCTGCTAGAATTCTTCTTTTTGATCTCAAGGTCAAAGCCTGGTGGCATGAACAGCATTACCTGTTCAGCCGTGCGTCACTAAAGGTGTGAGGAGGTTGAGATCAAGAGCAGTCTAGTTAGGAAGTGTCATCTCTTCAAGTTTCCTCCCCTGAGTTTGTTGAACTTGCAGGGCATGAGGTCACCTTCCTCATCTGATTTTCCCATTCTCTATTCCAAATACATGGCATGGCTGTGGCCAGATTCTTGCCACTCTAGGAGGTGAGTGGAAGGATGTCCAGTTGCTTTAGGAAACTGTTCTTCCATCACTGAGAAGCCAGGCCAGCTCACAATTTATGTTTCATGAGGATTACTTGTTCTTTCAGAAGTCACTGACAAATGTTGGTCCCTACTGGCAATGAGGTAGCTCTGCATCTTTTCTCAGAACCACTCTGACAGGTAACTCTTGCCTCTCTCTAATTCAGAGATGTTGGTGAAATACTCCTCTGCTCCGTTTACTCTGCATCACTTTCTAGGAAAGAAAAGTGATGAGTCAGCTCTTGACACTGTGCCTTCAGTGTGATCCCCCTACATTCTAGAAAACAGCAATGCCTCAAAGCTGATTCTCAACGCTGCTACAGGCTTTTTCTCTATTTGGGGTTTCTATTGATTCTTTCCGTCATTATCTTTCCTAAAAGGGCAGCGTATAAAGGGGAATAGTTGCACAAAGGGGTATTTTAAGAATAATTCGCCTTTAGGTGTGTGCTTCCAGAAGACACTGGTGGAGAAACTACTTCTGTGGGAGAAAAAGTACAGTGGCCTCTAGGGTGAGAACTCAAGGTGTCAGCAGCACCTACATAAAGCAAGACACCAGCCATGTGCCACCACACTGCCACCAGGAGACAGGTCCTGCTTGTGTTGATCCCTGGTGACATGACCAGAACCAAAACAAACGAACAAACAAACAAACAAACAACCTTAAAGTAGGTAAAGATCTTGAAGGTGGCAAAATGATGCCAATCCAAGAAGAAACCAATTCCTAATGTGAAATGGATACACTGACCCTGCCAACCAAGGGCATTGTCTTTCCCAGTTTGAACAAAACCACAATCCATTAACTCCAGTATTGATGATTTTCTTCTATTCTAGGCCCTGAGCTCTTTTTGGGTCAACTGCAGCTGCAACTCTAGAGCGACAATAAGGATGTGTTTGAGGTGCTGAGGGAGGAGGAGGATGGAGTGAGAAGGTGACAACATTCAGCCAGGTGCCCCCAAAACATGGAGGCAAGAGAAAGAGAATTTGTCCAAGTGCAAGGTCTGCAGGCAGTGCAGGGCAGCTACCAGCAGGGCCCATTTTTATGGGATTGTGAAAGGTGATTCTGGAAAGGCAGGCAGCAGCTACAACATGAAAGATCTTTGGACTGTGTCTGTATATGATAAGAAGTCAAAGAAGTATCTTTAAAACAAGAGGAGCAAAGAGAGCTCATCCTGGTAACAGATGGAGGGTTAGGCTTGCCTAAGTTTACAGAAGTAGGTAATGACAGGGCTAAGAGAGAACTCAGCTCATTTTAATTCCATATTGCTTATCTTTCTCTTGTGCTTTGCAGTGTGTGTGTGTATGTGTGTGTGTGCGTGTGTGTAGGGAGGAGGGGTGAGATTGGCAAAAGTTGAGCCAGATTATACTGATTAATTAGTTCAACACCCATTTTGCTGAGAGCATACCGTGCCCACAGTGCTGAGTTGAGCAAACTTAAGAGGTGATATGAAAGGAGCAAAAGTGCTTAAAAATCTGGGAAAGGGTATCCATCCCTGGTGCATTGGTTTTGATTATTCCTCAGCTATATAAACATCCAAAGAGATGACCTCATATATTCCACAGGCATGACCGAAGATTATGGCACAGATGTTCTGAAATAAACAATGTTAGTGCAAGCACATAGCTGCACAGTCCTGTAATGGTCCCGAGAAGAGCTTAGACCATTTTTTTAAAAAACATAAACCACAAGTTAAGGCTAAATCAGAAAGAAAATAGAAACCTTTCTTCATCTGCTCTGTTCTTGGTTTCATGTTTTATAGATGGCCTGGGAAGCCCTCTGCACGCCTTTCTCAACTAAGGAATTTGTGGAAGTAGAATTTCTTCTGTTGACAGAATTCTGCTGAGAACTGAATTTTCTGCTGTTTTCATTACTCTTTTCTAAATGTTTCACAGTTCTGTTTTTTTTACAGCCAGATTTCCATTTGATACTGGTTGTGGTTACACTAAAAGTAACATCTATGGCCAAATGGCTGGAAATTTTACATTTTTGACACCGAGATTTTTCCTGTACTTCACGGAGGGCAAGGGTTATACCCTATTTTTTCCCAGTCTCCCACAGTGCCCAACCCAGACGACCGTACATAATAAGCGCTTTATTCTCAGCACTGCTGTATGCCTCATTGGAACAGGATGCCCAAGGTGATGGCTGCAGAAATGGATGGATTGGAGCGTGACTTGCCAAGACAGGTACGACCCCAGCCTGGACTTGTTTCATTCCGAAATAAAATCAGGAAGGGAGTCTCAGTTCTGACTAATAACATTCTGTCATTCAGGCTAGTGGGGACTCAGAATCATATTTAAATTATTTAGATAAAAAATTGAACTTGAGAGCAAATTCATACCTCTAAAAGTTAAGAATGTAGTTGCTACTGTGACCTGCTGGTATAAGCTGAGATCAGCATAACCTTCTCACTAGTTGAGACGTTAGTTCATAAAAAGCTTTATTCACGCAAGGAAAATGTTCTTAAAAATATTTAATGTAATTCACATAATTCATAAGGAACTACAATTACAAAATCTTTTTATTAGTTATTTTATATTCTGCAAAGGTACAATTTTGGACTATTATAATACTTTCCCAGAACTGCCTCGGGGGAAATATTTTTATTACCTAGCAAAGAAACCTGATTTTAGACCAGGGTAGTTCTACAGAACATTTTAATGTAACTATTTTTCAATAGCTACATAAAATTATATTCATTTATATCATAACAAAGGTATACAAAGACCATAAAAATAGAAGTACAGATTCCAAATAGTTTACTATTAAAATTATGCAGATGTCACTCAATCTCAATTAACTATGATCTCAGTCTCCTTGTCACAGGGGCATGATCAACCACGTTACAGTGATAAAGAAAGTGGAACTCAGGGACGTTAAATTACTTGCCCAAGGAAACATGTACTAGGTGGAAAAATCTAGATAAAAATCTGTGATTGAAAACCTGTAACTCATCAAAAATTGAAGTACAAAAAACTTATATTCACAAATGAGAAGGAAACTGAGATATTTATTAAAAAATATATTCTTCTCTCCACTATCTCTCTTTCCTTCCCCAAGTACCCCAAACCCAACCTAGTTTTGAGACTAGCTCTTTTTCTACATGAATTATCTTTAGATTCAAGAAAAGAGATTTTAATTCCAGTAGTGGCAGAGTGGCTTCTATTTGACAAAGCCTTCTGAAGAGAACAGTTGTACCCTCTGGAAGGGCTTGAAGAAGAACTTCTTGAGGATACTGGAAAGATAGCTGAATCAGGTAGAAACTGTTAGAGAGTGGATGCTCTTACTGCTCTTTGCCTGTGAGCAGACTCCAGTCAGTATCACATGAAGCCGCTAAGACTCAGATGGAAACTCACAATCCTAGAATAGAATCTCTCCATCCTAATGGCTGGAAGAACCAGAAGGAAGAGGATCACTGCAGATCAAAGATATTCTAAAATAGAGAGAGCCAGAGAAAAGGAGACACCTTTTTTTTGTATATTCTCTTGAACTATATATACAGGATAACTCCAATAAGCCCCAATGAGAATAAAATTACAAAACAGAGATTTTAACTACCTCCTACCCAGGGGAGAATAAGTTTGGAGATTGAGTTCAGACAAATTAAATGCCTGGTAAAATAAACAAAGCAAAAAGTCAAAGCTCTTTAGAGGAATATAACAGGATATACCATCTCTAAAATGTATCATTCATGATGTTCAGTATACTATACAAAATTACTAGACATACAAAGAAAGAGTAACATGAGACCCATACTGCAGAGACAAAGTTGTCAGTAGGAACTGATCTGAGGTGAGCCAGAAGTTGAAATTATCAGATTTTTTTTTGAGACACAGTCTCACTCTGTCCCCCAGGCTGGGGTGCAGTAGTACGATCACAGCTCACTGCAGCCTCGACCTCCTGGGCTCAAGCCATACTCCCACCTCAGCCTCTCGAGTAGCTTAGACTAGAGGCATGCACCACCACACCCAGCTAACTTTTATAGTTTTGTAGAGATGAGGTTTTGCCAAATTAGATAAGAATTTTAAAGTAGTTATGATAACTATGTTCAAGGATATAAAGGAAAATATGTTTATAATAAATTAATAAATAATTCAGCAATAAATAGAAATTATTTAAAATATAGAGAAGACTCAGATCTTGCTAGATTGAAAAATAAAACTTTCCAGCCTTCCCAAAACCTAGGTTGAGTGAAGTAGTTGGGATAAGAAAGGGAGAGAATGGAAAGAAGTAATGTTCAAATATATGCAGAAGTAATTTTTAAATCAATAAATAGCAATCTGTCTTGAAGAGATTTTTGGATGTGGCCTTTGTCTGATGGACTGAACTGCAATAGGATTCATAAGAAATCCACACTTTTGAAAAAGAGAATTATACCACCATAAGCACTGACAATTTGGACTAAGGGAGACAGAGACGTTCACAACGGGCAGAAAGCCCAGGCAGAGGAAGCGGCTCAGCTGCAAAAACAGGTCTTTTCTTATGGAAAAAGAATGAATCAGAGGGAGAAACCAAGAGCTAACAGAGCAGAAAATATGGTTCCAGGGAAGATGACCAAGTTTTAATAAAGATACTGGAAAATGAAGCCAGCTGGTTTTCAGAAATGCTATGCATCAGTGATTGCGATGTGCCTCCTGTTTTTCTCTTTTTAAATGGCAGTGTCTATTGCTGTTTTCCTGTCCTGCCTCATCGCTGTATATTGGGTTTTCAGGTGAGCAGAAAATAAATATATCTGTATAGCTTACAGGGCTGTAGGTTGAAATAAGTCATACTCAAGAAACCTTATCCTCATCTAAGCTAATTTGGATGCCAAGATCCTGGATTTCAAGTCTAAGCCAGTTATCATAATGGGATGAGACCTTGAGGGTCCTGGGAGGTGGAAGAGACGTGACAGGTGGAAGAGATATGAATCATTAGGGTGGAATGTAGCAAACTGACGTTTTGACGGTCTCAAGTGACCTTTACTTCTTTAGTTGCACGCTTTGGTAGTCTCACATTGACTCTGGGCTTGGCTATGTGCCTAACTTCGGACAATAGGACATTAGCACACCTGACGCAAACAGAGACTTGATGTGTGCTTGCAAAAAGGGACTTGTCCTCTTGGAACATTACTTACTGGAACCCAGCCACCATGGTGAGAGGTAGCCCAAGCTAGTCAGGAAGAGAAGTTATAGGGGAGAGATACACCGAGCCGTCCCAAATAAGGCGCCAGGCATGTTAGAGAAAAAACTGTCTCAAATGTTCCATCCCCGCAGATACAACATGGAACACAAATGAACCATGCCCTCCATGCTTTACCCAAATTGAAAAATTGTTAGTAAATAAATTATTGTTGTTCTTCTGAGCCACATTTATTAGAGTAGACCATGCAGCTATACATGGCAGGAAAAAAATCCTTAATAAAGTATTTGTGAATAGACTTTAACAGTAGTGTAAAAAGACTAACTTATCATGGGCAAGGTAGAATAAAGTGACTCAGTAATAGATCAATTACTAGAGTAAATAAAGAGATAAACAACAACCAATAACTATTGATATAATACATCACACAATTCAAGTTAGAAAAAAACTATAATGATTTAAAAAAATAAGTCTTTGATTAAAATTCAAACCTCAGTACTCTTTTCTTAAACAAATTAGGGTAGTGGACACTCTTGGTGTCCTGCCCAGATTCTCTAAGATAGTAACAAATCCCCCCGGTTGCTGTGCTAACGGCTGAAAGCTCACAGCTACAACTTCTCTAGAAAGGTATACTCTGCAGAACAGAAATTGCCTTAGCCTGAGCTTTACTTTCCTCTTGGGTAGCCTGCAGCCAATAGCTGACTGATATAGAGCTACAAAAGGCAGACATCCTTGCCTTAATGGTGGGCTGCCTCTGTGGTACAGTTCATGCTCAGGCTTGAGCTGGACTCCAGTTGAGGCCATTTCTCTATTTATCCCCCTTCTCTTCCCTCCCTGCTTCCTTCATTTTTTTCCCTGCAATCCCTTTCTCAGTAGACTACATGAACTCAAATCCCTAGCTTGAGCAATATTTCTGGCATTTGAGCAATATGAGGAAAATGATAATTATAAGGTCTGTGGAATCTGGTGGCTGTTGTTGAACACCACTGATGCTTTGAAGAGAAAACAGAAAGCTCAGTACCATTAATCACCAATTCAAAGCCAAGTGTAAAAGCCTCTTTGGGCTTTCTTTCCTTCAGGGCTTCTTTGGCAACATTCAAAGCAATCCTCTTTTCCTGTAGTTGTGGTGGAGATAGGGACAAACTGAGGAAAAGTATTATGACCCAATTCTGAGAGTAGCAAAACATCAGAGAACATTGGATTTGCAGTCCTGGGAGAATTCTAACACCAAAGTCAGGGACCTGAAAGAGAAGGAATGGGACCTGGAGATTTGGGATGAGGCTATCCGGGTAGGTACACATACAAAAGTTGAAACCCAGATTACTCAGAAATTTGTGGAGATGAAGAAGTATTTCACTATTCTCCATACCCCAATGTAATAAAAGCCATTTATGGCAAACCCACAGTCAACATAGTACTGAATGGTTGAAAGTTGAAAGCATTCCCTCTGAGAACTGGAACAAGACAAGGATGCCCATTGTCACCACTCCTCTTCAACATAGTACTGGAAGGCCTAGCCAGAGCAATCAGACAAGAGAAAGAAATAAAGGGCATCCAAAATGGTAAAGAGGAAGTCAAACTGTCACTGTTTGCTGACAATATGATCGTCTACCTTGAAAACCCTAAAGACTCCTCCAGAAGCCTCCTAGAGCTGATAAAAGAATTCAGCAAAGTTTCCAGATACAAGTACAAAAATCAGTACCTCTTCTATACACCAACAGTGAGCAAGTGGAAAATCAAATCAAGAACTCAACCCCTTTTAAAATAGCGGCAAAAAATTAAAATACTTAGGAATATACCTAACTGTATTAGTGTTTTCACACTGCTGACAAAGACATACCCAAGACTGGGATGAAAAAGAGGTTTAGTTGGACTTACAGTTCCACATGCCTAGGGAGCCCTCAGAATCATGGTGGGAGGCAAAAGACACTTCTTACATGGCAGTGGCAAGAGAAAATGAGGAAGATGCAAAAGCGGAAACCCCTGATAAAATCATCAGATCTCGTGAGACTTATTCACTACCATGAGAACAGTATTGGGGAAACTGCCCCCATGATTCAAATTATCTCCCACGGGTCCCTCCCACAACACGTGGGAATTATGAGAGTACAATTCAAGATGAGATTTGGGTGGGGACACAGAGTCAAATCATATCACTAAACAAGGAGGCAAAGGACCTCTACAAGGAAAACTACAAAACACTGCTGAAAGAAATCATAGATGACACAAACAAATGGAGACACATCCCATGCTCATGGATGGGTAGAATCAATATTGTGAAAATGATCATGCTACCAAAAGCAATCTACAAATTCAATGCAATCCCCATCAAAATACTGCCATCATTCTTCACAGAATTAGAAAAAACAATTCTAAAATTCATATAGAATAAAAAAAGAGCCTGCATAGCCAAAGCAAGACTAAGCAAAAAGAATGTCACACTATCTGGAGGCATCACACTATCTGATTTTAAAATATACTATAAGGCCATAGTCACAAAACAGCATGGTACTGGTATAAAAATAGGCACACACCAATGGAACTGAATGGAGAACCCAGAAATACACCCAAATACTTACAGCCAACTGATCTTTGACAAAGCAAACAAAAACATAAAGTGGGGAAAGACACTCTTCAACAAATGGTGCTGGGATAATTGGCTAGCCACATGTCGGAGAATGAAACTGGATCCTCATCTCTTGCTTTATACAAAAATCAACTCAAGATGGATTCAGGACTGAAATCTAAGACCTGAAACTATAAAAATTCAAGAAGATAACGTGGAAAACCCCTTCTAGACATTGGCTTAGGCAAGGATTTCATGACCAAGAAACCAAAAGCAAATACAATAAAAACAAAGATAAATAGCTGGGACTTAATTAAACTAAAGACCTTTTGCATGGCAAAAGGAACAGTCAGCAGAGTAAACAGACAACCCACAGAGTGGGAGAAAATCTTCACAATCTATACATCTGACATAGGACTACTATCCAGAATCTACAATGAACTCAAACAAATCAGCTAGAAAAAAAAATCCCATCAAAAAGTGGGTTAAGGATATGAATAGACAATTCTCAAAAGAAAATATACAAATGGCCAACAAGCATATGAAAAAATGCTCAACATCACTAATGATCAGAGAAATGCAAATCAAAAGCACAATGTGATACCGCCTTACTCCTGCAAGAGTGACCGTAATCAAAAAATTAAAAAAAAAAGATGTTGGTGTGGATGTGTTGATCAGGAAACACTTCTACACTGCTGGTGGGAATGTAAACTAGTACAGCCACTATGGAAAGCAGTGTGGAGATTCCTCAAACAATTAAAAGTGGAACTACCATTTGATCCAGCAATTCCACTACTGGGTATCTACCCAGAGGGAAAGAAGTCATTATATGAAAAAGGTACTTGCACATGCATGTTTATAGCAGTACAATTTGCAATTGCAAAATCATGGAACCAACCCAAATGCCCATCAATCAATGCGCATATATATATATATATATATATATATATATATATATATATATACACACACACATGCGATATATATGATATATATATACACATGCGATATATATGATATATATATCACAGTTTCTTCATCCATATATATTATATATGTATATATTATATATATTTATATATATATTATATACATATATAATATATATGATAGAATACTACTCAGCCTTAAAGATTCACAGTGATCTGAATGAGACTGGAGACTATTATTCTAAGTTAAGTAACTCAGGAATGGAAAACCAAACATTGTATGTTCTCATTGATATGTGGGAGCTAAGCTATGAGGACACAACAGCATAAGAATGATACAATGGATTTTGGGGACTTAAGGGGAAGGGTGGGAAAGGGGTAAGGGATAACAGACTATAAAGAGGATGCAGGTATACTGCTGGGGTGATGGGTGCACCAAAATCTCACAAATCGCCACTAAAGAACTTACTCATGTAACCAAACACCACCTGTACCCCAACAACCTATGGAAAAATAAAAAATAAAATAAAAATAAAACAAAAATGTCAAATAAAGAAGTATTTCACTATTCCCAGCTTCTTGCTTGAAGACTATGATGAAACAAACCTTAAATGACACAAGTCCACTATAAAACAATGCTTATCTGAGGGTCTCTCCACCTGCCCCCCGGCCTCCAGACCAATACTTAGGGTTATTTCCCAGTGTATGTCCACTAAGCTAGTAATGGTGGAGCTAAGATATAACTCAGACCATGTAACTCCAGAGCCCATGCTCTTAACCATTTTGCTATACTGCCTTGGTCATCTAATAAAGCAGCAATAATCACATAGAACTATGTTGTCCCATATTGTAGCCATATGTGGCTTTCATTGACATTTATTAAAATGTACACATGCAGCTCTTCAATTACACTAACCCCATTTCAAACATTCAATAGGCTAGTGTTGGCCACATTGGTCAAGGCAAAGGGAGAATATTTATATCATCCCAGAAAGTTCCATTAGAAAGCACTGACCGAGAACATATCACACTCAATTATGTTAGCAACAAAGTATAATGCACTTAAAAAAAAAAAAAACCTTAAAAATAAATTCAACTACAGAGCCCATATGGGAAAAAAAAAAAGTCAAAGCTTTATTAGGTAACACAAAAGAAGTATAACTTAAAAAGCCTTTCCAGGAGCCTAGGTATAAGGATGAAAATGGTAGACGTCTGTTGTCTCCAATTTCCTTTATACATTTAACATTATTCTAGGTAGTATCAGCATACAATTTTATTTTTCACTACCCTCTGACAAAAAATGATTCTAAAATTATTCTGGAATGGAGAAAACATTAACAGTAAAGAATGAAAGGAGATTTGCATGTTTAAAATTAATCTGTTGTATTTATTTCTTAGGGCTGCTGTAACAAACTACTACAAACTTTGCCGCTTAAAAACAGAAATGGCTTCCCTCACAGTTTCTGGAAGTCCAAGGTCCGGCAGGATTGTGCTCCCCCTAGGAACCCTAAGGGAAGATGCGTTCCTGGCCACCTCCAGCTCTGGTGGCTGCCTGGCTGCTTTCCTGTGCCTGATATCACATCACCCCATTATCTGCCTCCGTTTTCACATCGCTTTCTCCTCTTGTGTCTCTCCAATCTCCTTCTGCCTCCCTCTTCTAAGAACACTTATCATCGGATTTATGACCCACTCAGATAATACAGGATTAATTCTTCCTCTCAAAACCCTTAATTGCATCCATTGCCAAATAAGGTAACATTTACTCTTTTACCGATAAGGTAATACTCACAGGTTCTGAGAATTAGGGCATGGACATATCTTTTTGGGGCCCACCATTCAGCGCACTACATTTACACGAGAAAATGATAATATTCAAAATAGCGTGAAAGTACCAAAACGAAGGTAGGCACTGTAGGAGACGAAAATAGAGATGAGGTATGAGGGAGATTCAGGGACCAGTCCGCATGTTATAAATTTTCAATCTCGCAAGCATTCACATTTTTTAAATATTGAATTTTTGCCTTTGTTTTCTGCAATCACCAAAGATTTCAGGTTTTATTAAATATCCAAAGTTGGTGGTGGCATGGGAAAAGAACACTATTTTACTGCTGGTAGAAGTACACATGGAACTTTAATAAAGCCATCCTCAAAGACATTTTGGAACCATTAATCAAAAGCTCTAAAAAGCACATATCTTTTGATCCAGCCATTTACCCTAATAATCAGAGATATTTGTAGACGTGTATAGACAAAGGTAATGATAACTTGATTATTTTAAAAGTAAAACTGGGCGGAAAACATGAATGTCTAACAATGGAGAACTGCTTGTCTAAACAATGGAATAGCCACATAATGATAGAGTGAAGAACAGTTAGTGACAGAGGAGAAATTTATAACATATTTCTATATAAAACAAGAGTAGGCTTCAAAACAATGTACAGGATGACCTAATTGGTATGGGCTATATACTTGTGTAGTTAGGTATTGTGCATGTGTGTGTAATATATACACATAATACACACATGGAACCAAAAAAGGAGAAACATTAAAATATTAGTGATACATTTTATTAACAAAATTAGCACATTTACTAATTTATTGTATTCATTCATTGTATTTTTAAAAACAAAATTTGTGGCCTATGTAATGATAAAAGTTGATAAGAATACGACTTCGAATTAACAACTCAATAAATAGTCTTCGCAGAAAATAAAATTTAAATCGCCCAAAACCAGACATCAGATAAGAACAAAGGGTTCTTAATCTCAGTTCTATTCTATTCCATTTGCTTTGAATCAATTTGGTCCTTAAAGGTCTTTGTGAAGCAATTTTGAAAAATTCACAAGAGGGCAGAGACAAACATTTACATTAAAGTTTAAGCAGAGATATGGGATAAAACACGTATGGATGCTGAGAAATATCACTTTGTAAAACTATCATTTCAACCTTAAGGACATATCAGAAAAAAAAGTGAGCAGTTTTATTAGTTGAGGTAATGCAATTATTTTGCAAAACTTTATTTTTTATTGATTTTCTATGAGGCATTTTTATGTCTGCAAAGGAAGTTCAAGTCCCACTTTTCACTTGTACTTTTGCTACCTGTTTATGCAGAATTGGCCACTGGGCTTCCTAACCTCTCTGTTCATTTCAGAGCAAAGTGTCTCCTTGTTCCCCATTGCAATTCTTTTCCACTCAGTTTTTTTAAGTTGAAAACAGAAAATTATAAACACCTGTGCTGAATAAAATCTCCTGGCTCTGCAAAATAAAAAATTATTCTTATTATTCCAATCAAGAAAGTTTTATTTTTGCCTGATCTATTTCCCTTGCTCAGTTCGGTCATATCAAAGCTGAGAGCCTGTGTTCAAGGACCTTAACAGAGACTTGGCTCTATTATAACGGCCTGTAGTCGGTTTCTAAAAGGTTAAGAACCTCCTTGCTGGGCTGGGCGCCATGGCTCACGCCTGTAATCCCAGCACTTTGGGAGGTCGAGGTGGGCGGATCACAAGGTCAGGAGATTGAGACCATCCTGGCTAACACGTTGAAACCCTGTCTCTATTAAAAATACAAAAAATCAGCCAGGTGTGGTGGCGGGCGCCTGTAGTCCCAGCTACTCGGGAGGCTGAGGCAGGAGAATGGCGTGAACCCAGGAGACAGAGCTTGCAGTGAGCCGGGATCATGCCACTGCACTCCAGCCTGGGTGACAGTGCGAGACTCCATCTCAAAAAAAAAAAAAAGAACCTCCTTGCCTATCAGACATTCAGTGGAGCCAACAGGTTTCTTCCAAAACAGTTCTGAAAATATTCACATAAAAGGATAGTTTGTGTATATTCTTGTACTTTACTTTACTTGGACAATATCTCTTTAAACATAATTTCACGCTAGGACTAGTTAATATTTATGCCTTGCTGTTTTCGTTGAGTTGTATTTTTATGTAGAAAAATAACAGTGGGTGGGAAAACTCGCTGTGCTGAATATGCCCACCCCAAAGCCACAGCTGAGTTATGGCAGGCTCTCTCAACTTTCTGCCAGACTCTTTTTCCAAAGACAGATGTGTGCCCCCCTATTAGCTTACTCTCCAATCTCCACACCTTGTCTATGCTTCTGTCCCATACCTTCTTCATATGAAACTTTAAATCAAAGATAATCATATGAAACAGGTCTGAGATCACATTGCAACTTGCATTGTTTCTTGGAAACAAATACAAAGGATGAATTGTTTCAATGATGTTACTTTCACATAGAAAATGGTGAAAGTAAGGCTGCTTATAGTTCTGCAAAGTTCAAAAATTACTTTTACAGAGCCCTGACAATTTGGAAGACTGTATTTATACACACACACATACTCTCAAAAGATCATTTAAACGGATTGATTCATTGCCCATTAGTGTTTAATTCATCTTAGCTCCTCTCCCCTCCCCAGACTTTGTGGGGTGGGGCTGAAAGTTCCAGATTTCTAATTTGGATCAAGCTAAAGGCTTGATCTTTCTGGCAACCAACTTCCATCCTAACGCTATCTAAAAGCCCACTAAGACCCACCTAATTAGAAGAAAAGACAAATTCCAAGGGTTTTAGTAGCTCTCTGCCAGGAACTAAGAACCAAGACTATCCTTCTTCTTATGTCACAGCCTATAATAATAATAATAATAATAACAATAATAATAACTACATAATAAAAAGAAATAAATAATATTCCAATAGAGGAGCTTGAACTACTACTTTGGATACATACAGTGCACCTTGAATTATAAGTAAGGTTCAAGAAGACTGTAGGGACAACTCAGTAAAGAAAAGAGCATACTACTGAGAACCATTTTAGGTTTTGTTCCTTACAATTCACAACCTTGGGTAATTCATTAATGTTCTCTGGACCTCTGTCTTCTCCTCTGCAAGTGGAATTAAACTATCATCTGAAAAGTCTCTTTATTTTAATTTCATGCTCAGGAACCCACTGGTATTTTCATGACTGAGATCATCACAACAACTTGGGAGTTGACAGACAATGAGAAAGGGAGGCAATACAAAATATGTTTTGGAAACCACTGGATTCAAGAAATGACTTTATTCTGGGACATCTCATATGCAAAAGCATAGAGAACTCTGTAGGTGAGCTAAATATGTTTAATACAATTCTTGGAATTTGGTTTTGAGAGCCTTCCTGCCAGTAACAGCCATGGTGAAGGAGAAATAAAATAAACACAGTGATTACAAAACACTTGAAGGTTCCTGTGTTTCATTTCTTGGACTGAAGACTGTGGACATTTTCATCGTCCCTGAGCCACCTGAACCACAGTTTCTGTAGTGGCAGCAGCAAAACCATAATTTTATGGTGAGAAGAATCCCAGCAACCAATCCATGTCCATGCCTGTATTTGTATTTCCCATCTTGTCCCAGAATATATTTCATGTGCCTGTAAGCAGCAGGTGCATAATTGCATTGTATGGATTAGTCATTCTTGATAATGCTTCTGCTGTTTGTGTAATGCTTAGATTTCAAACACTGATGATCTAAGGACACTGGAAAGGTACAATGGTAATTTTTAAAAAAGGCATTAATAGGTACTCATTTCAAAAATGAACATTCGTACCCCTGTGCATTCATTTGTTGGGAGCACATAGCCACACACTATTGGATATAGAAAGAAGAAAGGAAGCTCTGAACTGAAGAAACAGCTGGGAAGAGGAAATAACTGAAAGGATTGTTTCCCTATATATTAAAAAGACTGGGTCATCTCCTGATGTTTGATTGTTATTATTATTATTTGAGACAGAGTCCTGGTCTGTCGCCCAGGCTGGAGTGCAGTGGTGTGATCTTGGCTCACTGCAACCTTTGCTTCCCGGGTAAAAGCGATTCTCCTGCCTCAGCTTCCCGAGTAGCTGAGACTATAGGCACACGCCACCACACCCAGCTAACTTTTTTTTTAAATTTTTTATTTCCGTAGGTTTCGTGGGAACAGGTGGTGTTTGGTTACATGAATAAGTTCTTAAGTCGTGATTTCTGAAATCTTGGTGCACCCATCAACTGAGCAGTATACACTGTACCCAATGTGTAGTATTTTATCCCTCACCCCCTCCCACCCTTTCCCCCTGAGTCCCAAAAGTCCATTGTATTATTCTTATGCCTCTGTGTCCTCATAGTTTATCTCCCACTTATGAGAGAGAACATGCGATATTTGGTTTTCCATTCCTGAGTTACTTCACTTAGAATAATTGGCTCCAATTCCATCCAGGTCGCTGCAAATGCCATTATTTCATTCCTTTTTATGGCTGAGTAGTATTCAATTATATATATATATATATATATATATATATATATATATAAATATGTATAAATATAAAATATATAATATATATAACAATATTTTAATATATTTTAAGTTCTGGGGTACATGTGCACAAAGTGCAGTTTTGTTACATAGGTATACATGTGCCACGTTGGTTTGCTGCACCCATCGACTCGACATTTACATTAGGTATTTCTCCTAATGCTATCCTTCCCTCAGCCCCCCACCCCCCAGGAGGTCCCGGTGTGTGATGTTCCCTGCCTGTGTCCATGTGTTCTCTTTGTTCAACTCCCACCTATGAGTGAGATCATGCGGTGTTTGGTTTTCTGTCCTTGGGATAGTTTGCTGAGAATGATGGTTTCCAGCTCCATCCGCGCCCTGCAAAGGACATGAACTCATCCTTTTTTATGGCTGCATAGTTTTCCATGGTGTATATGTGCCACATTTTCTTAATCCAGTCTATCATTGATGGACATTTGGGTTGGTTGCAAGTCTTTGCTATTGTGAATAGTGCCACAATAAACATAAGTGTGCATATGTCTTTATAGTAGAATGATTTATAATCCTTTGGGTATATACCCAGTAATGGGATGGCTGGGTCAAATGGTATTTCTAGTTCTAGATCCTTGAGGAATCGCCACACTGTCTTCCACAACGGTTGAAATAATTTACACTCCCACCAACAGTGTAAAAGTGTTCCTGTTTCTCCACATCCTCTCCAGCATCTGTTGTTTCCTGACTTTTTAATGATCACCACTCTAACTGGCGTGAGATGGTATCTCATTGTAGTTTTGATTTGCATTTCTCTGACGACCAGTGATGATGAGCATTTTTCATATGTCTGTTGGCTACATACATGTCTTCTTTTGAGAAGTGTCTGTTCATATCCTTTGCCCACTTTTTGATGGGGTTGTCTTTTTTCTTGTAAATTTGTTTAAGTTCTTTGTAGATTCTGGATATTAGTCCTTTGTCAGATGGGTAGATTTCAAAAATTTTCTGCCATTCTGTAGGTTGCCTCTTCACTCTGATGATAGTTTCTTTTGCTGTGCAGAAGCTCTTTAGTTTAATTAGATTCCATGCGTCTATTTTGTCTTTTGTTGCCATAGCTTTTGGTGTTTTAGTCATGAAGTCCTTGCCCATGCCTATGTCCTGAATGGTATTACCTAGGTTTTCTTCTAGGTTTTTTATGGCGTTAGGTCTTACATATAAGTCTTTAATCCATCTTGAATTAATTTTTGTATAAGGTGTAAAGAAGGGATCCAGTTTCAGCTTTCTACATATGGCTAGCCAGTTTTCCTAGCACCCGAATCCTTTCCCCATTGCTTGCTTTTGTCAGGTTTGTCAAAGAGCAGACAGTTATAGATGTGTGGTGTTATTTCTGAGGCCTCTGTTCTGTTCCATTGGTCTATATATCTGTTTTGGTACCAGTACCATGCTGTTTTGGTTACTGTAGCCTTGTAGTATGGTTTGAAGTCAGGTAGCGTGATGCCTCCAGCTTTGTTCTTTTTGCTTAGGATTGTCTTGTCTACGTGGGCTTTTTTTGGTTCTATATGAACTTTAAACTAGTTTTTTCCAATTCTCTGAAGAAAGTCCTTGATAGCTTGATGGAGATGGCATCGAATCTATAAATTACCTTGGGCAGTATGGCCATTTTCGTGATATTGAGTCTTCCTATCCATGAGCATGGAATGTTCTTCCATTTGTTTGTGTCCTCTTTTATTTTGTTGAGCAGTGGTTTGTAGTTCACCTTGAAGAGGTCCTTCACATCCCTTGTAAATTGGATTCCTAGGTATTTTATTCTCTTTGTATTTTTAATAGAGACAGGGTTTCACCATGTTGGCCAGGCTGGTCTCAAACTCCTGACCTTAAATGATCCACCCAGCTCAGCCTCCCAAAGTGCTGAAATTACAGGCATGAGCCACTGCACTCGGCCTGATTATTACTATTTTGACATAGGAAAGCATTGCATGGATTCAATAGACATTTTGTGATCACCCCGCTATGTCCCTAATCATAAGGATCAGGTAAATACTTCACAGAATGATGCCTGGAATGCAATCAAGATAAAAATATCTTCAAAACTGTGTGCCCATTTCTATTTCTGCCATCTTTAGATTCACTTAAACTTCCTGGGTCTGATTTTTTCATCTGAAAAAATGGAAACACAAATAATTGTTCCACCTGCCTGTCTGGGTTTCCATGAGAATTGAATATTTGTAAAAAGGTGCTGTATACAATATGAGAACTATAATGTCAAATCCATGACAGGAAAACTGTGTGAGAGATAAACGGCATTGTCCCCTATATCGTTCCATAATCACATATGAAATTGTGGTTTTCTTGGTGCACTTGTGGTTATTCAGGAAGACGTGATAGAATGAAAAAAAAATTGAAACTAGAGAAGAGTTGAAAGATTTCTTGTAGAACTCTTTCATTGTAACGTAAAAGCACTGCAGCTCAGGAGGAGGATACCGCTTGCTGATGGCCAATAGTTGGATATAGGCAAACACACCAAAAATCAGTTCTTTAAAATTCAAAATTGGTTAAATGCAGATTTCAGAATGACCAATTTGCTTCATCATTGTTTTGCTAAATTCTTAAACCCAACACTTGCATCTGTTCCCTGCCCCATGCCACACCTCCTTTGATCGGCACCACTGTCCCTGTAGGTGCCTTAGCCTAAGCTGTTGCTTTGTCTTTTAGTATCAAATGGCTACAAACTATACTCAATTCTGCATAAGGAATCTATCTTAGTTTTTGATTAACATGTGATTTTTAACAAATCTATTTATTTTTACTTATGAGTTCCTTTTCTGTCTTTAAAATATATACTTTTAATAAAACATCTGCAAACAGCATTCATTACAAAATTATAAAGCAGCCATTGAGAAACTAACTTTCAAGATAAAGATTTTGTTTCATTTGGGAGAAAGGCAATGGTTTGAGAAACTTGCCATCTTTGCTTGGTTCCTGGGTATAAAGACCAAAGAAAGTAGATGTCATCTCAATTTTCAGCCCCTTTTGACCTAGGCTTTTCTCTCATTGGCAAAGATGTCACACCAGTTGTGGGAAAAAATAAAAGAGCGCTGGCTTTCCTATCTCTGTGTTTTTAAACTTCAGACATACTTTTCACATCCAGAGTGACTTAATGGAGTCTAACAACCAATTAATGGCTTTAAAACCAGTGGGGATCCTGTTCTGCCCCGTAACCTGAAATGAATTATTGATAGATGCTCTCAGCCCTGTGTCCTGTCAGATATTTCAAAGTCAATGTCAGGCTGTGCATTTTCTCATTCACTCTCTACTAAGGTCAAGATTTGTGAAGCAACACTCTTCCAAAGGGGAGAAAATAAAAGCCAGCTGCCTGCAAAGTGTGGAGCTAGACATAATTGGCCTCCCTTTAAACCCAATCTCTTGAAGATATTAGCAACCTCAACATGTATTATAGGACTGGTGGCATTGTTCCCTCAAAACAGGTGGAACTTTGCACATTTAGATGGAGAATGACATTAATAAGTACTTTCATAATTATAACAGTCACTCTCCCTTATTGTGTTTTCTTTCAATTGAGTCTTGGAACAATCCTGTGAGGCAGGTTGGGCAAGTATTATTTGCACCTAATATGGAAAAAAGAAAAACCTAAAACCTAGAGTTTTATGAGCTTCCCCCTTCCTCTTTTCTTTTTCCTTCTCCTCCTCCTCCTTTTTTACATTTGGGTAATAGTAGTGCAATTGTGATAGCTCTGCTTGACCATAAGACAGCTCTAAAAAGGTGATTTTTTAATGACTTAGATTTTAATGTCATTCTTCTATGGCAATTTCTGAATTAGCCACTTCTTAGCAAAATAATTAGTACATTTCTAAAGTGTTCCTTTCAAATACTTTAATCTGACTGATGGCTTAAGAATAGTAACACAATAAAATGTAATGGGTAAATATATGATAAAATAAATCTTAGAAAACTTCCAAATAAAAGTCACTAAGGGTCATTGAAATATTTTATATATACAGTTTAAAACTTTGAAAAATCTCTTATTAATGTAATCTCTTAAAAAGGAAGAAAAATTGCTCTCTGCTAAATAACCGTGTATATATACATCTTTTACATATATGTTGCTATAGTGTTTCATTTTGCATTTAACAACAAATTATATTCATAATATTTTTTCTGGGATATTATATAGTTTTCATAATTATTATTTTAATTAATAAATACTATTTGTTTTTGAGACAGAGTCTCACTCTGTCGCCCAGACTGGAATGCAGTGGTGCAATCAGGGCTAACTGCAACCTTGACCTCCTGAGCTCAAGAGATCCACCTCAGCCTTCCAAGCAGCTGGGACCACAGGTGCATGCCACCATGCCTTGTTAATTTATTTTTAATTTTAATTTAATTTAATTTTATTTTTGAGACAGAGTCTCCCTCTCGCCCAGGCTGGAGTGCAGTGGCACAATCTTGGCTCACTGCAACCTCCGCCTCCGGGTTCAAGCGATTCTCCTGCCTCAGCCTCCCTAGTAGCTGGGACTACAGGCGTGTGCCACTACGTCTGGCTAGTTTTTTGTATTTTTAGTAGAGGCCAGGTTTCACTGTGTTAGCCAGGATGGTCTCAAACTCCTGACCTCGTGATGCGCCTGCCTCGGCCTCCCAAAGTGCTGGGATTACAGGCATGAGCCACCGCGCCTGGCCCAGAATGAGGAATATTTTTTAAGTATGATATAGAACACAGAAGTCATAACGTAAAGATAAAAGTACATGAAAATACAAAATTTCTGCATGATGAAATCCACTAGAAGTAGCTGGGCACAATGGCTCATGTCTGTAATCCCAGCACTTTGGGAGGCTGAGGCAGGAAGATCACTTGAGCCCAGGAGTTTGAGACCAGCCTAAGTAACATAGTAAGACATTGTCTCTACCAAGAAATAAAAAAATTGTCTGGGTGTGGTGGCACGTGCCTGTAGTCCCAGCTACTTGGAAGGCTGAGGCGAGAAGGTCAATTGAGCTGGGGAGGTGGAGACTGTAGTGAGCTGTGATCCTGCCACTGCATTCCAGCCTGGGCGACAGAGTGAGAACCTGTCTCAAACAAACAAACAAACAAAACACTACAAAGCAAAACTAAAAATTAGATAAAAACTAAGGAGTAAATTATTGCATATCATATCACCAGAAAAGACTATTTTCTCCAATAGATAAATAGTTCCTACACATTCACAACAAATGAACCAAAATCTCAATTAAAAAATGGACAAAGCATATAAAAAAGTTGTCCATCAAAAGTATATATAGTTGTCTGGAACTTATGAAAGTGCTTAATCTCATTAATAATCAAAATATACATTAAAACCCCTCTGAGAAATTCTTTATTAAATTGGTGAAGATAAGGATATTTGACTACATTACTTGGGGGAGAGTATGTAGCGAAATGTACCCACTGACATACATTGATGATCTAATTTGGTAATTTGTATAGGGTCCAATTTGGAAATATTAAAAATGCATTTTTTGATCCAGAAATTTTAATTTTGGAATAAAAACTTACAAAGATGTGGCTATAAAGTCATTTTTTATACAATTATAAGAGCAAATAACTGGGGGGAAATCTAAATGTCTGTTAATACAGGATTGACTGGTTAAATAAAGTACACCCATAAAATGAACTAGTACTCAGCTATAAAAAGATAAGAAAATAGTTTAGGATTCTGAAATAGAAAGATCTCCATTTCATATTAAATAATAATGAGGGTGCAAAACAATTTGTATAATATGCTATCATTTTATAAAAATATAATACATAAATATTTGTGTGCATATTTGTATAATACATTCTTGAATATGCATAAAATATTTCTAGATGGCAGGAGCATAGAAAGAGAAAAGAGAGATTTCTCACTGTATGTCCTTACAGATTTTTAAGATGTTGAACCATGTGCATGTATTACTCATCAAAAAGTTTAATTAATAAAAAATTTTTGCTACTTTAATAATTCAAAGGGAAAACACTGTTCACTGAATATGTATCTTATGCAGTACTGGAAGATACCATGTATGAGTTAAACAAAGTAGAAGTCCACCAAATTTATTCCAAGTCATTTTAACTCAACTACCAGTAACAGTACTTTACTAAAAGTAAAAAAATCTGAGACAAATGCAAAACCGCACAGGACCTCAGGACAACAGTCTTAAACCAGGAATGTCTTTTGAAAACTGGGTTATAAGGATGCCCTCCTTATAAGCCACAGAGTAGGGAGGAACTCAATGTGATATAAGAGTACTTTATCTCTGCATAAGAAGACGATTAAAGCCCTGTCTTGATTGGGGAACTATTAGAGGAGATAAGATTAGTGGTTAGAAGTGACATGTACTCTCTCACCTAAATTGCAATCCCAGGGGAGATTACAGAATGAGAGAAACAATTCTACACAGTTTAGAGGAGCTGAGGGGAGAAGGGGGCTTCCTGTGACTCCTCTTTGGAGCTATGGAAGATTATTTGCTCACAGAAGTCAACATGGAATGGCTGAATGAGAGCAATAGCGTTGTGACTAGTTTAGGTGGCACAACCATATGACTAAATACAGTATAGCAATTACCAAAAAATTCCACTGTTGTTCAGAAGAGCTAAGAAGACTGGTGAACCAGAAGAGCTGTGTCCAGAGCTGACAGATGGCAAGATATACCTAGACCCCAGCCTCAGGCCATGGCAAGATCCGGGGACTCATGAAGTAAATGCACAATGAACAATGGCCTTTCTATCTACCAGTGATGAACAATTGGAATTTGAAATTTAAAAACTAGCCTTTACAATAGCACCAAAATATAAAATATTTACAGGATCTTCATGCAGAAAACTACACAACTCTAATGAAAGAAACCAACAGAGAAATCTACTATGCTTATGGCTTGAAGATTCATTTTCTTAAGATTCAAAATGTTTGTTCTTCAAAAGATACTATTAAGAGAATAAGAAGAAAAGCTAAAGCTTGGGATAAATGAGTTTTATTTAAAATGGACAAAATTCTTAAAACCCAATGATAAGAAAACAGGATAATTTAAATATCTTAACAGACATCTTGCCAAAGAAGATATACAGGTGGCAAACAAGAATATAAAAACATGCTCAACATTACGTGTTGTTAAAGAATTGCAAATTAAAACAACAATGAGATAGCATTATATACCTTCTAAAATGGCTAAAATTAAAACAAAAACCCAAACCTGCCAACACCAATTGCTGGCAAGGATGCAACACAGAACACTCATTTATTGCTGATGGAAATGAAAAATGACACAGCCGTCACTTTGGAAGACAAGCAGATAATTATTAAGTAAACATAATCTTACCGTACAGTGCAGTAGTTGTGCTATTAGGTATTTACCCAAGTCATTTGAAAACTTAGATCCACACAAAAACCTACACACAAGTTTTTTATTTGTTTGTTTTTTAATTTTTCTGTTGTTTTGTTTTTTGAGACAGGGTCTCACTCTGTCGCCCTGGCTGGAGTACAGTGGTACAATCACTGCTCACTGCAGCCTTGACTTCCTGGGCTCAGGTGATTCTCCCACCTAGCCTCCTGAGTAGCTGGAACTCCAGGCATGCATCACGACACCCAGCTAGAGTTTTTTGTAGAGACAGGGTTTCACCATGTTCCCAGGCTGGTCTCGAACTCCTGGGCTCAAGTGATCTGACCACCTCGGCCTCCCAAAGTGCTGGGATTAAGGTGTGAGCCACCATACCTGGTCACAAATGCTTATAGTATCTTTATTCACAATCACCCAAAACTGGAAACTACTAAGATGTCATTCAATAGATGAATGGATACCAAAACTAGTAAATCCATATAATTGACTAATATTGCACAATAAAAAGAGATTAGCTACCAAACCATGAAAAGATATGGAAAAACCTAAAATACTGTCTTAGTCCAGTTGGACTGTGTTGACAAAATGCCATTAACTGGCTGGGTGCAGTGGCTCACACCTGTAATCCCAGCACTTAGGGAGGCCAAGGTGGTGGATCACTTGAGGTTAAGAGTTCGAGACCAGCCTGGCCAACATGGCCAAACCCCATCTGTACTTAAAATACAAAAACTAGCTAGGCGTAGTGGCACATGCTGGTAATCCCAGCTACTTGGGGAGCTGAGGCATGAGAATCACTTGAACCTGGGAGGTGGAGGTTGCAGTGAGCCAAGATTGTGCCACTGCACTCCAGCCTGGGCAACAGAGTCAGGCTCTGTCTCAAAAAAAAAAAAAAAAAGGCATTAACTGGATAGCTTATAAACAATGTAGTTTTTTTTTTTTTTCTCTCATAGTTCTGGGGACTGGGAAGTTCAAAATCAAGGCAGACTCAATGTCTCATGAGGACCCGCTTCCTGGTTTATAGATGGTGTTTTATCACTGTGTCCTCCCAAGGTGAAAGGGACAAGGCAGATCTTTGGGGCCTCTTTTTTATAAGGGCACTAATCCCATTTACGGAAGTTCCACTCTCATAACCTAATCACCTCCCAAAGGCCCCAAATCTCAATACCATCACGTCGGGGGTTAGTATTTTAGCATATACATTTTGAGGGGACAGAAACTTTCAGACCATAGTACCTGCATATTGCTAAGTGAAGGAAGCCAGTCTGAAAAAGGTTACATACTGTATGATTTCAATTATATGCCACTCTGGAAAAAGCAAAACTACAGAGGTAGTAAAAAAGTTAGTAGTTTGCTAGGGATTCAGGGCTAGGAAAGGGAGGGTTGAATAGGTAAAGCACAGATGTTTTCAGGGTGGGAAAGCTATTCTGTATGGTACTATAATTTTAAATTCATGGCAGTCTGCATTTTTCAAAGCCATTGCATGTTACAGCAAAAAGAATGAAATTTAATGTATGCAAATTTAAACAAATAATTTGTCACTTTGCAGAAATCTCAGGATGGAATGCAGAATTTGACAAAACAATCTAACTGTATTCTAAATGTATAAAACAACCTTCCTGAAAGGGGTGAGGGAAAGGTGCTGAGTGAAGTAATTCTGGAAATGAGCGAAGTCTGTAAAACTAAAGGCGAAAGAAACCGTATATAAGTACTATACCGTAGATGATAAAGTTGTATCCCACAGTAGTGTGGGTTAACTGAGATACATATATATTCATATTGAGCAGTTAAGCAAATGGATGGTGGATGGTGAGAGATAGTTTCTCACTGTTGTAGTGAAAGTTTACAGATGCCAAGGGAAGGAAGCTAGTTTCATCCATGTAGGAATGTGCTAGAGTTAGCAACATCAGTAGAAACTCATGCTTGGTTTAACATGTTGCATATAGCAAAATTTATAGATATGTGTATATACTTGGGTTAGTATGTGCACATAAATCTCCTTGTTCTGTCATTTGAGCAGGCATAAAAAAATAACACTACAGTAGGAACAAGCTCACCTAGCACGTTGATCTTGGTTTCTAATACCATTCTCCAATAAAAGGAAACAAAGCTCCTTGGAGAAATGGCTGATTCTAGGACTGGGACAGGAAATATACAAGATGGGCCTAAAGCATCTTGTAGAGCCGAAAGGTAAGGAAATGCTAAAACACAAAACCCCACAATGATGAGGGAATGCCAAGGGGACACAGGAGATAACTGAGGAAGCTCTTAATGGCCAAAACTGGAATAATTTGAGCAAAAAATTCTTCCAATAATTTATATTGGATAAAATAAAGTAGCATTGGATAAAACTTGAAGTATAAAATAAATATTCATGAGTCTATATTGATATAAATAAACGACTGAAGTAATTAAAAAACAAGGGAGAAGAGACAAATCCCTCATGAAGAAGATTGCTAAATGAATTATGTGGACTCTCCACCCTCAAGGAAGAGGAGCATACATGCCCTACTCTCCTCTGTGGAATACAGCGTGGATAGAGGGGCAAAAAAGAGTCATTTTCCTGACAGACACTGCTGCAGCCAGGTAGTCAAGTGATAGGCTATGTTGGTAGTGAGTACCCTTGATATGAAGTGATGAAAATGGCACTTTATTTCCACCATCCTTCTCCCCAAAATCGATCACATTAGTCAAATCATGAGAAAAACATTAGACAGATCATACCTGTCCAGTACACCCCAAAACTGTCAAGGTCATCAAAAACATTGAAAGTGTGAGAAACCATCAGAGCCAAGAGGATCCTAACTAAGTCGGCGGCAAGACAACTAACTGTAATGTAGTGTTCTGGATGGGATACTGGGGCAGAAAAGGACGTGAAAGCTAAGGAAATCTGACTAGAGTATCACTTTATTAATTATCATATATCAATATTGGTTAACCCATTGTAACAAGTGTGCTGTACTAACCTAAGAAGTTAACAGTGGACACTATGGGAGGCCAAGACGGGCGGATCCTGAGGTCAGGAGATCGAGACCATCCTGGCTAACACGGTGAAACCCCATCTCTACTAAAAATACAAAAACAAAATTCGCTGGGCGTGGTGGTGGGTGCCTGTAGTCCCAGCTACTCGGGAGGCTGAGGCGGGAGAATGGCGCAAACCCAGGAGGCGGAGCTTGCAGTGAGCTGAGATCTCGCCACTGCACTCCAGCCTGGGCGACAGAGCGAGATTCCGTCTCAAAAAAAAAAAAAATGTGTGTGTGTGTATATATATATATATATATATATATATATATATATATATATATATATATATATATATATATGTTAACAGTGGAAACTGGGTACGGGACTTATGCAAACTCTCTGTACTACTTGAAAAAATTTTCTTCAAAATCTGAAACTGTTAATGGAAGTTAAAGTTTTTTTCCTTTTTTCTTTTTCTTTTTCTTTTTTTTTTGAGACGGAGTCTTGCTCTGTGGCCAGGTTGGAGTGCAGTGGCGGGATCTCGGCTCACTGCAAGCTCTGCCTCCCGGGTTCAAGCGATTCTCCTGCCTCAGCCTCCCTAGTAGCTGGGATTACAGGCGTGCGCCACCACGCCCAGCTAATTTTTGCATTTTTAGTAGAAATGGGGTTTCACCATGTTGGCTAGGATGGTCTAGATCTCCTGACCTCATGATCCGCCTGCTTCAGCTTCCCAAAGTGCTGGAATTACAGGTGTGAGCCACCGTGCCTGGCCATAAAGTTTATTTTTTAAAAGTGTGAGTTAAAAATGCAAAGGTCACAGAGAGTTTAAGTTATCTATATTATCATCTTTAAAGAATGGCCTGTAGTTTCTTTATAAATAAGTTAGGGTGATAAGAAGTTATTTTCAGATTCAAAAGACGGAGAAACTTTGCAACTCAATGACTATCACTTAAATAAATACTAAGGAATTTTCGTCAATGACAACAAAAAATAAAATTCCCCAGAAAGAATGGGATGCAAGAAATAATGTATTCAAGAATTTGGTTAGTATTTCGATAAATCTAAATAATCTAAATAAATTGAAATAAAACACTAAAGAAAGTGAATTTTGTGGAATTTATTTTTAAAAGAAGAAATTAAATGCTAAGCAGTAATAATGTGAAACCAATAGAGGAAAATTACAGTTAGAGCTTGCCCTTGTATTGTCTGGTAAGCGGAGAGATATACTGAATTAACTGTAGACTTTATTATGTTAATAAATGCCTGTTAAAAATTAAAGAGTAACCACTAAAAAAGAATAGAATGAATAACTACAAAAGGAGTAATGAAAATGGAGATAAAGGAAACATGGGAAAAATGAAATGAAAATAACTTGAGTAATAATAATAATACTTATATCACACTGTGTTCCAGGTGTTATTCTAGTCTGTGTGTGTGTGTGTGTGTGTGTGTGTATGTGTGTGTGTGTGTCTGTGTTGTGTATATATTTAATTAATTTAATAGAATAATTGGAGACCGGAAAGAAAAAAAGAAAGCATAGATAAAATAATTGCAGAAAAAAAGAAGATAGTAAAAACAAGCCCAAATACGTCAGCAAACACAGCAAGTATAAACAGATGGAATTTAAAAGGTACAGATCCTCAGATCAGATGAAATAAAAACACAACTCAGATATATACTGTTTTAAAAAATACAACCTAAAACAAAATAAAAAGTTTTAAAATAATAAACTGGAAAAATATATGCTAATCTGGCAAAGAGAATGTCAGATAAAAAGGATTCTGAGACAAAAACATTAGTGAATCTATAAAGAGAGCATTCAAAATGATAAGGAGATAAACCATCACAAAAATAAATGTATCTAACAATAGAGCTTCAAAATCTATGAATCAAAATTTAACCAAATCATTGCTTTTAGCAGCAATAATGTTGCTATTTTAAAAAATTTAATTGTTAAATAAAGATTGAATACATTCAAAGTGTACAATGTGTTAATTTTCTATGAGTACACATTTTGCAATGGTTATTACAGTCAAATTAATTACACCCATCACCACCCATGCTGCACATTAGACCCCCAGAACTTGCTTATCCTATAACTGAAAGGTCCTACTCTGACCAACATCTCCTCATTTCCTCTACTCCCTAGCTCCTGGCAACCACCATACTACTTTCTGCTTTTATGACTTGACTTTTAAGAAAAATAAAACAATTCCACACTTAAAGTGGAAAACATTTTAACAAAGCCTCTCTAAGAGCAATCAAGTAGCCAAAAGTTAGTAAAGTCAGAGAAAAGTTGAGCACTATAATTAACAGGCTTGATCATAGATATATGGTCAAAGAAATAAAGAAAATATATACTTTTAGAACTTATGTGAAACATTTATAAACAATCTCTACCTATCAAGCCCCAAAGAAGTTTCATCAAAAACCAAAGAACTGGTATCAAACAGATGAAATCTTTGACTATAAAACAATTAAATTAGACAAAAAATCCAATAAATATATTATTTTAAAATTAACAAAATGCAACCCCATATAGCTATGTTAGCTAAAGTACCACTGGTTCCTATGATAAACAAGCATCCACTGCATAATGGCTCAAACATAACAGAAGCTTACTTTATTCCTCAATGAGAGCCTCCAAGGGGTGTTTATTTTTTGTGAGCAGTTCATTTTCTCCCTTTTGCTTCATCTGTCTTCAGTGCTTGATTTCCAAGGTCTGTGAGCTCGTCTGCATGAAGCCAGGGGAAGGCAGAAGAGCATGGAGGGTCAAGTGTGGGAGTTCTTAGGGATCAGGAAAGGTGATAATGGACATCACATCTGATCACATTTTGTTGGCTGCAATGCAATTGTGGCCACTTACAACTGCAAAGGGAAATAACAGCTGACTGTGTTCCCAGTAAGACAAAGGTTCTCATAAGTAGCTATATAGTTGTGTCTTAATAATCTCTAGTCAATGAGAGAATTACAATAGACATTACAAAATATTTATGACTGTCAACAAAATCTCAGCACATCAAAGCACATGGGATGCATCTAAAGTGGGACTTAAGACAAAATATAAAGCATTAGTTACATTTATCTATTAACCACATACACGAGAAAAGCTGGAAATAAGCAACATGTTTAATAAAAGTAAAGAAAAATATTGTAAACCTAAAAGAAGCAAAAGAAAAGATATTATAAGGATGACTGTTGAAAGAAAACAAAATAGTAAAACAAACCAGAACAAAAAATAGCCAGAGAAAGAATAAGAGTCTAAATTCATGCTAGTTAGAATAATGCTAAGATTTTAGAGACATATTCAGACTTTTAAAAATCATATGAAAATATTATGAACAAATTTACACCTATCTAGAATCTAAAAGCTTAGATAAATTAATAACTTCAAAGAAAAAATATAAACAAAATTGACCAAAGAAAAAAGTAGACAAATGAATCGGAAATTATTTAAAATTTTCAGTTCTTACTAAAAATAGTAGTTCCCACAACACACCTCCCTCTTTAATAAAAGGACAGGAGGTCATGTACTAGATTGTTAACACTATCTATAAGAACCCCAAACTGGAAACTACTTCCAGAGTCCCTCAAGAACAGAATGGAAAAATAAATAGTCTTGTTCACACGAAGTAAAACTGTGTAACAATGAGAAGGAATTATCTACACCGACGTGACAACATGGATGCATTTTGGAAAACATAGCATTGGGCAAAAAATTTCAGACACAGGAAGAGTATATCTTGTCCTATTCAATTTATATAAAGCACAAAGCGGGTAAATTAGTCCATGCTATTTGAAGTTAGAACAGAGGCTGTCCCTGGTGGAGGAGGAGACAGTGATTGGAAGGGATATGAAGGAGTTTTCTGGGGTGCTAGTAATGTTCTCTTTCTTTGTAGAGCACTGAGAATAAAGGTATATTAACTTTGTGAACATTCATAGGTATGTAGAAATTATTGTGGAGTGACGTGGCATGATCTCAGCTTACTGCAGCCTCAACCTCCCGGGCACAGGTGATTCTCCAACCTCAGCCTTGGAGTAGCTGGGACTATAGGTGAGTACCATCATGCCTGGCTAATTTCTTGTATTTTTTGTAGAGACAGGGATTTCACCATGTGGCCCAAGCTCTAATAATAAATTTCAGTAAAATGTTTTTTAACAGTTGACAACCAGGTCTAGACAAATTTTAAGGTGAGTTTTTTACAAAAATCTCAAGGAATAGATTATCTTATTTGATACATTAAAGATAGAAAGAAAAACGTGATTCTTTTGATAGGTACAGGAAATCATTTAGCTAAATTCGATACATATGAATAGTCAGAAGAAAGCAAAACAAAATCTCTTAGTAAACTAATCGAAAGGAAACTCTCTTAACTTAGCAAAGAACTTCTAACTACAAATTTATGGTAAACATCTTCCTTACTGGTGAAGTAGTCACACATATACATCATAGGCAGGAACAACTCAGGACAGAGATGACAACCAATTGTAATTAACATTGAATATGAGGCATACGTCAATGCAGAAAGAAACAAAATAAGGACCAGAAAGGAATAAATGAAACTGTCATTCTTGGTGACATTCTAATCCTTCTGTTGAATGGCAGTATAATGTATACTACAGTACAGCACAGCATAAAGTCAAGTCTCAGAGAGTTGAGTAGAGTATACAGTAGTCAAGACATGAGTTCTAGAACCAGGCAGTGTGGATTTGTATCCCAGCTTCATCACCTACTAGCTGTGTGACTCTGGGCCAGTTTCTTTACCTCCCTGGGCCTCACTTATAAATAGAGATAGTAACTACATGCTTAATAGAGTTGTTATAAGGACTAAACAAGTTCATACATATAAAGCACATACTAAGTTTGCAATAAACATTTAGTAGCTTTAATTTTTGCCCTTGAGTTTTTGTTGTTGATATCTAAATACTAACCCTGTATTTGGTTCTTCTATTAATATGATCTTGTCTTTTTGTTTTACATTCAGAGACTCTTTGTGATTTTTGGCTCTACCAGAGCACATTTCTTTTTATTTTCTTGTGCAGTCAGAAATTGTTAATACTGATTTTTGTTGACTGATAGGCTAAGGGGGGTTATCACTTGCTATGCTGTATATTTATGAATTGATTTATTATTTTATCAAAGGGCATATGTTTTTTATAGAGGGGGATATAACAAATATTTTTAAACTACAAAAAAAATCAAACAATCTATCCCTCTTAGTTTACAATCAACCTACTGAGTGTAGATAATTTATTGAATCAATTAAGGTCTGGTAAATAATAATTAACTATGATCTTTGCAAAATGATTCACAAATCATTTTAATTTCAAGAAATAACATCAACTCACCTCTAGAGAATATATGAGTGGAAAACTGCATTTGTAGTGCAAGGCACCATAGTGATACTTAGTGAGTATAATGTGGCCTCTGCCCTCATGAAGCTTATCATTGAAACGACTTTGAAAGGTAGCTGTGTTTGTCATCTAATGGATTCTGTGGCAGAATGTCCTATAGGATTACATCACTCAGAACCAGGGCTGCCCCAACATGCTCTTTCCTTAGACTCTCTGAGGGTTGCTCATACGCAGAGTGGCTACACAGATTGCATGAGGCTTTACATCCTTGGGGTAATGGTAAATGTCTCACTGAGTAAGTGTCCAGGATTTCACATTTGGCAACCCAGATATCTCAGAGACACTTAAAGGGGACTATATTATGGACATTTAAATTTTTATTATTCATTTTTCAAATTATTAAAAGTTTTTGTTTGTTAGTGTTTTTTTTTTCAAGGTTTCGCACTAGGGATTTCTTTTTAAATCCAGGAAGCTACCAAATGCTAAGGAGATATATGAGAGTGCAAAGAGCACGGGCCAAGACAGCAAGAAGACCTTTCGGTCATTAGACAGAATCTCTGAAAGAGATGGCAGCTGGGATCAGATTAGAGGGGTGTCTCATAGAATGAAGGATACAGAGTGGAAGGACTGCTGCCCCTGGGGTATTGGCTGTTGAGGAGCTCTGCTGGGAAGCTGTCAGCAGGAGGAGGAGGCGGGAGCAGGCATAGCCTTGTGGCCACCATCAGGAAATTGGGAGGTCATGGTAGATGCAGGAAAGCCCTCCTGTACCAGAGAGAAGACAGCAGAGGGGGCTACTTAGAGGCAGGAGCTGTGAATGGGGTGCCTGAGGCCAGAGAAGGAGGCAGTGCTCTGTGTGCATGGGGACACCCAGTGGGAGCAGCCAATGGGACACCTGTGGGTCGTGTTCCTATCCCACCTTAACAATCACTGGGGGCAGGCTGTAGTAACAAAGCCTGCACTTATACTGGATGCAGGTTCTCAGATTCAGAGGCAGGAACACACGCGAGAGTGATCAAATGTCGGAAGCAAATGAGTACCCCGAAAGGGGATTAACAAACCCAACAAAGGGAGCAACTGCCATCCAAGGAAATGGTCAAGTGGTTTCAGATTGATATGTGAATATTCTCCACGAGATAACAGCAGATATTGCATCTATAAACGATCAGCTGGAAAACTGAATGCTTGAAATAAACAGCAGAAGGCAGCTAAAGACCAAATTAATAAGGTGATGTTTAAGCCAAGTCCCCAGAATGCAACAGAAATGGACAGGGAGATAGAAACTATATTTAAAAAAGTGATATGGAAGGCAGGCTCAAAAGTTTCAGTGACTGCTTAGTAGGATTCCTGAAATTAAAAAAAAAAACAACAGCAACAGCAACAACAACAACAACAAACAGAGAGAAGTGGAGGAAGAAATATTTGAAGAAATAGCAACGGACAGAATTTAATCTCCAAGAGAGCTTTTGATGAGTCTCAGTTCTCTGGCTTTAAATTAATCAGCCCAATGACCTGTGGTGGAAAACTGACTTGCATGGTGCCAAAAGCATTCCTGTTTTTGTTCGCTGACCTGTAGACACTGATACTTTGAAGCAGAGCAGGATTCTTCAGGGAAGCTTGTACTGGCCTGAAGGGCAGTGTGGAGCAGTGGTTAGGGTCACAGACACTGAAGTAGGACGCTAGCCTGTGTGTGCATTGCACTGTTTGCCAAGACGGGCACTTCAGGCAAATGTTTACTGAGCACCTACTATGTGCAAGGGTCATAGTAGGTGCTCAATAAAGGCTCATAAAGATTATGTGCAAGGTTCATAAAGCAGGGGAGACAGTGGTAAATTGGATCAATTCCTTGTCCTTGTGGAGTTTACCTTCTAGTAATAGTGAGTGACAGGCAGTAAACACGTGTGTGTGTGATATAATTTCAAGTGGTGATAAATGCTATAAAAGGAAACTGAGTAGAGTTAGGCATTGGGGAGCAAATTGGGATGCTGTTTAAGTCTGGGTGTCAGGAGGTCCTCCCTGAGGAAGTGACATGTGAGCACACATTTGAAGCATGTGAAAGGTCAGCCATGAGAAGATTTGGGGAGGAATTGTTCCAGAAAGCAAGACTAGCAAATGCACAGGTGTGAGGTGGGAGCAAACTCAGTGGTGAGGAATGGTCAGAGGCTCCCAGCCTCTGAATGGCCAGAGGTTCCTCATCTGTAGGAATGCAGATAATCTTAGAACCTAACTCTTAAGCCTCCATAAGGATTAAATGGCAAAATCCATGAAACGCAACTAGCACATTTGCTGGCATGTGAAAAATTTCTCAAAAATGTTAACTTTCATCCTCATTAAGATCTTTTTGCCTTGAATAGGTTATAAATTAGCTCTGAGCAGCACACTACTCCTTTATGCTTAATTTCTCCAAGGCTGCCTTGTTAAGAATATGCAGATCACATCATTAATATGCTCTTTTTTCTCCAGAGAGCTGGTCTTCAAACTGTTCTCTGCTCAGGCCTCTGCTGACTGACAGCTGCACTAGTCCCTCTGGGCTTGTCGGGTTAGGGGTACCTGAAGTGGTGGTAGTCTTAAGAAACTACTTAATGGTAGGGCTTAGCCACATTTCCATACTTTTAGCTTTCCTCATGCGATTTACTTCTCTTCCAGAAAATTCTGGCCTGGATATTAGAAGACCCAGACTTGAATCCTAACTCTTCATCTCTCTGGTCTTTTCTGGATTTCCTCAATTGTAAAACAATCAAGAGTTTTCAGTGGCGTTGATGAATGGCTGAAAAATTAAAACACCACCAAAGTACTTAGCAGCAATTATTGTTGTTTTTATTTCACTTTTATTTTAAATTCAGGGGTACATGTGCAGGTTTGTTACATAGGTAAACTTGTGTCAAGGGGGTTTATTGTACAGATTTTTTCACCATCCTGGCATTAAGCCTAGTACCCATTTGTTATTTTTCCTGATTCTCTCCCTCTTCCCACCCTCCACCCTCTGGTAGTCCCCAGTGTGTGTTGTTCCCCTCTATGTGTCCATGTGTTCTCATCATTTAGCTCTCACTTAGAAGTGAGAACATGCGGTATTTGGTTTTCTGATCCTGCATTAGTTTGCTAAGGATAACAGCCTCCAGCTCCATCCATGTCCCTGCATCCAGGGCATGATCTCGTTCTTCTTTACGGCCTTAGCAGTAATTATTAACTACCACACTATAACTGTGTCTCAACGTATTTCTAAAAAGATCCACAGTACACTTCAGTTACTCAGATTGGTGTTTTGCACCATGTCACCGTTTGTACAGAATCGTTCACCACCTAGAGCACACCATCTATCAGCCCATTAGGTGCAGCATTTGATTTCACTTGACACCCTATTGAGGTGGTGATGAGAGTTTTTATTCCCCATCTTCATGTTTCCAAGAGGGAATTTGGCCTCCCAGGATGAAGCAATTTGAAGCAACACTTACTTACATTCTCCTTTCTACCTCCTTCATGCCCTTCCTCCCTGAGAAGCCTCTGTTTTTGAGCGTGTGTGCTGCACAGCTCCGTTAGCTGTCTGTCACTTTGGATCAGCCGTCTGCAGGACGCAGCAGTTCTCTGCCTCTGCATGACGTTAGCTCACCATGGCAGGTGTTGTCCCTGAGAAAAGGTGATGGAAGGAAACCCTGAAGCTGTGGGACAGCATCTTTAAGCTCAATTGCAAGGCAAATACAAGACCCAGTTCTCCAGTCTTTCCCCACACTCATAAAACCGGTAATTTTACCTCTAACTTCCTGACTCCTGTATCCTGTTTCTCAATGGTAACCAAATTGCAGAAAAGAGAAAAGAATATAATTATTCCCCCTAAACCCCAGGAACCACTTCTTATACTCAGCAGGGGAACTAGCTTTTGTTCAACCCATTTAGTTTCATCTTCCCTCTAAAAGATTTCTCTGTGATCATCGGCACCCTCAGTTTCAACAAATATCCACTTTACACATTGATCAAAATGTAGTGGCAAACTGAGATGAGCTTTAAAGAAAAAGTGGAACCACTAGCCTAATATTTAACACGGAACTTGCCAGCCCCGGGATCATGACACCCAGGTGTGTTGCGTTATCACCAGCTGTGTGTTCATTCCAATTTTTCATGCTAAGGGTCAAATACTGATGTTGTGAAAGATGAAATTTTCTAAAATGAAACCTGAAATTTATCAAGTGCTCATTACATGTGAGATACATTAATACCGAGTCTTCAGAGCAGCCTCATAAATATGGGTGATTACTCTCCTCACTTTACAATGAGAAACTGAGTCAGCCAGATTAAGAAGATTGGCCCAAAGTTAATTACAGAGTGAGTCAATGGCAGAGGTAAGACGCAAACCTCTGTTTCCCGTAGTCCTCGTTTTTCCCTAACACCAGGCTGCCTCTCTCATCTATTACCTGTCTGTTGGTAGATATTCCAATATTTAGGCTGAGAGATTCTCTGTTCATGAGGGCAGTCCATACTTGATTTGCTATTTTGAGAAGCAGTTCCCTTTAAAATTGGAATAAAACCACAGATGCATTTCAAGGGGATTTCAGCTCCCTTATCAGCGAACATTCCCAGGGAGAGGATGTTTATGGTCTCTTTCCTCTATGATGTATTTTGAGGAAATGTCTCTCCTTTTATGAAAGGCTGACCTCCTTTCACCTGTGCTCTGATTCACATCTCTTCCCACCTCCCCAGGAAACTTTTATCTTTCCATCAACATCCTAACATGATCGAGTTTCTCCCTTTTTAAAAAGCAATCCATTCCCATCCCAGACTTCATTTCCTCCTTCGTTGCTATCCTGTCTTTATCCTTTTACAGACAGATTATCCACTGCTTCATTGCTCAATCACTCCTCAGTCCACTCAAAGAGGTTTTGCTGCCTCTGTACTCCATGACAGAAAAAAAAGAGAGAGAGAGAACGAAGGAAGGAAGGAAGGGAGGGCGAGAGAGAGAGAGGGAAGGAAAGAAAGAAAGAAAAAGAAAGAAAGAAAGAAAGGAAGAAAGGGAGAAAGGGAAGGAAGGAGAGAGAAAGAGCAAAAGAAAGAATGAAAGCAATGAGAAAGAAAGAAAGAGAAAAAAGAGAGAAAGAAAAGAAAAGAAAGAAACCTATTGAAACCTATTCTTGCTAAGGTCCTTATTATCCTCTAGTTGACTAATCCAGTGTATTCTTTCCATTCTTCCTTTTAGTGCACCTTGCAGTAGTCCTTGGCTTCATCAACCACTTTCTCCTTCCTGAAACCCCCATCAATTTATCCTATTGCTGCTTAGTCCTGGCTATTCCTTCTCAACTTTGCCAATTTCTCCAATTCTAAAGAGCCTTCAAATAATTTCATCAAATACTCATAAGTATCCTTTGAGTTGGTGTCACTATCTCCATTGTATAGAAGAAAAAGACTGGGACTCAGAGATATGAACTAACTTATTCAAGGTTATAGAATTAGTAGAATTAAATATCTTAGTCTTGTCTGATTCTAAGCCTTATATCCTTGATCCCTCCAGAGCTCAGGTCCCCAAGATCTTAAGAGAGGGGCAGTAGGGACCAGAAGACCTGGATTGTGTTGCATGTTTGAATCACTGTCTGCATGTCGTTTCTTCTCATTGGGATTTACTTTCAAATCCAGGCCCTACCACTTTCTGGTTCCACAATTTTCCTACTTGCATGACCAAAACCAAATTATTCCATCTCTCTAGACCTGAGTTTCCTCAACTGCAAAATGACGATAATTACAGGCCCTATCTCACAAAATTGTTGTGAGGATTAAATGAAATAATACATGTAAAACATTTAGGAGCGTGCTTAGTATGCAGTCAGTTCTCAGTAAATGCTAGTTTTGATGATGAGGTTGATGCAAAGAAAGAGGAGGAATGGTAGTGTATGGACTAGGTGATTTCGAGAAGCCCTTTCATCACTGATATAGTGTAATTTCCCAAGGAAAATGGTCCTTTCCAAGAGGCAGTCCTCTGATTATACAGGTAATGTGGCCTGAAAGGTGACTTTCATTTTGGAATTAAATTTAGATGACACGCTTCCATTACCTGTTTCTCATTGCAGGCTGTGATGCTGCTTGGAGGTGCCACAATCCAGTAGAGCAGTGCACCTGAGGCCATGCTGAGGTCACAGTCTTTTTTGTGAACCCTTATCAAGGGAATCAAGGAATGCAATCAGGCAGAAGGGCTTTTAGAGATCTGCCCTACACGGATGAAAGTTCAGAGGCCCTGCTCCCTGTGCCCTCTCCACATGGCCGTCACAGTGGCCAGCATCATCACTCGCTTCTCGGTGAAGGGTCTATCAATTCACCTTTGTTGGCATGGAGGGGAGGCCTTCACCAGACAAGAAATAAGGTCTGAAGGGCATCTCCTCTTTGCTGCCACCAGGCCTGAGCCACCTGATGGCATTGTTCCTCTGACCAGGTCAGTGTTTGTGACAGGGTGTAATTAAAGAGCTCGCCAGCCTCGGTAGGAAAACTGGAGAGACTGGGGGGAAAACTTCATTTCCTCAAGGGCAGCCAAGGGTGAACAGACTCCACATTGTGCTTGGGGCTGACAGCCAGGTCAGCCACTGGAGGGAGAGAGGATAGTCCTTCTGTTGCCCATTGATTCCCCTCACATTATGTGAAGGCAGCTTCCTGTCCAAAGGGCAGACGTATGCTCCACCCAACCTAACAATTAGGAACTACTCAGCAATGAGATGGGCCCCAGAAGTGTCTCTGTCACAGAAACATTAGGCTGCTGGAATTTCAAAGCTAAGGGTGAGAAAGTATGGAAATTTGTAGAACGTTTAGTTCCTCCACCCCCATTTTGTAGAAGGCAATCTGCCCAGGAGTTCGAGACCAGCCTGGGCAACATGGTGAAACCCCATCTCTACTAAAATACAAAAAAAATAATTAGCCGGGCGTGGCAGTGCGCGCTGTAGTCCCAGCTACTCGGGAGGCTGAGACAGGAGAATTCCTTGAACCCGGGAGGCGGAGGTTGCAGTGAGCCAAGATCGCGCCATTGCACTGCAGCCTGGGTGACACAGTGAGACTCTGTCTCAAAAAAATAAAGAGAGAAAACAGGCTCAGGGAAGTTAAGCACTGTAGCTCACACAGCAATAGTCTGTGCAGTTAAGACCCTCGGTCTCCACCCGTAAAGGTCCTTCAAACAGAAATAGTTGAACCCCCATCAGGATTCTTTCCCATGGCGGGTGGGTGAGGGCATCAGTGAAGGCCCTTCCCACATTACAGTTCCCCAAACCCAAATTCTTCACGGAGCTTTCCAGAACATCTGAATGTCTTTTGGATAATGCTTCTGGGATTTTATGGAAACTTCATAAAATGGGGCCTAAGTTTGTTTGTCTGTTTTCCTGGAGATGCATGCCATACCAAATTAGAATCAAATTGACAGACTCACTAAATGGTCTGTCACTGTAACAGGAAATCTTGCAGGCATCATGTTGTGTGGGAAAGACAATGAGGCTGGGGTGCCAGAGACCTGAGCCCCAATCCTGCCCAGCTGCAGGCGGTTACCTAGGACTTGCTCCTTCTCTAACCTCTCTAAGCCTTGGTTTCCTTGCTTTTCACGGAGACTACTGCAGCATCCCTTGCTCTGATGTGTTGGCCAACATCGCACACTGCCCTGGCCTTCGCAGAATACACAGCGTTTACCGTCACCCAGTGCTGCCTCTCTCTAATGAGTGTGTTGAATTCCCTTCACTGCTTTGAGCCAGTAAAACTTCTAAAGCATGTCTGTCAATTCAGAAAGCATTTGCTGGACACCACATGTCTTCTGGACTCCGCTTTGCATAGTGTGTGTGTGGCAGGGGATGGAGGCAGAGCAGGTAACATAGCCTGCATCTTGCTCCTGCAGTACCCAGATGCATGCTCCAGGAGGTGAGGCAGACATGCCCACATTTCACTCAAGGATGGTCTGTGCCCACCCAGTGTGCCTGAGTCCAAGATTACATGGGAAAGGGAGTGTGTGTTTGTACATATGTGCGTGTGTGTAGGAGATAGTGGGAACCCAGTGGGAAGGCGCCATCTTTCAGTATCAAGTGAGAATTTGGATTTGATTCCTTGATTCTCTGGACAGTGAGAGCCATTGAGCTGTTTTGGCCTGGGGAGACAGCCCTGGAGCTGTGTTTTTGCGTGCTACTTCTGGTTGTGTGTATAAAATGGATGGTAAGCAGAAAGCTAACATCAGAAAAAACCCTTTTCAAAGGCTGATATGAAGCCTTAATTACTGTGAAAACAAGGGCAGTGGTGGCCAAGAGACTGAAAAGGACTGCAATTAACAAGCCTCGGTTTGCCTCCATAGGAGGTGGCAGGAAAAGGAGAAGCCAAAGAGAACTATGCCCAAGGAGCTGGGAGGAGGGAGACACCCTAAACTAAGGAATAGGGAGCCACAGTACATTCCCCTGGAGCACACTGGGCACATTCAGGCAATTATTCACAGATCTTCCTTTTTCTCCAGACGATGAGTTTTTTGAGGGCAGGGACTAAGCCACCTGATTTTTGTATCCCCAAAATGAAAGAGCCCACCACTTAGTAGATGTTCAAACAAATGGGTATAGGATGGATGACTCACAATGAGTTTAGTTTTCAATATTTGTATTTGAAATAGAGACAGTGTGTTGCTGTAGGGAGGTTCAGCAGGCAGGTGGAAATACAAAAATAGCAGTCAGGAGAGAAATCAGTGTGTCGATAAAATCAAGATTATTATTTGGAGTTGTGGTTAAATGAGGTTTTCGAATGAAAAGACGTAACGTGAGAAGATAAGAGAGTGAAAGATGAGCTTACAGCCAGAGAGCAGGCTATGCAAAAGATAACTGGAGGAGGATGAAATTCAGTCAAGCAGGAAGAAAACCAAGGGCAGGAGCCTCTCGTTTTTTGAAGGATAGTGAATGGAAGACTGTTGCTAGGTGAGGCACATCTGAAAGATAGCAACTTTCTAAAGAAAACTTTTTGCATTGCACTTGTGATTGGCTTCTCTTATGAGGCTTCAAAATTTTATTCTAGACTCCTAAAAATGTCATTATACCATCCTTCAAGGTTTGAACAGATTTTTAATTCCGTCTCAAAAAAAAAAAAAAAAAAAGACAAAAACAAACAAACAAAAAAAACAGCAGCCTTTGGTGTAACCGGCTGTGAATCTTGTTTAGAAACAGGATAGACTTGTGCCAGGCACAGTGGCTTACGCCTGTAATCCCAGCACTTTTTGGAGGCCAAAGCAGGCGGATCACTTGAGGTCAGGAGTTCGAGACCAGCCTGGTCAACATGGTGAAACCCCGTCTCTACTAAAAATAAAAAAAATATCTGGGCGTGGTGGTGCATGCCTGTAATCCCAGCTACTCAGGAGGCTGAGGCAGGAGAATCGCTTGAACCCAGGAGGCAGAGTTTGCAGTGAGCCGAGACCACGCCATTGCACTCCAGCCTGGGCAACAACAGCGAACTCTGTGTCAAAAAAAAAAAAAAATTGATCTTTTATTTCCTTTTTTTTTGAGACAGAGTTTTGCTCTGTTGCCCACCCTGGAGTGCAGTGGCATAATCATACCTCACTGTTGCCTCAAACTCCTGAGTTCAAGCGATCCTCCTGCCTAAGCCTCCTGAGTAGCTGGAACTACAGGCATGCACTATCATGCCTGACTAATTTTATTTTTTGTAGAGACGGGGGTCTGGCTATGTTGCCAAGGCTGGCCTTGAACTCCTGGCCTCAAGTGACCCTCCTGCTGTGGCCTCCCAAAGCACTGAGATTACAGGTGTGAACCACCTCAACTGGCCACCTTCATGTAAAAGTTGAATACCAGCACCAGACACTATTTTTATCCCTTCAAAATTGTATCTGTATGTTCTTAAAGATATCGATCGATTTCATTTTTATTTGATCTATATGTAATCCAAATAAACGTTCTTATACTGTATGCATTATCATGACTGTCAAAGGTTTCAATGTATTTTAATAGCCTGAAAGTTTATATGATTATTGCAATATCTGTCATGTTAAAAACTAATTAGAAACAAAACAATGTAGGCAAACTTTAACCAGATTGGGTAAGAATGAGACCATTAATTTTCTTTTTCAAATTATTAGAAAAACATATTGCATATATTAAATTATATTCTTTATATATTTTGTCTGATTCTCTATTATTAGCAGATTCTCTATTATTATTAATAGATTTTTTTAAAAAGCCCCTGTAATTAAATAGAATTAAATAGGATTACTCTTTATTGTATCAGATAATAATGAAATATCACAGTACGTACTGAAGTCAAATAATTCATCAAAATGAACTTGCTGCTGACTTTCATGTGTACTCTATTGAACATATGAATTACACTTTTATTTACTATTATTTTTATCTTCCTTCTGCTTTTCCATTTTGTTTCAGAATGTTCTTCTAATCTTCAGGATCTCCTCTCTTGTTGATTTCATTATCAATATTTTCTTAGCTATCATAATTCTTTTAGGTATTGTCATGATTTTGATCATCAGGCTTAAAATTTTATTTTTCATTGCAATATAATGAAATAAATTTTGGACATTTTGAAGCTTTTGTAAGTCTTTTTTTAAGTTTATTGTCTTCCAATATGGTACTTTCTTTTCATTATATTTGAATTTTGGTATAATCATTAATACACCAAAAATAGTCTAAAATTGAAGATATGCAACAATGACTTCAGTGCACTTTAAAATGACTGCTACATTGGATTGAGATAAACAAACACATAATCAAATTACTCTAATATGATACACATTGATTTATGAATGAATATGTGTAAGCATTTTATTGCAGCAACATGTTTCTTCAGGTCATTTCACCATGTAGATGCTAATTTTGAGTACTGTTTCATGGAACCACTCAACTCTGTTAGGGTGAGAAGTGTCAGATACCTAATAAGATGTAATAAGATGAGATAAATACAACATGACTTCACAAAACATTACTCACTGCTTATAGTATGTTGTATGTTTATTCCCTACAAACAAGAATGTTGATAAATTTTACTTCAAGTGATATCCATCAAAGAAAAAAATAATATGTATGGTATGTTTGCAATTGTTTATGCTAACTTATCTAGTCAAAATTCTGTTTTGAGTAGGTATTGGTGAGAAATGAATCCTCTACTTACACAGCTAGTAATCAGAAACTTTTTTATAAGGGTAACTTTGGTTCTATACATCAAAAACCTTGTTTACCCATATCCCACATATTTTCAGTTCTGGGACCCACAAGACATTTTCACAGCACAATACATTCTCTGGCCTGTCCCTTTGTGTGAGGATCCTGAGTAAAGTAGCAGCAATGGGTGGGGGTATTCCTGGAAGTCATTTTACACTAGCAATAACTAAATATTTTTCCATAATTTTAATTTAGTTTCAATGTTTTTGAATACTTATGTTTTAGATTTCTCATTAAAGTGGTTTACAGTGGGGTATTTTTTCTTACTGTCTGATATATTTGGATTAAAACTACCACCTTACTATGTGCATACCTTTTGTCCTTCTTGTTTTATGTTTCCTTTAATCTCTTTGGTTGTTTTCTTTTGGATTGAATATGTTTTATTCTTTTAATATTCTTCCTTCATTAGTTTGGAAGCTACGTTCTCTTTTATAATTCTTTTGGTGGTCAGTCTAGAAACTACAATGTGATTTTAACTTGTTACAACTTAATGTTAACTGATATTTTTATACTCTTTCTGCTAATAATGCAAGTACCTTAGAATAGCTTAACTCCATTTTCCATGTTCTTATTTAGATGTTGGTGTGTAGTTTTATTCTTTACATACTTTAACCTTTGCAAGACAATATTATTCTTGCTTTACATAGTGAAACATCATTTACATTTGGTTTTAGTTGATAATTTCATGGACCTTCTTTTTTTTTTTTTTATCTCCAACATTCCTCCTATTTGAGAGTGTCTTCCTTTTATCACCTTTGTTCTCTTTGGGCTTTTGCAAAATGTAGATCTCTTGGTGGAAAATTGTTTCAGCTTTAATTTTTTCAAAATGTATTCATTTTGCTCTCATTCTTGAGGGGTGTGTTCACTGGATAAACATAGAATTGGCAGTTATTTTTTCTTCCATCCATTAAATGTGTCCTTCCATTATTTCTGGCATCCATTATTGTAGTTCAGAAGTCAGCTGTCAGTCTAATTTTTGAAACTTCGAGGGTACTCTGTCTTTGTGTTTTCTTTTCTGTTTGGTGCTAAGGTTTACATTTCTTTTCTTTCTTTCTTTTTATTTTTTTTCTTTTTTTTGAGACAGAGTCTTGCTCTGTCGCCCAGGCTGGAGTGCAGTGGCACAATCTTGGCTCACTGCAACCTCCATCTCCTGAGTTCAAGTGATTCTCCTGCCTCAGCCTCCCAAGTAGCTGGAACTACAGGCACCCACCACCACGTCCAGCTAATTCTTGTATTTTTAGTAGAGATGGAGTTTCACCATATTGGCCATGCTGGTCTCAAACTCCTGACCTTGTGATCTGCCTACCTTGGCCTCCCAAAGTGCTGGGATTACAGATGTGAGCCACTGTGCCCAGCCTACGTTTCTTTTTATTCTCTGCTTCTGACTTGTTGGGCTTCTTGAATCTATGAATTATTTCTTTTCATTACTTCAGAAAACTTCTCAGCCATTAGTCTTCAAATAATGCTTTTTACTCATTTCTCTTTGCCTCTGTGACTCCAGTTAAATGCTTTTAGAATTTTTCACTTTTTTCACTTCTTACTCTTTCTTATGTATCTTTTTTATCATTTGCATTTCTGTACTTTATTCTGGATAGTTCCTTTGCCTCTCTCCCAGTTCACTAATTCTCTTTCCAGCATATGCTCATATGTCTCATATGTTCCTCAACCTATGTGTAAATTTTATTTATTGTGTTTTTCTGTTGTAGAATTTTCTCATTGCTCTTTTCAAAATCTGTGTTGGTTTTTTTACAGTTTTCCATTCCCTGCAGAAAATTTTAAGCTTGGCTTTAATCTCCTTTATCATGGTAAACATGGTTATGTTACAGGATGTGTCTGATAAGTCTAATATCTGGAGTACATGTAGACCTGTTCTATTCTTATGTTTCTCTATAGGTCTCATTTATATTTTATGGTCTTCTTGGATTTCCTGGTTATCTTAAATTTGATACTGGATATTGCATGTATAAAACTACATTTAGAAATAATTTGAGGTCTAGAGTGATGTGATCCTCATTTGGAGAGAACTTGTGTTTGCTTTTGCCAGGTGCTTTGGGGGCATTTGAAGAGTGGGATATTTGCCACAATGATAGATGAGAACAATTGGATCTCATAGCAACTGCTGAATTTTACATTTTTAAAAACTAGGGGAATATCTGATTAAATATTTTGTATCCACTAAAAATTTTGGACAATGCAGACAAGAAGGGAAAAGATAAATAACCAACGGCCCTACCATTCATTAACAGCCGTTAAATATTTAAATATTTAGTTAAATATTATATTTGATTGATAAAAAAACTGAAATAAGAACTGGCTTACAGTTATACTACTGGTTAGTGGTATAAGCAAAGGTAGAATCTTCTAGTACACTATTGTCTTCACTACGTAAAACTAATTTATGCCCCTAAATTAGGTTAGTGAGGAATGTACCAATGTGTCTATAGTGTTTTATTTATTTAAATTCATAAGATTATCTATTTTTCTGTTTGAAATATATATGTATGTTTATGTGTGTACCCACAATATTTTGAACTTTTTTTTCTTATGCATTTTAATACCATTTTATTTTCCCCACTAGTCAAGGAGCCGAGACAACTTACTAGATGAACTAGTCTCAGGGTAGAAGAACAGAGCCCAGGCCCTAGAATAAAGACAACAGGCATGAATGGAGTAGCTGAATGAATTTGTTAGACTCGTTTAAATAATAGATTTTTAAAGCCAACATTTTCAATTGAAGAATATAAGTCTTTAGTTTTGTTTGATTATTTGTTTTTGAGAGAGAAAGAGAGTCTTTTGAGACTAAACAGACCAAGAACTCTAAAGAAGGAAGGCATAAATTTTCTATTAAAAAAAAACCCTCAATAGTTTAGAAGAGAATGCATGCTGTTAAAAGATTTAATTTCTACCCAAAAGGAAATAAAAATTCAACATTCTGGCAGGAGAAGGACATGCTGCCTCACAGAAGAGTTTGGCAAAAAATTCCAAAGGGTTGTAAGGAGAACCTGAGAGCAAAGGTGATTTACGTTTTGCTTCTTGGAGTGGCTTCTGTGAACCTTTCTTAGAGGCCCGCCATCCTTTGTAAAACCAGAGGAACAGAGTAGCAATGACTAGATGAGGTGCTCAGAGCAGTGGGGCACTTGCAGAGTCCTAAACACTCAGGACTGAATCACAGCACCCATGGAGGTAGGGCTTAAGGCAAGGAGACATTGTGTATGCAGGTGGCTCTCAGAGCCCATAGAAGAATGGTGCACATCAAAAATGAATGTTACAGATAAATAGTTCAAGGGAACAGGAAGGAGATCAGCAATTAGACCCATAGAAACATAATTTATCTTTGACAGAGGAACAAAGGCATCACAATGCAGAAAAGAGAGTGTTTCCAACAAATGATGCTGGAACTACTGGACACCCACACGCAAAAACACGAACCCAGACTGACCTTACACCCCTCATAAAAATTAACTCAAAATGGATCATAGACCTGAATGTAAAACACAAAACTATAAAGCTTCTAGAAAATAACATAAGAGAAAATCTAGGTAACTCTAGGTCTGGTGATGACATTTTAGATAGGACACCAAAGGCACAATCCATAAAAGAAATAATTAATAAGCTGGACTTCATTAAAATTTTTAAAACTTCTACTCTGTAAAAGACAATGCCAAGGGGATGAGAAGATAAGCCACAGACTGGGATAGAATATTTGCAGAATACATTATCTGATAAAGGATATTATCTGAAATATACAAAGTATGCTTAAAACTCAGCAATAAGAAGATAAATAACCCAATTAAAAATGGGCAAAAGCCTTGAACAGACAACTCACCAAAGAAGATATGTAGAAGTAAATAAACTATGAAAACATGCTCAACATCATATGTCATTAGAAAATTGCAAATTGAAACAAAAATGAGATACCATTACACAGCTGTTAGAGTGGCCAACATACAGAGCACTGATAACACCACAAGTTGAGGCAGTAGAGCAATGGGAACTCTCATTTACTGCTGATGGGAAAGCAAAATGGTACAGTCCCTTTGGAAGACAGTTTGGTGGTTTCTTACAAAACTAAACATACTCCTGCCATATGATCTAGCAATCATGCCCCTTGGTATTTACCCAAAGGAGCTGAAAACTTATGTTCACACAAAAATCTGCACACAGATGTTGATAGCAGCTTTATTCACAACTGCCAAAACTTGGAAGTCAAAAACATGCGCTTCAGTAGGTGAATGAATAAATAAACTGTGGTACATCCACACGATGAAATATTATTCAGTGCTAAAAAGAAATGAGCTATCCATCCATGCAAAGAAACAGAGGAAACTTAAATGCCCATCACTAAGTGAAAAAAGCCAATCTGAGAAAGCCACATATTGTATGATTCCAAGTCTATGACATTCTGGAAAAGGCAACATTATAGATACCATAAAGAAGACCACTGGTTTCTGCGAGTTTGTGGGCAGGAGGAATAAATAAGTGGAGCAGAAGGGAATTTTATGACAATGAGGCTACTCTGTATGATACTAGGTGGTTGCACGTCATTGCAATTTGTCAAAACCCATAGAATGTGTAATACCAAGAGTGAGCCCTAATATAACCTGTGGATGTTGGGTGATGAGGATGTGTCAATGTAGGTTCATCAATTATAACAATGTACCATTGTGGTGCCAGATGTTGATAGCTGGGGAGGTTGTGCGTGTGTGTGGGGAAGTGATGATATAAGAGTTCCCAGAACTTTCTGCCTAATTTTGCTGTGAACCTAAAACCACTCCAAAAAATAAAATCTATTAAAAAACAAAACAAAACCAAAAAAACAATGTGTCTGGGCAAGCCTGTAATCCCAGCACTTTGGGAGGCCGAGGTGGGTGAATCACATGAGGTCAGGAGTTCGGGACCAGCCTGGCCAACATGGTGAAACCCCATCTATAGTGAAAATACAAAAATTAGCTGGGCATGGTCGTGGGTGCCTGTAATCCCAGCTATGCAGGGATTCCAAGTCCCTGAGGCAGGAGAATCACTTGAACCCCGGAGGCGGAGGTTGCAGTGGGCTGAGACCATGCCATTGCACACCAGCCTTGGCGACAAGAGTGAAACTGCATCTCAAAACAAAACAAAATGAAAAAACCAAAACAACGTATGTCAAAACAATTTGCCAGAGACTATTTCCAATGAGTAACACTTCATGGAGTCCAATCTGAAAGGAGAAGGATTGTAGACTGGACACCCCATTTACTTCGGTGTCAAGATTCCTTTTTCTTCCTCACCCTCAACCCCAGAATTTAGGCCTTCCTCAGGGAGAAAGGAAGATGAGAGAGGAGCTGAATTTTGAGAATGTTTCAAATGACTGAATGGTTACCCAAGAGACTAAATCTCAGACCTTGAGTTAGCTAACTTTTCTGGTATCAGCAATACTGAGGACATGAGAGCTGAAATAATTGAATAGAGTTCAATTACAGAGAGAAATAAAGAATATTGTACATCTGGGTTTTGTCACTCTGCACATTCAAACATACCACACGTGTTTTCAAGTTACATGTAAAAGTTTGATCTTAGAAAAAGAATTCTCAGGAACATGCACAGAGCTTATCCCAGCAAACAGCATTTATGAAGTTGCATCTGACAGGTGAGACACACCTCCCTTCTGGCATCTTCCCCACCTGTAAGGGTGAATTCACTCCTTTTTCATTGAACATGCCATTCTAATGCACAAAGTGCACAGTAAGCCTCACAAGGAGGGCTACTTAAATTTGCATACCAAACAATCCTGACATCTAGAGATGTCTTGTGGTCAGTCAGCACAGAGACAGAAAAATCTGGGCCAGTGACCCAGATATTGAGAGACTCACTCCTCTGAGGGATAAGGCTGCACGTGGCAGACTGGAAAGCAGTGAATTGAAACCTATTTCCTTCTACATTTCTCTGGAGACAAGATGGTAATATACCAGGGCCATGGTCTTCCTGTCTTGATATCTGTGCTCATCCCAAATGCACAAAAAAAAAAAAAAAAAAAAAAGACAGCTTCAGGAGACAGATCTTTGGACAACAAAAAGATCTTTAGATTAGATCTATCTACGCCGGAACAGGCAGGTGGGCTTCAGTCTTTGAAAACCAGAAGCTACTATGCATGAGTTGTTGTTCTCATAACTGAAAATCTAAAAATATAAGGAAATTCATTTTAATACTGACAGATTGGAAAACGGAAGGAAGAATTTAGAAAACTCAGAAATAGTGTCAAAGAACAAGGCAAGAAAGGCTCAGTAACATGCTCATAATTAGATGAAAAACGACGTGCAAGCTCCAGGGATTTTCTCCCCTGGAATCTTCTCTCTCCATGGAAAACCCACACAAATTGGCTGTGTACCCCTGAGAGCAAGGCCAGGATCAGGGAGCTATAATTGTTGTTTAGAGACAGTGCTAAATGCAAGACCAGGTTTCACTCTTGGCCAAAGAAGTGACCTTTTTCTAGAATTTTACTGTATGGTACATGCCCTCTAAGTACAGGAAATGTTAGCAATGGGCAAATAAATCTCATGCTCCGGCATGACTGGAATAATGGCTGAAATTGAAGGGAGTGACAGGCTGTAGGCTGTTATTCAAATGAGGGCAATATAGCCAAGTGGTGTAACATGGCTTGCTAGACAAACATAATCATCAGGAAAAGCTGCAAATCTATAGTTGAGAGATGGCTACAAGTAAAGAGAGAGTAAAAGGGAGAGAAAGGCTGGGTGTGGTGGCTCACACTTGTAATCCTAACACTGTGGGAGGCCAAGGGGAGCAGATGGCTTGAGCTCAGGAGTTCGAGATCAGCTTGGGCAACACGGTGAAACCCCATCTCTATAAAAAATACAAAAATTAGCTGGGTGTGGTGGCACATGCCTGTGGTCAGAGCTACTCGGGAGACTGAGGTGGGAGGATTGCTTGAATCCAGCAGGTCAAGGAAGCAGTGAGCCATGATCACTCCACTGCACTCCAGCCTGGGTGACAGAGTGAGACCCTGTCTCAAAAATAAAATAAAAATTAAAAGAAAGAGAGAGAGAGATACAGTGCATACTTAGACCTCAAGCAGTTAATTAGACAGGAAATACTGGTGAAACTTTCCTCAAGAAATGAAAATAGAGTAAGAATGGACAGGAAAGTAAGATGTAGTAATGATATCAAGCCATGGAGGGAACAGTAGTAAATCTAACACTATTTTTACACAAAGATTAGATAAGTTGTCTGAAGGGAAAGGAAAGAAAAAAAGAAGATATTTGGGCAGATATTTGATACAAAGCTCAGGGTGATAGGTTAAAAAAAAAGTTGGTTTCAATTGGAAGTGAATTGAACAGAAAATGAAGCACAGAGTTGGTGAACAAGCAGAGGTCCAGTTCGCAGACTTGAATGATGACTGATTCCAAAGAAAATTTCTTTTTTTTGAGACGGAGTCCACTCTTGTCGCCCAGGCTGGAGTGCAATGGCATGATCTCAGCTCACTGCAACCTCTGCCTCCTGGGTTCAAGTGAACCCTGGCTGCTTCAGCCTCCTGAGTAGCTGGGATTACAGGCGCCTGGCACCATGCCCAGCTAATTTTTGTATTTTTAGTAGAGATGGGGTTTCACCATGTTGGCCAGGCTGGTCTTGAACTCCTGACCTCAGGTGACTCTCCCGCCTCAGCCTCCCAAAGTGCTGGGATTACAGGCGTGAGCCACCGTGCCTGGCCCCAAAGAAAATTTTTAATCACAATACTTGTAATCAAAGACAAGCCAAAAGATACTACAGAAGCAGGATGCACAATAAGAAATGCCTTATGAAGGAGAGTGGGGAGCGACTGGCAGAGATGGCAAGCTATGAGCCTTGAGAACATCTCCTGACAAACAGTTGCTGGCAAGAAGACTCAGGGATTTTTATTTCATACTGGTAAGGATTTGATAGCCCTCAGACACAGTTCTTTCTGGGAGAGCTCTGTAGTAGATGAGCCATATATCTAACCAAGAGAGATATGAATATCATTTTCCACTGCAAATCTGTCTCCATTCAGAGATAATATGGCATTCTCTTAGAGCACGGCCTGAACTGGGCCATGATTATTACTAACACTTATAAAGACATTGAACATCAGAAATTTTTTTAAATATCAGTGCTTTTGTCATCTTTGGGGTTGTACACATCACAAGTGGAAATAGCATCCTCCCTTAGTTGTATGAGTTGTGTTATGGCACAGGTGGAGCTTCTGAACCATGAGCATCTACCCTCACCATGGGTTTGACCAACCAAGGGATATTAGTTTCTCCCTTTTCTCATGGAGGTGGCAAAGATAAAACATAAAAGCTGTGCTTGGGCATAATAAAAACTTACAGGGCTTTACTTTCGTGGAAAATGTGACCCATTACAAATGCTGACCATGATACACTGCCCCAGGGACCTTCGCTCTTCTCCATTTGGGTGAGATGCTGCTGATTCTGTTTTGACCCTGATAGGTGTTAAGTACCAGGCTCTGAAATACAATTATCACCTCCAGGTCAGCATACCCTGTAGGTATTTCAGTGAAGGATGATGAGGACCCAAGCTCTTCGTTAAACTCCAGCCGACCTTCACACAATTGAGGACACAAGCCTCTTGGTTGGTGCTCATATTATATTATGGAGAGAACTATCATTTCCTAACAAAAGTCAAGCAAAACCCTGAAGAGACTTTTCACCTCTTCCACCTATCTCAGCGAAGAACACACTGTGCTGATTATTTTCTATTTGGCCTCCTACCCCTACCCACATGAGATGAGAGCTCTTCTCTCCCTTCCTCTGCCATTCTCTGCCTTGCTCTGGGACTTAAGAGACTCCCCCTAATGGCCTGTATCATCTAGGTACCCGTATTCACCAGCTTCTCATGGGATCGACTAATGGGAGGCACCATCAAGAGACAACGCAGAGCTAGAGCAGAGAGAAACGCAGAGCTAGAGCAGAGAGAAACGCAGAGGTAGAGCAGAGAGAAACGCAGAGCTAGAGCAGAGAGAAACGCAGAGCTAGAGCAGAGAGAAACGCAGAGCTAGAGCAGAGAGAAACGCAGAGCTAGAGCAGAGAGAAACGCAGAGCTAGAGCAGAGAGGAGTCGCAGTTATTTCTTCCCCACTTGCTCCCAACTTAGGCACAGAGATACTGAGAGCAGTTGTGTCTTTCAGGGACTACAGCTTTTGCCTGAGTTCCTTCTCCTCAGCTCCAGCTCTCAGTGGACTTTGATACCATGACCCAAACCCCAAGGTAACCTTGTGCTCCTTTAGGCCTCAGACAACAACAGCTTCCTGCTCTTGTTACTTTCTGGGTACCCCAACATTCGCTGTTGGTTCTCTCCCCACATTCTGTCTTTAATAAACTTCAGCTGTCTGGTCCTGTTGCAACCCTGACTCGTACAAGCCTCTATCCCTGCTATCTCAGACTGTTTGGGCTGCCATAGCAAAAATACCATATACCGAGTGGCTTAAACAGCAAACATTTATTTCTCACAGTTCTAGAGACTGGCAAGTCCAAGATCAAGGCACTGGTAGATTTTGGGTTTGGTGAGGGCCCTTTTCCTGGTTGATAGATGGCTGTCTTCTTGCTGCATCCCCACATGGTGGAAGGTGAGAAGGAGCTCTCTGGGGCCTCTTTTATATGGCACTAATCACATGCATGAGGGCTTCACCCTCATGATATTAATCACCTCTCAAAGGCCCCACCTCCTAATACGATCACATTGAGAATAACGATTTCAACCTGTGAGTTTGGCTGGGTTGGGGAACACGCAAATTCAGACCATAATACCTGTCAATAGGGAAAATAAGTGAGAATACCCTGCTCTCTTAAAATGGAGTTTTTATTCTTGCAAATGAGTTTTGTTTGGAATCTATGTTACTCCTTGTACTCAGAAGTGAATACTTTGCCACTTTCTCTAACTAGACAGTTTTATGAGAGAATGGAAAGATAAGGCGAGAGGAGAACTTCAGAAGATTTCTTTTCGAGTCTTATATAATTATCAGGCTTGGGATTTCTCTAAAAGCAGATAGCCAGCTGTGTGAATGCCTATCCTTTGTTCTTTTTATCCCTGGGATCACTAAGACCCTTATCAAAAGAACATATTCAAATAAATCCATCAAATCTCTTTGATTTGGCACTTATTTTTAAAGAGAAATAAGAAAGTTTGGAACATCCTTCGCCAATTTAGGTATGGAAGTTTTATTGATTTCAACCTAATACTTAGAGCCTGTAAATATTTTTCAAGTGACTGCTTAATAATAATTTTATAGGGCATAACAGAAATTATAAACTTATGATTGAATCATCAGTTTGTATCATAATTGCAGAAATATTTTATTATAAATTTTAGAAACTTTATACCCTCATCCCCACTACTCCCAATTTTTTCCTAGACTTTCTTCTACTCACTGTTGGCATGCACATTTGTTTTTGGCAGGCTATGGGCTATCTTTGTAAATATGCACATTTCTAGTCTGCTTTTCCTCATAAAATCTTATTTCATAGGCAGTTTTCAGTAACATTTATTTTTTATTTTTAGTAGCTACATAATATTCTACCAGGTATTATTATTTGCCCATCTAATGCCACTCATGAGTATTTAGGTTATTTCCAATAATCAGGCTGTGATGGTTAATTTTATATGTCAACGTGGCTGGGCCACAGTGCCAATATTTGGTCAAACATTATTCTGTATGTTTCTGCAATTACGTTTTCAGATGAAATTTATATTTAAATTGGGGGAATCTGAGTAAAGCAGGTTGTCCTCCATAATATGGCTTGGCCTCATCCAATCAGTCAAAGGCTCAACTAGAATGAAAGACTGACCTTCCCTGAGCAAGAGGGGATTCTGCCTGCAGATGGGCTTTGAGTCTCAACTGTAACATCAGCTCTTCCTTGGTCTCCACCCTCCAAACCCATCCTTCAGACTTTGGACTTGCCAGCCTCCATCATCACATGAAGCAACTCCTTATAATAAATCTCTTTCTATGTATACGTATCCTGTTGTTTCTGTTTCTCTGGAAAATCCTAATGCACAGGTAATCCCTAGAAGTAAACTTTTTTTTTTTTTTTTGAGGCAGAGTCTTGCTCTGTTGCCCAGGCTGGAGTACAGTAGTTCTTGACTCACTGCAAGCTCCACCTCCTGGGTTCAGGCCATTCTCCTGCCTCAGCTTCCGAAGTGGCTGTGACTACAGGCACCTGCCACCATGCCTGGCTAATTTTTTTTTTTTTTTTGGTATTTTTAGTAGAGAGGGGGTTTCACCGTGTTAGCCAGGATGGTATCAATCTCCTGACTTTGTGATCTGCCCACCTCGGCCTCCCAAAGTGCTGCGATTACAGGCGTGAGCCACTGTGCCCAGCCCCCTAGAAGTAAACTCTTTAGAAATCCAGTAGAATCATATTTGCTGCACTTGAGAATTTGAGAACTGTTTCTCTCTTTCTTGATTAGAAACATCATGGGATTAGGTCCACAGTTGGCTCCTTCCAGTGGGTTTGTGGTTGCTGACTTCAAGAATGGAGCCAGGGACCTTCATGGTGAGTGTTACAGCTCTTAAAGGTGGCACAGACCCAAAGAGTGAACAACAGCAAGATTTATTGTGAAGAGCAAAAGAAGAAAGCTTCCGCAGCATGCAAAGGGATCTGACTGGGTTGCCCCTGTTGGCTGCGGGGTGGCCAGCTTTTATTCCCTTATTTGACCCCGCCCATGTTCTGCTGATTGGTCCATTTTACAGAGTGTTGATTGGTCTATTTTACAGAGTGCTAATTGGTCCATTTTACAGAGTGCTGATTGGTCCATTTTACAAACCTCTAGCTAGCCACAGAGCACTGATTGGTGTGTTTTTACAGAGCACTGATTGGTGCATTTTACAAACCTCTTCTAAGACAGAAAAGTTCTTCAAGACCCCACCGGACTCAGAAGTCCAGCTGGCTTCACCTCTCAGGATGACGCTTAAAGTGATTATTCTTTTGTACATAGAGAAATGACTTTTTGAGGCTTATGGAATCCATCAAAATTTTGTTTAGAAGTTTCATATTATAACATAATATTGTGTCATAATCCAGTATTTTCTCTTAATATTGTTTTCTACTTTAATTTTTCTGTAAGTAAATTATTAAAATGTAATTAAAATTTTAAAGAAGAAATTAAAAAATTGCTAATATAGGATTAACTGCAATGAAGATGGAAGAAATGGTTGGTTCTATTCATAGGTTATCTTCATGGACTTCTAGATGTCTGGTGATCAGGATTTGGGTGAAGATATACTAGGTGAAGGGGCAGATAAAATTGGTTAATAATGTAAAGAGATAAGATTTGGGGAGAGAAAATTAAAGAAGCAGTATAAAAAGAATAGCAGAGCAGGAGTGGGTACCTTGCATTCAGCTGTGAACAAGATGAAGGGATGGCATTTCATTCTAACAGTGGGAAGGAAACTGAGATTTGGCAAGGTAAGGGGGAATGGATGAAGCCAGGGCAAGAGTCCTGCTACTTCATGGTGTGCCCTGAGATATGGTTAGATATGAGTAGGTATGCATAGAATAAAAACCAGATTGGGGCTTGGAGAAATGGCCCCAGGCAGACTTGGAGTTTTCCTTTATGGCGAAGCAGAAAGAATTCTGATAATCAAGCTTTTTCTTATCTAACATATAGTTCTGCAACTTGAGAGCCAAAGAGCTGGATGTTGTCCATACCAGGGATGGTTAAAGAAGCTAAGGGAAAATTCAGAGCTGACAAGACAGCTGTCTTCAAATGTCCGAGGACTCGCCATACGGAAGAGAAGAAGGATTTCTGATCAATGGATAGAATTAACAGGGAGACAGATTTGGGCTCAATAGAAGAGACATTTTCTAATCATTATAACTGTCACACAATGGAGTGGATAATCTGTGGAATGTTGAGACCCCAACACGCTGGACGTGTTCAGGCTGGCGTACCATCTGTCAGAGATGCTATCAGACCAGATGACTCACTGTTAAAAATAACATTTTGTAATAATTATTAGAGTAGAATATGTTCGCAGGAGACTATGTAAAAAATAAAGCATTAAGAAGAAAAGAGAAGTCATCCTTAACTGCACCATCTATAGTTGACCCCTATTAACAGTTTGATGTATTTCCATTTGATACTTTTTGCTGTGTACATAAAACTCTACATTTGTACTTTCTAAAAGCATGTATATAGCACATACGTTATAAGTTTTCACAGTATACACATGGACTGCAAATATAGTTGTATAGCTTTGTCTTTTTTCTCTAAATTATGTAAGATTTTTCTATGTTTTAAAATAATCAGAAACATAATTTTAATTTGTTGTGGATGACCTAGTCCTATGAATGGAAGTATCTAGTGTTATTTATATACATGATGTCCTGTTGAACAGCTTTACACACACCTATATATAAATATGCAGACACATATATACAGATGTATGTATGTGTATATGGATGGGTGTGTGTGAGTGTGTGTGTGTGTGTGCATTTTATTTCTTTGGGAAAAAATCTTAGGCATAGAAATATTAGATCAGAGAACACAGACATTTTCTAGTCTTTTGATACAGGACAGGACTCCAGAAAATATACATCAATTTGTAATCTCAAAATAAGTTTACAGGAGTCCTTGTTTTAGCACAATCGTGCCTGTAATAAATCATACTATGTTTTAAGGTATTTGTCAATTTGGTAGCTAAAATTGTATTTCAGTTTTTGATAAAATGAATTTCTGTTATTATTGATACACTGGATTATTTGCCACTGGAAGAGAGAAAAACAGTAGCACATTGCTCATACTCCATAAAGCTAGAGGATCACAACAAATGGAGACAAATATTACAGAATTTCAAAGTCTAGGAAGGTGCAAAAGAGATGGAAGGGGACAGGGAGGGGTAGTGTAGAATGATGGCATAGTCATGGTCAGAGACTCTCCTCTCTGAGGCAGGTCACTCAAATTTTCCTCCCTGAGAGTTGGGCCCCTGGGTACATATGACCTGTCAAGGTAGCTGTTATCTTTAGTAAAATACAAAGTCAGGGAGAGAAATGTCAAGATATTTGAGACAGTCTGCATGTAAGAAAAACCATAAACTGTTGAAACATTATAGAGAAGAGAAAAGGAGCAACATAAAATAAACGTAGAAATTACTCTTAAATAATGGAGAATGTTGGTAGCATGAAACAGAAAGAAGCAGTTGTAAGAAGAAGCAAGTTATAAATACTGGATATAAAAAGTATAAGAATTGGAACAAAGAACATAATGAGTGGACTGAATAACAAATTAGGTACAGTTGATGAACAATTAGTAAGTATAACAATTTAAGGTACTGTCTCAGATTGCATTAGGAGAGAATAGAGCAATAGAAAATAGTAAGAGAAAAAGTTAAAGGAGATAGAAGATCAAAGTAGAAATGTCAATGCCTTTATAAAAAAAATTCAAAAAAGAGAGAAAAATGTAAGCAAAAGAAGGAGTAGCTAAAAAAATTATCAAAAATTTCCTGACATTAAAAAAATGCATAAAAACCCCTTAGATTTAAAAAGGTAATAGAGAATGGAGAATAGTCATTAATTTTAAAAGACCTAAAAGATATATAAGCCAAATACAATGTTTTGATCATGTTTTTAATCCTATTTTGGAAAAAAAAACAATTGTAAAAAATCTTTGAAACAATCAGAAAAATCTGAACACAGACTATCTATTAAATGGTGTTAAAGAATTATTGAAATATTTCTAGGTGTGATAAAGGTATCATGGGTATGTTAAAAAGATGAGTCCTTTTCATTTAGATATGCCAAATTTATTATGAATGAAGTGTGTGATGCTTGCGATTTGCTTTAAACTGGTGGCAGTGGTGCAACAGAAGTATAAATGAAAGAAAATCGGTCATTTATTGACATTTGTTCAAACTGAGTGATGAATACATGGGAATTCATTATAACATATAAGTCTCTTTCTTGTGTATGTGGAAAAATCCTCTAAGAAATCGCTTGAAAACTAAATTAAATTTTAAAAAGAAATGTGTTGTAGAATGAATGCCAAAATAGATAAGAAAGTTCACAGAAACATGCATTCATATTACCTCATTCTAGTCACATTACAGTGAATTTTAAGAAGTTTAGTCAAACTAAAATCTCTAAAAGATTTCAGAGAGAAAAAGTAGATAACCTAGAAAGGAAAAGAATTAGATCGACCTCACACTTATCAACAGCAACACCAAATATCAGAAGACAATGGAGTAGTATTTTCAAATTGTGGAAGGACAAGAACTTAAAGCTTAGAATCATATAGCAAGCTAAATTATCTTTTAAATATAAGGACAAAATAAAGATATTTTCAATCAAAAAAAAAAAAACCTTTAGAAAGTTTCCCAAAGACCCTCTTTGAAAACTCATAGGAAGAAGGTATTTTTAAAAAGAAAAATAAATTGGAGCCCTCATGAGATATTTGTAAAGAAAAAGTAAATTCACTTTTTTATTTTTTTATTTTCAGCTTTCCCAATTTCTTTTTTATTTTACTTTTTTATTATACTTTAAATTCTAGGGTACCTGTGCACAATGTGCAGGTTTGTTATATAGGTATACATGTGCCATGTTGGTTTGCTGCACCCATCAACTTGTCATTTACATTAGGTATTTCTCCTAATGCTATCTCTCCTCCAGGCCCCAGTGCCCCGACTGGCTCCGGTGTGTGATGTTCCCTGCCCTGTGTCCATGTATTCTCATTGTTGAACTCCCACTTATGAGTGAGAACATGTGGTGTTTGGTTTTCTGTCCTCGTGATAGTTTGCTTAGAATGATGGTTTCCAGCTTCACCCATGTCCCTGCAAAGGACATAAACTCATCATTTTTTATGGCTGTGTAGTATTTCATGGTGTATATGTGCCATATTTTCTTAATCCAGTCTATCATTGATGGACATTTGGGTCCATCAAGTTTTTGCTATTGTGAATAGTGCCACAATAAACATACATGTGCATGTGTCTTTATCGTAGAATTATTTATAATCCTTTGGGTATATACCCAGTAATGGGATGGCTGGGTCAAATGGTATTTCTAGTTCTAGATCCTTGAGGAATCGCCACACTGTCTCCCACAATGGTTGAACTAATTTACACTCCCACCAACAGTGTAAAAGCGTTCTTATTTCTCTACATCCTCTCCAACATCTGTTCTTTCCTGACTTTTTAATGATCACCATTCTAACTGGCATGAGACGGTATCTCACTGTGGTTTTGATTTGCATTTCTCCGATGACCAGTGATGATGAGCATTTTTGCATATGTCTGTTGGCTGCATAAATATCTTCTTTTGAGAAGTATCTGTTCATATCGTTTGCCTACTTTTTGATGGGGTTGTTTTTTCCTTGTAAATTTGTTTAAGTTCTTTGTAGATTCTGGATATTAGCCCTTTGTCAGATGCATAGATTTCAAAAATTTTCTCCCATTTGGTAGGTTGCCTGTTCACTCTGATGATAGTTTTTTTGCTGTGCAGAAGCTCTTTAGTTTGTTAGATCCCATGTGTCTATTTTGGCTTTTGTGGCCATTGCTTTGGGTGTTTTAGTCATGAAGTCTTTGTCCATGCCTATGTCTTGAAAGGTATTGTCTAGGTTTTCTTCTAGGGTTTTTATGGTGTTAGGCCTTACATTTAAGTCTTTAATCCATCTTGAGTTAATTTTTGTATGAGGTGTAAGGAAGGGATCCAGTTTCATCTTTCTACATATGGCTAGCCAGTTTTCCCAGCACCATTTATTAAACAGGGAATCCTTTCCCCATTGCTTGTTTTTGTCAGGTTTGTCAAAGATCAGATGGTTGTAGCTGTGTGGTGTTATTTCTGAGGCCTCTGTTCTGTCCCATTGGTCTATATATCTGTTTTGGTACCAGTACCATGCTTTTTTGGTTACTGTAGGCTTGTAGTATAGTTTGAAGTTAGGTAGCATGATGATTTGTTCTTTTTGTTTAGAATTGTCTTGGCTATGCGGGCTCTTTTTTGGTTCCATATGAACTTTAAAGTAGTTTTCTCCAATTCTGTGAAGAAAGTCAGTGGTAGCTTGATGGGGATAGCATTGAACCTCTAAATTACTTTGGGCAGTATGGCCATTTTCATGATATTCATTCTTCCTATCCATGAGCATGGAATGTTCTTCCATTGGTTTGTGTCCTCTTTTATTTCACTGAGCAGTGGTTTGTAGTTCTCCTTGAAGAGGTCCTTCCCATCCCTTGTAAGTTGGATTCCTAGGTATTTTATTCTCTTTGTAGTAATTGTGAATGAGAGTTCACTCATGATTTGGCTCTCTGTTTGTCTTTTATTGGTGTATAGGAATGCTTTTGAGTTTTGCACATTGATTTTGTATCCTGAGACTGTGCTGAAGTTGCTTATCAGCTTAAGGAGATTTGGGGCTCAGACAATGAGGTTTTCTAAATATACAATCATGTCATCTGCAAACAGGGACAATTTGACTTCCTCTTTTCTTAATTGAATACCCTTTATTTCTTTCTCTTGGCTGACTGCCCTGGCCAGAACTTCCAACACTATGTTGAATAGCAGTGGTGAGAGAGGGCATCCTTGTCTTGTGCCAGTTTTCAAAGGGAATGCTTCCAGTTTTTGCCCATTTGGTATGGTATTGGTTGTGGGTGTGTCATAAATAGCTCTTATTATTTTGAGATACGTTCCATCAATACCTAGTTTATTGAGAGTTTTTAGCATGAAGGGCTGTTGAATTTTGTCGAAGGCCTTTTCAGCATCTACTGAGATAATCATGTGGTTTTTTTCATTGGTTCTGTTTATGTGATGGATTATGTTTATTGATTTGCATATGTTAAACCAGCCTTGCATCCCAGGGATGAAGCCAAGTTGATCATGGTGGATGAGCTTTTTGATGTGCTGCTGGATTCAGTTTGCCAGTATTTTATTGAGGATTTTTGCATTGATGTTCATCAGGGATATTGGCCTAAAGTTCTCTTTTTTTGTTGTGTCTCTACCAAGCTTTGGTATCAGGGTGCTGTTAGCCTCATAAAATGAGTTACGGAGGATTCCCTCTTTTTCTATTGACTGAAATAGTTTCAGAAGGAATGGTACTAGCTCCTCTTTGTACCTCTGGTAAAATTCAGCTGTGACTCCCTCTAGTCCTGGACTTTTTTTGGTTGGTAGGCTATTAATTATTGCCTCAATTTCAGAACCTGTTATTGGTCTATTCAGAGATTCAACTTCTTCCTGGTTTAGTCTTGGGAGGATGTATGTGTCCAGGAATTTATCCATTTCTTCTAGATTTTCTAGTTTATTTGCATAGAGGTGTTTGTAGTATTCTCTGATGGTAGTTTGTATTTCTGTGGAATTGGTTGTGGTATCCCCTTTATCATTTTTTATTGCATCTGTTTGATTCTTCTCTCTTTTCTTCTTTATTAGTCTTGCTAGCGGTCTATCTATTTTGTCAATCTTTTCAAGAAACCAGCTCCTGGATTCATTGATTTTTTGAAGGGTTTTTTTCTGTCTCTATCTCTTTCAGTTCTGCTCTGATCTTAGTTATTTCTTGCCTTCTGCTGGCTTTTGAATGTGTTTGCTCTTGCTTTTCTAGTTCTTTTAATTGTGATGTTAGGGTGTTGATTTTAGATCTTTTCTGCTTTCTCTTGTGGGCATTTAATACTATAGATTTCCCTCTACACACTGCTGTAAATGTGTCCCAGAGATTCTGATATGTTGTGTCTTTGTTCTCATTTGTTTCAAAGAACATCTTTATTTCTGCCTTCATTTCGTTATTTACCCAGTAGTCATTCAGGAGCAGGTTGTTCAGTTTCCATGTAGTTGTGCAATTTTGAGTGAGTTTATTAATCCTGAGTTCCAATTTGATTGCACTGTTGTCTGAGAGACAGTTTGTTGTGATTTCTGTTCTTTCACATTTGCTGAGGAGTGTTTTACTGCCAATTATGTGGTCAATTTTAGAATAAATGTGATGTGGTGCTGAGAAGAATGTATATTCTATTGATTTGGGGTGGAGAGTTCTGTAGATGTCTCTTAGGTCTGCTTGGTTCAGAGCTGAGTTCAAGTCCTGGATACCCTTGTTAACCTTCTGTCTCATTGATCTGTCTAATACTGACAATGGGGTGTTAAAGTCTCCCACTATTATTGTATGGGAGTCTAAGTCTCTTTGTAGGTCTCTAAGGACTTGCTTTATGAATCTGAGTGCTCCTGCATTGGGTGCATATATATTTAGGATAGTTAGCTCTTCTTGTTGAATTGATCCCTTTACCATTATGTAGTGGACTTCTTTGTCTCTTTTGATGTTGTTTTAAAGTCTGTTTTATCAGAGACCAGGATTGCAACCTCTGCTATTTTTTGCTCTCCATTTGCTTGGTAGATCTTCCTCCATCCCTTTATTTTGAGCCTATGTGCGTCTTTGCACGTGAGATGGGTCTCCTGAATACAGCACACTGATGGGTCTTGACTCTTTATCCAATTTGCCAGTCTGTGTCTTTTAATTGGGGCATTTAGCCCATTTACATTTAAGGTTAATATTGTTATGTTTGAATTTGATCCTGTCATTATGATGTTAGCTGGTTATTTTGCCCATTAATTGATGCAGTTTCTTCATAGCGTCAATGGTCTTTACAATTTGGCATGTTTTTACAGTGGCTGGTACCGGTTGTTCCTTTCCATGTTGAGTGCTGCCTTCAGGAGCTCTTGTAAGGTAGGCCTGGTGGTGACAAAATCTCTCAGCATTTGCTTGTCTGTAAAGGATTTTATTTCTCCTTCACTTATGGAGCTTAGTTTGGCTGGATATGAGATTCTGGTTTGAAAATTCCTTTCTGTAAGAATATTGAATATTGGCCCCCACTCTTTCCTAGCTTGTAGGGTTTCTGCTGAGAGATCTGCTGTTAGTCTGATGGGCTTCCCTGTGTGGGTAATCCAACCTTTCTCTCTGGCTGCCCTTAACATTTTTTCCTTCATTTCAACCTTGGTGAATCTAACAATTATGTGTCTTGGGGTTGCTCTTCTCGAGGAGTTTCTTTGTGGTGTTCTCTGTATTTCCTGAATTCGAATGTTGGCCTGCCTTGCTAGGTTAGAGAAGTTCTCCTGGATAATATCCTGAAGAGTGTTTTCTAACTTGGTTCCATTCTCCCCATCACTTTCTGGCACCAATCAAACGTATATTTGGTTTTTTCACATAGTCCCATATTTCTTGGAGGCTTTGCTTGTTTCTTTTCACTCTTTGTTCTCTAACCTTGTCTTCTCACTTTATTTCATTAATTTGATCTTCAATCACTGATATCCTTCCTTCTACTTGATCGAATTTGCTATTGAAGCTTGTGCATGCGTCACGAAGTTCTTGTGCCATGGTTTTCAGCTCCACCAGGTCATTAAAGGTCTTCTCTACACTGTTTATTCTAGTTTGCCAATCGTCTAACCTTTTTTCAAGGTTTTTAGCTTCCTTGCAATGGGTTAGAACATGCTCCTGTAGCTTGGAGAAGTTTGTTATTACTGACCTTCTGAAACCTACTTCTGTCAACTCGTCAAACTCATTCTCCATCAGTCTTGTTCCCTTGCTGGTGAGGAGCTGTGATCCTTTGGAGAACAAGAGGCACTCTGTTTTTTTGGAATTTTCAGCTTTTCTGCTCTGGTTTCTCCCCATCTTTGTGGTTTTATCTACCTTTGGTCTTTGATGTTGGTGACCTACAGGTAGGGTTTTGGCGTGGATGTCCTTTTTGTTGATGTTGCTGCTCTTCCTTTCTGTTTGTTAGTTTTCTTTCTAACAGTCAGACCCCTCAGCTGCAGGTCTGTTGGAGTTTGCTGGAGGTCCACTCCAGACCCTGTTTTCCTGGGTATCACCAGCAGAGGTTCAGTTGGAAAAGCGGAAATCACCCATCTTCTGCGTTGATCTCACTGGGAGCTGCAGATCGGAGCTGTTCCTATTCGGCCATCTTGGAAGTGACTCCAGTTTACTCTTGTTTAAATAAATGTTCCCTTCCTTCCAAGTTAATGACAAAAATTAATCAATAAAATTAAAATAGCAGTGTGGCTTGGGACTTGGAGTGGGGGAATAAGTAGAAAGGACAGAAACCAGAGGGAAATGAGAACTTCCTAAAGTATTTTTCTTGTTTGAGAACTATTTATATATGAATAAGCCTTAGAAATAGATAGAAAAAAGTATGAATTTTAATAAGATATGAGAAAGTACTAGAAAGACAGAAATATATAGTTTTCAAGCCAATATAAAGCAGATATAGAATATTAAATAAAAACTAAATAGAAATCACGATGATAAAAAATCATTAGGTAACACGAAATAGTTTACCATTAATTACCACAAATATCAATAGCTTAAACTCATATTTCAGAAGAGAGATTCTCGGAATGGAAAAAAATTCAACTTTATGTTTTTTTCAATAAGCAAACTGAAAAAATATATACAAAAAAATTGGAAAATAATAAGATGAAAAGAATATCTTATGCAAATGTGAACCAAAAGAAAGACAGGGTAACAGCTTTAATAAGACACAAAAATGATTGTATTCCAGATCATCATAAGGGACAAAAGGGACATTTAATATTGCAAAAAGAAACAATATACCCTGATGATATAGTAAACATGAACATATATTCACCTAACAATATAGTCGCAAAATGTATACAACAACTGCAGACATATAGAGATGTAAAAATATCAGAAATTGTAATTAGATATCCCATATATTCAACTTAGAAACTGTTGGACCAAACGGAATTAAAAAAAATAAATTTATTGAGGATTTGAATAACACAATTAATAAGCTTGAATTAAAGAGGAAATTTTTAAAATATCCAAAATGTAAAAAATTTTAAATGCCTCAGGTGTGATTAAAAAACCAAATCAAATTAATCTAAAAACATAACACCCAAGAACCTACAGTAGGCATAATCTTAAATGAGAAAATAATTTAAAAGCATTTTCTTTAAAATCAGGAACTAAACAAATACATTACCTGTACCACTTTTTTCCTTCAACGTTTTAGTAGAGAGCATAGCCAGAACAATAAGAGAAGAAAAAGAAAATAAAGATATTTAGAATTAGAAGGGAGGAAATAAAATTGCCCTTAAAATCTGCAGACAACATAATTGTCTACAAAGAACCTTGACAAAAAAAAAAAAAAAGTCCTACAAATTATTAGAAATAGTAGGAGATTTTTGTAAGGTACCAAGATATAAGATCAATATTTTCAAAATTAATTGCATTTCTATAATGGCAACAAATTAATGGAAAATGTAATTTATATGGAACACTATTTACATTAGCAATAAAAATAATAAAAAGCTTAGTAATGAATCTAACGAAGTATATAAAGGACCCACACACATTAATTATGAAAATTTACTGGAAAACATTAAGGAAACCTATGAAAATGGAGAAATATCTCATGAGTAGGAAAAGTTTATGTCAAAATGATATTAATTCTCACTAAATTAATCTACAGATTGAACACAACTCTAATTAATAGCGTTTTTCATGGAACTTGACAAGCTATTACTAAGTTTCCAGATACATGTGAAAAAGAAGAATAAGGAGGAAAGATATGCTTAGCCAGAAATCAGGACTTACTATAAAGCCATTGTGTCTGAAAGTATGTTATTACACAGGGATGGACAAATTACCCAGTGGAATAGATTAGACATCTCAGAAACAAAAACCTACAGTACGGTAAACTTTGATAAATGATAAAGATAGTATAACAGATCACTGGGAAAAGGAGTGATTGTTCAATGAAAGGAGCTGGAAAACATGTTGATTCAAGTTAGGGGAAAATTAAGTTTTATCCTTAGTTTAAATGAAAAACAAAATTAACTCCCAAAGAAGTAAAAGCTTAAATGTCAAAGAAAGGGTACAAAATATTAGTAGAAAATATAGATGAATATGTTTTTGCCTTTAGGACTGGGAAAGATTTCTTAAACAGGAACAATATTAAATAATAAATAAATATTACACAGGACAAAAAGTTAAATTTGGCTGTCTTAAAATCTTACAAAAACTAAAAGTTGTTTTATGTTGGGAGGAGACGCTTACTACATATATTTAGAAAAAGCTAGATCCATAATTATTGCTGGGAAAAAATGGTTCACTTAATGAAGAAAAATAATTTTGGATACCTACCACATGATATATGCAAAGTTCAACTCTAGATGGATTGGTAAAAACTATAATGGTTGATTTTTTTTTAACCTTTAGAAGGCAAAGATCTTATACTTCCAAAAGCACAAAACTTTATAAGGCAAAATGTTAGCTATGACTACATCAAAATTTAGGATTTCTGCTTAGTAAAGAACATCAGAGACAAAGTTAACAGCTGACAGACAGGGAGAATATATTTATTCAACAAGAGAAAATACAAGATACACAACAGGAAAATGGGAAAAGAATATTAGAAGTCAATTCGCAGAAGGAGACCTTAAATGACTAACTAGTATATGAAGAGATGTTTAATTGATCTCTCAAGTGAAACCTCATTGACTAATAAAATGACCAGTGATATTAAACAAGAAAGTTGAATGTTATCTTTTTGGCCAAGATACTGAAAACAACATCCTTGTCCCTGCTGGTGGAAGCAATTTGGTCATACTTAGTGAAATTACAGATACACAATAACCCATCCATCTCTTTCTCCTGAGGGTATGACATTGACCAGTGGTTCTCAGGTTAGGGTGATTCTTCCCGTCTCCACCAGAGGACAATTAGCAATGTCTGGAAACATTTTTGATTGTCACAACTGGGAGAATGCTACTGGCATCTACTGGGTAGACCCCAAGGTGCTGCTAAATATCCTACAATGCACAGGACAGCCCCTACCAACTAAGAGCCGTGCAGCCCCAAATGTTCATCGTACTGAGGTTGAGAAACCCTGCCCTAGAGAAACTCTTATATAGGTGTGGAAAGGGGCTCATGTGAAGTACTCTATCACAGTATTGTTTCCACAAGTGGGGAGCCGGAACATGTAAGAGTCTATTATGAAATAAAATAAAACATAAAATATGCTGGAGACACAATACCGTGTGCAGCACATAGAAGTAGCAGAAAAAAACACACAATAGGCATAGATCTTAAAAGATGGTGTTAAGTGAAAAAAGGTGAGAAATAAAATTAAGTCGACAGCTCAATATGATTTGTATAAATTTAAAATATACATACCCGAAGCAAAATCATATTTTTTACAAGAATATATTATTTCAAAGGATATTAGCAAACACATTTGAGTACCGTGTCTCTAGAGGAAGAGAGGAATGAATTGGTGTGTGAGAAAAATCCAAAAGATTAAAGCAAATTAACTTAAGGAGAATAGAGCCTGGCTTGAACTAATAATGATGATGTGTCATTGATGAAGAAATAGTACTAATTTGACTCCTCAAGAGTGAGATTAAACCAACAAATAACCGATATATATCGTAATATTTTTTATTCTATGGAGAGTATACTTCTTAAAAGTGCTCATGAAACATTTATTTAAAGAAACTAATGATGTGTTATATCAGGAAGAAAAATACATTTCAAAAACTGGAATTTATAAAGACCACATTCATTAAAAAAAGTTCTAAAATAGGTTAAATAGAAATATCATTTGCTTTTAAATTAAAAAGCACTCTCAAGCAGTTCTTGGATCACAAAACGAGAAAGGAAAATGAAAGCAATCCCAGACTACATAGGCAGTAAGGACAAAGGCAATTTTGCATCAAAACTTATTAGATGTGCTCAAAGTTTTATTCAATATGAAATTCATAAGACCTCTACCTCTTTTTTTATTAAACAAGAAAGAATATAAATATATGATCTAGGCATTCACCTCAAAATATTAGTAAAAGAACATCAAAATAAACCCAAAGAAAGTAGAAGGAAGGATTATATGCTGACAAATTCAATATTAAAGCATCAGAAAACAGAAAAAGAACTGGTTCTTTGAAAATTAAAAAAAAAAGAAGAAGAAAAGAAAATAGCAGACAAATCCCTGGGAGAGTCAGCGAGCAATAAGATGAAGGGAAAATACTTGTCTGAACCATCCAGCTGGAGACATAGAGTCCTTTCTCACATCTTAAGCAAGAAGCCCCGGGAGTGGAAGGTTTAATTCCTGTTCAGTACTTTGGCTGCAGGAAGGGCATTATGAGGGGTTGGGTGTATGGGGATGGGCAATCAGCTCCTACTCATACATGATTTCTCTGTTTGGTTGGACTGAGCTGAATACACACTGAGCTTGCTGAGTCTTCTGTCCAGCATCAGCTCTTCTCTGAAGTCCCTGCTGCTAGTGCCCTGGGCTACTACTCCCGAGTGAAGGCAGCTCCACCACATCCAGTTTTCTGCTTGTTGTGGTTTTGCTTGTCCTTCTCCCTTTGGACTCAAGTCATTGTTTCAGTGCAGATTGAACCCTGTGACACATGCCCGTTGACACAGCCTCTCAACCAGATTGGATGTTAACTCCATTGCTGCCAGGGCATTCTTTGCTCACCCCTTGTGATGGAGCCCTGCTTTCCCAGGAAGAGGTATGTGGAGTTGGCCCTCCACCTGGTCCCATAGGCAGTATCCCAAACTCCCTTGATGACCATTGCATACGAATGACATTCTTCCCTCATTTTAAGTAGTGGTACAGGTTTTCCTCCATTGATACTGTACGTGGTCATTTCCATCATTTGCAGGGGCAAGGGAAATTACATGCCTCAAGACCAGTCACCTTCTTCCTCTCAAGTAAAGCATTCTTCAACATGTGCCCCTGGGCAAGCCAAAACATACATCTTCCTACAGCTTATTTGCACCTTTTATTTTTCATATTCATAGCAGATGTTCAAGGATAAAAATATCCCATTGATTTAAAAGTAAAAATAATCTGCCTATTTAACTGCAAAAATACTACATTCTCATTGTAAAAAATCAATGATACAGAGATGTTTAGAACAAAAAGCTAGTAGCTTCTTCTATCTACATTCCAATTTCACCCCCTCAACCATAAGGTAACAAATTTGAAGAATCTCAAGTATGTTTCCATAGTTTTCTCTGTCTTTTCATATATACTATTGGTTTATAGTAATTGTTTAAAAATATAAGTCCTCATATTTGTGGATTGACAGAAAACCACAGCTTCCTATCTGAAGTTCCTTTGTTTCACAGTAAATTTTGGTACAGAGTAGTGAGTATAGAAGCTGTGACCATATTACCAACTAAACCATGGGACTATGTCCCAAGAAGCCCATCCCTCCTTAATTTTAATATAGAATTTCCAGTCATCGAGAATTATTCACTAAGCTCGTGGCTCAAAATATTTTGTGTTAGGAAAAGATCCTGTCAGAAGAATTTAGTAAAGCCTGCTTTTCCACTACTAACAGCTGTCCAAAAAAATTTTTCAGGAAATACTAAGAAAAAGTACCAAGATACTAAAAATATGGAAAGAAGAGCTTTCCATGAGATACTAGTAAGGTGAATGGTCAGTATTAAATTATAAGCAAAATATTCAGTTAAAAAAAATGGCCACGTGTTGAACATTGACACCACTGATAAGAATGACCCTTGCAGGAGACCATGGCCTCCTGGCAAAGCTCCAGGGAAAACAGAGAGGGGCATGACCCTGAATCAAGTGAAGCCAAATATAATGTTACAAAGACCGGATTTCACATGCAGTCCTCATTCCTGCTGCTCTGATTGCATCGTTGCAATCGCTCCAATTCAGGCTTGATATTTGCTGAAGCTTACTTATTCCCCATGGCATGAAACCAAATTACAGAAAGATGGCTTCACTCCATGCTAGTTTGGACAGGTACAAATATTTGAAAAGCCTCTTTGTATGTCTATTCCTTGAGCATGGAATGGATGTGAGCTTGTAGGGCTTGGAAATGTCAATGAATAGAATTGTCTGATCACCCAAAGGACTTGCTTCGTGGGCGTGTTTAGAAGTGAAGAGGTGTGATGTGACTTATCAGTAAAGGGAGTGTCCATGGCAACCAGCCCCAGGTTTCCTTGGAGATACTGTGCTTTGGCGGGAAGCCAGTGAAGAAGTGCTTTGGAATGGAGTCTAGGAAATAACAATGACACAACCTTTGCATGGGGACAGATTGCCCCAGACATATATACCATGCTATAAATGGATGTGAGGCTCCATACATAGAAAGCATGCAGCAAACATATAAAAGTTGAGGGTTCTAAAAAACACTAAAAAAAAAGTCTTGAAATAGGATCTATACTGGCTTTAACATCAGTTGAGCAAAGGAAGCTATGTGATTAAAACTTTAAGCAATTTCTCCACTGATCACAATTTTCCAACTAAAGAATTTTTCAAAAAAATATGAAATAGGAACACAGAATTAAAGGGCCAAAAATAAATGAACATCATAATCTTGATATTGAGGCTTATAGATTCACGAGTTTTCCCTCTTTTCTAAGGAAGACAGACTTTTGCATTCTTGTGTCTATTTTTCTTTTCTTGCTTTTACTTTAGACAGCTTCTACATTTCAATAAAAGTAGCCAATGTGTGCCAATATTGGAGCCTCACCTCCTCATGTCCATAGAGAGTTGAGGGAAGTCAGCAAATTTTGCATTTTGCATTTTGGATCATTGGTTCAGAAAGGAGCTGCTGCAGAGCTTGAGCCCTTCCTAGCATTGTCACTAAATTCCTTAGTGTTTAACTTTTCCCCACAAAGTCTACTGCTAGTTAACTGAAGGATAGCTTCAGGGAATTTCACAGCTTTCAACACAGGAAAATTGTGGGCTGGAGTGAAAAAGTTCAACATTAGGAATCAATCAGGAGATTTAAGTGTGAGTCCAGGTCAGGCCTACTGTGAATCTGGGCAAATCACGTTCCTTTCATGCTTTTATTAATTATCTAATTGTTTAATTCCATTTATGTGAAATTCTCCAACAAGCAGAAGTATCATCAAAGAAAGTAGATGCGTAGTTGCCAGAGGCCAAGGGCTGGAGAGGAGGTCGATCGATCGTAAGGAAGCACAAAGGAAGTTTTTAGGGTGATGGAAACAGTCTGGGTCATGATTACAGTGAGGGTGACCTGGCTGCATACATATTTCTCACATCTCATCAGATTTTATACTTAAAATTGGTGATTTTATTGTATGGAAATTATACCTCAGTAAAGTGGATTTTTAAAATTCATGGTCACTTGTCCAGTTTCTGAACCCTCTCCAGTTTTAGTCTCCCTTGTCCCTGATCTTTCCATCTTTTTCCTTCCAGGCCCCTGGCCAACCGGTGAAATCACTTGCCACTACCCATCTATCCTTACCTCAGGCCTCCAAAGGGGTCACCAAGTGCTGTACCTGAAGCTCTGGCTGTTGGAACAATTTCCCATTACTGGCCTCTTTTGGGACCACCCTTGAAGAGGGCTGTATTGCAATGGCAGTTCACTTTTACTTTATACCTACATAGAAAGTCATCCGTCCAGGAACCATACTTGGCCTTTTTCTTCCTTTATCAACAATTATAAGGGAACCCCATATGGGCTACAGGTAGGAACTGAGAGGCACTAATGAACAGTGGCATAGGATTCTGGGTCACCTTACTTGTGCCCTCTGGTTCTGTTGGAACCCAGACTCTGATAGGCAGGTTAGTTGCACAGTTCCTGATTACCCATGGTTGGGTACTCGACCCTCCAGGGCTCAGAAAGGCTGATTCTTTTGGAAAAACAAAGAAACAAAAAAACTAAGATAGATAAAACTCTGGAAAGTTAAAAAAGGGAAAGAAAAAGAAGGTGCAAATAAATAATATTATAAATGCAAGAGAATGCATAAGTATAGATTAGGTAAGTATAGATAGTAAGTATAGACTGGGAGCTTTCTGCAAACGGTGTGTGCTTTGCAGCAGAGAGCGTGACCTTGCTCCAGAACTTCAAGAATCTCCCTTGTTATTCTCCTGATGCAGCCTGCCATAAACTCCACATGGTTTCTTTTCCCACCGCAGATTCTTTGCATACTGAATCTGCAAGGTTTCATGGTCAAGTAGCTGGCCTACCTGTGTGGCAGCCTGAAACTGATGACGGTTCTTGAGATGCGGTAAAGAGATTAGAGCACTTCCAGTTTTGAAGAGGTCTGACAGATGTTGTGCTTCCTTTATGTGGTGAGAGCTTGGAGTAAAGGACAAATTATTGTATCACCAAGGTGTCAGCACATGAAGCCTGCTCCACACCCTTAAATCCTTCCCTGCTGTGGCAGCTCCCGAATTTACATAGGGTTCACTCTCTCTCTCTAGAGTACGTGTGTCCTACTAACACTTGAGAGTATTCATCACTTCTCAGTTAACAGCTCCTTTTAACATGAATCATCGATTACTAGAGTAGACCCATATGATATTCTGTGTAATGTTCAGACAGTCCAGGTGCATTGAAACTATATTGACAGAGAGTGAGATAAAATAACCGTGGAGTAAAACCATTGATGTATATTGTTTTCTGTCCCAAGTGAATGTGAACTGTTTCTGATCTTTCTTTCTGAGTGGGATGGACAATTACCTTTACACTGCTCTAGCAAAGACTGCCCATCTTGCACAGCTGCTGCAATTAGGGCTAATATTTGATTAAGTTTTTAGTTGTCCACCCTCCACGATATGTTTGGTTATAGCAGTGATGGAGCTTGTCAATTAAATAGAGATATTTTTGCTACAGCCAGTTCTGTATCTATCAGTTGTTCAAAGGCAGAAGGGATGTACTAGAAATAAGAAAAGGCTGAAAAGTAATGAGCTATATGAACAAAGTAAAAAATGAGAAAGGGTAAAAGAGTAGAAATCCAAAAGAAGATGAAAGAAGTGCTGATAATAAAGGTAAAAAATTTACGAAATAAAAACAAAGATACAATAGAGAAGATGATCAAAGCTAAAGGCTGATTCTTTGGGGGAAAAACTAAGATACTGCCCTGCAAGTTTGAAGAAGGAAAAGAAAGGCAAGGCACAAATAATATTATAAATGCAAAAGTGCATAAGTATAGATTAAGGAGAAAAAAGGAAAAGAGCTTAATATCAAAGACAGACCAACAAACCTCAAAACTCTAGATGAATAGAAATATAACTTACCAAATCTGTGCCCAAAATAAGTAGAAATGCTTAACAACTTAAAAAACTATAAAATAAATTGAAGTAGTAATTTAGTATCTTTACACACACACACACACCCACACACACACCCACACACACACCCCACACTAGGTTCAGTTGGTTTTATTGGCAAGTTGTAACAAACTTAAAAGAAACAGATTGCCCCAATCTTAGAGAGTATTCTAGAGGGGAAGAAAAAAAAGGAATATATCCAAACTTACTCTATGAGGCCAGCATAACTTTGATTTCAAAACTAAAAAGACAATATGAGAAAGGAATGTAAAAGACCCGCTTCACTCATTAATGTACATGTGTTAAAGTCCCCAACAAAATAATAGCAGACATAAACAAACAATATGGAAAAATGATTATATACTATAATTAAATGGAATCTGTCCCAAAACAGGATGGTTTAACATTTGAGAAATCGCTGTCATTTGCTGCATTAACATATTGAATGAGAAAAAGTCATTTCTTAGAGATATGGTACTCCTCTTACAGGTGACTTTACCTCCAAGGCTCCTATTAGTCTGATAGCAATTTTCTTAGAAATTTGCTTTAAACTGAAACCCTTCCTACCCAACCCTTCCATGTTTCTCCCGTCTTTTACAGGGGTCAAACTTGCATTACAATCAGATGACTTTCCTACCTTCTCCTTCATGGATTTTTTTTAAGGGAATGCTGGTTAGCTTGATGAGAGAAGACAGCAGAGTTGAGTGAATGGGCAAAAGAAGTGTTGTCTAAATCTTTGAATATAAAGTATAAAAGTCAGTGAAAGTGAAGTATTGGAGCTGCCAGAAAGAGGATCATTAGGGAATTAAATCATTGAAGAGTTGTGAGAAAGTATGCCCAGAATATAGGCTGAAGGATCTTCTTAGAAAGGATAAAGGAAAAGCCATTCTCTGAGAATAGGGAAAAGTTTGGGAAATATACACAGATTCATTAGTCAACAATTACTGAACACTTACTATGTGCCAGGCACTGTATTAGACAAGGGTATTCAATGGTGAACGAAGCAAAAATGCTTGCTCCTCCCATGGAACCTACTGTCTCGAGATGGAAACTGCATTAAACAATTGCATGCAGATGAATGCAATAGTGCCAGTTACTAAACTCCATGAAGAAAAAGATCAAGATGCAGTGAAAGATGATGGTGTGGTTCTGATTGAGAAAAACAAAGAGTCAAGGAAGGTCTTTCAGTGAAAATATAGTTTGACCTGAGAGCTAGATGATGGCTAAAGGACAGTGAGAAAAAGAGTAAGGCAAGAAATAATCTAGGTAAAGCAAAAATGCCTTGTTTGAAGACTGAACCAGAGCAAAACTTGGTTATATTAAGGAAGCACCAAATGGTCAATCTGCCTAAAGGGTAGTGAAAGAGGGGAAGAGCATCAAGGGGCGAGTATAACGAGGTGAGCCTGTCCTGAAAGATTTTAAAATCCCCAAGAACTTAGATTTATTTGAAGTGCAATGGAAAACAAATTCAAATTGCTTTTAGCAAGAGAGTGACATTATTTCAAAAAGGTTTCTCTGGCTGTCATCTGAAGAATGGGTTGCAGGAGGGGTATGAGTATAAGTAGGAAGACCCTCTACTCTCATGTGGCAATTGAGCTGAGACAATGGTGGTGGCTCGTACTGATACAGAGGGAGGTGGAATGAGTCTAGGCATTTCGAGGCGATAGAATAAACAGGATTTAGTGACAAATTGAATGTTAGTGATGACGTGGAAGAGGTGTTATGAAGAATGACTCCCAGATTTCTGTCTTTAGCAACCAGAGAGATAGAGATGCTATTTACTAAAAGGAAGAAAAACAGAAAGAAAAGAGCGTTAGGTTGGAGAAGGTGGGGAAAGAAGGATGGAGGTAGCATGATGAGAAAGTTTCAATTGGGGACATGTTATAACATCATGAGGAAGCCAGATCTCTAGTGGGTAGTTTGGTAGGGAATTAGGAGCACAGATGAAGAATTTTAGATGGGTAAGAAGGTATTCTAAAATAGATAGGATGGGATATCTTAACAGAATGAGAGATCCTCTATTTAGAAAAAAAAAGAGGAGAGGGAGATTGAGATTTGGGACATGAGCCTAGTGGAAGAGGCTCTGAGGAATATGCAACAGAATCCCAGATGAGAATTGAGCAACAATGTAGGTGAAAGTATTATAGCATTAGACTGCCTGCATGTGTGCTGTGCCCAGCCATTCCCATGGCTAATATTGCGCAGAATAGAGGAATGTTAGTGCTGTGTGATATTCCAAAAGACCTGTGGTCAAATTCCTCTTTACAGGCCTGGAGCCTGATTGATATTCATTGTATACCACATGCTTTTTTTTTTTCTCATGGGGAAAAGAGAAAAAAACAAATTGCAACCGTTAACTGTTATTTTCAACTTAAGTCTCATATGATCTGTGTGCATTGTTGTCCAAAAGATCATTTTTACCTTTTAGGAACAAATGTACATAAGACAACTGAAAAAATTTCTGGAAGAAAGTCTTAAAAATAACAAGTACCAGCTTGTTATTTACTATAGCAACTAAAGAAGAACAAAGGACCTGCCCATTCATCTCACCCTGAGGGAATAATGTTCTGATTGAATGGCATCACTGCTAATTATTTTTGCATTAGGAGCTGTATGAAGAGGAAAAGAGCCCCTTCCGCATCTGAGTTAAGATGACTTAAGTCCTCGGTATCTGTTCCATACAAAAAGAGGGGGTTCGGGCTCTGTTTAGATATAAAAAATAAGAATTAATCTCAGAAGCAGAGAGCTGAATACTCAGGCAGAGAGTTTCTGACTATTCTGTAAGGGGTGTGTGTGTGTGTGTGTGTGCAAGTGCATGTGCAGAAAATACATGAGCAGTTGTAGAAATCATTTGACTGGCCTCTAAGCTTCTTGGCATCTTGAAATTTTGCCTCATTGCTGATTAAAATATTCAAATATGTCTAGCCTACAGAGGGAGGTCTCGTCTGATTTTGTCAAGCACCAAATATAATAAAGCATTCATGAAGTAAGGCATCATTCCAAATTCTCTCTTGGTTAACCACACATGTGAAGGATTAGGCTACTCAGAGTTTAAGGCTATACCTTTAAACTGCCCAAAGGAATACTGCATAATTCAAGCCTGCTTCAGTGGTATGCTGGTAAATGTTTAACAGTCAGCTCTCAAGGAGGAAAAAGCACCATGATTTGTAGCATTTGCCAATTTCCATGGTGTAAAACTTCCACCATAGCTGATTCCAAGCTACTGTAGGTTTAACAAATGGCTTGCAAAATTTCAGAAAATTTGACATTCAAACTGGTATGAGCTAGCTCCAATACACTACGGCAAATAGGTTTGCAAATTATTGCTGAATTAATGGCAGTATATTCTAATTGCGGACAAAGGAAACCAAATGCAATTAAAAATAAACATCCTCTTAGAGCTGGGGTTTAATTCCAAAACTTAAATAATCTTTCTTAGAACAGGATTCCACAAAAGGTCCAAAGTTTTTGAAGAGTCATTCTGTTTTGGTTAACATTTTATTTTTAAGCATTATAAAACAATTGGAAAATGCAGAAAATAATTTTTCTCTAGAAGCCTCTTGGGAACTAATTTTAAAGTTGCTGACAGGAATCAAGAAATGACCCAGTGCTTGGGAAATCTGATACAAATTCTCTGATCTGACCCATACTCTGTAAATTGATATTGCTGAGCCCCCTTGTCTTGGGGTATTATTTTGTGTCTAATATTAGGATAAGAACCTTTGTGCCTCATGGAAATGTACCTGAATCCCCATGGAGGAGCTCTGCATGACAGAGAGAAAAGGTGACATATAATTACATGCGGCCTTATTATCCCTCTTGGCCTCACCATTCTTACAGAAAACCATTTAAAAGAAGTTCCTCCAGCTAATGGACAATAAAATTGATACTATACAGATGTAAGTTCAAATCACTGTTAGGATGATTATGCATGGTAATATTTAAGATACACATCATTCAGTTATTCAATAAAAAGTCTTGGAGATAAAGTGGTCATCAAGACAGTCTCTACCCACATAAAACTTAAAGACTAGTGAAGGAAAAAGGCAGCATATAATCACACACACAATAAATAAATGTGTAGTTATGAGTTATAGTAATGGCCATAACTGAAAAAGACAGTACTATCAGAGTATGCCGTAGAAGTGATGCTTGATTTGAGACATAAAAGAGAGGTGGAAATTAATTAGGAAAAGGGGATGAAAGTGAAGACTATTCCAAGCAGGAGGAATCGTTGCTTGTGCAAGACTTTGAGATGGGAAAGATCATGGGGTCTCTGCAGAGCTGGTGGTTGGCTGGTTTGTGTGGCTAGAGTCGGAGCACTAAGGGAGAACGGCAGGAGGTGGAGCTCTAGGAGTTGAGTTAGAAACCAGATCATGAGAGTCTTGACAGAATGGTGCAGACGCCAAAATGAAGTTGATATTACTCACAGAGATGTAGCTTTACCTAGCAGAACCATGAAAAATGCTCTGAAAAGAAGAAGGTTAGGAAGAAGAGGGTAAAATTCTGCTCAACTCCTCACTTCTAAAGGGGGAAGAATAGACATGAATTCTTTCTAAACATTAACTTTAAAGTATTTTTTAACATTTATTTACTAATGGTTTCTACTTTAAAAGTAAAATTTCTAATTTTCAAATATAAAAAAGAAGAAAAAACAGAAATTGATCAACAAAATGTTATGAAAACAAATACATTAGAAAGCAACCATGGTTACCCTCTTCCTGCCTTAAGCGATTGTATCTTTAAATAGATACATCTTAAAAATAGTGGATAAATATAACTTTAAACATACATCTTTAAATAGATACGTTATTTGGTATGACATTTAAAACATTAAACATAATAGAAATATATTTCTAATCTTAGTTTTAAATTTAAGAAAAGACTAAATTTTTATTAAATCCTTTTTGTCAACTGATATTTTCTATGATTTGCTAATGTGATTATTGAATATTTTAACACATTTTATGATAATGAATTAACTTTGGATTCCTGTAATGAAAGCTACTGGTAACTTTCTCTTTGTACACTTTCTGCTATGACCACAAATACTCACCATTTTACTGAAGGTGCTAGCCAAGATAACAAATATGAAAAAATAAGACATGTTATTAATATGACCATGAATATTAACATGTACCTGAAAAAGCCAAAATGGTCAACTAAAAAAATCATTCAAACATTCCTATAAGAGAGTTCAGAAAAGTGGTCAGTTACAAAATAGGTACTTTAAACCAATCACTTTCCTTGATAAATAGCAATGCCCATTGAGGAAAGATTAAGAAAAACCACTCTATTCTTGATAGTAACATTAGTATTGAAATAATTGGTAATCATCTAGGAATGTTATTGGTCTATATGAAAGAAACTTTCCAACTTTTTACAGAGGGAGATAAATTTGAATAAATGAGAAACTATATAATTGTGAATCGAAACTTTGAACTTGTGAAGATGTTAGTTATCCAACTAAAATGAAAAAGTACCCTAAAAAATGAATTGAATCAGTTCCATAAAGAAAAGGACAAAGTTCATCTGGCATTGATACTTATGCAAGAACCTCTTTCTCTCTCTCTCATTCTTTCTCTGTCATATCATGGAATGTACTTATCAAATGGATTTTTAAATAAATAGTTAGAAGACAACTGGGTAACCACATATTCACACAAGTTAGATCTGGACTTCAACTCACCCATTAAAACAAATCTCGAATGGTTTCAAGAGATAAATGTAAAAATGGAATCATAAACAAATGAGGGGAAATGATAAGCCTATGTGTATACGTGAAAGACTTTCTGACATCAGTATCAGGAAGCATTTCCGAAACATTGATCGATTTGATTATATAAAAACCAAAACCTTCCATACATTTAAAGATGCAACATAAACAATTTGAAGCCAAACAGAAATTGAGAGAAATATTAAATACATATGCAATCAATAATTAGCATCTTAAACGTGTAAAAGAATTTTTAAAATCACTGAAAATGTCAACATCCCATTGAGAAGTTATAAACAGGAAATTAGGACAAGGAGAAAATCAGCATTGGCAAATATAGATCTGGGAAAATATTCAACCTAACCTGCTAAAATATGCAAATCAATACAACAATAAGATATTATTTTCCACTAAAAAAACTGACAATTATTCACAACTGGTGTAGGTTTAGGCAAATTAATTTCTTAATATTCTTATTTGGAGATATACAATTATTATGTTTTGATTTAAAATTCTTAAAAGTTTGCATAACTGTTGATGTACTAGTTATAAAAAATTTTATGAAAATCTGTGAATGTACACAAGACTGTACACAAGACTGTACACAAGAAATGTACACGAGAAATGAGGAGAAAACTGTACACAAGAATGTATGCGAAGACTTCACATTGAGGCTGTACATTGACATGATTAAGAATGAAAACTTTGGCTTTAGGATCCTTAGTTATGCTATTCAATCTGTCTAAACTTCCTTTCTTTATCTGTAAAATGTGTAACATAGTATCTGGGTTAAAAGATTGTAGAGATCAAATGAGTACTATAAGTAAATACACTGAAAGTACTCAGGAAATCATTATTATTTGTTTTAATAACATTATTATCATCAGCAGCAGCATTTTTAGGTGGCCATATTGCATGTGGTACAAAGTTTGGATTTTTAAAAAGTCATTTGTTCATACATTCACAGAGCTTTCCAGGCCTGGGGAATACAGCAGTAAACCAAAGTCCCTGTCTTCAAAGAGGGTCCAATGTAGTGGAGTAAGTTCAACCATAAGCAATTAAATGAGATGATTTTATTTGTCAGAAACAAACTATGGAGAAAATAAAGCAGGGTAAGAGGTTTAGAGGATGGCTTTTTTTTTATTTTATTTTATATAGGCTCCCACACTTCAAAAAAATTTAAAAAGGTGAAAATATTGGTGGAGAAAATCATGGAGATAGACCAGGAAAGGAGAACTACAAGTGCAAAAGGGCTTGACATTTTTGAAGAATAGTAAGGGGCCAGTGTGGCTGGGAGTGTGTGAGCAGGTGGGGCCGGGAGAGACAGAGACAGAGACAGCGACAGAGACAGAGACGAGAGACAGAGACGAGAGACAGAGGAGAGAGAGGAGAGAGAGAGAGAGAGAGAGAGAGAGAGAGAGAGAGAGAGAGAGAGAGAGAGAGAGAGAGAGAGAGAGAGAAACATGGCATGCAGTGCACTGGTTTTGAAACACCCAGGATGGCCGGGTGCGGTGGCTCACGCCTGTAATCCCAGCACTTTGGGAGGCCAAGGCGGGTGGATCACGAGGTCAGGAGAGCGAGACCATCCTGGCTAACACGGTGAAACCCCCTCTCTACTAAAAATACAAAAAAATTAGCCAGGCGTGATGGCAGGCACCTGTAGTCCCAGCTACTCCGGAGGCTGAGGCAGGAGAATGGTGTGAAACCGGGAGGCGGAGCTTACTTACAGTGAGCCGAGATCGCGCCACTGCACTCCAGCCTGGGCGACAGAGTAAGACTCCGTCTCAAAAAAAAAATAAAAAATAAAAAATAAAAAGAAAAAAAGAAACACCTAGGATCTTGTGGGCCATTGTAAAGGCTTTGTTTTTGTTTTTCCTCTGAGAGAAATGAGAAGCTTTGAGCAAAGAAGTGACATAACACACATTTTTGAAGGATTCCTTTTGCCACTGTAGGAGGCAAGGTGTAAGTAGGGAGAATGCTTTGGAGGCTACGCAGTTTCCAGATGAGAGATGAAGGTGACTTTGGCTAGGATAAGAGCCAGAAAAGTGCTGGAATTTTGCATATATTTTGAAGGAAAAACTGAAATAATTTTCTGGAAAAAATTAGATGAGTCAGGAGACTCTACATTTTTGGTTTGGCTCGCTGGAATATGGATGCTGCCATTGGCCATGATGGGGAAACCTACAGGAGGAGTATGGGGCAGAGTGAGGTATTCAGTATTGAATATGTTAAATCTGAGACATCTATTGGACATCTGAGACACAGAATGGAAAGTTGGCTCTGTCAGTCTGTCTATACATGCAGGAAGTGTGACCAGCCTGGAGATGTAAATATAAGAATGTTCTGCACAGGGGTGGTATTCAAACCCATGCAACTGGAAGAGACCGTCAAAAGACTGAGTGTAAATGAACAAAAATAGAAGTCTAAGAACGGAGCCTTGGAGCACTCCTACATCTGAGGCCAAGATATGAGGAGTGAGTGCTCAAGAAATAAGAAATGAGAAGACATCAGAAATCAAATGAGGACAACGTATCAAGAACAAGGAATGATTAATCGTGGCTTATTCTGCAGACAGGTCAAAAAGAGAAAGGCCAAGAAGTGACCCTAGTATTTAGCAATGTGGATGTCATTGGTAACTTTTATAAGAATGGTTAGATGTTGCTAACTGGAAGATTGAAAAGACCAACTCCATTAGGGTAAGAGCAATTCCTCCAAGTCCATGTTTCTCAAAGTGTGATCCCAGGACTGGCAGCATCAGCCTCACCAGGTACCTTGTTAGACATTCAAATTTGCAAGGTACACTTGTGTCTACTGAATCAGAAACACTGAGGGTAAGGCCCAGCAATTTGTTTTAACAAAACTGTGATGATTCCAATGCATGCTTACATTTGAGACCCACTCTTCTACGTAATGGGATTACTGTAACTTTTTATTTCCTTCTTCTTGCTTTTTTCCCCTATTAACCATATATATTTTTGCCTTGAATATAAATTATCCATAATAATATCTTCAATTTTTAAAGAATGAAATGTGATTCATCTGTGTTGAAAATGCTGAATGATACAATTGAAATACTGATAGATTTTCATTGGTCTTTGTAGAAAAGCTAAGTTACTGAAAATGGTTAATTTTATGTTTCATAAAAGTACTGACATAAGGCTGAGTTTATCAAATCTCTGTGCAATGTTACAGAATTTTTCTTTTTGTCAACAGTGCATAAATACTGCTCTGCTAAACAAGGATGAGTGTATCTGACAAGTTTTAAAGTCATTAGAAAAAAGGCAAAAATAATTTTAAAGCCTCTTCTCTCTTCCATGTGAAATGATATAAGTTGCTAGTCAGTTTGACTGTCACAGGAAATTACTATAGTAGCTTTAGCTGGTGAGTGAGTTTTAAAAAAAGGATAAATGCTTGACTCTTTTCATTGAGGTAAGATACAAAGTGTAGGCCTTTTATACTTTGGATATTACATCCCATTTTGGTTTTGTAGTCCATTCATCTTGAACTTCTAAAAAGCCATCCCGAAGCTCTGCTTTTTATTACATAAACCATGTGGGAATGTTAAAACCCCAAGACTTCATTTCTAGGCTCCATTCCAACTTCCCTACTCCCAAAGAGAAATAATAATGAAGAATTAGCTTCAGTTTTAACAAACATTTGTTTTTCCCAATCGGAAAAAAAAAAAGGATTTTGAATTCAGTTTCTTCCTTTTAAGATTTTACTGTTTGTTAGGATTAAGTTTGGTTATGACAAGGAAAAGAAATAAGCAAAACCAAAATATCTTAAACAAGGTAACAACTTATTTCTTTCTTATATAAAGTGAAGGAGAGAGAGTTCAGGGCTGCTACCATGTTTCTTGGTACAAGATCCTAGGCTCCTGTCTTCCTGACTGACTAGTAACGGTCTCCGTTCCCAGGGTCTCCTGTGATCCAAAATGCCTGCTGCAATTCCAGCCCTCACATCTCTATTCTAACCCAAAGGAGGAGGGAACAGAAGGATAATGCACATGCTCCATTTAAGAATGCTTCCCACAGCCAGGCACATCATTTGCACGTATATCCCATTGGCAGAACTCATTCACATGGCCCTACATGGCTGTCAGGAAGGCTAGGAAATTTTAGACTTTATTCAAGGTGGCCATGGCCCAGCTAAAACTTGGGAGAAGAGTTAACAGATGTTAGGGGCCACCAACTAATCTTCTTCATAACAGTCATCTAACTCTTTTTATTTACTCTTAGAAAATATTCAGGGAAATTCTTGCTTGCCTTTTTTTTTTTTTTTTTTTTGAGACGGAGTCTTGCTGCATGTCCCAGGTTGGAGTGCAGCGGCGTGATCTTGCCTCACTACAGCCTCCAGCTCTCAGGTTCAAGTGATTCTACTGCCTCGGCCTTCCGAGTAGCTGGGATTACAAATGTGCGCCACCATGCCCAGCTAATTTTTTGTATTTTTAGTAGAGACAGGGTTTCACTGTGTTGGCCAAGTTGGTTTCCAACTCCTGATCTCAAGCCATCTGCCCACCTCGGCCTGTCAAAGTGCTGGGATTACAGGCGTGAGCCACCGTTCCTGGCCACCTCTATTTTCATAGAGGCAGTGTGGTATGGTAAAAGGTTATTGGACTAGGTGTCAAAAGAACGGAGTTTTTGTCTTGGTTATATCACTTACAACTAAGTTGCATGACTCTGGAAAATTATAGAAAGGTTATGTAAAATAGTGGAAAAAGTACTGGGCCTGGAGACAAAAACTTGGACTTGAATTTTGGCTCCATGACTTACAGATGTATGACTTTAGTCTCCTCATCTGTAAAGTAGAAACAACAATGTATAACTTGCAAGATTGTTAGGAGGAGTATATGATTAATGTACGTGTACACTAGGCACATACTTATAATTTAATCAGTTAGTTTCCTTACTTCTCTGAGCTTCCACTTCATGATTAATGAAATTCTAACATTGCATGAAAAATTATAAGATACCAAAAAAGTAAAACATTTGTATAATAAACTGAAAAAAATGCTTGTGACGAATAACTTCAAGGTTAGAGATCTCCAATAAAATCAAATTCAAATGAAAGACACAGTGAACTTAGATCTTGGCATACCTCTGGGTTTTTTTGTTTGTTTTGAGATGAGCCTTTGCTATGCTGCCCAGGCTGGTCTTGAACTCCTGGGCTCAAGCGATCCTCCCACCTCAGACTCCCAAGTAACTGGGACTGCATGTGTGTGCTGCTGTGCTTTGGGGCTTTCCTTTTTAAGAAGAAAAGTTTATCCCATTACTATTGACACACAGGGCAGAATTTTCAGCTGTTGTTTTAGTTCTTAGATCACTTTTTAGTTTTTGTTTTTAGTTCAGTCTTGTCGTTTTCTTGGGGCAAGTAAAAAGTCATTCTCAACGTGAAAAAAAAAATAAAAATAAAAAAGCTAGACCCAGTCATTGTATGAGTGGAAAATGTATCAGATTAGGAGAAAATTTCACTTCATTTAATAGCTCTAGGCCCCAGGTTTCTTACTTGTTATCAGCAAAAATAAAAGAACAGTGTCCTCTACTTACAAAGCATTTATATTTAAAACTTTCATTTAATAATACTTACTCACCAAATCTCAGAGATATTTAAGAGAGACATTTGATGAAATTACCTTGAAAAATATGTGTCATTTTTACAATATCACTGATTAGAGATGTGAAAAATTCTCTTGGTGCAAAACACAATTTAGAGAAAAGTTATAGTGTTCTTGTTCTCAGATATCAGGCTTGCCAGGATAGAATAGAAGATAAATATATTTAACAGTTTTAAACAAAAAAGAAAGTATAAAAAGTAAAAGAAAATATTTAAAAGGAATAATTCTACAGAGAAAACTAGGCCTAGATAATTTTATTGGCAACTAACCTCTACTGAATATTCAGTAACTAGTTATTTTCAAACTTACATAAACTATTTCAGAAGATAAAAAAGAAGAAAGATCCCCTACTAGTTTTTGAGGCTGGCATAACCACAACCTGAGAATAGCATGAAAAAAGAAAATTGTATGCTTGCCTCACTCATAAACATAGATACAAAAATTCTAAATGAGGTACTAACAAACTAGATCCACCAATGTATTAAACAGAAATAGAGCACTGCTATGTTGGATTTAATCCAGGCATGCAAGGTTGGGTTAACAACAAAAAAAAACCCATCTTAAGAAAATGATGTAATTCACCGTTAATTCACTCCTTAAGGGAAAAAAAATGATGATTTCAACTTATGCAGAAAAAAAAAAGCATTCAATAAAATTAGACATTACATCCTGATTTAAAGACAAAGACAAAAGCAAAAAACAAAATGACAACAAAAATCACTCTGGCAATTTAGGAAGAGAAGGCAACTTTTAAACTTGGACACACAGCATGTAAAGAAAACAAAACAAATCCTGATAGTGAACAACATCATTAACAAGAAAATTTAAAAACATTTTCTTTAAATTCAAAAGAAAGTAAAACACCCATCATCTCTCCTCAAAAATATGCTGACCACATAATAAGAAAAAGAAATAAAGAATACAAAGATTAAAAAGGAAAAAATCATCATTATTAACAAGAACGGTTATTATTAAATGTTTTTTCCACATAAAGCCCTTTGGAATCTTTAGGTTATGTCTCATTAAAAAAAAGATTTAAAAATTTATGTTAAAATAAACAACTTCTTCTGATCAAAGACATCATAAGATAAATGAAAAACATTACAAACAGAATATGCTCACAAAACATGAAAGAGAAATGATTAAAGTTCAGAATAAAATGATAAATCAATAAAAGCCAAGATGGCCAACTAGATGCAGCCAGGGAGTTTCTCCCGCTGAAAGAGACCAGACCATCAAGTAGACTGGCACACTCCAAACAGATCTTTGGAAAGAAGTCATTGAGAGTGGACAGAGGGAGGATGCAAACCCTGGGCTAAAAGAGGAGGAATCTGGGAACCCTGCACAGTCCTGGGAGCACCAGGACTCATTCCTGGCCCCAAGCAGCTCCTGGGGAAGGGATGAGTTAAATAGATGTGGAGTGGCCTATTCTCACCATGGACCTTTGAAATCCTAGCTGCAGGAAACCCCAGGACTGCCACAGACATTCGAGCTGGCAGGGGTAACTGCCTGGAGAATTGGTGGAGACAGACTTCCAGCCTGCATGGAGCCCAGAGGGTTTGGCAGGAACAGTTGCAATGGAGCACAGCCATAGGTGCCCAACCCACAAGGCTCTCCATGCTCCTCTATGTGGTTTTCATCTTTGTTGAGTGTCATACCTAAACAGAGCAGGGCTATCTTGCCTGTGGGATGGGGACAGTCTGATCTGAGTGCCCCCCAGTCTGTCAGCCTATCCCAGGGTCCCTGCTTGGCCACACCTGCATGCAGTGTGGCATCAGCTGCCAAGTCAAGGTGCTTGCCAGTGGCCATCACCATAGCTCTTTCATCATTAGACTCTATCTAACAGTTGGAGAGCTTCTGAAGGCAGGCCCCTGCTGCAAGCACCCACCGATAGAACTCCTCCACTGGTGCATACCCACCTGCACCTCCCCGTGCTGCTTCAGCCATGTGTGTGCATGTGCAGGACCCACTGCTGGTGCATGTACAGGAACACCTGCTGCCCACTGCTTTCCTGTTCAAGTGCTTTTACCAGCACCTCTCATTGGACTGTTGCTGCCAGTGAACTGGGCACATCTTGACCCCTCCAGTACAACAGGTTCCTAACTTCGAGGAGCCAGAGAAAAAAGCTGCAGGCCTGGCTCCATCCCCCACAGGGTTAGAGCACACAGGCTAGGAGTATTGAGCTGAGCCTTGGCCCCTGAAATCATCCAGAAATGAAGCCAGTCGACTAAACACAACTTATAACACAGTCAAGCCCTCAAGGGTATCAAAGACAATAAAAGCAAAACCCTTATCCAAAGGACAACAACTTCAAAGATTAAAGGAATATCAGCCCAGAAAGATGAGAAAAAAACCAGTGTAAGAACTCTGGCAACTCCAAAGCCAGAGTGTCTTCTTACCTCCAAATGACTGCACTAGCTCCCCAGCAATGGTTCTTACCCAGACTGAAATGGCTGAAATGGTAGACATGTATTCAGAATCTGGATGGCCAAGATCACTAAGATTCAGGAGAAAGCTGAAACCCAATCCAAGGAATCTGAGAAATCCAATATAATAATACTATAGCTGAAAGATAAAATAGCAATTTTTCACAAGAACCAAACTGATCTTCTAGAGCTGAAAAACTCTCTACAAGAATTTCATAATATGATCAGAAGTATTAACAGCAGAATGAACCAAGCTGAGGTAAGAATTTTAGAGCTTGAAGACCAGTTCTTCAAATCGACTCAGACAAAAAAAGAAAAAAGAATTTAAAAAATGAACAAACCTACAAAACCTCTGAGAAACAGGGGATTATATTAAAAAAAAAAAACAAATATATGACCCAATGCCATCTTAGAAAGAGAGGGAGAGAGAAGAAGCTTTTTGGAAAACATATTTGAGGATATTTTCTATGGAAATTTCCTCAGTGTCACTAGAGAGGTCAAAATGTAAATTCAGGAGATTCAGAGAACCCTAGCAAGATACCATATAAGATGCCCATGTCCAAGACACGTAGTCATCAGATTCTCCAAGGTCAACATGAAAGAAAAAATATTAAAGAAAGCTAGAGAGAAGGGTTGGGTAACATACAAAGGGAACCCCTTCAGGCTAACAGCAGACCTTTCAGTAGAAATCTTGCAAGCCAAAAGAGATTGGGGGCCTATATTCACATCCTTAAAGAAAAGAAATTCAAACCAAGAATTTCATATCCAGCCAAACTAAGCTTCATAAACAGAGGAGAAACAAGATGTTTTTCAGACAAGCAAATGCTAAGGGAATTTGTTATCACTAGATCCTTAAGGGAGTGCTGAACGTGGAAACAAAAGACTGTTACCTGCCACCAGAAAAACACACTTAAGTACATAGCCCATTGACACTATAAAGCAACTATATAATCAAATCTACATAACAACCAGCTAATAACACGAGGACAAAATAAAATTCATACATGTCAATATTATCCTTGAATGTAAATGGGCTAGATGCCCCATTTAAAAGGCACAGAGTGTCAAGTTGGATAAAGCAGCAAGACCCAACTGTATGATGTCTTCAAGAGACTCATCTTACAAGTTATGACATGCACAGACTCAAAGTAAAGGGGAGGGCAAAGATCTATCAAGCCAATAAAAAACAAGGTAGCAGGGGTTGAAATTCTTTTTTTTTTTTTTTTTTTTTTTTTGAGACGGAGTCTCACTGTCACCCAGGCTGGAGTGCAGTGGTGCAATCTTGGCTCACTGCAATCTCTGCCTCCCAGATTCAAGCAAGTCTCCTGTCTCAGCTTCCCAGGTAGCTGGGACTACAGGCACCTGCCACCATGCCTGGCTAATTTTTGTATTTTTAGTAGAGACGGGGTTTTACCATATTGGTCAGGCTGGTCTCAAACTCCTGACCTCAGGTGATCCACCGGCCCTAGCTTCCCAAAGTGCTAGGATTACAGGCATGAGCCACCAAACCCAGCAGGGGTTGCTATTCTTATTTCAGACAAAACAGACTTTAAACTAATAATGATCATAAAGGACAAAGAATGGTATGAAATAATGATAAAGGGTTTAGCTCAACAAGAACACTTAACTGTACTACATATATATGCATGCAACACTGGAGCACACCAATTCATAAAACAGGTTCTTAGAGACCTATGAAGAGACTTAGATAACCACATAATAATAGTGGGAGACTTCAGGACTTTACTGATGGTGGTAGACAGATTATTGAGGCAGAAACCCAACAAAGATACTTGGGACCTAAACTTGACAGTTGAACAAATGGACCTAACAGATATCTACAGAAAACTCCACCCAACAACAGAATACACATTCTTCTCACCTGAATATGGCACATACATGAAGATCAAACACACTCTCCGCCATAAAGCAATTCTCAAGAAATTTTAAAAAGCTGAAACCATATCAGCCACATTCTTGGACCACAGGGCAATAAAAATAGAAATCAATACCAAGAAGATTCTCAAAAACATACAATCACCTGGAAATTAAACAACCTGCTTCTGAATGACTTTTGAGTAAAGAATAAAGTTAAAGCAGAAATCAAGCAATTATTTGAAAGAAATATACACCTATACATAAACTTCGATGTACACAATATTTCATAATAAAAATAATGCATAGTATAGAATGAGCTGAATGCATATTGCTGCTTTGTCCATACTAAGACTTGTTTTAGGAGTTGAACTAAATCTTACCTGAATCTTATCTACTGACTTTGGTTTTACATTATCTCCATTGTAAAGTGACTCCCCAAGAGATGTCTTTGTGTTTTTACACAGCCTGGCTTCAGAAGACAGTGGGGTGATTATCTTTATCCTTCCTCTTTCTTATGAAAATGCTCCAGTCTGATTTCTTCCAGAGCCAGTTTCTCCATGGAACCAGACAATTCACTTTGAAGGCACTACTCTCATTTGCAGAATCATCTGTAAGCACCTATCTATGCAGGACGTAATATCCTCTTCTCACCTCATTTGTTGCGTCTTTCATGTTCTGTTGCTGTTTGCAAATCTCTCTCTTCATTCTCAAATCTGACCCCAAAACAAGGTTCTCCCAAACCAAACTAAGTAATCAACTTAGTCCTTCCACTCTTTCTCTATTTTTCCTTTTTGTGCAAACAGCTCTCCCTCCCTTTTTAAATGGAAGTAGAATAAAGCAGTCTCTTTCCTGGCAATTGCTCAGCTCTGTCTACCCATTTCCCAAATTCTGCCTCACCAAAGCATAGAAATGGAACCAGAAGACTCACACTATTCTTTAGAAATGGAAAGCGTCACATCCCTGAAACCAAAGTTGTCTTTAGCAGAATTTTTTTTAAATAGGTTTTTCTGTTACAAAAAGTTTGAAAGATGTATAATTTAATATCTTTTCTTATATCTCAACTGTATCATTGTACTTTCGGGTGAAAATACCCTCATGATATGATGTTAAGAATGTGACCTTTAGAGTCTGGCAGACTGAAATTAAATCTCAGTTTGGGTAAATTATTGAATGTCTTGGCACCTCATTTTCTTTTGTTAAATTGGGATATAAATACCTACTTACTTGGCTGTTGTGAAATTAAATATAGTGATACTTACACAGCATTTTGTGGAAAGTCTTGACCCTTGGAAGGAACTCAGTAACTGGTAGTTTAACTGTATATTCAAAGCCAGGCACGCTGGCTCATACTTGTAATCCCATCACTTGGGGAAGCTAAGGCGGGAGGATTGCTTGAAGCCAGGAGTTTGAGACCAGCCTGGACAACATAGCAAGACTAAATTTCTACTAAAAAAAAAAACAAAAATGTGTCGGCTGGGTGCGGTGGTTCACACCTGTAATCCCAGCATTTTGGGAGGCCGAGGTGGGTGGATCACCTGAGGTCAAGAGTTCAAGACCAGCCTCGCCAACAGGGTGAAACCCTGTCTCTACTAAAAATACAAAATTAGCCAGGCATGGTGGTGCACACCTGTAGTCCTAGCCACTGGGGAGGCTGAGGCAGGAGAATCACTTGAACCCAGGAGGCGGAGGTTGCAGTGAGCTGAGATTGCACCATTGAGCTCCAGTCTGGGTGACAAGAGTGAAACTCTGTCTCAAAAAAAAAACAATGTGTATATTCAATATTCTGCTAGAAGCAGTAGGGGGAAGAAGAATAAGTAAATAAATTGTGGTTTCTCAGTGATTTACCATTTTTATATGAGAAGCTCACATGCATGCACACACAGCACTGAGGACTACACAAAGAATAGGGACAGGGACAGGGGCAGAAAGAGTCAGGGAGAACTTTTGGTGTGGAGTTTTCATGGACAGAGGGAAAGAGTCAACTGCTGTAGAAAAAAATAATTATCTGAGATACGTGGGGGCATTCTCTGCAGCCTTACTGGGCCATTTCATTCATTCCTCCATTGGTTCAGTATTCTTCAATTATTTGAATGGAAACAGAATGAACCTATTTAACTTCAAAAGTAATTAGAATGGGGCCAGGCACAGTGGCTCATGCCTGTAATCCCAGCACTTTGGGAGGCCAAGGCGGGAGGATCACTTGAGGTCAGGAGTTCGAGACCAGCCTGGCCAACATGGTGAAACCCCGTCTCTACTAAAAATACAAAAATTAGCTGAGCATGGTGGCACACACCTGTAATCTCAGCTACTCTGGAGGCTGAGACAGGAGAATCGCTTGAACCAGGGAGGCAGAGGTTGCAGTGAGCTGAGATTGCACCACTGCACTCCAGCCTGGGCGACAGAGTGAGACGCCATCTCAAAAAAAAAAAAAAAAAAGGTAATTAGAATGCTGTTTGCCTGCACCATTGTCCCTTGTTCCCCACCACTATCTCTGAGATGGAAGGACTACAGATCCACAAGGGAAACAGGCAGGTGATGCTCTACGCTGTGGCTATAACTGCTGTCACATTTTTGAGTGATGTGCTGTCCTTCACTCTCACCCTCATCAGTACTTCTCTTCTTATTCATTCTGAGACAGTGAGACAGCAATTTCCAGAAAACACCTAGGCAAGAAGGAGAGAATTAGCAGGAGTTCCTTGCATCCTGGGAGGATCATTCCCCATTAGCAACATGCAGAAGGGAAAAGAAATAGGCAGAGCTGGTAGAAATCACCAGGAAAAAAAAAAAAAAGACCAAAATGTACCTCATGTGACCCCAGGCTTCAATCACCGGTTTGTCCAATGTGTCACTGTAGCTTTGTATTCTGAATATCAACAGTCTGGTCATCTATGCAGTGGATGAGAAAGAAGCTCAATGTTTTCCAGGACTGAGGACCCTCCTCATCTTATTTTATTTAGAGGCAGTGGAGTATGTGGTTAAACATGTGGCACTGAAGCTGACAGTCTGGGTTTAAATCCTTATTCTGCGCCTTGCTGACTCTGTAACTTTAAGCAAGATAGTTCAGTTCTCTGCCTCAATTGCTTCATCTGTAAAATGGGGATCATCTTGGTGTGTCCACTTCACAAAATTATTGTGAGAAGTAAATGAGTTAACAATGAAAGTGCTAAGAACAGAGTGACTGTTAGGAAAAGTGCTAATTGGTATATTTGTTAGGGGTCAGAAAGAGGAGAAGGCAGTTCTTACTTATAATCGGAGCCTGTCTGACGTTGTCTGGCTGCCCTTTTACTCCTATGATCACTCTTATTTTGCAACCCTTGTCACTAACTTCTCTGGAACTGCTGACCTCTTCCTACCCACACACCACCGCCCATGTCACTGCCTAACTTGACTGTAGATTTTTGAGAGTGTCAAAGAAAAATCATTAGAGTTTGAAGAAGAGTTCATCTTGGGCAGCAGGAAGACACCAGGGAGCATTAACAATGACTGGGACTCGGACTGGGAACTGCTCATAGCACTGGGGCCATCGACGGTGAGGAGAGGAAATGGGGAAGGGGAATCAGCACGGGGCCTGAGAATGCACAAGGCAAAATCACTAGACCAAAGGAGCAAGAAAGGTAACACATAATCACTACACCGAAGAAAAGAGTCCTGGTTTCACTAAAGATTAAACAATCTGTGCTGAGCAAAGAAACCAGTAAAAAGAATTCTGCACGAAGGCCATACTGAAAACATGCATTTTAAAAATTTGAATAATTATGAGAAAATTTGAAGCTTTCTACCAAAAAATAAGTCACATAAAAAAGAAGAAAAATTGGGATGACATCTGCATGATGAAATGCCAAAGAACAAAAAGGCAATACTTAAGATTTGAGAGAAAAAAGAAAGCAGAGACTCTCAATTTTGTACTAGTCCAGCTTTTCGGGTCAAAGAAAAATATTTCTTAAATATGCAAAAAGCTAGAAAATCCATTGTCTACGTACCCCTCATGAAAAATTTACTTGAAGACACAAAAGCAGTCAACTGAGCTATAAAGGAAAACTAAAGAATAGGAGCATGGTGGTTTATACTGATTTGCAGGTTTTTCTTGTTAGGAAATACTAAGTTTGGGGTTTTTAAAAGTAATTATAGTTAATTATTCTTAAAAAATAGAAAATGTAGCAAATGTTGGAATAATCCCACTCTAGGAAAATTATTTTTTTCATTTTTAGTTGACACATAATAATTGTACATAGTTATGGGATAAGAGTAATATTTTGAGATATGTGTACGATGTGTGATGATCAAATCAGGGTAATTAGCATGGTGAGAACCTGGGATATTTGCTATTTTCCCTTTTTGATTTTCATCTTCCCCCCAAATTTTTACCCTACACTAACACATATTACAGTGAACTCATACTACATAGTGTTCATAAAAATGATATTAAAATCAATATATGCAATAATATATGCAAAATTCTTTCCTCTAGCTATTTGGAAATATATAAGACATTGCCATTAACTGTATTTACCCTCTGGTGCTATAGAACACTAGGACTTATTCCTCCCATCTATCTGTAATTTTGTATCCATTAACCAACCTCTTCCTCTCCTCCCCTCTCTCATCCTCTAATAACCATAATTCAACTGTATACTTCTATGAGCTCAAGTATTTTTTAGCTTCCACATATGAGTGAGAGCATGCAGTGTTTAAATCTCTGGGCCTGGCTTATTTCACACAATATAATGTCCTCTAGGCTCATTCATGCTGCCATGAATGACAGACCTTCATTCTTTTTTAATGGCTGAAGAATATTCCATGGTTATATACCACATTTTCTTTATCTATTCATTTGTTAATAGTTAATATGTAGGTTAATTCTATATCTTGGCTATTGTGAATAGTGCTGTAATAAATATGGGGATGCAGATATCTCTTTGATATGCTGATTTCTTTTCCTTTGGATAAATACCCTTTAGTGGGATTGCTGGATCATATGGTAGCTCTGTTTCTAGTTTTTTGAGAAGTTTTCATACTGTTCTCCGTAGTGGCTGTACTAATTTACATTCCTATCAACAGTGTATAAGAGTTCCCTTTTCTCCACATCGTCGCCAGCATTTGTAATTTTTTGTCTTTTTGATAAGAGTCATCTTAACTGGGGTGAGATGATACCTCCTTGTGGTTTTGATTTGCATTTCCCTGATGATTAGTGGTGTTGGGCATTTTTTCATATGTTTGTTGGCCATTTGTATAAATTCTTTCTAAAAATGTCTCCTCAGACCCTTTGCTTATTTTTAAATTGCATTATTTGGTTTTTGCAGTTGGGTTGTTTGAGTTTCTTGTTTATTCTGGAGATTGTTCCTTTGTTGGATGAATGGTTTGTGAATATGTTCTCCCATTCTACAGATTGCCTCTTCACGCCATTGTTTCCTTTGCTGTGCAGAAGCTTGTCAGTTTGCCATACCACGCTCGTCATTTTTTTTGTTGTTGTCTGTGCTTTTTAAGTCTTATCCGTAAAATCTTTGCCTAGACAAGTGTCCTGAAGCATTTCCCTTACATTTTCTTCTTTCAGTTATATAGTTTGGGGTCTTGTATTTAAGTTTTTAATCCATTTTATTTTTATATATAACAAAAGATAGGAGACTAATTTTTAAAGTAATTAATTCTTCTTAAAACCAATAGCAAATATAGCAAATGTTGGAATAATTCTATTCTAAGAAAGTTATTTTTAACAATGAAGAACAATGCTGCACAGAACTACTGGAATCTTGGTATTCTGCACATATAAAACCCATATTAAGGATCCTGTGTCATTTTGACAGAACTAGAACCTAATAAAATTAGTGGCAGATATGAACCTAAATGATGCCTCTCTTTATGTCATCTTTTACCTAGTACTTATTGATATCCCTTATAAGTATACTTAAAAATTAGTGGGTGCATTTTGCTTTCAACTACATAAATTACATGAAAATAAACATAAGAAAATGTAATAAAATGTTTACTGTGGAAGGTGAGACATGGGAGATTTGCTATTTTCCCTTTATGATTTTCAATTCCCCCCCTCAATTTTTTACCCTACACTAACACATATTACAGTGAATTCATATTATATTTGCTATTTTCCCTTTATGATTTGCTATTTTCCCTTTATGATTTTCAATTCCACCCCCCCCAATTTTTTACCCTACACTAACACATATTACAGCGAATTCATATTATATTGGTGGTCATAAAATGATATTAAAATCAATATATGCAATTAGATATATTTCATATGACTAGAACCTTGTCAACAATGTACTAAAAATAACTGTGAAAGTAAATACAGCAGCTTTACAATGGTTACTTCTGGATTACAGCACTATGGGGGATTGTTTTAATCTCCTCCTACTTTTTCTGTATTTCCCAAACATTCTATGAGGAGCACATGACATTTTTATAGTGGATAATAAAAAAAATAAAACAAATCTAGGGGGCATGGATCAGCAAGGCAGAGATGAATAGGGCAGAGAGAACTGTTCCAGGTTTGAAGCTAACAGAAGCTCTCAAGGAATTTCTGGTAACTTTCTGCCCTAATCATCTCCTTGCTGTGACAGCCACAGGCCCCCTCCTGCTGCTGCTGCCATCACTTTTAAATATGTACGTATGTAAGGGCATATGTGTGTACGTATGTGTGTGTGTATATATATTTACATTAAGAGTACACAAATATAATCTCACTGCAAACATAGACATTGCAGATAAAGCTAAAAGTCTCTCTTGATTTTCAGCCCCAATTTTTGTCTCCAATCCAGATGTTTGTTTGATCATTATACTTTATAGCTGTGAGTTTGCCACAGTAAAATCGCAACTCATTCAGACCTTTATACCTGCAATTATACGCATATCTGTTCATATAGAATTTGACAATATTGATTTATGTTCATGTGTTTGTACAATTGGTATTTTAACATTTGCATTGTCTTCTCAAAAATATCTCACGGAGAACTTTCTCTGGCCATCCACGTAACTCTATATTTTTACTTGGTGTGAGTAACAAGGATGTGAACGATCATTTGTTTCTTAATTAAGAAAAATGGGCTGGGCATGTTGGCTCACATCTGTAATCCCAGTACTTTGGGAGGCCAAGGAAAGAGGATTCCTTGAGACCAGGAATTCAAGACCAGCCTGAGCAACATAGCGAAGCCCCACCTCTACAGATAATACAAAAATTAGCCGGGCAGGGTGGCACGCGCCTGTAGTTCCAGCTACTCGGGAGGCTGATGTGGAAGGATCAATTGAGCCCAGGAGGTCAAGGCTACAGTGAGCCAAGATTGCACTACTGCACTCCAACCTGGGCAACAGAGCCAGACTCTTTCTCAAGAAAAAAAAAAAAGAAATATTATTAACCTTAGGCATTCTATAATTGGTATCAACTTTTCATTGTCACAGAAGAAATCTAGCAATGAATATGCTTCCCGTATACATTTTAAATGGTTCTCTGTGGAGTTATCAAAAATTAATGAAATATAAGGCATGTATATTTTTAATTTAAAAGATATTGCCCTCTAGTGCCTTCCCATGAGTCCTCTCACTAGCAGTGTTGAAAGAGTACCCATATCTTTCCCCACACTTCATATTATTAAACTTGGTTTTTTTTTGTTTTTTTTTTTTTTACCAGCCTTGTCCTATTGGAAGTATTTCATTGTTATTGATTTCCCCTGATTACCAGTGAGGTTGCATCTAAATTTTTTTCCTTCAGACTTTGCATCTCTCCCACCTCACCTCTCAAACTGCCCTAATCATCTTAACTCCTGTTACGCAGGTTGGTATCACCAGCTGTCTGGCCCAGACTCTGTGAGCACAGAAAATGAATAAGAACTTTTGTTAGTAACTTTTATTTGGCTGTTCATAGCACAGCAGGGAAAGACGCATGGCTATTGAATTTCAATCTGGCCTTTCTTGGCCACTTCCCCAGCAGTTGCCTTTTGCAGTAGAAAATGCACTGGCCTAATAGTCAGAAGTGTGAGTGCAGGTTTTGCTACTTCCTGCTTCTATACCTTTGGTGAGTTTCCCATAATTTTTGGCTTCAGAGTCATCCTTTATTAAGAATAATTGACAATACCTATTATCCTAGTTTACAGATGTAAATGGGTGCCCCACGTGTTTAAGTGTGTTTCCCATTACCCTAGTTCCTAGTAAAATTCCAAATGCTTTGCTCAGTTCCAACTTGTGTGAAGTTGGAGGGTTCTCAGCCCATTTCCACACAAGTTGTCCAAGTTTCCTACCCAATGTTAAATGGTCTGACGAATGTTTATGACTATCTGTTGATGAGTCATCCATAGGCAACTGGTTGGCAACGGGGTTTGCACTTAAGTCAGCTCCGAACTAAATCCTTTCTACCCTACTTCTTGGCCTTCCTGGAAGGAGGATCCCTCACGCTAATTCAAAGACCTGTTCCTTGTACTCCTTCTCTCTTGTTCAAGTTACCTTTTAGCTTCTTCCTCTTTCCTCTTATCTCTAGTCTTATCCAGTTTTAAGAAAATTGTACCTGTGAATAGACTTTTGCTCCTAGTTTTATTTTGGATGGTGGTGGGGGAAGAGGTCAAAGAGAGAGGAAAATACACAGAACACACACACACACACACACACACACACACACACACACGCACACTCACACACATGCACACACACACGTGCTTTGGGCTATAACCCTACGACCCAGGGTTAGTGTGAAGAATCAAATGAGATAGTATATATGAACATTTTCGTAAACTGTACAGCCCCATACAATTAACGATATAATTAATATTAAAATGTTCCAGGTGAAGCAATATCTTTTATTATTTTCATCTTCCAAGCAGGAGTAGCCATTCCTCTTGCCAGCCAAATGAGCCTTATGCTTCTGTAGTCCTGTGCACAGGCTGACAAGCTAAACTGAGCCATACCAGACCTGCCCATATTTTATAGCTATCCTGAGAGTAGGATCCTCCTCCTCTCTCATTCTTCCTCCCTTACAATAGGAAATCTATCCCACTATATCAGGGAAGGGCTGTGAGAAGCATTCTGGTCTGAGTGACCTCCTTTCATTTTTGAAACCTGAATGGCTCAAGTCCAAGGGTGAAATATGTGCAGCTGAGTAACTACAGATGATAACACCCAATCCTGGTAGAAGGACTCCACCCTCCAAGAAGGCTCTTTGTAATAGGAAGTGCATGGTTTCCACATGTTCTTCTGGCCTGAACATCCATGTGCTTTTCTCTCAGGTCTTTGAGGCATGAAAGCTCAGCCCCCAGCTCAGCCTGACTCAGTGGAAGCCACAGGCCAAACAGTTGGTTTCTCTCATCATTTCCATTCTGGTTTCTCATTATAGTTTCATGTTCTTGAATGAATATTCCTAATCCTATTCAGCAGCCAGGCGCAGTGGCTCACGCCTGTAATCCCAACACTTTGGGAGGCTGAGACGGGCAGATCACGAGGTTAGGAGATCGAGACCATCCTGGCTAACACGGTGAAACCCCATCTCTACCAAAAATACAAAAAATTAGCTGGGCGTGGTGACATGCACCTGTAGTCCCAGCTACTCGGGAGGCTGAGGCAGAAGAATCACTTGAACCCGGGAGGTGGAGGTTGCAGTGAGCAGAGATCCTGCCACTGCACTCCAGCCTGGGTGACAGAGCAAGACTCCATCTCAAAAACAAACAAAAAAGAGAAATCGGCTCATCCTCTCTGAAGGGCTGCAGAGACATGGACTGGGCAGTAAGGAGCCAAGTTCAAGTCTTGACTTCACCACCAGCAAGTAGCTGCATGGCTGCAAGTCTCACTTCCCTGTGAGGTCAAGGAAGTGCAGTGTAGGAGATTAGAGTACAGATTCCTCTGTGTGCTTCATTTTCTTCACTGACGAAATAAAGGCAAAATACCACTTACATTGAAACGCTGCAGAGGTTCAGTAGAGTAAAAGGTTGGAAAACACTTAAAATAGTATCTGACGTGCTTAGTACCCTTGAACTTCAGTTTCTGCATCCGTAAAATGGGAAAACAGAATGGATAATTCTGTAAAGCCTTATTCTAGCTGATAACTAAGATTGAGTTTTGCAAAATAGAGATGTAATAGTAATACTGTTACAAGAATTCGGGCTTTCTTCCTCTCTGTCATACACTTGGCTGTGCTCTGGACGTACCCACCTTTTCCATTTGACAGATTGAGTAGGCAGCCTCAACGGTGGCAAGAAACTTTTTCAGCCAATAGAAAATAACTCCACCTGAGGGAATTAGGAAAAGCAGGACAGACTTTGATCTGAGTCAAGAACAATAAGGGTAATTTGGGAGGGAGACAAAGCCAGAGATGGCAGGAGTGGGGTACTCTCAAGGTTGGGGAGAGCATGGAATGTTTGAGACTGAAGTGCCTGGAAGAGGGTTACAGTGGGTGACACAGAATGGGCTGGAGAGATGAGTGGGACCCAAGTTCCAAACGGTTTTAAATCCATGTGAAGAATTTGAACTTTATCCTCTCAGGAAGCAAAGCCAACAGGGATCTTTAAGCAGAGGACAGATCTTGCCAGGTTTGCATGCCTCTCTAGAATGAAAGTTTTCAAACCACTGGAGTAGGAAGATTAGAGGCAATTAGACTGGTTGGGAGGTTGGTGAGAGAGATGAGAACCAAGACTCAAGAAGAAGGAATACAAATTAAGAGTTGGAGTTAGATTAAGGAACCATTTTTCAGGTGCATGTTATGAGATTTGGATATCGACTGCATGTGGGAGATGGGGCAAGAGGTCATTTTCTAACGTGGAGTAATCAAGAATAACAGAAAGTCTGAAAGGAGCTTCATTTGTGACACAGTAGGTTTGGGGTGTCTATGGGGCACTCGCTGTAAATACTTCATCACCTATGCATGCCAAGCACTACACTGCATTCTAAAGATAAAGTGGTAAGCAAGGCCACAGGGTCCCTGCCTTTGTGCAGCGTATGTTCTAGTGGGAGAGGCAGACAATAAATGGATTAAGTAGATAAACCAAATAATAGCAGATTGTGATGATTACATTGAGGGAAATAAAGAAGGTAATAGGAAAGAAGCAAATGTATAAAATTAAAAATTCAAGTTCAGTGTTGAAGAGAGATACCAAAGCAAGTTGGTTTGAGTGACAAAATAAACAATGTAATATTGCAGAATAACACACATTTCCAAATAAATGTTCATGAGTCTCTGTACTAACATTAATAAATGTTTGAATAAGTTCTTAAAAATTGGAGAGAATAGCCAATTTCACATACAGAAGATTTCAAATAATTCAGATAGATACTCTGCTCTTAAGGAGACAAATCATAACTCCCTTCTCGTTAAGTGTGGGATGCACATAGAGACTTCCTTCTAAAGGGAATAGCATAAAAAGAAGGTAAAAGAGTAACGTAACAGAAAAGAAGCCTGATAAACACTAGATCAAGGTTAACATCATCAATGACAAATCATGTGGATAGTATGTATTTTTGTTATGATATGATGAAAATGGCACTTTACCTCTGTAGTGCTTTTCCAAAAACCCATAACGTCAGTCACATCATGAAACAAACATTACACAAAGCCCAAGTGAGGAACATTCTACAAAAATGCCTGACCAGTATTCCTCAAAACTGCGAAGGTCACCAGCAAGAAAAATCAAAGAAGCTGTCACCTCCAAGAGGAGCCCAAGGAGAAATGATGACTAAATGTAATGTGGGATCTTGGATGGGATCCTGAGACAGAAAGAGGACACTAGGTAAAAATGAAGAGAATTCAAAGTATGAAGTTCAGTTAAAAATTATGTAACAATATTAGTTCATTAGTTGTCACAAATGTACCACAATAACGTAAGATGTTAACAATAGGGGAAACTGAGTAAATGGGAATCAATCTTTGGGTAGGATTTCTCTCCTCTATATTGTCATGTTTTCCTGTATATTCCTATGATAGAATCTAGATTTCCTTTAAAAGTGGAGAATTTTGCCTGTATTATTTTTGAGAGCCATGTTTAGTGCAGGGACATAAATCTAAAAGTTCACTACAAACTCATGGCAACGTGATGGAACTGTCTTAGTCAAACCAGAGCTAAAATGGAAAACTACCTGGTATAGAAGCATCCTGACTTCTCATTCAACTTGAACATTTTTTATGTAATGGAAAAATATCTGGCAGTTATATATAAGGTTAAGTTCACTAAACTTAATGAAATTTTAGAACAAATATGACATAATACACTCAACATTCCATTATCTATTCTCAGATAACCCCAAAATCATTTATATGGAATGTAATTTTTCATTTTTGGCCGCAGATTTTCCTCCATAATTATGCTTGGCTTTGAATGTGGTTTTAATTAGTTTACAGCAGAAGATAGGGGTAGTGCCAAGATGCTCCTTCCCGCAAGCCTCTTTAGAATACTATAAGGTCACTGAAAAACAAAACATTTTTTAGCAGCAGCAACAGGAGAAATGATCTTACCTTCTGAAAATCCTGGCATAACTCCCTGTCATAATTCGTATAGCAGAGAAAACATCTGTAAATGGACCATCCAATCAACAAGCTCTCCATCTACCCACGTTCATCTCTCAGAACTCACCCTCTCCATAAACGCACTCTCCAAAGTCATTACAACGGTAGACTCTAGAAAATGACTAGCTGAGCTCTGATCCTCATTTTCAACTTAGACGTTGTGTGACCTTGGGATAAGTTACTCATCTCCTTACCTCATTCTCCAAATCTAGAAAGTGTACATTTTCTAGCAATTAAAAAAATATGGCAACAGGACTCTTGCTTCCAGCTATGATGGAAGATCTTATATGAGGTCAAACCTCTCACTGGAAACAAATATAAATTTCGGATACTGTATAATAAAAAAAAAAAATACAGAGGCTGGGCGTGGTGGCTCATGCCTGCAATCCTAGCACTTTGGGAGGCCGAGGCGGGCAGATCGTGAGGTCAGGAGATCGAGACTATCCTGGCTAATACGGTGAAACCCCGTCTCTACTAAAAATACAAAAAATTAGCCGGGCGTGGTGGCGGGCGCCTGTAGTCCCAGCTACTGGGGAGGCTGAGGCAGGAGAATGGCGTGAACCCGGGAGGCGGAGCTTGCAGTGAGCCGAGATCGCGCCACTGCACTCCAGCCTGGGTGACAGAGCGAGACTCCGTATGAAAAACAACAACAACAACAACAACAACAACAACAAAACAACAAAATAGCTGCACAAAGGCATTTGGAAAACGACTAAAACATAGAATTTGAGGGGTCAAGGTGACAAAGAAAAGGGAAACACATTGAAGTGAGCAGGGCTTTTGCCACCGCTTTTATACTTCTAAAAATCAATTTTATTGAGGCATAAATGGCGTGAGAATATGCATGGCTGTTAAATGTGCATTCAGTGAATTTGGGCACATGTATACACCTGTGTCATTTCCATCACACATCAAACAGAACACTTTCATCATCCAGGGAAGCTTCCTAGTGCACTTTTGCTATCAATCCCAACCAACCTGCATTGCCCCAGGCAAGCACTGATCTGATTTCTATTACCATGACTTAATTGTGCCTGTTACAGACTTCATGCGAATGAAATCGTCAGTATGTAATACAGCATATCTGGTTTCTTCCACTTTGTGTTATTTGTTGTGAGATTCATCCATAGTTTAGGGTTTAGCAGTTCATGTTGCCTCCTCTTGATGATGCTTCACATGTTTTGAAGGTCTGTTATTAGAAAATACATCTCTAGGATTGCTTCATTCCTCACAAACTAACTCTCCTATGATTACAACAGCATTCATTGTCTTAAAATTCATATTTCTATTGTTAATATGGCTACATGAACTTTCTTATGCTTATTCTTTGCATACTGTGTCTTTCCCTATCCTTTGACTTTCAACTTTAGGTTGAAAGTATGTCTCTTTGCAAACAATGTGGAGTCGGATCTTATTTCTCATCCAATCTAAAAATCTCTATTTTTAAATAGGGGTGTTTAATTCATTTACATTTAATGTAATGATCAATACAGTTGAACGTCAGTCTACCATCTTATTTATTTCTGATTTTTTCTTTTTATTCTGTGGCCCTTATTTCACAAAAAATATTTTTACTATTTTGTCTATCTTTTCTATTGGTTATTTAACTTCTTCCTATTATTTTTAGTAGGTTTTAGTCAGGATCATAATGGGTATCCTTAACTTTTCACAGTCTACCTTTAATTAATATTATGTACTTTCTGTACACTGTAAGAACCCATAACAATGTAATTCCATTTATATTTTACCTTGTCCTTTATACTATTATTTCAAGTATTTTAGTTCCATGTGTTATTAAGCAAAATTCTTTGTTTTTATTTTTTATTTAAATAGTCAATTGACTTTTAGAGGATTTTTAAAAAATTCTTAAAATTATCCTAATATTTACCATGCCCAATACTATTTATTTCTTCCCAAAGATCTGAATTTCCATGTGGTAACATTTCCTTTGTGCTGCATTGGTTTTTAAGTATTTTGTAATTATTTATATTATTGCAAAATGTGCCTTTTAAAATTTAATTTTCCAGTTATTTGCCACTGCTATGTAGGAGTATCATTGATTTTATGTTAACCTTGTTAGCAGAAAACTTGTTACATTTACTTGTTAATTCTTGTCTGTAAATTATCTTGGATTTTCTTTATAGCAATCATGTTGTCTCTCTGATACATAATAGTTTTATGTATCCTCCTAAATACTTATGACTTTTATTTTCGTTGTTGCTGCCTTATTGCCCTGGTAGGAGTTACAGTATGACATCAAACAAAGGTAGTGTTAGTAAGCATCTCTGTTTCTTTCTTGATCTCATTTGGAAAGATCTCAATATTTGATCATTTACTGTGTTATTGGGTGTGATCTTCTTGTAAGATACTCTTTATCATATAAAAGAAGTTCCTTTCCATTTCTAGTTTGCTAAGGCTTTCCTTTTTATTACAAATTAAAATGATAACTCTTATATGCCCATGTTGTTTTTAGTGTATTTATTTTTATTAAACATAACTGCAGAAAGAGATAAATGTGTATTTTTGTTTGTTTTGTGATTGTTAATGTAACTCTGTTATTAAAAATTTATTACATTATCAAAAATTACAGGGCAATATCTTTCATGAACACAGAGAAATATTAGCACATTGAATCCAGCATTATATTAAGTGGATAATACATGACAATCAAGTGAAAGTAATTCTAAAAATACAAGTTTCGTTTAGCATTTGAAAGTCAGGTAATAAAATTCATTACATTAAAAATAAAAAATAAAAATCATGTAACTATCCCAAAAGGTACAGATGAAGCATGTGCTAATCTACCATGAAATATACAAAATGTGTATACTAAAAACTATATTACTTATTTTTAATAAAGAGGATATACCATATCTTATTAAAGTAAATATCATAAAGATGTCAATTTGCCCAAACTGACCTGTACGTTTAATACAATATCAATCAAAATCCCACTAAGAGTTTTTTAAATTGATACATAGTAGATGCATACATTTTGGGAGCACATGTAACAATTTGATACAGTCATATAATATGTAAAGATCAAATTAGGATAATTGGGATATTCATCACTGTTTTAGTTTAGTGTTGCTAAAAAGGAGTACCTGGGGATGGGTAATTTATAAAGTAAAGAGGCTTATTTGGCTTATGGTTCTGTATGTTCTACAAGAAGGATGGTGCTGGTATCAGCCTAGCTTGTGGTGAGGGCCTGGACTGTTTCAACTTATGACAAAGTAAAGGGGAGCTGGCTTGTCCAGAGATCATATGGTAAGAGAGGATGCCAGAGAGAGAGGGAAGAGATGCCAGGCTCTTTTTAACAACCAGCTTTCACAGGAACTCATGGAGTGAGAATTCACTCATTACTACAAGAATGGCACCAAGCCTTTCCTGAGAGCTCTGTCCCCATGAGCCAAACACCTCCCATTGGGTCTTATCTCCAACACTGGGGACCAAATTTCAACATGATATTTGGAGGGACAAATATCCAAACTATAGCACTTCCCTTAAATATTGATCTTTTCTTTATGCTAGGAACATTTGAATTATTCTCTTCTAGCTATTTTGAAAGATACAATGGATTATTGTTAACTATAATCACCTTCCTGGTCTATCAAACACGAGGTCCTATTTCTTTTATCTGACTATATATTTCTACCCATAAATCACTCTCACTTCATTCTTCATTCCCCCCACCGCACTCTTCCTAGCCTCTGGTAATCACCAGTTTACTCTCTATCTTCATGAGATCTACTTTTTTAGTTCCCATGTGAATCAAAACATGAGATATTTGTCTTTCTGTGCTTGGCTTATTTTACTTAACATAGTGACCTCCAGGTCCATCCATGTTGCTGCAAATGACAAGATTTCATGCTTTTTAATGGCTGAATAACATTCTATTGTATGTATACCACATTTTCTTTATTCATTCATTCATTCATTGATAAGAACTTAGGTTGATTCCATAAGTGTGTTTTAATTCACTGCTTTTTATGTTTAGTGTATTTATTATAGGTTTTTGCACTGTGGTTAGCATGAGGCTTATAAAAATTCTTATAGATATAATAAGTTATAAAGAGATGAGAACTGATATTAGATCACAAAGAAAATGGAAATAAAAAAATAAAAGCAACTCCACACTTTAATTACACCCTCCTACATTTGACTTTTTGTTGTCTCAATTTATACATATTTACACTGCCTATATCTTAACTGGTTGCTGTAGCTATTATTGATTTTGATAGATTTGTCATTTAGGCTTTATACTAGAGTTATGAGCAGATTATGTACCACAATTACAGTATTAGAGTATTCAGGGTTTGTCTGTGCACATAATTTTACCAGTGGGTTTCATAATTTCAGTTTTTAAAATTTTTCATGTTAATGTTTTATCTTTCAGATTGAAAAACTCCATTCAGCATTTCTTATGAGTCTAGTAGTGGTAAATTCACTCAGCTTTTGTTTGTCTGGGAAAGACTGTCTCTTCCTTGTTTTTGAAGAAGAGCTTTGGTGGATACAATATACTTGGATGACAGTTTTTTCTTTTCTTTCAGCACTTTAAAGATGTCATCCTGCTCCTCCTGGACTGTGCAGTTTTCATTGAGAAGTTTGTTGCCAGATGAATTGGATCTCATTTGTTTGTTATTTGCTTCTTTTCTCTTGCCACGTTTAGGATCCTCTCTTTGTTTTTGACCTTTTAGGTTTGATTTTTATATGCCCTGGTGTAGTCTTGCTAAGGACACATCTGTTTGGTCTTCTCTAACCTTTCAGTACCTGGATATTTATCTCTTTCCCAAGTTTTGGAAAGCTTTTTTTTTTTATTTTTGTGGGTACATAGTAGGTGTATATAATTATGAGGTACATGACATATTTTGGTAAAGGCATGCAATGTTTAATAATCACATCATGAAAAATTGAGTATCCAGCCTCTCAAGCATTTATCCTTTGTGGTACAAACAATCCAGTTATACTCTTTTAGCTATTAAAAATGTACAATTAAATTATTATCTACTATAGTCCCCCTGTTGTGCTATCAAATAACAGGTCTTATTCATTCTAAGTATTTTTTTTGGTACACATTAACCATGTCCACCTTTCCCTAACATCTCCATTACTCTTCCCAACCTCTGACAACCATCTTTCAATCCTCTGTTTCCATGAGTTTTATTGTTTTGATTTTTAGATCCCAGAAATATGTGAGAACATGCAATGTTTTTCTTTCTGTGCCTGGCTTATTTCACTTAACATAATGACCTCCAGTTCCATCCGTGTTGTTGCAAATGACAGAGTTTTATTCTTTTTCATGGTTGAATAGCATTCCATTGTGTATATGCACCACATTTTCTTTATCCATTCACTTGTTGAGGGACACTTAGGTTGCTTCCAAATCTTGGCATTTGTGAACACTGCTGCAAAATACATGAGTGTGCAGATATCTCTTTGATACACTGATTTCCCTTTTTGAGGGTATATACCAACAGTGGGATTGCTGTATTGTGCGGTAGCTCTATTTTTAGTTTTCTGAGAAGCTTCAAACTGTCCTCCATAGTGGTTTTACTAATTTATATTCCCACCAACAGTGTATAAGGATTCCGTTTTTTCCACATCCTCACCAGCATTTGCAATTGCCTGTCTTTTGGATATAAGTCATTTTAACTGGGGTGAGATGATATCTAACTGTTCTCTAATGATCAATGATGTTAAGCACCTTTTCATATGCCTGTTTGCCATTTGTATGTCTTATTTTAAGAAATGTTTAATCAAATCTTAAATCAGGTTAACATTTTTTTTCTACAGAGTTGTTTGAGCTCCTTATATATTCTGGATATTAATTCTTTGTCAGATGGGTAGTTTGCAAATATTTTCTCTCATTCTGTGGGTTGTCTCTTTGTTGATTGTTTCCTTTGTAGTGTGGATGCTTTTTAACTTGGTGTGATTCCATTTGTCCATTTTTGTTTCAGTTGCCTGTGGTTGTGAGGTATTACTTAAGAAGCTTTTGCCCACACCAATGTCCTGAAGATTTCCCCCAATTTTTTGGGGCAATTTTATAGTTTGAGGTCTTAGATTTAAGTGCTTAATCCATTTTCATTTGATTTTTGTATGTGGCAAGAGATAAGGGCCTAGTTTCATTCTTCTGTATATAGATATCCAGTTTTCCCAAAACCATTTATTGAAGAGGCAGTCATTTCTCCAATGTATGTTCTTGACATCTTTGTCAAAAATGAGTTCACTATAGATGTGTGGATTTATCTCTGGGTTCTATATTCTGTTCCATTGGTCTGTGTGTCTGTTTTTATGCCAGTAGCATGCTGTTTTGGTTACTATATCTCTGTAGTATAATTTGAAGTCAGGTAATGTGATTTCTCCAGTTTTATTCCTTTTGCTCAGGATAGTTTTGGCCATCCTGGGTCTTTTGTGATTCCATATAAATTTTAGGATTTTTTTTCTATTTCTGTGAAGAATGTCATTAATATTTTAATAAGCATTGTATTGAAACTGTAGATTGCTTTGGGTAATAATGGACTTTTTAACAATACTGATTCTTCCGACCCATGAACATGGAATATCTTTCCAATAACATGTAATATCTTTCCATTTTTGTGTCCTCTTCAATTTCTTTCATCAGTGATTTATAGTTTTCATTGTAGAGAGCTTTGACTTTTTTTGGGTTAATTCTTAGGTATTTAATTTTATTTGTGGCTATTGTAAATGGGATTACTTCTTAAATTCCTTTTTCAGGTTGTTCAGTTTGATATATGGAAAGGCTACTGATTTCTGTATGTTTATTTTGTATCCTGCAACTTTACTGAATTTATCAGTTCTAATAGTTTTTTGATGGAGTCTTTAGGTTTTTCAAAATATAAGTTCATATCATCTGCAAACATGATTAATCTGACTTTTTGCTTTCTAATTTGGATGCCTTGTATATCTTTCTCTTGTCTGATTGCTCTAGCTAGGACCTCCAGTACTCTGTTGAATAACAGTGGCGAAAGTGGGCATCCTTGCCATGTTCCATTGCCAGATGTATTGGAGCTCCATTGTTTGTCATTTGTTTCTTTTCTCTTGTTGCCTTTAGGATCCTTTATCCTTGACTTTTGGGAGTTTAATTATTAAATGCCTTGTGGTAGTCTTCTTTGGTTTAAGTCTGCTTGGTGTTTTATACCCTTCTTGTACTTCAATCTTGTTATCTTTCTCTAGGTTTGGGAAGTTGTCTGATATTATCCTTTTGAATAGACTTTCTACCCCTATCTCTTTCTCTACCTCCTCTTTAAAGCCAAAAACTCTTAGATTTGCCCTTTCGAAGCTATTTTTAGATCCTATAAACATGGATCATTTTTTTTATTCTTTTTTCTTTTGTCTCTTCTGATTGTGTATTTTCAACTAGCCTGTCTTCAAGCTCACTAATTCTTTCTTCTGCTTGATTAATTCTGCTATTAAAGGAATACTGCACTCTTAAGAATGATGCATTCTGAAATATGCCCATTGTAGTTGTCAGTTCCAGAATTTCTTTTTGATTCTTTTAAATTATTTCAATCTCTTTGTTGAATTTTTCTGATAGAATTCAGAATTCCTCCTCTGTGTTATCTTGAATTTCTTTAAGTTTCCTCAAAATAGCTATTTTGCATTCTCTGTCTGAAAGGTCCTGTATCTCTGCTTCTCCAGGATTGGTCCCTGGTGCCTTATGTAGTTCGTTTGGTGAGCTAACGTTTTCCTGGATGATGTTGATGCTTGCAGATGTTCTTCAGTGTCTCGGCAATGAAGAGTTAGGTATTTATTGTAGTTTCCACAGTCTGGGCTTCTTTATGCCTGTCCTTCTTGGGAATGCTTTCCGGGTATTCAAAGGGACTTGGGCCCTAAGCCCAATAGAACTGTGGTTTTTGCAGACTCATAGAGGTACCGCCTTGGTGGTCTTGGTTAAGATCCAGAAGAATTCTCTGGATTACCAGGCAGAGACCGTAGTTCTTTTCTCTTACTTTCTCCCAAATTCTTTTCTCTGCTTGATTCTCTCAGTTGTTAAGAGCCTGTAATAAATGTTTTAGTTCAGCAAATCAATCTGTGAGTTCCATGACTTCTGTTTGATTTTTTAAAATTATTTCAATCTCTTGTTAATTTTTTTGACAAATTTCTAAATTGCTTTTCTGCATTATCTTGGAGATTACCGAGTTTCCTTAAAACTGGTATTTTGAATTCTTGGCCAGAGAGCTCATATATTACCATCTCATTAGGGACAGTCACTGGTTCCTTATTTTGTCGATTTAGGGAGGACATGGTTCTGTTTGCTGTTGTTTCTTGTGGATGTATTTCTATGCCTATACATTGAAGCATTCGTTTTTTAATTCCAGTCTTCTCTACCTAGCTTGTTTTGTTTTTTATTGGACATATTTGCTTATTCTTTGTAATTTACCTGTTAAATTTCTTTTTTTCTTTTTCCTGCTAGGTCACCACCTCCTTTTTGGCACTAAATAGTAACTTAAGCCCAGGTTTGCCTCTGCTCTAATAAAAACTTATAACACTACGTGTCGCAAATGAGGGAGGTTTCAAAGAGCATATCCCAGTATGGGAAAGCTGGCTAGGGGTTCATGCACAAGGGAACTGTGGAACATACCTCCTACAGCCTGGAGCTGCTGAACAGCTATTCTGATCTGACAACTCCTTTGGCCAAGTTACAGAGCAGAGTTTCCAGGGCTGGGGATGTTAGTACCACCTCCCCACTTTGTCTGTGGCTGCCTTAGGGATATTTCTCCCTTCAGATACTGCTTCCTGTGGGTTGAGGCAGTGACAGGTCTTCTGCTAGGGAACCCAAGACAGTGGGGGTGCTGATAGTCTACCTTAATCTTGCTTTTTTTCAGGGTAGAAACCATGAGAGTGGAGTAAATTTTCCATGTGCTTGCTGTAGGCAAATTGTGGGGAGTGGAATTGCAGATATGGAGGTCCAATTCTCTTACCATCTGTTCAGAGTTTTTCACTCCTCTGTATCCCTGGGAACTCTCTGACCTTCCTATTTGAGTTCTGGGATATTGCTGGTGATAATCCTAGTGCTGTGTATTTGTTTTGTGTTTTCTGTCGGGGGAGTGAAGCAAGTTTGCTTCTATGCCCACCATCTTGGAACTGGAGCCACTTTGTGTAGAAATTAAAAATGGATTATTAAAATGTATATAGAATTGCAAATGACTATGAATCATTAATCTTTAAAAAGAGTAACAAAATTAGAAAATATAAACTACCATATATGAGGACTTATACACTACAGTAATAAGGAGTAGTATATAAGTGTGTGGAGTTGAGACAAACATAGTTAATAGACCAATGAACTAGATTAGAAAGTGCAGAAACAGGTAAAATACTTATATGATCACTTGCTTTATGACAAAGATGACACAATGTTACTTAGTTGGTGCTCAATAAAGATTGCTTATTTGATCAGGCATCCATACAAAAAAACATTGGAACTTGATCCTGCTTTCCTTCACAATAATTAAATCCAGATGAATTGTAAAAAGACCAATAATTATTTTAATCAGATGACACTGAAAGGCAAAGATTTCTTGAATAGGACACAAAAAGGCTATCTATAAAGGAAAATAATGATAAATTAAACTACATTAAATTAAGAACTTCTGTGTATTATAAAACATCAAGAAAGTAAAAAGATAAGTTTGATTGCAACAAGACATTTGTAGTACATATATTTCAAAAGGACTTGCATCCAAAATATGATGGACATGCACAAATTAATAAGAAAAGGAAAGGCAATACAAAAAGAAGGAAAAAAGTAGCTAAAAGTCTTGAACGGACACTTCACACAGGAAGATATTAGAATGGCCAATAAGCACATGAAAAAATGCTCATCATCAATAGACATCAGGGAAATTCAAATTAAAACCACTATGAGATACCACTGCACATTTGTTAGAATGGCTATTAACACCAGAATGTCTGTAATGAAAAAGGTAGAAACTCCTTAGTGTTGGTGATGATGTGGAACAACTGGAATTCTCATACGTCTGGTGGGAATATAAATTGCAACCATTTGGAAAACTGTTTGGCAATTGCTATTTAGGCTGAACAATTGCATTCTGTATGACCCAGAAATTCCACTCCTAGGAATAGACCCAACATAAATTTATGTTCTGTATAAAGCCAAAGAAAGACATATATGAAAATGTTCATAGCAGCATTACATGTAAGAGCCAAAAGCTGGAAACTACTTAATGCTTATTAATAGTATAATGGATAAGTAAGATGTGATATATGTATATTCTGGAATCAATCAGTCAAATGCTATATGCCACATGGATTTCATGAACATAATCATATCTAATCCAGAAAAAAATACATTCTGTATGATGCCATTCATAAAAATTTCAAAAACTGACAAAATTAATATATAGTGATAGATGTTAGAATATTGGTTATCTTTGGGTAAGAGATAATGACAGGAAAAGGGAGAAAGAGACTCCTGGGATGCTGATAATATGATAGTATTATATCATTTCATGGGTGTGTTCACTTTATAAAAATTCATCAGGCTGTACACTTCTGATTTTTGCATTTTCATGTATTAATTATATTTCAATTAAAAATACAAAAAAATCACAATGCAAAGCACCAATTGATGCCTTGTCAATTTTCAAAATATATAAAAAAATTTGTGAGATTTTGGTGGCATTTCATACTCTTACATATTACCAGTAGCAGTACAAATGTCTATGAGTTTTGAAATGTAATTTTTTAATAAAGCAAAATCAAATTCTAATCAGGGTCTACTACATCCTAGTTATCAGATTGTATGCTTTCATATTCAATCACACTTTATCATTGCAACAGGTACTATCAAGGACTAGTAAACAGGTAAGCTGGAATTCTCACCAGCTTAAAGTACTGCTATAACTAGAGATTCCTCAGAGAGAGTAATAATACTCATGAAAATTTATCCCAAGGAGGATGTGGGAATGGGGAGCTGTCAATATGAGAAGAGATCGATGCAAGAAGACCTGCATTACTGCTTGATTTGTAATACAGAAAACTGAAAACCTAAAACCGAATAAAAGCATATGTTGGCCAGTTGCAATGGCTCACACCTTTAATCCCAGCACTTTGGGAGGCCTCAGCTGGATGATTGCTTGAGCCCAAGAGTTCAAGACTAGCCTGGGGAACACGGTGAAACCCGTCTCCACAAAAAAATTAAAAAATTAGCCAGGCGTGGTGGTGTGTCTGCAGTCCCAGCTACTCAGGAGGCTTAGGCAGGAGAATTGCTTGAGCCCTGGGGGTGGAGGCTACAGTGAGCCATGATTGCACCACTGCACTCCAGCCTGGGTGATAGAATGAGACCCTATCTAAAAAAATAAGTACATAAAAAAAGAATATGCTTCAATAAATGATGTTTCTCAATGGTATATTATACAGATATTACGTAGCCTTTAGAACGGTTATTATGATTTTTCATACAAGTTGGCTTTTTTAGAAGTGCATATAGGAGATATTGTTGAATGAATGCATTTTCCAACAACGCAGAAAATGTTTAGAATAGAATATTAAGTGAAAGGCAAAAAACTTTTGTTGAAACTAAAACTATGTAAAAGTTATGTGCATGTATGTGAAAATATGGTGAAGAAATTCCCTGACATGGAAAAGGGTGATGTATTATGATGAGTGCTTAGGGGAAATTTTCTTATATTTTTTCTCTTCTTTTATTGCTGTTGAAATGGTGTTTGTGCAGTATATGAAAATGTAAAACTAAGACTCCAACTGGTAAGAATGAGTAGCTCAGTTTATCAGGGGTAAGGCGGTTCTTTTCAGGACGTTTAATTTAATGGGGGAATATTGGGTTTAATAGAATCACAAATGACTTAGAGAATAAAAGAATCCTTGGAGAACCAGAAATAGTCAGTGGTTCTTCCAGCGTTTTCTAGTGGATTGTTGGCAGTCAGGGCTAGAACATAGCTATTTTGACTACAATTAAATGAATTTAAAAATTGAACAGTTTAAACAATAATGATACTGAAAAATAAGGACAAAGCAACAACTCAACAAAAGCAAAAATTGGCCAGGGATAAATCATAAAATTGATGAGCCACATCACAATTATTTTATGACTGACTTATTGTATTTATAGTAAGACTCCTCCCGCATTCTTGTCATTCTTAATCATTTTCCACTATGTATACATGTGTTGTTTAAGGAGACTCTGACAAACTACTACCATGATTTGCTCAAATGTTTAATTTAGTGTCTATCTGATTCTTCAAGTTCAGAAAATGTTCACTGTACAATACTCTTTTCCCTCATCTTGGCCTTTATTTATTTTATTATTTAAACTCAAACAGGAGGCATCATTTTATCAGAGTTACCAACAAAATTATTTCCACTTGCTTTGGTTCCTGTGTATTAAAGAAAAAAAAGCCATCTCCTTCCTCCTCCCTGTCTGCATTTATGTTTAACGAGAATAGGAGATGCTAAAAAATAATATGGATTATTAAGGACATCATTTTAATTTATAGTAGCAGTTACTCTTTGCAGGATGAAAAGGAAGTTGGTGCGAACCCTCATTAGAAAAGCAGTGGACATACTGAAAGAAAGTTTCAGGGTGTTTTTAAAGGGGTGATTAAAAGTTAGATTTCCATGCTCTGTGCCAGTGGGCACTGAGGGAGGAGGGTGGGCTAAGGGCGTACAGTGGCTAGAGAGACCATTAAATTGGTATTAAACACTTTTCCATATGAAGGAAGTGTCCTCCTGCCAAAAGCCAGAAGCTGAGAGATCAATTTCCATGCAAATGCTGCTGCGAGAGAGCTGGGTAAACTTGGAGAGATTAAGAGGTCACTGGGGTGAGGACCCAGGACGCTGAGCACGTCTGGCTTCACTTCCTTGCAGACTCGTGGAACTTGGCACAGAGCAGCGGGATGAAGGGCCTATATAAACACACAACCCCACTGACTATTTTTTTCCATAGAATTAACTCAACCCGAAATATATTACAAAAATAGAACAAAGCTGGCTTCCATCAGTTTTCATCGCACCAGCCCATAAAGGATTTCTTGTACCTTGTCCAAAGCAAAGTGGGGGAATGACAGCTCAGGGCCCAGCCTTCTCAGCGGTGGTTTCCTCTGCTGACCACCGCCTGACCTCCTTCCAGAGCTGTGCTGCAACAAAAACCCCATTGAGTGAAATGCAGCCCATATGGAGCAGGAGGGTCTCCCAGACTGACTTCCTCTACTAAAATCCTCAAAGCGATTCATTTGCAAAATCTTCCTAATAAGTACCACGTGGATTCCTGGATACCTCTGGGATCTTGGTAAGAATTTCCTTGTGGTGCTCAGACCCTGACTTGTCTTAACTAACCCTACCTACGTAGCAGGGGCATCAGCCTTAAAAAGCAACCTTGGGCTGTTTGAAATAAAGAATGTTACAAACATTTAGAAGTCCTTTAAAAATTGGCCCCCAGCCCCTTTCACATTTATAGTCCTGGTAAGTGCATTATGTTTAGTGTGAAACGTATAGGCTTTGGAATCAGACAGACTTGGACAATTCCATTAATTATTGCATGGTGACCTTAAACAAGTTATGTAAACTCTTCTGGCCTCAGTTTCTCTAGTAGAAGAATGAGAATAATATCTGCTTATTTGTTAAGAAAATTAAATGAAAGAAATAAGTCTGTCTTGGCACATTAGAATTCAATAAATCTGAGCTTCCTTTTCTTCTCCCTCCCACACAGACTCTGACCTGAATTTAACATACGAGTGTCCAGTATATCTGGTAAGATTAGAAAGTGGCGGGGTCATCTTTTGGGGATTATAAATAATGATCTGAAACTGTGGCCAAAAATTCCTTACAGAATAGCATTGTAAAATATCTTTGGCCTAAGGCTACGTGATCAACCCCCAACTGTCTTTGTTTCAGGTTCTTTAAACATTCAGGCAGACTTTGAGAGTGCTGATGGGGGAAGGTTAACTGGAAAAAGCCAAAGTGAAACCATGATGTACTAAAACCAGGGAAATGCATAGAAAAGAGAGACACTGGTAGTATAATAAAATAATTTACTTCCACACAGAGCTCTACCCAGAATCACATTGAACTCTACCCAGAATCTGTTGTCTTCTCACAAAAGACAGAGTGGTTTTACAGCCACATAAAATCCCTGCTGCCACCAGAACACAGCTCAGAGGGAGATAAAGTACGAATTAAAGAGCACACAGATCAGAGCAAAGACATAGCCCAGGTAGAGGAGGCCTGTCTATGTTAAATAGGTATCTAGCATTTATTTTGAAGTGTGCACAAAGCAAACCCTAGGGTTTGCAGAAGTCACTGAAGTGTCTGGCTGAAAAATGGGATGCCCAGAAATAAGCAGTTTGTGATGGGTCTGCACTTTATGAGGATAAATCTTGGGCTACTGACAGCAGAGAAGCTAAGTCATTTTTGTTTACTTGTTTGTTTGTTTTGAAATGCCAAAAGTGACCATTTCAATGACAATAGGAAAATGAATTTTAGGGAAACAAAAGGCATTCCAGAAATAATGCAAAATTAAAAGGAGTGCAGAAGGACAGGACTTAGTCTGGGCCAGAACAAAAACATTTATCTCAGCCACATCTGGATCAGGAATTTGCCAGCTCCCTAGGGACAATGAGTTGAGAGTTAATACCAGAAATGTATCTTATGTTATTTGTAGTCTGTAATTGTTGAAATGTATGCTGTAATTAACTCTTCCAATAAACTGTGTATATAGTTCAGTCTATAATAAGGGTGCTGTCATCCTCACCTAAGTTTTATAGTATTCTAATGCAAAGAACCCCTTCAGGAATTGTTTAAGATCTTTATCTGAAGTCAGGAGGCATAAGAAATCATTGAAGTCAGAATCGTTGCGTTAAGAGTTGGAGACAGATCCTTAGACATATTAAGCTTGCATCATGGGAATGTGAACCACACTGTCCATAAAGCCTCAAAATACCCCCAAGAAATAGGATCTTCTTGAGTGTATTATTTTAGAAGAAAAACTACTGTTTTAAAAGGCAGTATGTCGGAGTCTTTCTATGTGTACAGTTAGATGGATAAAATCAGTGATGTAACAAAATGGAAAGACGAAGACTGGAAGATCGGTGGGCCTGTGAGAATGATAGTGACCACATCTTTCATTGCAGGGAGTCGATCCACATCAACTAAAATTGAAATATGCAATTTAAAATAAAATGACTCCAACCATTGTTCAAAGGGTGAAGATGGGATTAGGAGATAACCTGCGCTACAACTCCAAACAAGGATCTTATGTTCCTTTATTTGATCATCATTTTGGCACATTCATGACTTTAAATCGACCATGTCTCTCTCTCTCTTCCGCCTGCTTACTGTTGGTGGATTTCTTATTGGAACAAATTCACATTTGTTTTATTATTAAGTGTTAAGAGAGTCTTTTACTTAATTTAGGTTTATTCCATCATCTTATCTTGGAGCTCACCAGTTTTTTGTTTTTAATTGTTTTATATATTGGACTATAGTTTGAGCCACATGTGTTGAGTAATATGTTGAGCTAAACTCTCCTACCCTATGCATCAGGGATATCACTGGAGCTCTATGCATTAGCCAAAGGTTATGAGCCTTGTTCACCAAGACTACGGTCCATGAAGGAGGCCAACCTGGTAGAGATGATCCCTGTGAGATAATGGAACATTCACTCAATAAATCCCAGGTAAGCAAAAGGCAACTGGCTCACCCAGGCTTCAGTTGTAGCCCACATGTCTTGTATTCTACTTCTGCATGAAGCTGCTTGCTGAACTGAAGAGATAACTTCTCTTGATAGGCCATACTTCTTTTAATAAAACTTATTCGGGACAATTTAGATTTTAATTCCAATATCCCACATCCAAATTATACATTCTAAGTTTATGCTTATAACCACAAGCTTCTCAAGACATAAACAACAAACAAAACAAAAAAATAACAGTAAAATTCAAACATCAACCACCTCCCCTATGTCCTGCAAAGCTGTGAAACCAATCGTTCAAGTTTTATTTAGGAAAAGTTCTGAACGACAGTAATACTATAGTTCTACTCTAGTTTAAGAAATAGATTTGACTTGTATTTCATTAATTGCTTAAAAACTGTTAGGGGATATTAGAAAAAAAGTGAAAGACTGAGAAATTTCCCTAGACCTTAGGGAAAAAAGAAAAGGACAATTTATTATTATTATTATTATTGCAAAGGTTGCAATTGGGATTTTTAAAATTTTATTTTAAGTTCTGGGATACATGTGCAGGACATGTAGGTTTGTTACATAGGTAAACATCTGCCATGGTGGCTTGCTACACCTATCAACCCATCACCTAGGTATTAAGCCCCACATGCATTAACTATTTATCCTTATGCCCTCCACCCCTGCTCCCCACAACAGACCCCAGTGTGTATTTTTTCCCCTCCTTGGTCCATGCGTTCTCATTGTTTAGCTCCCACTTATAAGTGAGAACATGCAGTGCTCGGTTCTCTGTTCTTGTGTTAGTTTGCTGAGGATAATGACTTCCAGCTCTATCTATGTCCTTGCAAAGGACATTATCTCATTCCTTTTTATGGCTGCATAGTATTCCACGGTGTATATGTACCACATTTTCTTTATCCAGTCTATCATTGATGGGCATTTGGGTTGGTTCCATGCCTTTGCTATTGTAAATAGTGCTGCAATAAACATATGCATGCATGTATTTTTATAATAGAATGATTTATATTCCTTTGGGTATATATGCAGTAATATATATCCAAAGGAATTGCTGGGATTGCTGGGTCAAATGGTATTTCTGGTTCTAGATCTTTCAGGAATTGCCACACTGTCTTCCTCAATAGTTGAACTTTACATTCCCACCAACAGTGTAAAAGCGTTCGTTCCTTTTTCTCCATGACCTCGCAAGCATCTGTTGTTTCTTCACTTTTTAATAATTGCTATTCTGACTGGTGTGAAATGGTGTCTCATTGTGGTTTTGGTTTGCATTTCTCTAATGATCGTGATGTTGAGAAGAAGGAAAATTTAAACGACGATGAAGCAAAAGAAAAGGAATTGTCACTCACGGCTGGTGGGCTGAGTACAAGTTGATGTAACTTTTGGGGAGGGAAATTTAGTAATAACTAAGAAAATTGAAAATGCATATATCCTTGGACCTGGAAGTTCTACATCTAGAAATATGAATTATTCTCACAAATAAGTGCATAAGAATAAATATACAAAGATGATAATTGCAGCATTATTTGTAACATCCAAAACCTGGAAGCCATCCAAGTCTCTACAAATAACAGTGTGCTTTGGATCACACTATATACTCACATTATGGACTATTATTCAACTGTTACAAAGAAACAAATACAGAAATAAAAATATCTCTAGGAAAGAAATTATCATGAAACACAAATAAATAACAATATTTTATATAGATGATCCCATTTATGAAAAATGTAAGACAAGTGTGAAATGATAAGAACATTGATAATAATTGGCATTTAAGAGTTATGATAACCCCGGGCTGTTCTCAGTACTTTATATGAATTCCCTCCTTCAATCCTTACAAAGACCCCACAAGGAAGCTGCTATTTTTATCATTGTTTTGCAGATAAGAAAAATCAAGCACAGAGATAGAGTAACTTGTTCAAGATCACACAGCCACTAAGTGAAAAAGAGGGTCCTCAAAGTATCCACTCAACTGTGAGGGAAGGAAAATAAGGAAATAAAGATAGAACTTCATTTATTTTATATTATTTAATTTTTTGATGAGAGCAAGTATTTACTTGTTATCTAATAAAATATTTTTAAATTGTTTCAAAATAATGTTAAAAAATAATTCCAGGAATTGCAAAATACTTAGAATGAATATCAATCATTTTACTACTTCTGGGAACAAATAAAATCACATCTCTTTTATTTTTTTGAATTATCGGTAAGAGATCCATCGTCATCCTTTTTAGGCACCCCAGGAATGACTATTGCAGCCAACAGCTCCTAAGCCCTAGGTAAAGAGAAAGAAGGAGAATAAGAACAGCCTGCTAGTGTTATCACTTCTCATTGAACTCTGGTCCCAAAGTCTGGAAGAATTTACTTCTTTCCTGCAACCAACAGATTCACAGATAGGCTGGAATAACCGAAGTATATCATAACGGACATGGTGCACTGGTCACCCCGAGGCCATACTCTGGATTTTGCAGAAAACTAATATGATTTCCAATTATAAGAATACTCAGGCAAAGCATACGTGGCACACTAAGCACAAAATTGTGATCATGTGCATTGCTTTGTTTTTACATTCATTTTTTTAAAATCTTCAATCACTGACACAAGTGTCCTAGAATTTGCTCCAGGTATAGATTACACATGACAATCCCTCTAAAAGGCATATCTGTATAACACCGGCTGTCTGTAATAAAGATAAAGGATTTCCAGGCTTAGACGAGGGAAGAGGAAAATGCAAAAGCATACATCTTGTAGTGCCAAACAATAAAAATCTTCTGATGCCTTGGAGACAATACAAACCAAAGGGAGAATACTAATAAAAACAGATATTTGGGATTTCATTGAAATCTTCCTGTACCTCTATTTCTATGGGCCAAAATGAAGATTTCCTTCCTCCATCTGAGACCCAGCATTTGAATCTATTTTTTCGCATTACTTTAAAAAAAAACATATTGTTGTTAATCTCTTAATTGGAATTAGTTTTAGAACTAAATTTTAACTTTCTAGAGGCACTCGAATCTATGTAGACACTTACTAGTTAAGCATTGCACTATCCCAAAAGCCAGCAAAGAATGTGATACCAACCAGATTTGCTCTGCCCATACACAGTAAGCCAATCATTGTGATGATGGGTTGTGCAAAAGAGAAAAGATTTATTCACAGGGCGGCGCCTCAAGGAGGCAGGAAAACAGCTCTCAAATCTACCTCATCAAAGATAAGGCTTACGGATGTCTATAGGTTAGAGAAATGAGATGGCCTAAGGCTTGGGAAAGGTGACCAGCAATAATAATGAAGCAATTGGTGATCTGCACAAGCATAGTTGGGGTTCATGGCTGTTCACAGGACACATGTTTTGAAAATGATAGTGTTAGCATAATCTGAGGGTAGAGTTTTTGGCCCTCTGACATCAAAAGGCTACCTCTCAGATATTTGCATAGGCCCAGTTAAATGGTCAGTGATCTCAACTGCTTTCAATTGGACAAGAGCTGCTCCAAATTCCTGAAAAACAACTTAAGCAGTTGTTATCATGATGACATATATAGTAAAGGTGTTATCTACAAGGAAGCCAGTGAAGGCTAAGTTACAGTGTTTAGCAGCATAGCTATATGGGTTACCAAAACAAAGTAGCAAAAAGCAGGCAACCAAAATCAAGCAAGGCAGGTTAAGTTTGGCAGATCCAAACAGATTAACTCCTCAGTTTCAAATGTCAAAAAAAATGCGACCAAATTAATAATAATTGCTAGAGAAATAAGTGAAATACTACAATGCTAAAAATTTTTTTCTGGCTCATGTTGTTTTTAGACTGTATAATTTTCCCAATATTTCCTCAATACCTTAAGAACCAATCAATAAATCTGTCAACTTACAGTCAGATCATGATATTGTGAGAAACAAAGAAGTAAAATACGGTCCTTAAAAAAATTAAAATGAAGACTAAAAATGGAGCATTCATTACTTCCAAATAATGAGACAAAATAGAAGAGCAGAATTGCAAAGGTCTATGAAGAAAGGAGGAAAAGAAAAGGCAACAGCAAAAAAATAATATATTAAAGAAAATTATATCTAATTATTCTCTTTCAAAACAAAACCTGTACAATTATCCCAAAAATATTTATTGAGCACCCCCTATGTGTCAGGTATTATCCTAGACCTCAGAGATACGGTGTTAAATAAAATAGAGAAGGTCAAATGAAGGGTAAGCAAAGATACCAGGCAAATTCAAACAAAGTTGGAAGGAGGATATCAGGAACAAAGTAGCAATGGAGGCAAAAATAGGTCAATAGGACAAAAAGATGCGTTCCTAATTGTTTAAAAAATACAATATAGAGTAAGTATAGCAAAACAATAATAAATTTTTTAGAACCAAATAGCATAGACATAAAATATATTAAACAGAATTTGTAAAAACAAAGGTCACATTTATTTGGAGAAAATGCAACATACCTATTAGCTTTTCTATGAAGTACATAAAACACTGGTAAGTATTTCACTTTGGCTCTTTCTTCTACAAGTGAAAGAAAATGCAACCAAAACTAGTTAAAGATAAAGGGGGGCTTATTCGTTCACATAAGGAAACCCCTAGTGGTAGCCTCAGGTCAGGGGCAGAAACAATGAGCAAAAACACAGTTTCTGACTCTCTTGGCTGCACTCTGCCCTACGTTGACTCAATTTAAAGGCAGCTCTTACTGCAGGGTCTCAAGATAGCCAAGCTATCCTGTACAACAAAATTTTAGGTTTTGTGAGAAAGGGGAGGCTTCCCTGATAAACATACACCATAGTGATATGGACAGGAGACAGGGAAATAGTGGGTAGAAGAGGGTGGTTCCCTGGCAAAGGCCCCACACTCAAGCCTGGAGATCGTTGGCCCTAAATGGGGACAGGCATTCCTGTTTTCACACCCAAAAAGTTGCCTTTTGGCCTGCCACGCCCCTTATCCCGTACCCATATAAACCCTGAACCCCAGGCTCCAGAAGCAGATGAGCCGGTGAGGAGATGAGGAGACAAGCAGATGAATGGTGGAGTGACGCAGAAGAGAAAGAGAGAAGAGAATGTTTGATCACCAAGGGGAGTTCAGCTGGAGACGGTCGGAGAGGAGTTCATTTGCTGGATGGACAAACTCCAAGGGAAGATCATCTTCCCACTTCATCCCCCCTTTCAGCTCCCTAGAGGTCCTGCTGACAGCCACCTCCACCACTCAATAAAAGCCCGCATTCATCCTTCAAGCCTGTGTGTGACCCAATTCTTCCAGGATGCTGGGCAAGAGCTCAGGACACGAAAGCTGTCACACTGGTCCTCTGGCCCTCTGCCCTTGCAAAAAGGCAGAGGGTCCATTGAGCTGGCTAACACTTAAGACATCTGTGAATGGCAAGCCTAAAAGAGCATTGTAACAGTGGGGCTGCAGGCACCCACCCCTAGACACTACCGTGGGGCTGGAGCCCAAAGCACTCACCCTGGCTCCCGCACTTGCCTGGCAGCTACACCCTTGTCACACACCTTGCAAGGGGGATCACGGAACTCTCCCGTTTCATCAGCAGACTTGTTTGTTCTGATGGGACCGTCTTAAAATAAATCTTTATGGCCAGGAAAATAAAATACACTGATTGGTGTAGGCGGAGGTCACAGGTTCCAGACTTGGAGCTGGGGATAAAAACCAGCTTCACCAGAAGGCTAAGACCGACGGTGGATGTGACAGAGGCACTGGGACCCTATTCAATAGCCCTTCTTCCTGACCTTCTTTCTAAGACCCCTGTAGCACTAGAGGTAAATCAATATGCCCTGCTTAAAAAACAAAAAGCTCTGACATTTCCTAGCTTTCCTTGGGGATGGGGATGGTCCACCAGATATAAGTGGAAACTTTTGAGTGAGCCTTCTGGAATAACTGTTTTAAAGCTATCTGGGTCAGCAGGGAGGTCACCTATTTACCCTCGCCCTTCTCCTTTCCCCTTCTTCCTTTCTATTTTCTAGAATATGTTGGTTTCAGCTGCAGAGTCCAACCTGAAACTAGAAGGTGATTTTGAACGTGGAGAGTAAGTGTTAACACGACCTAGTAGAAAGCTGGATTCTGGGCTGTGTGCCCCCAGACTTCTTTTATTGTAATAATCAAAATAACTACTTTTTATTCCAGCCACTACAATTCATGTGTTTCTGTTATATGCTTCTAAATCTGGTAAGATACAGAGGGAGAATATTGCTCTTTCCAAAGTTAAGTTTCAAGGCAGACAGTCGTTTTGGGGAGAAAGAGATTGACTCGAAAGGGACATAGGAGAGCTCCTGAGGCGATGGAAGTGTTCTGTAGTTTGTTTAGGACGGTGATTATGTGAGTGTATACAGTTGTCAAAATTCATCAAACTAAGCATTTTACTGTATATTACCTCGATTTAACAAAACAAGGTTCTACGAGCTCAATTAAGGAAAGTGGATGCTGGATAGCAGAAACAAACAAAAACTTCTCTATGAAAAGAAAATAGAGGAACTTCAAAATGTCATTAATAAAATTGAAACATATGTATATATATATACACATATATATAGCTTTGATTTTTATAAACAAAGAACTGAAAACACACATTCTTTATAAAATTCCTATGAAAAACATAAAAAATCAATTACATGCTAAGTTACAAAGAAAGCCTCAATAATGGAAATTATAAAGACCACACTCTGTGACCATAATGTGATAAACAGATACATTTCATTAAAAAACAAATAAAAGAAATGTAAAAGTAAAACACTTCAAAATTTAAACATGAAATTTACCTAAAGCTCTCCTGGGTCAAAGAGTAAACCAACATTGCTTTCTAAATAATCTGAAGTTCAGACAACCTCTACAAGTCAATGAAAACATTAAATATTATCATGTTAGCCTAATAGTAAAGGCCAAAGCTATACTTACAGCAAAAATTTTAGCTTAAATTGCTTTAATATCAACTGGTTAAAAAATGACAATTATTTTAAAATGTAACCAAAAGTTAGAAAACATAATAAAGCAAATTAAGGCAAGAGATAATTTTTATGAAATTTGTAATAAGAAATCAGTGAACTTTAAAAAGAGAAAAATGGCAGAATTGATTAAAATACTATTTTTATATCACTTCAAGGACTGTATAATATCGACTCTAAAGACATACATATTGTCTACTTTAGGAACCAGGCAAAATCATCATCACAAACATTTTCTGGCTCCTACCTAATTCATTCTTTCAGAAGATAATTTTTTGAGTTATATACACATTGTTTCATCTAAAGAGGGGGTGATGCTTCCTAACTGTTACACAAGGACTATGTAATTATTTAATTCATAGCTTCCAACTCTATTTGAAGATTTTGGCCAAATCGAGCATTCTTTGTGTCAGGTACACTCATTAATACATGAAAGATATATTTACGGAACATAGTTTAAAAAAAGTAAAATTGCACCAATGTTTACTTTCTGCCACCCCTGATTCCAGGAAAGGGTGCTCTCCTTGGCTAATGAGCACCTTTGTCCTCAGGATGGGTATAATTGAAAAAGGATATCTTGTTAGTGATGCTACCTGCTCCATGAATTGATTGCACTGTATCCTTGCCAAGACCCAGCCAGGCAAAGATAGAGTTTTGGTTTTGACATCAAAGAATTATCTGAAAAGAAAGGATGTGCAAACTACAATAGTCTTGTTCTTTTACCACGGCCAGGTTGTCTAAAGATCATCCTTCTGTCAAAGAAGGACCAGACCTGAATGGGTCATCTCCCCTAAGGTTGTTACATTAGGAGGGACTATTCTTTCGGGCCTATTTTCTCCAGAACCCATCCAGAGGTCTAATTAATAGTGGCAATTAAGTTAAAGACAAATGATTATCCTTGACAGCTCTCAGTGAGAAATGCAAAATTATCTTTGATTCATTTCATATTTTAGATTTAAATTTACTTCGTAATGCCCCTAAATTCCTTACTGAATTTCAACATGTTGGTATAAATGCATCTCTTTTCTAAGGAGGTGTAACCATAACAAGGGTCTGTGGAAAATTGAAATTATCTACATTCATCTTAAAAACTGCTTATTTTCTTTCCTCCTTTCCCTTCCCCTTCCCCTTCCCCTTCCCCTTCCCTTTCCTTTCCTTTCCTTTCCTTCTTTTTTGACAGGGTCTCACTCTGTCACCCAGTTTGGAGTGCAGTGGTGGAATCGACTCACTCACTGCAACCTCTGTCTCCTGGGCTCAAACGATCCTCCTACCTCAGCCTCCCAAACAGCTGGAACCACAGGCATGCACTGCCATGCCAGGCTAATTTTTTTATATTTTTGTTAGATACAGGATTTCACCACGTTGCCCAGGCTGGTCTCAAACTTCTGAACTTAAGTGATCCGCCTGCCTCGGCCTCTCAAAGTGCTGAGATTACAGATGTGAATCACCGTGCCTAGCCTCCTCTTCTTTTTCTTAAGACTCACCTTGGGGAGGGTCACAAACAGAACTTTAAGAAATTTACCTGTATTACAGATCACCATTTTAGTTATTAGCCTTTTTTTCTTGAAGTTGTCCCAAAGTATTATTCTAATTGTTATTTAGATAGACACTTTTTATTTTAATTTTTATTTTAAGTTCTGGGGTACATGTGCAGGCTGTGCATGTTTGTTACATAGGTAAATGTGTACCATGGTGGTTTGCTGCATCTATCTACCCATCACCTAGGTATTAAGCCCAGCATGCATTAGCTATTTTTCCTGATGCTCTCCCTCCTGCAACCCTACCTCATGGCAGGCCCCAGTGAGTGTTGTTCTCCTCTCTGTGTCCATGTGTTGTCAGTGTTCAGCTCCCACTTGTAAGTGAGAGCCTGTGTTGTTTGGTTTTCTGTTCCTGTGTTAGTTTGCTGGGGATACTGAACTCCAGCTCCATCCATGTCCCTGCAAAGGACATGATTTCATTCCTTTTTATGGCCACATAGTATTCCATGGTGTATATGTACCACATTTTCTTTACTCAGTCTATCACTGATGGTCATTTGGGTTGATTCCATTAGATAGACGCTAACTTTTAAAAATGCATTTCCCAGATGTTTCTATATTTAACACTATATTTAACCACATATTTAACTACTTCAGACATTTACTCACAAATCAAACCCTAAGCTTATTTTATCTCTGAAATCTCATACTCCAATATCGCATGCTCTACACTACTCTGCGTCCCTTCAGCTCTCTCAAGTTCCCATTCCCCATGACTCACCATTCACTCTATACAGGCTTCCTTCTTTCAACTCTTCAGTCCATTCATTTGTGTGCCAGCCTTTCCAGCCTTTCCAGCCTTGACTCTGTAGTTCATCAACGATCTGTTTTCTCTTAGTACTAAACATGTCCTTGCATACCTGATAGTTTCCCTTTCTGGTGCAGTCAGTCTCCCGGCCCACTGTCTCCATTCAAACATCTGGGCTGCTAAGGGAACTTCCTTCTAATGAATGTTGCTCAGCCACACAGACTAGCCATTATCATGTACCCAAGGGCCCCAACCTTAGAGCTATCAACGTGGCTTGCTTACCTTGGTGAATTTTTGCTTATTCTTAGTCAATTTCCCCTCTACACCTCTTGTAACTTCTTATCCCTCTCCAAACTCCTAATCCACCTCATCTACCTTACCCACTGTGATGGACTAAATTGTGTCTATCCCAAAACCACATGTTGAAGTCTTCACCCCTGATGTGCCTCTGTTTGGAGATACAGTCTTTAAGAAGGTAATTACATTTAAAGAGGTCATAAGAGTGGGACCCTAATCCAACAGAATGGTTGTCCTTATAAGAGAAGATACAGCAAGGATGTGAGCCCACAGAGGAAAGGCCACGTGAAGACAGAGAGCAGGCAGCCATCTGCAGGCTGAGGAGAGAGACCTCCAGAGAAACCAACACTGCTGGCAGCTTTAACTTAGATTTCTACCCTCCAGAAAGGTGAGAAAATAAATTTCTGTTATTTAGGACACCCAGTCTGTGGTATTTTGTTACGGCAGTCCTAGCAAACTAAGATACCCACAGCAATGATTTCACCTTTCACTTCATAAAGAAGATTGAGGTCTTCCGACAGGAACTCATTCAACTTCCTGCCCTCCTGCAAAATTATTTGTGTTCACTCCATTCCTCAACCACTTCCCACCTATATGAGAGAATCAGTTGCTTTCCTTCTGTCCAAAACCAGATTAAACCAGCATGGAGGAAAAATAGAAGAGGATAGACCAGCAGCAGATTGACTTGTTAGGAGCCTCCTGCTCATCTATTTCTTTGGGGTTTATCCTGCAGAGGCCTGAGCAGGAAGGGAGAGAAATGAGCTTCTGCAAGGCAAAAAATGTAAGGAGGCACTCACTCTTCATGAATTGTACAAATACTGATACTTCACTTGCACAACCTTGACTGTGGGAGTCTCCTTATATTTTGCATCTAGGGTACCTAATTGGTCTCATCATCATCTCAGCAAGCTTCCGTTGCATCATGTACCTCTGTTAGAACATTCCCCAAAGCTTTCTGAGAGCTGGAGCCTTGGAGCCTTGGAATATGCCCTGGTTGGGGAAGAGCCTTCCAGTCGCCCTGATGTCTGGGACTCTCCCAGGTGTCCTGATCCACAGAGGTCTACTGGATCCTCTGGGTCCTTAGAAAAATTACTCTTCTCTGCACCCTGAAAACTATCTTGTGCTTAAAATGTGAAGCATCTCTCTTCTTTCCCAAATCACTGAAATCTTTGCTGTCACTCTAAACATGGCTGGGATCTCTCTAACCAAGGAAGGCTTGACTGGTCACTTCTCTCTTTCGGGCTGCATTAAGTGTCTATCTTTGTCTCCATAGACTGGTGAGGAGGGCTCTATTATCACATTAGATAGTAATTATGGCATTATGTATCTCTCCCACATGGTAAACTCATCGAGGTGCAATGTCTTACTGATCTTTGAATTTCTAGTGTCCAACACAGGATTTGGCACATAAATTTTCTACCATTGTTTGTTGGATAAATGAATGATATTTCTGCAATCTGCTGTCTCACCAGCTCCAGCTGGATAAGCATGATTGATCAGTACTATATTTGTTATTTACTCTTATTTACTCCAACGCAAGGAAATAAATAACTGAAAATTTGGAACGCCGTCACTGCATGATTGCTGAGTAAACCTTTGTTTTCACATAGCAATATTCCTTGTGTAGCAGGTGAGACAGATTGCTCCTGAAATACAATGAAGTTTTTCTTTTCTTCTCCGTTCCCTTTTCAAATGTGTAGACTTAAAAATATCTAACTCATTAGCAAAATGAGTTTATTTTAATTACACAGTTGAGACTTCTTATAGCTCCATCAGTCGTATTTCTCCATCTGGTTTATTATCTTATTTCATATCAAGTTTCTGTGACTTTTCCTATCACCAGAGTCAAATTTTCTAATCTGTAACTCCTCTTTTTCTTGGTAATTAATGTTGGCTTTCTTGAATTCAGAAGGGTCCTCCCTGTCTCCAAGGATCTACCATAAATCCTACCCATGAACAACTTCCGCTGTTTTATTCAAGATGTTTCTCTGTAACTTGTCATCTATGCTGTCTCAAATTCTGGAGCTTATCTTTTAACAACCATACTGTTTTACCAGAACCCTTAAACAAGCATGCATTATAGCATCATTGGTTGCATCTAATGCTTCAGGAAAACTATATTTCCACTCCTTACAATGATGTTCTTCCCAGAAATTTTCCTAGGTTTCATTTTTTTTTTAATGCTCCTTTAGAAGTGAACTCACAGGTTCCATCTATCGCTTTAGTTTTCTGTTGAAAAAAACTCACGTTCTTTGATATTTGGTACAATTTTTCTTTTCCTGACTGTCATAATTTCTCAGTCTAATGTTGTTCTCCTCAAATATTCCACATCCCCCTGGACTATTTTGTGTTGGCCATGTTCATACAAGTCAACTGTTTCCAATCCTACTTTATGGACACAGAACATTTCCTTCCTTCATTCCTTGAAAGCTGTTCATGAAAATGTTGGAGATAAACAGCAGGGTCATCTGATGAGTCACTGTATTTGGCACCTACTGCCTGGCTTTTTCTTTGTCCCGAAAATCTTTGGTAAAACACACTGGCTTAAAGAGGAGGAGCAGGAACCGCTCTGGAATCATCAATGCAACTCCACCACGAACTGACTACTTCTATTCCTTGACTTGGACTCTGAAAAAAAAATCCCAGAATGTTAACCTTCTTTACATTCTATGCCAGTCCCAGCCCTCATAGCAGCTGCTCCCCCAATTCAATTTCTATGTGCTTGTGCATATGTCAGCCCTGGCTCTAATTTCCCATTTCCCAGGCACCATCCCTTGAATGTCTACTTTCAGTTTTCCTCCTACTCAATTAAACCTTACCCTCAAGAACCCCTGAGCCTTCAACAATGTCCCAAGCCTGCTGTATTTCTTTGGATTACTTCCTTTCTCCTCCCAAACCAGTGGGTGGCTCTCATCTTAGTCATCTTTCTTCAATCCAATAGCTAGGTCATATTTTGCAAGGTCAGCTATATCCCTGTGTAGATCTGTCCTCAGTGTAGATTCTAGAGTGGTGGTACCTAAACCTGGCTGCTCATCAGGACCTTATGGGCAGCCTGGTAAGATTAAGGGGAGAGAGAAAGAAATTGAGGGAAAGACAGTGAGCTAGCTAGGTAGCCAGACAGAGATTTTTATCAGGTTTAGCTCTAGTTAATCAATTTTAAAGCCCAATATCAGACTTTTTATACTCTGAGTCTGATTGTTAATTTTGCTCTATCTCTTTAGAAACAGTATCTTTTGAAATAAAATTTTCAAGCGAAATGCATGATATATTTTCTGTAGTTGGAGATATCTCTCTACTCTCATCAGAAATGAACATATGAAAGATCTTGGATGGATATACTGAAATGTTCAATCTTTTCTTTCTCCTCCAGGACAATGATAATCATTCCACTTTATTTCTAAAATTGTCATTAAAATAGAGAAATGGAGGACAGCCTGATTTATATGACTGTGTAAGTAACAATTTGTCTTTTTTTTTCTGCCTGGATACTTTTTGGAATTTTATTTTGTACTTTCAAAATATCTTTGTACTTTAAAATTTCTGTCTCACCTGAACTCAAGAGGGGTTTCCTTTCTATTAAATTGTCTGGAATGTGAACAACGTTCTTATTTTTCTTCTCAAACTATCTAGTGTATCTTCAATTACATCCTTGTTTTTATTCCTAAAATTGCTAATTGTTCATTGTTGTTTTAGGCCAATGGCTTAGCTGTTTTATTACCTTTTCACAGGAGCGGCTATCAATGTATCCTCTTTTTAAAGAATTCCTATATTAATAATGTCTTTTTCATCTGTTTAATTTTTTATTTTCTGCTTTCTCTGAGTATTAGTGCCTGAGTATTATTTTCCTTCTTGAGTTGAATTCTTATTTGTTTTCTTTAGTTCAGAAAATATTCTCTGTTATATGTTTGTGTATTCCTTATCTTCCACATACTCTAGTATCTCCTTTAGAAATGATCTTCCATTTGCTGGCACTGCTTTGCTATCATTCACATTTAGAACTTTCTATCTCATGGTTTCCCATCTGAACTGTGTCCTCTGAAATCTGAGAGTTACATTTTCCCATTTTATTCACATAATGACTCCTTACATTATCTCAGTCTCTTATAACTTAATGTTGTAGAGATAGTTGTGGTTTGCAATCATCTTTACTCCATCCACTTATTTGTGTTCTTTTTAGTCTCATCTTATCTTTTCATTTCAGTCTATTATGATTCTATGCAGAGAATCTATATCTGCTTAAATTCTTTTCGTGATGCCAAAAGTTTCTGGAATTCTTCTCTTGGATATTTTCAGAATAGCATTCTTCTTCTGCATCTTCTTTTTTTAGACAGAGTCTCACTCTGTCACCCAGGCTAGAGTGCAGTGGCATGAACATGGCTCACTGCAGCCTCAGCCTCCTAGGTTCAAGCGATCCTCTCACCTCAACCTCCTGAGCAACTGGGACCACAGGTCCGTGCCAATATGCCCAGCTAATTCTTCTACATCTTCTAAATGTGAATTCCTTTTCCTTATTCTGCTATATATTTTCACTGGTCCCTGGTTGATTTTATCCTCTTTATTTTTTATAGATATTAAGATAATTTTGTTTCCAGACTTAGAAATAAATTCTATTAACAGAGCATGTTAGTAAATTTCCATTTGTTCCTCCCTGTCCACTCGTATGCATTACCATTTCAGTTCTCACAACCATTCTTATTCTTGCTTTCCAGGACACCCTCTATTGGTGTATTGCCAATGGAGATGGCCCGGAGTCTTTGTAATTTTGAACCAAGGAAATAATAAAAAGCCATGATAAACATCTGCTGGCAGGTTCCCATTGTCAACCCTCTCCTACAACACTTTATTTGAAAGAAATAGTCCTTCCAACGTATGCAGAGCCTATTTTCCTTGCTGCCTAATTGTTCTGAGATGCTGAAAAATGGTAACTGTGAGAAGGCATATCCTGTTGAACAGAGGTCTGATTGCCTCAAAGACGAGCAACAGTGAATGATATAAAATAAAAGTTGTGTTTTATTTCACGTATTTTGGTACAACTCTTGGTTCTGGAGAAGGTAAATTGAGTCTTCCTTTTTAAAAAAGTACTTCTTTAGTTTCAAGAAACAAAAGGAAATTGTAGCATAAGAGGAAAAATAAAGAACTTACTCAATTCAACTCCATATGCTTTATTGTTTGTGTTCATTTTTCCCAGATATCTGTGAGAAGCCCAGAAGGGCTGCACTGTGGATGGCTAGCCAGAGGCATTTTGTACTGTAGACCCCTGCTGTGTGTTTGCACACACCTCTTTTCTGCGTCCTACTCTATCTGGATTCCTGTCTTAACAATACTGAATTTTTCACCCCAAAAGTACATATCTCTTATGTCTTTTTCGTATTATTTTCATTTCTTTTTCTCTTGAGTCTTTGGAAAATTCAATGGCGATGTGTCCCAATTCATTGATTTATATATGTTTTTGGATTTCACAAACTAGCAGATTGCAGCTAATATTGTTTATAGCAAGTTTAAGAACATACTGCACTTAATCTGATTCTTTTAGGAATGTCTCGATTCCATGTAGTGCTGGTGTGGCTATTAATCATGGTATCAAACTCCAATCTCAGACACAGGAACAGGCATTTGACAATCATAGTGCTACATCTCAGGGGATACAGTGATATTTTCAGATATGGGTGTGTGACTTTTTCCCAGGCCAATCAAAGTTTTCCTTGAGAAAGTTTTGGGGGAACTTGAGGTTTTTCTTTTCCTTTAGGAGTATGAGCTAAAAGCAAATAGGCCTAGAGCTTCTGATGAATATCTTGTCAGGTACTACTTTGAAAGCCTGCATACGGTAAGAAAAATTGAGGCCAAGTAAACAAAAGGCAGACAAGTAAAGCTGTAGACTAGATAAAGCTGACCATATTATTTGAGCTCAGAATCAAGCCATGCCTGAAGCTAAATCTGTTCTCCAGAAATATCCAGTTATGTGAGCCAACAAATTCTTCAGGCTAATCTATTCTCTTCCGTAAAACCAAGAACACTGTTCACTTCATCCAATTTGCCATTGCTGTCTATTGCATTCTTTAAGTGATACATTTTCTACCTCTAGTGTGAGCACTATACTCAGTCTATATAGTTTCCCTTTTCCATGATTCTATACTGTAGTTTCATCATTAAAGTTTATAAATGAAATGAGAGACTTTCAAGCATTTTCATTTAGTGTATCATCTTCAAAACCAGAAAATATTTCCCTGAGATATTAAATGCTTCTTTTCTCTATTAGTGAATCCTTTCCAATGTCTGTTTGACATCAGAATGTCAAACAAATATGGTTTGTTGTTTTTGTTGTTCATTTAAAAATAGTGAATATTACATCTTAGGGTTAATAAGGTTTTCCTCCCCCACAGATTGTACATATGTATTCTTATTTTGGTCTTTTAGGCATGGATGAGAGAAATCATAGGGGGAGTTCAGTTGGATGAAAGTTTATAAAATTGGGGATCCAGTAAATGGTAGAATAAAGAGTTACAAGGCCGGGCATGGTGGCTTACACCTGTAATCCCAGCACGCTGGGAGGCCAAGGCGGGCAGATCAGTTGAGGTCAGGAGATTGAGACCAGCCTGGCCAACATGGTGAAATCCTGTCTCTACTAAAAATATAAAAAATTAGCCCGGCATGGTGGCAGGCACCTGTAATCCCAGCTACTCGGGAAGCTGAGGCAGGAGAATCGCTTAAACCCAGGAGGCCTGAGGTTGTAGTGAGCCGAGATCGCACCACTGCACTCCAGCCTGGGTGACAGAGCCAGACTCCATCTTAAAAACAAACAAACAAACAAACAAAAAACCACACACACAAACACAAAAGAGTTACGACCACAGGAATCATAGAAGGTGGACTGGATTATTTCCTCAAGTTTTTCTTTTGTTGTGTTTATTATGGTAGCCAAAGTGACCACAGGCACTACTCCCACTTCTCATGCTATCAAAATTCCTGCCTAGTAACTGGTTATCTCCACCTTTACATAGCATATTTCCTATATAAAACATTAGCTAAAATTGAGCACTATCAGTGCATCCCTATTTTTGTGGAGTTTGGTACTACGTATCAGATATATATTTTCTCTATCTACCTGGTCAGAGGCTATCATAATAGTCAGTCATGGTTTCCCTAAGAAAGGAGTTTTAGTAGACACCTTATAAGAAGCTGCTACCTACTCATGGTTCACACTTGTGTAACTCTAAATGGAATTGATCAGTTCCTCTTGAGTCCCTTCTTGATCACACTGTATTTTGATAAATTTTTTTATTTCTGATTTGCACATTATACCTTTCCCTAGATATTAGCAGCTTTATAAATCGTTTTCTACTATTTTACTCTAATAATAAAAAGAGTAAGAATAAGAAGTTATATTTCAATTTCAATTTTAGAAAACAATAGTAGCTAAATGGATATATAGCTATCCAAAGATTGCTGCCTTAAACCTGAAGCAGTGTGATCAGATTTCTAATGAGTAGTCTTGCCAAAATCATAAAATACAACAATACAATCTATTTGGTAGATTTTTGTGAATTATATATCATTTTGTCACAATCTAAGACCTGAATTAAAAAAAATAGTCTTCTAGCAGTTTAAATAAAATCGTTTTTCTTCTTCATCTTCCCTTTTATTATTCTACGTTTTGGATACAATTACTTATATATTAGTCATAAGTGCTTCATCACATAATGTGACATAATTGGCAACTCATTGAAGACATGGGAATTTTCTCTTGTCTGCAGAGTAATAGTTTCTTATAATAAGAAACACATGTGAGGATTTTTTTTAACTATGTCTGGAGTTGGGATCTTTCCCAGGAGAGTTTCCAGGTGTTTATCTAAGCATAACAGGCCAAATTACTACCTTTTAGAGTCTGGGAAACAGGAATAGCATTAAAAAAGTATAAACGTGACTGGACAGCCTCATAATTCTAAAATGAATTTGGAAACTGGAGAAACTTGAATGAAATTAATATGCTGGAACTATGGACTTGAATTTAATGTGAATTTCTATTTGTTAATCTTCAACTGATGCTATTTTTCTCTGGTCTCTTTTCACATTTGGCTCCTCCTTGTCGTTTGTTAAATGTAAATTTTCCTGTCTAAGCACAAATGTTCATAGCAGGCCTGTAATCTCAAATCTCAAATCATTTAATATAATTGCACTAATTCAATGTGCACCACTTAAATTCACAATGCTCACTTAGATCCTGATTCAGAAAACTCCAAATAGTAGCCATGCTCACTTGTGATAGAAAGCTTATTTATAAACTTCTCTTTTCCTCCTTAGATGAATAAACTAAATTCTTCAAGATTCTCAAAAAGAAAATCTGTGGTGGCAGCCATTTATCTATTGTCTTTCACCCCAATCCACTCTTTTATACTATATTTGCAATTCTGGGTCTTGGAACATGCTTCTTTGCCAGATGACTTTATGTTAGGTTCTGCCAACAGGGAGGACTAGGAGGATCTTAGAAGGCAAGAGGAGGAAGAGAATTTATTTTTCTTTTCTGTGTATTGTTCTTGCTAGTATCTCCTCAGTAGTGGCACAACTTACTTCCCAGCAGCAAAAATTAGTTCTAGACTCCAAATTCATTCAGTACTCCCAGAATTTTATCATCATAGGCCTTCAGCATAAATGCAGCTGCAATAAAGGAAGTCTGTCCCCTTCTCAGATGTCTGAGTTCCACCTCAACAGGGCCCTACCTCCAAAGTTCTATATTCTGATAACCCCAAATACTTTCCTTTTTCTCCTCACTTCCATGGGTGGTAACTGATTCTTTTGTGTGTGTGTGTGTATGTTTGTGTCAATGGATGTTTCTGGGTTCCCTGTTTCCTCTTTGTTCTTTCAATACTCCAATTCTTGTGTAATCACTTCCCTATATTAAATTCTGTCCGTTAAAATACGTATTATGATTTCTACCTGCATGACTACAGCCTAAGTAATACATTATTAGTAGCAGTCCTAGGAAACAGACTTTCAAGCAAGGATGGGATACTGGTTTTCAGCTATTTTTCTACAAAATATGTTGCCTCCAATACCAATTTTCAAGGCCTGCCAGAAGAAGATTGCTTTCACCTGGCAGGAACAACCGTAGATTTTAATAACCTTGCCTCAGATGGATTTTGATTCTCCTGATCTCTGCCATAATATAGTCCTCAGAGAACTTAATCATCTTGACATTCCACAAACATCACCCTGGTCCACTACTATGATGGTATCACACTGATTGTACCTGATGAACAGCAATTAGCCAGTACTTGAGATATCTTAGTAAGACACAAGTTAGACAGAGGGTGGGAGGTAAAACCCACAAAAGTGCAAATGCCTGTCCCCTCAATGAAGTTACTCAAGGAAACTCCAAACATCTCAAGTACAAATAAATACCCAACAGAGCCTCTTGCAAGCTGCAGCAGGAAAATCACAGTGAAGATTGGTACAATTTTGGATGAAAGCTATGCCTTCTTTTGTAGATTCAAGAGCTAGAATCATCTGTTCACCTACTTTTATAACTAGGCAGCCCTGAAATTCTTGGAGCTGTCTTGTTATACGGTAGTCTTTCTCCTACCTTTCCTCAAAAAAGGAGTTTTCCTTGTGGGTGCTTTTTCACAGCACAAACGATTATGTGTCCCTTGCTCTGCTAACATATTGAAATGGAAGCTGTATAGCTGTAAGAAAGAACCTGACTTGATTGAGAATTGATAATTTGCCATGTCCCAGCAAGCGGGCACACAATTCTACTTCTCTATCAGGACTTGGTTAAGACTGGTTCAATATAAAGAACAAAATGTGCAATCTGACTACATTCTAGTACATACAATTTTCTTATCTCAACTTTTTCTGGTGCTTTTGAAGGGCTTTTCCTACTTGGTATTTTATGTATAGTTTAATGGAAACTTTAAGATGGGATCTGAACTGTTTTAATTCAAACTGCCATCTTCTCCAAAGCTGGTGTGTGTAATTTTTTTTAATGAAAGGAAAGCCATATTCTCAAACTGTGTTGCATCAGGTCATCATTTGCCAGTGATACTTTCATGGGATTATGTAAAATCACAAGCAATTGGTGTAATAGAGACAAATTAGACAAAAGCTGTTTTTGAAGCAGATATCTTATATAAAGTATCAAGGTATAGGCATCAGTTTGTCTCTCTCTTGAGAAGGTAATGAACTCTGAAAATATTACTTCTTTTGCTTTAAAAAAGAGAACCACCAATAATAAACTAAAAATAATTAACAAGCAGTATACAAATTAATAAGCATACAAATCCTGCTTATTAATTATTTTTAGTAGTTGGTGGTTCCCTTTTGAATCCAAACATTCTACCACTACCTCAATTTCTGCCTAGAAAGAGTAAAGATGAAAAATCTAGTTTTCTGTCACTCCTTCCCTTGGATGACCTTAAACAAGTTACTAGGGCTCTATATGCCAATTGTTGCACTGTTAAAATAAAACAAAGGCTCTTCTGGATTAGGAACTGTTTCTGAGGGTTTGTCCATTTGTGGATTCTTGTTAAAAGCAAGTAATCAATAAATATGATGGATTCTGGGGCCAAATCAGTGGCTGTTGCTGGTTAGTTTCTTCTCAGAACTAACATCATTGATAGCATTTGAAATAGATGGATAATACATCGATTCCTTCTAAAGGTCAAGGTACTAATAATCAGTAAGCCCTAAACGAGCACCTACGTGTCTCAATCAACGCTCTAGGTACTTTGAAGGTACAAAAACGTTTCTAAGAAATCACTTTACTCTCAAGAAGATTCCAGTCCAGGCAAGAAGAAACAACAAACAACTGGAAATAAATACAAGATATGGGTGTTTAGGAGCCGCGAATGTGATGTTGATTGTCTAGTTCCATATTCTGCTCACTGCAGGTTGCTGTTGCAGCATCTCTCTTTTCAGCTAAAACCTCTCAGGTTCAGCAACTCTTCTTGCTATATCTGTGCCCCCTCCTAAGTGCTTGGAGCTAGTTCTGTGATTCTGACACCCCTTTGCAAATCCAAGCAATCTGTGAAGTTCTTCTAGGCTTGCACTAACAAACACAAGCCTCTCAGTGCTCAGCGAGTGAGTCATCTCACTATCAAAGAGACTCGCCCAGGTAGGCCAGGATATGGGACTTCTTTCACAGAACTACACCAGAATCTAAGCCCTAACTTCTTTTAAAATTCTCCTCTCACCCCTACGATATGAAGAATATCTTATAGGCTCAGTGAGTAGGGAGTTATGCCATGATTCATCAAATATTCTTTATGCCAGTAATTTGTTTAAAAGAAAAATTAAGAGATGGGGTCTTGTTATGTTGCTCAGGCTGATCTCAAACTCCTGGGCTCAAGTGATCTGCCTACTTCGGTCTCCCAAAGTGCTGGGGTTACAGGCATGAGCCAACATGCTCGGCCTTGTGAATTGTTTTTGATCATGAACAATTACCAATAAAAAGGCATGCTCTGAGAAAATACATACATTCCTATATACTACATCGTTATTACTAATTGCTATCTCATGAGATTATATATTATACATATATATATATAATATATATACTGCTCATGGTGTTAGATTTAAATCTATATTTCCAACAGTTTTAATAACTTCAAAATAGTTTGGCTGACTTTTTTTTCAGTTCTGATGAAATTATCTTTTTTAAACCCATGAGGTAGCTGACAACTCATCCTGGGAGTAGATGTGTCGGCTCTGCTATTTCCTTATTTCTTTCTTGTGAATATATCATAGTACTAATTTTGAACCAAAATTTCTTTTTGAAAATCTTTTAAAGCCGACTGTCCATTTTTTGGAAAGCTGGTTCAGTTAAGTTTAAGAAACATAATCCCAAGACCATTAAACTAGTACCAAGAAACTAGAGTACATACATATAGTGAAAGAAAAAATGAGGATGGGCCAGACTCACTGGCATATAAATCCCAGTCTTCTCACAGGTTACTTCACTAAGCAAGATGTGACCTCATGCAGGTATCAATGTCAATCCCTTTATATTAGCAAAGCTAATACTTTCTTCCCACATTCCAGTGGTTTGACTTGTACACTCCTGTTTAGAGGTCACTTTTCTCTTCTATGAGTCTTTTCAAGGCCTAAGCTTTGGAAATGCAGTAGCCTGTTTTCTGCTAGAATATCTTTTCCACGAAGCATTAAATACACTGACAAAATAGGAGAAGGATCACAAGATGAAAAGAAGTTGTGAGAAAAAACAACACATCCATTTATATAAAAAATGTTTTCGCACCTCTCTTGGATGTGGATGGGTGCCCAGGGGTAACACTTTCTAGACAAGGGAATAAGTGTGGACACAGACATTGGATTGGAGGTTATTGGGACATGTGAAAAGGATGGGGCTTCCCAATGGGAGTATACGGGGAGTTATGGTAGGTAAGATCAGTGGGGTAGGGAAGCCACACTGAAAATCAGACTGAGGAACCAGGTTTCTTTGGGATTGTTCCATCACCCTTACCCCATTCATTAATAGTGCAACACATAACCTGTTTCTGATTTGTTTCCTAAATAAGGTTTAAATCTATCTACTTCTTTCTCTTTGGACACCATCACTCAAGCTACTGTCCCACTGCAATAGCCTCCAACTAGTCTACCAACACCCACTCTTTGTCCCAAGTAGTTCTCCTACTTCCCTCCCCAGCCTGATCTCCTAGCATCTGGCCCCTCGTTCTTTGCAGCCATGTCATCTTATCTCACCCAGCCACCTCTTCTTCCTACTCCAGGGGCTCTGTGTGTTACCACTGCTGGAACACTCCCATCCTGTACTACCTCTACCATTCTTCAGACCTCAACTCAATACCAGTTCCTTACTGAACATATTTTTTAACACCTTAAGTGAGTCATATTCCCTATTATGTAATCACAGCATCAGGGACTTACCACAGTTATAATTGTGTTTTACATACTTTGTTTTTTGTCTCCCACACTTGTATAAACGCTGTGGGATCAAGGATCATGTCTCTATTTTCTTACTATTTTATTTCTAGCACTTATCACAACATAAAGAACACAGTAGGTGTTTGATAGTTACTTGCTGAATGGCAAATGCTGTTGTCAATAGGTAGCCACTATACCATCTTGATGGACAACTGACAAGATAAAATAAGGTTTAAGATGTTTCAGCTGGGCGCAGTGGCTCAGGCCTGTAATCCCAGCACTTTGGAAGGCCAAGTCAGGCAGATAACCCGAGGTCAGGAGTTCGAGACCAGCCTGGCCAACATGGAGAAACCCTGTCTCTAGTAAAAATACAAAATGAGCCGGGCATGGTGGTGCGTGCCTATAGTCCCAGCTGCTTGGGAGGCTGAGGCAGGAGAATTGCTTGAACCTGGAAGGCAGAGGTTGCAGTGAGCTGAGATTGCACCATTGCACTCCAGCATGGGCAAAAAGAGTGAAACTCTGTCAAAAAAAAAAAAAAAAAAGTCTTGATGTCTCCAATAGAACAAAAAACAATATAAAAAATTTATCACTAAAAAATTTTAATATAACCACCTATGCAACTCTAAAAGGAAATTAAAACTAATTTTCACAATATATAGAAAAGAACAATAATGAAAACTTTGCATTTGATTGAATAAGACAAAGCTGTTGTCAGAGGAAAATTCATGATTGTAAATGTTTTGCTAATAAACAAGCAAAATTTATATAAAATATATTACTTAAGTATCTAATTCAAGAAATTAGTAAAGGAATTTAAAAAAAAAGCTAAAGAAATCATAACAAAGGGAAGATATAGGCACCTGAAGAAAAATACCTAAAGAAGCCATTTGTAATTTTCCACAAGTAAATTTGAGAATCTCTACAGTGATTTCTTAATAAAATATAAATGATTAAAATGTACCCTAAGAGAGAAATTATAAGAAGATCAATTGTAAATGAAGAAATAGAACAGTTTCCTAAAAACTATCCACCTTCAAAAGTACACATATTTTCACAGAAGAGTTACAGCAAAATGTTAGAATGTTTCCTGTACCTCCTGCAGAGAAGGTGGTTAGGGCAATGAGAAGGATCTCAGACTATAAGAGTAGCCACCTGTCCTATGTCAACACTTTTGGAGGATAGGTTGTTGTATTATTAAGAGAGCAGGCAGGTCCTTTGAATTCCAGTACAATAACTCTTCTCCTCTAAATAGAATGACCATGTATTCTGATTTTCTAAGATAGCTCTTTTTTTCCAGAGGTAATCTGAGTTTTCTAGAAGTAGCTAGATTTTAGTGTATAGTAATTCTACAAATCTAACCATAAGCCATTGAACATTAAGACCCACTAATAAATGACAATTCACCAGTTAAGGTGAGCACATGATTGCTAAAATTAATGTATGCTCAATGTTCAGGTGTAGATATGCTATTTGAGTAGCTGAAGCCCACAGGGCTTGTGTTGGTACGGTAAGCTGAGAAATTGTGGCCATAGGTCAGTACAGATATGGGCACAAGGTGACATCAGCAAGGAACATTTCCAGCTGTATTACCAGATCACTTTCCCAGAGTTCAAAGATATTTGAAAGGTTTGAAAATATATCATTACACTTTTAACTTTCATGTCAAAATGTCTATAAATGATAATTTTTTAAAGACTTACTTTTTAAAAGCTTTGCCAAAAGAATTACATTCGTTAAAAGAGACATGACAATTTGTCTTTTCACTTATGAGATAAGCATGACTCAAGGCAGGAAGTATGACTTATAATATATTCAATCTAAGGAACTCACTTAGCTGTTGAGTCTGTAGTGTCTAGTACTTCCATGAATACATTTCTTGAGATAAGATCATGTAAAATGAGGCTTGTTGCCAAGAACGTGGGAAATCATACACGATACTGCAAAACTCCACCATGGTCACAGATCTTCCTATTGTACTTATTGCTGTGTGAGCAGATGTATATTAACCAGCTTTCCAAAGAGGGTGCCTTGATTTATAGAATTTGTCAATATCCATGGTATAAATACTCCAAATATGGTTGATTAAAGTCTACCAACGTGATGTCACTGAGAAGATTTGTGTCCAATCAGCTCCCACAAGCTGGTGTGAGTCAATTTCCAGTGCACCACAAATTCTAGATAAATTTTCATAATCTTTAAACTTAAGTATTCATTATTACAAATAAAACACAGAATTATCATAACATATGCTCTTCCTCCTTAAGCTCAAAATATTTTACTTTAGGAATTGGATGACATTTTATGTTTAGCCATTGTGAAACAAAACATCTATTTAGCCATGAAAGTCAATATATTAGTTTAAAAAGTTAATATGGAAGTTCTTAACGATGAGTAGGACAGCCATATGTCAATAACATATCTGATCTTCTAAAAATTAGTTACAATTTTGATAATGATTTTTATAATTTTAATAGAAGTAAAGATGTTAGCATCATTTTGTTCTTTGTTAAAATGTACAACTCACCAATTGTCTTATTTAGACACATACAAATCTGATGTGCAATCTTGAAGTAGCATGTGAATGTTTCAAACATTATTTTACAGGATTTTTTTTTTTTGAGACAGGGTCTCTGTTGCCCAGACAGGTGTGCAGTGGTGCGATCTGGGCTCACTGCAATTTTCACCTCCCTGGCTCAAGCGATCCTCCCACCTCAGACTCCCAAGTAGCTGGGTCCACAGGTGCCCGCCACCATGCCTGGCTAATTTTTGTATTTTTTGTAGAGACATATATATTGCCCAGGCTGGTTTCTAACTTGTGCACTCAAGCAATGTGCCTGCCTTGGCCTCCCAAAGTACTGGGATTACAGGCTTGAGCCACTGTGCCCAGCCTTGAAGGACTTCTTTAAATTGACCCTTTTTCCCCAAAATTCCATAGCTGACATCTAATTTAATGCTTTCTCAATGCTACAATTACTTTCTATGTCACATTTTCCCAAAATGGATGAGCACCACTTATTAGTAACCATGCCTTGTGTGGAATTACTTATACTTGTACCAATATCAATAATAAAGACAAAAAAATTGAAGGTTTTTAAACTTACTGTTCTCTAATTCAGGAAGAAAGTTGTTGAGAAAAAGTATGTATTGCATTTTGGATGAGGCTCAGCAGGTAAACGCAAGTTAAGATTGTTGAGTCTTCTTGAGTTCATGTTGTGGCTAAAAACCCCTGGGGACTGGGGAGTTACTGTTTGTGGGAATACCTATTCTTATGAGGGCTTCTTGTTCATAGAAGATGGAAGTTATTTTCTACCAGGTTGAGATGTGTATATGTTTTATGTTACAAATGGTCTTCCTTACTCAAGCTTGAGTAAATTGGACCACCACTGTGGTCCTTGGAGGGCAAATTTGAAAGTCCCTATTAATCCTGTAGGATTCAGTTGAAAGCATAGTCTTCAATGTACTTTACCTGAAAAAAAGGGAATTTTAAAAATGTGTTTCTCATATTTCACTTATTTACTCATTCATCTGTAGATACATTCATTATGCACATCTTCATTTATTCTATAAATAGTTACTGCGTCACTATGACTCGCTAGACAATGAGCAAGGGCTCGGGACAGAGCTGGGAGCCAGAGGGACACAGTTCTGCCCTCATACTATGGACAGACCAGCCATGAAGAAGGCTTTTAAACAAACTATTTTAATTGTGATGATTACCTAAAAGAGGGAATGCACAGCCCTATGGGGATGTGCAATAGTGGAGTCTGGCATTTTCTTGTTGCGGGGAGGAAGATCTCATTGGAGAAGTCATACATAAGCTGCGACACGAAGGACGATGCTTTTACATGAAATTTGTTTTCCTAACCCCTGTCTACATCAGAACTTCCTAGTGAAATTGGCAAGGACAAAAAGAGCATGAGAGATAGCAAAAGGGTCCTCATAATTTTCATAATGACATACATACATAATATTCTACAAATAAAGGACATACGCGAATTTCCTCTCTAATTAGTGAACAAGAACTCTGACCTTGACACTTGATTTCTACTGATTAACAACCCTCGGAAGTCGGAGGAGCCATCAATGATCATGGAAATCACTTTATAAAACCTCTCTCAATAGCTAAATTGCTTAGAGACTCTCAAGAGGATATTTAGAAACATTTAGAAGAATAAAAATTTGTGGAACAGGATGAATTCTTCCAACAGCATTATTACCAAGTTCAGAAATAGGTAAAAAAAAAGAAACTGATCAGGTAAATACCATAAGCTATCTTATTACCAAAGTAATGTTTTAATTTTAATAGTGGAAATACATAGAAGCAGAAGGAAGAAATCACCCATATTCCACACTCAGAGACAACCCCTGGCTCCATTCTGGTGCGGATCTCCAGACTTTGCTCTTCCATATGTGTTAAGGACTGATTAAATGTAATATGATATGCAATATCCCTGGAGAGACAAAAATGACGAAGAGTCTTGGCATCATGACTTTCCAGTTTCAACAATTTGTATTAGTTATTTTACTTTTTCTGCCATGCTTACCTCGTCTATAAAATGGGGCTAAAGGTCACCACTGCATGATAGGATTGTGGCCAAATTAGCTGTTTTAATTCATGTAAATTGGTGTAGCATAGCACACACTCAGTAGGTGGCTGCTGTTCATCTTCTCTGTCAGTGGCTTTCAACTTACAGGTTGTGACCCATACTAACATGTCACGAAATTGATTTAGGTGTGGTGACCAGCATTAAAAAGGAACAGATAATAGAAGAGAATACAGGTTTCATAAAACTCCTATTAAATAAAAAAAAATGAAATAAGAAAAGAGAGTCTGGGTATCGTGAAACTCTATTTCAGGTGTGTGTCGGGGGGCAGGGTTGGGGGCTGTGCACTGTGTCACTAATTTCTTTCTAAGTAGGGAGCACTGTCAACAAAGCATGAAAACACTGTTCTAGATCACAACATGGCCCCTGCCCTGGAACCTACTTTTGCTCTCTCAACAACATCCTGTGGACGTGCTTCCCTATCATTAGACATTCTTCTACACAGTTCTGGTGGTTGTACTTACTTACTGTATTTACTTATGTAAATAGAGCATTTTTTTTTTTTTTTTTTGAGACAGAGTCTCTCTCTGTTGCCCAGGCTGGAGTGCAGTGGCGCCATCTCTGTTCACTGCAACCTCCTCCTCCCAGGTTCACGCCATTTTCCTGCCTCAGCTTCCCCAGTAACTGGGACTGCAGGTGCCCACTACCACCCCCACCTAATTTATTTATTTATTTATTTAGTAGAGATGGGGTTTCACTGTGTTAGCCAGAATGGTCTCGATCTCCTGAACTCATGATCTGCCCACCTTGGCCTCCCAAAGTGCTGGGATTACAGGCGTGAGCCACCATGCCCGGCTGAATGGAACTTAACTTTTAAAATAAATCTCCTAACATTTTGGCCCAATCAGAGAATTATTTCTCAATATAGAAAAGTTCAAACTATTTGCAGATTCTGTAGCCTTTAGAAAGACAATTCATCAAGCGTGTTACTACACATGATTTAAATTGTATACTTTGGACGATGCTGTGTTTAAATAACTTCACAAGTCAGAAAAAATATATACCATTTATTTTTTAGTGATGACTCCAGGGACTCAGAATAAATTGATGCTTAAGGGAAAAAAAGGAAAGGTCTTGGATAAGCTTTGTTTAGCTACTGCACCTGGCATCGCTGAGAAAGAGCTCAGGATACAATGCTTTAAGCCAAGAACACATTGACTTATTGCAGCCCCTCCACATACATTTTACTGTCATTTCTGCAGTTCATATACGAATGTGGTTACAAAGGAAGGTCAACGTTGCTTTGGTGTTTCTATTTCCCCCCACTCTTTCTTTCCTCCTGTCTCCTCTCTCTCTCTCTCTCTCAAAGTGTGTGTGTCTGTGTGTGTGTGTACGTGTCTTTTCTAAGGTCACACTAGAAAACCTAAGACAGCCAACATCGTAGTTAAATGCACAGGACTTCCTGCTTGATGGAAGGCCATAGAAAGCTCTATTAACTTTGATTGTACATGTTTTTTCTCCCTTACTGGAGGAGACTTAAAATCTTTTTACCCTTCACAGCCCTTGGATCCTAATGAGTGTTCAATAAATATTTATTAGATTGAACTGCCATTATTGTCTGCAGTTATTTATTTAACGTGTTTCACAAACCTTGACTTCCATACATTTATAAAAGTATGCATTTCAGATGGGCAAAGGTAAGTCCAGCAGTAAATAATTTCATTCATTCATTCAGAAAAGGTTTACTGAACTTGTACCCTTTGCTCTGCATTTCTGTTCTAGGAAATAGAGATAGAGAGAAAGAGCAGTGAACGAAAAGGACAAATCACTTTTCTCTTGGGGTTGGATACTTCTCGAGGGGGCAGACAATAAATAAATAAGCACATGTATATAAAGTGACTGGTGCTGGTAAGTGTGGGACTAGTATCTTCAACAATTACCACCTTCTATTAATACTCTCTCTCTTTCTTTTAAATATATTCAGGAAAAACATAAATATTCAGAGAGGAGTGGTTCTTTTCCTGCCCCTTGATGAACATTCCAGCAGGCTGAAGATTTTTCTCCTCATTCTCAGGTAAAATCAAACAAATGAACAATGAGCTAATAAATAAAGTCTTGTGATCCCTTGTGGTCACAAATAGAATCTCAGTTTAGTAGTTAGACTGTCTACTGTTCTGTAGGAATCAAAATGAACTTGAATCCAAACCAAACCTTCTCTGACCCCTCTCAGCTGGAGCTGACAGTGGACTGGCCAGTTGCAATGGTGGGGGTGTTGGGACAGCACTCTCTTATTTCCTCATGGAGCCTCCCCTAGCTCCTAACTTCAGTTTCAGGTCATCAGCCCTAGTGAGAACTGACCACCAAGTCATACCTCTTGGGCCTGGTGGATGGATGGTTCTAGCTGAGTCTGAGATCCTCGGCTGCCTCCTTCAGCCCTTGCTTCTCAGGCACTCATTGATCCCAGGCAGGGCTTCCAGGCTGCTGCTTTTTGCAGCAACTTTATCCACACCTTCACAGCACATAGTCATGCATCATTGTCCGGATAACCCCCGGAGTGCAATGTGATCCCAGAGCAGATGCCTGTATCCTGCTGCCTAGGGCCACCTGAGATTTCTCAGGCAGGAGACAGCCACTTCTAGACTGCAGGAAGTGCAAGGATTCCTCCGTCACTAAGGCTGGAGATCAGAACGTAAGGAAGATTCACAGTATAGTTACACGCCTGTCCCATACAGGGAAGATAAGGCGTTACCCAAAACCCTCTCTGACACCTTTGTATGTTCTTGCTATGGCTGAGTCATGGAGCTATTTTCCCATAGGTTCTTTTAAAATTCTCCCTAAGGTGTGGGACAGCAGGGATGGGTTTCACATTCACTCTGGTGATAGGCATTGTACTTATCTCAGTTAAAACTGAGATGGGAGGAACCCATTTCAACACACTTAGAGGGTTGTGAAGAAAACCAATTGGGTAGATGAAGAGAATGTGTGGTGGAGGAGACAGGGTGCCATTTTATGTGGGGTGGTCAGAGAAATTCTCTCTGAGAAGGTGAGAGGTAAGCAGAGACTCTAACTGAAGGGAGGAAGCGAGCCCTTTGGATATGGCTAGGGAAGAACACGCTAGACAAAAGGAACCAGTAGTTCGAAGGTCCTGAGGGAGGAGCGTGCTTGGCATGGAAGAGCCAGGAGGTCAGGAGGCTGGAGCCACAAGCAAAGAGGAAGACAGGAAGGTGTTGAGTTACAGGAGTAGCAGGGAGACAGCTCATGCATGGCTCTGTAAGCCATGCGAATATTCTTTGTATTTTATTTGCGTGACAAGAGAGTCCTTATTTATTTACTTTAATGGCAGGAAAACACAAGAAAATAACTCTGTCCTTATAGTTGAGTATAGAACATAGTAAAATGTAATATAAATTGGGCCATGAGCTTAGTTGATCAGTTGATAGCCAAGACTCTTTATTCTGTGTTCTTATTAACATAAAAAGGAGATTTATGACACAGTAAATGAATAAACAAATACTGCTAAGTTCAAGTAATGTGCTCTGTGGATTTTCTTTCATTAAAAGCTGGTCTTTCTGGAGGAACACTCATCATTCTGATTTTGTATGCTCTCTTTTTATTTATTTATTTATTTGAGATGGAGTTTCCCTCTGTTGCCCAGGCTGGAGAGCAGTGGCGCCATCTTGGCTCACTGCAACCTCCACCTCCCAGGTTCAAGCAATTCTCCTGGCTTAGCCTCCCAAGTAGCTGGAATTACAGGTGCCCACCACCACACTCGGCTAATTTTTGTAGTTTTTAGTACAGACGGGGTTTCACCATGTTGGCCAGGCTGGTCTTGAACTCCTGGCCTCAGGTGATCTGCCCGCTTCGGCCTCCCAAAGTGCTGGGATTACAAGCGTGAGCCACGGTGTCTGGCCTATATTCTCTCTTTTTAAATACGGGCCAATGTTATTTTATACCTTGGCTGTCTCCCTTCCCCAAACATCTGAAATTCAGGTGAAATGAATCTGAAATGACCCAAAAGCAATACAATACCGAAGTGAATATGAAAGTGGCCGAGGGGATAGATCAGCCCAGTGGAGTCCTCCTCATTGTGGGGGCGTGAGGGTGTTGGTTGGTTGGGATATTACCTAAAGGAAGCCCAGTCCTAAAGCAGACGCCAGTGCTGCCTCCCTGAGCCACTGCCCAGCCTCCTGGAAAGCCCAGGGCACTGCTGCCAGCTGGCCCTCTCTGAGCCTGGCTCTGAGAGCAGGCCGACTGTGCACGGGTTCAGAGGCATCCATCACCTGGAGAAGGCACAGAAGGCCTGCTGCGGTAGGGCTGGATTTGAGTCCAGGTAGGTGGAGAGGAGAATTACACATTAGGAAACCATGTGAGCTAAGGCAGGAACACACGAAATCTCTTCCAGGACAGGGAGGAGCCCTGTTGTGAGAGCCTGAGAAGGGAAGAAAAAGCTGTAGAGAATAGCAAGGGCAGATGATGGAAGTGTATGCATTGATATAAAATATGCACCCTCACCTTAGTCACAGGAGAGATCATCTGGTGGATATGAAAATGAGTCTCTTCTGTGCTCCCTTAAGAAGGAAGAAGCGTGGGACAGAGGACTTTCAAGCATGGCTGTCAACCTTGTCTACCCATTGGGATCACCTGGGACCTCTGATGTCTGGTGCCTTGTCCCCATACTCAGAAATTCTGACTTAACTTGTCTGGGTGCCAGCTGAGAGTGGGGATTTGAGGGAGCAACCCAGCTTCTCCTAAGGTGCAGCCATAGCTCTAGAGCCTGACAGCTGATGAGAATTTTGCTTCCCGGCTGTGTGTGTGTGGAGGTACGTCACCTAATGCTCAGGGCTGACTTCTCCATTCGGCACAGCAGGCGTGGTGCTTAAGGCCCATGATACTTTTAGCAGCCCACACAAATGCTTTACATTTTTTTAATCAAAAGAAAAAAGTGAATATAATTCAGCCTGGATTATATTTGTCTTTCTACCAATGTAATTCTAAAATATAATCTTAAATTTTTTTTATGGAGGAGGGTCCATGAAAGTCACAATGCAGCCACTGCTGGGCCTTACCATGCCAATCTGTGAAATGGGGATAGTGAGGAGTCACCTATTCTACCCAGTTGCTGTGAATAAGTCTTCCTCTTATCCCTCTCCAGCAGTGAAATTTGTCCTACTTTGCACTTACAAAGTAATCTCTTACACCATTTCCCCTATTACTGCTTTGAAGTTTCATAAAATTATTTTACTCTTACAAAATCTTTATTCTTACTAAATGAAAGAACTTTGAGTACCGTGGACCCTATCTTTTACATATATATATATTTGCAGGGGTTGGAAAGCAAATTCCATGCAGAAAAACTAATTACAGTGCTTTGCGCGTTGCAGCTGTGCAATCAGCATTGGTTGTTTTGAACTGGGTGGGAGGCAGTCGGGCAAGCACTTCAAGAGATCAGATTCTTGCAGCACATGTGTGGTTGCACATCTATTGCATGCCGGGGATGGAAACACTCTCAATGAACGTCTTTTTGTGTTTCCACATCTGTAAGATCATCAAGATCACCTGGGGAACCTCAGGCCAGCTCTCAAAATTAGCATATCGAAGTACAAGGCTGCATGGATGTATGTATATAGTATGTATATTAATCCCCATTGAAATTGAAGAATTAGCCAAACATGGGAGTCACTGCTTTTTAATGTCCCTTGTGCCAGATGTTCTCTATGTGCTTCTTCAAGTCAACTCTCCACCCTTCTCCACCCGGTTTTCTGCCCCACAGACAGACTCTTAGAAACTGCACCCAAGGCTTCCCTTGCCCTGTGGCTTCCAGTTGGTTTCAGCCTATGGGAGGCACTGACAGGAGATGGTGAGAGGAGAGTGAGGAGAGTACAAGTGTTAATTTCCATCCTCCTCATCCCATAATCTGGCACAGGCTGTGTTCTGCCTAAGGTCCTATCCTCTAGCAGTAGCTCTCTGCAGGTTCTGGAAGAGAACCTTCCAGGCAGCTGAAAACCCAAAGGCATTTATATTACCCTTCCTTTGGTCTCTACAACCTACTCACTCCCTTGTAAATAGGCCCTTCATTAAACTCTCTTCAGTTGCCTCTTCTGGGCTGTGCCATAGCTTTCTTGCTTGGACCCTGAGTTCCTTAATTCTATACTGTATTTTTTTTTTTTTGCAGGTAATCCTGCAGTCTTAATGTGATCACCTTCAGGGTTTGGAAACTCAAATGCAATACCAACATTTATGTTATGTTATTACAGTTTACTCTCCAGGTTTTTTAAAGAATGTTTATGCTTTGCTTTCAAATATTACTATTGTCTATTTTATCCCTACAGCAAATGTATGAGATTGTTATGATCAGCATTGTTTTAGTTGAAGAAATTGAAGCAACACAATAAACGGTAACTTGTTTCAGATTGCACTGCGAGTAAGTGGTAGAGCTGGGGCTCCCACATCGTGGTCCCTGCAGTCCCAATATTCTTGGTGAATTCATCTGAATGCCTCAGAACCCCAGGGAGGAGGAAGCTGTCATATTTAACACCTAGAATTTACTTTTCACAAGTTGGCTAGCTGTGGTTTCTGGATTATAGACTCCTCAAGTGCACCGTAGCCTTGCTTCAACTTGTGGAGAGGGCTTTATTGAAATAATTTTTCCCCATGATTGATGGGTTGCAAATCCATGCCATGAATCTGGGGGCAGCAGGCTTTTCTTTTTGCTGTTGCTGAGGCAGCACTGTAAAACATAATGTACGGCCACATCAGAGTGAGTATTTTCCAGGAAAAATGCCTGCTTCTACTTAAGTTTTATGGGGTCCCCACTTAACATCTCCTTTGGAGTACACACAGAGCTTTTCTAGTTGAGTCTTTCCTAGAGACACTCAATGGACGGAAAGCCACATCATCTACCCTAACAAATGAAGGGGGAGGCAGGGCTCTTTTTTAGAAGGAAATGGCACACTTTTCTCTTTTCTTTAACTGTTTATTGGCAGACGTTTAGTGTGAGTCTGCATACCTGGAAATAATTATATCCCATTCCAGGAATCACTTACAAACCTGGATATTGAGGTGAGACCTGGAAAAAGGGATTCTTTTCACTTCAAGAGAGAAAAATTGGATATGCAGCTGGATTGGCTGTCTCCCTTTTGCAAGTTATTTAACTTTTTCTGGGCCTCAGTTTCTTCACTTGAAACTTGAGATAGTAACATCCACTTATAGGGAAATGAGAGGGATTATGTTAGATAATGAAAGTCAACATACCTTACAAATGTAAATTACTTTCTTGTGATCTTTTGGATCACATGATTAAACAATATTTTGTGCTGAGTTTTGTATGTTTGATATGGGTCAAATGGATTTGGTCCCTTGAGCACATCTCTGTCTGGCCCCGGCAAATATATCACCCAAGTGAAGCTGAGCCGGTGATAACAAAATCTTCCCTCAATGCAATCACTTGGGGGTCAATGGTGAGAAGAACACAGAGTTAAGGAAAGGCCTGACAGAGTTGGGTTTGAATCCCAGCTCCACTCTTATCAGCTGTGTAGCAAGGAAACAGAATACGATTTGCAGAACCCAGTGGAAATACAGACCCCTTTGTTCAAAATTTATTAAGAATTTGAAATGGCAATAGCAGAGCATTAATACAATCATGTGGGGTCCCCTTCGGAGGATGGGGCCTTGAGCAACTGCACATGACCTTGTGGGTGACCTCGAGGAGCTCTTTTAACTGCTCTCGGCCTGGGTTTGCTCATCTCTAAAATGAAAGGAGAGCAAGTGACTGTCTGGCAGGGTTATATGTGAGGAGGGGTGCTAAGGTGTCCAACAGGCACAGCACAGGCACACGTGGGGCTCTGCAGGCAGACCCTGCACTATTCACAGTCCTTAACAACAGCATTTGGCTTAGGGACTCTGAGCCATGCTGCTCCTTCTTTAGTTTATTTCTTGAATGACTCACTTCTACCAGCACAACGGGCAAGGACTTTGGTAGGGTAACAATCTAGATCTAGACAGAGTGAGGTTGGAGTCACCGTTGTTACCAAACATTGATTATTATGAACTATTACAGTTGAATCTAAAACTAGAAGTAAAAAAAGAAAAAATCCTTTAAAAATGAGTTATGGTGTAGGCGGAATTAAAGAAACAAGATATAGTTTCATTGGGCATTCGATCTTTAATGGGCAATGTCAGGTTATCAGTGACTCCAGGGCACACTATGGCTCATGGTCAAAGCTAGCTCAATACCTGTTTTTATAAATAAAGTTTTATTGGAACACAGTCACAGCCATTCATTTACCTATTGTCTAGGGCTGCTTTCACATGACAGTGGTAGAGCTGAGTTGTTGAAACAGAGAGTATTTGGCCCACAAGCCTAAAGTATTTACAATCTGGACCTTTACAGATCAAGTCTGTTGAGCCCTGATTAATGGTCTCCAGAGTCGTCATGTGTGGAATAAGGAATTAGATGAGAACGAGTACGCTTTGTTAAGAGAACAGCACTGCACAAATACTAGAATTGATTAGCCCCTAATGTTGACCTACTGTGGTGTTGGGTCTGCTATAAATCTGCTTGATTCTGGAAGAAAGTCAAGAAATACACAGCATGTAATTAAATGATCAACCAGTCAAGCCTTTATCGGGTGGCAATTATGGGCAAAGCACCTTGGTAACTATCACCTCAGGGGGGCAGTTTGGCTTGCCAAATAGCTGAGTGCCACATCAGTGCTGCTGGTGAAAAAATATGAAAGGAAAAAGAAAATAAAGGAAAACTTATCCTTTCTTCAAAACACTCAAACCTTCTCCATTTAATTTAGACTCCCCAGCTAACATATAGTTAAAATCTCAGCTGTGCTTTTCTTTGAGGGGGAAAAATTCCAATGCTTTGGGAAATCTGCCAGTCCCTGACACTAGAGCCCTTGGATTTTGGGGGTGGTGATAAAGAGACTCACATTCTCCTCCATCACCAAAGGTTACATTTCCAAATTGAATGTATTGAATGTTAGGAGTATGTACATGTTAAATGTTGTTCAGCTGCAGAAGTGCTAAGAGCCTTAATAAAGGTATTGATGTGGGCTTTCTCAGCACCCCCACCACCACATGCTCCACTATTGAGATCAGGGTGAATGTTCTGTAGTGCACACCCGTAAGCCAGGCTGTATGAGCAAGCCAGTCTGCTGTGATCCTCTTGGCGGATCTCCATCATTGTTCCAATGGGCAAGGTGCCGAGGGGAGGCTGCAGCCAGACTTTCTGCCCAAAACACAGCAAATTCTCCCATCTCCAATCACTTGACCATAGGCTCTTTCATCTATAAACCTGGCCCCTTTGCCAGACCATCCTCCATTCTGCCAAATTTGAATAATAAGCCCCAAAGCAGCTCCTGCTGCTGGATGAAGCACACCTTCCTCTGAGCGGGGATTCACATTTCCTTCCCAGGCACTGAGCCATGAGCTGAAACCACTTTTCATCCTGAAATGAGGCTGTGCTGACTGATGGTTACAGCTTTTTTTCTGGGTCTCTGTCAACATGTGCAAATAAATTAATTCGATTCAGTGAGAGCAAGAAAATCAATTAAATTAGTAAAATATCTCACTGTCTTGTGTCAATGATGATAGTCCATTTTATTTAAAAATAACAACACCTCTCTTTAAGACTGTGTAGACCCAGGAGGCTACTAAACCACCTTGTTATATTCCCGATTATATTAACAAATTGCCACCTCTTAAGAGAGGGATTCTAATCTCTATGGAACCACTCTCCTCTCTGTCAAGTTCAGGTGGTGATAACTGCTTCTTACTCATCTTATAAGAATATTACGAAAACGCATGAGATCATGTCTCAGAACAGAGCTCTAGAAGAGAAGCTCAGAGCTTGTTGTCACCTTCCCTTATTCTCCACTTTTTCCTGACCTCCTTTTTTTCTCTACTTTTGCTCATAGAATTCCACTCCTAGTGAGAAGAAAGTCGCCTGTGGCAATCTCAGCATTTACCCTACATCTTTCCTAGGGGCATGTTCATTAAGCCAAGATATACCCAAAAGATGGTGTGCAGTAACCAGCACTCTAGGTTTACATTGGAGATAAGGAATGTTTGTTCTTAGAGTGCAGCATGCACATGCATTATTGAAATGTTATATAACCATAAAATCGAGGTCATACCTCCCTGTGGGATAATCTCCACCTTCTCTCTAATACCACCGTGCACTTGCCAGATCATTTCAGGTGTGCATTCTTTGCAAAGAGATTGCTCTTTCCTTCCTATTTCTTCCCCCAACAGATCTCTGCAAAAGTTCCCTTTTGTGACACCATTTTCTTTGACAATCTTTCCATTGGAACCAGTTTCTTCTGCATTCTGCTGAGCATCTTCGTTCTCTGGGAAGGATGCCTTCTCAGAGGTGGCCTCCTCTGGCAACCACAGGTCTGTTTCCCCCTGATATGGTTTGCCTGCGTCCCCACCAAAATCTCATCTTGAATTGTAGTTCCCGTAATCCCCACATGTCGTGGGAGGGACCAGGTGGAGAAAAATCAAATCATGGGCGGCTACCCTCATCCTGTTCTCGTGATAGTGAGTTAGTTCTCATGATATCTGATGGTTTTATAAGGGGCTTCCCCCTTCACTGGGTACTCATTCATCCTCCTTCCTGCCGCCCTGTGAAGAAGAACGTGTTTGTTTCCCTTTCTGCCATGATTGTGAGTTTCTGGAGGCCTCCCCAGCCATGCTGAACTGTGAGTCAATTAAATCTATTTCTTTTATAAGTTACCCAGTCTCAGGTAGTAGCTTTGCAGCAACATGAGAATGGACTAATACACCCCACTTCCTCAGTTCCTTCTCTCCTGATCAGAAGATATTGTATGCATTATCTCCAAGGCTGATCCATCTGGTGTGCCCATGATGCTAACTGGAACATCATCAAATAAGTTTTGCCTTATGTTCTTTGAATTTTAACCTATTTCTCCGCACCAAATTATCCATCCATTTAACAAATATGCTCCAGCTATGAATATGCATCTACACTTTCATCTATACTCACATCTATAATACTTCTATAGCAAGACCTTTTGGAAATTCACAAAATTGATTTAGGAAAACAGAGTGAATATAGATATACTAAAAAATGTAAAAGGAGTTACCCTTGAGGTTGATAGTACTACTAGATATAAAAATGTTTTAAAGCTATAACAATTAAAATTGTTATGCTAACAAAGCAACCACACAGCCCACCAAAATTCTCAATAATTGGTGTTGAATACATAAATGAATGTCTATCATTATATAATATAAAAATTAGGAAAAGAATAAACATCTAATGCATTATTTTAGAACCATTAAATGTTAAATAAAATTAGCTCCACATCTTATAGCATACAAAATAAATTACAAATATATTAAAGAGTTAAATTATAAAAATCAAATTATAGAAACTATAGAAAACAAATATTGTCAAAAGTTCCCAGAAAATCTAATTGATCATCAAATTTCTAGAAAAAATTGAAGTCACAAAGTTAAAGCTCAATGAATTATACCTCTAGGACAAAAATATTTTACATAAGAAACAATGAAAAATTAAAGGAGAATTAAAATAGTTGACTATACATTTACAGCAACAAATATGACAAAGAGAAAATATAAATGTTTTATTTCTTAAAATATGAAAGAAATTTGTTTTCATTTGCAAGCTGATAGTTTGTCAATATTTTATATTTTCCTTATTAATTGTAGAAGCTTTTAGCATATTGTGTGTACTAAATCTTTGCCTGACATGTCTTTTACAAATATACTTCTTATTTTTTTCAATTGTTTTAAAAATTACTTTATGGTTCTTTACATGTTTACGAAATACAAATCTATTAACTATTTTGTTTGTAATTTCTGCTGTTAGTGCCAGGCTTAGAAGGTAGGCCTTCCCTACCTCAGAATTATATAAATTCACCTATGTTTTATGTTTTTGTCTTAATTCTACTTTTAATTTTAACATTTTTGTCTTTTTTTGTTTTAAGTTTGAAGAGAGATCTTGATTAATTCTCTCCTTATGCAATTGTCCTGATGTTACTTTTTGACTAATCCATCGTTGCCCCTATCAATATGAAATTCCATTTTTAGCATTTTTGGAGATTTGCACATAAACACACATACAGGTGCTAGTCTAATTTTTATAATTTTTATTCTGATCAGTTGATTCTGGTGCTGGCTTGTAGTTGTTCAGATTTTTCGAAGTTTGGTAATAAATTTTAACATCCAGCAGGGTAAGTCCTACCATTTTGTGGACATTTTTGCATGCTTAGTTTTCAGATGAACTTCAAGGTTATTTGGTAAAATTATTTCAAATATTCCCTTAGAATTTTGAGTTGGATTATGCTAAATTTATGGACTAAAGAAGGGAGATTTAAAAAGAAGTGGGCAGGTTATATGCTGCCTGTGAACAAATAAATGGCTCCAGCCTTTCTGAGTTCAACTTGACAATGTAGATCAAGAACCCTAAAAATATGAACACCCCAAGATTTTCATCATCAACTCTAAGTAAATAATTAAAGATGTGCTCAATAAGTGTCTATAAATATCTTAATTGTAGTTTGTCATGTGAAAATACTGGCAATACATAAATGTCCAGTGGCAGGAGATAGGCTGAGTAAACCATGCTGTGCTCACTCACGTAAAGAAATTCAATAGAAACATTATAAAACATGAATGATTATTTACCTGGAAAGTAGGTTTAAAACAGTATTAAGATTCCATTTTGTTGGAAATTATTGAATATGACTAAACAAACAAATCATATAGATAGATGCAGTGATGTGCTGATCAATGTTTAACAGCCAGCTCTGGAAGGAAAGAGCCTGGATTTGTAGCCTTTGCTGTTTTCTGTGATGTAAATATGCCCACTATGGCTGATTTGAAGGTACAAATACTACATACGACTAATGTAGACCTGGGAAGAAATGAGTACAATCAGCTCTCCCGATCTGTTTCCAACACTCCACTGGGCGAGTAAAGACAAAGAAAGAGGGAGAGAGTGAATAGGCAACCTACAGAATGGGAGAACATTTTTGCAATCTACCCAGCTGACAAAGGGCTAATATCCAGAATCTACAAAGAACTCAAACAAATTTACGAGAAAAAAATCAAACAACCCCATCAAAAAGTGGGCAAAGGATATGAACAAACACTTCTCAAAAGAAGACATTTATGCAGCCAACAGACACATGAAAAAATGCTCATCATCACTGGCCATCAGAGAAATGCAAATCAAAACCACAATGAAATATCATCTCACACCAGTTAGAATGACGATCATTAAAAAGTCAGGAAACAACAGGTGCTGGAGAGGATGTGGAGAAATAGGAACACTTTTACACTGTTGGTGGGACTGTCAACTAGTTCAAGCATTGTGGAAGACAGTGTGGTGATTCCCCAAGGATCTAGAACTAGAAATACCATTTGACCCAGCCATCCCATTACTGGGTATATACCCAAAGGATTATAAATCATGCTGCTATAAAGAAACAAGCATATGTATGTTTATTGGGGCACTATTCACAATAGCAAAGACTTGGAACCAACCCAAATGTCCATCAATGATAGATTGGATTAAGAAGATGTGGCACATATACACCATGGAATACTACGCAGCCATAAAAAATGATGAGTTCATGTCCTTTGTAGGGACATGGATGAAGCTGGAAACCATCATTCTCAGCAAACTATCACAAGGACAGAAAACCAAACACCACATGTTCTCACTCATAGGTGGGAACTGAACAATGAGAATACTTGGACACAGGGAGGGGAACATCACACACCAGGGCCTGTCAGGGGGTTGGGGGGAGGGGAGAAGGATAGCATTAGGAGATATACCTAATGTAAAGGACGAGTTAATGGGTGCAGCACACCAACATGGCACATGTATACATATGTAATAAACCTGCACATTGTGCACACGTGCCCTAGAACTTCAAGTATAATTTAAAAAAAAATTAAACAGAAAAAAAAAGAAAGACGGAGAGAGACAAAGTTACCTAAACTGAAGGGAAGGTGGGAAGCTAAGCATGACAAGGGGTGTCAGAACTCTTCCTGGGAGTGGATTTTTAGTCTCTGAGGACAAGAATCCAGTCAGATACCCAGAGAGACAGCTGAACTTCTCTGAATCCAAGAAGTTGAATTACATAGAGGGCCAGGAGAGAGAGCAAATGAGAGAGTGAGAGTGGGAAAGAAAGAAAGCAAGGATGAGCAGTGGTACAGGGCTGGCCTCCAAAGTTCTAAAGTGGCTTCGAGAAGATGAGGAGCAGCGATATCTAACCCTGAATTGTAATCATTTGAGTTTCTGTGATGTAGATTCCCTTTGTCTCCAGAATTCCTTTAAAGTCTGCCGTGTGTGTGTGTGTGTGTGTGTGTGTGTGTGTGTGTGTGTGTGTGTGTGTGTTTAGAGGGAGGGTTTCAGCAAGGTACCGACATGATGGGATTTACATGTTAAAAATATGTTTATCTTCTGCTGGTGTGGGAAGGAGAGACTAAAGAGAGACTACAGAGAAGAAAGAATGACAGCTGGGAGCAGTTGTCAGAGAAAAGATGTTGGTGGCTGTACCGAGGTGAGAGCATGGGGCTGAGAGGTGGCGATATTAATGATGTATTTGGGAGGTACAGCCACCAGGATTTGCTGTGATTCTTGTGCAGCCAGACTGGCACCATTTTGCAGACTAGTGTCCAAACATCCTGATTTAGGTTGCTTTAATTGAACCGCTTTTTGTGGGAGTAATTATATTTTATTATCCCTACATGCCTACTATAAAGTGCACTTAAAGGGCCAATCCAGCCCCCGAGACACATAGCTTTGAACGTGTTGCTTCCCTGCTCAACAACCCTCCATTGCTCCCAGTGCCTTCCTGCGAAGTCCACAGTCCAAGAACTGACCCCAAGCTACTCTTTCAGTACATCCTGGAGGACCTCCTTTCGAGACATCATATGCCTCCGTCAAACCAACTATTTCCTGCTCCCATTATATATACCCTGCTTTGGTAGACTATCTGACTGTCAAAAAAATGTACCATCCCTCCTTACTTAGCCATCCCTGGGGAGAACAATACTTCCCGCTGGACTTGCATCAGGCTTGACCTGGTGACTTGGCTTTACCCAGTGAAATGAGAGTAAACTTCAGAGCAGAAGCTTGAAGAGTCATCCATGGTTCTCCCCTTGCTTTTTTCCTCTCTTCCAAGAAGCCAACTTGTCCCCAGTGGACAGAAGACCGTGAATGACCCGATCATTGGAGGTTGGAAGATTCCAGCAAGAGCCCTGACACATTTTGAGGAGAAAGACTGACTGAAGAGTTCGCTTCTGGAAACCTGGAAACCTCAAGTTTCATACCGACCTTGCTCCCTCCCAACACCCTGTGGATCCCACTGCCCTGACAAGCAGGTTTAGGGTGAGTGTAGGTTCTGCCCAGAGGCCTGGGCAGGGTTGGGATGGGATGCCTCATGCCCTCATTGATGAGCGCTAGGGTGGTTTTCCTGGGAAGCCGGAAAACTGGCCACAGGAAAGGGCTCATGCTTCTCACTTCCTGTGCCATGTAGTGCACTGTTCATACGACACGGCCAGCTTGGAAACAGGCGTCTTATCTCTCCCACCACAGGGTGAGCTTCCACATGGCAGGACTTGCACTGTCCCTTGCTCCCATCTTCTCTGTGCCTAGAGATGGCTTCACTAGGCACTAGGCAGCGTGCCAAGTCCTTCCCAAGCAAGGGAAGGCAGCTGGTGAAACTAGATTCTCCAGTCAGACTTCCTGCCTTGGACACTTACCAGCTATGGGGTCCTGAGCAGTCTGCTTACATCTCTGAGCCTCACTTCCTCATCTGTAAAATGGGCTGGTAACAGTAGTCCTCACCTAATAGTGCTGGTCAAAGGATTGAATGGACTGATTTCTATAAAGCCCTTAGAACAGTACCTGGCAGGGCGTGGTGGCTCATGCCTGTAATCCCAGCACTTTGGGAGGCCAAGGCGGGCGGATCACGAGGTCAGGAGATCGAGACCATCCTGGCTAACACAGTGAAACCCCCTCTCTACTAAAAATACAAAAAATTAGCCGGGCGTGGTGGCGGGCGCCTGTAGTCCCAGCTACTTGGGAGGCTGAGGCAGGAGAATGGCCTGAACCCTGTAGGCGGAGCTTGCAGTGAGCCTAGACTATGCCACTGCACTGCAGCCTGGGCAACAGAGCGAGACTCTGTCTCAAAAAAAAAAAAAAAAAGAACAGTACCTGAATGCTCCTTGTGCTTTCTCAGTGTTTATTAAATAAATCCTCCCTTCTTATAAAGACTGATCATCTAGGCTTTCCAAGGCTGATGGAAGTTTATGTTTTCTAATACCTCATAAATAATACAAAGCTAGAGAATTGTTTCTGATTAGATAGGATCAGATTAGATTTATTATGTAAAGTACAATGGGCAGACCTAGGACCTAGGCACTGAAATTCACTCATTCATTTATTATTCAGCAGGTATTTATTGAGAGTCACCGTACTAACCTCTTGGATTATGACAGTGAACAAAACAAACAAAAAATTCCTAGTCTTGTGAAGGTATTTTATAGTGGGGGCTGGGGGTAGACAATGAACAAGATAAATAGAATACACATCCAAACTGTGTCAGCTGAGGATAAGTACAAATAAGAAAAATAAATCAGGGAAGAAGAGAAGGGCTGCAAATTTGGCTGAGTGTGGGCAGCAGCTGAAAGACTTGTTTAGAGAGGCAGATGTTTAAGGCAGGCTGTACCCAGCAACCTTTTGTACACCTTGGACAGTCAAGGATTCTAAAATTGCATTCACCTCCTTTCTTGAGCCCGCTGACCTCAGGTGATGCAAAGCAGATGACTGTCTCAACTTCTTTGCACACACCCAAGCTAAACATTTAACTTGGAAATTCTTATAAGGACATGGCTGCTGGGCCAGGGTAAGCAAACCCAATGGACCAAACCTATGTTTGCTGTTTTTGAAAAGAAATCTTAATTAGAAGGTGGAATGACTGAAAGTTCCCTCCCAGAGGACAGCTGACTAAACGATTCATGAAGAAATAAAAAGAGAGCCTGAAGCAGAGAGATCGCAGATTACTTCTCCTTCTGAACTCTCCACGTGGAAATCCCAGGGTGTTCAGGAAGAACGAATAACTGCACGAGAAGACTTGTGCCAAAGGGAACACAAGCCCTTACATTGTGCTTTCAGCTTCTAATACAAGTGAATAAATCCTGCTGCTATAATTTGATAACTTCTGGGTTTATTTATCATTTCTTCTGCAAATCTCACTTGAATCGCAGTTTTAGAACCTCTGTCATTTGTCGTTAGGACTAATTGCTCCCAGGAAAGGAATCTGGCTTCTGATGGGAAGGCTTGAAGGAAGGGCTTGCTGAGGCTGAGCTGGCAGATGGCTCTCTTTCCCAGGCCTTTGCTTTTGCCAACACACATCGCCAGGCCATGATGGACAGTAGGGAGAGGAGGAAAGGGCTGCTTGCCAGTGTGTGAGGGAGGCTTGACACTATGGCTCCCAGTGCAGGAGGAGCCTTTGGAGAGCCACGATGACCCAGCTCCGGCCACCTTCCTGCTGCCGCATGCTCAGGAGCCATGCACAAGGCCACAGATGTTATGAGGCTAAACTCCTTGGCCCTCTTTAGAATGTGGCTGAGGAATGATACTGGCCACACTGGAGTGGAGAGCTATGGACTTTTTTCTATGGAGGGTGAGCAGAGCAGTTTTATCAATTTGACTGTAATGACCCACACTGAATTAATCTCACCTGAACTAGCAGTGATGTCTTGATTTTCCTGCATCAAGTCCTGAGAAGTGTGAGGAAAATATGGAGAAAACAGAGAATTATATTTTAAGCATAGGCTGCTTTTTTGCAGGTTGTACCTTTGACGCCAATAACCAACATTGTTTCTAGCAAGGTGTGAGTCACAGGCAAAGAAATGTAAGAGTATCTAAGAGGGTGAGTAGGCAAAGACACCATATTGGGGGCATGGGAACAGACCACACACAGTAAGAGACTTGAATGTTTGGTTTTTGTTTGTTTTTTGGTCAGGTCTGCCATTGTGCATGAAAGTTTCAATTTTGCCTAATGTAGGAAAAGAACTCAAATATCTCTTTGTTCTTTATAGATTCTTCTTCAAGTCAGTAACTCTATACAGGAGTCCAGCTTTCTCTAGCCAGCCAACTAAAACAAAACCCTGTAGCGCCTGCCCGGAGCTATCACACATACCCCATCATCCCCTGCACCACATCTCCTGAGAAGCTGCTGAAATGACTTTTTCTGGAAGTCTCTGGGGACTAACAACCAGTCCTAACATCTTGGGCACTGCTTGTGATGGCTACATTTATGTGTCAACTTGGCTGGGCCATGGTGCCCAGATTATTTAGTCAAACATGATTCTGGATGTTTCTGTGAAGGAGTTTGGGAATGAGATTTACATTTAAACGGGTGCACTTTGAATGAAGCAGATTGCCCTCCAAATGCGGCTGGGCCTCATCAAGGTAGTTGAAGGCCTGAATAAAGACTGACCTCCCTGCAGCAAGAAGGAATTCTCACAGCAGATGGCTTTTGCACTTGGACTGCAACTTTTGCCTGGGTCTCCAGCCTGCCTGCCTACCTTGCAGATTTTTAGACTTGCACCTTCAAAATCATGTAAGGTAATTCCTTAAAATGAATCTCTCTCTACCTATCTATCTATAGATATATATGTAGAAAGAGGGAGATTTTTATGTACGTACGTCCTATTGGTTCTGTTCCTCCCAAGAACACTGCCCAAGAGTTTCTGTAAAGATGGCACCTTTGGGGTCAAGAATTAAGATAATACACAAAATCATACACATCATGACACACATATCATGTCATAACATCACGCACATCTGTACACATTTTGTTGAGCATTCTTTCAGATAACTCTATATCGGTGCATATTCTCATTCACACTTACATGTGGACAACTTTGAGAAGGCATCACTATATACAGCTGTTCTATAAGTAGCCTAGTGCATTGAACCACATGTCATGAACACCCCTGATCACAAGATGATTTTTTTTTATTAAATGGCTCCCAAATACCATTATATATTTGAGTTCCATTTTGAAGGACACATAGATTATTTCTAATTTTTAACTATTAAACATAGTTCGGGCTGGGTGCAGTGGCTCACATCTGTAATCCCAGCACTTTGGGAGGCTGAGGCAGGAGGATTGCTAGAGCCCAGGAGTTCGAAGCCAGTCTGGGCAACAAAGTGAAGCTCTCATCTCTACAAAAAAATAATAACTGGGCATCGTGGTGTGCACCTGTGGTTCCAGCTACATGGAAGGCTGAGGCAGAAGGATTGTTTGATCCTGGGAGGTCGAGGCTGCAATGAGTCATGTTTGCACCACTGCCCTTCAGCCTGGGCAACAGAGAGAGATTCTACCCCAAAAATAAATAAATAAAATAAAATACTTCTATGAAAACTAGCTTTTCCTATATGCTTCTTACATCTGGGTGCTTATCTGCTAAAGGGAAATTGCTTGACGTGGGATTGTGAGATCACAGGGCCAAACTATGCAGAAAAAAGAGTATGATGATTTACACATTCACAGATAGTAAAGGAGAATGCCCATCTGCCCACATGCTTTGTAACATTGGAACTTAGGTCTCTGATAAGCTGAGTAAAGCCCAAAGAATACCCAGACAGGGCTGGCTCGGGCAGGGAGCTCCTCTCCTCCCCTCCCTGCCTTCCTTCTTTCACTGTCCACTCTTGCTCTTACTTCAGCCTCCTTGTATCTTTCCTTTTTACCAAATATGCCCCACTCATCCTACCCCAGTGTGTTCAGTTATTCTGTCCCCATCACCTGTCATTGCCCTGCCCTCACCTCTGTCCAGATCTCCTCCCTTCCAGGCCACCCATGTCAAGGAAGGCCCACGGGATGCCTTCTCAGTCACCACTAGTCTCTGCCCACAGCTCTCGGCCTTTTCTCTCCTAGGGTCCCTGGCGTGCTCTGTCTTTATTTAACAATATTTGTATCCTGGGTTTGTTTCCTTCCTGAAAACTCCTGGAGGGCAGAAACTCGTCTCATGGATCTTTATACTCTGCAGCAGCTCCTCCCAGTGCAGGAGAACCAATAAATATTCAATGACCTGTCTTGGCGGATGCCTCTGTCACTAGCAGCCCTACCAGGGAGGCGAGGCACAGAGGGTGTTTGACAGCTTCTCAGCCGCCTTAGCGATATTTTTGGTAGAAAGAGGTGGGAGGTTTGGGTTAGGGAGGGTACGGTTAAATGCTATCTTGGGCAAATGTAAGCTTGTTCTCACTTTCTTTTATTTGCCACCACCATGTAAATCCACATCTCTCCAATCTCTGGATCCCTGGTCTGCCCTGGAGATTTGGTTTGGGTTTGGTTTGTAGTGTGCCCTGAGATTCCAGAACCACTTGAATGGACAGCATTTGGCCTAGGATGGATCCCCATTGACTGGGGTTGTCAAGTATCCCATGGTGCTGGTACACAGTATCCTTCCAGGCATCTTTTTGCAAACCACAAATGAAGGTAACTCGTCAATTCCAGAGGTAAAAGTTGTGCAGATTTATCTATCCATATTGAAGGGACAGGAGAAGAAAACGAGAATTAGTAAATGAAGCAAAATATACTCTATCCTCACCAAAGACATCAAGCTGCAACCAGAACGCTTTCAGTAATGAGAACAATGCAGACACTCCGGAAGCCCCTGCGAAAGTCAAAGCTGACATCAGAAGTCCCGCCTCTCTCTGGGCTCTTGGGGATGGGGTGGGGTGGCTGTTACCTCCTAGTGGAACTGTGGGTTGGCACAGAGGCCCCAGTACTTCATGCAGGGCTATGGTCTCCACCTGCTTACAGTGTTGTCTTCTAGCAAAGATGAGAGAATGAGTTCTAAGTTAATTTTGCACGCCCAGTTCTGCTTTTTGATGGACATGACTATGCAAATACTGCCCCCTAGTGGGGATTTATAATAATGCACCGCATAATCTCAAACTACACAGTTTAATATGTGGAAGGGATATTGGAATTCTGTCCAAACTGCTTGTCTCATCGTTGAGGAAATTGAGGCCCAGATACAAAAAGTGACTGTCCCAAAGTCACAGGCTAAGTGGAAAGCTTAGAACTAAACCTCAATTTCCACCCTGTAATTTGTAACATCTCTGGTCACAATCAATGAAAATATTTTCTCAGAAAACTATGCATTTCTTGGGAGAAAAACACTCTTAGAAAAAGCCACTATCCTTTGTTTTGTTATATTCAGAATTAGGCCTTTGACGATTTTTCAGGGTTTTTGTTTTTTCTGATAAGTAGTTTAAGTACAAAATCTATTAGTGGGTTCATTGTGGTTTTTGCTTTATTCTTTACATGCACAACTAATTTTGAAAGGCGAATCATAGCAAGAAAATATATATATAATTACCTAAAAGATTTAACTTGTGAAAACAACTGTTCTTTAGTGTTTAAAATTTGGGGATACTGTTACTGTCATCTGAAGCAAAAAAAAAGAAGAAAAGTCAGCACTCAGTTACCTTATACATTTTCTTTTGCTTTTTAAATTTATTTCTTATCACATTCAAAAAAGTGGAGAGCAGGGTAGCCCTCAGAACACCTTCCGTCTCTCTCTCGCTTCCCTAACCCAGTTGTGAAGACTTCTCAGGCCTTCAGGTATACAGGGACTGCAGCATTCATTTGGTTCTCTTTTACTGAGACTAACAATCTTTGTTTATTTTACTGATGAATTCAGTCCATTTACTGACACATTTGTGTTAATTTCTACCGTTTTATTTTGCCTCATATTTCTACTGTTTTTCCACTTTTTTTTTTCTTTTTTTTTTTTTTTTTGAGATGGAGTCTTGCTCTGTCTCCCAGGCTGCAGTGCAGTGGCGTGATCTCAGCTCACTGCAATCTCCACCTTCTGGGTCCAAGGGATGCTCCTGCCTCAGCCTCCCGAATAGTTGGGATTACAGGCACATGCCACCATACCCAGCTAATTTTTGTATTTTTAGTAGAGATGGGGTTTTACCATGTTGTCCAGGCTGGTCTCGAACTCCTGACCTTAGGTGATCCGCCAGCCTCGGCCTCCCAAAGTGTTGGGATTACAGGTGTGAGCCACCGCACCTGGCCTGTTTTTCCACTTTTTACCCACTTTTGATTTGTGGTTGTCCCCTTCCCTCCCCCGGCCCCATATCTCTTAATGCAGTTCTGGAAATTGTAGGTTACCAGACACTGCCGGGGCAGATGTCAGCTCCGGTAGATGCTTATTCAAATGCAGTCCCATTTTTATGCAGCTTCTGGAGCAGAAAATACTTCCTTATTTTCCTGTAAGCCATGCTATGCTTAGAAAAGAATGTTTTATTTACTTTTTGTTTGGTTGTTTTGGATCTGGCATTTTAGGTGTGCTGCTATTTTCTCAGAAAGAATACTCTTATTTTTTGCTCTATCTATTCTCTCATTCATTCAGTCACTCATTCAACGAAAATTTATTGAACATCAAATAAGTGCCAATATTGTTTTAAATGGATCATACTGTAGGTCTATTTGTATTCTGCTTTCGTTTGCTTAGGATATTGTGGACACATTTTCTGGTCAATATTTAATTCAATTTAAAATCATTTTCATTAGTTTATATCATTTGTTTTCATTTATATTGATAATACATCTAATTCTCAATTAATAGACACTAAGATTATTGCAAAAAGTACCTATTACAATAAGCCTTGTGATGAACATCATTGTGGGAAAAGCTTTATGCACAGATACAGTTATTTTCACAGGAAACAAAATACGTGGAATTTGTGTCTCAGAGGATAAAATAAAAGGCCAAAGGATGAGAATTTCATATATTTGAATCAGGTACATTTAGTGATCCAGAGCATACTTATCTTATTTGGGATGGGGAGAGACTTTCTAAGAAAAGTTTTAAATAAAACAAAACTAAAGAAAATGTTGAATACTAATGACTACATAAAAATTAAAAATTTCTGTACATAAAAACAAAAATTAAATGGCCCACAATAAAATGGAAATATATTCACAGTGCAGAATAGGGGTTAGCAAGGGTCAAATCCTGCGGCCTCCTGTTTTTAAAATAAAGTTTTACTGCAACACAGCCACACCCATTCATTTGTGTATTGTCTATGCTGCTTTCACACTAGAAAGGCAGTGCTGAGTCGCTGTGATTTGCAAGTACTTTAGTACCTAAAGTATTTACAATGTAGCCAATTACAGAAAAAGTTTTCAACCTCTGCTGTAGATGACAGAAGTTTATTATCCTTCATATATAAAAACTCTTACAATTCAGTAAGAAAGCATACTTAATTGAACAAACATCTACTCAATATCTAGCTCTTTGCTGGGTCCTATTGTTGGGAACAGTAGAAACAAGATAGACAGTCCCTGCCCTCATGGAGCTGATCTTGAAAGGGGATCAGGCAGGTAATAGAAATACATTAACAAGCGAATGCATTTATGTAATGCCACACATTGGTAAATGCTGTGAAGAAGCTTAAAAAAAATGGCAATTAAAAAACTGTGTTGGGCCTGGGACCGGGAATGTCCTTGGCTAGAAGATAGTTTTGTCTGCGGTACTCACCGAAGGCCACTCAGTGGAGTTAACGTTTGAGCTTACAATCCTTACAATCAGGATTACTTTGTAGGGTTAGGAGCAGGTAGTATTAATACCACAAAAAAGTTGGGTGTTGGTATTGTGCTACGTACCCTTCTAGAGTTATATCCATTAATCTAAAATAGTTATACATCTACTGAATGTTGCTAAATGAGAAGAGATCTTCTACAGACTGCTATATAATTTATTTTACTGAAGTATAATTTAATAAATTGAATGACTACAAATTACTTAACAAACCTGCTATGATTGAACAATTTGCTCTGCTTTTCAGTTACTGTCCCCTCACAATGCATGAAAGACTTTGTGTAGCAGAGCCTTACGGTTAATTTTTGACCTAATTATTTCCTTGGGAAAGCTTCCTAGAAGCAGAATTGCTAGATCAAAGAAAATGCACACGTTTAAGACTTTTGAGATACACTGAAAAACCTGAGTTTCAGACAGTGTAGAGTTATTTGCATTTCTTCTAAAAGTGAATAAGATTGCCCATTTCTCCTAGTGCCATGAAGGCATTCACATTATTTTCCATGTGATATGGGCAAATGTTATTTTTCATATTTTAGTTTCCATAATTTTTGTTCAGGTCAAATATTTATATGTTTATTTGAATTCATCTTTGGAGAAACTTCTCTTTAAAGTCTTTACCGATTTGTCCATTGTGTTTTTATATTTTTATTGATTTGAAAGAGCCCTTTACATGTTAAAGACAATAACCTCTTAGCCAGTTTATTTCTCTCTAAATTCTTTTCATGATGGCTTTGATAACAAAATAATTTTTGGTTCAATTAATCTAAACCACTTTTCTTTGTGATTTCTGCCTTTGATGTCATTCATAAATAGACCTTTCCTAATTAGCCTGTATTTTCATCTACTACTTTCATACTTTTATTTTTGAAAGTTAAATCTTAGCATATTTACTATCTAATTTGGTATAACACATAAGCTAGATTCTATGTTCTTTTTTCCCCCAAATGTTTAAGCCAATTGATTCAATGGCATTTACTAAATAATCTTTATTCTTTCTCAGGAATTTGAACTCACACCTTTTTCATCTGCTAGGTTTACATTATGTGCTTGTCTATTTTCTGGATTTTAATTCTATCTATTTCTGTGCTGGTTTCATAGTGGTTAAATTATTTTAACTTCATCTTCTATTTCTATTTGTAACTCAAATTTATTACTCTTCCTTTTGTACTATTTTCAATCATTTTTCTTTGAGATAAAGTTTTGTTTTTCTTTATTTTCAATTTCCAAAACAAGTCATTTAAAAATTTTAAAGCTGTGTTCAAATTATAGATATACTTGGGATGGACTGAGAACATTAAATTATCTTCTCAAGCAAAATTTCCATTTATTCTGATTTTCCCACTCCTCAGTAAATGTTCATATATATATATATATATATATATATATATAAACAATATTGACAGTAAATGTTAACATATATGTGAGCATAAAAATATATGACCTGCCTATTTTCTGTCAATATTGTTTCAAGATTTTTTATGCTTCTAATATGAATGGAATCCTTCTTCCATTATACTTTTCAATCGCATATTACTGATATATAGAAAATGTATTCTTTTGTACTTGTTATATTTTTGTGTTTGTTTTATAATTTTCCCTTTATTGAAATTTTCATCAGTTATAATTGACTTTATATTATTTTTAGTTTTTATGCAAATGATATCATCTGCAAAAAATGTGATTTTTTTTCATCTATTAAATATTTTATCTTGTTCATTTCCCTTGTCTGATCACAAGGGACTAAAATCCCAAACCCATGTTAAGTAATAATAGTAACAGGAGATATTTATAACTTGTTCTTAATTTTAGTGGCTATTCCTCATACAGTTCACTTTCAAGCATGAAGTTGACTCGATTTGAGATATTTATGCTATGAAGGAAGCATCCTTTCATTCCTATTTTATCAAGAACTTTTAACCAAAATAAATGGCTGAGTTTTATCAAAATATTTTTTGTGGGGTGGGATGGTAATGTCTATCAGGCTAATTCCATTACTGTTCATCTGTGACTTTTATTTCTTTTGGCTTCATGTTTAAATGTTCCTGTCTTCATAAAATGCAACCTATGTAATCATGGCATTTTTTTCTTTTCATGAACTCTAAACCCATGTGATAACATTTTATTTAGAATTTTTCTTATCTTTTTTACATTTAAATCTTTAATCCATTTGGAATTTGCTGTAAGATATGAAGTACCCTTTTTTTTTTTACAAAAATATTTAGCCAATTGTCCACACACTAGTTATCAAAAGCCAAATTTCCAAAATACCACATTTATCATGGAATAATGTGATTTGATTGTCTCAGTCAGCTCAGGGTGCCATAACAAAATACCATAGACTGGGTGGCTCCATAGACTGGGTGGCTTAAACCACAGAAATGTACTTTCTCCCAGTTCTGCAGGCTGGAAGTCTGAGGTCAGGATGCTACCATGGTCGGGTTCTGGTGGGGGCTCCTCTTGGCTTGCAGATGGTTACTTTCCCTCTGCGTCCTCATATGGGAGAAGAGACTGAGAGACTGAGAGATCTCTGTCTTCCTCTTCTTGTAAGGACATGGATCCTATTGGATTAGGGCCCCACCCTTATGATCTCATTTTACCTTAATTACATCCTAAAGACTCTCTCTCCAGATATAGTCACTGGGGGCTAAAGCTTCAACATATACATTCTCGGAGGACACAGTTCAGCCCCTAGCAATGATGTGCCTGGATACAACGTACAGAGAATTGAGTTAAGCAAACCCTTCAGTACATGACACGCTATTATCACCAGCCTGTGTAAGGGGACTCTGATTTCTCTTTTTTCTTACTTTTCATCCCAATTCCCAGCTCCTATACACATGCAAGCTAATATGTCTAATTTCTTTGATATATATTTTTAATGACAAATATTACTAATTTGTCATTAAAAATAGTAATATTTACTAATACCATTAACATTGTTACTATTATTATTACCAACAATGATTTGAAATTTCTATTAACATTGATTTGAAATTTCTATTATTAACGTTGATTTGGAATTTTAGTCCTTTGTGATCAATGAAAATAGATGAAATAAAATATTTACTAGACAAAAAATTACCAATTTTGTACATGGCATTATTATTTAGATGTATGTTGTGTATGTGTATCAAAAAAAAAATGTGTGTACATATAGATCTCAAAGACATTTATATATGTCAGAGACATTATGTTATCTTTACAAAATATTAGATTAATTGCATATGAAAGTGCTTCTAATTAATTTACATAAGTGATACTATGTTGTAGATCTTACTATGTTCCTTACTTTTAAAATCTAAGCTATGTTATCAAAATTTTTCCATTTTAGTAACTCTATAAATAAAAGATATAAAATAAAAGCTATGGGGGGATAGGGCTGAGCATATAGTATTGTAATGCTTATTGTTATCTAAAACTGGCAAGGAAAAAGGAAATAAAAGAGGAGTACATCATATCAACTTAGGATAAAATATTTAGACCTGAACTACACAATATGATAGCCATTTGCCACATGTAGTTATTTAAATGTAAATAAAATAAAAACTAAAATTCACTTTCTCAGCCACACTAACCACATTTCAAGTGTTCAATAGCCATGTAAGGCTGGTAGCTACTGTATCGAACAGTATAGATCTAAGACATTCCTATCATTGCAAAACATTCTACTGCAAAGTGTTATAAGTAGGCAATCTCAATGCTGTAAAGATGGAGAGGAGAAAGAGTGGTCGAGAAAGGTGTTTCCTTTTTACAAATACAGGGTCTTGTGAAGGAAGATTTTTCTAAAGTTTCTAATGCTTCCATTTCAAGGAAATACTTAAGGAGATGTTAAATCGATGGACATTTGTTCTGCTGTCCTAGGCACTCTTCTGTGTGAGTGACAGCACCACATGGTCCTACTCCGGTAGACCTGACATTCTAACAGCCCGCAGCGAAAGATGACAATCATGAAGAAATAGGAGAAAGTCTTACAGAATGCATTGGGGAGGCTTTACTTTAGATTGGGTGGTCAAGGAAAGCCTCTCTGAGCACATGGCATTTCATCAGTGCTGGAAAGACAAAGGAAACTAGCCATGCAAAGATGTGAGGGAGGAGAAAGAGCAAGTGCAAAGTGCCAAGGCATGAATGCACCTCAAATACACAATGAAGCACAGCAAGGCATATGGCCTGATGGCAAAATAAGTGGTGGGGAGAGCCTTAAGAGAGACACTGTCTGGCAGCAGTGGAGAATGAAGTATATCGTTCTGTTAGACCAGAGCTTCTCAAGCTCAGACTATTAACATTTTGAGTTAGATATTTCTTTATTGGGTGGGGAGAAGGGGTGTCCATATGCATTTTACGATGGTTTGCAACATTCTTTGCCTCTACCTACTAGATTCCAGTTGCATCACTCTAGTTGTGAGAACCAAAATTATCTCCGAGTATTTTCAAATATCCTTTGGGGACCAAGTCGCCCTTCGTTGACAATCACTGTGCTGAACCACACTATTCTTTCAGGTCAGTTTCCAAATACTGATCCATGCCCATCTGTGATTTTGATCAGCCTAGCAATTATAACGTGGTCACATACTTTCCCTACAACCAATGACGATTCTTCCCTTTATACTTGCCTACAGTTGGAGGAGCAATTGTATCACATGCTTGTCCTGTCCAATGAATTTTGGCTGGTAGCCTCACATTTTATCAGAAACACAAAGAATCTACTGATGTGGCTTGAGTCAGAAATCCTAATCAACACCCTCATAAGGCCAGCCCGAGTCCTCGTTCTTGGCAGCACTCTAAAGAACTTCATGCCAGATAATGGACAACTGTGCACAATAACAGGAGAAGAAAAGGGTCCAGGGTGAGACAATCTGGGCCCCTCTCTGGCTGGTCTTGTTGCGGCAACTACTCTTTCTATTGAAACCAATAATCTTTTATTTAATTGGCACATGATGAGGATTGTAACTTAGGCTTTCAACAAGATGATATTTTTGAAATATTTATAGGTGTGCCCCTGCCCTGCCAATATCTATTCCATCTTTGTGTTTTACCCCCAACCCTTACTATTCAAGAGCTGGATTATTCCCTGCTCATTATTTCCGAAAGAGACTGTGACAGCTGAAAGAAGAGAAAAAAGTAGCTGCTATCTGGCTTTGAATATCAAAAGAACAGGTTTTGAGAGAAAAGGGAAAGAATAAAAGATCAGACAGAAAGAATAAGAAACAGGAGAGTACAGGAAAGGCAGTTCTCCCTCCCTGGCCCCCACCAACCCTCCACACATACACACACGCACACACACACGCATCCTGGGCTTGATGGATAAGGAGAAGACAACACAGAAGCGATGGGACAGAAGAGACAGCAAGGTCTGAGAAAAGGAACTAAGTCACTTTTGCCAGTTGCCTGGCTTCTACTTGAGCAAGGGGCTCCATCTGCTATGTGAACCCAGAGGCGATATCCATTGCCTTTTCAAACCATGTTCTTCTGATAGCAGACAACACTTTGCCCATTGGTTATCTAGCCAGAAGAGTGCCCTTCTACACCAGACCCCTTAAAACCACTGGCACCATCCCACAGCACAGATACGTCCAACACAGACCCTGGTCACCAAGTTGGATGAGGCTGGGAGTGGTGTGAAAGGGAGAATCCCAAAACTTACTCACAGGAACCCAACAGGGGCAGGAAGTAGGAGTGAATTCTCCTTCTAGAGGTCACAGATGGTTACTCTTAACTTGCTGTCTGTGCCCTCTGTACAATGGAAGCAGAGCAGTGAATCTGTTCCCTGTCCATACGATCTGAGGCACTGGTAGATGTTCAACGGGTCCCTCCAATTTTCCATTATTTCTGTCATTTCCAGTCTAAGCTGCTGTGAACTTGAGGTGTCCCAAGATAGCAGGGCAGCTTGTGCTTTGGTCTGGTTCTATGTATGTATATCCTGCAGAATTTCCCCAGTGTTTCTAGTATACAAATGATGTTTGCCCTTTTTAAGGGCTTCTACTGCTTTTTCCTCCCCAATTTTCATATTTATTTGGTCATTTCAATGAAAATTTGGAAGGGATAGGCTTCACTCAGTTGAACTAAATTCCTTCTCTTGAAATTCAGTGTGCACTGTCTTTCCAATGTCATCTTAATTTTACCATAGTTTGTAGAAAGTCTTTAAAATTTGGCTGATTCTACAAACCTTTGCTCACCTGTGGTCATTTCAACAGGAATGCATAAGAGAAGCAAATTTATGAAAATATGGCCTTACATTGCCTTGTTTTCACCAGATTCAGTCGATTTTTTAAAAAGTCTAGCTACAAGTTGACAGGGTATACAGAATCTCCGTTCTGGGATTACCTCTGGTATTTTAGGTGTGACTCATTGGTGCTTTCTGGAGAATTCTGACATTGGCAAGAAGAAAAGAAAAGAAAAGAAAAGAAAAGGCATTCTCTTGTTAATGTCAATGCATACAGTGGCCTTCTCCTTAAAATTTCCTCCAGTGCCATGAGCAGACAGCAAACTGGATTCTATTCCCCTTTGTACCCCTTTCATTTCTTTAATTTTCTTTATTGGCACTTTACATGAAAGAAATTGTACAGAGTTAAGAATGCATTTTAGGATGTTTTCCTCTGCCAAATTTGCTTGCAAATTTTGCTCCTGCTAGAAGATAAAACGGAACACTCTTGACATTGCCAGTATTCCCGACTGTAGGATCACTTGAGATATTACTTTCCTACTTAGCAATCTCTGAAAGTTGTTCTCCTCTGTGATTTGATACAGACCTTTGCCAATTTGCTCTCTCTCTTTTTTTCACTTTTAACACATTTCCATGCAATATACAAATGCCAGTGTGCAAATCATCCAGAATTATTCACATCCTAAAATAAAGTTCCTTTTCTTCTCCATTGAAATTGTAAAGCTTAAAATAAATTTAGAAGAAAAAAAAAAACCCAGACTTATGGTTTGCGTTTGTCTAAAATGGCTTTGTTTGACAACCAGTGGTTTTGTAGTGTGCCCTGTTGGGTACAGTGGCCACCTTGAGTAATCAGTGAAACTCACAGGCTGAGACCAAGCAGGACATCCACAGGCATGATTTTAAATGTTAGTGTGCAGGACTGAAATCCCACGGTGGTCTGAGCTTGACGAAGCATGGTTTGTCAAGGTTGGTATTCTGATATTGTTTTCCAGACCCTGATAAGAACAGGCCTGAAAGGGAACTGAAGAGATTTTTTAGGGGAGTTGAAGAGTTGAGAACCTAAACAGGGCTGCCTGGGGGACAGCCAGGCTGAGTGAGAAAGCTGCCTTCTAGGAGGTTATCATTCCCACCCCTGAGCATTTCAGAATCTTGGGTAGACACCTGAGGCTCAAACCTGGAAAAGGTAAAAGACAAAGGCAAAAGGTCGTCAAAGGTTATGACTCTCCCTCTGGGGTCAGCTCTTTGCCCCATAAAACCCCTCTGCACGCTAGGAGAGTCCTTGTGCAAAGTCAGCTCAGCCACAGGCTTGGACAAGCAGGAATAATAGGCCTTAGCTACGTTCAGATGGATCCTGCCTTTCCTTCCTTCAATCCTACAGTTTCTGAAATGGGTCATAACTTGGCTACTGTTAGGGGTAGCTAACTGTTGTTGAGAGCTGACCTTAGCCAGGCACTGTGCAAACTGCTTTCTATTCATGACCTTATTTGATACTCACAACTCCCCAGTTAGGACTCATTGCTACCCCCGTTTATGAATCAGGAAACTAGGAGCTAAGAGATTCGGAGCTTGCTCAGGGCCACACCACCAGTAACCCTTACACTGTGCTAGTTTCCACTAAGATTTTGGCTTCCTAATGTTGGAGTAATTCATTTCTTTTAATGTGCCTTAATTTGTTTGATCTCATTTGAATCTTTTTAAGCTTTTGAGATTTCATAATCCTTTTTATCTCTTTTTACTATCATTTATAATTTGTGTCTATTTGTCCCTTAAATATTTCATGTCTTTTATTACTAACCCTTTAATAATTTAGCATTGACATAGTTTCATATTCTTTAATGTCTGAGCTTTAATTTCCAGTAGCAAGCACTTTTCCTGGCACACAGAAAGATCCAAATTAATATTTGTCGAAAAATGAGTAAGCCTCTAGCCTTCATAGTTTTGGGTTGTTACTCTGCTTTATAAGTTTCCCTTTAATTATTTATCTTCTTTTAAGTTTTTTATTCACACTTTTGTGGTTTAACTTTGACAAAATTAGACAACTGTAAGTTCTGAGCTAGTGGTTTTATCTATTATGATTAATTTTTCCTTTAGTTGTTAATATGTGTTAAGCTTTTAATCTTACCTTTCAAAGTTCTGATTTCTAGTTCTTTTGCTCCCCTTAATCTCCCTATATTTCACATAGAAATCCTTAAATTTCTGTTTTTCTTAGACTTTTAGGTTTTTTTCCTTTACTTTGTTATCACACTGGCTCATCTTTTTATTTACTTACACATTTTTTCATCAGTAATTTTAATTATTTTGCTCTGTGGATGATTTTAAAAGTGAGGATTTGGGAGAGGGTGGAAGGCTAAAAATAAATCTTCCTTATGTTCTCCTTCAATGGTTCTCTAATTCCATTCATTTCTCCTGGTACAAATAACAACAACAAACGGTAACAGGAAAAGAATAACTGGACAGCAAATAGTAACATGCCAGAGTGAACATTAAGCTTACTTAATCATCAGAATGGACTCAGGCGCATGTACCAACAAAACAGAGCAGTTGCTGGCTGGCCAGGACCTGCAAGGCTGCACCGGTATGCACTGGCTGCAGATCACGGGGGCATAGAACTCGTCTCAGTGCAAGAAAGAGTAGACTGCCATCTTTTTCCTTTTCCCTCCAGAGGGATTCCCACCAGAAATTTAGGGTTCATTATTCTTTTACTTTTCTTTGTAGTTTTACCACATACATAAACACTCTTAACAATAGGTTATATAGTTTTTGCATTTTAAAAAGCAGCTTTTTGCAAAGAGATTTATACTCTATGCATTATTTTTGACCACCTTTAATTGACCAAGATTATTTCTTTTTTCTTAATTTTTTTTGAGACAGGGTCTGTCTGTTACCTAGGCTGGAGTACAGTGGCACCATCTTGGCTCACTGCAACCTCTGCCTACTGGGTTCAAGTGATTTTCCTGTCTCAGCCTCCCAAGTAGTTGGGACTACAGGAGCACACCACCATGCCTGGCTAATTTTTGTAATTTTAGTAGAGACAGGGTTTTGCCATGTTGCCCAGACTGGTCTCAAACTTTTGGCCTCAGGTGATCTACCCACCTCAGCCTCCCAAAATGCTGGGATTACAGGCACAAGCCACCACGCCCATCCTGACCAAGATTATTTCATAAGAAGCATACTTGTTGCTGCCTGTGGTTTATGTATTTTATTGCTGTATAATATTTCATTGTTTGAATATACCACAATATACTTTGTCATTCTATTTGTAATGTGAATTTTCCTGTTTTTTTTTTTTTTTTACTGTGTTAGAACATTTTGATTCTTGTCTCCTGATGCACATTTCTAAGGGTTTAAGTTAGACATTTAGAAATGAAAAAAGCCAGTCTTAAGGGACATGCATCTTCAACTTTATTAGAGAATGCCAAACTATTCAAATCGTGCTGTACCAATTTACACTTCCTCAAGCACAGTTATATGATTTTTTGTTTCTCTTCACTCTTTTCAATACTTGATATTACATATTTGAATATTTTTGCCAATCTGATGGGTTTGAAATGAAATATCACTATGGCTTTGATTTGACTTTACAAATCACAAATGATATTAGGCATCTTTTCATAAGACTGGTTGGCCACTCATATTCTTCATCTAAAAGATGTTTGTTCCAGATTTGCCTATTTTTCTTCTTTCTGTTATTTATCAATTTTTTTTTCCTTTATTTCTTCTAAAAAAAAAAACAGGATACATGTGCAGAACATGCAGGTTTGTTACACAGGTTTATGTGAGCCATAGTGGTTTCCTCCACCTATTGACCCATCCCCTAAGCTCCCTCCCCTCACCCCCAAACCCCCAACAGGCCCTGGTGTGAATTGTTCTGCTCTCTGTGTCCATGTGTTCTCATTGTTCAACTCCCAATTATAAGTGAGAGCATGTGGTGTTTGGTTTTCTATCTCTTTGTTAGTTTGATAAGGATAGTGGATTCCAGCTTCAATCACATCCCTGCAAAGGACATGATCTCATTCCTTTTTTATGGCTGCATAGTATTTCATGGTGTATATGTACCACATTTTCTTTATCCAGTCTATCATTGATGGGAATTTGGGTTGGTTCCATGTCTTTGCTATTGTAAATAGTGCTGCAGTTAAACATACATGTGCATGTCAGACTTGCTTATTTTTCTACTGAGCCATTTCTCCTAATTCATTAATATTATTTATACATTTTTAAAATTTTTATTCTGTATATTGGACATTGTATTTTCACTTTATGGGCATTTTGTTAAACATAAATGCTTAATTTAATATAGTAAAATGTATCATTCTCTTTCTCTAGAGTGCACTTGATGTACCTTGCTTAAGAATTCCACCTATATGCCAGTCATAAACATATCTTCTATATATTTTGTAAGTTTTATAGTTTTATCTTCCACATTTAAGATTTTTTTCATCTATCAAAGAACTAATTTTAGACTTATTCATCCTCTCTATTATATGTTTGATTTCCACTTCATTAATCTCTCCTTTTATCAGGTAGAAACATTGATAATCCTAAACATATTTAGGTAAAAATTAGCATGTGAAATTCTTTAAATTTCACAGCAACCATTTGTTTGGAGGACACCAGAAAGCCTACCTTAATAAACACGCATATAGAGCTGATAAAATCTCACTTAATTCTTCCGAGCTTGGAGAGCTATCAAAACCTAATAAAGCTTTAAATGGTCAGATCTGCATTTTTAAAATATAACTTTAGCTGAAGTAGATGAGATCACAGAGCTCTGAACTATGACATGGACAACAGAAATTCAAGAAGAGGAACTGATTTCCAGGAAACAATCCTGAATAATTGATACTGGTCAGGTCTTACCGGGCACGAGGGATGCAAGAGAATGGGTCTAAGATCAGTGTTCAGTTTCAATGTTGGTAGAGTATACGGTTAGTGACTCTATTAAGTGAGAGAGAGAGTATGGGAATAGAAACTAGCTAAGAGGTTGAAAGTGCAGGTGGATTAGTCCATTCTTGCACTGCTATGAATAAATACCTGAAACTGGGTAATTTATAAAGAAAAGAAGTTTAATTGGCTCATAGTTCTGCAGTCTGTATGGGAAGCATAGCAAGAAGCCTTGGAAAGCTTTTACTCATGGCAGAAGGCAAAGCAGGAGCAGTCATCTTTCATGGCAGGAGTAGGACCGAGAGAGAGAGGGGAGGCACCACACACTTTTAAACAACCAGGTCTCACAAGAACTCACTTACTGTCACCAAGACAATACTAAGGGGCTGGTGCCAAACCATTCACGAGAAATCTGTCCCCATCATCCGGTCACCTCCCATCAGGCCCCACCTCCAACACTGAGGATTACAATTCAACACGAGATTTGGGTAAGGACGCAAATCCAAACCATATCTCAGTTAGTCAAGGATTCCAATAGAAAAGGATGGCACACATTGGACAATTCGAAGAATCTAGGAAGAACTGCATGGTGAGAGCTGCAGCTTTGGTAGAGGGATGTGACATGTAGCCAACCCATTGGATCCAGCAGGTGCTGCTGGGGAAATAAGTTCCCAGCCCAATCTTCTCCTTCCTTCCAATCTTTTACTGGTGCTGCCCATTTGCAAGAAGGCTAAGGAGTCTCTGATATAGACTAAGCTAAGTCTCCTTGGACATAAGCAAGGGCTGAAAGGTAGAAAGTGGATTTAAAGGAACAAATGATATGTATCACAATAAGCGAAATAAAAGGATCTTTTAGATTTTCTTTAAAATAGATCAGAACTTGTGGGAGATAGATGAAACAATATTGGCAAACTGTTGATATTTGTTAAAACCATGCAATGAGCTCTTCACAAGTGCTTGTTACAGCCCTCTGTACATTTTTGTTTGAAAATTTCAAGACTAAAAAAGTAGGAAGAAGAGGGAGGAGAAAAGGAGCAGGAGGAGGAGGATGAAATTATAGACACCACTGACGCTGTCTGTACATAGCTGAAAAAACTATATGAAAACTACACTATTACGAACACTCAGAGTGAAAGCTAAGGTGTTCTTCCTAACCATCACCAGACACATATCCTTAAAAAAATCTTCCTCTACAAAAGTCAATTCAAAGACTAGAATAAGGAACCATTGCAATATATGTGCAGATATAAACAGAAGGAAACCAGAAACATGAAAAAGTAAGGAAATTTGACACTTTCAAAGGAACACAATAATTCTCTAACAACAGATTTCAATGAAAAAGAAATTTACAAAATGCTGGAAAAATAATTCAAAATAATTATATTAAAGAAGCTCTGTGAGATATAAGAGAACACAGAAAAACAATACAAAGAAATCCATAAAACAATTCAAAATATGGATGAGAAATTCACCAAAGAGAGATATCAAAAAAAGAGAACAAAAATTCCATAATTAAATAATTTAATACATGAAATAAAAAGTACATTTGAGAGCCTTAACAATGAACTAGATCAAGGAGAAGAAAGAATTTCAAAACTCAAAGACAGGTCTTTTGAAATAACTAAGTCAGAAATAATAAATTAATAAAAAGGAAAGAATAAAAATAAGAAAAGTATACAGGAAAGAACGGACGCCATAAAGGAATCAAATATTTAAATTTTTTGTGTTCCAGAAAATGAAGAAAAGTCCAAAGGCATAAAAAAATGTTTAATGAAATAGCTGAAAATGATTCAGGTATAGCAAGTTATTTACACATCTAAACACAGGAAGCTCAGAGATCCCTATCTAGATCTATCCCAAAAAGATCTCCATGGCACATTATTTTCAAACTGTCAAAAGTGAAAGACAAACAGAGAAATATAAAAATAGCAAGAGAAAAGCATCTAGTTGCATATAAGGAAAACCCCATCAGACAAACAGTGGATTTCTCAGCAGAATCCTTAGAGACAAGGAGAAATTGGGATGAGGTATTCAAAGTTCTGAAAGCAAAAAACACTGTCAAGTAAGAATACTACACCCAGGAAAGTTATCTGTCATAAATGAAGGACAAAAGTCTTTCACATACAGGCAAAAACAGAGGGAATTCATTATCACTAGATTAAACCTACAAGAAATGTTCAAAGGAGTCCTAACCATGGAAATGAAAGGACAATATTTACCATCATTATGAAAACACATGAAAGTATACAACTCACTGGTAAAGCAAACACACAAATGAGGGAGAGAAAATACAAAAATCACATCACTACAGAAAACCACCAAAGAACAATGCTAAACAGTAAGAGAGAAAGAAAGACACAAAAGATAACAAAACCAGAAACAATGAAAATTATGACAGGAACATAACCTCACATATAAATAATAACCTCGAATGAAAACAGATTAAATCCTTTGCTTAAAAAATATAGACTGGCTAAATGGATTTCAAAACAAAACAAAACATAATCCAAGTATATGCTGCCTACAAGAGACATAGTTTACATGTAAAGACACATACAGGCTGAAGTAAAGGTATGAAAAAAGTATTCTATGCAGCAGAAACCAAAAGTATGCAGAAGCAGCTATGCTCAATATCAAACAAAATAGAACTTTAACTCAAAAACAGTATTAAAAAAGACAAAGAAGTAATTATATAATGATAAAGAGGTCAGCCCAGCAAAAAGATGTAACAGTTTTTATATGGACCCAACACTGAAGCACCTAGATACATAAAACAAGTATTACTAGTTATAGAGAGATAGGCTTCAATACATTAATACTGAGGGATTTCAAAACCTTGGTCTCAGCATTAGAGAGATCATATAGACAGAAAATCAACAAAGAAACATTGGATTTAAACTGGACTTTACACCAAATGGACCTAACAAACATTTACAGAACATGTTATCCAACAACTGCACAATATGCATTATTATCATCAGCACATGGAATATTCTTTAAGAAATACCATATATTAGGCCATAAAACAAGTATCAAGAAATTATAAAAAACTAAAATCATATCAAATATCTTCTCAGACCACAATAAAACAAAACTAGAAATCAATACCAAGAGGAATTTTGAAAACTACACAAATATTTGTAAATTAAACAACATGCACCTGAATTACCATTGTGTCAATGAAGAAATCAAGATAGAAATTAAAGCTTTTCTTGAGACCAATGAAAAGGAAAACACAACATACCAAAACCTGTAAGATAACAGCAAAAGTCATGCTAAAAGAGAAGTTTATAGCAATAAACACATACATCAAAAATGTAGAAAGACTTCAAACAAACAACCTAATGATGCACCTCAAAAAACTAGAAAGAACAAACCAAACCCCAAATTAGAAGGAAAAAAAGAAAAAAAGAAATATCAGAGTGAATCTAAACAAAATAGAGACTAAAGAAATATAAAGAATCAACAAAACAAAAAGTTGGTTCTTCAAAAAGATAAAGAAAAATGATAAGCTACCAGTAGACTAGCTAAAAAAAAAAAGAGAGAAGACCCAAATTAACATAATCACAAATGAAAAAGGAGACATTACAACTGACACCACAAAAATACAAAAGATCATTAGAAACTATTATGAACAGCTATACATCTAAAAACTGGAAAACCTAAAATAAATGAATAAGTTCCTCGGAACATACAACCTCCCAAGATTGAATCAGAAGAAAGTAGAAGATTTGAACAGATCGATAATGAGTAGTGAAATTCAATCAGTAATAAAATGTCTCCCAACAAAGAAAAGCCCAGGATCGGATGGATGAATTTGCTGCTGAATTCTAATAAACACACAAAGAAGAAATGGTACCAAGCCTCCTGAAACTGTTCTAAAACACACAACAGTTCTGCAACTGTTCCAAAAATTGAAGAGTAGATAACTCCTCCCTAACTCATTCTACAAAGCTAGCATTATCCTGATATCAAAACCAAAGAAGAACACAGCAAAAAAAACTACAGGCCAATATCCGTAATAGACACAGATGAAAAAATTCTCAACAAAATACTGGCAAACCAAATCCAATAGCACATCAAAAAGATAATATACCATGATCAGGTGGCATTTATACCAGGAATACAAGGATGGCTCACCATATGCAAATCAATAAACATGATCAATAAACATCACATCAATAGAACGAAGGACAAAAATCATTTGATTATCTCAATAAATAGAAAAAGATACAAAATCATCTCAGTAAGTACAAAAAAATCAATAAATTCAACATCCCTTCATGATAAAAAAAAAAAGTTCCCAACAAACTAGGCATGGAAGGAATACACTTCAAAATAATAAAGGCCATATATGACAAACCCACAACTAACATTATACCAAATGGGGAAAAGTTGAAAGCCTTTCCTCTAGGACTTGGAACAAGGCAAGGATGCTCCCTCTCACCACTCCTGTTCAATATAATACTGGAAGTCCTAGCCAGAGCAATCGGACAAGAGAAAGAAATAAAAGGTATCCAAATTGGAAAAGAGGAAGTCAAATGGTTAGACTGCCATCTTTCCCTCCAGATGACATGATCTTGTATTTAGAAAATCCATAAGACTCCACCAAAAACCTCTTAGAACTGATAAATTCAATAAAGTCACAGGATATAAAATCAACATATATAAACCAACATACTTTCTATATACTAATAATAAAATAGTTGAAAAAGAAATCCAGAAGGCAATCCCATTTACAATGGCTACAAAATAAAATAATAAAATAAAATACCTAGGAATAAATATAACCAAGGAGGTGAAAGATCTCTACAAGGAAAACTGTAAAACATCAATGAAAGAAATTGAAGAGGACACAAGAAAATGGAAAGAAAGACATCCTATGCTCACAGATCGCAAAGATGAGCATCATTAAAATGTTAATGATGCCTGAAGCAATCTGCAGATTTAATGCAATCCCTATCAATACACCAATATCACTTTTTACAAACATGCAAAAAATCCTAAAATTAATTAGAACCAAAAGAGAGCCCTAATAGTCAAAGCATTCCTGAGAAAAAAGAACAAAGCTGGAGGCATCACACTACTTCAAAATATATTACAAGGCCATAGTAACCAATACAGAATGGTATTGGTGTAAAAATAAACACACAGACCAATGGAACAGAATAGAGAGCCCAGAAATAAATCCACATATTTATAGCCAACTGATCTTCAACAAAGTCATTAAGAATATACATTAGGAAAAGGAATCAAGATGGCAGATACATGCAGGTAGTAGGTGCCTCCTCCATGAAGAGGAACCAGAATAGTAAGTAGATACTTAATATTTTGAACAGATTATCTAGAAGAGAACGCTAGGATTCACAAGAGAAGAAACGAGAAGCACCAGAAGTAAGGAGAGGATTTGAGGGATTTCAGGCAGCTTGCCTGGCCAGGAACTGACTGAGGGCCAGGAGAGCCTCCTGATGCAGGGAAATGGAGAGAAAGCCCCAAAGTTCCACTCTGAAACAGACTTTTATGATTTGGGATATGGGAGAAACCTTTGACTACTAGGACCTCAGGCCTGACATATGAAGCTGCCTAAGGATTGCACAGAGATGCTGCTCCAGGAAGGGAATCTACACAGAATCCACTGGCATCTGAGCCTAGAGAAGCCTCAGCTGGGTGCCATTTTGAAAGCCTAGATACCAGGGACCTAGAAACATGGCTACTGCCACTGCACTACTCCAAGGTGGAAGAAGGGAGACCAGGTGTTCCCATGCACCTCTGGGAGGATCCCTACTGCTCTGCTATGAACTGCTGTGAGATTGAGGCTAGAGCAAACCACATTCTTCACATCTTCTTGTCTATGCTGCTCACTTGAGAATGGCCCTGCCCTCTCTGGTGACAAGCCCACAGATGGCACCGTTTTGAACATTTAATGCTGGGCTATGCCCTGTGTTCTGGCCAAGTTTCAGGTGACACAGCTGCAGCTGCCAGTCCACCTAGGGAGGAACAGCACACTTAGGACAATACCCACTGCCCTGCTATGGGTAGCTCTGGGACTGAGGACCAGCACACCCAACTCTTCACAGCAATACTGACGTGGACTGCTTGGGTCCCAGTGGATTGCTCCACCACCACTACTGCCATCATCAAGCAACACTAGCTGCCCAAAGGCCTGAGAATGCACCCTCACACCACACTCACCTTCTAAGCAAGCCAAATCCCTGGAGGCCCAATAATCAGCTCTCCCAGGACCCACTAACACTGGAGCCAGTGTAAGACTGTTCTGGGGCCTACAAATAGGCACATTCACTCCACTACTGCCATCACTGAGACCCAAAGATTGGCTCAGTTGGTGTCCATGTTCCCAGCAAAACTTCACCACAACTTCAACTAATAACCATACCCTAAGCCACTGAGGAAATCACAGATACCACTGACCCTGTGCACTGCCAAAGAAGTCATACAAAGATCACACACAAAAAAACAAAAAAAAATTATTTTGGATTTGCAGAAATCCAAAATCAAAGTCAAAGTATCTTAATCAACATACATACATCTTCAGGAAAAACTTATCCTGTACAAAAGCAATTTCAGGCTAGGCTGAAAAACAACCTGTACAGAAGCAATTACAGGTGGCTCATACCTGTAACCCCAGCACTTTGGAATGTTGAGATGGGAGGACTGCTTGAGCCTAGGAATTCCAGATCATCCTGGGCAACATAGGGAGACATTGTCACTAAAAAAAAAAAAAAAAGAAAAGAAAAATTAAAAAATAGCTGGGCATGGTGGCACACATCTGTAGTCTCAGCTACTCAGAAGGCTGAGGTAGGAATATCAACTGGGCTCAGGAGGTCAAGGCTGCAATGAGCCATGATTGTACCACTGCACTCCAGCCTGGGTGACAGAATGAGACCCTGTCTAAAAAAATATTTTTTAAACAATTTCAAAAAATTGGAACAAGTGACTGCTACATAAAATGTGCAGGTATCAATGGAAGAACAAAGGAAACATGAAAAGCCAGGGAAATACGACACCACCAAAGGACCACAGCAATTGTTCAGCAACAGACCTTAATCAAAAAAAATTATGTGAAATACCAGATAAATAATTCAAATACGGATTTTAAAGAAGCTCAATGAGATGTAAGAGAAATCTAAAAACTAACACAAAAAAATTAGAAAATTAATTCAAGATATAAATGAGAAATTTACCAAGATGATAGATATCTTCTTATATATTAAAAAATATATAGTATATACAATTAAAGATATATATCTTTAAATATATTTATGTTATATAAATATATACTATACTATGTATTATATATAAATATATATAATTTATATATATCTTCTATTTTTTAAAAAAAGCAGAAATTCTGGAACTAAAAAATTCATTGAAGAAAACACCAAATAGATTTTGAACTTTCAATAACAGACTAAACCAACCAAGCAAAAAAAAAGAAAAAAATCAGAACTCAACAACAGGTCTTTTGAAATAATCCAGTCAGAAAAAAATAATAAACAAGAATTAAAAAGAATGAACAAAGACTTTGAGACATCTGTAACTACATAAAGTGGTTGAACTTATGAATTATAGGTATCCCAAGGAGGAAGAGAGATGAAAGAGCTTAGAAAACCTATTTAAAGAAATAATCAATGCAAGCATCCCACGTCTATCGATAGTCACACATCCACATATAAGAAGCCCAGTAATCCCCAGAAAAATATATTACAAAAAGGACTTCACCACTGCATGTTATATTCAGAATGTCTAAAGTTGAATTAAAATAAGTAATTTTAAAATTAGCAAGAGAAAAATGTCTAGTCACCTATTCAAAAAAAAAAAAAAAAAAAACCCCACCCCATCAGGCTAACAGTGGACTTTTCAGCAGAACCTCACAGGTAAGGAGAGAATACAATAGTATTTTCAAAGCACTGAAAGAAAAGGACTGCCAGCCAAGGATTTTATATCCTCCCAAAATAAGCTTCATAAATAAAGGAGAAATACAGTTGTTTCCTGACAAGCAAACACTGAGGGAATTTCTCATCACTAGCCTGGCCCTAAAGGAAATGCTCAAAGGGGTCATAAACATGGAAATGAAAGGTTGATATTCACCATCATGAAAACACACGAAAATATAAAACTCATAGTTCTTATAAAACAAGGAGGAAAAGAAAGGAATCAAATGGCAACAGAACAGAGTTTCATCAAACCACAAAGACAAAAAAAGAAAACGAAACAAAGAATTTTTAAAACCAAGTTGAAAACAACAATGTGACAGGAACAAAGCTTCACATATTAATATTAACCTTTAATGTAAATGAATTAAATGCTCCACTAAAAAAATACAGATTGGCTAAATGAATTTTTTGAACGATCCAGCTATATGCTACATACAAGAAACTCACCTTACCTTTAAAGGCACATAGATGGAAAAAAAAAAACTCAGAGGTGGAGAAAGATATTCTATGCAAATGAAAACCAAAACTGAGCAGGAGTCACTATACTTACTAGATAAAAGAGACTTTAAATCAAAAACAGTTTTTTTAAACAGACAAAAAGGTCATTATATAATGATAAAGGAATCAATTCAGCAAGAGCAAATAACAATCCTAAATATATATGCACCCAACATTGAAGCACCCAAATTCACAAAGCAAATATTATTAGACCTAAGTAATGAGATAAACAGCAATACAATGATAGTGAGTGACTTAAACACCCTATTCACAGCACTAGACACATCATCAAGACAGAAAACTAATTTTGAAAATTGGACTTTAGACCAAATGAACCTAATAGACATTTAGAGAACATTCTTCCCAACAGCTACAGAATATTCTTTTCACTAGCACATTGAACATTCTCTAAGATAGACTGCATCTTATAGGCCACAATGCAGGTCTTAACAAATGTTTAAAAACTGAAATAATATCAAGTAACTTCTCAGACCACAGTGGAATAAAGCTAGTAATCAATGCCAAGAAGAACTTCAGAAACTATACAAATATCTGGAAATTAAACAGCATGCTCCTGAACAATGACTGGGTCAATGAAGAAATTAATGTGAAAATTTAAAGATTTTTTTGAGATGAATAAAAATGAAAATACAACATACCTAACCCTGTAGGATATAGCCAAGGGAGTGCAAAGAGAGAAATTTATAGCATTAGATGCCTACATCAAAAAATTAGAAAGATTACAAATTAACAGCCCAACATTACACCTCAAGAAATAGATTAAAAAGAACACACCAAACCCAAAGTTAGCAAAAGAAAAGAAATAACAATGATGAGAGTGTAACTAAATAAAAGAGACCCCCTCAAAAATACAAAGGATGAACAAAACAAAAAGTTGGTTCTTTGAAAAGATAAGCAATATTGAGAAACCACTAGCTAGATTAACCAAGAATAGAGATGATCCAAACAAACAAAATCACATATGAAAAAGGAGACATCCCAACCGATACTATAAAAATACAAAAATAATCAGAGATTATTATGTACAATTATAGGCTCACAAACTAGAAAACCCAGAGGAAGCAGATAAACTCATGGAAACACACAACCTACTGAGATTGAATGAGGAAAAAACACAGCCCCTGAACAAACTAAAATCAGTAGCAAGATGGAATTGTGTCTGGAGTTGGTTCCTTCCAGTGGGTTCATGATCTGGCTGACTTCAAGAATGGAGGCAGACCTTCACGGTGTTACAGCTCACAGACCCAAGAGCAGTAGCAAGGTTTATTGTGAAGAGCGAAAGAACAAAGCTTCCACAGCATGGAACCGGACCTGAGTGGTTTGCCGCTGGCTGGCTGGGATGGCCAGCTCCATTCCCTTATTTGTCCCCTCCCATGTCCTGTTTCTGTCCTATCAGAATGCCCTTTTCTCAATCCTCCCCGCGATTGGCTTCTTTTAGACTCCTGCTGATTGGTGCATTTTACAGCGTGCTGATTGGTCCATTTTACAGAGTACTGATTGGTGCATTTTACAGAGTGCTGATTGGTGCATTTTACAAACCTCTTGCTAGCTACAGAGCACTGATTGGTGCGTTTTTACAGAGCGCTGATTGGTGCATTTTACAAACTTCTTGCTAGCTACAGAGTGCTGATTGGTGCATTTTACAAACCCCTTGTAAGACAGAAAAGTTCTCCAAGTCCCCACTCCACGGAGGAAGTCCAGCTGGCTTCACTTCTCACAATCACAAATTAAAAAATCTTCCAATAAGTAAAAGCCTGAGACCCGATGCATTCACAGCTGAATTCTATCAAACACACAAACAAGAACTAATACTTATCCCCTTGAAACTAGCCCAAAAAAATCAAGTGGAAGGGAGTTATCCCTAACTCATTTTACAAGGCCATTATCATTCTGATACCAAAATCGGACAAAGGTACAACAAAAAAAGAAAACTACAGATTAATATATATGATGAACATAGACGCAAAAATCCTTAACAAAATACTAGCAAATCAAATCCAACAGCACATTTAAAATATAATATACCATGATCAGGTTGAATTTATCCCAGGGATGCGTGGATGGTTCAACACACGCAAATCAATAAATGTGATGCATTATACAAGCAGAATTAAAGACAAAAACCTTATGAACATCTCAATAGATGCAGAAAAATCACTGAATGAAATTCAGCATCGCTTCATGATAAAAATCCTCAAAAGAACTAGGCATCAATGGAACAAATCTCAACATAATAAAGGCCACATATGACAAACTCACAGACAACATCATACCTAACAGGGAAAAGTTGAAAGTATTCCCTCTAAGATCTGGTATAAGAAAGAATGCCCATTTCCACCACTCTTATTTAACATAGAACTGGAAGTCCTCACCAGAGCAATCAGGCAAGAGAAAAAAAAAATAAAATGTATCCAATTTGGAAAGGACAAAGTCAAATTATCTCTGTTTGCTGATATGATTTTATATCTAGAAAACCCTAAAGACTCCACCAAAAAAAATTCCCAAATGAATTCAGTAAAGTTTCAGGATACAAAATTAACATATAGAAATCTGTGGTGTTTCCATACACCAATAATGATCTAGCTAAAGACAAAATCAAGAAGGCAATCTCATTTACAACAGCTACAGAAAGAAAAATGCCTAGGAATATATTTAACCAAGGAGGTGAAAGACCTCTATATGGAGAACTAAAAAACACCGACTGGCTCATGCCTGTAATCCCAGCACTCTGGGAGGCCAACGTGGGTGGATCACCTGAGTCAGGAGTTCAAGACCAGCCTGGCCAACATGATGAAACCCCGTCTCTACTAAAAGTACAAAATTAGCTGGGCATGGTGGTGCATGCCTGTAGTCCCAGCTACTCGGGAGGCTGAGACAGGAGAATAGCTTGAACCTGGGAGGCAGAGGTTGCAGGGAGCCGAGATCGCACCACTGCACTTCAGCCTATTGGGCGACAGAGTGAGACTCCATCTCAAAACAATAACAACAAACAAAAAAACACTGAAAAAAGAAATTATACATGACAGAAACAAATGCATTCCATGCTTATGAATTGAAAGAATCGATGTTATTAAAATGACCATAGTGCCCAAATAAATCTACAGATTCAATATAATTCCCATCAAATTACCAATATATTTTTTCACAGAATTAGAAAAACAATCCTAAAAATCATATGGAATGAAAATAGAGCCCAAAGAGCCAAAATCAATTCTAAGCAAAAAAGGAACAAAGTTGGAGGCATCACATTGCCTGACTTCAAATTATACTACAAGGCTACAGAAACCAAAACAACATGGTACCGGTATAAAAATAGACATATAGATCAGCATAGAGAACCCATAAATAAAGCCACATACGAACAACGAACTGATCTTTGACAAAGTCATAAAAACTGTACACCAGGGCAAGAAGAACATAGTCAATTAATGGTGTTGGGAAATTTTTATAGCCTGTGCAGAACAATGAAATTGGACCCTCTCACCATATTAAAAAACAAAACAACAACAACAAAAAAACCTTACGGTGGATTAATTGCCTAAATGTAAGACCTGAAACTATAGAAATACTAGAAGAAACCTAGGGAAAACTCTTCAGTATGTTGGCTTAGGTAAAGAATTTATGACCAAGTCATCAAAAGCAAACACAACAGCAACAAAATAGACAAATGGGACTTAATTAAAAGCTTCTGCACAGCAAAAGAAACAATATTAACAGCTGGGTGCGGTGGATCACGCCTGTAATCCCAGCACGTTGGGAGGCCAAGGCAGGTAGATCACCTAAGGTCAGTAGTATGAGACCAGCCTGGCCAACAGGGTGAAACCCCGTCTCTACTAAAAATACAAAAATTAGCTGGGCATGGTGGCACACGCCTGTAATCCTAGCTACACGGGAGGCTGAGGCAGAAGAATTGCTGGAACCCGGGAGGTGGAGGTTGCAGTGAGCTGAGATTGCGCCATTGCACTCCAGCCTGGGAGACAGAGTGAGACTCTGCCTCAAAAAAAAAAAAGAGAGAGAAAGAAAAGAAACAATAAACACAATAAACAGACAACCTACAGAATGAAAGAAAATATTTGCAAAGTCCACACTTACAAAGTGCTAATATCCGGAATCTACAAGGAATTCAAACAACTCAACAAGAAAAAAACAACCCCATTAAAAAGTAGGCAAAGGACATGAAATTAGATTTTGCAAAAGAAGATGTACAAGCAAACAAACATGAAAAAATGCTCAACATCACAAGTTATCAGAGAAATGCAAATAAAACCACAATGAGATATCATCTTACACCAACTAGAATGGCTATTGTTAAAACATTAAAAAACAACAGATGGTGAGGATGTGGAGAAAAGGAAATGCTTATACGCTGTTGGTGGGAATGTACAACCTTTATGGAAACAGCATGGAGATTTCTCAAAGAACTAAAAATACAACTACCATTCAACCCAGCACTTCTACTACTAGGTATATACCCAAAGGGAAAGAAACAATTACATCAAAAAGATACCTATGCTTTTATGTTTATTGCAGCACCATTAACAATATCTCCATAGAATATTTCTTTCATTAAAAAAAAAATGAAATCATGTCTTTTGCAACAATATGGATGAAACTAGAAGCCATTATCCTAAGTGAAGTCACTCAGAAACAGAAAGTATAATACCACATGTTCTCACTTATAAGTTGGAGTTAAACAGTGGGTACAGATGGACATACAGAATCGAATAATAGACATTGGAAACTACAAAAGGTGGGAGGGCGGGGGTGGTTTGGACTGTTGAAAATTATCGATTGGGTACAATGTTCACTATTTGGGTGACGAGTACACTAGAAGCCCAGACTTCACCACTACACAATATACACATGTAAGAAATCTGCACTTATTAACCCCCTAAATATATTTAAATTTTGTTTCATTTTAAAAAATAAAAACCTTTTTGAAGGATAAAAAACCTACATTGAGGAAAGGATAACCTCTTCAATAAATTATGCTGGTAAAACTGGATAATCATATGCAGAAGAATAAAGCTAGATTTCTATCTCTTACCACACTCAATAATCAATTCAAGATGGATTAAAGGCTTAAATGTAAAACCCAAAACTATAAAACTACTAAAAGAAAAACACAGATAAAACTCTTTAGGACATCGATCTAGGCAAATATTTTTATGGCTAAGACCTCAAAAGCACAGGGAACAAAACCAAAAATAGACAAATGTGACTGTATTAAACTAAGAAGCCTTTGCACAGAAAACGAAACAAAAACAATCAACAGAGTGAAGAGACAACTTCTTTAATGGGAGAAAATATTTGCAAACTACTCATCTTACAGGGAAATAATATCCATAATATACAAGAAACTCAAACATCTCAGGGGTAAAAAAAAAACAACTAACCCCCAAAAATGAGCAGAGGACATGAATAGATATTTCTCAAAAGAAGACTAACAGGGATATGAAAAGATGCTCAACATCAGTATTCATCAGGGAAATGCAAATCAAAACCACAAGGAGGTACTGCCTTACCCCAGTTAGAATGGTTATCCTTAAAATGACAAAAAAAAACAGATATTGGTGAGGATATGGGAAAAGTAGGAAGTCTCATAGACTGTTGGTGGAATGTAAACTAGTCCACCACTGTGAAAAACAATATGGAGATTTCTCACAAAACTAAAAATAGAATTACCATCCAATCCAGCAATCCCACTACTGGGTAAATATAGAAAGGAAAAGAAATCAATATATCAAAGGGATACCTGTATTTGCATATTTATTGCAGCACTGCTCATAATAGCAAAGAGATGGAATCAACCCAAGTGTCTATCAATGGATGAATGAATAAAGACAATGTGGCCTATGTACACATGGAATACTGTGCGGCAATAAAAAAATGAAATCATGTCATTTTTAGCAACATGGAGGGAACCAGAGGTCATTATGTCAACTGAAATAAGCCAAGCACAGAAAGACAAATATCACACGTTCTCACTCATATATGGGAGCTAAAAATTTTGATCACATGAAGATATAAAATGAAATAATTGATCCCAGTGACTGGGAAGGGTGCATGGGTGGCAACTGCAGGGGATAAAAAGGTTGGTTAATGAGTACAAACATACAATTAGATAGAAGGAATACGTTCTAATGTCTGGTAGCATAATAGGGTGACTATAGTTAACAACTATGTATTAATATGATATTTTTCAAAATAGCTAGAAGACCTGGAATGTACCCAACACATAGAAATGATAAATACTCAGGTATTGGATACCTAAGTATTTTGACTTGATCATTACACATTCTAAGTATGTAACAAAATTTCACATGTACCCCATAAATATGTACAAATATATATCAAAAATAAAATTTAAAAAGATTAAATGCAACAATGCACACAAAGATGTAGGAAATAATTAATGAATTTATATTATCAATGAATATTTGCTATTATTATATTTACCACTATATTTTGGTGCTAAATATCCACTAAGTACTGTACTAGGCATTTAACTTACATTTTATTTAGTCTTCACGATGACCCCCAAATTATGATAAATCATGTTAACCTTTGAAAAACCGAAATCAATTTGTTATTTTCTCAGTGATCTATTCATTCAGTTAGCAAATGTTGGAGTTATATTTAAATCTGGTCTTATCTGACTCAAAAACAATTGGGAAAATTATCCAGGTGTGGTGGTGCGCACCAGTAGTCCCAGCTACTTGGAAGGCTGAGATGGGAGGATCACCTGAGCCCGGAGGCAGAGGTTGCAGTGAGCAGAGATCATGCTGCTGCACTCCAGCCTGGGTGACAAAGTGAGACCCTGTCTCAAAAAAAAAAAAAAAAAAAAAGGAATTTTCACTTTATGAGGGTGAATTATATTTCAGGTGCTCCAGAGAATTTATTCAAAATGAAACAATGCCCACGTACAAATTAATTTATTAGGTATCACAGTTCAGCTTCTGTCTAAATATTGGTTTTTTGTTGTTTTGCTGCTTTAATAAAGATATAATTTTTTAAAGTAAATGTAGAAAACCAGGGGCTGAAAGAAACAAACCTCATGGCTTAATAAACAAACCAAGTGAATCTAAACTTACTCTTCAAAAGTATATTTTTATTATAAAACATTTCAAGCATTCAAAAGTTACAAAGAATAATATAGTGAATTTTCAGAAATCTATATCAAGATTTAACACATCAAAAATTTTCCATATATTTTTTAAGAAATAAAACATTACTGATGGAGTTGAAGCTGTAATTCCATTGCATATCCTGCTTCTCTCCTTCCACAGAGGTAACTCCTGTACTGAAGTTAGTATGTATCCTTCTCATCTGGGTTTCTCCTTGTACAAATAAACCATATATAACATTGTTTCCTTAATTTTAAATTCCATATAAACTTTATCATACTGTATATATTCTGCAACTTGCTTTTTGTTTCCACATCATGCTTTTATAGTTAATATGTATTCTTAAATATAATTCTAATGTGTTCATTTTTACCATATTATCATTTTCATACAATAATGTAGGCTATTCATTCATACATTATGCTACAAATTATTATATTATTGTGTTGTTCTATTCCATTGGTTTATATATCTGTTTTTATGCCAGTGCCATGCTGTTCGTATTATTGTAGCTTGTTAATATATTTTGAAATCAGGAGGTGTGATGCCTTCAGCTTTGTTCTTTTTCTCAAGATTACTTTGGTTATTTGGGGACTTTTGTGGTTCCATACAAACTTCAGGATTTTTTTTTCTATTTCTGTAAAAAAAAGTTATTGGGATTTGATAGGGATAGCATTGAATGTAGAGATCACTTTGGATAGTATGAAAATTTTAACAATATTAAGTTTTCCAATCCTTGAACATCATATGTCTTTCTATTTATTTGTGTCTTCATTAACTTGCTTCATCAGTTTTCAGTGTACAAGTCTTTCACCTTCTTGGTTAAGTTCATACCTAAGTATTTTACTTTTTTGGGTGCTATTGTAAATAGGACTGTTTTCTTAATTTCCTGTTCAGATATTCCTTGTTAGTGTATAAAAATGTAATTGATTTTTGTGTGTTGCTTTTGTACCCTGCAACTTTACAGAATTTGTTTATTAGTTCTAACAGGCTTTTTTTTTTTGGTAGAGTCTTTCAGGTTTTCTATATATAAGATAATGTCACTTTGCAAACAGAGATACAGTCATGTATTGCCTAATGACAGGAATACGTTCTGAGAAATATGTTGTTAGGTGATTTCATCATTGTGCAAACATCATAGAGTGTGCTTACACAAACCTAGATGGTATATATAACCTACCACACACCTAGGCTGTATAATATAGCCTATTGTACCTAGGCTACAAATCTGTACAGCATGTTACTGTACTGAATACTGTAGGCAGTGGTAAATATTTGTATATCTAAACATATATAAAGATAGAAAAATACAACATAAAAGATAAAAAATGATATATCTGTATAGGGCACTTGCCATGAACAGAGCATGCAGCGCTGAAAGCTGCTCTGGGTGAGTCAGAGTGAGAGGTAAGTGGATGTGAAGGCCAGGACATTACTGCACACTACTGTAGACCTGACAAACACTGTTCACTTAGACAACACTAAACTTATAGAAAATTTTTTTTCTTCAAAAATAAATAACCTCAGCTTACTGTCACTTTTTTACTTTATAAACTTTTAAATTTTTAAAAATACTTTTTGACTCATTTTGTAATAACAGCTGAAACTCAAATACATTCTACTGCTGTACAAAAACATTTTTTCTTTATACCCCTATTCTATAACCTTTCTTGTATTTAAAAAAAATTTTTTTTTATGTTTAAAATTTTTTTGTTGAAAACGAATACACAAACACACACATTAACCTAGACCTACACAGGGTCAGGATTATCAAGATGTCAGTAAGTGATAGAAGTTCTTCAGCTCCATTATAATCTTATGGGATCACTATTGTATATGTCATCTGTCATGGGCAGAAATGTTATGCAGTACATGATTTTAATTTCACTTCTTCCTTTCTGCTTTGTATGCTTTTTACTTCTTTTTCTTGTCTGGCTAGAACTTCAAGTATTATGTTGAACAGAAGTAGCAAAAGTGAACATCCTTGTCCTTTTCTTGCTCCTGATTTTACAGGAAAAGATTGCAGTTTTTCACGAGTGAGTATGATGTTAGCTGTGAACTTATCATATATGGCCTTTATTATGTTGAAGTAGGTACGGTTTAAATAATATTGGAGTTGTTTCTTTAAAATTTAAATATAATAACCATAAATCTATTTAGATCTGATATACTTTTTAATGGTAACAGAAGATAAAATAATTAGATTTACAATCCTTTCTATTGCTTGTTTAAATTTCCTGCTTCTTGGATTCGATTCTTCTTCTTCTTCTTTTTTTTTTTTCTGTCATTGTTGTTTTGAGACAGAGTCTGGCTCTGTTGCCCAGGCTGAAGTGCAGTGATGCAATCTCAGCTCACTGCAACCTCCGCCTCCCGGGTTCAAACGATTCTCCTGCCTCAGCCTCCCAAGTAGCTGGGACTACAGGCACGTGCCACTATGCCCGGCTAATTTTTGTGTTTTTTAGCAGAGACAGGGTTTTGCCATATTGGCCAGGCTGGTCTCAAACTCCTGACCTTAAGTGATCCTCCTGCCTTGGCCTCCCAAAGTGCTGGGATTACAGGCATGAGCCACCGCATCCAGCCATGCATTCTTCTTTTTAAGACTTAATTGTTTTGAATCAGTTTCAGGCTCACAGAAAAATTGAGAGGAAGACACAGAGATTTCTCTTATATCTCCTGACCCCACACATGCATAGACTTCCCCATCATCAAAATCCTCCACCAGAATGGTTCCTTTGTTATAACTGATGAACTTACATTGACACATCATAATCACCCCAAATTTGTAGACTATGTTGAGGTTAAATCTTAGTGTTGTACATTCTATGGGTTTGGACAAATACATATTGGAAAAATAAATTCATCATTATAGCATCATACACAGTATTTTCACTGCCTTGAAAATCTTATGTGCTCCATTCTATTTGTCTCTCCCTTTCACCTCCCCAACTCCTGGTAACCACTGATTTTTTTTAATTGTCTTCATGGTTTTATCTTTTCCAGAATGTCATATTGTTGGAATAATACAGTATATAGGCTGGGCAAGATGGCTCATGCCTATAATCCCAGCATTCTGGGAGGCTGAGGCAGGTTGATCATGAGGTCAAGAGATCGAGACCATCCTGGCCAACATGGTGAAACCCCATCTCTACTAAAATACAAAAATTAGCTGGGCATGGTGGTGCATGCCTGTAATCCCAGCTACTCTGGAGGCTGAGGCAGGAGAATCGCTTGAACCCGGGAGGCTGAGGTTGCAGTGAGCTGAGATTGCGCCACTGCACTCCAGCCTGGCAACAGAGCGAGACTCTGTCTGGAAAAAAAAAAAAGAAAATGCATTCAGTACATCTAACCTACTGAAAAATATAGCTTAGCCTAGCCTACCTTCAACATGCTCAGAACACTTACACTATCCTACAGTTGGGTAAAATCATCTGACAACTCAGTATACTATAGAGTATTGGTTGTTTATCCTCTTGATTGTGTGGCAGACTGGGAGCTGTGGCTGGCTGCTGCTGACCAGCATTGCAAGAGAGTATTGTACTACATATCACTAGCCTGGGAAAAGATCAAAAATCAGAATTCGGATTATGGTTTTACTAAAGAGATATCAATTTTGCACCATTGTAAAGTCAAAAAACATCATAAGTCAAACCATTGTAAGCCGATGGCCATCTATACTTGCTTCCCATAAACCCACTGTTTCCTATATCCCATGACCAAAAGGAAAATAATGACAGTCAATGAAAAATTAGACTTCCTTTTTCTTTTTTTTTTTTAATTTCAGTTGTTTTGGGGAACAGGTGGTTTTTGGTTACATGGATAAGTTGTTTAGTGGTGAACACTGTATCCAATGTATAGTCTTTCATCCCTCAAACCCTGCCATCCTTTCCAGTAGTGAGATTGCTGGGTCAAATCATAGTTCTACTTTTCATTAAGGAATCTCCATACTGTTTTCTGTAGTGATTGTACTGGTTTTCATTCCCACCAGCAATGTAAAAGTGTTCCCTTTTCGCCACGTCTACACCAATGTCTACTTTTTTAATTTTTAAATTATGGCCCTTCTTGCAAGAGCAAGGTGGTATCTCATTGTGGTTTTAATTTGCATTTCCCTGATAATTAGTGAAATGCAAGTGAAGAATATCTTGATTGCTTGCAAATTTTGGCAGTTATGAATAAAGCTGCTGTAAATATTGTGTGCAGGTTTATGTGTGGACATAAGTTTTTAACTCCTTTGGGTAAATACCAAGAAGTGCATTTACTGGATTATGTAGTAAAAGTATGTTTAGTTTTGCAAGAAATCGCCAAACTGTTTTCCAAAGTGGTTGTACCATTTTACATTTCTACCAGCAATGAATGAGAGTTCCTGTTTCTCCACATCATCAGCATTTGGTGTTGCCAGTGTTCTGGATTTTTGCCATTGTAAAAGATGTGCCTTGGTATCTCATTATTATTCTAATTTGCATTTCCCCTATGATATATGATTTGATCATGTTTTCATATGCTTATTTGCCATCTTTGTTGGTGAGGTATTTAAGTCTTTTGCTCATTTTTAAAATCAGGTTGTTCATTTTCTTATTGTTGAGTCTTAAGAGCTCTTTACATATTTTGGATAACAATCCTTTATAAAATGTGTCTTTGCAAATATTTTCTTCAACTCTATGGCTTGTTCTCATTCTGTTTCACAGAGCAGAAGTTTGTAATTTTCATGAAGTCCAGCATATCAGTGATTTCCCTCATAGGTCATGCCTTTGGTGTTGTATCTAAAAAGTCATCACCATATTCATGTTAACCTAGGTTTTCTCCTGTGTTATATTCTAGAAGTTTTATATTTTTACATTTTACATTTAGGTCTATAATTTATATTGGGTTTACTTTTATGAAGAGTGTAAGGTCTATGTCTTAAGATTCATGTTTTTGTATGTGAATGTCCAGTTGCTCCAGTGCCATTTGTTCAAAGTCTATCTATTGTTTATTGTATTGCCTTTGCTCCTTTGTCAAAGATTAGTTGACTACATTTATCTAGGTCTAATTCTGAGCTCTCTTTTCTGTTATATTGATTTATTTGTCCATTCTATATCAATACCACAATGCCTTGATTACTGCAGCTTTATAGTAAGTTTGAAGTGGTGTGGTCTTGGTTGTTCAGCTTTGTTCTCCTTCAATATTTTGTTGGCTATTGTGGGTCTTTCGCATTTTTATATAAACTTTCTAATTAGTTTTTCAATATCCACACAATAACTTTCTGGGATTTTCATGGGGAGTGTATTGGATCTATAGATCAAGTTGGAAAGAATTGATAACTTCATAATACTGAATTTTCCTATCCATTATCTTTGAGCATAAAATATCTCTCTATTATTTAGTTCTTTGACTTTGTTCATCAGAGTTTTGTAGTTTTATCATATAGATATGGTATATTTTTTAAGATTTATGCCTAGCTATTTCATTTTCGGAAGTGCTAAAATAAATGGAATTATTTTTTAAATTTTAAATTCCATTTGCTTATTGCTGGGATATAGCAAAGTGATTGGCTTTTGTATATAAACCTTGCATCCTTCAAGCTTGCTATAATCACTTACTAGTTTTAAGAGGTTTTTTTGGACAATTCTTTTGGATTTTCCACATAGATGACATGATCATCTATGTGGAAAAGACAATTTTCTGCAGAAAAGACAATTTTCTGCTTTTCTGCCAGTTGTCTTTTTCTTTTCTTTCCCAATTTATAGGTCTTTTATTTCATTTCCTTGTCTTATTGCATTAGCTGGTACTTCCAGTACAATGTTGAAAGCAAAGGTGAGAGGAGACATCTTTGCATATTTCTTGATCTTAGCAGGAAAGCTTTGAGTTTCTTATCATTAGTGGGTTGCAGTTTTTGTAGAAATTCTTTTTCAAGTTCAGGAGATTTCCCTCTTTCTAGTTTATCAAAAGGTGTTTTTTTAAATCATGAATTGGTGTTGGATTTTGTCAAATGCTTTTTTCACATCTGTTAATATGATTATGTGATTTTTCATTTTTAGCCTGTTGATATGATGGATTACATTAAATAATTTTTGAAAGTTGAACCAGCCTGCATACCTGCAATAAATCTCACTTGGTCATGATGTATAACTCATCTTATATGTTGTTGAATTCAAATTGATATTTTATGAAGGATTTTTGCAAATACGTTCATGAGACATATTGGTCTATAGATTTTTGTTTTTCTTGTAATATCTTTGTCTGGTTTTGCCATTCGGATAATGCCTATCTCATAGAATGACTTAGACAGTATTCCCTCTATTTCTATCCTCTGAAAGAGATTATAGACAATTGGTATCATTCTTTCCTTAAATTTTTGGTAGAATTCACCAGTGAATCCATCTAGGCATGGTGCTTTCTGTTTTGGGAAGTTATTGATTTTGATTCTTTTTAAAATTTTTATATTTTCATTATATTTTCAAATTTAATAGTTGCATGTAATATACTTTTATAGTTTTAAAAGCTTATTATCTTTATGCACTTTTGATGAATAATTCACTCCTATGGCTTCAGTTACAACTATTCAATACTCTCAAATATCAATCTGTTTCCAGATGTTTAGCCTACTGACTTTTGGTTGTTTTCAGTATCTAGTCTACAAAGAAAAGCTGCATTTAAAAATGGGAGTTATTAAACCAGAACGTGTATAAACCAGAATGTGTATAACCATAATTCATCTAAACTAATTTGGTTATAATAGAATAAAAAGGAAGGAAAGAGAATACAGCAAACATAAGTATTGTTTGGTTGGTATGTATGTGAATATGTGTCTGTGTGTTTCTTATCATAAATTGTATTTACTTAATGTAATCTTTGAACCCAAAAAGCATTTAAAAATTATGCTTGTCAAAGGCATTTTTATAGTAACTCCATCCCTTTTTCCAATTATTTGTTCAAAAATGGAGTGAGTGATTCAATTCTGGCCAAAAATATTTTAAGAAAATTTCTCATTCTTGAAAGGGATGAGAGGGTCATCCTTCTGTCTCTGCTTAAAGAAGTCAAGGCACCTTATCCATTTTAATAGCTGTCTTGAAACAATGAGGAAACTCAACCTTTGGATAAAGACAAGAAGTGCTAAGACAGAGGTAAGTGGAGGTTTGTTCATACCAATCCTAAAACCCACTCGACCTTGGGATTCCTAGTAGGAAAACCAATAAAATCCTTATTTTGTAAGCCAATTGAGTGTCTGATATTTGTTACAGAAAGGATCCAGTTTGAAACTCTAGGTCATTGTGTAATTTAATGAGATAATGCATGTGGAACAGGCAGTACTATGATCATATAATAGGGGATTGAAAAGGGAAAATAAAAGAATCATGCAATTGGTGGTTTGGCTTATGCATGATAAAGCCACCTCACTGAGTTTTTATCATGATATAATGAATGTGTACATTGATTTATCATGTAGTCTTTCTAAATAGGAGAGAGCATGTGGCTTAGACCATTAGATCCAGTGTCCTTCTAATAGATGCTTTCTGAGCTCTCTGTGGGGATAAGAGACTTCATCTCCTGCTGAAGGAGTGATGTGCTGTGTTTTTCCTAAGAACACTATAGTATTCTGTAAACTTTGGAAAAAGTACCATACTTAATTCCATTAATATATTTAGTCTTCACATAATTATATGAAATTTAATTTTTTGGAGAGTAAAATCTCTCCAGTGCATTTTCTCTCTCTGGTGGATAAGGAAATCAGAATGTGTCATGGGCACACTCTTCCTGAGCCTTCACCATCTGTGTGTTGTTGAACGTATTTTCAGAGGAGAAATTGGGACAAACTTAAATGGCGGTTCCCCAAAGTGAGTTTTTTCATCATAGGCAGTCTGACAACTCTATACCAGCACTACTAAATCTTCTAATTTTTTTCTAGAGCTAGCCAAGCTTCTAGCCTCTTAATAGGTACTTTCAACTATACTAACAAGGCTGACATACCAAACAACAGCCTTTCAAATGCAGCAAAATCAATGACTTGGCTTTGCCCTGACTCCTGGAGGTTGACAAAAATGGACCCTGATTAATTATGTTTTCTACCACATGCATTTCTTGGAAACATTTCAGGCAGGGGTGTATCAGATTTATAAGGGCTATTAAGAAGAGTGAATACACGTTTTCATCTGCATACATAATTTATGCTAGTGGAATACATTTTCCATGTGTGTGTATAAAAACAAGCAGGTTGAATTGTGTTTGTGGAATGGATACGATCCGGGCATCACATATGTGGCATTTTGCTCTTCTGCAATTTCAAGTTTGTAATCTAAGACACAGAATTACTTAACAATGACTATAAATGCATGCTACATTGCAAAGATAATTGCTTTTACATTTCATCTGTTATTTGCTAGCATAACCTTTTTTTATGTGTGAATTTCTTACCAAATGACTTCCAAATGAGTATTTTGGAATACAATTAACTACACAATTAACTATAGGCTCCCAATTTGGTACAGTCAGGAGATATTAGAATGTCTTCCACACTGGTGCTTCTCAAAGTCTGTAGAAGAAAGCAGAATTTCCCCCCCATTAATCACTGACCAATTATTTCGAAAAAAACATAACAAAAGTAAATTATTAGAAAAATGAAATTTAAAAGTATGAAACAAACCCTTTAAAAATTTTAGTTGAAATAGACATAAAATTATTCATTGTGTCGGATTCTAAAAAAGTTCTAACACTCTCCATTTCTAAATTTATCACAGGGCACATTGGTGACATGTAGTTCACAGAGACACTCTGGCTCACAGACCCCACTTTGAGTGGCACTGCCCTAGATAACAGTTGGTAAAAGAACATGTGCACCTTTCAAGTTTCCATTTTGTTAGGAGATGCTTAGAAAGTTAATAAAAATGTACTCTGTCTTTGTCCAAACTGCACAGGTTTGTGGGATCTGATAATGTGTCCTAGACTCTATTTTGGTGATGGAGTTCTGCAAAATCCACCTGCAATTCCACTCTGGTTCTGCTGCAAGTCAGCCCTTGCTTAAATCTCTTCTGTGGCTTCCCATTGCCCTCAGGATGACATCGAAACAATTAGCCATGACACAGTGGTCTTGCCCACCTTCCTATCTCTTCAACATCTTATCTGCCACTCTCCAAACAATCCCAGAAAACAAGATCATATTAGAAAAACTCAGAAGCCAATCTGAAGTGCCTCCTACCAGACAAAGATGGGAAAAGTTGAGCAACAATATAAATAATAAGTGCAATAGACTGAAACACACCAAATAGATTTAAATCCATCTGTTCATAATAACACTTTAGAAAGGTATTGGGCCAGGCTAACCCAGTCAGTAGATCATGAGACTCTTAAAAAGGTCTTGTTCATCTTTGGAGGCTGCTAGGGAACTAACTCATTATTATGAAAATGGGTGAGTCAAGGAAAGATACAAGCATTCATCCTTTGTTATACAAACTTTGCCTCAGAACAAATACTTGATAAGAGAAAATTTCCTTCATAGAATTATTTTAACTAATAAAGAAAGAATTTCAGCAATTTGCCACCCCTAATGGAATAATGGCTACATTTTAGTAACCACTTGGAGAATAAACGGAGATACAATTTTTCAAAATCATTAAAGTGTTGAAAGAAAAAATAACCTAACCCATTAGCAAGAGGGCAGAGACAAGAGTAATTAAGCATCAAAACCAGTAAGTATTAAAAAGGACAAAACACGTCAATTCTGAAAACACACATGTAAGTATGAAAACTATCAGATGACAAAACTCTCTGTGTAGGCAAGAAAATAAATTTGACCTATATATATTTTAAAAGGTATATTAAAGCAAAATCATAGAATTAAAAGGAAAACAGTAGGCAAAGATATAGCAGGCAAGCACAAAAACGTTTGACAGGTGGCAGAGTCAAAGACACAAACACAACAAAGAGAAGACAGTTATACACCTCTACCGACAAAATAAAATGGTATTGAACTATATAACATAAAGTACTAGGAAAATAAATAGAAATTGATAAAGCCACAATAGTAGTGCGAGACATCACACCTTTATCAATTGGTGATGCATAAAAGACGAAAAAAAAAAAAGAGATGTGCCTACTATGGTTTATCTCATTAACATACACATAATAAGATAGCTTTTTTATATATGTAAAATGTCTCAACTGTTTTGTAATTTTTTTCCTTTTAATTGTGGTAAAATACACATAACAAAAAATTGACCATCTTAACCATTTTTAAGTGTATAGTTCATACTGTTAAATACATTTACATTGTTGTGGAACCAATCTCCAGAACTCTTTCCATCTCGCAAAACTGAAACTTCACATCCATTAAACAACTCCCTATTCCTTCCTCTCCCAAGCAACTAGCAACCACTATTCCACTTTCTGTCTCTATGAATTTGACTACTCTAGGTACCTCACGTAAGTGAAATCATAAGTATTTGTCTTCTGTGGCTGGCTTATTGCACTTAGCATAGTGTACTCAAGGTATTTATGTTGTAGCCTGTGTCAGAATTTCCTTCCTTTTCATGACTGAGTAATATTCTATCATATGTCTATATTATATTTCTTTAGTCATCTCTGAACAGTTGGGCTGCGTCCACCTTTTGGATCCTGTGAACAATGCTGCTATGAATATGTGTATGCTTTGGAAAATTTTTAATTAAAAATCAGTATTACAGGAACGATTAGGGGATGGGCATTGAACTGGACACTGCACGAGAAATCATGTCACCCTTTTAGTATCCCCCAGGAGACACATCTTCAATTGGTAGATGCAAAATTACAAATTGATGTGACTTTGCCAAGGTCCCAAGGAGATGAACAGCAAGCCAAGCTTGGGTTTGAACTCAGGTTTGTCTGCCTTCAAATTCTGAACTCAAATAATCAGATAGCCAAGAAGAAGTTAGGAGAGATGTTTGTTTTTAACTGCAACATAAAAGGAACTCAGCGTTCACTTAATTAATTTCTATTTGCCGGTCGTAACCTTGCTTATGCTTACATTTTCATCTCTTTGTTTTGAGAAAAACAACCTCCCTCATCTTGTGAAGTCTGATTCTTCTTTGTAGCACTTCTCTGGCCTCCTTGCTCCCTGCTCTGCTTCGGATAAACAAGTAAAATTCACATTCCAGGTTACTTTTTGCCAATCACCCTCACTGAGAATTACTGATACAGAAGAAAGGGTCCAGGTCCCCATCCAAAAAATGGAAATAAAATAAAATTGCTCTAAGAATTGAAAGACGTGATACATATAAATCACTTAATGTAATGCCTGAAACATTATAATGGGCTCAATGCTGCTCTAAGTCATCACTGTTAATGGCCCCCTTAGTTTCCACTGTATCATAATTGATGTAATCACTCTACTGATGGATAATAATTCATTGCTATTTTTTATTATAAAAACAATACACTATATACATCTGTATAGCACAATAGCATGCACAATATAATCTTATTTTTTAAATATCAGGCAGCATAATACATGTATACACAGGTATCTGGAAGAAGATAAACAAAATGGTGAGTCTTGTGTTTTCACCTTTAGACTTTTTTGTTTTGTTGTTCTTTGTCTTGTTTTGAGCAATAAAAATGTATTAATTTTAAAAACAGAAAAAAATTATTTTGGAAAAGAGAATGCTGTAATCCCATACAAGAGAAAGTCTACAAATTTCAGAAAGGCAGGTCTAAATTGAAAATCAGTTCTTCTTTGAGTGAATATGCTTGTAATTAGCTGCTTATTTGAGACGAAAATGGGATACACGCCCATGTTAAACATGATATCTATCTAAAAGGACTAATTTGAGAATGATTATCACACACCAAAGTCTGTAGTATTTTACCAAATCTAAGATGTCTTCAATTATAAGTTGTATCATTGTTTTATAGGCCATTAAGAAATAAGAAAAATGTCTAAATAAACCATGATGTGTCATAGATTCTGAAATGCATCCTGATTTCCAAGAATTCAGAATGTGAAAATATTTGCACCTTAGACTTGATAAAAGAGTGTCATTCACTTCCTGTCATTAATTTACTTACTTATTTATTCAGTATATAACTCCCTTATTCAGAAATATTCTTCCAATCCCCTAACATTCAAAGCACTGTTTAGAGTTGAATTTAAAGATAGTACATAAAATATTAACTCTCTGCTCTCAAAAAGGCTGAGGCATGAATCTATGTAGTAAACTACAATACAATATTTTCGTGCTAGATCTGAAGTAAATAAGAGATGTTGTGGGGCACACAGGCCAGCACAATTACTATTTCCCTGAGGATACTGGGGAGCCTTAGTGAAGACCATGTGTATCATCTTCCCTTGAAAAAGGAGCATCTTTGTCCAGACACACAGAGGCAGATATGCAAAGGTCCAATACATCCTCTGCCGGGCCCTCTGAACCTAGCCCCATCATTCCTTTGTTTTCTAAATGTGTGCCTCACATAGATGAGGTAGGAAAGATTACACCTCAGCCTTGGCTTGAAAAATGAGAGAAACAGGTTTTAAAAAGGCTTTTGAAGCCTTCAGGATTACAAGAAATTGTCTCAGATGCTGGGGTGAGCATCTGAAATTAGTGCAAAAGGTTAAAAAAGGAAAAGTGTATAGTTAAATTTGCCCTGGAAAAAAAATAGTAAGTCACCTTAAGTTACCATAACTTAAGCACCTGAAGTTCAGAAACGTGATTTTTTTTTTTTTTTTGAGACGGAGTCTAGCTCTGTTGCCCAGGCTGGAGTGCAGTGGCTCGATCTTGGCTCACTGCAACCTCTGTCTCCTGGGTTCAAGTGATTCTCCTGCCTCAGCCTCCCGAGTAGCTGGGGTTACAGGCGCCCATCACCACACCCAGCTAATTTTTGTATTTTTAGTAAAGACAGGGTTTCACTGTGTTGGCCAGGCTGGTCTCGAACTCTTGACCTCAAGATTCAACCGCCTCTGCCTCCCGAAGTGTTGGGATTACAAGCGTGAGCCACCGTGCCCAGCCAAAAACATGATTTTTTAATTTCATTGTTTTGTGTGTTTCACGTGATAGCTTTCTTTGCCTTTTGGGGATTAAGTAAAAGTTCTTAGGAAGACATGTAAGAAAATAAAAGAATTCATTCTCTCTCACTCTCTCTCTCCAGACTCATAGTTGAATTTGCCTAAGTTAAATACCCAAATAATGTGATTCCACTTCAGTCACTTACAGAATTCAAAGCACATAATCTCTGAACAGGATCAATAAAAATAAATACCGTGAACCAAAGGCAAATCAAAGGAAACCATAAAACTATAGTCATCAACCAAAGGAAGGAGCAAGGATGGATTCAAGACAGAAATCAAAGAACATGATAAAAATTTAAGCTAAATGTTTATATTTTAGATGATTATTTACATAGAAGAAACGAGCACTGTTCTTAAAATATCCAGATAACATAATGCTAGATACAGTTAAAAATGAATGTTCCTCCATCCCCTTCTGTTTCTCTTCCACAGATACAAGCACTGTTAACAATTTGGTCTATATTCTTTTGGATTTTCTGCTCATACATATGAGAATATATTATACATATCAATATTTAAATGTGTTAATATGCTTATCCCTGTTGTGTTTCCTTTTATGTGACTTCCTCCTTTTCTCCTGTGGTGGTTTGGGATTGTGGCACAAAGAAGAAGGAGGAATAAATATGCAGTTTATGAAATAGAATTCAGAATAGGATTTTTGAGTCTTTAGCAATATGCAGGTTTTTAAAAGCCTGCGTTTGTCATGAGATATAATTTTCTAAAATTTAAAATTTGTACATTTTATTAACCTATTGGTCTGATTTTATAATTTTAACGATACCCACTAGAACGTAGAACAGGCAAGAAGAAGAAATACAGTCCTCTTCCTTTTTACTTCCGAGTAGAAAACGGTAGGGTAAAAAGATCAGATTCTTGCCCATGCCTTCCCTGAGTCATTTTTCTGGGAAAGGAAAATGAGGGATGGGTCAAATGTTCTTCCCATACAATGAGAGTATCTAAGACAAACGAGACTACAGTCTCATTTCCATAGGATGTACTCCTTTAAGTGTATAACGGCTTGGAGTCACATTCAGAATTCCATGGGAGCATTAACCAGCACTGGAGCTTTGAGCAAAGCCTGCACCTGGTGTCTGGTGCAGCACATAGCTTCCATGTGCACTAGAGGCTTCTGCAACAAGGACAAAGGAGCTGCAGCATTAGGGAATTTAGTGAAAAAGATGCAAATGACCGGCCGGGCGCGGTGGCTCACGCCTGTAATCCCAGCACTTTGGGAGGCCGAGGCAGGCGGATCACGAGGTCAGGAGATCGAGACCATCCTGGCTAACACGGTGAAACCCCGTCTCTAGTAAAAATACAAAAAAAATTAGCCAGGCGTGGTGGTGGGCGCCTGTAGTCCCAGCTTCTCGGGAGGCTGAGGCAGGAGAATGGCGTGAACCCGGGAGGCGGAGCTTGCAGTGAGCCGAGATCTCGTCACTGCACTCCAGCCTGGGGACAGAGCGAGAGTCTGTCACAAAAAAAAAAAAAAAAAAAAAAAAAAAAAAAAAGATGCGAATGACCAGTGTCAGTGTACACAGCTCAAAATTAAGGTCCAATATTATGTACTGCCTTCACACCTGGGGAAAACTGGGAGAGCCTTAAGTGGCCTCACCACAAGTTCTCCTCCCCATTTTGCTCCCATAGATAAGGTCGCCTAGCCAAATAACCCTCCTTTTCAGGAGGACCAGGCACAGTTCCTACTTATACCTGAGAGGCAGGTTTTGGTTCCCTGACAGCCTGCGGAATTTTCAACAAAAAAATCACATCCTCCGTCGGGCAGCAGACAGCACCAGGCTCCTGATACTACAAAGCCTACCTCCTGCAGCCCCTGCCTCCTGCAGCCCCTGCTTGTTCACCCTCTTCCTAAGCCGAACACCTACGTGGCCCTGTGTGGCCTGTGGCCCTTTCCCCCAGCCCCCTGTGCTGCGAGTATGGGTGATTAGTAAATCACCGTCAACCTCATCTGTCTGGTGTTGGTGTTCAGTCATCCCCATAACCTGAGGCAACGGTGTAAATATCAGGTGTTAAAAACCACTGTGCCCCATCTTTAGCAGTGAAGGCTGGTACCTGCCTGACTTCAGCAATTCTTATTGTTCTTTTAAAAAGATAAATCTATCAATTTAACGCAACTCCAGTCATACTCCCAGGTATTTTTGAGTGGGAAGGAGCAGGGAGCAGGATGAGGGAGAATATAGGGAGGTTGGATACAAAGTTAAAAAAAAAGAAATTACTAATTTTCACTTCTTTTAAAATAATTTTTTAAACGTATAGAAATTTTCAAATAAATGAATTGGGAAAGCTATTACAAGCAAGTATAAATCAAAAATAAAATACAGCAAAATAAAGGATAAGGCCAACAATACACTATCAGGCAAAAAACAATTCAAGAAAGGGAACTGAATGGGACAAAGAAGATGATTTTAATTCTCTAAGAGATAGACTTGAAAATAAAAATGTGGTATTTATGAACCTTTAAATTAAATACAATCATTTTCAAGCCCTCCCTCCTTGAGATTGTTCTAGAATTAACCTGATTAGAGTTGTGGTGTTTCCCAAATTCCAATTATATGGTCACAGGCAATCCCTCAGACTTGATCCCTCAGATACCTAATTATAATTGGTATGTGTGGCTTTTACTAGCTTATATCCAAGTGTTGGAGAAGACCCTTATTTTCTCCTCCATTTACTGACAACAAGTGTAGAAAAAAAAAGTATATTGGTTTTTTATTTTTTAGAATGAGATTATCCTAGGTGGCATCCATCCATCCATCCATGCATCCATCCTTAAATAGTGTGAACCCAAACTTCATGGCTTCCATATTTTTTTTTCTGAATAGAAAGAAAGAAAATAATGAGGAAGAATTGTCTAGTCTCAAATTCACTTTACCAGTTATGAGGTTACACTGTTAGGTCAGGACACTGCAGAGATGAATCAGAGGGAGTCAAAGGGAGAAGGGAATAAAGAAATATCTTAGATTCATTGGGGGACAGGCGAGGTACAGGTAGCTGCATCGTCCATGTGTAGGACACATATTGTCTTCAGTAATCACCACAAACATACTCCTCTTTTGCATTAGTGAAACATGTTCACACGTTTGTTATTGCTGATGTATTTAACAACAGTGAGAGAAATTGCTACAGGAAATATAACCCCGAAAAGGAATTAAAAAAAAAAAAGCTTTATCTAGGTTAGATGGTGATTTAGTTTTCAGCAGAGAAAATCCAGAACAGTGGAAGGATCATGCTGGTCTTTTCATCTATGTTCTCCCTTGTGTTGATTCAAGCATCTCTAAGAGTTATTTCAAGAACCATTTTCACACATTCACTGATTTTTGTTTCTTTTTTTAAGCCTTCTGGAAGCAAAACCCAAGCTGTCTATTGCAGCCATGGAGATAAACAGAGATCTGAAAGCTATCATTTTGAAGTTTTCTTCTCTTTTAACTATTCTTAACAGGATAAAGCTACCCTAACTACATGATAGAATCACCTGGGGAGCTTTTCAAAAATCTCAGATTCTCAGGACACATCCAAGGCCAATTAAATCAGAATCTTGTGAGGTATGCACCAGGCATGGTAGAAGTCGGTGACTTCTGGCAGCAATATTGTTTTGGCACCCAGATTTACGGATTTTTAGGTCATCATTATAAGCCCTTATGTTAGAATAGCTTTCACATCTTTTACAAATGTTACCCACTTAATCTTCACCACAAGCCGTGTGATGGGTCTTATTCTCCATGTTTTATAAATGAGGACATTAGGGTTCAAAGGGGCTTGCAAGTGGCAGACACCAGTGTATAATCCATTGACTTGAATCCTAAGAAAAGTTGGATATTCCAAAACTAGATTGTTCACCGGCTTCCCCAGGGACTTAAGCTCTCATTACAGAATTCCTACAGAAGAGAAGGTCTGGGTACATATTACCAAAGATTGAAGAACAGGGACAAAGCTACCTGTAACACCCATATTATTTCTCTTTTTATGGCAGTCAGGTGGCTTGTAGTGAGTATTGAATGATCAGCATGATGAAACTGCTTCATCAACTCATATGATCTAGAATTTGGGAGAAAACGGGAAAGTTCCCAAGTAATCCCATGCTCAGATACCGTCTCAGTAACATGTACCATGACCTTTTATGATGAAGCAATATGAACATGGTATTGTTTGTGCCAGTTTTTTAAGGAGTCATACAACATTGTCAGTGTTATTAAGGTTATGAATTGGGAATTACCTGGATAGGACATCCACCACCTCATTCACTGTCTGCATGGATTCAATTAATATGATTGGTCAGACAGGAGGAATTTTTCTGCATAACTAGGTGCTTAGTTGCAGGATACAGGAAGGTTCCCACATAAAGGAGGATCATTCATTGGGCCAGAATATTGAGATTGCTACCAACCAATAACATTGATGACTCTTAAAACCATATTAAGACATAAATGGAATGGTGAACTGAGAACCTCTGAAAATCCTTTCCATAAAATCGAGGAGAACATTGGCAAAAATAGCCAAAACTGACTTTTTCAAAACTCTATAAATTAACCAAAAGCTTGCAACAAGGCGATTGTTTATTCAAGAAAAAAAAAGTGGCAAGAAGAATGGGTGTTGTGACATTTTAACTTGCCTTATTTCCATTACCTTCTCAACTCCATGGTACCCTTAAAAATCAACAGCCCACAATACAATGCCATTAAAGGTGCCAGACAGGGTTGGAGCTCTTTCAAAGCCTCATTCTCAGAGAATTGTCACTGTTTGACTTGTTTGACTTATCACTGTTTGACTTGTCTGGTAGTTCCCTAGAAAACCATACACACAAGGCTCGTCTTTAAGTGAATAGACTTGGAGATTACCCAGTGTGAACAGGCTTTTGCCCAGGGGCATTTGTCAAAAAGAAAACAAAAATCAGCAGCGATTGTTCAGCATTACTGTGGCAATAACAATTGGTCCAAACAAGTTGACCAAAAACTTTGAAAGAAAAACCTGGGGAGTTAGATGTTTTTCAGAGGCTTTGAAAAATTCTGAAATATTCATAGGAATCTAGAAGGTCACACACATGTGTAGGGAAAAATCTAAGAAGGCCTTAAGCTCTCACACCTGGCTGACCATGAGGCTCTGCATAAGTAGGGACAGAAATGCTAAGACAGAGTGATAAAGGAAATGGATGTATGTTAAATGCATGTCCTGACATGTACACAGAGTCCTTGGCAAACACAAGGAGACTTTTTGGTTCCAGTATTTTAGTGAAATCTCTGTCCAGTCATTACCTGGTCACTAAATTAACCAACCAGAAACTTCAGGGGTCATACACGGCAAAGAACACGTATGGCATAGAATTAGTTCAGGTAAGTCACTAAGAACACAAGCAGCAACAAAAACAACAATAATAAAGAGCAATGACAACAAACCCTAAAGAGAGGGAGAATCTATTTTCCAGGGTAGCCACTTTTATATTATTGAAAATTTCCAGTTTCAACAACAAAAAATGATGAGACAGGCAAAGAAACAAAGTATGAGCCACACATAGAAGAAAAACAGTCAATACAAATTGTTCCTGAGGAAGCCAAGATGTTGGACTTACTAAAAAAAGACTTTAAATCAATTGTTTTAAATATGTTCAAAAACTAGAGGACACCAAATGTATGATCAACAAAAGAAAAAAATTGTTAAGTTAGACTCTACTAAAACTAAAAACTTTTGCTCTGTTACACTAACACTGTTAGAAGAATAAAAAGACAAGCCATAGACTGGAAAAGTAATTGCAAAATATATATCTGATATGTAATTGGTATCCAAAATATGCAAAAGCTCTCAAAACAATAAGATAGTAACTATCTAATTTAAAAATAGGCAATGAGGTTTTAATTTAAAACTTCATTGAAGAAGATATACATGTGACAAATAGGCATATGAAAAGATGTTCAACATCACATGTCATTAGAGAATTATAAATTAAAACAACAATAAATTATCACTACACACCTATCAGAATGGCCAAAGTCCAGAACACTGTCAACACCAAATACCGATGAGGGTGTGGAGCAATAGGAACTTGGATTCATTGCTAGTGGGAATGCAAAATGACACAGCCACTTTAGAAGACAGATCGGCAGTTCCTCACAAAACTAAACATACTCTTGCCATATAATCCAGAAATTGTGTTCTTTTGTATTGACCCAAAGAAGTTGAAATTTTATATTCACACAGAACTTGCACACAAATGTTTACAGCAGCTGTATTCATAATTTACAAAACTTGGAAGCAACCAAGAATAGGTGAATGGATTTAAAAAACACAAAACTGTGGCATATTCATACAATGAAATATTATTCAGTAACAAAAACAAATGAGCTATCAATCTATGAGAACTCATGAAGGAATCTTAAATATATATTGCTAAGCGAAGGAAGCTACGCTGTAAACACTACATACTGTATGATTCCAACTATATGACATTCTGGAAAAGGCAAAGCTATGGAGTCTTTTAAAAGATCAACTGTTGTCAGAAGTTTGGGGAAAGGGAGAAATGAATCAGTGCAGCAGAGGGGAATTTTCAGACAGTGAAACTATTCTGCAGGAGACTATAATTGTGAATACATGTCCAACAAAAAGAGTAAACCCTAATGCAAACCATGAACTTTTGTTATTAATAGTGTATCAATATTACTTAATCAATTGTAACAAATGTACCACACTAATACAAGACACTAATAATAGGTAAACCTGGGGAAGGATGTGAAGTTATATATATGAACTATATGTACTTTCCACTCAACTTTTCTCTAAACCTAAAAACTATGCAAAATAATAAAGACTATGAATTAAAACAACCAGAAAAAAAATTAGAGAAAACTATGTCTAAAGAAACAAAGGAAACGATGAGAATAATGTCTCACCAACTACATAATATCAACAAAGAAATGAAATGATTTTTAAAAAACCAAATATAAATTCTGGAGTTGAAAAGTACAATAATTGAAATGAAAAAACTTCTGTGGGTACTCAACATTGTATTTGAGTAAGCAGAAGAAAGAATTAGCAAACTTGAAGATAGGTCAATTAAGATTAGCCAATCTAAGAGAGAGAAAGAAAATGGAAAAAAAAAAAAAAAAACCCAGAGCCTCAGAGATCTATGGGACATCATTAATTGTGCCAACATATGCATAATGGAATTCTAGAAGGAGAGGAGAATGAGAAATGGGCAGAAAGAATATTTAAAAAAAAAGAATGGCCAAAAATTAACAAATTTAATTTAAAAAAACATTTATTTAGACATGAAAGGAGCTCAACACACTCCAATAGGATACACTGTAAGTGATCCATACCTATGTACATCATAGTCAAACTGTCAAAAATCAAAGATGAAGGGATTTTTGAAAGCAGAGAGAAGCTACTTATCATGCATAAATTATTCTCAATATGATTAACATCCAGTTTTTCATTAGCAATCACAGAGGCTAGAAAGCAGTAAGATGATATATTTAAAGTGCTGAAAGAAAAAAAAGTCTGGCAACCCCAAATTTTATATCCAGCAAAACTAATCTTTAAAAGTTAACAGAAATTAAGGAATTCCCAGATAAAAGTTGACGCAACTGGTCATTAGCAAACCGTCTCTATAAGAAAAACTACAGGAGGCTCTTCTGGACAAAATAAAAGGACACTACTGAGCAGTAACTTAAAAATTATAACGGAATACTATGAAGCAATAAATAGCATCAGTAAAGGTAACTACATAGGTAAATATAATATACTGCACAAATATATTTTTGGTTATAACACTTCTTTTTTTTCTCCCTAAGTGATAACTGCATAAATAGATAATAAATTTGTGTTGATGGGCATACAATATATTAAAATGTAATTTTATGGCAATAATAGCATAAGAGTGGGAAAGAATAGAGCTGTATAGGAGCAAAGTTGTATAGACTATTAAAATTCAGTTGGTATTAATCTAAACTAGATTATTACAAGTTTAGATATTAATTATAATTTCCCAGGGCAACTACCAAAAAAAATTCAAAAGAATATATACTGAAAAAAAAACAAGTGAACTAAAATGGGACACTAGAAAATCTCTACTCAACACAAAAGAAGGCAGTAATAAAAGAACAGAGGCACAACAAAAGCAACAACAAAGAGAAAAAACTCAGAAGAAATATAGAAAACAGAAAGATGGAAGATGTAAATCATACCTCATCAGTAATTAAATTACATGTAAATGAATTAAATACTTCACTAGCAGAAGAAAGGAAATGAGAAACATTATAATGGATATAAATGAAATAAAAAATAGAAAAACAATAGAGAAAATCAATAAAACCAAAAGTGGCTTTTTGGAAAGATTGGGAAAACTGACTATCCTATAGCTACACTGAGCAAGAATAAAAGAAAGAAGACTCAAAATACTAAAGTCAGGAAAAAAAAGTGGACATTACTACATATCTTACAGAAACAAAAAGGATTATAAGAAAATACTACGACCAATTATATAACAACAAATTAGATCATTGAGAAGAAACTGACACATTTCCAGAAAGATAAAACTTCCAATACTGACTCAAGAATAAATAGAAAATGTTAATAAATCTATTACAGGCAAAGAGTTTGAATTAGTAGTATTAAAAATTCCCACAAAGTGCCATGACAGGGATATTGCTTAAACAAAAAAAGAAAAAGAAAAAAGAAAACCCCCATAAAGAAAAGACTAGATGCTTGTTCAGTGATTGCTAACAAAAGTTAAAGAAGAATTAACATCAATCCTTCTCAAACTCTTCCAAAAAATAGAAGAAAAAGAAACACTTCTCATTTTCTAAGGCCAGTATTACTCTAGACAGGTATCACAACAAGAGAAAATTATAGACCAATACCCCTATGTATACCAATGAAAAATCTTCTACAACAACTTTCAGATTGAATATAGCAACATATAAAAGGGCTTATCCAAATGCGATTTATCCCATTTTTATGGATTCAAAGACAATATTGTTAAGATGGTAAAACTCCACAAATTGATCTACAGATCCGATGCAATTTCTATCAGGATGCCAGCTGCCTTTTTTTCCCCCCCAAATTGACAAGCTTAATGTAAAACTCATATAAAAATTCAAGGGACCCAGAAGAGCCAAAACAATCTTAAAAGAACAAATTTGTAAAACTCATACTTCCATATTTCAAAACTTACTACAATAAAGGTACAATAAACGAAACTGTGCCACTGGCTTTAAAATAAATATATGGATCAGTGGAATAGAATTGAGAATACAAAAATATACCCTAACATTTACGGTAGATCAATTTTTGACAAAACTACCAAGACAATCCAGTGGAGAAAATTTCAATATTTGTAAGTCATATATAAAGGACTAATATTTAGAATATATAAAGAACTCTTACAACCCAACAACAGAAAGACAAGCAACCCATTTAAAAAGTAGACAAAGGATTTAAGCAAACATTTTTCATAAGAAGATATACAAATGGCCAACAAGCACCTGAAATATGCTCAACATCACTAATCATTAGGAATAAGAAAAGTCAAAAACAACCTTCAGATACCACTTCACACCTACCAGCATGACTATAATAAAAAAGATGGATAATAACAGATGTTGGCAAGAATGTGGAGAAATTGGAACCATAACACATTGCTGGTGGGAATGTAAAATGGTGCTGTCATTTTGAAAAATAGTTTGACATTTTTTCAAATGTTAAACATACAGTTTAAATCATGTTGAGTAAAAAAAGACAAACACAACAATTCCGTTTACATGAAGTTTAAAAGGCAAAGCTATAGTGCAGAGATACATAGGTGGTAAAACTATAACAAACTTTTTTTTAAAAATGATTATCATTAAAGCCAAGATAATAATTACTTTAGGGGTTAAGAAGAGGCTTTTGGTTTGAAACAAGCACATGAAGGGAACTAATGTAATGGTAATGCTATAATTTTTGGTGTGGGTGATCGTAATCTGGCTGTTAATTTTTATCATAATTCAATAAGCTTGCACAATTACGTAGTGTGCACTTTTCTACTAAGTGCTATATTTCATAATAAACACTCATTTTAATGTGCAAGTGAAAAATCTATGAATAAACTGTACTATAAGCTACTTAATCATTCCCATACTGTTGACATTTTGATTGCTTTCAATTTTTTATTATTCTTAACAACATAGCAATTAAGGTTTTTGTGCAAAATTCTCCATATTTTTTATTATTAACTTGAGATGAATTTCCTTCTGTGGGAATATAAAGGCAAAGGATTCAAATAATTGCAACTACAAATGCTCAAACGTAGTTTTTCTTTCTTATGCTACATGTGGTTTATTTCAACCCAATGCTCAGTATTCCAAGACCTTTCTGAATTCTGATTCTGTCCTGTTACTATCTCCTATCCTTTCAAGGTGTTCCCAACTTCCTCTTAGCAGGCTCATCAATCCCTTACTGCAAGCCCAGGCTTGGAAAGTGAGCTTGCTTCTGCTCCTACATAGTTACCTGTATCAATGTTCAGGACCACGTTGAGAGCCCTTCTGATAAGGAAGGGACTCCTGTGCCTGAGATTTGTGGCCTGTGCCTTCCAGACGGCAATGCATTCTGAAAACTCTTACGATGCAATGCCACTGCCACTGTCAAATAACAACGTTCAAAAAGTTAAAAACATGACATGGCTAAATACAGATTGAGCATATGTCAAGTATTTTATTCAACTCATTAATTAATAAGGGACCGGTAGGATGGTAAAACTGATTCAAAGAACAGTTCAAGGAATGAAGATTGATGGATGTATTAGTCTGTTTTCACACTGCTACAAAGAACTGCCCAAGACTGGGTAATTTATAAAGAAAGAGGTTTAATTGACTCACAGTTCAGCATGGCTGGGGAGGCCTCATGAAACTTGCAATCATGGTGGAAGGCAAAGGGGAAAAAAGGCACCTTCTTCACCAGGCGGCCAGAAGGACAATGAATGCGAGAGAAACTACCAAACACTTATAATAACATCAGATCTCCCGAGAACTCACTTGTTACGAGAACAGCATGGAGGAAACCACGCCCATGATTCAATTACCTCCACCTGGTCTCTCCCTTGACTTGCAAGGATTATGGGGATTACAATTCAAGATGAGATTCAGGTGGGGATACAGCTAAACCGTATCAACAGAGTTAGTTCAAAAATGCTGAAATGAATTTGCTAACAGATATAAAACTATATAGTGTCTCACAGGGTGATAAAATAATAACAGAATAAATCTTTTTACCAGGCAGAAATCTACAAATTAACATGTAATTTCACAGTGTGTGGGTTTTAATCAAGTGGAAATAATCAGTCAAACTCAGGTGTACTCTGCTACTAGTGAAATAATCCTTAGGGAAAGGATTGTAAAACAATGCCCCCACATGACATTGAACATCAAAAGGACATGCATTCATACTTTGGCTTTATTTCCAAGTGTTGGATAACTTTTTCCAACACCACTTTTTTTTCAGCGGTCTTGAAAAATCACTGGGTCTGTCTTTTGCTATTTTGAAAATCCTGAAAAACTGGGGTAGGTAGTAAAATTCAATGCAATTTTACTATTTAAAATTCAAGTCACTACATAGAATATGTATTTTTTTTTCTTCCCAAGGCCAATTCAATTCTTTCATTATCTGAAAGCTCACAAGCAGTCAATTATTTTGCTTTCTGAAGCCACTGATGTTTACCAAGGTATAAGAAACTTCCTATCTTGAAGTGTTCACGGATAGAACATATGCCCAAGAGTCTCCTAAAATCTCATTCAGATAATTGCTTTAGGTGCACATGTGCATTTTTGTTAAAAAGAGAACAAAGTTCTATGATCAGAGGGTTAAGAAACACTGCCAAGTGGGGCTCCTGCAGCTAGTACTTCCATGGAGTTAGTTGCCACATTGCAGGGTGCCTTTACATTTTCCTCACACGTGTTCTATTGCCTTCTTCAGAATCACTGGGTATAAACTCTGCTTCTAGTCACATCCCTGCTATCCACCAGCCTGGAAGCATCTGCATCCTTCTTATGACAAAAGGTACCCATATCACTCCATAGTACCAATACACACACACACACACACACACACACACACACAGAGTATAACACTACCAAAAAGGTAAAGGCACAAAAGGCTGCCAAATCCCTGGCTGTTATACTTAGCAAATACAAAAACCAAAAAGCCCTGCTGTTATTGAAGTTCTGCTCATTTGTTAACATAATTCCTTTTGCTCTAAATTTTATTTGCAGTCTGTCTTTATTAAGAATTCAAACACACCCTAATGTATCATTTACATTATGTGAATATGTGTTTAGCATAAGGCTATTCCAAGGTACCAAGAGTAATTGATGCTAAAATTATATTTCCTGTGTAATCTGTAAAATAAAAGTTCAAAACCCATATGAAGGCAGGAACAATCTGTCAGCTTGTTGCAGGTGCAATAAGCCATGTTGTCATTTGGTCAGCCTAAAACAAATGAGTCGAGCAATGCCATTATAGGCCATTTTCAACTCACAAATTTCATTCCAATTAAAGACTAGGGTTTCTCGTTGCAGAATGGATTCTGTCTATAATAAGCTTTATATTTAAATACACCCCAAGATACTATTTTTGCTAGGATTTTTTTCTTATTTGCATAAAAGGCCTGACAGGGAGCAGAAAGATAGGGGATGGGAAAGATAAAGGGGACATAAAGGAAGATTCTAATCTCTTTCCAATAATGGATAAATAATATCTTAGAGAATGGCAATGTAATAATAGATCCCATTTGCTGAACACTAAGTGTGGGGCAAACGTTATACTATAACCTTGACAGATATTTGTTCATTCATTTATTTAATAGCTGTTGAGTGCCTACTATGTGTCAAGAACTGCCTTATGTGTCCTAGAACATAAAATATAGTTTATACCCTCACAGTGTTTATATGCTAAAGAGAAGAGAGCCCATAAACACAGAAATAAATACAACTACTGCACACACACACACACACACATATAATTTTTTTTTTTTTTTTGAGACTGAGTCTCACTCTGTCGCCCAGGCTGGAGTGCAGTGGCGCGATCTCCGCTCACCGCAAACTCCACCCCCCACATTCACGCCATTCTCCTGCCTCAGCCTCCCGAGTAGCTGGGACAACAGGCGCCCGCCACCACGCCTGCTAATTTTTTTGTATTTTTAGTAGAGACGGGGCTTCACTGTGTTAGCCAGGATGGTCTCGATCTCCTGACCTCGTGATCCACACGCCTCGGCCTCCCAAAGTGCTGGGATTACGGCCACACACGTATATAATTTTAACTTGAAACATGCTTCACAGAGGTGATTGAATTGTGCTGGAGAAGGACTGATTTGGCCAGATGGTCAAAGCGTCTCTTGGAGGTCTCATGAGAATATCTGGAAAAGCTTTCTGGGTAAAGAATCAGCAAATGTCAAAGTGTTGAGACTGAATAGTGTTTGGCACGTTTGAAAGATGCAGAAAGAAGACCAGTGGTCATGGGGATAAGGAGAAAAATGAGGAGAGATTAAAAGGCCATTTGAAAGTTTAAGTAAAAGAATAATGTTCATTTTTCAAAGCTCACTCTGGTTGCTCTGTGAGGGCTACATGGTGAAGGAATGGAGTGGAAGCAAATAGGCTGGTTAGGAGGCTGTTGGGTTGGTGTGGATGGAAGATGATGGTAGTTGTGACCGGGCTTATCAGCGAGCATGATGAGGATCGGCAGAATTCTGGTTGTATCTTTTATTTTTGAGATGGAACGATTAGGATTTGATGATGAATTAAATATCGGGTCTGAGGTCAAGGGAGGAACCAGAGATAAATACTATGGCAAAATAGAAGAACCCCTGCCCTCCCTACTCCTCTTCTCATAACGGAAAAATTGACACAAGATATTGGAAATTCACTGAGTGTGGTGACTCATGCCTGTAATCTCAGCTACTTGGGAGGCTGAGGTGGGAGGATCAATTGAGGCCATGAGTTTGAGATCAGCCTGAGCAATACAGCGAGACCTTATCACTAAAAAGAAAAAGAAAATAGGCATCAGAAATTCACCATAGCAGCCAAATAAATGTCCCACTCCAGTGCAATGCAAAACATGTCCAATTTAACGAAAATCAATAATGAACTTTTCTATAAGAAAACCATCTAGCCAATTGACAAATATTTTTGAATATATATATATACACACACACATACATATACATATACATATATATATATATATATATATATATATATATAAAGATTATTAAGGATAGTTAAAGGATTCCCCTCAGATCCCAACAGTGGAATGTAAATGAATCAATATAATCAAAAGGAAATTTGAAATTTTATTTTTGGTAGCTTTCATAATATACCTTTTCTTCACCAATTCTATGTCTTGGAAAATATTGTAAGGAAATAACCAAATATGGAATTAGACTTACGTTCAAAAACATTAACTATAATGATAATGAAGGGAAATTAGAAATAATGTAAATATCCAATGATAGAAAATGACTAAATATATTACGGTACAGCCATTTATGCTGTCATTAAAATCATATTTTGGAATCTTTTTTGTCACTATCAAGTCATCATGATGTAAATAAAATGGAGTTCAAAAGCATGATAAAAAATGCTACATGGATAATGGATAAACATGTATGAATGCAAATAACAGAAAGTAGAAAGTTAAAAGGTTAATAATGGTTTTCTCAGAGAGGTCAGATGATAGATTATTATTTCCAAAATCTCAACAATGAACATGTATTACTTATATAATCAATAAAATTATACAACTTTTGCAAGCCCTAAGAAGTCCATAGAACTTTCTGGGATCCAATATGTGCCCCTTTGTGTCAAGATATGACAGTTGCGACCAGACCTGGAAATTTTTATGGACCCCCGAAGATAATTCTGCTTGTTGCCTGATTTTACCTCTCTGAACTTAGTGATGTTGGCAGGGTTCCTCTAGGAGTCGCTTAAAGTCATTTTGGGTTTGGATTTTTTTCTTATTTGCCTTACCTTATAGATTATCTTAGTTCAGGCTGCTATAACAAGTTGCCATAGACTGGGTTGCTTAAACAACAAACGTTATTTCTTACAGTTCTAGAGGCTGAGGAGTCCAAGATCAAGGTGCTGGCAGATCTGGTGTCTGGTGAGCATCCTCTTCCTGATTTGCAGATGATGCCATCTCATTGGATTCTCATATGGCGGAAAGAGGGCAAGAGAGACAGCCCTCTTGGGTCCCTTTTCTAAGAGCACTAATCCCACTCATGGGGGCTCTGCCCTTGTGACCTAATTATCTCTTAAAGCCCCACCTACAAATATCTTCACATCGGAAGTTAGGATTTCAACATATGAATTTGGGGAAGCATAGATATTCAGTCCTCAAAACATATTGCTTGGCCTTTCCCTTCATCTGGTCCTGGCTGCACAAAATTGTGCTGAAATTTCTTGACATTGGAGGCATGTTTTCTTCTGCTGTTAAAATACTTCCTCCTTGCAATGCTCCTTTCATGATTTAAGTAGTAATGTGTGAAAGGTGGAGTCAATTCGCTGTGTACAGATCATTTCGCACACAGGCTTTTAGTGGCCTAGCCTCTCTGGCTCCCACTTTGCCAGATTTTCTCACATTCCAGGAGGAAAAAGACAGAAGAGGAGCCTTCTAGGTCACAGAGCCTGAAGAACAGCAGAGCATCATTTCAGGGAGATCGAACACACTTGTTTTTACCATTCTCTCTTCTGTTATCTCACCAAACCAAGGCACCCTTTTCTCAAAATGTGGGAAATGAATGAAACCAAATATGCACTAACAAACTTCTGTGAGCTGATCGTATTTAGCCAAGCACAAAAGCACATGTACAGATGATTAATTGGTGCCCAAACTCAAAATGGAGACCAAATTTTCAACCCATTCTGGGTGCAAAGTCTGACTTAAAGATTCGTGCATATGAGATCAGCAAGTTTTTTCCAAAAATAATCATGTCCACAGATTCCTATCATCATTGTATTGATTCTCAAATTTTATTTAATTTAATTTTATTAAAGTCCTTAATGAAAAACTTTTCTTGCACAATCATTATATCTCTTATGGCTCTTGGGTGGCTTTGAAGGAAAAATAATACTATGAAAAGATGGTTGCTGAAGGGTAATTTAATCAGCATTCTCATAAATTATAGAACTTTTCTGTCTCCTTTGCATAGAGGGAAAAGTCTTAGGGCAGAAAGAGTGTCTTCCATATTTTAATTTGATTTCCAGGCCTAATTATATTTTGCTTAAACTCAACACACTCGTGATTTTACAAGGACGACAATCTTGTGGGATGAAATAAAGCTTTGTAAAACTTCTGCATTTACTTTTCTTTGCTGGAAATTGAATTCTCACTATAATCAAGGATACAGTCCACAAAGAGAACTTATTTAATTTCTATGTTAAATCAAAGACAATGTAAAGCTGATAAATTTACTACAGTCTCTTTGAAAAAAAAAAAAAGTGTAGCCAGAAAAATTACCAAGTATGAGCAACAGAATTTTAAAAAGCCAGTTTCTATCAATTTTTCCAGGTATGCAAGCTCACACCTTCTCCCTCAAACCACCAGTTGTATCAAAAGAGGTTTTAAAATCCTGTCAAGGTAGTTAGAACAACATGTTATCCAAGTAGATACTTTGAGTAGTTGTTGAAAGGGAAGCCAATAGCTAGCAGTAGAGAAGTTATGGGGAGTCTTTATTATAAACAATGAATCTAGGGATTTATGAGCCAAAGAGCCTGGAGCTGAAGATATCAGGAACAGGTCAAAGTAAAAGCAGATCTGATTTATTGCAAGAACAAAAGGAGAGGGTCAGTATCTGCTCTTATTGCATGGTACTGAGACAAGCCAGAACATTCAAAGCCTCAAGAAAAGGCAGAAAAGCAGCGGTTCTATTTATTCCAGAATTATCTAAATGCAACTCTTTTTCAAGTTTCACTTCTTCCACAAAATTTTCTCTGGACAGTTTACCTACCTGCTATTACTCCTCTGATCCTATACAACATGCATTGTCTACAAATGACAAGCTATATTATGATTTATTATTTAATGTTTTATTTATGTACTTACATATATCCCTTCTGGTTCTAAGGAGGATTTACAGGTACTTATTGGGTATTATCATTTAGTTTCTCATGTCTTCTCTTTGTGTACAATTCCCTATTGGTTATTCCTCCATCAGATTGACTGTGCTTTCCAAACTCAGCATGGCTGTAGCAGACCCAGTAAGAGGCTACTTTTGTCCTTGCTCTCAGAGCTCTGGTTTTATTCTGGTTTCCACTCTTCCTCCATGAGACAGAAACACAGAGCCTCAACCTGCATCCCCAGGGGAGAGTCCTGGTGGGTCCACACCAATCACAGGGAGACACATGGAGAAGAGAGGAAAAAGCATCCTCCATTGGCTCAGGAGTGGGCATGAGACAAAGTGCTGACTGATGAGGGGTGGACAGAGTCTCTCAGGAGATTCTGGTAAAATTTTCCACATTTTTTAGAAGGACACATGAGAAAAGAAGGCTTTTTCCTGCTTCGGGACACTGTCTAAACTAAATGACAATCCTGGAGCTACTGACACCCTTTGAAACCATGAGGGAAAGCAGCCTTATGATGAAGCTGATGCTAAAGATGGCAGAGAGATGAAGATTTCTGGGTCTGTGCAGACACGAAGGTGTCTTTCAGCCACCAAAAGCGCTGTGCCCTCTTTCTTTCTCCTCTGGACTTCCAGTATGAAATAATAAATTTCCTTAGGACAATTTGATCCTGGGTGACCTTTTGCAGCCATAGTTGTCCTAACTGATGGCCTAGCATAACTCTTGACACATAGTAGGTGCTGTATTACCATTAATTGAGAAACTGGATCAATAGTTCAATATATTATTTGCTTTTATAATAGTTAAGATCGCTCTATCATAAAATAAGAGAAGTTATCACAAAATAGTATATTTGATCAGGTATCATGGAAACTAACATCTGTTTTAAATTTGTAATAAGAAAATAATACTACAGCAAAAATCCTGTATAAAGATATAATATGACATATTATGATTTTACATGTTATCGTGACATAATATGGTTTTAGACTATAGTTACGAATATTAGTTACTAGCAAACTTCAACATATAAGAGCTGTTTCTTTCTAAAGCCAAGAAAAATAGATTATAGAATAGGTTATTATTTAATACAACAGTGCTATATTTCCATAACACTAAAATTTTTAAAACAATTTTACATATATGAGTTTATTTGCAATACTTTATACACTATTTCATTGTCTCATGCCTAAAGCAGTTCATTATAAATATTAGGAACTTGACATGTCATTTGTGAATGAATTAAAAAAAGCGTGTTGTTAGATTATTCCATGGTTTCAAATGTCTCAATTTAATTTTGCCTCTGTTTTACCTGCCTAAAATAGGTCATATATTTTCATGAATAGCGGAGAAGAATTATCCCAGGTTTGGACTATTTTTTAAGGGTTTTAGACAATTTTTTTCATTTTGCTTTCTAACATGAAGCTAAGGAGACAAACTCTTTACTCTCTAATTAAAACTCACAGTTTCACAGCTGAAATAGGAATTGAAGAGTAAATACATACTTCAGTTTTGGTAACCATAGTTCTAGCACAGTGACCCGAGCTCAGTTGAACCTGACTTCTTAAGCACTCTAACATTGGTTAGTTCCAGCACGTTGAATCTGCTGTTGAGAATTAATGTCACAGAGGGCAATGGAACAGATGCAAGAAAACAGATTTGGTCTCAATTTTCTGTGACCAGAATACATTGTCTAAACCCTGAGCCACATGGCATCGGGAATCAACGTTTTATTTTCTTGGTCTCCGTCATGTTCTGAAACATGAACGGAAACTCCAGGAACTGTCCCGCTGAGATCATTCTGAGTCAAAGGAGTAAGGAGAGGTTAAGGGCCTCAGCAATTTCAGGGTCTCAGGTTACAGTTTAGAGCCAAATGCTGAGCAGAAAAGGGTGAATTAGCAGCGCAAAGCCTTTTTCTTGCTTTTAGCAGATTGTGCCTTGGGAGTAGGATATAGGATGACTCCATTTGTGAAGTCACATTCACGGAAATAAGGATACAGGGAAGTAAAGATTAAACAGGATCCATTAAAACACTGACTCCTTTTCTTTCTGAGAATGTGGACATTGAAATATTTAATTTGTCGAGGAGATGACATAAAGAAAACACTTGGATATCTAGAACTTGTACTTACTTAGTAGGCATATTGGTCTGCTCGGGCTTCCATAACAAAATACCACAGACCAGGTGGCTTAAACAGACGTTTATTTTCTCACAGTTCTAGAGGGCGGGAGTTCACGATCAAGGTGCCAGCAGAGTTGGTTTCTTGTTAGGCCTTTCCTCCTGGCTGGTAGATGGCCATCTTCTCACTGTACCCTCACAGGACCTTTCCTCTTTGTATGCACAGGGAGAGAGAAAGAGAGAGAGAGAGAGAGAGACTGATTTGGTTTCTCATCCTCTTCTTATAAGGACATCAGTCTTATTGGATTGGTGCCCTACTCTTATGACCTATTTAATTTTAATCATCTCCTGTAAACATCCTGACTCCAAATACAGTCATATTGTGGGTTAGGGCTTCAAGATATGAATTTCTGAGCACGGGAGCAGGCGACAAAATTTAGTCCATATCAGTAAGTAAACATGAATTTTCCTGCATGTGAAGTGTGGTCGTTTGTTAGGGCTGCCATAACAAAATCCCAGACCGGCGGCTTAAATGACAGATTTATTTTCTCACACTTCTGAAGACTGGAAGTCCAGGCTTGAGGTGCTGACTGGGTTGGCTTCTTCGGAGGCCCCTCTTTGCGGCTTGCAGATGGTTTTCCTCCCACTGTGTCCTCACACAGTCACTTCTAGGTCTCTGGGTCATATGTGTTCTAATCTCTTCTTCTTACAAGGACCCCAGGCAGACTGGACCAAGGTCCACAGTAGCAGCCTCAACTTACCTTCATTACCTTTTTAATGGCCTGTCTCTAAGTACTGTTACATTCTGAGATATTGGGGCTTAAGACTTCCACATTTGAATTTGATGGGGACGTAATTCAGCCCATAACATGAAGTGAGAGATGCTGAAATTAGAGGTGCTGTATTGAAGTAAAAACCTTGCCATGGTGGTATCAATTCATGATAAAATCTACTCAGTCAGCAGTACTCAAGACTTTGAGGACATGTCCATAAGAGTTGTCCAAATTTTACCAAATCTGTTGTTTTTCTTCCTTCATTATCTTATGGACTAAATAATCACAAAATCATATTATATTGCATAGTGGTTCTATTAGCATTCAATGCTAACATGCATATACATTTCCATATTTTTGGTATTTGATTCATGAGTGTTTGAGTGTTTTTGTTGTTGTGGTTTTTTTTTTTTTTTTGGAGCTGGAGTCGCTCTGCCGCCCAGGCTGGAGTGCAGTGGTGCGATCTCGGCTCACTGCAATCTCCACCTCCCAGCTTCAAGCCATCCTCCCACCTCAGCCTCCCCAGTAGCTGAGATTACAAGGGTGTGCCACCAAGCCTGACTAATTTCTGCATTTTTTTTTTTAGAGACGGGGATTCACCATGTTGGCCAGGCTGGTCTCGAACTCCTGGCCTAAAGTGATCCACCCACCTTGGCCTCTCAAAGTGCTGGGATTATAGGGGTGAGCCACTGTGTCCAGCCATGAGTTTTTAAATGCCTAAGCACATGGTACATTTTTCATTAACATTATGTTGTTGCTTCCAAGATTAATTGCACTGTGGAAACATAATGTGTCCTGTATGAAAAATAATTATTCTTAATTATTTGAAATGTGTTGAAGATTGCTTTATGTCTTAGACTTACCCAAATTTTGGACCTGCTCCATGTGTATTTGAGGAAGAATGTATGCTTTGATCGTTATGTGCTGGTTCCATATATAGCTATTAAATCTAGCTTATTAATTGTGTTTTCAAATTTTCCAATCTGTGTGATAGGTGTGTATGTATATGTAAGTGGGGGGCTGTATGTCTGCTCAGCCTAAAATTACTGAGATGGGTAGTGAAATTTCCTAATATAATGAATTTGTCACATTTTCCTTGTAATTAGTTTAACATTTGTTATATATATGTGTGTGTGTATATATATGTGTAAATATATGTGTGAGTGTGTGTGTATATATATATATATTTGAGACAGGGTCTTTCTCTGTCATCTAGACTGGAGTGCAGTGGCGCCATCTCAACTCACTGCAACCTCTGCCTCCAAGGCCCAAGCGATCCTCCTGCCTCAGCCTCCCAAGTAGCTGGGACCACAGGTGTGTACCACCACACTCAGCTGTGTTTTATATATTTTGATGCAAATTTAGGTGGTTGTGTTTAGTATTAACTTTCTCTGATGAACTGAAACTTTTACCATTCTTGAGTAATTTCATACACTTGGTGTTTTGTCTCAAAAACCACTTTGTTCGACACTAATATAAAGATATCAGCTTTTGATTAGTATTTGCCTGCTGTACCTTTTTTCACCTTTTACTTTTGACATTGCTGTCACTGTCGTGTTCTTGTGTTTTTAGTTTCTCATAGTCAGCATGTAGGTAAAGTTGGTTTCCTTTTCATCTTCTAGCACACTTTCTGCCTTTTAACAGATGTGTTTAGACCCTCTGCCTTTTTGTGTTATCAATTACTTGGCTTTACTTATCTTAAATGATTTTGTGCTATTTTAGCATTTTTTCTGTCTTTTTTCTGCTTTTAGATTAATTGCACACATATATTCTTACTCTATTATCTCTTGCCGACTATGAAAGATATGAACACTGTTTTTATTCTTTTAGGAGTTCATGTCATTCTTCATTGTAGAAATCTCAAGTTATTTTGCTAAAGGAAAACTAAAGATGATTGAAAACAAAGATTGAGCGCTGAGTAGAAAAAAAAAAAAAAGCTGTGCTGTCAAGCCAAGGACTAGGTCCAACAAAGTCAAAGTTGACTTTCAGGAATGAGGTAGGGAGAGGAGAAATGTGGTAGGTCTTCTAAAACTGAAAGACTGTGGCCTGTCCCTGTTCCATATCAATAAGGAAAGCAAAGCTGCAGAGTGTCGCTGGCTGACTGACAATGAGTTTGTCACTAGGTGAGTTCTGGCCGGGTTGAAGGTGGTCTGTTGTGTGCATGTGGTGTCAGTCTGAGGATTATGGAGTCAAGGTGCCTCTCCTTTGTACATTACAGGCCATGGACAGGATATGTTGGCCAGTCAGGGGAGCACCGGGTAGGTAAGCCAAGTGACCAGGTCAGGATCTGTTGGTCTCTTTGATCTCTTCAATGAAATTCCAATTGGATGTTAAACCCTCTTGTTCTATCCTGCATGTCTTTGTGTATCATATCTCTTTCATTGTCTCTAATTCCTTGCCCTACAGTGCTGCCTCTGTGCAATGTCTTCATATCTGGTGTACAGCTTGCAGTGACAAGAATCTTCAGAATACCTAGACCACCATACTGAGAAGTGTTAAGAAGTGTTTTTAATCAAATTGAATATTAAATTTCAAGTATATTTTAATTGTCTACTGAAAGATAGTTTCTCCCCTTTCACTTATTATAATAACATTTATAGAGAAATTATAATATGCAAGGCACTATGCTGTTTCATAGGTTTTATCCTATTTAATCTTCAAAATCATGCCGGGAGGGTACAAAAGGATGCTGAGTAGGACTTTTCATTTCCTCACAATTTCGGTGACAGCTAAAGCCAAGAGCAACAGGTGCAACATGGGGAAATAAGCATCTCTCGCTCCTGAGATTAGCCGGAAGGCCCAAGATGGCAGGACCCAGGGAGAGAGGCACTAGATGGACAAGCTGAACTCCCACCATTTCATAAAGCAGGTGTGCTTGAGAGCCCATGGACCAGATGGAAAACACAGAAAGCATCAAAACTATGGCACTCCTAAAAGGCCCTGCCTGGGGGCTTGCCTATAGCAAGGGAATCTCACTCAAAAGGACAAAGATCGTGGCTGTGCCTAGGGCAGGAGCCGCAAGAGATGTCATGAGAAGGCAGCCAATGATTTAGTCTGTTAGAGTTATGATAACAAAAAATAACACTAACCAGGTCACTTATAAACAACAATCATTTATGTCTCAGTTCTGGAGGCTGGGAAGTCCACGATCAAGGCACTATCATATTTGGTGTCCACAAAGGCCCTGCTTCCTCCTAGATGGTGCCTTCTTACTGTGTCCTCACAAGTGGAAGTGGCAAGGCCACTCTCTGGGGTCTCTTTTATAAGGGAACTAATCCCATTCATGAGGGCTCCTGCCTCATGACCCACTCACCTCCCAAAGGAACCATTTCATACTGTGTCAGGAATTGGTGGGTTCTTGGTCTCGCTGACGTCCAGAATGAAGCCGCCAACCCTCATGGTGAGTGTTACAGTTCTTAAACATGGTGTGTCCGGAGTTTGTTCCTTCAGATGCTCAGATGTGTCTGGAGTTTCTTCCTTGTGGTGGGTTAGTGGTCTCGCTGACTTCAGGACTGAAGCTGCAGACCTTCGCAGTGAGCGTTACAGCTCTCAAAGGCAGCATGTCTGGAGTTGTTTGTTCCTTCCGGTGGGTTTGTGGTCTCACTGGCTTCAGGAGTGAAGCTGCAGACCTTCTCAGGGAGTGTTACAGCTCTTAAAGGCGGCACGTCTGGAGTTGTTCCTCCCTCCCGGTTTGTGGTCTCGCTGCAGACCTTCCCAGTGAGTGTTACAGCTCATAAAGGCGGCACGGACCCAAAGAGTGAGCACCAGCAAGATTTATTGCTAAGAGCAAAACAACAAAGATTCCACAGCCTGGAAGAGTACCTGAGGAGGTTGCCACTGCTGACTCAGGCAGCCTGCATTTATTCCCTTATCTGACCCTACCCACATCCTGCTGATTGGCCCATTTTACAGAGAGCTGATTGGTCCGTTTTGACAGAGTGCTGATTGGTGCGTTTACAAACCTTTAGCTAGACACAGAGTGCTTATTGGTGCATTTATAATCCCTTAGGTAGACACAAAAGTTCTCCAAGTCCCCACCAGATTAGCTAGACACAGAGTGCTGATTGGTGCATTTACAAACTTTAGCTAGACACATAGTGCTGATTGGTGTGTTTACAATCCTTTAGCTAGACAGAAGAGTTCTCCAAGTCCCCACCTGACCCAGAAGCCCAGCTGGCTCCACCTCTCAATGGCACTCTCTGCGCGGCTTTGCAGCATGTAACCCGGGCACTCTGGCAGCCCAGAGGGAGCTCGTCCCCAGATCAAGCCCAGCATGCGCCGGCGGGCCACGCCCAGTGCGGGGCGCTGAGCCCGCGCCCACCAGGAACCCGCGCCAGCCCAAGAGGGACACGCACAGCCCAGGCTCCCGCCCACGCTTCTGCCTCCGCACCTCCGCGCCAGCAGAGGCAGCCGGCTCCGGCCTCGGCTCCCAGAGAGGGGCCCCCACAGCGCAGCGGCGGACTGAAGGGTTCCTCAAGTGCGGCCAGAGCGGACGCCGAGGCTGAGGAGGCGCCCAGAGCAAGCGACCTTGTCACCTCTCAATACCACCATCATTTTGGAATTTCAACATATAAATCTGGGGAGACACATTCAGACCATATCAGCCAGGAAGGTCGTGTCTCTCACCAGTCAGGGTACAATGGAACATGGTGGTGGTGGTAAGAGGCCAATGAAGAGTCCTTTGAGGAGCCTCATCAAAGGACCTGCATGTGGCCCCTGCCATGCCAGAGGGCATGGCCATCCAGAGAGAATGACAGATAGCACCAGCCAATTAAAGAGGTACTTTCCCCTTTGCCTCCCTCCCCTCCCAATTTCCCCAGCCCTGGAAGAGCAAGAAATAGAGCCAGTAGAAGAAAGGAAAATAAAAAGAGGAGGAAGAGAAGAGCCAAGCACAGGAAAGGGGAAAGACTGACCATGCCTGCTTTCTGCACTGTGGCTTTTTTTTTACGGGGCCCAGGGGTCAGCATAAGCTGAGGGGAGATGGAGGGATGGAAGATGAGGAGACACATGTTTCACACTGGAGAATGTCATCTAGTTTCTATTTAAACCAGACAGGATTTTTACAAAAAAATGTGTGGACATTTTCAAATCTATACAAAAGCAGAGAGAAGAGTACAATTACTCACCAAGTGCCCATCATCCAACTTCGACTATTATCAATCTTTTACTGGTTGCGGTTTCTCTCCCCTTCTTTTTTTTTTCTGGACTATTTCAAAATCAAACTTTAAATACTTTATCATTTCACTAAAACACACTTCATGTGCATCTGTAACAGCTACGGAGATATCTTTTTAATATACTCACAATGCCACTGTTACATTTAACAAAATACAAAGTAATTATAATTGACTTTTTGATACCCTAAATAAAATGAGGCTGCTCTTATGGTTGAAAATCAATGAGAAGCTGGGGGAATCTGCCCAAGATTCCATCCAATGATGGAAAAAGGCAACATGGCTAAACGGTGTGAAGATAGTGGTAGGGGAAAAATAAAGTTGTTTACTAGATAGTGGCAAGTTCAACATACTCAACAAACCAGTCGTTCATGTTTGAGAAAAATGTAAACTCTGCATTATTGATAATTGGTCTGGCACAAACCGAAAAGGGGATACCGGGCCTAAATATGTAGTTTTGAACTTCAGTAGATAGCAATGCTCTCTAGTGATGAAATTTGCTTCTAGGTGTTTCTTTGCCGAAGACTTCCTTTTTCTACAATAATTCACATTCCCCAATAAAATATCATTTAAAATGGGCAACTTGCTATAGATGTTATTGTTCAATTCTTGTTCAATGATATTGCTTAATCTTTTTAAAGACCTCAGTTTTTTCATCTGTAAAATGGGGATAAAACTAGTATCTATCAGATAGGGTTGTGTGAGATGAAATTTAAAAAGCAATGTGTGTAAGAATGTATGTAGTACTGTGCTTGGAGCATAATAAATGCTCAATTTATCCATTTATTTATTCAACACATATTTAATTAATTGTTTTGATTTAGCAGGCATTCCCCAAGGGCTAGGAATGTAGCATTGGACAGGAACAGACACATTCTGTCTTGAAGGGTACATCACAATGGAGGTGAAAGAGGCTACGTAACAAATCACCCAATTCATCACTTAATTACAACGGTAATCGATTTGATGAAGAAGTACATAGTGAGATTACAGTGGAACCTGAGCTAATCTGAAAGTCTGAGAAAGCTTTCTGGATGTGCTGACAGATGATCTTTTCCAGCTCATCTGGCAGTCTGTTAGAGATAATGCAATTTGCAGTATACATGCCTATAAATATAGAAAGAATCCAAGGCGTTTTTCTCCCTCCTGGACTGGTGAGTTGGTGGATGTCCCATGTGGTTGTGCAACTGTAAATTAAATAGCAGAATAAACCTGAGACTGTACCAATTTTATTCTGCTCTTTTTGAGCCGGGATATACTTACTCTCATAGAAATAGTACACCCTTATGTGCAATTGTTTATCAGCAGGATCCTGTGCCTTTGGGTTCTCTTTTTCATCATTTATTTAAAAATGTTCCACTCTTTTATTACTGCGGAAAAGATACTCTTTTAAGTTATCAATAATCCCCTGTTATACACTGTCTTTTCCTAAGGCATAATTCAATTATTTGTGTTAATATAATGTTCTCTGGTAATGGCTTTGATCCCAAATCTCATTTTTTAATCAAATTTCATAACCAGAAGAAAATAGAGAAATGGATCAGCCTATTGTCATCATTCATTCTTTTATTCAATCTATATTGAACCTTCTACATGCCACACACTCTTCTAAAAGGTGGGGATACCGTGGGAGCCAGACAGAGGGAATTCCTGCCTGCTTCAACAATAACTGTAGGGAGGGAAGGCAGACAATCAAGTATAAAATGAGACTGTTTTATTCACATAAGTGCAGAGGGATGAGAGAGTGAGTAACTGGAAATAATTTTAGATGGGATGGTCAGGAGAGATCTCTCTAATGGGGTGACATATGGCTAACAGATGAGACAAAGAGTCCTGCAGTAAGCTGGGAAAAGAGCATTTCAGGTTCCCATTTGCCCCCTGTGCTCTGGCCCCAGCAAGTGTCTCAATGTTGCAGAAGTAAACCAAGACTTTTAGGATTAATAGCTGTTGATGCTGCTCTTGGGGAGTTGGGATACACCCTAGTCTTCACTGGAGTGTAGTATCCTTGTGGACGCTAGATGGGGCAGGGCCAGGGAGGAAGGTTCCCTTTAGGTTTCCTTTGATAGAACCTGTCTCTGAAAGGTAAGCTAGAAGCTGATGGAAGAAAGGAAGGCAAGTGGCAATTGTTGGTTAGAACTTTATCCTGCCAACTCCCTGCTAGCTGGCCCATGCCATTCGTTCATCTGTTTAGGGGATAAAAAGTGTATGCAAGTCTCTGATTGCATGAAGATGCAATGAAATTCACCTTGTATTTACTGAATCATCTCTCAGGCTTTTCACAAATAATCAACTGCTATCGTCAGTTTTCAATATGGTCTTTTTCTGTAGCTTTATGACAGACAATAGCAGGACTTGCTGTCTTAAAAGACAATGAACTACAAAGTCTAAAATTGTGTAGCTTTTTCTTTATTTTCTAGCAGATATCTTTGCTTATCTGACTGCACTGCAACAAGAACTTCACAAGTACATTCTGTAGTAACACATCTTTGAGCACTTACCCAAATTTGTTCCAGAGACAGCCAAGAGAACCACCCTCTCCACTCTCCAGGGGCACTGCAAAAATACAAAGCCTGCCTGTTTACATCACAGAGTTGCACAATTGCAAGTCTGTAACAGCAACCGGCATTAACAAGGAGCGTCAGGCACCTCCCTTCCTTGAAGGAGCTCGCAGATGTAACTTTGTGACAAACAGGGCGTTTTCTCTCAGCCTGCTCCTCTCTTGTCAGCAACACAAAGGCTCCTTGGCAATGGAATTGTTTTTCTCAGTTCTCTGGTGCCATCTGGAGGTTTGATGTTAGATTCACAGCCAATAATTTAATTCTGCAAACAGGTCCAGGTGTGTGGCAAAGAGGCTTGAGTGGGTAACTCATAAATTAAGATCCTTAGTCTGCATCCTTAAAGGGAAAGTGAAGCACCAAGCTGAGAAAATGATTTAGGTACTTTTGACAACACGTTCTTCTTAATGTAAAAATCAAACAGCAGTAGCTATCATTTGTTTAAAGGGGTGGAAAAGAAGGCGCTATGTAGATGGGTGGTCTACATTTTAAGGGCTCATTAGGCACTGTTCATTGCTTCACTTCACTGACACTGGGGAGACTTGAAGCTTAAATTGCATTAGCCCAAGTTCAAGTGTTAGGAGGACAGCAGGAAAATATTGTAGAGGTTTTTTTTTTATATTATTTATTTATTTATTTATTTATTGAGACAGAGTCTCTGTCGCCCAGGCTATAGTGCAGTGGCACAATCTTGGCTCAGTACATCCTCTGCTTCCAGGGTTCAAGCAATTCTCCTGTCTCAGCCTCCCAAGTAGCTGGGACTACAGGTGCGTACCACCAAGCCCAGCTAATTTTTGTAATTGTGGTAGACACAGTGTTTCGCCCTGTTGGTCAGGCTGGTCTCAAACTCCTGCCCTTGTGTCCGGAGTTTGTTCCTTCCAGTGGGTTCATGGTCTCGCTGATTTCAGGAATGAAGCGTGACCTTCACAGTGAGTGTTACAGCTCTTACAGGTGATGCGGACCCCAAGACTGAGCAGCAGCAAGATTTATTGTGGAGAACGAAAGAACAAACCTCCCACAGCCTGGAAGGGGACTTAAGCAGGTTACCGCTGAGGGCTGGGGTGGCCAGCTTTTATTCCCTGAGTTGTCCCCTCCCATTTGGTCCATTTTACAGAGTGGATTGGTCCATTTTACAGAGTGCTGATTGGTCCATTTTACAGAGCACTGATTGGTCCATTTTACAGAGTGCTGATTGGTTCATTTTACAAACCTCTAGCTAGCTACGGAGCACTGATTGGTGTGTTTTTACAGAGCACTGATTGGTGCATTTTACGAACCTCTGGCTAGCTACAGAGCACTGATTGGTGCATTTTACAAACCTCTAGCTAGCTACAGAACACTGGTGCGTTTTACAATCCTAGCTACAGAGTGCTGATTGGTGCATTTTACAATCCTTTTGTAAGACAGAAAAGTTCTCCAAGTCTCTACTGGACCCAGAAGTCCAGGTGGCTTCACCTTTCAACCTCAGGTGATCTGCCTGTAGAGCCTGTTTATGTAAGGGCATGAGTTCTGAAGACAGTTTGCATTGGTTCAAAGATGGGTGGGATGGCAGAGGGGTCCATGGTCTCCATGAGGTTGCCTGTTGGAGAAGGAATGGGGTATGTTGTGATGAAAGAATATGCTGCACTGGACATTTTTTTCTTAAATTCCCATCAACACCAATTGACTTCTGAAACAAGGAAACATTCTTGTTATCTTAGTAATTGTTATTCTTATAATATCGGTAATATCCTCTGATAATTATGCTGCATTTTATAGCTTGTAAAGAACTTTCACATATAGCAATATCAGAGGATTTTAATTTTTTATATATATTGAGTTAATATAAGCAAAGCACCTTGGACAGTACTTGGCACATAGTCAGTGCTATATAAATGTTTAGTAGATCATTATGATGAGAGGCAAATGGTCTCTAGTTACCTTGAATCTAAAAAGAATTTCTTCATAGTCTGTTACAGCCTATTAATGTGACTTTAAAACATAGCCAATATAAGATCCTCTCTTCGATGAGAAAGGTAAATCATTGCCTGGAGAAAATGAAGCTCTTGAAAATCGAGCTGTTTGTCCCATAACTGAATCTTAATAAATCCTAATATCACATTCTTAACATTAAAAATTATGATCCTTAAGTGATAAATTCAAGCCACTTAAGATATAGACTATTTTCTGAAATGCACTCCAAAATGGGTGTAACTGAATTTATTGAACCATCTAAACTAAATAAGCCACAACACAAAATGGTGTTTTTCTCTCATCTTTGCTTTCAAACTTGATTAGTTGCATCTCTCTTTTCCATCACTTAAAGATGCTTTAGGCAAATCCCGTAGCTTTTTGCTTACTTTCAGTTACTCAAGCGATATTTAAAAGCACACTCTGGTCCGGTTCATTTTAAGCTTCAATCACTCACTCAACCTCATATCCCCTCTCTTGCTCCCCAGAACCAGCCAGGCAGCAGGTGAGACTTGAGTGTAATCTATGTTCTCTTATGTCCGCCTTCCCTTCTCCTTTTTGCTTCCACCTTTGGACAAGGAGAGAGGGAATTACAGAAGAGGGGCAAAGGTGTTTTGTTTAACTGGTGTAATGTCATTCTCTCTCGGCAGACGCGCTCTGTATAGGAGGCTGGCTATTTTGGAGACACGGGTTTGTTCCTTAGGAGACTCTATAGGCGGCTTCACCACGCACATTATCTTTGCTTGGCAGAGTCACTCCAGCTTCACCCCTAGGTAAGCCCCTCCCCAGCTCCTGCCCGCAAAGGGATGCCCCCCTCCTTGCACTTCATGGTCAGCCCACAGCCTTCTTTAGTAAGCTACCAAGCCTGGCACCCTCCCACGGTGTCTACTTATCCTGCTCACCCTGCCATGTGAGATACGGAGAGCAGGAGGCTCCCGGACAGCTCCTGCCTATCCTGCATCTAGCCTCTTGTCTCTTTCCTCTCTTTTCTCTTGCTTAGAGAGACACACAGGGCAGACAGAAGCAAGTTAGCTGCCTATGCAGCTGTCTAGCCGGGGATTGAGGTGCCACCACCCGCACTTGGGCAGGCATGACTGAGGGCCCAACTCTGAAGGTAACTCTTAGCCTGGGCAGCGGTGGAGAGTAAAAAACCGTAGCCCTGGGCTCTGATTCTGAAGGGTCCCTTCTCTTTCTGGTTCCTGTTCTTACATATAGGAAGGGCTGTGGTGAGTTGATGGGATCCAGGCAAATTCTTCCATCTCTTGGCATCTCCTGGGCAGCTCTTTTTGGAATCTGATAACACTTCACACTTTCTGTTTTCAGCTCAGGGACTTCATTCTAAAATTGTCAGAGGACAGAAAAAGTCCTGTGCACATTTTGTCACACTGGTATCACGGGTGTCATAAAAACTTTTTAAAGCTCTTTCTTTGTTTCAAAAACCTTTTCTTTTGGCAGCCAGGATGGTTCAACAGGGAAAAGCAGAATCTTGTCCTTGCTGCCAATTTCTTGGTGCAATTTGCTAAAAATACACATTCTCTGTAGGCATGATTTGATTATATTTAAAATTTTTACAATTTTTGTGAACACTGAATCAAGGTCAGGAGCTCTATATTTGGTAAATTAGTGCTTTTTAAGAGAAAGGCAATGTATGGATTGGCTTCCAAGTACGAGTTGTATTTGAGTAGCAGTGGCTATCTTCATGACATATCTAGGTTTTCTAGTTTAAAGAAACTTTAGGTCTTAGTTTCAGTTTTTGGTTTTAAAAACTTTGATTAAAGAACTGCTTTGATAAACAGAAGCCACCAAGAGCTTCTTCTCATATATGTACTGCAAACATGCATGATCAAATACCAGTGATCTATGTCATCTAATTGCAACACAAAATAGCTCCTTGAACATGCACGATAAAAGCATATTTTTTAAAAAAAAGTTAAAAACATTACACTCATACAAATATAAAGCAAATGTGTGTCAATGAGCTGTTGATTTATTGATGAGGAAACCAGCAACGTGCACAGAATGATTGAAAGAAAAATTAGAGAAAAAAAAGATTACACAGTCTATTAGGAAAGGAATACCAAAATAAATTTGCTAAGTCAGAGATATAACTAGTTAATGTTTTGCATCTCCATTAGACAAAAATCTACAAGTTAACACGTGACTTCAGAGTCTTGGCTTTAATTAACAGAAAGTAGTTAATCAACAAGAGTCCATCTTTTAAAAAATGAAATAATGCTTGATGGGCCTGATAGATGCTGGTCTGGTATATGATATTGAAAGCACGAGCAATCTTCTTTTGCTTTATTTCTACATTTTGGATAATTTTTAAACAATAGCATTTGTTGTAATCTATCATGTGCCATTGCTATGATGTGGTGTCCAACAGTATGATCTGACTAGAATTGCAAAGATTAATTGATTATTTTCCCAGGTACAATACTTATCATTGGTTTTGTGGCTAACCCTGCAAGCTTCTTGGTAGTGGAATAACTTGTAGTTCTTTTTGCTGTGAGAAGTAGAACTCTAAAAGGTGCCTCCCTAGTTTATTTTTTCCATCTTTTCATCCTCCTCCTCCTCCTTTTTCTTTTTTTTTAAACAAACTTTTTATTTTGGAGTAGATTTACATTTACAGAAAAATTAAGGAACTAGTACAGAGAGATCCTGTGTACCCCACACAGTTTCCTCTGTTAGTAACATCTTATATTAATATGGTATATTTGTCACAATTAATGAACCAATATAGATACATTGTCATTAACCAAAGTCCATACTTCATTTAGATTGCTTTAGTTTATACCTAATGTCCTTTTTCTCTCCCAAGATCTTATTCAGGATACCATACTACATTTAATTGTCCTGTTTCCTTCGACTCCTCTTGGCCTTGAAAGTCTCTGAGTTTCCTCGGTTTTGATTACCTTGACACTTTTGAGGAGTGTTGGTCAGGTATTTTTGTAGAATATTCATCAATTTGTATTTGTCTAATGTTTTTCTCATTAGACTGGGATTATGGGGTAGGAGAGGAGGATCACAGGTACAGTGCCATTTTCATGATATCAAGGATACATACCATCAACATGACTGGTCATTGTTGATGTTGACCTTGGTCACCTGGCTGAGGTAGTTTGCCAGTCTTCTCCACTGTAAAGTTACTCTTCTCCCTCTATTTTCCACACTGTACTCTTTGGAAGGAAGTCAGTATATGCAGCCCACACGTAAGGAATGCGAATCATGCTCACTTTTCTTGAATGCAAATTATCTGTATTAGTCAGGGTTCTATAGAGAATCGGAACCAATAGGATGTATGTGTGTGTATATGTGGAGAGAAGGATTTATTATAAGGAATTGGCTCATGCAATTCTGGAGGCCAGGAAGTCAAAAATCTGCAGTGTGGGTTGTCAGGCTCAAGACTCAGGTAAGCCAAGAATATAGATGAAGTCCAAAGGCAGTCCACTGAAGAATTCCTTCCTGCTTGGGGAGGGCAGTCTTTTGGTTTGATTCATGGTTCGACTAATTGGATGAGACCCACCCATATAATGGAGGACAATCTGCTTTACTCAAAGTGCACCCATTTAAATGCTAATCACATCTGAAAACATCCTCCAAGTTAGCACACAAAATTAACCCTCACAGTATCTGCATAAATTATTTGAAATTCTTCTGCACTGGAGATTTGGCTATTCTTCTCCATTTATTTATTTATGCAGTCATTTTGTTTATATCAGTGTAGACCCATCAATATTTATTTTATATATTGGGTTATAATTCAGTACCACTTTGTTTATTTTGTTGCACAGCTTGTTCTGCCTTTGGCCATTGGGAGCTTTCTGTCAGTTCCTGTATCCTTGGCATAGGCCCATCAGTGTCAGTTTTTCTGTGCATTTCCTTATTACTAGCATTGCAAGATGTTTCTCCTCCATCCTTAGAATCATCCATTGCTCCAAGGAGCCCTCATTCCTTCTATCAGAGAATGGTATTAGAAACCAGGATCTGAGTTCTAACTTTACTTGCTACTACTTGGGTGTCATTTATTACCTCTAGTTCCTCTCAGCTGACAAAATAGAGAAATACATGTATACACGTATCTATATAACCCATGTACAGATACATCTATAAATATTCATGTACTATTTATATATTAAGCTAAATATGAGTTTATACAGATGTCTCCCACTCTAATCAATTACCCATGGATTATTCTAGCCTCCTCCCTTTGCTCGTCTGTAACTTCCCACTCCAACAGTGAGGAGCCTGGCTCCCACCCTCCATTACACTTCACTACCTCTTCATTTTTTACACTAAAATACATCAACTTTAGGGTGAAAATTACCAAGCTTATTTTAGAAAAACTCATTTGGCTCACCAAAGAGATGCTATACCTTATTTTTCACAAACCCTTGAAAGATTTCACAATGCCATTTTGAAAAACTTTGTAACAGAACACAATGGGACTGGTGGGTGAATGGATCAATGTTTATCAATACAATCTAATTTTCAGATGCTCATTCTTTTATTTCTTTAGTTCTTCTAAAAGAATGAAGACAACAATGTGACAGCATTTCAGCTGGTGACATCATTTCTCTTGTATCTTCATTTCTCTCAGCATATACAGATCAACCTCTGTCTTCACAGGTGCTCTATTTATTATTTACATCTAGTGTATTTTTCTGATTTGTAGTATATTCATTAAATTTTTAATCACTAACCACCTGCTTCAATGAGTCATTTTTGATATGCTTTCTTGTAAATTGGTATTATAACACTTCACGTCTTATTGTTTTTGTTTTGTTTTGTTTTGTTTTGTTTTGAGACGGAGTTTCTCTCTGTTGCCCAGGCTAGAGTGCAGTGGTGCGATCTTGGCTCACTGCAACCTCTGCCTCCCTGGTTCAAGTGATTCTCCTGCCTCAGCCTCCCCAGTAGCTAGGACTGGGCCACCCACCATGCCCAGCTAATTTTTTTTTTTTTTTTTTTTTTTTTTTTTTTTTTTTAGTAGAGACGAGGTTTCACCATGTTGTCCAGGATGGTCTCGATCTCTTGACCTCGTGATCCACCCCCGCCCCCACCCCCCGTCTCCCAAAGTGCTGGGATTACAGGCATGAGCCACTGCGCCCAGCCAACACTTCACATTTTAAAATCAACTTTACCAAGGTCTCACTTACATATGATAAAATGCATTCATTCGAAGTGTATCGTTTAATGAGTTTTGGCAAGCTACATCCATGGAACTACCAACATAATCAATATAAGAAAATAATTGCTGCATCCCCAAAAGTTCCCAGGGTCATGAGCCTGTTTACAATCAAGCCTTCCCAAGCCCTGATTATTGTCACCATAGATTAGTTTCCACGCAGCAATTTAAGAACAAGAATCACAACTAATAGAATACAAGTGACATTGGAAAATTTTCACAAGACTCTGTTAGCTGAATGACAGCTGAAACAAATTTACCAACGCAGTTCTTGGAGCACATTTACAACTTTTATGATATAATCATTAAAATGCAGTGGAATTTAAAAAGTATAATTAATATTACATTTCAAATTTATAAAACATGTGTAAATAGGATTGTTTCATCATTTTTATCTCCAAAACTGCCTAACCATATGTGGACTACTTGATATACCATAAGCAATGTGTATAGCACATTTTGCAAAACATAATTCTAGGAGGCCCTTGGCTTTAAAAAGTCAATGGCATTGACTTTTCTAATTAAATATATGATAATGTCAGGGGGTGGGGGAGCAGGCAACTTAGGCACACATCTGGCTTTTTCTAGGGAGAAGCCATAACATTCAACAAATAGATGTCAAGGTTTTTTGAGAATTGTATAGGAGAGTTAGTCTAGTACAATTAATCTCAATCTTCAGTGTAGTTAATAAGTCTTTCTTCTAGGCATATGCTTGGATTTTATCCCTGGACAGCATGGTTCAGTAGGTGACAGGGCCCAAGGATCTGAATCCTAAATGAACATCCCAGGTGACCCTGCTGCAAGTGTTCCACTGACATCACATTGAGAAATACTACTTTAGACCTCTCAATCTGAAAAATCTGATTCCATGCATTTCAGTCATGACTTTCCTATAACTGGAAATACTGTATCTGATGCAAGATGATGATGTGTCAGGGAGTTTCTGACAGGCATTTTCGCATTTGAGGAGACATTGAACTCACTGATCTTTAAAACCCTTTCACTTTGAATAATTTGTGCATTCATTGTCATATAGCTTGTAAGCATCCCTTACCTTGGAGCACTGTGTGCCTGGAGAGAAACGAGGTGACACATGGAGACACTACTTTCCTCCCCCAAAACAATATGTCACTCTTCTAGTGAGAACTAGAAGAGGGTTTTGTTTTTCAGGACAGCAATGAGGGAAGAGGGTTCTCTTTCAGGCACACCCAGGACCGAGTCAAAAGCTGAGGGAATGAACCACAGCAGATGATGAACTGACTGCCATTGCATGGAAGCAGGTCCCAAGAGAACCCAGCTTTGAACCCATGAAGTTATGGCAGCTTCCAAAAGCCACGTGCAGAGAGGGTGATCTCATGTTCTTATGAGGTGGCTGTACTGAGTAGAAGCCATAGAGAATTGGCCAAAGAAAAACATGTCACAAATAATTACAGTAGCTCTCCAACAAGAGTTGTACAGTGGTACTTCAAGAAAAGACAAGAAAATTGGAAAATATAGTTTGTAAAAGGTTTACTGTTTCCTTCATAAGAAGCCTGAAATATCTTTAAGATGTGCTGTCTTCTAGAAAACATCTACAATGAACAGAAAAGATCAAGGACATCCAATACTTCCCCACAATGATATCCTCAGGCTATTCCATTTAAAACATTTTCCTTAGAGTCAACATACTTCTGGAACAATGTACAGTGAATTTAATTTTATTAGCAAAATAATAAAACAAAGCATATTCTGGACAATAATCAATACTCTGAAATTATATTACTTTAGTTAGTTTTCCCTTTTAAATTATTTTTTCCACTTCAATTTAAAAAATGTCTCCAAGTAATTCATGCGCATAATTTAAAAAGTCAAATAGAACCACAAGGCTTACAAGCAAACAAACAAACAAAAAGGGCTGTAATCTTTTGGCCTTCTTTTTGCTACCTCCAGAATAGCTGATATGAAAACTTTTTCCACAACTACGGGGGTGGAGGGTAGAGGCTCCTGAGCTGGTCTGAATTTGTTCAAGTGCCCTTTCCTGAGCAGATCACTGAAGTCAGGGGGATGATAACAGTTATGAGCTTTTGCCAGTTGGAGCCCCTGGAACTGGAGAAAAGTCAGTCTCTATCACACCTCACAGCTGCTACCAACGATCTCACCAATGATAGTGGTGGAAGGGGCGCTGGACAGACTACTGTGTTCCTGGAAACACTTTCCCCAGCCCCCTTCACTTTCTCCCAGTGGTAGACTAATAATGGTCTCCAAAGATATCCAGATCCTAATCTCTGGAAACTGCGGATGTTATATGGTAAAAGTGATTAAATTAAAAATTCTTGAGATGGGAGTATTCTGGATCACCTAGGTGTCCTTATAAGAGTGAGGCAGAGAGAGATTTGACAGATAAGAATGAGGCAATGTGAGGGCTGAAGCAAGATGCTACATTGCTGGCTTTGAAGAAGGAGGAAGGGGCCACAAGCCAAGGAATGCAAGTCTGGAAAAGATAAGACAGGCCCTCTCTTTAGTAAAAGAATGAATAAATATATTTGCACAGTTCGTTGTCCAAGTTTAAATTCCTTTCCAAATGGCTGCGAATGAACCTGTCCTGCTGCATTTGCATTAAGAAGATGTGTTTCTGTTTCTCACAGAAGCTATTGACCTAATCTACGCTGCTCCACTAAATTGACTTGGATCTTGACGTTCATAATGTTGAGTGACTGCAGAACTTAATTTAGCCACAAGATGGAGACTTCATCCTAGTCCTGGAAAACATCTCAGCACCTGGGGTTTCTGTAAGTAAAATTCCAGAATGAAATACCTTAATTAATTTATCGTCCAGCCTCTGATCCCACGTACAAGATGAAGAACCTGAGTTCCAGAGAGATCACAGAATTAGTTTTCAAAGGAGTCAAATCTAGAAGTTTGTTTCCTAATTCCCATTCTGATGTTCTTCAGCAAGCATCACTTTTGCTTCCTATGTCTTTTTCTGATATGCTATTTCTCTTATTTTCTGAGAATTACACTTACTCATGTAAAGGGTTTTTTTTTTTGTTTTCTTCTCTCCCTGTTGCTATGTTTCAGGCAGATAACTTATTTAAAATCATTTCACATTGCTGTCTACATTGGCCTACGCATTGCTAACCTCAGGAGAAAACTCAATTCAAACTAAATAATATCCACCTGTAGCTACCACAAAATGTTCAGCTGGGGCCTTGGGGTGTTTGGGTGAATCAAACATGGTCTTCACCTTCCAGGAGCTCTAAGTTAAATGGATGAGGAAGAGAAGCAAATGAGATGATTGCCTTAAGAGAGGTATACTACTCTTTCTATTAGCAGAGAAGAGGAGGGTATCCCATCCAACTGGAAACCGGAGATCCTTGGGAAGGAGATGACGTTTAGGATAGACCATGAAGGTCAGATGAGATAGTATAAGCCATAAATAGGGTAAAGGAGTATGTAGATGACAGACAGCTTGGACAAATTATGCAGCCAGGAAAGGAAGCAGAAATTTGGGAAGTAGGAATTCTGTTAATCAGGATATGCTCTGTTCTGCAGTTGTAACAGATTACTCCAAATGGTCAGTGGCTTAACAAAGGCTTATTTGTTACACATGGTCATGTCTAACAAGTGTCGGCAGAGCTTTATTCCATACAGTCACTCAGGGACCCAGGCTGAGTAGGAACCATCATCCTGAAACTCCATTATCTGGCTCACACAACTTAAGTTGCCATAGTAGAGGAAAGAAAACTAAAATATTGTTCATAAATTTTTCACTGCTTCTGTCAGAAGGGGCATGTATCACTCGCACACATATATTATTGGCCAGAACTTGTCGCATGGCTCTAACTCAACACAAGCCTGGACTATTTGGTGCATGTTACTTTCTCTGCCACAAGAGTATTCCAAAATTGACTGTAATTCAGAATATTTATAAGGCAGGAGCTTGGATCTTAACGTAGAAAGCCTTTCAAGTTTTGGTGAAAGGCTAACAATTTGCCCCAACTCTGAGAGTATCAGAACTCTGTTTTAATATAAAGAACATTACATGTTTACCAATGAGCCAAGCTTTCCCAAAAGTCAAGTAGAGGGAGCAAAGCTTTGCTATTACTGTGCATAAGATTTTTTATTAATTCTGCAAAGGGGCCACTGGCAAGAACAGATTCTAAGGACCTCTCGTAGCTCCAGGCTACATCAAGGCAATCAGATCTGGGAGTTGCCAGTGTCAATATAACAAAGGAAATACATTCCTGGGCATGGTGATAGAGAGTGGGAGGTAGATTCACAGATATCTTCCAGTGTTTCACGTCTGAGAACCTTCCAAAATAGTTGTCTTTCTCCTACTTTGACATCTAATGAAGAAAAGCATTCAGATGATCACCACAACTTTAAGAGAGTCACCCTTGATTTGTGTGATAATGTGAAACTTACTAAGCAGCTGAAGGAATTGGGTAATTCTGTGTTACGACACTGGAGCCGTAAATCCGACCAACCCCATTAAATACTTAGGAGTCTGTTTACTATCTGTCTCTATTTATTACCTGGCTTCCCCCCATGACATTGCAGAGAAATAAAGTGCAAACAAGAACTACACCAGAAGAAGGCAGGTACAGAAAGCTTTGTTACCTCCTACTGAAATGAACTAAATTTGTTTGCAGGCCAAACTGTGCTAGAAAACTTTTGAAAGCATTGCAGTTTGACTAAGGAAAAGGTCTGAAGTCTTTCCAACTGTCCCAAGATATTTCTCAAATTATCGCTAATGGAATCAGATTATTTGGGAAATATTAATCTATGCATATTCAGACTCAGATACTGAGCTAAGGAATTCAAATAGTTAGTATTCCTACATGGATTTGGTTAGTGATAAGGTACAGATCCAGGCATGTTCTGGGTGTCACATTGCCCAGGTCATGCCAGGGCTATGGAGAGGACAAACAGGTGTCTGGAAAGGGACATATTTCTCAGGCGGACAGGAGCCTAGTTAGAGCAGGGCTGGCTAAACAGTATAAACCAAAGGCGGGCCAAACTCATTCAGGAGTTTGGCATAGACTTGGAGAAATTCAAACCAAGTAGTTCCTTATAGGACAAAGGTGGCAGCATCATTCAGTCTCTTTAACAAGGTAACAAGGTTACTCAACACCTCCTCATTGTTGGGAAGGATGGGGTAGGGGTAAAGGGCTGAGTAGTAGGGCCAACATGCAGGAAAATGACGAGAGCATAACTTTTCTTTCTGGTCTTGAAGGTAACGTCTTCACAGGATGGGATTCCCTGAAAGCTGCCATTATTATCTCCAGGTTTCCCTCCTATCCATCCATTGCTGCTGAGTAGGGCAACGCCTGGGACCAGTTAATTATCACAGGAGAAGATCTTTCCAAATCAGGGATTGTAAAGGTGGAGGGGAAAATTCTCCCTTCAGTATTCTAAGATGAATCTCTTCAAGCCCAAGATGGCAGCAGTTGTCTTCTTAGTGCAGCCTTGCTCAATTCACTTATCACTGGGTCTCGGAGTCTCAAAAGTAAAAAAGGGCTGTGCACATTACACACACACACGCGCGCGCACATACACACACTCTTTAGCATCATATAATGTCATCACTGGTATCCTGGAGTCTTTACTGCTTACCTGTACCCTCTTTCCTCCACAAGGTCAATGAAACATCAATCATCCAATGCAGAACCAGAAAAGAAAGGCTGCAGGTACTTGACGGTTACATTGAAAAGCTGAATGGCAGGAAGATGGGCAACTGGTTTAAGTTTAAGATAGAGAGTTGAGATGTCCTGCCTTTAGATATCAGGAGCTGGGGAGATTATAGAAGGAAGGGACAAGGTAGATAATAGACAATAAGAACCAAAGATCTGCAGCAATGAAGGGAGCAGGCATCATGAGTCACCATCATCTTAGAGTCCAATTGTATTTCTTTTTGCCATCATGGGGAAACCAAAAGTAGAAAGTGGTCACCACTGTTTTTAAATTGTCCAGAGAAAATAACATTTTTCTGTGCTGTGATAATTCACTCAAGCCTCCATCCAACCCAGACCATGCGGACATCCTCCATTCTGTGGTCCAGGATACATTTCAGCTCTGCCAGAAACACAGGATGGTCCCTGACCTCCTACAGAATTGTGAGTCTTTGAAGGAAAGACTTTCCTCCAAGGAAATAATTATGGAACAGGTAGAATTTATGGGGCGCATGGAGAACCCTGTAGATGTCTACTAAATATGTTGCATATATCGGTGAATTTCATATCTGTAACAGGACAAGAACTATCCTGCCCAACTATATAAGGTTGTTGTGAAGTTCACATGTGCTGTATATGATTGTCTGGATGTATCATATGCCTGTTCATTTTCTCCAGGTTACATCTTTCTGTGAGATCTAGGAATTGGTGCAGACAGGAAGGTAGAGAAAGGAAGAATAATAATAGTCTATCTGTTCTGCCTTTTTCCTTTCCTTTCCATCTTCAACACATTCTGTCTCTATTTTTCTTTATCTCTGTCTCTTTGTCTTGTTCAAATGCTACCACGGCTGTACTATTTGCATTCCTACCAGTATTGTATGAAAGTTCCAGTGGTTCGGCATCTTCTCCAGCATTTGCAATTGTTTTTTTTCCTTTGTTCTAATAAATGTATAGTGTCATCTCATTGTTGTTTGATTTTAGTGACTAATAATATTGAACTTCTTTTCATGTACTTATTTGCCATTCATAGACCTTCTTTGGTGAAGTAACTATTCACAGTTTTGGCCCATGTTTAATTGGGTGGATTGTTTTCTTATCATTGAGTCTTAAGAGTTTTCTGTGTATTCTGGATACAAGTTCTTTCTTAGGTATGCGTTTCGCGAATATTTCTCCTAGACTCTGCCTTGTCTTTTTATTCTCTTAATGATGTCCTTCAATGAGCAGACATTATCACTTTAAATGAAGTCTAATTTATCAAATTTTTAATTTTATGGATCATGCTTTTGGGTTTGTATTTAAGAAATCTTTGCCTAACCCCACATCACAAGGATTTTCTGTTTTCTTCTAGAAATATTAAATTTTTAGGCTTTATGTTAGGCCTATGATCTATTTTGAATACTTTTTTATAGTGTAAGGTATAGTTCAAGGTTTATCTTTTGCATATGAGTGTCCAATTTTTCTAGCACAATGTGCTGGGAAAAAAAACTTATTGAATTGTCTTTGCACTTTTGTTGAAAATCAATTGACTATATACTATTTCTAGACTCTCTGGTTCCATTGAACAGAGAGTCTATCATGTGTCTATCATTTGTCTAATACCACATTGTCTTGGTTAGATAAACTTTATAGTAAATCTTGAAATCAGATAGGATGAGTCCTCTGGTTTTGTTTTTCATTTCCAAAGTGATTTTGGCTATTTTTTGCTTTGCCTTTCCATGCAAATTTCGAAATTAGCTTGTCAAGTTATACAAAAGAAATATAGACTTCTGATTGACATTGGGTTGAATACCTGAATTTGAACAAGAATTGCAGCTTTCACAACATTGAGGCTTAAATCCATAAGCATAGTATATTTCTCCATTTATATTTGAGATTTATTTCTTTCATCAGTGTTTTACAGTTTTTAGCCTAAGATAATGGGGTAGATTTTCTATCACTTGAAATAAAGACTATCAATTAATATAGCATACTTGAATGATTTTAAACAGATGTCCAGCAAATCAGGTGTGAGAAGGGTTCAGGAATATGTTAGGATTAATTCTTAAGTATGGTTTTGTGTGACAAGTGTCCAGAAAGGCAAGAGTGACAGAAGATCAAGAATACTTGTATAAGGTTAATTTAAGAGATCACTTACGGAGTTCAGTTTGAACAGGAAAGATAATGAGAAAGACAAAAGCTGATATTTGAAAAAGTTAACAGTTCAAATGTCTCATTGTGGTTAAAGGATATGTGCAAAGAGAGGAATGGTTTGATAACTGGGATAGGTCATTGTATGATCAGAGAGTGGAATATTATTCATAAGAAGAGAAGATAGATGTGTAAAAGGAGCTAATAAGAACCAAAGATCTGCAGCAATGAAGGGAGCAGGCATCATGAGTCACCATCATCTTAGAGTCCAGTTGTATTTCTTTTTGCCATCATACGGAATAAGAACCAAAGTAGAGAAGATAGATGTGTAAAAGGAACTCAGTGAGGCCTCGGAAGCATGTGACTGAAGTGGAATGGGTGTGAATGTCCATGAGTTCTAATTATGCCTAGTTTCACTGACTTTTGACACCAGTTACTTTACAGGTTAGGGACACAGTTTTCCACAAGACTACACAAACTAAAGACATCAGACACAAGTTCAAAGGCTCACAGGCCACTCTTACTCCTGACCAGCTTGCTACAAATTTGGTGGTTCCCATAACCCCCTCAGGATTAATAATTCACTAAAATGACTCATGGAACTCAAGAAAGTCCTATAAATTACAGTTGTAGTCTTATTACAGCAAAAGGATACACATCAGAACCAGCCAAAGGGAAAGAGATACACATATAATGAGGTCTAGGGGAGTTCAACACAAAGCTTCTGTTGTTCTATCCCCAAAGAGTAAGGATGCATTACCTTCCTGGCATATCAATGTGTGACATTATCAGAATATTAACAACCTGTGAAGCTCAACTGAGCTTTGCTGCCCAGAGTTTTTATTGAGGTATCATTACACAATCATGACTGATGGAATCTTTGGCCTTGCAGTTGAATTCAATCTCTAGCTCCCCTTGGCTCCCTGGAGACTGAGCTGATATCACCTGGCTCAAAGCCCCACCCTCTAATCACATGGTTGGTCTTTCTGGCAGGAGCAGCCAGCTCCTGTCCTGAGTCATCTCTTTAGCACAGACTATCAAGTTTGATCCCAGGAGTTCACCATGAATAATAGACACTCCTACCACTTAAGAAATTCTAAAGGTTTTGATGCTACTTCCCAGGAACCAGGGACAAAGTCAGGCATATTCTTTATTGCATATCAGTTAAAGTAACAAGAATAGTGACCAGAATTGGCTGTGGAAGATGCCAATTTTAAATTTCATATCCCTACAATAAGGATAAGGGTTGATGAAGTCAGAGTGTGTAACCACCCAGGGGTCCAGAAGCAGGTGTGGGGAACAGAGGGCTAATGCAGAGTAAAGTCTGAAAGTGTGAACGGACATAGAGGAGAATCTGTCCTCTGGTTCAAGAAATTAGAATCTTGAGCTCTTTCAAAAGCTGTCATCTTCTGTGTTCCAGTGTGTCCTCCTGGCCTCTATATCCCTACATTAGGTCTCTAGCTTCTCTTGAGGCACCTGAGTCCCCAAGTGCTGAGTGTGCTCTACAGATGTACCTTAAAACACTTCTTTGCATCTACTCAACCCAGATCGGAAAATATCTTTTCCTATTTTGTTGTGTCAAGGCTAAAGACAATACGGAAAACCTTTTCTCCACCTGCATTTTATCCTGGGATAGGTCAAAAAAGGGTATGCTTTTATCCTCATATTATCAAACAAAAACCATAAGAAAAAAAGAAGTTAGTTTACTTACTCTTTATTACAACTTCTCCTTTGAAAACTACAAACTATAGAATTAAGAAAGGGGTTGGAGGTCTGATTTGGAAGGGCTAGAACTCTGCTTCAAACCATCTAATCTTTATTTTCTCACCTAGGTAAATCTCTGACTGTCTCATGTAACCAGCTCTTTCAATAGGCCTGGTTATGACTCTATGGTCTGAAGGGACTGATGCATGGGCTGGAGCTAAGTCTTCTATGTTCTGAAGATCCAGAGATATTCACTTAGGAGTCAGAATTCTAGTATGAATTTATAAGGGCTCTTTTCCAAAAGATGCTTGGTTGGTATTGACTCATATGTTCATTTGAAATGGGTTTTTCATGATCCTTGTTTTCCAGGAGCTAATGATATCATTGGAACAAATCAGTGCTGTAATTTATGACCTATTTCTTTCTGCTGTGAGTGAAAGACACCAAAGGCTAGCTTGGGGAGACACTTGGCCAGACTCCCACCTATTTATCTGCATCAGGGCTGGCAGACACTGTAATTACATTTGCTTCATTTCCCATACAATTTATAGAAAGATCATTAAGCAGCAGGAAATAACAGAGGTCAGAATACATGAGATTACACCAAAAGGTTTAGGCTGGCTATTGGGATTAGAAACAACAGGAAAGATCAGCTTCAAGGATTTGCAGAAAGTGTTAAACAAAGCTGTAATCCTTTTGTGATTGTTATTCCTTGGAGTCAATGTTCTTTGAGAGATTTTTATTATAAAACTGAGATAAACCACTACTCATATCAATAAAGGCTGCATAAATATATTATCATTATACGGCATATATTATGCAGTATATATTATGTCTTAGGCCTGAATTAGGTTCAAGTCAACACGATCAAGATGAATATCTAGTTCACATCAGATTCCAGCAATGCTGCAGGGAAGCTCTCCTCCAGGTGGTGACTCAGAAATCCAACGTACTTCCATCTTGTGGTTCTGACACCTCAATTTATAGCTTCCATGTTCACTTCCAAAGGAGACAAAACATGTGGATGGGTTATATCAGCTCTTATTGTCTTGGCCTGTACATGACACATTCCATTTTGCCTAACATGTCATTAGAACTAGTCATGGCCCATGTGTCCAGGAAGGAGAGGAAAACCAGATATGGGTGAACCCTTGTTGTCCGTTCCTTGTTGCCTCAACTGTTGTTATCATCAGGGTTATATTAGAGCTGTGCTAGTAGAGTTAACAGATATAAATAGCACACAGCAGGTACTCAGTAAATGCTAACTTTTGCTGTTATTATTTATTATATTCCAAGTCATTAAAGTAAACATGTACTTCGTACAAAAGAAATATCATAAACCCCAAAAGGGGAGATGACATTTGGAAAGGCAGCTCAAAGTTTTTTGTTCATTTTTTTATATGCTTGATATTATATTTTTGAAATAGTCTTTTATTTAGAATAGTTTTAGATTTACATAAAAATTGTGAAGATAATACTGGAAGTTCCCATAGGACCCCACACCCACTTTCCCCTATTATTAATATCTTACATTAATATGGTATATTTGTCACAAGTAATGAATCAATATTGATACATTATTAAAGTCCATGTTTTATTCAAATTTCTTGAGTTTTTGCCTAATGCCCTTCTTCCGTCTGAGGATCCTACCCGGGATCCCATATTATATTTAGTCATCATTTCTTTTTAGACTCCTGTTGGCTCTGTTTCTCAGACTTTTATTGTTTTTGATGGCCTTGACAGTTTTGAGGAATCCTGGTCAGGTATATTGTAGAATGCCCCTCCATGGGTATTTGTCTAGTGTTTTTCTTATAATTGGACATGGGTTATGAGTTTTGGGGAGGAAGACTACAGAAATAAAGTGTCATTTTCATCATATCAAGGGTGCATACCGCCAACATAACTTACGACTGTTGACGTTGACCTCAATCACCTGGCTGAAGTGCTTATCAGATTTCTCTAATGTAAAGTTACCCTTCTCTCCCCCATATTTTGTACTTTACTCTTTGGAAGGAAGTAACTTACAGCTCGCATTTAAGAAAGGGCTTCATCTCTCTGAGGGCAAAGTAACTACATAATTTATTTAGAATTCTGCACTGGAGATTTGTCTATTCTCCATTTATTGATCTATTCAACCATTTACAGTCATGTGTTGCTCAATGACTGGGGTATATTCTGAGAAACATGTCATTAGGTGATTTCATCATTGTGTGAACATCACAGGGTTCCAAAGGGGACAATCTTACTACACAAATCTAGATGGTAGAGCCTACTGCACACATATATGGTATAGCCTATTGCGCCTAGACTAAAAACCTGTACCACATATTATTGTACTGAATACTATAGGTAACTGTAATGCAATAGTAAGTATTTGCATATCTATACATAGAAAATTGTAGTACAAATATAATACTGTAATCTTATGGGACCACTGTTGTATATGTGGTCCACTGTTAACCAAAACATATTATGTGGCACATGACTCTATATCAATATAGATGCATAGATATTTATTTTATACTATACTTTGAGTTTTATTCTGATACTACTTTGTTTTGTTGTTTGAATTGTTCCAGCTTTGGCCATTGGAAGTTTTTTCATGTGTTCCTTTGACTTACATCATTGACGTGGATTTTTTTGAGCACTTTTTGACTTTCTAGCACTACAGAATGTGTCAGGCTTATCTTGTATATTTCCTGCCCCAGTCCTAAAATCATTGCCTCTTCAAAGATCCCTGGTTCTTTTATTGGAGAATGATATTAGAAAACAAGATCTGCTTGGTGCAGTGGCTCACACTTGTAATCCCAGCATTTTGGGAGGCTGAGGTGGGTGGATCACATGAGCCCAGGAGTTCAAGACCAACCTGGGCAACACAGCAAGACCCCATCTCCACAAAATTTAAAAATTAGCCAGGTGTGGTGGCATACACCTGTAGTTCAAGCTACTCAAGAGGCTGAGGTGGGAGGATCTCTTGAGCCCAAGGAATTTGAGGCAGCAGTGAGCTATGATTATACCACCGTATTTGAGCTTGGGTGATAATGCAAGACCCCATCTCAAAAAAAAAAGAAAAGAAAAGAAGGAAGGAAGGAAGAGGGAAGGAAGAGAAAATAAAGAGAAAAGAAAGGAAATGAAATGAAAAGAAAAGAAAAAAGAAAAGATAAGAAAGAAAATCAGATCAGGGTATTAGGTGTGCTCACTGCTACTAAGGTGGTATTGCGTCTAGGCCTTCCAGATGACAGAGCAAATATATGTGTGTATACTAATATAGACCCACACACATATATAATATCTTTAAATATGATATATAGATATGTATTATATTATATATGTGCCTCTGTGTAGGTATATCGACTTTAAGCTAAACAGGAGTTCATGCTGATATCCCCAACTCTAATCCATTACCTACAGATTATTCCAGCCACCTCCCCTTGCTTGTCTGTAACCTCGCACTCCAAAAGTGAGAAACCTGTTTCCCACTATCTATCATCCATTTACTTAATTGTTCAGTTCCAATATACACATACAGCGATTTCAGAATTGTTAACCCATACCCCCATGGGAAACAACTTTATCAATTAAAGGGTTTGGGGTTTTTTGCCTTTGGTCTGATAAAATCTACCCAATTCCAAAGTTACTTATGGCAGCACCTTTCTACTTTCTTCACTGAGGTTTTTTTCCATACATTTGTAAACATTGAAAAGCATACATGCAAATGCTTTTTTAGAAAATTTTGCGCATATTAAGGCTATTTGTGCTGAAAAGTTCTAGAGTTTTTGACAAATGCATATTTTTATGTATCCACTGTTACAGTGTTATACAGAATAGTTTCACTGCCCCCAAAAAACCCAAAAAAACAAAAAACCTATTCTCTGTCTATTCAACCCTCCCTGGCAACCATTGATCTATTTGCCAACTCTTTATTTTTGTCTTTTTTTAAGGTCATATGGAATCATACAGCATGTAGCCTTTTTTTTTTTTTTTTGAGACAAAGTCTCACTCTGTCCCCCTAGCTGGAGTGCAGTGGCGCCATCTCCGCTCACTGCAACCTCTGCCTCCTGGGTTTAAGCGATTCTCTCTGCCTCAGCCTCCCAAGTAGCTGGGATTACAGGCGCCCGCCACCACACCCAGCTAATTTTTGTATTTTTGGTAGAGATGGGGTTTCGCCATGTTGGCCAGGCTGGTCTGGAACTCCTGACCTCAAGTGATCCACCCGCCTCAGCCTCCCAAAGTGCTGCAATTACAGGCATGAGCCACCATGCCTGGCTCAGTATGTAGCTGTTTAAGACTGGCTTCTTTCACTTATCAGGAGGGATTTGGAATAAAAGGCTCTAAGATTTTTTTCTACCCAAAAGACTCACTAAGCCTATTGGGATGTGGACAGGAGGCTAGGATAGAAAAGAAGGGAGTTCCTGCTGAAGACATGAGACCACTACCAGATGTCTGCATTCAGACAGGATGGTATTGATAATCAATGAAGGAGTGTTCATATATTTTAATAAGAACAAGGAAACTCAAGCTCTCCTAACTTCCTTATCCCAATGAGACTTTGGATCTGTGTCTTCTCTGTGTCCAGTATCCAAATGTATATACCCCATTACCTACAGCCACCTCTTTGGCAACTCTCTCCCTTGTGTCCTGCAGGTGAGGTTGGAATGTAAGTTGATAGACTGTCACAGCTATGGTTTAGGGCCTGAGTGACTGGAGGAGGGTGGCAGTTTCCGCCTGTCCCCACAGGCCATTGCAGCTTTCTGTCTTGAATGGTCCATCTGTGCCCCTCAACAGTATACTACTGTAGTTTAAGAACAGTAACTTATCTTTCAAGACCCAAACTAAGCAATACTCCTTCTCTCTCCTCTTCTACCCCTCCCTAGCTCTAAGCATTCACCCATCACAGCAGTCACCTCACTCTGTTTCAATTCTTGCTTTGTCTGTCATTCTATCAAGCATCAAGTTGCTTTAAGGAGAAGATCATGTATTTTTTTTTATTCCATTCCCTAAGGAAGTGCATAGGGTCAGGCACAAACCAGACAGCCAGTAAATGCTTGATGGCAGAATAAATGAGTGTGCAAACTCATTCCTTACCAATTGGGAATATTCACACAAGCTCTCTGTCCCAGCCATGTCCATTTTTTTCAGAATAGGCCAAGTTCGAGAATTCTACCTTGGTCTTGATTTTAGGATGAATTGGAGAACACAGAGTAGAAAGGCTCTGGGCAGTAGAGGAGGAATACAAATGTTAAAAATGAGGGTGGCAAAAGGTTTGTGCAGAAAGCTGATGGAAGGGAGAAAGAATGGAAGTGGGTCACACAGCTTTAAAATCAAATGAATCCTAGATTTTAGCAAACAAAACCTTGTTAATTTTTTTTTCTCCTGCCTCTCTGTTGACTACATCTCTATTTTATGGCCATTTGGAGATCATTTGAAGTCCATCCCATAATTGTTTTCTTGCTAAGCTTCCTTTGTGCAGAAAAAAATGATAATGCAGTTAGCATGCTTTCAGAAGTCCCAGAGGAAATTAATTTGTTTACAGGATTGTGTATCATATGGTTAAACCAACAAAGAGGAACAGACAGTTCTCCTCTCAGCCGAGCTAAGCCACTGCTGTGTGAGGTCAATAGGCAGGGAATGTATGCAGGGTCCCAGTGAGCTCCAAGAGGGGCCATCTAGACCCAGGTCACGGTTCTCAAACCATCCCCACTGCGGAGCCATTCTCAGTTACGGTAGCTCAGCTCTCTGCTCCTGGATTTTGTTATTCTTTTGTGGGGCTGATGTGTGCAGCATAGACTGCCACTTTTTTGCAGTTCATCCCTGCTGCCTCCCCCTGTGGGTTCTTCAGAAACACAGCCCTCATGATCCTCCTCACTCCATTTTGCGACCACCCAAGTGGTTTTGCTGGCACTTGGATATTATTCCTGCACTCTGAGCTTTATACTGGAAGTGAACCAGGACAACGCTCAAGCAGATGGCACCTAAGGGTTAAAAATAGATACACAGAATTGAAACAAAATAGACTTAAGTCAACAACGAGCCCTAGAATCTAGGGGTGCACCATAATGTAAAATTTCCAAGTGTCAGCATTTAATTCCACTTTTTTGTTCTGTATCATATATGCCAAGTCTGGATTATCACAGTTTCCAAATTAGTAGGGCAGAAATTTAATAAGACCCTATCATAACCAGTGACAGTTTATCTTCCTTTTTTAATCTCATGAAAGATACCACTTAACAAATTTCATCCTTCCTGCAGTTGGGCTGGGAGCACATGTTCAATTACACAGTGCGGGCGCGTTCACCAATCAGCCGGCTTCCCGTGAGCTCTGGGAATTAAACCCTGCATCTCTGGGCCTTGGCAGGCTGCTTCTCCCATCCATGGGCAACTACAGTAAATTCAGACACCCCGAGTTAAATTCTATATATGTACTTGGCTACTGTTTGGGCTTGTTTCTTAGACAGGAGAGGGCATTTTTAAAGTTTTATTTGCATTTGGAGCTGGATTAAAGAGCACACATAGTGTGTATGTTATGTCGTTAATCAGTATATTGGCAAAATATTTTGTTTGCAGTTCTCTACATGAATCAGTTCAGTTTGCAAAAAATAATTCATCTCAAAGCATTCTTACCAAACTTTAATGCTGATTTTAAAATAATGTCAAGAATGATGATAATAATGGCTATCACATATTTCATAAGAAATTACTTAAACCATTCTGGCCATGCTTTCATGGTGGGGTTTAAATGACACTACTATTATAGACACAAGAATAAACATCCTTCTCAGTTTTTAGTTTCCTACTACGCCCTATGCACTGTGGTAGGCCTTTCCTATACAATTTTGCTAATCTTTACAACGTTGCAAAGTTATTTCTGTTTTGTAAATAAGGAAATAATGACTCAGGGACAGTCAGTAAAAGCTCCCTAGCTTTCACTGTGGAAGTACTCTAGCTAGCAAGCAGTAGAACTGACATTTAATGCCTGGAGTATTTGACCCCCAAGCCTCTTAAGAATCTAATTTATCAACCAAAATAATCTACATGGAGTGATGCAATGTGTTTATGTGTGCAGCATAGTGTTCACTGCATCTCCCCAGGAAGATTATTTTGGTTGACAAATTAGATTCTTAGTAGACACAGAACAAATCATAGGCTCAATTGTCATTTATTCACCCAAATAGAGTAAGTTATGTTTTTTTAAAAGAAAGATATAATATGTAAACTGTCTCTTGTTTGTTTTTTACTTTCATGTAAAAGTATAGTACTGAACAGATAGACTAGCAAGGTGTAAATATGTATATATTTAATATCTGGTGGGGATAAATGCTATAAAGAAAAATAAAGCGTGATAGGCAGCCAATGAGGGCTGGTGGTTTGCTCTGGTATGTAGGGTGGCCAAAAATACCCTCTGATAGGGCAACATTTGAGAAGAGACTTGAAGGAGGAAAGGGAGCAGGTAACTGAGCATGCAGGGAAAAAGCATTCCAACCAAGGCAAAAGACACACGTAAAGACCCCAAGGCCACAGGCCTGGAGTATTTGGGCACAGCAAGGAGGCCAGTGTGGCCAGAGCAGGGTAGGCAAGACACTCAAATTACAGGAGAAGAGCTCCAGGGTGCAGCACAGGGTCCCTCTTGTTGGGCTATGTAGCTCTGGGTAAGGATGTGGATTTTACTCTGACTGAGAAAAGGAGCCACTGGAGGTTTCTAGAAGAGAAGGCACCTGATTTGACTTACATTTTTTACAAAAAAAAATTCTCTGGCTGCTGTGAGGAGAATGGGATGTAGCTGGGCGGGAAATAGTCTTTGGAAGTCGTCAAAAGAAACAGGACAACGATGAGGAGGCTGCTACGACAATCTAGGCAATGGCGGCTTGGACTGGGCAGTAGTCACAGAGGCAGATGGAACAGAAAGGCTCTGATGATTGCATTATTTTAGATAAAACGTTGTATTTCATTAGCATTCTTGTTACTTCACTTTTGATGTTGGAAATTTAGGTGGCCCAATGTTTTAAATAAACCTATCACAATCAAACATTTTGAACACTTACTACATCAAACACTATTCTGAGCCTTTTACAGCTATTTATTTTCATTCTCACAGAAACACTTCAAAAAGTCCCAGTTTTCCTACCTATGGGTTGGACAGCCTTGGAGAGTCGTATCTCTTGAGGCCTCTGACCCGTCTTTTGTAGAACAGGGGATTGAGCCAGGTGACCAGAGTCTTTCTAGCGCTACAGTTCTATGACTCTGTGCCTTTTTACAGAATGGAGTCTCAATTTCTCAGAGGCCATCTGTGGAGTTTCTATTTTAGATCATTTCAAAACCAATCACATTCTCATCCCCCTTCTCTCACAGGCCCCCGACAGCCGGGTTCACACAGTCCCACACCTCTTCTGGTGTCCCATATACAATGCCTTCTCCTCAGTACCTGGAGCACAAAAGGGAATTTGACCCCAGGGTATCACTCAAACTTGTTTATCTTGGCATTATATCTAAGGACTAGAAGGTGGACCATGCCCAACAGCCGGCTTCACACAGTCCCACACCTCTTCCAGTGTCCCATATACAATGCCTTCTCCTCAGTACTTGGAGCCCAAAAAGGAATTATATCTAAGGACTAGAAGGTGGACCATGCCCAACAGCCGGCTTCACACAGTCCCATACCTCTTCCAGTGTCCCATACACAATGCCTTCTCCTCAGTACCTGGAGTGCAAAAAGGAATTTCACCCCAGGGTATCAATCAAACTTGTTTATCTTGGCATTATATCTAATGACTAGAAGGTGGACCATGCCATGTCTGTCACTGCTGTTTAGAGCAGGCTTGCAGAGAAGGGGCTGAGACTTACTAGCCCCACCTCCCTTCAGGCCTGCAGAAATGAACAGTAAGCTTTCACAAAAATATGGTTTGCTGGGGACGACTTAGTTAAAAAACAGAAGTTAATCATTTTCTGAAAGACAGTTGGAAAGTTGATCACCGGGTGCAAGGGTTGATTGGAATCTTAGGAAGCAAACCCACAGAGACACCAGGAAGGATGTGGCATCTCTGGTAAACTTGAAACAAGGCATGCACTTACAGGTTCCCTATTATTAACCTCATTTTGGACATAAAGTGGCTGGATTAATTTCCTGTGGCTGCTGTAACAAATCACCATAAACGTAGTAGTTTAAAATGACAGAAATGTATTTTCTGGCAGTTTTGAAGGCCAGAAGTCTGAAGTCTGATAGTATCACTGGGCCCAAATAAAGGTGTTGGCAGGGTACTCCCTCTGTAGGTTCTATAGAAGAAGACATTCCTTGCCTCTTTCAGCTTCTGGTGAGAGCAGGCACTCCTTGGCTTGTGGCTGCATCCCTGCAGCCTTCAACGCCAGCATCTTCAGGTCTCTCTCTGCTCCATCTTCACATCACCTTCTCCTCTGTATGCAGTAAAATCTCCTCCTTCATCCCTCTTATAAGGTACATGTGATTACCTGTAGTGCCTACCCAGATAATCTAGGATAACCTCCCTATCTCATAATACTTAATCACATCTGCAAGGACCTCCCTCCCTTTTTGCTATATCAGGAAATACGCACAGGTTTCAGGGGTTAAGACGTAGATAGATTTTGGGGGGTCATTTTTCTGCCTATCTCAATGACACAGAATATACTCTGAATTTAGACATTAGCATGCTAATGTTCAACTCTCATTAGTAGATGCTGATAAGATCTACTCAAGTGCATCACACCATAAATACTGACTCTCCAGGTCAGACCCATTTTCTCTAAATAGTAAGCCTGAACAAGCCTGCTTGGGATTCAGGGAAACTGCCTAGAGTTTTTCCAAAACCCATAGACCTTGTCTGGTGAAAATGTTGTAGCATATGATTTAATGTTGTAACACAACACAGCACAGGTACTTAGTATTTATGTAATGAATGAGTGAAATAATAAACTCAGAGGCCCTCACAAGCAGAGAGAGGAAGGGGAAAGAAAGTGCTGTGGATATGGGAATTCCACCCACCAGAAATGGAGAATATTATATTTACTATTTTTAAATGATTAGAGGCAAATCTGCACCAATTCTAGAAACTAGAAAAAAAAAAGAGCCTGAACTTACTAAATGCTTTGTATTAGTCTGTTCTCATGCTGCTGACAAGGACATACCCAAGACTGGGTAATTTATAAAGAAAAAGGGCCGGGCGCAGTGGCTCACGCCTGAAATCATAGCACTTTGGGAGGCCGAGGTGGGCAGATCACCTGAGGTCGGAGTTTGAGACCAGCCTGCCCAACATGGCCAAACCCTGTCTCTATTAAAAATACAAAAAATTATCTGGGTGTGGTGGCAGGCACCTGTAATCCCAGCTACTTGAGAGGCTGAGGCAGAAGAATAGCTTGAACCCGGGAGGTGGAGGTTGCAGTGAGCCAAGACCGCACCACTGCACTCCAGCCTGGGCAACAAGAGCCAAACTCCATCTAAAAAAAAAAGAAAAAGAAAAAAAGAAAAGAAAAAGAGGTTTAATGGACTGACAGTTCCACATGACTGGGGAGGCCTCACAATCATGGTGGAAGGCAAAAGTCACATTTTACGTGGCGGCAGACAAGAGAGAAAGAGAGCCAAGTGAAAGGGGTTTCCCCTTATAAAACCATCAGATCTCATGAGACTTATTCACTACCACAAGAACAGTATGGGGAAAACTGCCCCCAGGATTCCATTATCTCCCAAAAGGTCCCTCCTACAACATGTGGGAATTATGGGAGCTACAATTCAAGATGAGATTTGGATGGGGACCCAGCCAAACTATATCATGCTTCAAGAAGTTTCCGGGAGACTTGGTAAAATGGAAGGAGATTAAAGAAAGTTCCCTAAGTCAGAACCCTCATCTACAGGGAATTTGTAGCCCATTTAATAGGAAGTATCTAGAGTCCTACCAACACTACTATTTCAGAGGTGCATGGGCTAGACATGAAGATGGTGGGAGAGATAGGGACCGTTTCTTGTTCCACACCCTTTCTTGCTATAGCTTAAAAACATTTAAATGATAAACAAAATGTGGAATATGCCTACAGTGAGATATTATTCAGCCTTAAAAAAGAAGGAATTTCTGACACATACCACAACATGAATGGACCTCGAAGACATTACGCTGAGTGAAATCAGCCAGTCACAAAAACAAATACTGTATGACTCCACCCTCATAGGTACCTAGAGTAATCAGCTTCCTAGAGACAGAAAGAAGAATGGCGGTTGTCAGGGGCTGGTGGGGCAGGGGAAAATGAGGGCTTGTTGTTTAGTGGGTATGGGGGGTTTCTGTTGAGGAAGATGAATAAAGTCCTGAATATGAATACTCGTGATGATTGCCAAACAATGTGCATGTTCTTAATGCCACTGAACTGGACACTTAAAAACGGTAACATGTAAGTTTATGTTATGTGTATTTTGCCACAGTAAAGAAAAAAAATTCAGAATTAGATTGGAGGGGATGTGAAGGATCAAAACAAGAGTGGCCGTTCTAAACAAGAAGTCTCCAGGCATGGGTGTTTTTCACTGATTCTGATTCTCTCTGCTGTGGTGAGATCCTGTCCCTGTTGTGGAAAAGTTCTTGAGAGGGACACTAAGCCACATCGAAGACCTGAGGAAGAGGCCATGCTGAACAAAGGAATACAAGAAGTGGCCGGGCACGGTCGCTCACGCCTGTAATCCCAGCACTTTGGGAGGCCGAGATGGGCAGATCACTTAAGGCCAGGAGTTTGAGACCAGTCTGGCCAACATGGTGAAAATCCGGCTCTACTAAAAATACAAAATTAGCCGGGTGTTATGGTGCACACCTGTAATCCCAGCTACTCTGGAGGCTGAGGTGGGAGAATCGCTTCAACCCGGGAGGAGGCGGTTGCAGTGAGCCAAGATCGCACCACTGCACTCCAGCCTGGGCGACAGAGCAAGACTTTGTGTCAAAATAAACAAAAAACAAACACACAAACAACACACCAAAAACAAAGGAATACAAGAAGAGAACTGCCCTCCTGTATAAGAAAGAAGGAGTCAACAGAACAAACACCAAATTCTTCTTTTTAGAGTGCTCCCAGCCTCACCTTTTTCTCCACTCCCTCAGCCTACAAAGTCATCATGCAGCAGCCTTCACCAGTAAGCATATGAAAGATGAAGTCCCATAGCATTCCTGGGAACAGGGAGGGAAGCCAGAGAACACTCACTCACAGGATGGGGGCGCAAACACAGAAATTCTGCAGCATAAAAAAGGAAATGAATGCAGCATGCCAGAGGTAAAGAAAAACGCAGATTTTAGAAAGGAGCTTTCTACAGAAAGCAAAATGTAAATTTTAGACATTTGCTTCTCTCACTCAGTGAAATAAAATGAAATCATTGTCTCTGAAATAAGGGACGCAAATTAAGAGAAGAAGAAGAGATAGTGACTTTATAAAGGAAACCAGCAGAGTTAAAAAAAATGTAAGTGGAGATTGACATAGTAAAATGAAAACCTGGATTAGCATAATCCCAAGAAAAATGGCAACAGTAATCTAAGCCCCTCAGTAGCTTTAAATAAAAGGCTAAGGTCAAGGGCTATAAAAATAAGAGAACATTAAATAACACTGGAGAAAAGGAAGTATGTCACCATATAAGACATTTCAATGAGCTTCTTTAAGATGCAATTCAGACAGAACAAACTACCAACCTGTAGTAGGTCATCAATGATTTAATCACAATCCACACTTTACCATTTACGCTTTCTGTTCAGGAAGTCAAACAGTCCTGGCAGAGCAGTATAACCATCTACTAATTCAAGAGATAAAATTCGCAGGCAACAGTAGCCATGAAGAGCTTTTTCAGTCAGGGTTCAATTGGAGAAACAGAACCAATATATAGAATTTATAACAGGGATTAGGATCTGCACAATGGTGAGACTGGTTGTGAAATCTCTGTAAAGGTAGTATCTGATACTGGGCTGAATTTGTTCTATATCGCCTGGACTGGGAGTTAGGAAGGAGAGTTGGGTGTGAAATTGAGGAAGTAGAGGACAAGAGGTATTTTCCCATTTCCCCTCAAAAGGATGAAATAGAGCCCACCTCTCTTTCTCACCACCTCCCACCCAAAAGATGCAGAAGACCTACTGGAAAAGTTGGTGGCTTTCACCATGGAGCTGTACACACATCTGGCCCAGGGCTCAGAGGAGCTGAAGGAAGAGATCCAGTGGGAGCTGAGGTTGTGCGAGGCTCAGGATATGGCCCCACCCGCAAGGCAAGGCTAGCAGATGACAGACCTGTGTGAGCTGCCACAGCATCTGGTGCCCTTTACCCACCTCAGAGCACACAAAATGGCAGCTCCTTCTCTTACATCTTCCAAGACTTAGACACACAAGTCTCTTTGTGGCCAGCAACACACAGAGAATGGAATACTAGAAAACACATTTCCAGCTTAGCTATGTTAGCTCAGTAAAAAGCACCCCCAGGAGATATGAAGACTGTTTGTTTGCAATCTCTTTTACCACTCCAGAGCCACAACATTCATTTATGTCTGCTCCAGGAGATTCAATGCAATGCTTCACTATGAAATAGCAAAAGGGTGGTTGGGCTTCTTTCTGATATACAGGGTTCAACCCCATCAGGGAAGCTCACCTCAACAACGAAGCACTCAACCTACTCCCTCATGTTTGCAGTGGAAACCCCCACGCCCTCTCATCCCTCAAAGGCTGCCAGAGGTATCAATAGAAGGGAAGCCAGACAGCCACAGCCACAGCCACACCCGAGAAGCTGCTGGAATGAAAGTGAGGCTAGAAACAAGAGGTGATGCAGAATGTTGGCAAAAGGAAGAAAAAATAAATAAAAAATTTACTTTCACCTGCTGTTTCTCTGAGTTCAGCTGTTCCTTCATCAGGCTTTTAAATCTGTAAACAAGCAATATAAAATTATGAGTAATATAAAATTACGAGTAATATAAAATCCCACATGATTTGTAAAGATCATCATGGCATTTATATATACGATGAGATTTAAGGTGGGAATATAATTTATACATGAAGACTATTTGTGGGTATACACATGCCAAGACAGAACTCTCCTTCTTCAAAAATCAAAAAAATGTAGAGGCAGAAATGCGGTGTTAATTAGACCTATGAAAATATTATTTAAAAAGAAGGTAAAGTACTAAAAGTGAAAAAAGAGGGCAGGAGTAGTTTAATTTTTAAAAGGCCTTGCTTTGGGGAATTAAATTGGTTTGCACGTTAAGGAAAAGGATTTTGAAAGATCTTTATAAAACAAGAAATGAAAAGATATGTCAAAAATACATGTTAATTAATTTGATTGTGGTAATCATTACAAAACATATACATATATCAAATCATCACATTGTATACCTCAATCCCTATTTGACCATTAATTATTTTAAAATGAAAATATAAGATGAAAAGAGATGTGAGGAAAAGATGAAGATAATTTTCTAAAAGAAGGGGTTTTAAAATATCACATCGAGACCAAAGCAAAACACGATAAACTTCGTATTTTGGCGGTAGATCAACATATCGTAAATACTGTTTTGTCTGGAATCTGCTCTGTTCTGTTGTCTCAGCTGATCCCAGATGCTATTTGGCTTCCATCTGCTGATGGAGACATAGCATTTCTGTAAGGACGTGAAGAAATGCTGAGAGCTCATCCCTCCTGAGACGTTGGCTGTGCTTTCTAATATTCCCCAAATACTTGGGAAAATACAGACAGTCTAAAAATCATTCAGGAAAACTCTCAGCCAATTACTAAATAGTCGTTTGACAAGGAATTCAGCTGCTGTCTTTTACCCCCGTTTTTTAGAAACTTCAATTTTTTTCTTTCTCCTAGGACAGATTATGTGTTTAGATACACTCATATATGAAAAGGAATCTCATTCCTTGAGGAAGCTTAACAGCTGATGGGACAGGGCAGCGTTACAATTGTATCCCAACAGCAACCTATCTGATGATTTGTTCTTCTTCTTAAAGGATTCTATTATGGTGATAAGAATCTATCTTCACTTAATGCAAGGGGCAATATAGCAAAGGACACCACCCCCCACCCCCACCAACCCATCTATGAATCTCAGACTACTTTCTAAAGGTGTAACATAGTTACAGAGTATCACAGGACCCCAAGGGAAATCTCAGAGGGTCTGCACAGTTTCAAATTTATTTGCCACCAATGATTTCATGTGGAATCCAAAAATAAAAATAAGTTCTCATGCCTCAACAAATTCAGCTGTTACTCAGATAATTGAAAACAATCTCTTCTTGAGAATCTTCCCTGAAAAATATTCTCCAAACCCAAAACATATTTCTAAACTTCAAGCAAAAGCTTTTGGGGTTGCTAAAACAATATAACAGAGGTGTAAATATGTCCCAGGAATGGGAAAGTTTGTCTTGTAAAATCCAGAGCTGAAAATCTGATAGCTAAGAAAAGAGACTTTGGCTTTGCTGATGGAACACACTGGACTCACACATAAATTTTAGGATGTGCCCAGGGATATTAATTTCTCAGAATAGAATTCACTTAGCAGGAAAACAACTCTTTAATTGATGACGTAGGAAATAAATGTTTTTGTCCCTGTAAGCTAAGCCTTCGGATCATTTCTGATGAAACCTTCTGGGATTTATAACTAAATTTTATTGTTGTTTTGTTTTGTTTTTAGAACTGAACAAGATTCATATGTTATACAATTAGGCCTTCACTTGCTATCTCTATCTGCCTTACTACCTTCTTTCTCTCACCCCATAGATCCTGTAAGCAGTGGGTCTAGGAAATAATAATTTTAGCCTATTTTGACACTATTTGGAACCTTTTTGATTTTTGGATTTTTAGTCATTTTATCTACATACAAATTCTGGCTTAACTTAAAGGTATCCAGCGCATCTAAAACCTTTAATCAAATTGTCAGAGGAAGTCAATGCATGTGGAGTAATTAATCTCCCTGCATTCAGAAAGCAACATCCTCTCTATGTTCTCCTTCTGCCTGGCCCTTCAGCACCCAGAGGAGCAGCAGTCTAGAGAGGAAATGGGGAAGGGCATCCAAGTCCATCCGGCTGGAGAATGAGAGGCTGCAATCACAGCCTCGCCTTGAACACACTGCCCACATGAATGCCGGGGGGTACTTAGAGGGAGTTTGTAAAAATCAGACCAAGGAAACCATAAACAGACCATAGACAAATGTGAATTTTTGATTAAAAACTCATTTTACCAATAATAATAAAAGCACATTAAATCAATATAAAGGGAGCAATATTCATTTGACAACATTGAATTTTCTTAAATAATATTCTTTTTGATCTAGTAATTTCACTTCTGAAAAACTAATTCTATAGAAATTATGTGAAAAGCAGAAAATATCGATGGCCAAAAAAAAGGTCGGTGGGGGCTGGGCTCACGCCTGTAATCTCAGCACTTTGGGAGGCTGAAGTGGGTGGATCACCTGAGGTCAGGAGTTTGAGACCAGCCTGGCCAACATGGTGAAAACCCATCTGTACTAAAAAAATTAGCTGAGTGTGGTGGCACACACCTGTAATCCAGCTACTCGGGAGGCTGAGGCAGGAGAATCGCCTGAACCTGGGAACCAGAGTTTGCAGTGAGCCAAAAATGGTGCCACTGCACTCCAGCCTGGGTGACAGAGTGAGACTCTGTCTCAAAACAACAACAACAAACAAACAAACAAACAAACAAAAGGTACTAGGGAGAACAAAATGGATGTTTGAGAAATGGGGCACAGTTAAATGCTTCACATCCTAGACAGAATATACCACTCAATAGCCTATTGGTAAAATATGCCCACAGAAAATTTTTTTAAAACATGGAAATTGCTTTAAATATAAAATCAATGGAAAAGGTAAGAGAAATACACATATACAGTACAGCCACAAAATATATAAAGGAAAATATGCACTTTTAAAAAGCTGAAAAGATTAATAGTTAATATCATTGAGCAATATTGTTCTAGGTGGTTTTTGCTATTTCTAATTTTCCTATTGTTTCCATTTTGTTTGATGATTATACATTAACTTCATAATAAAAATGTTTAGAAATCAACATTTCCTTAAAATTAGGCAAAAAACAAGGACAACTGATTAATATCAAAAGTTGCAATTCCTATGTAATTATCTCAGTTAATTTATGATTTGGGTACTAAAAATAGAGTTAAATATCTTTTATTCAACCTATCTTCATTTAGGTTCAATAAATTACTTAATTTTATTTATTTTTATTTATTTATCTTTTTGAGACGGAGTCTCGCTCTGTTGCCAGGCTGGAGTGCTGTGGCACAATCTCAGTTCACTGTAACCTCTGACTCCCTGGTTCAAGCAATTCTCCTGCCTCAGCCTCCTGAGTAGCTGGGATTACAGGCACGCATCACCATGACCGGCTAATTTTTGTATTTTTAGTAGAGACGGAGTTTCACCATGTTGGCCAGGATGGTCTCAATCTCCTGACCTTGTGAGGCCCGCCTCAGCCTCCCAAAGTGCTGGGATTACAGGTGTGAGCTACCGCGCCCGGCCAATAAATTACTTAATTATTAAAATTAACTTAAACTTAATGCTGTTGTAACTTGAAATTATTCTAAGCCTTGAGAAGAATGTGGCTTTGCAGCCTGAGTCATGTGGCACACAGCTGTAACTTCTGCCTTTTCTTCCCTGTAAATAATTAGAAAGGCCAAAGGGCATCAGAGATAACACCCCCCTACCAGGATCACTACCCCTTCTCACAGAGTAATAAAGTCATCTTCCTTAGAATGCAGCAATCTATAACCACAGGCACTGGTCTCATATAGAAAATGTAATCCGGCTAACATTTCTGTCTCTGCCTATACAAGTAAAACCTTAACTTCTCCACTTTGGAATGCTGATCCCATTTATTTGGACTTGATGGTTCCTGGGTGGCTACCCTCAAGTTCTGTGTTCAAATAAACTCTATTCTTAATCTCTGAATTAATTTTCTGAATCTCATTATTTAAGGTTGACACTTATCTCACCTATAGTGCCAGAGAGAATTACCTGAATGAATATGAAATTTTAAAAAGATTGATTTTGCTCTAATTTGTTTTTAATAAATCCCTGTGTACTGCAAAATTTGCTACCTTTCCTTACCTCCCCTTACAATATACATGTATATGTAACATCAAAAGGAAACAAAAACACTCAAAATACTTGAGTGAGATTAATATAAAATATTTTAAATTTTTGAGTAAATATTTCAAAATAAGGCAGGGGGGCTTTAGAAAAAGTAGGACGAAAAAAATCTTTGAAATGTTCAGGAATGATTGAGATAAGTAAAGATCTCTGAAAGAATGCAAAAAATCCCAGTGGGGCTAGCAGTAATTCTATTGTATAAGCCATTTGTCCATTTGATAAGCACACATTTTATCTAATGTTACCAGATAGAGCATCAGGCCAAATGGCCTCAAGCAAATTGGCAGACAGATGACCTGGTCCCAGAGGCTCCGGATCCATCTCTGACCCAAGGCCAGCTCTGGCACTCAGCCTTCCACTTCGTTCCCATGCTTTCAGCGCTAGGTCTGAACACTTGCCTGATGGTCCTGAACCCCTGGGCTAGGGCTCTTGCTTACATTTGCCAGTTCAGTGTGTGGTAAGATCTTTCCAATTATTTGCTAATGAATTAGTGGAGGATTGAATGGACAAATGAATGAAGTTTCTCTCCGAAGCCCCACATCTGAACTTGCTGATGGATTTTCTTTCTGCTCCGTTGTCTGGTGTCCACTTCAGTTATTTATTCACCCATTTATTGAGTCTTTAGTGTGCAGTGGGTAATGTTCAATAGAAAGAGTCATGTCTACTCCAGTCCTGCACCTTCCCATTCTGTTACTACAAAGGTGCAATTTACCTCACTGCAGTCAAACCATTTCTTGTGTTAAGTAGCAAATAGAGGTTTACACTGTGAAACCAGGCAAGTCTTGGACTTGGGAATGAGGTTCTTGGAACAGAATCCCAATGCATGGCTAACAGTGAGAGTCTGCAGGTGACAAAGGAACCGGGCTCCATTCTGCTGATGGCTGGGGAAGGGGAGGAGAAGCTGCTGACCTTTGCTGAAGGACTAGGATGAACTACTCATCCCATTTTACAGCAGGCAACCTATTTTCAGAACATTGAGGTGAGAGTCTAATCTCTATCAAAGTCTTCCTTTCTTACCAAATGCTATAGGAAGTCTCTTTATTTCTTTTAGCCTCAGTCTCAGAGTCATAGTGCTCATTAATGTGACCATGTATGGTAAAGGTAAAATGTAATAAGATGTTAATTTGATTATTATTAATATCATGCTGAAGTACTTGGGGTTGATGTATCATTATTTCTGCAATCTACTTTCAAATGGTGTGTGGTGGGGGAAGGATACAGACAGAAATAAAGCAATTGTGGCAAAATGTGGCAATTGGTAAATCTAGGTTAAGAGTGTACAGATATTCCTGGTACTGTTCCATCAGCATTTCTAAGGATTTGACTTTTTTCAAAATAGAAACTAAGTTGAGAAAAAACTAAATAAGAAAAAATAAAATGTGATGGCTGTGCCTCTCCTCAACTCCACTGTATGAACACAAGCAAGGTCCTTACTGTCTCTAAGCCTCTTCGTTGAGAGTAAAAAACTGGGGAAATTAAGCCTTGCCTTTTATACTCCCTCAGTGTTTTGTGAACACCAGTCATGGTCACAGATGTAAAGTGTTTTGCAAACCATCCAGGACTGTCAGGGCATAAGGGGTTAACGGATGTGATCATTTGTACAGCACCAAGCGATGTGTAGATCACCGGGCCAAACCCTTGGCTGTCTAGACTCCAGCCAATCTGTGTGCCTCAGCCACCTTAACATTACATATGCATGACTGGCCTCCTGGATTCTTCCCTGCTCAGAGCACCAGCTGCAAGCACACAGTCTTCTTCCTGAGAACTAGCGGGCAGAGCAAACTCCGCTGCTTCCATTCAGAAACCTCGGAACAGACCTTTGCCTGCCAACTTCCTAGCTCTCTGGCCAGCTTCTGATTGTTAGCAGTGGGTTAGCTCCCATGAAAACCTCGAAGGCATCCCAGCGCTATAGAGGCATCCGGAGAAATGCCAGCCAGTGCTACCTCTACCAGGAATCTCTGCTGCTCAGGTGAGCTGGCCCCATTCATCAGCTGGGCAGAGGAGTCAGGTGTGTGAGGAAGGAATGCATGGGTCACCAGAGCGAGGGACAAAGTCCCTGTCCTGCTCAGTTGTCCTTCAGAATGAACTCAGAAACTCACTTCTCCAGGTTGTGGTACAACTAGGATGGCAACCTCAGCAACGGGCATGGGGGGAAATGGTTCTTCTGGCTGCTTCTTGACCAGGAGGTCAGAATCCAAAAGCTTGCATCCCAACCTGGCTTTATGGCTGGCCAAACCCACAGATATGTTTCCCTGTTTTCTCTATGTTCACTCAATCAGCAATGTCAAGAGAGAGCAGATAATATGTCTATCATGATAAATAAAGTGTTTATTGGAAAAGCCTTCAGGCTAGTTAGAAGTGGATGAGAGTGCTATTCGAATTTGTTAAATATTTATAAAGGTCTAGTACAGCTGCCATTTAATTTGGTGAAATTGAAAAAAATTCTCCTCTAAATGAGTAAAAACAACATGAATTAGAGAATAACAAACGAAATCTTTTATTTCTAATAGTCATAGATGAATACTCTTAACTCCTCTCAAAATGTTGCATTAGGATAAGCATATTAAGTGTAACTGGGAGTAAATGTTGCTACATGTTGGAAAATTGTTCCTCTTGAGAGTATCTATTTCCTGAAATATCTCACCCATGTAAATTTGCTTAGCTAATCTTTCGCTCGTAGAAATTGCTTTGCCTGGCTCTGCCTCGGTTATCTCAGGCTTAAAATGAATTGACGTGAAAGGGTGAAGAGGGGTTTCTGAGTGGCAGAAGTTTTGATTTATGTTACCTTCAAGTAACATAAGGAGTCCTGCCTCTAAAATTAGCTGATTATTTCAATGAGCCTGAAAAAGAAATTATTTTGCCTACCCAAATTGCTGCTACTCAGGAATCCAAGAGTACGTAAATACCCTCTTGTCTCATCTTGTGTTTTCTGATAATATCATGCACCCTGAGAAATCATTATCTTCTAATGACCCAGTGGAAGTAATTGAATCCAATAAATGTGTTTCAACAGGCTACTGACACTGGCAAATTATCTGTTTCTGTGGGTCCCTCACTTTACACACACACACACACACACACACACACGCACAAACACATACACATTTCATACAGATGACCCTAGGGCAGTGAGATGCTGAACTTGTGCCCAGGGCAAGATGATCTTTGCTGGAAGCAATTCTTCTAATCAGATTTCCTCCTTAATGCCCTGATCATTCAGCAACTTGGATGACAGCTTTAGTGCTGATGAAACAGGGGACAGCAATGATCCGGAACAAATCTTCCAGAATATACAGTTCCAGAAAGATCTCATGGCAAACATTCGCTGCAGACCCTGGACTATGGGACAGAAGCTGAGGGCATTGAGGTAAGGGCCTCAATGGCCATTATTGATCATTACAAGCATGCTTTCCGATAAACCACCTTGCCTTGCCCATGGGAACGAGGATAAAGACTCATGTGAGAGAGATGGCTCAGTCACTCTTGACCTGAATTAGCAAAGTCACAAAGATATCTGAGAGGTCTAGCTGGTCCAGAAGCCAGTTCCTCTGTGTGTGTGTGTGTGTGTGTGTGTGTGTGTGTGTGTGTGTGTGTGTGTGTGTGTGTGTCAGAGAGACAGATACAGAGAAAGAGAGAGTATAAAGAGTTGTGTGTCTGTGTTGGGGGTGTGTGTGTTGGTGGAGAGTCTTTTATCTTCTACCTCCTTTCTAAACACTAGATTTTAATATTCTCTCCAAGCTCGTCTCGCTCACTAGAAACAGAGCAGTAAGCCAATATGAAAAGAGATACTCATTTTAGCTGCTTGGATATTACCACCCTCTGGGTAAAAAAATAATTAAAAAAAAAAAGACTTTATAGGAAGCCAGATTATTATGATACTTAGAGTCATATTAAATAGTCTGTCTATATAATAAAGTGCTAAAGATTTAAAAATAGATTCCCTGATTCAAATACTGCCTTTACCAATTTCTATCTATGTGATATTAATTTTCTTAATTTCTCTGAATACCAGTTCTTTTCTTTTTTAAAGTTGAAGCGATGGTGAGGAATAGCCCTTAACTTCCTGCAGCACGTTTCCAAAAATGTCAACCACTAAGCTCTCTGGATATTGTTAAAAATTCAAAATCCCTGATTGCTCTCAGACCTACTGAATCAAACCAAGGGAGAGGGTCCTTGTATTTTTAACATGCATTCAGGTTGATACTTTTGCACATTCAAGTTTGAGATCCACTGATAGCAGTTTGTTGAAGGATCAAATGGGATGAACCCTGTGAGTGCTTAGCATTGTATCTGGTATTTAACAGTCACTCACTAAGAGTGAGTAAGGAATAGTGATTCTGATGCCTGGGGTCACAGCAAAGGGAGTTAGCAGAGTTGCCTTCATGGCCTGTACCATTGAGCTACTGTGACCTGTGCTGTGGAGCTTCCTGGCAAAGCAGACACTATGCCTGATCATCAGGCACCTGCAGTGTGGACAGAACCACTGTCCGATCTTGATCTTCACTGCCCTTTTCTAGATGCCAAGCAGACATCTCTTTACCTCCACATCAACCATGTATTAGGCTTGCATTTCTTTCCCATCAAATCATTTCTTCCTTAGATTTGCATTCCAGGTAATGTTCTTCCAGTCTGACCAGCCTCTTCTGCAGGTGACTGTGAAAGATAGCTGAAGTCATCCATAGTTTTGATCCTCAAAATGTTCCAAGTAATTCTCCTTCATGGGCCTTTCATGTCCGTTATCAGCTGCTATTGTTTCCATTTATTTGAGTAAGGATGGCATTATGTCCATTTTTCAGACAAGAAGGTTGATACTCAGAGAGGTTAAGAGACTAACCCAAGCTACACAGTTTCTGAGTGCTAGAATTAAGCTTTAAATCTAGGATTTCTGATTCCAAGTACAGTTTTCTCTTGTATTGAAACACAGGAATTTAACCAAAGTAATCATTGGAGCAATTACTCTTTAAAAAAAAAAGACATAGGTTCTTGGCTGGGTGCGGTGGCTCATGCCTATAATCCCAGAACTTTGGGAGGCCAAGGCAGGTGGATCACAAGGTCAGGAGATCGAGACCCACCTGGTCAATATGGTGAAACCCTGTCTCTATTAAAAATACAAAAATTAGTTGGGCATGGTGGCAGGCACCTGTAGTCCCAGCTATTCGGGAGGCTGAGGCAGGAGAATTGCTTGAACCCGGGAGGAAGAGGTTGCAGTGAGCCAAGATTGTGCCACTGCCCTCCAGCCTGGGTGACAGAGACTCTGTCTCAAAAAAAAAAAAAAAAGAAATAGTTTCTATTAGAATTTTGCTAAATCATCCCGAAATGATGATGATCAATTGTTATCTGAATAACAGTTGGTTAAGTGTCTTTAACTTTGAGGGGACAGCAGAGCAAATGGTAACTTTTCTGTCAAGGCACTTCAGAAACCAAAGAATAAGCCAGGCCTTCTGCCATGTTGCTTGGCCCATGTAACACATCCAGAGCCCCAAGATGGCTGACACCGGCCATGTGTTCAGCCAGCGGCCAGGGTCTCAGAGTGCAGCTGGCCCTCTGAGCACCTTCGTCCGTCATCCTCTTGCCACGCATATCTCCTCTCCATCACCTTGAGAAACTACTGGAGCAACACTTCCCTCATTGGACTTGCTGAAGTTCATCACAGTGCTTCTGTGGAAGGTGCAAAAAGCACGGAACCCTGACTGCTTGAGAATCAAGGGAGCATAGCAGGATGCAGATAAAAGCAGAGTGAGCTAACCCTGAGTCTGGAGCAAGAGCCACCTGTCTAAGAGGATATAGGACATGCTTGTTTCCCCTGTAGGAAGCAAGTGGTCAGTTCCTATGAAATCAGCATAGGTCTATGACTGGGCCTTGGTTTGGGCCGCCCCTCCCTGCTACCTCCACACCCAATCACCCCTCTGTCATAGCTCTTGTCACACCCACTGTCTCTCAGTCATTGTCTTTAAAGGTCTCTGTCATCCCTATTAGGTAGTGAACTCTTCCAGGGCAGAGACTCTGGTTTTTTGTTGTTGTTGTTGTTTGTTATGAAACAGGGTGTCACTCTCACCCAGGCTGGAGTGCAGTGGCTGGATCACAGCTCACCACAGCCTCAAACTCCTGGGCTCAAGTGATCTTCCCACCATGGCCTTCCAAGTAGCTGGGACTGCAGTCATGTGCCACCACATCCAGCTAATTTTTTTAATATTTTTGTAGAGATGGGATCTCACTGTATTGCCCAGGATGGTCTTGAACTCCTGGGCTCAAGTAATCCTCCCACCTCAGCCTCCCAAAGTGCTGAGATTACAGGTGTGAGCCACCCCACCTGGCAGAAACTCTGTTTTAGGCAACTCTGTATTCCACTATGCTTGACCCAAAATAGGTGTGCATAAAATGTTTAAATATTTTCAGAAAAAAATAAAAAATAAATAAGGATATAAAATGAATTGTTATTTGACTTCAATAGGCTTTTACTTTTTAAAAACTTGCAGCAGACAGCTCTATTAAGATGGTCCCAACATGGTAGTCATGGTATGGGGTAGAACATCAACCTTGCTCCTAACCTACATTTTGGTTCTGGCCAGAATGAAGTCAATGCATTGGCTGGGCTATTAAGATGGAGACGTTGCAATGGTAGGAAGAGAGATCCAAAACCAAGAACTCTGGTTAGGTAACGTTTTGGAGAGATCATCCTGTCTGTGGATAAAGGAGTTGGCTTGTACCTTGTGTTTTCCAAGGAAGGACTCAGACCAGTGGGTGTTATTGGGGGTTGCTGTGATGCGCAGACCAGAGCACCCTCCCAATCAAACCTGTCAAACTAGCAAAATGGCTAATTCAGAAGAACTAAGTTTTTCAACACTGAACATAATCAAGCAGAGGGCATCCGACCATCAGATAATGAGCATCTCTGCATGGGGTGGTATATGATTAGGTTACCTTGAAGGTGACATTCTTCTCTCTAAGAGCCCTTGACTTCAGTCTGTCCATGGCACTAACATTTATTTTCTAATCCTGTTGTTCATTTAAGGTATGAATTTAACTGTCTATCCCAATTATATTTAGTCCATTTTCAGGACTGAACATTTAGGCAGAGATATCAGGTTAATTCAAGAGTGATCAATCAGTGTGTTAGAAGTTTGTTTGGGGTGAATCAGATTGTTCATGTCTATGTAGACATGACTTTTTTGCTGCCATTAATCAGACACCAACCTTTACTTGAGGCAGATTCTCTGAAGCCAGGTCTGATTTGCACTTTTAAACAATTGACTGCAAGAGGAAAATTGCTAAGTGAAGAGGCCGAGATGCACGTGTCTGCCACCAGGATTTCCAAAGCTCAGAATTCCCAGCCAAGCACCAGAATCAGGGAAGGCCTTTAAGAAATTCAGTTGTAGCTAATTTTGGTATAAATTCATCATTTTGAATTATGTATCCATTTAAATATTAAAGAAAAAAATTTTAAGGTGTTTTCTGATTACCAAAAATTAGACCATGAAGTATTTGTGTAACTCCATTCTCTCATGGCATCTTTTGCTGTATCATTTTTCAGGACAAGATGGCAACCTATTCCTGTTGCATTTTTACACATTTTGCAGAAATTGTAAGTGTGATACAATTGTGTTCACCATCATGTTTTTCTTCTCTTAGACAAGCGAAGAACATTGTGCTGAAGTTTGAAGGGAGGCTGACCAGGACCCGAGGCTACCAAGCAGCAGGTGCAGAGGTAATACAGAACACACATGTGGCTGGGCGCGGTGGCTCACACCTGTAATCCCAGTGCTTTGGGAGGCCAAGGGAGGTGGATCACGAGGTCAGAAGATCAAGACCATCCTGGCTAACACGGTGAAACCCCATCTCTACTAAAAATACAAAAATTAGCCGGGCGTGGTGGCAGGCGCCTGTAGTCCCAGCTACTTGGGAGGCTGAGGCAGGAGAATCGCTTGAGCCTGGGAGGCAGAGGTTGCAGTGAGCCGAGATCACGCCACTGCACTCCAGTCTGGGTGACAGAGTGAGACTCCCTCTCAAAAAACAAACAAACAAAACAACAACAACAAAAAACACACACACATGTGAGCACTGTGGTCTCCAGAGCCAGGAGGTTGTGTTTGCCATCACACTTGCCATCATACACAGGTTGCGAGTGCCAGTCTATAATACAGCTGTAGATCAGGATGATAGAGTTGAAAAGTATGAATTTCCTGACTTGAATTTTAGTCCTAGACGCCTTCCCTTCCCAATTGTGTGAAACTGGGTAAGCCTAATTCATCAGGAGAAAGGATGGCAAAAGTGATCTAGCACCTTTCCTGAGTTAATCCCACCCATATTCGTAGGTTTGATTCACCGTGTCCCTGTATACAGCTGTATTTCTTACAATGAGAAAGCTGCAGGTATATGCCAATGCTCATTTTATAATACAATGTTAAGGTTTTTGTTTGTTATTTTTCCCATTCAGTTACTTAAATGAAAAGTATACATTAAAATTATCTGCTTATAAAGTCATTTCATAAATGTGTAGAAACAAAGAAAAATAACTTCTCCTTCTATACCCCCTACTTCCCAATATAATGTCATTTTAGAAATTTCACATCAGTCATTGCATAATTATTTTCATACCATAACTGTAGTGTATATACATTTTTGTCTTGCCTCTTTTTTCACATAACACCATTATATTATTTTTTCCATGTTGCTATATAGTTTTTATATTTAATGGTTTTCAATGACTGTGTGGTATTCCATCAGATAAATGTATATTAATTTAATTAGTCATTTGGCCGCTGGTGGATATTTAAATTGCTTCCAATTTTTCATTATTATTAATAGCCCTACGAAGAACATCTTTGCACATATAGATTTTTCTATGTTTTTGAATTTTTTTCTTAGGGTGAATGCCAGAATTGCAATCCCTATAGAAAAGACTGTGGTCCATTGTTTGGCTTTTGATAAATATTTAAAGATTATTTTCTAAAAGCCTTGATGATTTATATCGCCATTATTAGTCTCATAATACCTGCACCAATGTTGATTATTACATTTTTTGTTTGTTATCTTAAGAGACAATAACTGACAGATACACTCTTTTTAGATTCTCTGAAACAAAAATATTCTTAATATAGCTTAAATTAAAGCTGGTCATAAATTTTACATGTCTGAAAAATTATAAACTATCAAAGAATCCCTAAGGACACATCTTGGCATTCTTTCTTCTTACTCTTCACAAAAATCTTCTTTACAATTCTAATCTGTTTTTATGACCAAATCATCCATGACTCCTTATTCCTGCCACACTATGATGGAGTTTATGAAATAAATTATCTTTTTGTAGACATATGAACTACCAAGCTCTTTTGTTTTCTCTAAATAAGCTGAAGTGCTACAGGAAGTAAAGTATTTCACCTGAATTCAAATGACCTATAATATATATATAACAATGAAAAGCTATTGAGACTTTTAGCAATAGTAAACTCAGTATTATTAAAGGTATAACTTGATAATGGGCTGAATTATTAGAAGCAGAGTTTTTACACTCAGTAAGGTAATCCAAATTTTTATCTCGCTCCTCTCTCCTCCATCCTCTTCTGTAAAACGCTCAGCTCGTGCTAACCCACAACTTGTACTGGCTGTTCTCCCCTTTTAGAAAGCCACTCTTCCCATTTACTTTTCATTTTCCTTTTCATTCAAGTCTCAGCTCAAGTATGACCTCCTCAGCTAGACCTTCCCTGACCTTGTTTAAAGGGCCTTTTCCTCCAGTCCTAATAGACTGTGTCCCATTGTGGCATGGACTTGCTTGTGACTGCCTTGTTGCTACCTGAATGCAAACTCCACACCAGCTGACATCTTGCATGTCGTGTTCACTATCTGCATTCACAGGAAAACACAACCTAGGTGCTTAATACATACTATGAATAAATATGCTTTTCATGAACTGTCATACATATTGTTAGATCTGTATGATACATACATGTATAATGATAAATGTATACATACATATGTATGTATAATGATATGTGCATGTATCACATATCTAACAACATGTATGATAGTTCATGTTGACATGTTGATAGGTCAACACAATCTAGGTGCTTAACACATACTATGAATAAATATACTTTTCATGAACTATCATATATGTTGTTAAATATCTTCTGCGTGGACATGTAAGTCTTTCCAAAGAAAGAACTTATTCTTAGTTACCAAAGCTCAATAACCCAAACCCACAATTAGGATCTATTTCTTCCAAGTTTAGTTTTTCTTTGTTTTGATTTTGCTTTTTTCTTTTTTTTCTTTTTCTTTTTTTTTTTTTTTGAGACAGAGTCTTGCTCTGTGGCCCACGCTGGAGTGCAATGGCACAATCTCGGCTCACTGCAACCTCTGCCTCCTGGGTTCAAGGGATTCTCCTGTCTCAGCCTCCTGAGTAGCTGGGATTACAGGCGCCTGCCACCACGCCTGGCTAATTTTTGTATTTTTAGTAGAGATGGGGTTTCACCATGTTGGTCAGTCTGGTCTCGAACTCCTGACCTTGTGATCTGCCCGCTTCAGCCTCCCAAAATGCTGGGATTACAGGCATAAGCCATCGCGCCCGGCCCTTTTTTCTGTTTCTTAAGAGCATACTTTATTCATCTTTGTACCATCTGTGGCTAGCCCTGTGCTTAGCATACAGTGAGCAGACAAGAGATGCTGGTCAAATGAAGAGTCAACTGCATTTAATTAAACTGTCTCATTTTCCCCTCCTCTCCCACCCCTTTTACTTTAGAATGCAAGGGATGGAAAAACTCTCTAAACTTTTTCAGAGGAGAAGAATATAGGAGGTCTTACATTTCACTTTCAGTATAAGTACAGCACTGGTCTTAGAGTTAAAGTATTATGGAAACGTTTGTTTTTATAAATATATCACAGGTTGGAGATACTGACATATAATAAGATAAAGTTATTAGCCCAAGGTTTAGTTGGCAACACCTTGACTGTATTTACTTTTATAATCATGAGAAACATTGCTTCAAACCATGTTTGTTATACATAATAAGCATATATAGGCCCCTGGTTTATGGCAGAAAACCTTTTTCAAAAAATTCGTGACATTAAGAAAACATTACAAGCATCAGCATATTCCTATATATGTGTGCTCAATTTCAAAATTTATTTGAGGATTTGTAGAAAATATCACTCTGAAGTGACTGTGAACTTCATTTTTGCAACACTACCAGGGTACAGAATTTTTATATTGATTTTTAAATTTTTTTTTTATTACAGTTTTATTTTTTATTTTTTTTTTTTTGGAATAATGTTTTTTTTTATTATACTTTAAGTTTTAGGGTACATGTGCACATTGTGCAGGTTAGTTACATATGTATACATGTGCCATGCTGGTGCGCTGCACCCACTAACGTGTCATCTAGCATTAGGTATATCTCCCAATGCTATCCCTCCCCCCTCCCCCGACCCCACCACAGTCCCCAGAGTGTGATATTCCCCTTCCTGTGTCCATGTGATCTCATTGTTCAATTCCCACCTATGAGTGAGAATATTGCTTTTTTCTTAAATTTTGAATTATTCCTGTTTCAAGGCTTTTGCTGTGGAGATTTGGTATAAATCATCAGAGAAGCATGAAACTTTTTCCCCCATGCCTTACTGAACACGTCATCAACAAATCACCTTTTTCAATCACATTTTCCTTTAAGAAGTTCCTTTAGGCCAACTTGCATAGACTCTTATTCCCAGAATGAGCATCTTGGGCCATTCAGTCCAGTGCTCTCTAACCTGAGTTCAAGGGCCCTGGCTCCTCAAGCACTACTGATGGGGTGGTGGGGGAGATTTTTTTACCCCCACCTACAAAAGTTGCCCTGCCTTAGCCCATTGCATGTATGAAAATTCTCATACAACTTTAAATTTAAAGAGAACTCTGAATGCCACTAATCAAATCTTACTTCTTATACAGATGGAGAAATGGAATCCAAGGAAATAAAATAACTTCCCCAGGGACACATAGTGAGATAGATGTGAAATTAGAGCTAGAACTCAGGTCTCTGGCTTTCCGCCCTGTGCTTCTTAGACTTCAGGGCTTTAAAACGGGCCAGAGACTCAATGCTTTCCAACACCAAGCCCTTGCCAAAGGATGATGGTGCACCCCTTCCTCGGGATACTGGGGGAATAAATGATCAGAAAGCCTGCCTCTCCCTCTCTATGCCCTAGGAGACAAGCCAGGTGAACAAAATTAAGGTAATGTAAGGTAGGATATGATAAACATTATGCGAGAGACCAAAAATTATTGCTGGGGGAGTTTACAAAGAGGAGAATTTCTTTTCTGGCTACAGAGATTCTGTGTTCATGGGAGTGGCTGTATTTGAGTTGGCTCTCAAATCATGAACAGAAGATGAACAACTTCTGATAAACTTCTGATAAAATTCAGATTTTCATTTACAAGCAGCCATTCTGGCCTCAGCAGACACGTCCAGAATGACATTACCATACATGTCTGTACCGGGACCATGTGTGGTCTTATAGTTCAGAATGTCATAATTACATTTGTAATCCCTCTTTCTGCAATGATATCATTTGCTTCCAGCACAAACCCAGATTGTTTGTGTGTTAAAATGCACAACCTGCCAACTTTGTTGGAAGCAGAACTAGTGTCAGGGCATATCTTGCTTTATTCGCTTTTGAGAAATGTTTTTTAAACTTTTGGCAATTGCATCTTAAAAACATAAGACAATTTTTTTTTTTTTTTTGAGACGGAGTCTCACTCTGTCCCCCAGGCTGCAGTGCAGTGGCACGGTCTCGGCTCACTGCAACCTCTGCCTCCCGGGTTCAAGCGATTCTTCTGCCTCAGTAGAGTAGCTGGGTCCACAGGCGCACGCCACCACACCTGACTAATTTTTGTATTTTTAGTAGAGACTGGGTTTCACTTTATTGGCCAGGCTGGTCTCGAACTCCTGACCTCGTGATCTGCCCGTCTTGGCCTCCCAAAGTGTTGGATTACAGGCGTGAGCCACCGCGCCTGGCCAAAAATACAAGACAAATTTTTAGACCTTATCCCTGACAGCTCTATCCAGGAAAGAGGCTGTAGCAGGAGGCGAGTCACACATTAGGGTGGGGCTCATTTTCAGGGTAGGCTCTAGACTCTTGGTCCTTAAACAGGGATGCACTTGTAATCACCTGGGGAGTCTGTTAGGCATCTGGATTCCTGGGGCACACTCTCAGAATCCCCTTAGGTTTATGACAGGATCAAGTGGATTTATTTAGATATCATTCCTCGAGTAATTTGTACTGTGTCTTGTGGTTTTAAGATGTAATTGCCAAAAGTTAAAAAGATTTTTTTTTCTCAAAGAGCAAGAGATACCCCTCATCAGGAATGGGATGGCTAATGCAAACTGCAACCCTATAGAATATCCACTTCAATACAGGCATCACGGCTCGGGTGGTGTCTGTATTGAGGTGCATATTATATGGGGCTGCAGCTTGCATTATTCCTCCAAAGCTGGTGTCCATTCACCTGGTTAGGAGCACAGACAAGGGAGCTACTTTGGTTCTAGTGCAGCTTAAAGGCCTATGAAGCCATAATCATAATTAAAGGTACCAGAGGGAGTGTCTGGTATACTCCATTTAGGTGCCTAGTACTGCACAGCCATTGCCATCTTCATGTACGTGACCTCTCTAATCCTGACCCCTCTTGTCTAGCTCTGGCGGAAATTTGCTCGTCTCGCCTGTAACTTTGTGGTCATCTTCATTCCCTGGGAAATGAGGATAAAGAAAATCGAGAGTAAGTATTTACACCTGGAGAGTGGGGCAGGAATGCAATGCTAGTGGCCAGTCACAGCCTAAGGAGAGTCTGCTGTGTTCTGGTCCTTATGCTGTGCAGCTGAGGGCACCCTCATAGCAGAGTCACTGGCCTCCATATGGAACAACAGACCCAGAAGACAAGATACCTGCCCCCACCACCTACCAGAATGGGAACAGTCTGGACGTGGGCCTTTCCACATTCCGCTGCGGCTCTGCTGTTCTCTCCCAGTTCATTCCTTCAGTCAGATATAATGCAAACCCCGAAAGGATCAAGTGAAAACCTATGAGGATGAATAAGAGGGTAGCTCAAGGAATTGCAAAACACAAATACAAAAATCTGCATTTTTATAGAGATAATTGTGCCCATTTAGAAAACATACGCCAAAAAATAAATAAATCATGTCTACGATCACACTGACACACACAATACCTGGAAGAGACTTAACAATAAGTCCAAAATATCCTGTGGTAAAATTATACCACAGGATAGAAAAGTCTTGTTAAAACACATATGAAGATTTAATATTTGGAAGATGTTAATTTTCCAAAAATTAATTTACAAGTTTGATGCAATCAAATAAAAATCTCAATGTATTGTTACCAAGTATTTAACAAAATGATCATAAAACTTATATGGAAGGAAAAATATCCAAGAGATTAATAAAAAAATTATAAAGAAGAATGCAAATGAAGTTGCATGATCAAGATATTAAAGTATATCATAAAGGTACAACAATTGAAGCAGTATAGCATAGTGTGGGAATTGATGGGCAAATCAAAGGAGTAAGCAAAAAATTCAGGGACAGACAGGAATACACTTAGACTTTTAGCATGCAATAATTATTGAAGTCAGTCTACTGCATAAATATCACTGGAACAATTGATTCAATTGTTTTAAAGAGTAAGTTTAACTCCTTCACTTAAAATTGATGGTATGAATGCAGAATGGAGACATATCTAATCATAAAAGTGAAGGAGGAAAAAGTACTGTTATTTTTAATTACCTAAAAAAAGAAAACTTACATACATAAAAAGTAAAGCTAAAAGTTAGATGACAAATTGGGAAAAACATGTTGAATATTTAAATGGATTAAGCACTTTGATATGCTGGCAGAAATGTAAATTAGGACAGTATTTCTTTTTTAAAAAGTTTTAATATGTACCAAAAGTCTTCAAAATGTTGTATACCTTGGTAATATGCTTCCGTTTCCAAAAAAAAAAAAAAAAGAGAAAACCGTAATAAACTAAACAAACAAGGCTGTAGTAGCTGCCATTAGTGCTGTACCCAGGTTGCCCTTCCTTGGCTAGTCTACCCTTTCCTCAGCTGTTGAGTATGGACTGCTTGTCACTCAGCTGCTCCCCTTCAGAGAATTGCCCCAGGACTACCTCCTATCACCCCAATCGCCCACTCACCACCTAGAGTCTAGAGGCAGTGACCATTGACAGAGGGGCATTCAAGTCTGATCCCTTGCTCCAAGTGGGACCAACTCAGTGGTGCAATTCATGCTGCAGAACTGCTGGTGGGATAGACTCAGCTAGGGTGCAGCTAAGATCGTGCCCTTCCCTGGCTCTTTCCCCCGACCTTCCCTGACTCCTTCACAACTTCTCTACGGAGAGTGCTTCCTCAACGAATCACCTGTAGCCAAATCCCTTTCTCAAGCTCTGCTTCTAGGAAACCTTACCTTAGACAGATATTATTTATTATAGAACTATTCAACCTGGTGAACAGTTGGAAATGTCCTAAATGTCAAGTCATGGGGAATAGTTTAAGTAAGTTATGGAAAATTTACTTAATGGAACAATAAAATTTATTTTATAGAAGAGTATTTTTGGCAAGAGAAAATGCTTGTAATATATTGATAATTTAAGATGTATGCTGGAGAGAAATGCCAATCTTATACAAAAACATTATTTGTATAGAATAATTGTGGAGGGTTACACTAAAAGTTTAATAGAAACTAATTCTAATCGTGATTTTAATTTAGTGATCACAGAATGGGTAATTTTTCTTGTCCTTGTGATGTTTTGTGTTTTGCTACTCATTATGACAAACATAAACTAGATTTGAAATAAAAATTTAAGAGTTTTTTTTTTTAATGACATAAAACTACCTACTCCAGAATGCTGTCAAATTGTTGCCTACATCCTCATCTGAGTTCTTCTATGCTCCTGGATTTTCTCAATAGATATAAATTTGTTTTTACTATGCTTTTTATTTTAGAATAAGTTTAGATGTATAGAAAAGTTGGAAAGAGAATTCCCGTGTACCCTTCACCCACGGTCCACTATTGTGAACATCTAGCAAATGGTGTTTTATCTTGAAATTAAGGCAAAAAGACCCTTAGCAAAATCCTTGAAATTCTCAAAATGGTGCAAAATAGATAAGAAATATGCCAAATTCTTAAAAGATGCTGATACTTGTTAACATACATGAAATATTGTAAATTTGATAAGACCATTTTAGATAAGTAAGTCATTAGGGAAGTGACTATCAAATAGCATTTTAGGCAAACTAGAGACTTTTCCTGCCTATAGAACTGATAGATATTCAGGGGCATCTTGATCTGTCTGAGTTAACATTTAGGAAGGAACACCTCGATTGGTACAATAATGGCATTCTTACTCTATGTCCCGTGGATGTAAAAAAAATTATGGTGTTCTTTTTGTAGGATTTCTTGCACTATGAGGATTTTATTTAAACTGTTCTCATTATCTTGTCTTTCTTTAGGTCATTTTGGATCTGGCGTTGCCTCCTATTTCATATTCTTGAGATGGTTATTTGGAATTAATATTGTGCTCACCATTATGACAGGTGCTTTTATTGTCATTCCAGAGGTAAGATGTTTCAGGAAAGTACCACTCATTACAAAGAGGAGACATTACAGCAGTCGCATAAAATGGCTCCTCTGGTTATCATTGTGGGGATGAAAATATATGTGTTTGTGTAAAGCAGGGCTTGGCAAACTTTTTCTGTAAAGGACCACAGAATAAATACTTTAGGCTTCATGGGCTACTTGGTGTCCGTCACAATGACTCAAATCTGCCGTGTAGCACAAAAGCACCTGCAGACAGTATATCAACCAGTGGATGTGGTTGTGTTTCAATAAAATTTTATTTATGAATACTGAAATTTGAATTTTATATAAATTATTTTGATTTTTTTCCCCAACCACTTAAAAATGCAAAACTATTCTTAGCTCTTGGGCCATACAAAAAGGCCATGGGTTGGATTTGGCCAACCAGCCAGTTTGCCAGCCCAAAGTTGAAATAATACCCAGACTGTGTACATTATTCAGATTATGGGAACACTAAAGCCCAGACCTCACCATAGCATGATGTATCCATGTAACAAAACCGCACTCGTGCCCCTTACATTTACATAAAGAAATAAAATCCATTTCTCAACTAAACTTCATCCTCAAAAAGTAAATGGGCCATTTCCCAACAGGGGTCTTAATAATCCACCTGTAGAAACCATGTCTAGCTCAGAGAGAGTACATCCAGGTGAGCTCTAATCAGGCAAAAAGAAAATCTGGCCGCCCAAGATTAATTTTTCATTAATGAAAATCAAGCAGAAATCCACCCCCTGGAGATCTCTTATGTGTGGCATTTTCACAAGCACATGGAGATCAACCTCTCATTTTCTCCCGGTCCCCTCCCACCCAGAGGACCACATGACATGCTTTCTTCTCTCACCAGCTGATTGCAGGCCAGCCCTTTGGAAGCACAGCCAGGAAGACCATCCCCAAGGAGCAGGTTTCGTCTGCCCAAGACCTGGACACCGTCTGGTCTCTGGGGGTGAGATTGATGCTTGGCCACACTCTTGTCTTGAGGGAAGGGGTGAATGGGCCACAGTTCTGAGACCTGGGAACGGGAAGCAGAAATGACACTGAGTGTTTTCTTTGCAGGGCTACCTCCAGTACTCTGTCCTCTTCTACGGATATTACGGCAGGGAGAGGAAGATCGGGAGAGCTGGCTACCGGCTGCCCTTGGCGTATTTCCTAGTGGGGATGGCAGTGTTTGCTTACAGCTTCATCATTCTTTTAAAAAAGTATGACTGCTCAATTTCTCAAAATACATATCAAGCGTTATGATATGTGTAATGGAAGTATTTTCTTACAGCTTCATCATTCTTTTAAAAAAGTATGACTGCTTGATTTCTCAAAATACATATCAAGTGTTATGATATGTGTAATGTCATCTAATCTTGTCAATAGCCCTGTAAAGTTAAGGCATAACTGTATCCATTTTACAGATGAGAAGAACCAAGGCTAAAAGAGGCATGTTCATTTTAACAAGTACTTATTGAACACTTACTGCTTTGTACTAGGTCCTATATTGGGCCTGGAAATACAAGAATCATATGGATTTACCAGTTCATGTAATTTTAGACAATGTGGTAGCTGCACTAATAGGGACATAAGCAATATGATCTAGGTGACCAGAGGTTGCAAAAAGCAAAAGGTCCTCCTTTGGTTGTATGTTTGTTTGCCTGTGACCTAGCTACAAATTCTGCAAAGGCCAGGCTTGTCTGTGCTGTGATGCAGTTGGCACCTCTAGGTCATCACTGGGGAGGCAAAATGCAAAAGACGCAATCTGGTGGGGGTTAGGAGCTCTGCACCACCCCGACTGTGAGACCTGTAGGAACTCACCTTCCTTCCCTGAGCCTCATCTGTAAAATGGGTAGGTTGGCTCAGAACATCACCAGGTCTTCCGTGTGGGAGCTAGAGAAATGCAGACTGATAAGGAGGCTCCAAATCCCGGGGAAAAGCTGGCCCCACCCACGCTGGTTCATCTGCTGCTTCTGCTTGATTTGTGTAACCACCCTTCATTGCCCAACCCCCTTGTGGCATGTTAGCAAAATGCAGATAGAAGCACTTGGGGTAAAAAAAGACAATAAACAAATAAACAAAACTTGAGGAGGTGCATAATGACCTAGGGGCCTTCAGTTCCCCTGAAGCTTTCCAGCTTAGCTCCTGGTGGCTTCCAGGACCCACATGGAAGACTCGGGCCCTTTACTAGACATACAATGTAAGAGACAGATTAGAGCAAACTTGGAAGCAAGAAATATGGATGGAGAGGAGAGCTTATTACAGGAGAAAGGCTCTAAAAAGTAGGGAGAGTTTCACCTAAGGAGGGTTGATGACTCCTGCCTTCAAATATCTAAAGAAATGTGGGAAAGAGGGACTCAGCACGTTACGTGGAGTCCCACGGGGTGGAGTTCCCATGGGAAGGAGCTCCAAGAAGACTGATTCAAAGGAAAATTTTATTTCACAATCACAGCTGCAAAGAGATGAGAACAGCTGGCTCCTGGGGCACACACACCTGCAGTGACCTGCTGGGCACCACAGTGGTGGGAGTCCTTGTCAAATGAACTCATATAATAATGGGCCATTGCAGTTTTCACACTGTTCCAAAGTGTTGCTGAGGTCACAAGCATGGGCAGAAATCCAGTCGGTGCTCTCCTGTCCAAGCTGTGACCCGAGGAGCTGCGTCCACCCAGAGGGGTGCAGCCTATGCTAATTCACACAAAGGCTCCATGGGTGCTAGCTACAGCCCCCTATTCCTGAGACTCCCAAGACCTGTTTGTGCTCCTCTTTTGCAGGATGGCTAAGAACTCCCGCACGAGTCTTGCCAGTGCTTCCAATGAAAACTATACCTTCTGCTGGCGGGTGTTCTGTGCCTGGGATTACCTCATTGGAAACCCAGAGGCTGCAGAGAGCAAAACAGCTGCCATAGTGAACAGCATCAGGGTGAGTGAGTGAGCCTGTGCAGCCTGCGGGGGTGGGCAGCTCAGGGTCAGAGCCAGCCGCTGGCCCTCAGCTGGAAGCCAGAACCATCCTCTTCCCATTGATGTTCATTGTCCAGGGCAGTTGTTTCCAAAGTGAGGTGAACATGCTCCAGGAAATGTACCAAATAACTCAATGAAGGGAGGGAGAAACATTTTGAAACTCCTTTCTTTTTAAACTTTTCCATTTTATCCTTTTAAAATTTCAGTTTGTATATTTTAGATAATTTACATAATGGATTATTACCATGATGCATGTATATAACCTGAAAATGAGCGAATACATATATGTGAGGGATATAGGCTTTTACTTTTAACTTAGAAAATAATGCAATCAAAAATATTCAGAGACTTAGCTCTATTGAACTATACAGACAGCTAAATGGTGCACTATTTTGAGAAAAAAAATCTACTTAGATAATTTAAATTACAGCCATACTATCTCCCAATCCCTCTTCCCAACCGCCAATATTTTTTCAATTGATTAGATTATTGATATCTAATTCATTTATATCAATTGAATCCTACAGAATAAAGTCTTAGACAATGAAGGTATGAGCTAAATTACTGGGTAAATTATTTCTAATGATTTATAATTAATGATGATGCTAAGCTTTTATTGCTGTATGTATTTTTCTTAAAGGAAGCTATATTGGAAGAACAGGAGAAAAAGAAAAGCAAAAACCTGTAGGTATTATTACTCCCCATGCTGAATTCATTGATAAGTTTTATTTTTAGTTTGGTACAAAAACTACCAGATCATCTATATCTTATTTTCATAATTGTCAGGCAGCTCTTCTTTCTTCCTTTCTCATAATGTGATCTGAGGGAACTGAATGATTTTTTCCTTAGCAATATTTAGGACGACTTCCTCCTTCCATAGATCCTGTAACAAGGGTCACAGGGTCTGAAATTGACCAGTTTCTTATTTCTTACTCTTTTACTTAGATAATAAAAGAGGTATTTTGAGCACCAACTTATGCTGTTAAGACTAGTTTTATTTAGAAACTAGTCATAAGACACAAATATTATCCAGTTGGTGTTCACAAGCCTTTCAAGATGATTTCCTAGGTTCAAGATTCTTCTCAAGATCTTGAGAGCTATGCTGGTGAGGGTGAAGCCCTTCAAACAGAGAACTAATGAAAGGGAAAGCCATTCCCAGGGAAGGGCAATGGCCCTGACCTCATGAAGACAGGTAGGTCTGTTCATCCCACATCCTTACTGGTTATTTAGCCCTCATGATTAGTTTCCACAGTGCAGAAAGCCCATTCGGAGGACTTGTACAAAAGGACATGGGGAATTAAGGAAACACACCCAGCCTCTGGAATAATGAGGGAGCTTAGGGAGTGGGGGAGGAGTTGGAAAGGGCTGTCCATAGGGAGTCAGAAGACATGGATTCTAGTCCTCTCTGTCATTAATGTCGATAACCTGGGAAATGCTCCTGAACTTCATGAACCTGAAGTTCCTCACCTATAAAAGTATGGGATTCTGCCATCTGATTCTTTTTCTGTAGCTCTCCTCCACCAGAGTTGATAATAATAATAACAACATACTGTGCCATGTTGTTATTTTTACCAAGCAAAGTGACATTTATCTTCTCATTTGGGAATGTTTCCTCATTGTGCAAATCAAGGGCCAAAACATGTGTAGAGGGAAGAGTTGTGATCTGCCCAAGGTCCCCAGTGGGTAGAAATTTCATGGAGAAGATAGTATACCTTGGGTGCCCCTTCAAATCCTCTTGGCCATACTTTTCTCCAGCCCTTGCTACTGGGCAGGACTGTGCAGGCCACCACCAGCTGCACACATGTACCCCTTGCTCGTACCCGCTGTTTGGTGCCCCAGGGATCTTCTGAGGCTGCTGCATAGGGAACCCACAAGATCCCAGTCAACACACATGCACGTGCAACCAAGAGGCTGGGTGCAATGCTGGGAGTGAATGCTCATGGAGCTACCCTGAACCGCTGGGAATAGAAGAAATGCTTTCCTATTTCACACTGGGCAAACAGTTCTGTCAGGCATTTCATAAGCCCCTCAGAAGGCCCTGCATTTGCCTCTAGCTGCTGCCAACCCCATTGCATATCCTTGTACTGATGGCCCCTCTCTCCTGCTCCACTCCAGGACCTCCACTCCTGCTTTCTGGGATCAACCTCCACTCCTGCTTTCTGAGATCACTTCCCAAATAAACTATCTGCAAAAAGGACTGGGATTCCAGGCCTTAGCCAGGCTAAGACAAGCTCCAAAGTTGGCAGAAGAAGGTGCCTTCAAAATAGGCCAATTGAAGTCAGACAGGGAGTTGTCCTCCAGTGTTAGAAAAAAATGGATATGTTTCAGTTAAAACCAGAAACATGTATGTAAGTACTAGAATCATTACTGATTCACACACCTGCCCTCACTATCAGAGGCATATGAGAAGTGAGACCAAATTAGGAAAGAGATGAGCCCTGTGTCTCCCATCTCATGGGCAATTAGTTGCTCCTTTATTTACTTATTCATCTAGCAAATATTTATGAAGCATCCATATATGCTAAGCCTGTTTTAAGAGCTGAAGATAACAGCATTGAAAAAGGCTAAAAAGCTTAGAGCTTACTTCTAAAGAGAAAAGACAATTAAGAAACTACCAAAGGAATAGTCAGATGTTGCATAGTGACAGGATCACATTCCAAGAAATGTGTCTTTACACAATGTTGTCCTTGTGTGAACATCATAGCATGTACTTACACAGAGCTAGATGGTATAGCCTACTACACACCTAGGCTATATAGTATAGCCAATTGCTCCTAGGCTACAAACCTGAACAGCATGCTACTTGTATTAAATACCGTAGGCAATTGTAACACAATGGTATTTGTGTATCTAAACATATCTAGACATAGAAAGGTACAATAAAAATGTGGTATAAAAGATTAAAAAATGGTACACCTGTATAGGGAACTTACCATGAATTAGCTTACAGGACTGGAAGTTGCTCTGAGTGAGTCAATGAATGAGTGATTAGTGAATGTGAAGGCCCAGGACACAACTGCATACTAGCGTAGACTTTATAAACACTGTACATTTAGGCCTCACTATATTTATTTCTTAAAGTTTCTTTAATAATAAATTAATCTTAGTTTACTGTCACTTGTTTATGAACTTTTAAATTTTAAAAAACTGTTTGACTCTTGTAATACTTAAAACACAATCACATTGTACAGCTGTACAAAAACAGTTTTTCTTTATATCCTTATTCTATAAGCTTTATTTTTAATTTTTTTAACTTTTTACACTTTTTTTGTTAAAAACTAAGACCAGGCCGGATGTGGTGGCACACACCTGTAATCCCAGCACTTTGGGAGGCCGAGGCGGGCAGATCACCTGAGGTCAGGAGTTTTGAGACAAGCCTGATCAACATGGGAAAACCCAGTCTCTACTAAAAATACAAAAATTAGCCAGGTGTGGTGGCAAATGCCTGTAAATCCCAGCTACTCAGGAGGCTGAGGCAGGAGAATCGCTTGAACCCAGGAGGCAGAGGTCGCAGTGAGCCGAGATTGTGCTATTGCACTCCAGCCTGGGCAACAAGAGCAAAATGCCATCTCAAACAAACAAACAAACAAAAAACAAACAAACAAAAGACTAACACACACATTAGCCTAGGCCTGCACGGAGTCAGGATAATCAATATCACTGCCTTCCACCTCCACATCTTGTCCCACTGGAAGGTCTTCGGGGCCATAACACGCACGGAGGTGTCATCTCTTATGGTAACAGTGCCTTACCCTGGATGCCTCCTGAAGGACCTGCCTGAGGCTGTTTTACAGTTAACATTTTGTTTTAAATAAGTAGAAGTATACCCTAAAATAATGATTTAAAAAATATAGTAAATACATAAGCCAGTAACAGTCATTTAATTCATTATCAAATATGTACTGTACATAATTGTATGTACTATACTTTTATACAACTGGCAGTGCAGTAGGCTTGTTTACACCAGCATCACCACAAATGTGAGTGCAATGCATCATGCTACAATGTCCTAGGCCATAGGAATTTTTCAGCTCCAATATAATCTTATGGAACCACTGTCATATATGCAGTCCGTCATTGACCAAAATGCCATTATGCGGCACATGACTGTACAATGTCAGATTCATTATATGGGATGACAGGCAGAATCATGTGTCCTCCCTTCCTCTCTTCCTCCCTGCCTTCCTTCCTCCCTCCCTCTGCTGAACACATTTACTTGAATTCCTATATCTTTAATGTGCATACCACAAGACTCCAATTTCAAGTAGTGAAGCTAGAACTGAACCCCAAATACTCTGACTCTAAAACAAGAGGCGTTTATTTGTTCGTCTGTTTGTTTCAAACCCCACTGATGCAGGCTGGTTGAATTTATGACTGGTCGTTGATCTCTTAGAAAATGAGGAATTCTAGGGTGCTGGGTGGGGTGGGCTGGAAGTGCATTGATGCTTCAGGGCAGAGAATCCTCTTGGCAATGGATGTGTTCCAGTCCCCAAGTAGTGTTGTCTTTGCATCGTGGTGCTGTGAGCAGGACCCTGTGTACCGTTCTCATGCCTGTTTCTCTCCCCAGGGCAGTGACCATCTGCCTGAGGATTATTGCCAACATCCTGGTGCTTCTCTCACTGGCTGGGAGCATTTATCTCATCTACTTTGTGGTGGACCGGTCCCAGAAGCTGGAGCAGTCGAAGAAGGAGCTGACACTTTGGGAAAAGAATGAGGTACCCACTGCCATTACCTGCAGCACCCTAGAAAAGAGACATAGCTGGGCACAGTGGCTGATGCCTGTAATCCCAGCACTTTGGGAGGCTGGGGCAGGTGGATCACTTGAGGTCAGGAGTTCCAGCCCAGCCTGGCCAACATGATGAAACCCCATCTCTACCAAAAACACAAAAATTAGCTGGGCGTCGTGGTGCACACCTGTAGTTCCAGCTACTCAGGAGGCTGAGGCAGGAGAATCCTTGAACCCAGGCGACGGAGGCTAGAGTGAGCCAAGATCACGCCACTGCACTCCAGTGTGAGCAACAGCGCGAGACTCTGTCTCAAAAAAAAAAAAAAAAAAAAAAGAGAGAGAGAGAGACACAGAAAAGTAGCCTGCCTCTCTGTTCCTTATGTAAGTTAGGTGGGAATATCTCTAGGAAAAAACTTTAGTCCTCTTGTCCTAGAGCATTGACTATAAGGACTTTGAGCCAGAGGGGCAGCACTAAGGCTTGGCAATTTTATTCATCTCCTTTGGGAAAGAGTTTGATTCAAAAACACCTTCAAGCATTTACACCGTTCTCTACCTTTGAGCCTCACCGACTGTGTTTTGCCTTTTGCACATCTGTTTCTTCACATCCATGTTCCACATTCCTGCAGACTGGAATTAACAACTACACTTATTCCATAGTATGGATTAAAGTTGACCAGGTGTCATTCGTGAATATTTAGGTAGTTTCTGAATATCTAAATGACAAATAATGCTTCCAGAACCAGCTCTACACAAATGGTTTGTTTTTTAAACAATCTTCTCCCCCCCAACCCCCGTTGTGTGAATATTCCCATAAATAGAAAATCACCAAGTGAACGGTTATGAACAATTTTGGAATTCTAAATATTCATTTTAAGACCATTGTCCTGAAAGGTTGGCCCAATTTATCTATACAGATTTGAAAGGCAGAAATAGCACAAAAACCACCTCTCTGACCATTTCTATGAAAATTATTTCCCTCTTTTGGGATTTAAAAAGAAAGATGTGTAAGATGGCCATCAATTTACCGTGTGCATATTTATCAATGTACAGTAATTTATCAAAATCTGAGCCCACCCTAGATAATCTTTTCCCATGCCTCTATTTTATGCCAATTGAGTTGCTGTGTGCTTGTATGTTTACAGACAGAAATATGAATAGTTTTTGAAAGATATATTCAGAAATTATTTCTTATTTTATCTCAAACATCTTCTGTACCAGCTAAAACTCCTCTTTCTTCTGCTCTAAGTACAAAAGCCAGGCCTAATTCTCTAGATAATTAATCTTCCATGTACAGAAAGAATATTACATTACCTCTCAGGCTTTCCTTTTCTATTGGTAATAGTTGCAGTTATTTCCATCTTCCATCCAAGGTCAGGGAAGTATAAATACTGTGAGATGGTAATTGGGGAAAATGTGGCAGAAATGCTAGTGAATCCTTTTTGTTTTTTGAGTCAAGGTTTCACTCTGTTGCCCAGGCTGGAGTGCAGTGATCCAATCACAGGTCACAGCAGCCTTGAACTTCTGGGTTCAAGAAATTCTTCTGCCACAGTTTCCCAACAAGCTGGGACCATAGGCATGTGCCACTTTTTTTTTTTTTTGGTAGAGATGGGGTCTTGCTGTGTTGCCCTGGCTGGTCTTAAACACCTGGCCTCAAGCAATTCTCTTGCCTCAGCCTCCCAATGAGTTGGGACCATAGGCATATGCCAGCTTTTTTTTTTTTTTTGTAGAGATGGGGTCTTGCTGTGTTGCCCAGGCTGGTCTTCAATGCCTGGCCTCAAAAAATTCTCCTGCCTGGGCCTCACAAGCCTCCCAAAGTGTTGGGATTACAGGTGTGAGCCACAGCACCTGGCCTAGTGAATCCCAAATGGGATGTATGAGTGTCCTCAGAACATTTAAGGAGAGTTCAAAAAAAAAAAAAAAAAAGACCATGATAAAGTGGTGGCCGCCTTTTGAAAAAAGTTAATTAGCAGAGATTTGGGGGGATTTTCCATGGAGGATCCAAGGACCCTGTGGAAAGCCACTGATCCAATATTAGGGAAAGAGATCAAATGCACATGGTGAGGGCTGGTGGGGGGTCCTGGGAATGTCTGGCTCTGGCATGTGCTCTCTCAGCAGGTCAGTGTGGTGGTCTCCCTCGTCACCATGATAGCACCATCAGCCTTTGACCTCATTGCTGCCTTAGAGATGTACCACCCCAGGACCACGCTGCGCTTCCAGCTTGCAAGGTACAACAGTCCTGCCCAGAAATGCCACCTGTGGCTCACCCATGTGCCCACCCACAGTGGGAATGTAAGTGCCTCAAGAGCCAGGGCTTGCTTCTTTTCTCTCAGACAATCAGCACAGAACTTTACCTATGGATGCAACTCAAGAAAAGCATAACCCAAGAGGAGGGATAGGGGAGGAGGCAGGGGAAGAGGAGGAGGAAGGGAGGAGGAGGACCAGGATGACAAGGGTAGAAGAAAAGAAATGAAGAAGAGGAAGAAGAGGAGGAGGAGAAGGGAAAGGAATAAAGGAAGAACAGGCAGAAAAAGAGGACACAAAAGGGAACCAAGGGTCGGGCGTGGTGGCTCACGCCTGTAATCCCAGTACTTTGGGAGGCCGAGGCGGGTGGATCACCTGAGGTCGGGAGTTCAAGACCAGCCTGACCAACATGGAGAAACCCTGTCTCTACTAAAAATAAAAAAAAATTTAAAAAATTAAAAAATAGCTGGGCGTGGTGGCGCATGCCTATAATCCCAGCTACTCGGGAGGCTGAGTCAGGAGAATCGCTTGGCAGAGGTTGAGTCAAGGTTGCGGTGAGCCAAGATCACACCACTGCACTCCAGCCTGGGCAACAAAAGCGAAACTCCATCTCAAACAAACAAACAAACAAATGAACAAAAGGGAACCAAGAAGAGGTCTGGCAGTGTCTGGTTTTCCCCACTGTTCTGTTTTCTCCGTGGTTTAACTCTGAGTGGTGAGAGGGACCCATGTTGTTTTTCCAGACGCAAGAAGAACAGTCAATGCTTTGTGAACAGTTCCCCCAAAGTACAGACTCAAAGAGTTCCTTGTAGATATGCCTGGAAGCTTTGCCAGGACAGTCAGTGGCTGTGACAGCAGGTGGTTGAGGAAGACCTGAGCAACAGTAGGCTGATGCACCTGAGGGGACGTCCTGAGACACCTTCTATGGGAGTCAGAACAACCACACTCATTTTGAGCACTGGCTTTATCAGTATTTTCCTGAAAAATTTGCCTGTTCTCCCCGGAGTATGGTCTCTTCATTTACAAATTTAGCTACTGTAGTAGGGCTGGGTGAGGCATTGTTAAACTGAATGTGGCAGAGGGAGGCAGTGAGAGCCCTGCTTACCTGATCTCACCTTCAACCTGGTCTACACTAGTTTCTCCCCATTTCCTCTTGTAACACCTAATAACATTCTACAGAACTAATTTTCCACAGACCACTTTGGGAAGATTTGCTCTCATTCAGGAATTGGCAAACATCTCCCAAAAAGAACTAGATAGTAAATACTTGTGGTTTTGTGGGTCACACAGTCTCTATCACCACTACTCAACTCTAAGGTTCTAGCATGAAAGCAGCCACAGACCATACGGCGATGAACAGGTGTGGTCGTGTTCCAATACAACTTTACTGACAAAAATAGGCAAGGGTACGGTTTGGTTTGAAGGCCATAATTTCCAACCCCTGAAATTCAACTGTCATTTCAAAGAGAGAAAACATGACTAGGAAGAGCATGGAGTTGGTCAAACCTTCATGGCCCAGGGTAGATCTGGGATGAGCCTCTCAGCCCACTGGCTATTCCTGGTTCTTTCTGCTCCACCCAACACGTCTTTTGACCTGCAACAGAGAAGCTCCTTCCTCACTAGCAAGTATTGGGTGGAATCAATTCCATTATTGCATTTGGTCTAAAGGCAATGCTATTATATAAATTGGCCTCGTTACTCATGTTGAAAACTAGAGAAACAGAGGCATCAGAGACTTCCCCCAGACAAATTAGGGCTAATTCTGGTAATAAGCATAAGACATATTATTTCAGTTCCATTAACTCACCAGCAGACTGTGTTACCTTCTATCCAAGGCACAGAGTGATGGTAATGCCAAGACAGCAGGAGAGGAAATGCATTCAATCCTTCCTTTGGCCAACACTTACTGAATACACACTGAGGGGCTTGCCTTGTACTCAGTACTGTAAATGCACTGTGCCCACGGGAATCCCGTCTCAATTCAGAGGGAGAGCCCATGTGAGTTATAATGCTGTCCCCTGGAGATGCCACTTTCCTGTTTCTCTGCCCACTGCCTGCACACGGGTGGTCAACTTTATACTTGAGGAGATGCGGAAGGCCTGGGGGGATGGTTTCAACTTGGAGTCTTTTCCTCAAGATAAAGATGCTTTCCCATCAACTTTCTCAATTGGTTTCACGATTCTCCCATCAATTGGCTTCATTTTTCTCCAAGGGCTAAGTGTTGTCTCACTGAAGTGTGTATAAACCTGTCGTTTCCTTTCTCACTTCATTTTCCCAGACAGGTTTCCAGTAAGAACCAAGGCTGCATCCTGGGAAATTCCATGATGTGTTTCCAAAACCTTCCAGCACTAGGGAAACTGACATCAAGTCTTTGATCATTGGCTGATCCAGACTGTTGCTGGCAGGTTCCATTCACTCCCAGTGGCTGACAGGGTGTAGTTGTACCCACAGCTTTTCAGTGCTTCTGAGGGGTCCAGCCTGTATTTCAGAAGCAGAGCACTGAGGTCCTGAAATTGCATTCTGCTGCTTTTTAATTGTGTGAACTTGAGCTGGTGACTTAGCTCCCTCTGCGCTTCAATACACTTGTCCCTTAAGTGGGGATTATTACAGAGCTGCTATGAGGATCAAATGAGATAATGCATGGGAAATCAATTCATAAACCAGAAAGCATGACTCATAAACTACACGTTTTAGGGCCCCACTTCCTAAACTCACATTTTCTGCTACACTAGTGTTTGTAAAGTACAGATCCAAGGATGGGCTATAGCAGAATCACCTGGAAAGGCTGTAAAACAATTTCCAGACCCCTTCCAGACCTACTAAGGGTGGATTCTGGAATTCTTTTTAAAAATGCCCGCAAGGTGATTCTAGAGGAAACCAAGTGTGGCAGCCACTGCCTTAATATATCCATGACAGTCTTTAGAACCATGTGGGGGCTCTAGAACCACGGACTTCTATGCCATGGTCTTGTTTCTCAAGGTGGGCTTGTGGCTTTCAGGGTCCTTGTGCTGTATTTGGGAAATCTCTACAGCCTGATCATTGCTCTCCTGGACAAAGTTAACAGCATGAGCATTGAGGTGAGTGCCCATCCCAGATAGTTGCCTGCCCCACCTCTGCCCTCTCTGCTACCTCCTCCCAACACCAGGGTCATCATCGTGGACAGGATCACTGCTTATACTTGTACTCCATAATCATGTGCAAAACTTGACTTTGCTGGAGTCTTCTCAAGGTAAGGAGAGAAAAATGATCCCTGTTTCCCAGATAAAGAAACTCAGGCCACAGTGCATGACTAGTAAGTGATGGTGCTGGGATGAGAACTCCAGAATTTTTGACTCTTTGTATCATACTACCCCATTTCTTTGAATCCCATCAGGAAAAGGCTATCAACAGCTATTGCAAACGATCACAGGAAGAGCAGCAGGCCATGGGACTCACTCAGAAAGTCAGGACAGAATAATCATTTCATGGGGAACAGTTCAGAGGGGACTTACTATCCCAGCCCAGCAGGAGTATTTGCTCCCAACCTAGAGTAGCTTTGGTGTCCACCTTTTTTTTTTTCTTTTTTGAGACAGGGTCTCGCTTTGTTGCCCAGGCTGGAGTGCAGTGGCACAATCACTGCTCACTGCAGCCTCAACCTCCCTAGGCTCAAGTGATACTCCCATCTCAGCCTCCAGAGTAGCTGGGACTAGAGCTGCGTGCCACCGCTGCATCTGGCTATTTTTTTTTGTATTTTTTATAGAGATGGGGTTTCACCATGTTGCTCAGGCTGGTCTCAAACTCTTGGGCTCAAGCGATTCCCCTGCCTCGACCTCCCAAAGTGCTGGGATTACAAGTGTGAGGCATCACGCCCAGCCTGATGTCCACTTTCAACCTGCCCCACCTATAAGGATATCCTGAATGGGGGAGGAAAGGGAGTAAGACAGGGGGTGCTCTTTTAGGGTTGTTTGCCCAAGGCATATCACACTAACATCAAATTTCAAGGCCTATAGGCAGACGAGGCCACAGAGAATCATTTTTCTGCATTGGGGCTTTGAGGTTACATAGACCTGGGTCTTTACCTGACACTTACTAGCAGCGTGACCTTGAGCATTAGGTTTCAACTCACTGAGTTTCAATCTCCTCATCTGAACATGAGGTAATAATCGTTATCTAAAGCTCTTGTGAGGATAAGTAGAGTTAACATGTGTTACCTAAAACAGTTTCTGACCCTTACTAGGGATGAATAAATATTATCCATTACACCTCTGTGTTCCCTTATTGGGGCCAACTCTAGTCAAGTGATGGTCTAGAAAGAGAAAGAGGATGAATGATTACTCCCAAGCAATGCAATGACACCCTTGGGGTCCATGATGGATTCTCATTTACAAATATGTGGACCGCCATTTTCCTTTCTCCCCTGCTTCCCTCTCTCTCTCTCTCTCTCTCCCCAGGAAATGGCTACCAAAAATAACACAAGTCATTGGATAGATTCCACCACCTTCTTTGCAACCAGGACAGCCCCTGAAGAAGAGAAATGGTCCACATCTCGGCCTGGAATGGGGCTCAGGAGAAACAACACATGGGCCTTGGAAGAGACCAGCATTTCAGCTTATACCATGCCTCTTATAAAGGCCAACAAGACTAGCCTCCACACTCAGAGTCCACAAGACCAGTGCTGGGAGACATACGTTGGTCAGGTGGTTCTCTTTACCCTTACAAAGCTCTGTCATATCCATCTCATCACTTAACCCCAGCAACTCTCTGAGCTGTCACTGCCCCTATGTTATAGAAAAAAGAAAAGTTCAGTGAGGTTTATGATTTTCCAAGCCTCAAAATTAAAAAAGAAAAATAATCAGTGCAAAGATTCAGCCAATATTGACCGCATGCTGGGTCCTGTCCTAAATGCTTGGTCCTCATAAGAGTCCTATTATTGTCACCCTTATAGGCACAGATGAGGAAACTGAGGCACAGTGGTCAAGTACTTGCCCAAGGACACAGATAGTAAAGAGCAGAATGAAGTCCTGAACCCAGGAATCTGCTCCAAAATCTGTACCCTTAACCATGTTGTACAGAGAACCTCAACCCCAAGGTATTATCCCATGGAAATGGGTCACTGGCCTCGAGTCTCCTGCAGCTCAGAACCACAGACCTTAGATTCTTTCCTAGTTTCATGTGATGCTGGCCTCAGATATCAAAATTCGAATTCAAATTACCTAATATTTATTGAACACCCATTATGTACCAGAAGCCCAGTCCTCTGCCCACTGCAACTTACAAAGATGAGAAATGAAGATGCCATTGGAGGGGCCCACTGGCTGGGGCCCACAAGAATGAACAGAGATTAGGAGCACCCTGAAGGAAGAGTGACCGTGGGAAGGGTGGGGCATGGTGGCATCCAGGGACGCCCTGTGTTTCAGGAGATGCTGAAGCTCTCCATCATTGACATGCTCTTCACCGTGGCGAGCATTCTGCTCATAGACTTCTTCCGAGGACTTTTCGTGCGGTACTTAAGTGACTACTGGTGTTGGGATCTGGAGAGCAAGTTTGTAAGTAAAATGCTGTGTCTGTTGGGAAAGTTTATATGGCCAAATCCATCCTTTCTCATGTTGTGGCTGGGAAACAGTCCAGCATAGTTGAGGGGGACACACGGAAAGAGAATACAAGTGGGAAGAGATGGGTGCAGAAAGCTGAGCTTCTACTTCCTTTTTTTTTTTTTTGTCTGTTTTTTGTGTTTTTTGAGACAGGGTCTTGCTCAAGCGATCCTCCTGCCTCAGCCTCCCGAGTAGCTGGGACTATAGGCACATGCCACCATGCCCAGCTAGTTTTAAAAATTTCTTGTAGAGATGAGGTCTCACTATGTTGCCCAGGCTGACCTCGAACTCCTGACTACAAGTGATCCTCCTGCTCAGCCTCCCGAAGTGCTGGGATTACAGGCATAAGCTACAATGCCCAGCCCCACCCCTTTCTTAACATTTACCATTTGCTGGGATGGCCCCACAAGCACTGATCTCTAAGTGTTCATAAGAGCAAAGAAGTCTATATAGGTGTCTGTAATTAATTGGTTCATGCAAAGAACTTTGGAACTTGTTTAATGCACAAGTTTATTTTCTCTTGTAGCCTGAATATGGAGAATTCAAAATAGCTGAGAATGTGCTACATTTAGTCTACAACCAAGGAATGATTTGGTAGGTATCAAAGTTTCTTCTTGCCTTTGCTTACATCTCATCTGGGCTAAGATTTTAATTTACTTAGTCTAGATGGGACACGACCATAACACAGTTACATAAGCATTAAGAAGGGATGTTTCCAAGATTATTATTTCACATGTATATTACTTTTATTAATGGTTTCCTAAGAATTTTGCAGGAAGAAATTAAAAAGAAAATAATCCATGTTTAAGCTACTATTGGTCGCAGCCGAAAAAAATCTGCACAGAAACCAGTAGAATACACTCTTAGGGAGGACTTGGGGAAGGCTGGAAGGAGAGGCTGCTTCTCCCTCGTGAGGACTTCAGGAGTGGCTGCGGGGGACCTTGGCCAGTCTGTCCTCGCTCGCCACCCTCCCTCCATTTCCTCCTAATTTTCACTTAGACACTGGGCCCAGGAGTACAGCCATCCCCTAGACTGCTCCCCACCCTTGGGGAGGCAGGAAGTAGGGAAGTCTGTTCACCCATGGCGCCTCCCAGCCCATGGCATTCCTGTCCTTGGAGACACTGAGGAGCTGATTTTACCTGTTGGACCAGAATAGTGCTATTTGTTAAAACACAAGCAAACAAACGAACAAAAAACAAGAACTTGGGATATTCCATACATCCAGAAAACATTCTCTTCATAATCATTCAGTAAAATACATGGCAATTGAGAGGTACAAAGTAATACGCCTCCTGTCAAATTCTTAGAGCCACTGTATTTTGCAAAATATCTTTACAAATACAGTATTAAAAATAATAGGTGACATTTATTTAATAGTGCTAGATATCAAGTACTTTTCTACCTGTAGTAACTGATTTAATCCTTATAGTAAACCCATGAAGTAACTGCTATTATTTTCCCCTTTTTAAAGATGAGAAAACTGAAGTGCAGAGAAGCTTAGTGTCTTGCCTAACATCCAACAGATAATGATAACTGAACATTTCTTGTTAGAAACATTTTACTTAGGAAACATACTCTTATGTCCATGTTTATTTTCATACCACTAAATCCAAATTCCACAAGTATTAGATTGAATACGTATCCAATATAAACTGATTTAGACTTAAGTCTGAAGACATGGGTTTTGTCGCCTAGCTGCCATTTCTTTTCAGGGTGACCATAAGTCCCAGCTTCCCTGGGATGATCTGGTTCTTGTCTGTGGGCTCAGTTCTTTCATTCCCCAAATCTCCCAGGTTTGGATGATATAGAGTCAGCCTTAGCAACATGTCTTTGGTTTCCCCATATCTGCCCTTGTTGTCTATCAACTGGATATTTACCTCTCCTCTCACTATTGCAGAAGAGTAAACAAACTGAAATGTGTGAGGATGCTTAATGCCATATCCAGCAAAACTAGGTGCCCAAAATATGTTGATTAAACCTGAAAGGCAGTAATTTATTAGCACAGTCCTCATCATAGACAAGCAAAACCAGGAGCTGGCCCCAAATAGTAGTTATCCATTATTTGCCTCCTTCCCAGAGGATTTTCCTTTGCTCAGCTGTGAAAAGAGAGACAAACAGTTGTCCTTTGCAAATATAATATTTTAAAATAGGATCAATACCCACCTTCAGTGACTTGTCTTATCTTTAGAAGGTGGAGGGTTGTGGTCTCGGGACTTCAGGGGCTTTTCCAGTCCTTTAAGCTTAGGGTATAATCCCCAAAGTGTCAGAACCATGTTCCTGCATGGGGCTTCCATAGTCCTGGGAGATAGGCTGAAAGAGAACAGATGCAAACTGACCTTCCTCATGGTTCCAGGATGGGGGCCTTCTTCTCCCCATGTCTCCCAGCGTTCAACGTTCTCAAACTCATTGGGCTCATGTACCTGAGAAGCTGGGCTGTGCTGACCTGCAATGTGCCCCACCAGCAAGTATTTCGAGCCTCAAGGTGAGTAAGAATAAGATCTGATCATGCAGATAACTATATATACATATATATAATCCATGCCTGCCTTACCCAGGGGTCCTCTAGCAAAGGGTCCCCCCAACTCTCTTCCTGTCAAAATCTTGCCTGTCCTCCAATTTTGTCTCCTCCAAGAGCCATTTCCAATGTCTTACTCTTTCAATGAATCATTACTCCTCTTGAACTCATGACACTTTTAAAACGTTTTGCCGAAGTTTAATAATCCTTTAGAAAAAAAGTACACAAATCGTAAATGTTTAGCTTGATTAGTTTTCAAAAACTGAACACAAGGCACTCAGATCAAAAAACAAAACACAAATGGCAACCAGAGCATGCCCACTTGTATGTCATTCCAATCACTGCCAACTTCTAATGGCATAATTAGGCTTGCCTGGGTTTTACTTGATGTAAACGTAATCACACACACACACAGTATGTGCTCCTTTGTGCCCAACTGCTTACACGCAACATTGTGTTTGTGAGATTCAACTCACTGAGAAAATATACCCCAATTTCTTTATCCTGGCTCCTGTTGACGGGCATGTAGGTTGCTTCCAGCTGTTAGCCATAATGAGTAATGCTGCCTTGAACATCCTAAGTATCTTTGTTGCATATATACCTAGGAATGCAATTGCTGGGACACAGGGCATGCATATGTTCACCTTTAGCAAATAGCACCAAAAAGTTTTCTAAAATGAACACCCCATTTTACATGTCTAGCAGCATTATATGAGAGTTCCAAGTGTTTTATAACCTTGCCAACACTTATTCTTTTAACTGTTTTAATTTTACCAACTTTGGTGAATTCATAACACATTCTAAATACTTTGATTCAGTTATTTTACTTTGACATATGGTTATGTGTGTCTATATCAGTGGCTTTCAAACTTTTGCTCATGACCTACTTGACAATGCATTTTATCTGATGACAGTACACATATATTAATACATTCAGAGATATGTTTTGATATATTTATATATGTTATATATGTGTATGTATATTTATTATATGTATGTATGTCTGTGGATAGACAAAGATAAAGAAGTTTCACAACTTATCACTCTCCTACTACATTCTGTGCTCTCTGAAATCTTCTGTTCTCTTTTAGTCAAGTCTTTTTCATGAGAGAGAGAGAGAGAGAGAGAGAGACAGAGACAGAGAGAGACAGAGAAACAGACCAACAGAGAGTACTAGTTGAAAGTAACTAGATTGACCCCTCATTCTCTTTTCTGAACTGTGTACAGGGCCTTGCACACCAAACAGATCTAAGCTGCCCTCAGGGGAGCTCTGGGCATCCAAACTCCCTGACACTAGCTTAGGGCTCAGGGACCGGGGCTTAATCAGGTAGAACACATACCCTGGGCAGCCACATGCGGAGTGGATAAGAGGTTGAGTGCAAATCACACCCAAGTGAGAGAGTCAGGAATCATAAACAAAAGAGCCAAACCATCCCGAGACGTAAGAGACAAGTTCAAGCCTGGGAATAGGAGAGGGAACCATTAGGTAAGGACCCAGATGGATGGGCAATGCTTCTAAGATTTTTCCATAAATTGAGTTTACTGTGTGGAACTCCTGGGTGCCAGGGTGAGTTCACCACTTTTATGGTTTGAGGTGAACAGGTGCTCAGCAAATGTTTATTAGATGAACAGGTTGGGTGGGAGATCTCTGAAGTTCCTTTGAACGCTGATTTCTAGGTTTCTAAGCTGCATGTGACCCTATGACAGATCCATTTGTAGGTAACCCTGAGAGGAGGATTTTTAGTTTGCAAAGAGTCAGGGCAACCGTTTCTGTGGCAGCTCTTTGGGCATATGCAACCCTGGCAACTGGCTATGGAGTGAACTTAACACATGACATCTGATTTATCTGCAGATCCAACAACTTCTACTTGGCAATGCTCCTGTTTATGCTGTTTCTGTGCATGCTGCCAACCATTTTTGCTATTGTCCGATACAAGCCATCTCTAAACTGTGGGCCATTCAGGTAAGTTTCGTTCCCAGCTCTGCCCGGAGTGACTGACAGCTGTAAGGGAATTAGATCATATTGAACTGAATTCTCCTCCAAGCTCACAGAGCAGGTAAACAGGATAGAAAGATTGCAAACCCGCATGTTTTAAATCCAAGACCAGGGCTCTTTCCTTAATAGAAGGCTGCCCTTAGTATAATCATCTCTGTGCTCATGTTAAAAAACACAATCCTTTTAAAGTGAAAAAGAGAAACAGCATTGTTCTGTGCTAGAGGACATTCTACCTGGTCAAAACACAGAAAGCTTTTATTAAACCACAGTGCACAGCACTTTTTTTTCCTATATTATCCAGCTGTATTCAAGCAAAACCCTCTAGTATCTTCATCCAGCATTCAAGTCAGCTTTGATACAATATGGAATATTTAGTCTACCTTAGTGTACACGATTAGAACACACACATACATGCAATGTGATTAATGACCCCATCTTCCATCCTCCATATTAATTAGATATGAAATCATTTGAGGAATGTTATGAATTGGCCTCCAGGCATCCAGCCATTTTCTGATGTCTTGCAGCATCTTTCTGCCAAGAGCAATAAAATCTGGAGTTATGTTTTTCTTTCTCACAGTGGACAAGAGAAAATTTATGACATTGTGTCAGAAACGATTGAGAAAGACTTTCCTGTGTGGTTTGGCTCCGTGGTTGGACACATCAGTAGCCCCGTGGTCATCCTGCCCGCAGTACTCCTGCTTTTGTGAGTACCACACCTGCCAGCTTTGGAGGGACTTCTGTGTGTTTGGCCAACAAGAAAACGCTGCTTTCCAATAATTACATAAAATTTATTAGTTCATTCAAAAATCACTTAGGCTTAGAGCCTGATGATCTCAACAGGGACTCTGAGTCACACACCAGAGTCACATGAGGCACTGTGCCATGGAGACACAGCCACTGGGTCTCAGCGAGGGGCGATGAGGGAGCACTCCATTGCCATTGAGGTGGTTATTGATCCATCAACACCATTTGGTCAATTACTGTGATCACTAGAATGGGGCTGAATGCCATTATCATTTTCTAGAAACTTAAATAATCCTGAAAAGGAATTTCACAACTCAGCTGAGTAGCTTTGGCTTATTTTGGTTTAAAGGAAAAAAAAATAAAAGTGAGTGGATCCTGTACTCATAGCTTGATAGACTGCAAAATTTCTCCCCCATTTTCAGTTCTTCCTTATTGCTATCACCAGTGCAGAATTCCAGGTCAACGAGGGTGCTGTGGAAAGCCAGGAAGAGAAAACAAAAGCAGCCCCTTCCCAGTGCTCACTGGCTTGAGAACTTGCTGATACATTTTGTCCTTAGCGGAGGGTCAGTGGATAGCCCGCATCTGGCCTGGGAGCCTCTCATTCCTGCCAACTATCTGCAGGGAATGTGGTCTGAAAAGCAGAAAAGCGAGTTGCAGTCCACTCATTGTCCTGTGTTGTTCTGTCCTAGCATGCTCATCTATTATCTCCAGAGCATCGCACGGTCTCTAAAGCTCAGCAACCACCAGCTCAAAATGCAGATCCAAAACGCAAGTATTTCATGAACTTTGCTATTATGAATATGTGTCAACCACATGACTGAGATCCCGCCAGCGTGGGAATACAAGTGAAGTCACATCTTCAAGGTTTCTGTGACTCTTGGCCACCCACTATGGTGCAAGGCCACCAATCCCCAGATGTCCAAGAGTTATTTCTAAGAATACCCAGGGATGGCTCCCCTTTGCTAGGAGGAAGCCTGCTCCTGTTTTTCTTCCTCCTCAAGAGGCCTTGCAGCTGCCTCGAGCCTTTCAGTGCCCACCCTGTGACCACACCAAGCCCTCAGTGTGCCAGGTACTTTTGTGAGCTCTGGTAGATTGGCAGGGGAGAGAAAGGGCCCCTTCCCAATCCTTGTCAACTTGGGCATCTGAGCCCAGCAGCACTGTTTGTCCCTAAAGCCTCACCTCTTTCATATCCTTTAGATGTGGCTGTCATTACGTTCTCTCCATGGGGCTCAAACCCTATCTCTCAGAGCAGTCCCAGGGAGACACACGCTCCCAAAACTCCCACAATTTCTCCTCCTCCACATACCCCAGGTGTTCCCTTAGTGCCCTGGGTCCTCCAGACCCCAAGGAAGGATCCCAAGACTGGGATGAGGCCAGTGAGGCTCCCAAAGCACCACATTTAAGGAGGCTCTGTAAGCGTAATGCTGATTCTGTCCTTTCACAGCCCTGAAAATAAGTGCCTCCTTAAATTTGGCACCCCAGATGCCTCACTGACCTCACCCATGCAAAAAAACTCCTTCCACTTCTATCAGAAAAAAAAAAAAACTTCCCATGAACATCAATTCATGCAAAGAAACACAAATTAGCTTCTAATTGGAAATTCATTTGGAGTTACAAAGGCCATTTTGGTGGAAACATACATCTCCAGTGTTGTCGATCTGTATTTTTTTCTTTGTGATTCAGGCAAACTATTATGGACAGAATCTAAACATGGTCTGTTAATTAGCTGTCCCTAAATAAAACTGGCTAGGCATAAAACTTCAGCTCTCAGGTATCTGCATTTATTCACTCAAATAACAGGCCCGAGCCCAGAGCATACCGTCCATAGGGGGCAATAGTAGTACAGTTATGGTCCAAGGTAAGAACTATGGCATGTAAATCTTTTTCTCTTCCCCCAGGAATAATATTTGTTACTGCTTCCTGCTAAAGCCAAAACAAACATGCATATCATTTGCATTTTAGGCAAGATCAGAGGATAAGAAAAAGGTTGCCCAGATGGTAGAAGGTAAGTATTTCCGTTTCTTTTTGTTGTTGTTTTTTTGTTTTGAGGCAGAGTCTTGCTCTGTCGCCCAGGCTGGAGTGCAGTGGTGTGATCTCGGCTCACTGCAACCTCCACCTTCCCGGTTCAAGTGATTCTCCTGCCTCAGCCTCCTGAGTAGCTGGGATTACAGGTGCGTGCCATCACACCTGGCTAATTTTTATATTTTCACCATGTTGGTCAGCCTGGTCTCAAACTCCTGACCTCATGATCCACCCACCTTGGCCTCCCAAAGTGCTGGGGAGAGCTAGCCCCTAGAGCTAGCTCTAGGTGTGAGCCACTGCACCTGTCCTAATATTTTTTTTAAATGCAGAGATCTGCTGTCTCAGTTAGTGGGCATTTAAAAATACAGCCATTTAAAGTAGTTTGCGGTATACTACCAATACAAATTCCTGATAACCTGTGTTTTTTCACCAGTAACTATGCACAATAAAATAAAATCTAGGGATATAAATGTTGTTTTAAATCTTTAATTTTTATATCATATCCAGGCCCATGAATAATCCCAAAACATGTGTAAAATCAGAAGGAAGTATCGAAGTAGGAGAGGAAAAGCAGCACATTCACGTGGATGAAAGCCCAAAGAATCTCTTTGTCTGGGTCACTTTTGTATACTTCCTCTCCATGGCCCATCTCTTCCTTGCAATGTTCCCTCCCAGGTCCCTTCCCTGAGCCTCCTTAGGTTCTGTCCTGTCCCTGCAGAGCAGGGAGAATGGAAGCATGTGGCGTAGAAGTCTGCTGTGGCCTGAAGGGAAGAAAGTGGGCAACGGCAGCTCGAAGGAGATGGATCTGTTTCTCAGGACCACTAACAGAGTGCTGTGAGCTAGAAGGCTCACTGGGCACCATTAACATGGCACAGCCTACATGAATGAGAATGGGACCCAGAAGGGCTTTAGGGGCTAGCTCTCACAGCTGTTGCAATACTTCACTAATTGGAAGGGAAATATTCCTCTCCAGAAAAATGTCTGAGCAAGACCTCTAAGGCCTAAGGATTATGCTTGCTTGCTCCATCAGCTTTTCAGAGAGAAGCCTACAATTGATAATGATTACTGAAAGTGACTGTGGCTCACGCCATAAAATGCCTCTGTAATCGTCATCGCTTATTTGCCAATTAAGCGTAATTAAATTTAGTTCAGGTCACCTTCAAAAGCCAGAATCCACATAGACTGTTTCAGGATAACAATAGCATTGTCCAGTGTTCATTTTCCAGCTCGAGACCACATCTTTTTTCAGAATGCATGTGAACTGTTTCCAAAGAATCATAATTGTTGTGTAAGCTTTATTATCTCCATTGAATAGATAAGGAACTGGAGGCCCAAAGCTGTTAAGTACTTGCTTTGCCTCATGGGAGCATCAGATGGAGCACTGTAAAGCCTTGTGTTCACTTGATTCCTCCTACACTCCCAGCTCCAACTTGCAGGGATGAAATCATTTGAATTACAGAATGTTTGTTGCCCACTGGTTAGGTGCATTTGTAAGTGCACTCAATTGTTTGCGGACCAACTCTTGGATGTCATAAAACCCTTGCAACTCAACTCATCTGAAGTTGTCACCTGCTCAGTGACACCTGTCTTCTCACAACACCTCCCTCTCCCTGCAGCCCGAATCCAGACCCAGGAAGAAAGCACCAAGAAGCTTCCAAACGACAGTGATCTTACCAGCCAGCTGTCCTCAGCGCACTCGGGCACACCCCAAAACAACGGCAACGTGGCCCATTTTGACTCAGGGAGCAGCAAGAGTGGCAGGATAGAGACAGTCGCACAGTCCATGCCCCAGAGCCCGAGGCCAGGGGACAGGGCTCCTAGCTCACCTCTCCCTGGGGTCCCCAAATCCAGGCTAGAGCATGAAACTAACAGGTGAGGCTCCACTGCAGCACAGATTAAAACCTGGAATGTGAGAGATTTGAAGGCCTCTGCAGCTTCAGGAGGCCAAGGCCATTAAATTCTAATTCTCCCAGAAGGCATGGGTCAGGAGACTATGACAGCTGGTACTAAAAAGAAATGGAGGCGGGGTGGGGGTGTCAAAGTTTATCAAACAGGACAAATTCTTCCTCCTAGGTTATCTGCCATTTAACTTGTAAGCAAACCTTCCAGCCAACCTAGGATAAACATTTGTCTAGGCTAAGAAAATAACTGTTTATTTTTTAGTTCCACAGTGGCCATATTATTGGCAAGATCTTCCATATTTTAGCCCTAGTCTGGTCAAGTTATTGGCAAGACCATTTATGCATTACATGGGGTCAAAGAAAGCAGTAGATCCCTTCCTACTTTAATGGAGGTAGGACCCCTGGAAAGATGAAGGGGATAGACCTGCGGTGGCCCAAACTCATATGGAGAATTATATTTGATCTGAATGTAGCACAGCGAAAGCAATATAGATAAAATACAGGGGCTCTCTTTTTTAAAGATAATGACTAAGTTAGCAAAGAACTTGAAGTCTTGTTATATAAGGAGTTGTCTGCCTGTCTCTGTGGGGTCTTGACAAGGAGAAAGGGTTCAAACACTCCTTGAGAGGCCCCTAGGGGTCAAACTACAGCCACCATACAGATTCAAGTCTTTATCAGGAAGAACTTTTTTTTTTTTTTGAGACTAGGGTTTTGCTCTTGTCACCCAGGCTGGAGTGCAGTGGTGCAATCTCGACCCACTGCAACCTCCACCTCCCAGGTTCAAGCAATTCTCCTGCCTCAGCCTCCCGAGTAGCTGGGATTACAGGCACCTGCCACCACACCCGGCTATTTTTTTGTATTTTCAATAGAGACCAGGTTTCACCATGTTGGCCAGGCTGGTCTCAAACTCCTGACCTTAAGTGATCCACCTGCCTTGGCCTCCCAAAGCGCTGGGATTACAAATGTGAACCACCGTACCTGGCCAGGGAAGAACTGTTTAATATGTACAACTCCCCTCCACCCACCAGTGGAAACTCAGAGAAGTGCTTGAGAAGTCAGACAGCTGCTTAGCAGAAAGGATGAGAAACTGTGTTCCTAACATGTGCTTCACAGACACTAGTCCCACTATGTGCCTCTTGACACAAAGAGGGCTCTGTGAGGAAATACACTAGCATAACACCCCTCGCTCTGCAGTCTTCATGGAGACTCATGTGTACATCACTGATTTAGGTTCTGAAAATTCCAGCAGTAAAGAAAACTGTTTAGCCCTGTCCCCCAAATGTCTCTGTGCACACAATCCATACCCATTAACCAGTTGGAACCAGCCTCAGTGAAAATGCTCAGAGAACTGCTCACAGCTCACAGTCCTCAGGTGTGGGGCTCTGAGACCACCAAGGCCACAGCTACTTAACCGCCCCTGTCTTACAGGTATCTGCACGGTCTGTGTGCAAGCACCAGTGACCTTCACAGGAACAGATCGCGCACACCTATGACATTTACAACGCACATCGAAGATGTACACTCAGAACCTCTTTTCCGAAAAGACTTTCAGCAAATCAACCCTCCTCACCGTGGACCACAGGCCTCGACTTTGCTGGCACAGGGTCCCAGGCCCCACGCCCCCAGATACTATGTCATTAATGAATGTGACTCTTACAAGAAAAAACATCTAAATGTCTGGCCAGAAAGACATTTCAAGATAGATGCTTCAGGTGACATTGTGGAGCTGTACCCCAGGAACGTGCGACAATATGCATCCCGGGTCCCCCGCCAGCCTCCCTCCCCACAGCTGAGTGAAGAAGAGGAGGAGACGCCAAGCAGAGATTGGATCAAACGGTCTCTTCCCCCACGCTCCCTGATAGACCTCCGTCGGGCTCCTCATTTTTATATTGGGGAGAGGTCCGAAAGTCAGACCCGGGATCCCGAGCACCAGGGGAGGGTGCACTACAAGTCGTGGAATGAAGATTTTGAGGGTCACCTTGAGAGGCCAGCCTATGTGCCCAGAAAGCCACGATCCCGGAATTTCCAATACCCACAGCCCCCTCTGAAGCCCAGAGGGAAGCCCAGGTTCGAGCCATCCCTCACGGAATCTGACTCCGTGTCGGCAGCATCCAGCAGTGACCAGCAGAACAGCAGCGCTGACCAGTACCTGCAGGTCACCCACAGCCAGGGCAGGTTCCCGAGGTCCGTGGGCCAGCCCAGCAGGAGGAAGGCCAAGTCGGGGCAGGAGCTGACCGTGGATCTGGATGACTTGATTTGTTCAGATGTCTAGGCTTCCTCCAGTGTCCCGTTCCTAGAGGTCAGGCCCCTGTTGGAGTGCTGGGCCAGCACATGGCATCTCCCTTTCTGGAAAAAGAGGTGAACAAGTGTGTTAGAGACCTGAGGGGCATGGTCAGCGGCTGCTAGCTGAGGCCCTGAGGCTGACAGGGCTACAGATACCTATTCTACAGCTACTGTTAGCCAAATTTATCCGAGTTAGGTGGCACCAAAGTATGTCACCAGCAGTGAATCATCACGGGTCTGCAGCAATCTCAATACTTGCCTCCTCGGAAGAAAGAATTTGGCAGAGGGGCTCAAGACAGAAGGAGAGACTGAGGCAAGTTTTAGAGCAGGCATGAAAGTTTACTGAAAAGCTTTAAAGCAGGAATGAAAGAACGTAAAACATACTTAGTAGAGGGCCAAGCAGGCGACTTGAGAGATCCAGTGCACTGTTTGACCTTTGACTTGGGGTTTTACACGTTGGCATGCTTCCGGGGTCTTGCGTTGCTTCTCCCCACGATTCTTCCCTTTCTTCCCTTGGGGTGGGCTGTCCGCATGCGCAGTAGTGGCCTGCTAGCGCTGGGGAGGGGAGCATGCGCAGTGTGTTTACTGGAGTTGTGCACGCGCTCACTCGAGGTTCTTCCCTTACCAGGGGAATGCTCCATTTTGTCTCTTAGTGCGCATGTTTGAGCCCACTCGCCCAACTCCTGACATTTTATGGGGAAGCTGCCGATCACCAGTTTCAGGTTTTTTCTATCTATTGGGAGACTGTCGTTCCCTGGTGCCAGCTGTGACCAATTATTATTTTAGAGAGACAATCAGCAGCCACCTGACCATCACCTGATGGTCGCCTGACATTCCTGGGGGTTGTGTTGAAGAAGGAATTCATGAATTTTACAAGTATAATCAAAGACAACCAAAAATTTTTACTTTTTCCTTCAAAAGCTAAGTGTAGTGTAGCTCCCCCATAGTCTAAGTTAAAGAAGAACACTAACTGCCTGTTTTTCCTTCTGTGCTCAGCAAGCCTTATCTGTACTTGCTAGTTTCACATTCCTTGAGGCTCAGCGAGTTCCTGCTTCACCACCCTAGCGCAGCTGCAAAGTTACAAGGTTGATGCAGAAACATGGTTTCCCAGGGATGTGGAACATGTAGTATAGATAAATGTAAAAGACTGAACAACTGCCTTTGCTCTCGCTTCTGTAAGTACGCTTCCTGCCTCGCGTACTCCCGGCCACCGACTGCTTAAAAGGTGGCTGCTTTCTTTATCCAGGGCTCAGACTTTCCTGGACGCTAGTCCTACTGAGCCAGGTGATCACCTTTTAATAAAGACCTTTCCTGAACTCACTCTGTTCAGTGTCTCCCATCTTTGATTGTCCCACAACATTTCGTTGGCAGGAGCCCCCACTGTCTGCTCATGTCTAACTGGCTACCTACTGTAACACTACCACACATGAGCAGATTGTTTCCGTGGGGCTCTTTGCATCCAGAAGCACATCAGGCCATCATTTCAATGGAACTCAGTGCTTTGCCTCCTTTTGGGTTGACCGCAAATCATAAGCAAGCCAGAGATATCTCATCCTGCCTGCTGAAGCCTCAGCTGAGATATCGGAATGATACGAGTGAACTGTTTGTATTGCAATGCTGTCTTTCAACAGACAAAAGTCATCTTCTCTAATAAGCACCACAAATCAGATGGCCACCCTTAAAGATATCACAATGCTTAGTTTGTATGAATAATCAGTTTAGTAATGACAAGAGGAACTAACATTTATTGAGAACTTATTTTACTCTGCTAACTGGGCAGTATATCTGTATTAATGAGTCAGGACACTTAGATTGGAAGTAATCCATGATTTATCCCTAAGATTTGCTGGTTTGCTTAACTGGGAAGGATGGGACTCAAGCTAGCCTCAGGCCCAACTGGAGCCAGGGCATTAAAGCACCCTCAGGAATCTCTTTTCACCTCTCTGCTCTATTTCTATGTTTGTTGACCTCATTTTCTCCTACTGGCAACAGGCTTCCTCCATGTAGTCAATGGAGAAGGAAATCACAGCCACAGAAAATGCCAGGTTTACACCATCCAGCCAATGAGCCCAGAGGGAAGAACAGCACTGTTCCCCCCACCCCCCAACGCCCCCTGCCCCCTCTCCCCTTCACATTATCTTCACCTTTATGGGCTGATGTCCTTGGATCCTTCTACGGGCATTCTGCAGGGTTTGGGCAGCAGTGTGTTCAATCTGCCATGGTTAACGAGGAGCACACCCTGATTCAAATTTTCATAACTCTTTTCACTCTAAATTGTGTCTTTTAAACATTTGTCTCCTCCACCAGATTGTGTCTTTGGAGCAAGAATGGTGTTGTATTCATTCTGCATCTTCAGTCACTGACACTTATATATTGTATTCATTTTCTATTACTGCATAACAAATTTAGTAGGCTTAAAAGAATGCAGACTTATCATCTCAGTTTCCATGCATCAGGAGTCCAGGCCCAGCTTAGGTGGATCCTGAGCTCAGGGTCTCATCAGGCTATAATCCAGGTGTCTGCCAGAGCTGGCATCCCATTTGAGGTTCAAGGTCCTCTTCCAAGCTCAGGTGATTGTTGGCAGAATTCATTTCTTTGAGGTCCTAGGACTGAGGCCCTCCACTCCTAGAGGCTGCCCGCAATTCCCTGCCACAAGGCCCTCTCCACAACATGGCTGTTTGCCTCTTCAAAGCCAGAGAGTGTTTCTTCAGCTTTGAATCTCCTTCCTTCCAGGGAAGGCCTGAACCCACTTTTTAAAAGGGCTCGCCTGATTAGGTCAGGCCCACCCAGACACTCTCTTTTGATTAACTCAGAGTTGACTGAGTGGAGATCTCATTACATCTTCAAAATCACTTCACTTTTACTATATCTGGGAGTAAAATCTCATCCTATACACAAGTGCCAGCATACTCAAGGGAAGAAGATTATATAGGGCATGTATACTAGGGAGCAGCAATCTTGGAGGCCGACCATAGATAATAAACATCTGTTAAATGTGAATGGGTGAACAAATAAATGAAAGAATTGTCCTAATGAATGAATCACAAATGGCCTGGTCACAGGGTTATATTCTAAGATTCATTACCAATTCCAAACTGAAAGAAAAGTCCGTATAAATACCACCATTTTAAATGTACACACAGATTAACACCTCTCCTGAAATTTAGGAAGAGGAGTGGACATATTTTCAAATATCTTGCTATGACAAATCCAAGAGATTGCAGTCTGCTTAAGATTCAATGTTCTACAATGCCATGAAATGGGTCTGCTTAAGACTCAATGTTCTACAATGCCATGGAAATGTGCTTTTGAGATAGAGGTGCTCATGGGAGGTTCATGATGATGGTCCTCTCTTCCTGGTGCTTGGTCTGGGACTGTGGCCTCAAGCTCCCTGGGACATTAAAACATATTTTGGAAAAGGCTGACCTTTGCTCCAGACACCTGTGGGAGCACCATTGTCTGTGTGGGAGTGGGGAGGTGCTTCTTTAGGACTTAAGGGCAAGCAGGTCCTGAGACATTCCTAAGAAAATTTGAGAGTGGCCAAACACACGCAGGGTTGAAAGTATGAGTATCACTTTCCAATGCACAACACAGCTCACATGCACTCTGGCACTTACTGTTGGGTTAGGTCTTTAATTTAAATAAATTTAAAAGACATAGAATAGTGCAAAGTCTACTGTGACAAGCACCAATATTCCTACTGTGAGAGTCAACAACTGCCAAAATTGGAATTTTATTTTATTTCCATTAAGCCATTTTGTTACTATTAATAATAAAGAAAATATTACAGATACGGTCAAAGCCTACTCTAATCCTTACACAAAGTCTCATTCCCTTCACACTAGCAAGAGTTTGGAGTACATCCATTGGTCAATTGTTTATAGTTTTATATGTTGTATGTGTGAGTATATACGTATAAGCATCCATAAACAATGTGTAAGCACATCTTAAGTAAAGAGTATTATACTGCATGTATTAATGCACATACTTATATTTTTAGCTCTAGCAAAAAATAGATCAAACTCATAACTGTAGCAAAGTATTTCATCACATGAATAAACTACATAATATCGATCCTTTTTTTTACTGATGGACATTGTAATCATTTCTACTTCTTTGCTGCTGAAAATAATGTTGCACTAAACATCTTTTATATGTCTGTCTTGATGTATCTTTTTGGCACACACACGTGCCAGTGTTTACTTAGAAGTGAATATCGGTCCTCCTAAAAGAGAAATCCCTAGCTCATAAGAGAGGAGCATGTTCATTTTCACTAGCAGCTCCTTTATTAGTCCTCACGAGTCCAGACGTCTGTGCACACTTCCTCTAGAGCATGAGAGGGCCATTTTCTTATAGCCTCACCAATGCCTGATACTGTCACACTATATCATTTTTGCCAATCTGATGAAAAAATTATACCAACTTATTTTAATTAATTTGTATTTCTTATTGTTATCATCTCTCCCTAAGTCAACTGGCCATTTGCATTTCCTCTTCTGTGAACCGATTGCCTATTCAACACCTTTGTTCATTTTTCTGTGGACATCAACCATCATCGCTGTGAAAAGGAGCTCATAAAGCTCCTGACAAAAGCATCACATGCTAGTCAGTTATCCCTTTCCCTTCCCTGAACTCTAGCCCTTGTCTAAGTTGCAGCAACAGAAAGCTAAAAACGCACTCTGTCAAAAATGCCTTTGCATAACTGTGGTTTCACCACATTGCTTTGTATTTTAGTAACAGTCCATGGGGGTGTACATTTCTGCCTTTGGTCAAACTATTATTGAGGACATGATCCACAGCATTATTAAAATCTCTCCTAAAACACCTACATAACAAACTCCTCTCAAGTCTCAAAGATCAGACTGTTATATCCATTAAAGAGTGAATTCCTTTTGATAAGAGTAGTTCAGTAAATATCTTGGTAACCTCAGATTGCTTCCTTTAGTCACTCCTTTTGTCTCAGAATTCATGAGCTCCAGGAAACTTAGAGCAAAGTTTTCTGCACATCTCTAAAAGACTAACTTCCCTAGCCTAAGGTAGTATCTTCCAGCTACTCTGTGTGTGTGTTTTCCTTCTTTTTAGGGTTTGCAGGTTGTTGTTTTCTTTTATCTTTGCACGTTTCACACTTAACACTACATATGCTCATAGGATGTAGTAGACAGCAAAGCATATGAGTAAACATTTGGCCTTTGGAAATAGAAATCGTATGTTTGCCACAGCTCTGCCACTTCCCAGCTATGTGGCCTTGGATACCCTACATGATCTTCACTTTCTTAACTTGCAAAATGGGAGTAGTAGTCTCTATCTCATGGTGCTGCGGTATTGTTAAGTTAAATGGCCCAAAACAGGTAAAGTGCTTAGGATAGTGGCTAGCAAGAAGTAAGTGCTGAGTAACGATTAGCTATTGCTGAGTAAGCAATAAACATACCGACGTGCTTACATTTGTAGATTCACATAGCACCTGCCCAAGCTAACTTAGTAAATATGCATGCAATTCTTCATCAGTGTCTAAGTGGAAAGCAGATACTCCACTCTATTCAGGGCCTTGTAAGACTGGAGCATGTGGACACTTGGGCCCATCCCCTCTATAGTCTGTCTAGTGGTGGTGTTGAGTTAGAAGCTACTGGGCTACCTGCTCCCATATACACCTATTAATTGTATTCACCTGGGACTTTGATGAAGTCTGGTGGACAACTGGGTGACTCAGAGCCCTCTCAGGACCTTGTGGGAAGGGCTCTGATCAGTGGAATCTCCAGAGCTCAGTCATTCCTCCATCCCCTTCAGCTCCAAACTGCAGCCTCAGACAGACTACAAAATAGATTTCTGTCCCAGGCCCCTGGCAAACACTGTGTGGGCAGCTCTCACCTTCCCTCTGTTCCAATCATCTGCTCACTCTGCCCTGTGCCGGCCTCCGGTGATAAAATAAATGAGTGTTCTGCTTGAAGGCTGCCCTGACCTCACCAATCTCCTACTTCCAGTTTGTCACAGGCCTCGGGGACAGTTTGCTTCTCCAAATATTTTGTATATCCAGACGTTCCCATTTCCTAGGAGCAAAATAGTGCTACTATAGTCCTGCAGGGGGTCTACTCCATCCCCACTTTCCACCATCTGGGCTAGGTTATTTTGATGGCTACATAATATTCCACTAAGTGGATGTTCTATAACTTTGGTTAATATACTGGTAAATAGGTTACTTCCAGTTGCAAGATTAATTTTATGCATCTTTGTGCAGGAAGAGTCACTGGATCAAAGAACAAGTAGAGTAAAATTTTAATATATGTTGTTATTCTGTTCCCAGGAGGTTGCATACATTTGTACTCTCATCCGCTGTGTAACAACTATTTCTCCATACCCTCACCAACACAGGGTATAAACAAACTTCATGTTTGTCCATCAATAGGTTTTAAGAAAAGCCTCTCCTTGCTTTAATTTTTAATTCCCTAACAATGAGTGAGGTTCTGCATCTTTTTATAGCTTTGTTAGCCATGTCAATTAATTTTTCCACAAAGTATCTTTCCATGTCTAATGCATTCTTTTTGTTTATGGGGTTGTCTGAAAATTGCTTAATGATTTGTATGAGCCCTTGGTTCGATAAGAAAACTTATGTGTTAAAGTGTGTCCCGATTTTTTTCTCATATTATCTAACTTTTTATGAAATTTTGATGTGCTTAATTTTTTAATGGGATTAATTTACTAGTCTTTTCTTTTATGGGTCCTAAGAGTATTTACATGCGTTACTTCCCTCTCTCTTCACAAGGGCATAGGGAACATTTATTTGTTTGTTTGTTTATTTTTATTACTTTTTGAGACAGGATCTTGCTCTGCAGCCCAGGCTGGAGTGCAGTGGCGCGATCACGGTTCACTGCTGCCTCTGCCTCCCGGGTTGAAGCGATCCTCCCACCTCAGCCCCCCCAAGTAGCTGGGATTACAGCCCCGCGCCACCATGCCCGGCTAATTTTTGAATTTTTAGTAGAGACGGAGTCTCGCCATGCTGCTCAGGCTGGTCTCGAACTCCTAGGTTCAAGTGATCTCCTGCCTCAGCCTCCCAAAGTGCTGGGATTACAGGCGTGAGCCACCGGACCCCGCCAGGAACATTTATGATGTATCCCATTTCACCTTGGAGTAAACTGAAGCTCAAAGAATAATGAGTGAAACTGGGTTTAGATCTTGAGCTCCCTAATTCCCCATCCAGGTCTTCTTCACAGCCTGGCTGCCCTTCACATCTTCCAAAAAGGTCTTTCAAGTTGTCAATTTGTTTACACTACTCTTCCAAACATTTATATCGAAAGTTTAAAGGAAACAATAAGTACATAAAAAAGAAAGATAAGAAATAGACCTCAGTATTAACCTTTTCAAATATTTAGTTGGTGATAGCGCAGAAGAGGGGAAACCGAGGCTGTCCTTGCCATTCACGCTGTGAAGATGCGACCCTGGCTCACTCCCCGCAGCTCCAGGGCAGCTGGAAGCAGAGAACTCCCATATCTCTAATAAAGCCGGGCCTCTCGCAGATGTCAGCGCATTGCATTGACTCCTGGACACCTGCACTAAAGGCCCTTCAGGCACCTCCAACTAAATATGCCCAGAACTGAACTCACCCTATCTCTTCTCCATCTCAGGTAAGCTGCCAGGTGGCCAAGGCTGGGAGTCATGATGCTTTCTCCTTCTGAACATCCACAATCGGGGGCAGAGACCTTCACCTTCCATCTCCTAAACACTCTACGATGGGTCCTCTTCTCTTCACCCCCACTCCCCGCACCCCTGCCACACACCTCTCCCACCATTGCACGCGCCCAGTCTCCACGCGCATTTCCTCTCCCACCCTGCAGCAGCCGCCCTAGCATATTACCTCTAATGCAAATCGCACCACTGTCCCGCAGGCTGAAAGCCTCGGTGCACTCAGGACAAGAGTCCACGCTTCTTAAACAAACGGTCGACGTTGTCCGCGACCTGGCCCGGCCCAACGGGTCAGACCGTCATTGGCCATCTCACAGTCCCGGCGCTCCAGAGCCCCTCCCACAGCGGGACATGAAGGAGGCGGATACGGCTGGACCTTACCCGGCCCGCCCAAGGCGTCCGGGACCCGCCCAGGCGCTGACGCTAACTGGAGAGCCTGGCCCCGCGGTCTCCTTGTCCTGCCAATCTCCGGGAGGCGGGATCCGTCTGAGGGCCTGGACCAATTCGGGAGCGGGGGCGCGGAAAGAGGCGGGGCTACGAGCTCCTCCCAGAGCTCCAGCCTCCAGGCACCCGGGATCCAGCGCCGCCGCTCATAACACCCGCGACCCCGCAGCTAAGCGCAGCTCCCGACGCAATGGACCCGGCGCTGGCAGCCCAGATGAGCGAGGCTGTGGCCGAGAAGATGCTCCAGTACCGGCGGGACACAGCAGGCTGGAAGATTTGCCGGGAAGGCGTGAGTGAGGAGCTGGGCGGGAAGGGGTCGCGGAGACGGCTTCGTGGAGCCCGGGTCCCCAGAAGCCCCCAAGCGCCTCCTCTCCCCGTTGTTTTCTGCTCCCCAATCCCCTGGACCCGATTGAGAGGGATTCCAATGGGGATTGTTTTCTTCTTTAAAAAAAAGATTGGGCCTGTTATGCTCACAATGACTTCAGGTGGTAAGTATCTGTTCCTTTCACTCAGTGACTTGCCCAAGGTCACCTGGCTGTTGAATGCTGTTTAGGACTGGATGTTTCTGTGACAGTGGTAAAAGTAAATAAATTGCATTTAAGGGGTAAGCAGGTGTTTAAAAACAAAACAAAATGAAAGAATGTGGTCGCAGCTAAGGAGGTTTTTACATGTTGTTTAAATCCAGTAAAGTCTGATCCAGCATCTGATGCATACTAAGGTTTTCTTCTGTGTTCATTACAGCATGAACCCCTCTCTTTGTCGTTGCCAGAGGGTAGCATGGGAGTAGTTTTGCTTGACCCTTCTGACTTTTCATTACAGCATGAACCCCTCTCTTTGTCGTTGCCAGAGGGTAACATGGGAGTAGTTTTGCTTGACCCTTCTGACTTTTCATTACAGCATGAACCCCTCTCTTTGTCGTTGCCAGAGGGTAGCATGGGAGTAGTTTTGCTTGACCCTTCTGACTTTTCATTACAGCATGAACCCCTCTCTTTGTCGTTGCCAGAGGGTAGCATGGGAGTAGTTTTGCTTGACCCTTCTGACTTTTCATTAAGTAGCCCTGGGTTGCTCAAGGAAACAGAATGCCTGGTGGCTTTTAAGATAATTTTAAAAACCACCCACGGCTCTTGGAGTCAGCCAGTTAAGATCTTTTTCTTCATCACATTCTGCTGTGGGGACAGCTTTGCCCAAGACTAGTCCCAGCTTTTCCACGTATGGGTTGCACAGCCTTGGAGAGTCGTATCTCTTGAGGCCTCTTACCCCTCTTCTGTAGAACAGGGGATTAAGCCAGGTGACCAGAGCCCTTCTAGCTCTAAAATTCTGTGGTTCTGTGCCTTTTGACAGAATGGAGTTTCAGTTTCCTGGAGGCCATCTGTGGAGTTTCCAGGGAACCTGTAAGTGCATGCCTCGTTCAAAGATTACCAGAGGTGCCGCACCCTTCCTGGTATCTTTATGGGCCTGCCTCCTAAAATATTCAAATCAACCCTATAACCTGTGATCACTTGTCCTCCAGAAAAGCCTTACTGTTTTTAATGAAATCATTTCCAGCAAACTGTATTCTTGTGAAAGCTTACTGTCCATTTCTGCAGGCCTGAAGGGAGGCGGGGCTAGTGACTTTCAGCCCCTTCTCTGCAAGTCTGTCCTAAAGAGTAGTGACAGACATGGCATGGTCCACCTTCTAGTCCTTAGATACAATCTCAAGATAACAAGTTTGATTGATGCGTTGGGGTCAAATTCCTTTTCGTGCTCCAGGTACCGAGGAGAAGGCATTGTATATGGGACACTAGAGGAGGTGTGGGACTGTGTGAAGCCAGCTGTTGGAGGCCTACGAGTGAAGTGGGATGAGAATGTGACCGGTTTTGAAATTATCCAAAGCATCACTGACGTAAGTCTTTCCAAGCATGTTATCTCTAGATAGTGTCTGGGCCAGGCTATAGTAACCCCCTCCCATTTCTTCTGGAAGGGGTCCGTGATACCTTTTGTTAAGGGGGTGTGTCCTGCAAGCACAGGCTGCCCACTGCTTGCAGCATTGGAGGCCTGCCTCAGCCCAGTTTCCCGGTGGGAAACCTCATGACTCAGAGAGGGAGAGAAGCCCCAAACAGAGTCTCTGCGGGGAGCATACCTGTTCCTTGTGTGGGGCTGCTGCACTAGGCAACACAGGATCCTCAGCCCCTGGCACCCACTTCCCTGAAGCCTGGGCCAGTAGCAGCTCCACGTACCTGCATGACCCCAGTTACCCTCTGGTATGAGGGTCTTCACGCTTTTTGCTTACATGCATCCAACAGATTTTTGAGAAATTATGCATCATCCTCACACATCCAGTTGATGTCTATTAATAACATTTAGTTTACAACTAAATTTTCATAAGTTGCAAAGCATGTCATTTTTGACATGTAAATCTCAGTTTTGAACAAAGCAATGACATCATTCTTTTAGATGTGTCTAAATAATATATAAATTTTTACTTAAAATACATGAACAAGGTTTTTTAAATCATCAGAAATGGTATATAGCTGTTTTCCTGGAACTCAAATTTCCATTCCACATAGCCCTCTGAATTTTATCCTAATACAATACATGTTTATTCTTGGAAGTCATCATCTTGCATCATAAATATGCATAGAAATAGAAGTTTTTTTAATCATATATTTCATGTAATCATGAGACTAATTTTTTTTTTTTTTGAGACGGAATCTCACTCTGTCGCTAGGCTGGAGTACAGTGGCGTGATCTTGGCTCACTGCAGCCTCTGCCTCCTGGGTTCAAGTGATTCTCCTGCCTCAGCCTCCTAAGTAGCTGGGACTACAGGGGCACGCCACCATGCCCAGCTAATTTTTGTATTTTTGGTAGAGACGGAGTTTCACCATATTGGCTGGGATGGTCTCGATCTCTTGACCTCATGATCCCCCCACCTCGACCCCCCAAAGTGCTGGGATTACAGGTGTAAGCCACTGCGCCTGGCCAAGACTAATTGTTTTTTAAAAAATTGGATTGAGGTACGAGTGTAATTCATTAAAATAACATGATTATATTATAAATTCTGATAAATATTAAACGTGACAAGTAAAACATTTTGCGTCTTTAGATGAGATGAATGGGAGCTCTCTTTTTTCTAATTAACTCATAAGCCCATGAAAAGATACAAACTTTTCAATAGACAACTGCAAAGTAGAGGGGAAGCACAGGCTACTGGTGAGCTCAGGTTTACAAAAAAGTGGAGAATTGCCAAGTGGTAGCTCTTTATCATTTAGTGAAACAATGAAAATGTGGAGAAAGGGCTCTTCCTTGCAGACTGACATTTCTCAGCATGCTTTTGGCAACTCTCAAATATCCTAATTCTAAAATAGATAGATGATCGATGATAGGTGGATGGATGGATAGGATACAGGGCCATGCCATGAGTTTGTCGCATTTATGACATGTGCTGCTGCTGTCTTCAAAATTTCTTTCCAAAGTCCTCCTCATCTTAGTTTCCAGACACTGTACCTCAGGAATGATGCACTTGGAGGCAGTCATCAGGGGTGGAAGCAGTATGATTTTTTTTTCAAAATTTTCATCACTTCTGCCATTACTGTTACAAAATACCAGAATTTAGAAATGGCAAAATTGCCTAGTTTTTAACACCAAGTTTTGGAATATGCTTAAGAAAGGGAAAAACATGAAATTCTAATACCAGTGTGTACTGCCTTGATTACATATTGCCGCCCGCACTCCTAATTGTCCCTTTGCCACCCTGGAGGATTTTACACACTGGGACAATTCATGATAGGATGATTCTAGATGAATGGGCATATGCTGTGCTTTTCTTCAAGTGGGAAAGGAGACCCTGTGTGCAGGTGCAGCCTGTTCCCAGGCAGGTCATTAGGGGATGAAGGAAACACGGAGTAGTTTCCTGGAAATTTATTCTCATTGCACCCATTGCAAAGTGCTCAAGTGCCCCCATGCATCTCATGCCATTCGAAGATTAATTTCCTGAGGCCGAAAGTGTCCCTGATGAAAAGTTCTGCAGCAACACACGATGCCCCAAGTCTTAATACCTGAGGGGAAAGACACAGAGATGGAGACCTTTACCAGCCCCTCTCACCTACCCCGAGACTTCTCTCCAGGACTGTTCCATCACAGGCCTGGCCTGTACTTCTCCACTGTGACCTCGAGAGAGCCTGGGCCCCACTCTCTTGCAGGATGGGATGAATGGGAGAAAGCCCAGCATCCTTGGTTTATAAAATGAGAGTGTGGACTACTGGGATATGCTGAGATTGAGTGAGGTTCAAGGTATTCCCTCCTGGGGCTGGGACTAGGGTAAACCAAAGAGTTGCCCCAGGCACAACATAGGAGGCTGAGCAAGTGCAGGGTCAGCCCTAAAAAAGAGTGGCCTCTCTTCCCTCTCCCTAGCTCTGGCCCTGTTCAAATCCTATCTCCACCATGAGCTTCGTGCTGAGTTCCTTAGTCTCTCTAAGTGTCAGTTTCCTCACCTGTAGGAGGGATTAATGATTCCTATTTCTAAAGGTAAGGGACAGCTGAGAGCTTTGTCCAGCCAGGCTCTTACTAGGTGCTCAATAAATGGTACCTCTTATGGTCACATGAGACGTGACCTCAGCATGGCACTGGTCTGCAGCTAGACAGCTGTGGGCAGCCTGTGTCACAGCCCTCGTCTTACAAACTGGGTGTATTTCCATGACACCCAGTTCCTGGGAAGACTCGCTCTGGATCTTAACTGTTTATAGTGCCACCCTACTGTCAGCCCTAGTACCTTTCCCAGACCTTGAGGGATGGGGTGGGAGTTGGGAGAAGATGTCTGGCCAGCAGTCACAGCTACATGCTTCTTTGGTTTGGCAGACCCTGTGTGTAAGCAGAACCTCCACTCCCTCCGCTGCCATGAAGCTCATTTCTCCCAGAGATTTTGTGGACTTGGTGCTAGTCAAGAGATATGAGGATGGGACCATCAGTTCCAACGGTGAGTGATGCCCGGAGGAGCTGCCATGCCTTCCTGCGATATCGAGCTTTCTCTTCTGCACCCCACAGTTCCTTAAGGAAAGCCAAGCAACCAGAAATCACCAGAAACTCACACTCTGAGTCCCCTACCTCATCTGGTTGGGTTTGGGGGGACTCAGGGCCATGGGGGTCTGACGCAAGACAGTCCATATGCCAGTAATTCTATGTTCAAGTCACGGTTTTGCCAGTGCCCCTTTTTTTTTTTTCCTGCGGAAGCTCATGGTGTGTGCTGTACACATGTGGGTTAGTTGGGTGGCAAAAAACTTGTGTGCAAAATCTATGGCCGTGTCTTCTTGAGGGTTTGGATGCTGTCCACTCCCTTAATGCCCAGTGAGGAGCAGGGCTCCTGCCTCTGCACAGCCCCTGCCATTCCTCCAATTCTTCTACGCGGGAGAGTTGGATGCATCCATGCCTCTCCTGGCTGAGATTTGAGAGAGGCACCTGCCTCCTCCCATGACCAAACCTTGTGTTCTAGAATGTTCTTTTCTCTGATATTCTTGACAAGCTTGGGAAAGCTATGTGCATGTTTATGTGTGAATGTGGATGAGTGAGTGTGTGTGAGTGCAAGTGTGTGTGTGTCTGTGTGTGAGTTTGTGTACACGCATGTGAGAGTGTATTTGTATGTGTGAGTGTAAGGGGCAGTAGGGTGGGAGTAGGGGGAACTCACGCCAAGAGGCAGGAGTCCCTCACAGACTCCAGGGCTGCAGGTAGTCTGGTCTGTGTGCTCTATGGCACCCCAATGGCAGTGACCTGACCGTCTGAAGTTGTAACTCACCGAGATTCTGCACTGTCTTCCAGCCACCCATGTGGAGCATCCGTTATGTCCCCCGAAGCCAGGTTTTGTGAGAGGATTTAACCATCCTTGTGGTTGCTTCTGTGAACCTCTTCCAGGGTAAGGATAATTTCCTGCATTGAGGTACATGGCTCAGACCTAACTGTGACTTCCCTGTGGACCTTCTGTGAAAAGGGGCACTTTGACTACGATTCAAAAGAAGAAAAATGCCTTATAGCTCTTTAGATTGTGACGATACAAAATACTTTCACACACATCTGCATAAGCAGAACCTCCTGAGAGTACCTGGCATGTGGGAAAGAATTGAGGGGAGGCGTTACTCTTATTTTTGATGCAGGAAATTTTCCCTGCAGCCTCCAGGTTAAGCAAATGTCATGGTCCATTTAGCAAATGAGGAAACTGAGGTTTGGGGAGGTTCAGTGATGTGTCCTGACTCAAAGGCTAGGAGGTTGGCAGGGCAGGGTCTGTGCTCCGAGTCCTCCCTGAATACCCTCCGCCAGGCAGGAGCAGCTTTGAGGATAGCAGTCCCCACCCCACATTTCACTCAGTGATCATCTCTCCTCGGCAAGGAATGTGGCGGAACTCAGGCCTAAAGGGCAGTTCTGAGACCACACTGTAAGTCAGCCTCAGAATTGACCCCGGGGACTCTCTGTTCCCATTTTGCCACAGGTCATGGCCAGGCTCTTGCCAGGAAATTTCTGTGTAATGAATTACCTGAAGGTCCCTTGTTTACCCTGGGAATCATGCATGTTGACAGCAAAAGAAACTGTGCCTTGCAGGTGTGTCCCGGTGTTCCCTGCAGTCTCCATACAGACACCCGGAGGGAAGGGGTCTGTCCTTCTACCACATTGTCCCAGGAGGTGGGCCTCGGTGTCGTGGGATTATACCAAGCCCAGACCTAGCACCTTTATGTTACCCTCTTTGCTAAGCTGGCTTTTCAGACATCATGTGAAGACTTTTCTTAGATGTAACAAAATTTTGAGTTTGAAAATAGCACAGCTGTGCTCTACCACACACAGACATACACACCTGCACTCAGTTTCAGTTCTCCCAATATATAGGTGCCCTGGATCCCCTGGCCTGGGCTCATTTCCTTGTCCTCTCCCACCTGGTAGTCAGATGCTAAGACTCACCTTTCAGTGGTGCCGGGTCTGACAGAGAGGAATTTTCAGAATAAGAGGCAGAGTCCTTCCTTCTGAGGGGCTGAATCCCATTGCTGTCTTCTTTTTGGTGGAATGCACAATATAATGGGTAGCATCACGCCCTCATGCCAGGTAGCAAAGGTATCACATGGATTTTTTTTTTTTTTTTTTGAGACGGAGTTTGGCTGTCACCCAGGCCGGAGTGCAGTGGTGCAATCTTGGCTCACTGCAACCTCTGCCTCCCAGGCTCAAGCGATTCTCCTGCCTCAGCCTCCCGAGTAGCTGGGATTACAGGTGCCTGCCACCATGCCTGGCTAATTTTTGTATTTTTAGTAGAGCCGGGGTTTCACCATGTTGTCCAGGCTGGTCTTGAACTCCTGACCTCAAATGATCCCCGTCTTGGCCTCCCAAAGTGCTGTGATTACAGGCGTGAGTCACCGCGCCTGGCCCGATTGCATGGATTTTGCTGAGAGGGTGGTTGGGGTCCCACAAAACCCTGCCCATATGAAGGTTTTAACTCAAGTGTTGACTCTTCCAACTCCTCTCCACTTGATTAAAAACATCACGTGTTCTCTGTAAAGCTTTCTTCCAGAGCCTGCTGTGTGCAGTTATTCTCATGAGGCTGTGGATCTGAAATCTGTGACAATGATTATTCTCTTATTATTCTGTGAAGATAGGCCTATTCTGGACCCTAGATTCAGCAGACAATAATAACAGCAGCAGCAGCAGCAAACATTTATACAGCATTACTGTGTGTCAGCCACTATTGTAAGCACTTCATATAAATTAACTGTTTTTATAACAACCGTAAGGCACTGTTGTGATCCTCATTTTTAAAATAAGAATGGTGGGTGCACAGAGAGGTTTAGTAACTAACCCAAGGTCACACAGCCAGCAAGTAAGAGAGCCACAGTCTCATTCTGGCCATCTGGCTCCAGAATCTGGGCTCTTAACCCAGATATTGATGTCTCAAAACAGCTAGAGTGTCTGCCCTCTTAGAACTTAGATTCCAATGAAGGCAGGAGGAGACAGACAAAACACAAATGTAAGTAGTTCTATCTCGTGGATGTGCTAGTAAGTATCAGACGTTAAGTGCCTTGGGGAAAACTAAACCCAGATAAAGGTGCCAGGGAAAGGTGTGAGTGGGTTATCTAGGGGGTTTCCCTAATAAGACGTTTGAGCAAGGCACAAATGCAGGGAGTCTTGGGCGTGTTGGTGGAGCGAGCATTCTGGCAGGGGGATGAGCAGATGCAAAGTCCCAGAAGTGGGAGCAGGAGCCGGAGCAAGAGCGGGGCCTTTGAGGAACAGCACAGAGGGAGGTGTTGTGTTAGCAAGAGGAGAGGCTAGGACATTCGGCCCATGAGGTAGCAGGGGCCGCAGCCTGTTGGGGACTTTCCTCTGAATAAAATGGGAAGCCACTGGGGAGGCCTGAGCAGGACATGGTCTGACTTTGGTCTTAACTGCTATGATGCCCTGCTTCCCCAAAGAGGGTGAACTCCAGGGGACAGGGACTTCCTTCCATCTCAAAGCCTTAGCATCGTCTGCACTCCACCCTCTCCCTCACCCACCAACCCCTGCCCATCCCGCCTTTGCTAGGGCCTTCTCTCTCCTCTTGCTCTCTTGAGTAAGAGGCTGTGAGCAAGAGGGCAAGAGGACTCATTGGGGGTGAGGTGGTGTTGAGGCCAGAGGTGGTGGTGGTTGAGCTCCAAGTGGCGCGGGGGGCGGGGGAAAGGTGTTCTTAAGGTGGAGGAGCCTGTATCTGTGGTCGAGGCAGCATTACAGTGTCATTTCTGGAGCACTTGCACTGTGCACAGGAAGGATGCTAAGTGCGTCACACCTACTCTCATTAAATCCTTCTAGCAACCGTAGTGGATGCCTTCATCCCAGCCTTTTCTGAGGGGAGACTGGGTGACCTACAATTCCTCTGTGCCCCCTTTTGCCCTTTCTGTTGTTGTCACATAATGGTGTACATGCAAGAGCTACCACTCACCAAGGCCACTGTGACGAAGAGAGTTTGTCCCATCCCACATGGCCTCTCACACGTTCCGCCCACCACAAAGCCCATTCCTCACCCAGAGGGAAACATGATCACGGAGTCTCATTTCTCACTCACCTGTTCATGTTTCCAAAGAGGATGCTGCTGAGAGGTGATGCGGGCCAGAGGAAGCCCATTGGGAGGAGGAGCAGGGAGGAGAGAGAAGGCTCTAGCAGAGGCGGGATGGGCAGGGGTTGGTGGGTGAGGGAAAGGTGGAGTGCGGATGATGCTAGGACTTTGAGATGGAAGGAAGTCTCTGTCCCCTGGAGTTCACCCTCTTTGGGGAAGCAGGGCACAAGCAGAGGAGAAAAGCCACAGCCCAGAGGAGCACATGCTCTCCCACCTTGTGGATCTGCTGGCCCCATCCTGTTCCATGCCCCAGTTGTCCTTCTGTATGACTTGAAGAGTGAGATTCTTTTTTTTTTTTTTTTTTTTTTCTTTTTTGAGGTGGGGTTTTGCTCTTGTCACCCAGGCTGGAGTGCAATGGTGTAATCTCGGCTCACTGCAACCTCCGCCTCCCAGGTTCAAGCGATTCTCCTGCCTCAGCCTCCTGAGTAGCTGGGATTATAGGCACCTGCCACTATGCCTGGCTAACTTTTGTATGTTTAGTAGAGATGGGGTTTCCCCTTGTTGTCCAGATTGGTCTCGAACTCCTGACCTCAGGTGATCCACCTGCCTCGACCTCCCAAAGGTGCTGGGATTACAGGCATGAGCCACCGTGCTTGGCCCTGGGGAGTGGGATTCTAAAAGGTCTCCAGTTCCAAACCTGTAGCCTGCATGATGTCAGGAAACATCTGATGGGCAGGCATAGTGCTACCTGGGGTTCCTGGTGAGGCTGAGTGGACAGTTGCATTCAAGTAAAATGCCAAATGCACACCACAAAGCCTATACCACCTTTGTTGTCCTGGCCGTTGAGAAGTTTGTCACAGTGAAGATCGCTTCCTGTCCCTACCAAGTTGTGTTCCATCTCCACATCGTGTGCCCCTTTGATTCTGGACTTCCAGTCAGCATCTGTGCCACCTGCCGTCCTCTGAGCTTCTGCCACCCCTTGGCCAAAATCCCTTCATAGGTGCTCAAATTATTCGCCAGTTCTCTAAATAGCAGTTCTCAAAATTTTGGCATAAGGCATTATTATACCCTTACATATATTTGAGGGCTTCATAGGGCCTTTGTTCTTGGGGGTTATAGCTATCATTATTTGATGTATTTGAAATTGTAACTGGTAAATTTGAGAAATGTTAAAAATATTTTAACATAAAAATGCACTGCATGTTAACATAGATAACATTTTTATTTTAAAAAACTATTTTTTTAAAACAAAAAATACTGTGAAAAGAGTGGCATTGTTTTTATATTTTTGCCCATCTCTTTCATGCCAGGCTTAACAGAAACTCATACCTGCTTGTGCGTGTAGTCTGTTGCAATATCACATATCATGTAACCTCCGGAAAACCCCACTGTATGCATGTGAGAGAAGGCGAATCACATGTTCGTGTTGTTATAAAAATAGTGTTAACTTTGTAGACCCCTTGAAAGGGTCCCAGGAGCCCCCAGGAGGTTGCAGACCCTAAATAGTGAAGGGCAGCATCTCTTCGTTCCTCTCAGGGCCTGGCACAAAGTGAGTTCTCTGAAAGCATTTGCTGAGTGAATCGGGCAGCAGGGTACTGGGTTTTTGGGCTGGGAGTAGGGACTTCTTCCTCCCTGGAGGCCGGGAGAGGCTGTGGAATGCATCCCCGACAGGATGGGTTTCCATCCTGAAAATCAGCAGGTCCAGAGAGGACTCCTGGGTGGAGGGCACAGCAAGGGATGAGACGCGATCACTGTATCATGGCCATTTCCACTGGGCTGGGCTCTGCTCACCTGCCTGGCGCTCGTCCCCAGCACCTCTGCTGCAGATCATAACACAGCTCTGCTGTTGCCTTCACAGGGAACCCACCAAGACCAACCTGGTCACATTCTTCCATACCGACCTCAGCGGTTACCTCCCACAGAACGTGGTGGACTCCTTCTTCCCCCGCAGCATGACCCGGTTTTATGCCAACCTTCAGAAAGCAGTGAAGCAATTCCATGAGTAATGCTATCGTTACTTCTTGGCAAAGAACTCCCGTGACTCATCGAGGAGCTCCAGCTGTTGGGACACCAAGGAGCCTGGGAGCACGCAGAGGCCTGTGTTCACTCTTTGGAACAAGCTGATGGACTGCGCATCTCTGAGAATGCCAACCAGAGGCGGCAGCCCACCCTTCCTGCCTCCTGCCCCACTCAGGGTTGGCGTGTGATGAGCCATTCATGTGTTCCAAACTCCATCTGCCTGTTACCCAAACACGCCTCTCCTGGCAGGGTAGACCCAGGCCTCTAACCATCTGACAGAGACTCGGCCTGGACACCATGCGATGCACTCTGGCACCAAGGCTTTATGTGCCCATCACTCTCAGAGACCACGTTTCCCTGACTGTCATAGAGAATCATCATCGCCACTGAAAACCAGGCCCTGTTGCCTTTTAAGCATGTACCGCTCCCTCAGTCCTGTGCTGCAGCCCCCCAAATATATTTTTCTGATATAGACCTTGTATATGGCTTTAATGCCGCAAAATATTTATTTTTCCTTAAAAAAGGTGTCAACTTGGAAATAATGGTTTAAAAACAGGATAAGCATTAAGGAAAAACACTTTCAATGTGTCTTCCATTTGATGAATTTGTTTTTCTCTCTTTATCCCCGCAAGGTGGAGTTTCATGTCCTCGGTGAAACCAGACAGTGTGAATCTGTTCCAGCCCAAATCTGCAGCATTAGGGATGAGTTCTCAGAAGTGATTCTGAACTGAGCACGCACTCATGTCTGCATGGGGAACTCTGGGGAGAAGAGCCTTCCTTTTCTTTCCCTTGGGCATTTGCCTTTCCTTGTCGTCTTACTGAGGCGGAGGCAGGAGGTCTCTGTCTTCCAGGCCCTGGCCAGGCCATCCTGCCATCAGGAAAGATGGAAGAGTAGGCCTCCGTCTAGCAGCCCTGGCTGGAAATCCCCCCTCTAGATCCTGCTGCAAGACTGTACAAACTCACAGGGGCCATGTCCACCCAGGCACATCATCAGAACCAGGGAGCACAGCCTTGCCACCTAGAAGGGGCCTCAGCAGCCGTGCAACTTTCTTTCCCTATCTCCAATCCAGAGAGGGATCCTCTAACATTCTCTAGCAACCTCATCTGCACCCCCACCACCTTCCTTGTAAGAAAGACCACGTGTGACTAAAATCCCTTCACGCTGCATTTACCCAGGTTACTATTGTGCGCGCAAAATGTTTTCACAGTGTTCTCAGCCTTTGCTCCTCCAAACAGAAAACGTTTCCCCTGCGTTACTGTTACTTCCCTATTTTTGAGTCCTGGGGTGACTGTCTCTTAAATGTGCCAAGATGTGAGCAAGCTTTAAAACATGACAGCTCAGTGTTAAGGAGACAGAAAGCTTCCTCTTTCTCTGTTCTATTGCAACTACAAATTCTACAGTCATGCCTAAGATCCTTTAGCTAACACCCTTTTCAAGAAATCATCAGACTCTTGGATTGACTTAGAATTCATTCATTCATTAAGTGCTTACCGAGTCCCCGCTCTGTGGCAAGCACTGTTCTATATCAACTTCTCATGAGTTCAGCCAATTCTAGGTGCACCAGCCAAGGAAACTTCATGCCTGCCCTCTCTGAGCTCCATACTCTGAGGTGGTGGTCTTATCAAGATGGGATCGCCTTGTACATCCCTGTGTAGCCAAGTGGAAGGCCAGCCAACCAAGAATGCATCTCACTGGGCCTATGGGACATACTGTGCCTGCACTGCTCCTCCACGTGACTGCATCAGGTTAAACTGGTCAGAGCCCTGGATGAGGAGCTGGAAAACATGCATCCAGTCCAAGCTCTGCCACTTGGGCCAAGTGTGCTCTTGAACAGTCACTTAATATATCTGCTTTGATTTGTCTTTTAAAGAAAATATGGAGGCAGGAATACCAGTGTCAGTGTAGCCTGCTTCTTGAGTGTTGGCACAAGTGAGATAATGTATGAATCAGTAAAATGCTGGGCAAAGCAAAGAAGTAGGGCTGCCTGGGAGTGGATTCCTTTTTATGGTGAGTTAAGACGACTTCACAATTGTTAGCTGTGATGCCTGCAGTGTTTGAGGATGGCATTGCCTTCATCCTGTGTCAGCTCTGAAGAAGTTGGCAGAGCAAAGCTAAGCCTCAAGTGTAAATCCCAGCATCATGGAACGCAAATGGATGAGCTTTTGTTTTAGGATCTTCTTGCTGATTCCTACCCAGAGGACTTCCCCAGCCTAGAGACCAGAAACCTGGGCAATAGTTATATCTTCAGTGGCCCTAGGAGTTGTTGTGTCTCCTTGGGGAGGAGAGAACCTTCTAAAACAGGCCAGAGACAGGAGGTACTGGGAGGGCCATGGGCTCACCTGCATCTATGCCCAGATAACCTGGGACAGATAACCTCTGTCCCAATCACTTGCTTTGCCTGGTCTCTCAAGGAGTCTCTTGGTACCCCAGGCCCACGGCCAGCTCCATGCTCATCCCTGTCCCCACCTTCCAGTCTTGATGAAAACCCACCTTCTCTTTCATCCCTTGGCTGCTTGATAAGACTTAAAACAATTCCCTGATTTTAGGGAAGGCCACTGCGTGCACAGATGGTGAGTTTGTGCAGGCAAGGAATGTGCCCTCCACATCACGTGGCCTCCTTGCCCAGCCTGGGTCATGGGAAGGGAGTGTTGAATTGAATCACGTCTTTCGTTGGTAGATTATGTTCATCTTCAATGTTTCTATTAAGTCTAAAAAGTGGATACAAATGGTGCCTCCAAGTTCTTGTCTAATTGCTTGTCTACTGCTTGACAAAATCCAGAATGGAATAGGCCAAACAAGTTAACCAGCAGGACAGAAACTGCTCTAAGCCCATTATTCCTTGAGATGAATAGAACAGTGAGCTGAACGCCTGCTCTAATGAAGCCACTAAAGGGGTTTACAGGAAGGTTAGGAGCCCAGATGGGTTTTGAGTCCACTGCTGGGAAACAGATTCTTCACTTCCTGTGGACCCTGGAGAAGCCATCAGATTACATTAACATGGCTCCACTGATGATGGCCTGAGAATTACTATTGTTTGTGTTTCATCTGTGTCCTTGCCAGGTCTTCCCCCACATCCTTACTTCACAGGATCAGGGGCTGAGAGGAGACCAATACTCTGGCCCAGGCCTGGTCAAGGGATGCTGGTTGTTGCTGATGCAAAGTCACATTGCCTGGTCCTGAGCTTGGCAATCAGGCATCCAGAGATGGCCAAACCAAATATCCCTTTGGCCAGGCACTCAGGCATTCCCTGTAATGTTGTGCACTTAAAGCATCTTGGGCTGATAGTCTCCACCGAATCACAGAAGAAAACTCAATCTGCCGCATCACTCACCAGCTGGATAAGCCATTTACTGTACACAGTGTGTGCCCTCTTATCAATACATTGGCACAGAACCATACACCGTAGAAGCTGCTGTGATCACTAAAGGCAATGCCCGTTTAGCCCTGAGCACAGTGCTTGGCATGTGGTAGGTAAGTAGTAGCAATTTTATTTGATACCCTCATATACACGCTGGTTCCTTCTGTCGGCACACCTGTCCACGCTTTGAGCTTGGTGCTTCACCTGTACTCCTCTGTTTACTGGCTCCACCACCCTTCCCTAGGATTACTTCTCCAATCCAACCAAAAACAATTTTGCAAATGTTTCATGTGACAAACTGTATTTTTCATAAATGACCCCAGCAATATTTCCTCTCCCCTTAAACCCAGGCAGGTTTGTGTCAGCTCTAACTGATGGAGTATGGTGGAGGTGATGCCATGCAACTTCCAAGGCAAAGGTATAAACAAGATGCAGCTTCTACATGGCTCTTGCGATCCTGGGATGCTCATCCTGGGAATCCAGACACCATGTTGTGAGGAGGCCCAGGCCACAAGGAGAGGCCACCTATAAGCATTCAGGCCAGCAGCCCCAGGTGAGTTCCCAGCCAACATCAACGGCCAGATGTATGAGTGAATGATCTCACGTGGTCCCAGCCTTTGCATGACTTTGCATGACGCCAGCTGATGCCAAGTGGGACAGAGATGAGCTGCCCATTCCAATCTCTGCCCACATTGCAGATTCATGAGAAAAATAAATGTCACTGTTTGGGGGTGAATCATGACACAGTTACAGTACTTGAAACATTTTGCGAAGCCAGGCATGAATGTCATATGAAATTCTAATAAATCCATTTTATTTGTGGCACCACAATATTATCATTAAGCTCTCTTTTTACACAGTCTGCAATTTGTATCAGCTGCCCCCGTGTGACTCTGCCCTTATTTTAGGAACAACCTTTTGCTGGGTGGCGTCCTAGAAGGTCTGGGCCTGGGCAGCAGCCACTGGGAAGCCCACCTGTGCTTTCCCCCATCTGGGTGGGGCGGCAGCAGAGACCCTGAGAATCAGCGGTTATGGGAGCTGTGTGTTAGCTGTGTGTTATTGGCTTTGGCTTCAGCATGTCCTGCCTAGGAGTCTCCAGCAGCTGTGGTTTCCTTGGACTGGAGGCTTTTTCTCCTGATGACAATCGTGACAGGTCCATCAGGCAGTGCCTTGATGATGTTCCAGGCTTCAAACCGTGTGAGGCCCTGCATGGCAGTGCCACCCAGCTGTAAGATTTCATCTCCAGGCTGGACTGTCTCACTTTGTTCTGAGGCTGCTCCTGAAATGAGGGAGAAGGTAATGGGTTCCACAGATGATGGGGAACAAGGAAAGTTGCCTCCTCTCCTTGATCTCCAAAGAGCCAGGATAGCTTGGTAGAGAACAGGGCACCATCCCTTGGGAGCTTGCTTGTTGGTGGTTCTAAAATGAGGCATCTCTTAAGATGGTGACTCAGAGGTTAGGGCACCAGGCTCCAGCTCTCCATGGCCTTTGGAAAGGGATAGCCCTTGCTGTCCCCAGGGGAGGGAAATATCAGGCAGCTCCACGCCTTAGCCTGCCTGGAGCACCGTCCATAGTTCATAGAGGACTCTGGGGAGCTGAGTCCTGCCCAGACCCTGCTTTGGACACTGACCCAATATCCTACTCCCTTCACATTTGTTCTCCGCATGTGGTGAGGACATCAGCATTGGGTGGTATGGGAAGAGAGCTAGTGAGATTTTTGTGCAACAATATTTACAGGGATCTTGCCTCTGGCACGAAGTCCTCTGTGTCCACATAAAAAAGGAAACAACCATATATGGCCCCCACTATTTCAAAGCTGCAAGTGAAAACAATGCTATTTTACTGTTTATATTAAAATAAAATTTCCCATCCATTTGACACAGTGATCTTCACAAATCCTGATAAGAGTAGAAGATAATACTAATGATAGTAATGAAAATATAGCTAAAGTGTATTGGGCAATTATTTTAACAGGCGTTGTGCTAATGTTTTGCATTTATGACAGTAATCCTATGAGGGGTGTATTATTTGTGTTTCCTTTTAACAGCTGAGGAAACCAAGAACTCAAGTAACTGGCCCAGAGCTTCATAGCTGCTAGTGGTGGGCCCTGGGCTGGAACCCAGACTTTCTGGCTCCAGAATCTGCATCTCTCCTTCCAACATCACCCTGCAGCTGGCAGTCTCATCCTAAACATTTAAGCAAATGGGCCCATGGTGGTGAAGTGACTTGTCCAAGATCATGCTACCAAGGTCATGTGGCAGAACTAACACTGGAATCTAGTCCTCTTGACATTGAACCCAATGCTCCTTCCAAATTGACCTTCAAAAATTAGAAATATCTTTCCCAGAATTGGGGTTAACATGGATTCTGGGGGGAATGCCATGTAAGCCTCACTCTACCTTCTGGGTTTCTGCAGCCGCAGCAGAACTTCCTCTAACGAAACCAGTCAGCAGCAGGAGCTCATAGTGGGTGAGGGACAGAGCTAAGAGTCCCTTTGGGTCTCAGTCCTAAGAGCCCTCAGACACACACCTGTACCTCTTTACCTCCTTTTATGGATGAAGAGCCTCAGGCCCAGAAGGGAAGGGTCACTCAGCACATTACAGGCAGAGCTGGGACTAGAACCTGGCCCACCTGCCTCCCTGTCCAGTACTCCTCTCTCTACAACCCCTTGCTCTGTGGCTTGGAGACCTCCAATTTGAGGAACACCAAAGAATCAGGGATGGTTTTACATGGTAGCCACAGTCATTCATGATTTTCACAGGGAAATCCAAGTGACCCCCATATCAGACTGGTTTGTACTCCAATCCCTGATGAACAAAATATCTATCAACATTTTAAATAAAGGCAGGAGCTGACGTGTCCAGGACTAGGGTAAGGCAAATGAGGCCAAGTGTGCAGTACAAAGTCAGACTCTGTCTTGATTTAAACTTGGATATTTTGTCCAACATGTTTTTTTAAAATTAATTTTAAAAAACACGCTGCATTAAAATAGTATCGATCTGAGTTACTGAGTGTTTTGGCACCCCTTTAAAATTCTGCCCCACAGGCCAGTGCCTCACTGCCCCACTCTAGAGTCCTGGCCCTGCCAACCCGAACCAAGCCCAGGACTTAGGTATTTTTGAAGACCCATCAAAACAGAGGGGGGATTGAGGGGATGTCTGAGCAAAGGAGAAAAAGTAGAAAAAGCAGAATTGAGCCCTAAAAGGACCAGCATGCCTATGAAGAGGACATGGAGTTGTGGGAAACAACATAGCCCAGAAAGTGCCCAGAAGCCTTTTGGGGGCCTGGCCACATGCCCACAACTGGAGAGCACGCAAAGAACCAGACACACCCCACACCTTTGAAAATCCTGTTAATGGTGAGAGGCTTGTCTCCGTGTAGGGAGCCCTTCCCTCCTTCCAGGCTGAAGCCCAGCCCTGCCGACATCTTCTCCAGTGTCACCGTGCAGACTGTGGCCTCTGCTGCTGAGAAAAACACAAGGTCTCTGTTAGGGATCCTCTCCTCTCCCAGGCCACAGATGCCCTGGGCTTCAAGTGAGCCCGGGGTGATACAGCCCCCGTGTTTGCACACAGGCACATGTAAACACGTCTCAGGCAGTGTACTAGGCAGCCACACATTCTTGGGGTCACAAATTACTGAGTAGCCCCATCAGGTCTGGCCCCAAATGGCCAAAGAGGATGTGGCCCATGTGGCTTCCACTGAGTTGGGAGAACTTACTAGATTCTACAGAAACATCACTGGCTGCAGAGGCTGAGGCTGCAGAGTCAGTGGAGGAGTTGAGGTCGGGCATGGCCTCTGGAGTCAGCTTCCTTGTGACAATCACAGCTTGCCTGGGCTCTCGAGCTTGGCGGAGGATGGCCAAGGCATCATGGTGCGTGGTCCCCTTGAGAGACTTGCCGTTGATGGAAAGAACCTCATTGCCCTTCTGAATAGTCCCTTCCTGGGAGGCCAGCCCATTTGGAAACACTCTGTGAACCTGAGCAAACCAAAGGAAGTCAGGACCAGAAATCACACAAGTCCAGTCCACATACTTGCTGGAGGAGGATTGAACCGGTTAGTCAATGCTAGAGGATTTTTAGGCCAACAAAGATTAAAGATAATTGTGTCCTAGATTGGAGCTGCTGGCACAGAGGCCAGCATTCCCTCCTTCTCCATCCAGAGCAGAGATCACCAGCAGTAATGACCAGGTAAGCCCTCAGAATCCATCCCAACACAACGTCCTATAGTGTACCACCACGATTCTAGTTGGGATTCCATATAAAATCTTTTGCTTCACCTGCCCTAGGTCAGAAGTCCCCAGAGTAGTTTTCTCAAGGCACTGATTCTATGGCATATTAACGGGTATTGTGTAAGAAAAAGGCTTTTCCTATTATTTTTTAAAAAATAGAGACAGGGTCTCCCAGTGTTGCCCAGGATGGTCTCAAACTCCTGGGCTCAAGCAATCCTCTCACCTTGGCCCCGCACAGTGTTGGAATTACAGGTATGAGCCACCACACCCGGCCAAGAAAAATTTTTTAAAATCAAAGAAACTTGAGGAATACTGGGTGAAACAAAAGCTCTGACATTGTCTACTTTTAAAAAGCAAAAGGCATTAGAGGGTCTACAATGCAAATTTGCATGGCAGCAGATTTCTAAGCAAAAGGCATTTAGAGGGTCTACAATGCAAATCTGCATGGCAGATTTCTAAGTATTGGCAGGGTATTATGGGGATTCCCAAAGTGTTTCAACAAAGAATTCTTTTCTCATAGAGAAATTCTCGGTCTCATTTGGCAGAATGCATTTTGAGAAACACTCTCCTAGGCAGTCTAGACATTTTTATAGCTCCTCCCCTAGAAATTCTGACTCTTTACCTCCAGTCACCTCTTGGTCCCCTTTCTGCAAGATATGTGGGATAAACAAACACACAAAAATATCTCATGTCTCTGCCTCAGCCTCTTTAATGAGGTCCATTATAATTAAGAGGACTGAGTGATAGCATGCATGGAAACCACTAAAATGTGGTACCTGTAGTTTTGCTTTTATGATAGGAGCAAAGCTCTTTGCTTCTCTAAATTGTTTTGGTGTTAGAAAAATTCTGTTACATGGTTAGAATCCCCAGGCTGTAACATCCAAGCATGAAGCAGAACCTCTCCTCTGAGCCTCAGGTTCCTCAATGCTAGAGGATTTTTAGGCCAACGAAGATTAAAGTTAATTAAAGGAGGAACCTCAGGTTCCTCCTCTATAAAAGAAGCATAAATGCCACCAATTTATCAATCCAAAGTGTGGGTAGGATGAATTTAGACAACAGGTCAGTGAGTGCTCAGCATGGCCGTGGATGGTGCTCTACGTTAGTTCCCTTTTAATCATCTGGAAAGGAAGAGAAATGCTCAAACACAGAAGGAGAAAGAAGCTTTTGTGCATGTGCTCAGCCAACATGTGCGCCTTCCTCCTAGTTTCCTGTTGTCTGCAGTGTCTCAAGGGTGACTGGCCAGATGACGTGGACAGAAGTTGCTACTCATGGACAGAGAAAAATACCCAAAGTGCCATTCCCACAGGCAAGCTCTCTTTCCTCCTCTTCAAGTAGAAAGTAAACTACACGGTCAGGAATCTTTTTGTAATACTCAGCTGCACTCAGTGAGAGAAATAGAGACTTACAGGTTTTAAGTGTTTTTTATGTGATAGAAAACTTATCAGGAAATCAAGGAAGTCACCACTGACATGATTGACTCTGAAGTGACACGCAGGAACATGCCAGATTGCCACTGCAAGGGGGTGTGGTATGTTGAATGCTGGCTGATGCTGTGAACTGGAGGATTTGTTTTCAGTTGGGCATGGAAATTCAAATGAGCCCAGCACAGCCTACACAAAGGATACCCTGAGACAACACAGCCCTGGGATGACAGCAATGCACTCGGCTTTAGAGAGCGAGCAGCCGCAGCATGGCTCCACAAAACTGGCAGAACCAGAAACCATCTGGGTCAGGTACAGGTGACCTGAAGGCAGCAGCCAATGCTGATCAGATTGGATGAGCCAGAATAGTGGGACCCACAGGAAAAGATGCCCATGGCCAGGCCTGCTACCCTCTCCACGCAGCCCCAGGCTCTGGGATGTGCTGAGTGGACAGGACCTGCCCAGTGGCCTAGTGTCATGCATTCTTCATTTCCCCAGCACAGGGCCCCTTCCTGGCAAGTGTGTCCCCCTCCCCCAGAACCATTGCCTCTGGCTGTGACATGCCCCTTCACTTGGCCACTCACCGTAATCACCTTGTTTTCTAGATCTGCTCCTCCTGCCAAGCTGAACCCAAGACCAGCACCTTCCTCCTTGTGTAAGATGGTGACATGGATGCCGTCTAATTGCTGCAGAGGAAATACATACATTCAAAAACATTTTACTGCAAGAGGATGAACAATTTAACATCGGACTGACATCAGACTGATTTGTTATCTCAAACCCCAGCTTGGCCAGCCTCCAAGTTACATCACCTCCTCAAACCTCAGTTTCCTCATCTGTAAAGAATGGACCTTCAGGAGTCATGGGAAGCTTAGAAGAAAAAAAAAATGTATGTAAAGCAGCAAGCATAATTATTTTCCTCTCTCATTCACCCTGTCCACAGCCGGGCAGGGGGAGTGCCATGAAGTCAGCCAGAAATCAGCATATTGGACAGTGTGAGATGAAGTCAGGTTGTAGGACTTCAGGTAAAACAAAACAAAAAAAAAAAACAACAAAAAACAAAACAGGGGTCAGTGCTGTTCTGCAGGAATTGGTTGCTCCTTCTTCCCTTCTACTTCTCCATGGGTCACAGCAGCAGCACTAAGGAAGCCCAGCTAACATCCTGCCCCAATGCACAGTGTGCAAGTGTGACACACACACACACACACACACACACACATTACTACGGTACTTCCTAGCCTAGACGGGGACTCCCATGGAGCCAGGACACAGTCAGAGACTCCTATTCCAGTCTAGAGCAGGGGTCTCAAACTCAGATGCCTATAGGAGTCAGGCAGGTCCCTAAAATGAGCCAAATGGGCAGATGTGTGATAGGAACTGCAGAGCGCCAACGAGTACATCTGCTCAAAGGGTCAGCTCTACGTAGGCATACAGAACTAGCGCTACCAGATCACTTCCCTAAAGTCCAGGTTTCAATTCAGGTTTTATCATGTATAGAATTCAATATTTTTTTCATCACCATGCAGACCAAATAAAGTACACCTACAGGTTCTTGGGGCACCTGTTTGTACCTTGGCACTAAGGAGTAAACTTATGTCAAAGAATTCACTTGCTCAGCGTCACTAGAGCACCTGACTTGCAGCTGTCCCTATGATCCTAAGACTTGGAGCCCCTAAGACCCAAAGGCATGGAAGGATGAATGTACCTCACTGCACCCTCACCTCCAAGCCCCAACACTAGCCCAACTCTCTCAACTTTTACCCAAGTATCAGGTTACTTGCCTTGTAGAAGGCTCTTCTCATGTTAGAAAGCAAATACTCTCCCCAGAGCAGCTCAGGCAGGATGGCTCTTTGTGTTTTACACGCTCTGCCTCTGTTATTTCATTTGCACTGAGTAAGATCCTGGGGGATGATGGTCCCAGGTGACAAGTGAAAGCCACAGCGAAAGAATCTCAGCACAGCAGCACCTTGGGCTCATCAGACTCACCTACACTCTTGATGTGGAAATTGCAGCTATGAGGCCTCCTTGTATGGAAAACGAGAACCTCCTTATCCTCTCATCCTAGCCTGGATCATTCTAGTGCCAAAAGCCTACGGAGGCCTGGGGCAGCACCTAGAGGGTGCAGGACCCATGAGCCTGAGCTCATTTGACTGCTGGCCCCAGCTCAGCCTGGCCACTTCCTCCCCACACCCCTTTGGGTCATGCTCAGAAAACATATGGGAAGTGAGACTTTCAGAATGACTTGACTGAAGCGTGGGGGACTTGTGAGCCCTGGGATCAGCCACCTCTCCATGCACAGTGGAAATAATGAAAGCTCCAGGTGAGAGCTCTTGTAACCCACATTGTTTACAATGGACAGCATCCCACAACAGACACATGCCAGGACAGCAGCACATGGAATGTGGAAACAGCACTGAACTTGAACTTGGAGACAGAAAACCCAGGTTCTGTAACCTTGATTGAGCCTTACCTTTCTCATTTATAAAATGACAAAAGAAGATGCAAGAAGTCAATCTACTGAAAGTGGTTCACAAGCTAAAAGGCTCTCTTCAAATGGAAGGTCTTACTGTGGTCAAGTGCTACAGTGTCCCACCATCACAGGACGCAACCTGGGTCTGATGTGAGCAGGCTACTCAAGCTACTTCCCCTCTGGCCCAACTAAGGTGGCCACACAGCCATAATAAGCCATTGGTTACTGCAGATGCTTACAAAGGAAACCTACCTTTAATGTTGCTTCATCCAGAACCTTCACCTCCTCGATGAGTTTTTTTAATTCTTCTGAGCTCAGCAGGGAGATAACGGACTGACCAGACTGAAGGGAACTGTGGTCCCCATCATCGTCTTCCTTGGCTTCCGTGAGACCCTCTGTATATTCTCTCAGCTCTGAAAGGCTTTCATAAGGAGAAACAACACACAGTATGAACAACAATATTAAAAAGAGGTAACAGTGATTGTATAATTACTATGTCCCAGGTGTGGTGCCAAGCACTTATGTGCATATTATTTGATGCAACAAATCTATGAGTAGATACTAGCATACCTTCACTCTACAGATATTTCCCAGCAGTGTAAGAATAATAAATAAAACTAATAAATGCAGAGCTACTTTGATCAGAGGGAAGACCAAGCCCCAGCCCTACAGCAGGGACCCTATGGCACGTCTGACATCCTCTTGGTTCTGCATAGAAGGTCTCATCCATCTCCTAATTTCAACTGACAAGGAATCTGAGGGTGAGCATGGAAAGAACCTGCTCATAGTCAGAATCAGTGCCTAAGCTGAGACTAGGACCCAGACATCCTAACTCCCTGACGAGGGAGTTGAACCCACGTGCAGAGTACAAGTGGATTCCATTTGGAGAGTAAGAATTCCTGATGGATAATTTCCTGGCCTCATTCTGGTCTTTCTGAGTAACCGCAGGACATTTCAGATGTGCATCAACCTTCCAAATCTCCACAGGCGTATGTCAGCCCTCATGAGCAATTCACCAGGGAGCCAGTCCCACCTCCTACCTCCCAGCCCTCCTGAAGCCAGATGTTGTGAAAACTCCTCCTTAATGTGAAAGGCAGAGGTGTAATACCTACAGACAGACACACACACACTCAGACATCTGCACACACATGGAAAGAAAGAGGCAGAACAATTCTTTAATCAATATATCTGGGAATTTTTTAAATTATATATAGGATTATTTTTAAAAATAAAGATGAGAAAGAAAAAGATGAGAAAGGTAAAGAGAAACACCGGGTGTAGAAACTCACTTGAGCGAGAACCCTGTGTCCAAGGCAGATGTTTCAGCAGAACCATTTGCAGCTGAGTCTTCGTTGGATGATGATGTTGGAGATGCCCCTTCCTTGGGGATGCAGGGAGTCTGGGCACAGGAGATAGAAGATGGAAGGCACAGCAAGGATTTCATGACAGCCGATGACACTTGGCTGCTGATAGAATAGAGTTTGCTGGTCTTTTCGTCAAGTAGCTTCGTCTCACAGGACTGGGACCTGGTCAGGGGGAAGCTCCGTGCTCGCTGGCTAGGCATCTTGAGCACTGGGCCTTGAGATTCCTCAGCCTGTGTTGACAGCAGCCTTAGGAGCGGGTCCGGGCCAGGGGGGAGAGTTTTCTGATTGGGCTGCCGCCCTGGGGGAGGGGACTCAGACACACCTGGGTCTCTGGCCTCGGAGGCTGCAGGGGACCCCGAGGACAGTACTTGCTCAGGCTGCTGGGGCACAAGAGTGGGTGCAGCCCCTCGCCCCAAGAGTCCAGAAAACCGTCCTTCCTCATGCTTCCCAAGAGGTTTTGCTGCCTCCCCAGAGGAGGGCTGGAGGCTCAGTCTCTGGGCTCCTTTGTCAGGCAGTTGAGAGGAGCCAAAGGTTTCAAAGGAGCTGATTCTCTGCCTGATGGAGGAGGAGGAGGAGGAGGCCCGGATGTGTGATCCTAGGTGCTCCCTGGAAGCAGGTGCTGGCTGGGTGGACAAGGCAGGATCAGGGAGCCCTCTTGGGTCTGAAGCACGATTCCTCAAACCTTTCAAGCTTTGGCGAAACCAGGCTGGCTTGGGAGCCACAGGAGGACCTTTCTTCACAGTGCTGCTGTCTGCTGACTTGTAAACTTTGGGAGTGCCATTGGCGGTGTCCAGCTTTGGTGGGGTCCCATCTGGGTGGCCCTGTGTCCCTTCTTCTTCATTCAGGCTGGCATTGGGCTGTAGAGGCATGTGGCCATGGTTCTCACTCATGATGGGGCTAAATAAGTTTTTGATGCAGTCAGAAATCCTAACCCAAGGGTCTTCGGCTGTGGTATCAAAGCTATAGTCCATCCGAGCCTGCCTCTTAAGCAGTGGGTGTTTTATCGGGGATGTTTGGGTCACTACAGTGCAGAAACAAGGCCAAAGCTGTGCATTACATCATACAGTGACTTTTCTTCCTAAATTCTAGTTTCCAAGCTGAACAGCAAGAAGGATTCAAGAGGAGGAGATTAGCAGAAGTGGGGGACACCCAGGTGGGTGAACTCCAGGTGCTATTACCTGACTGAGCTGCCAACAGGCAGGAGTGAAGGACCAGAAGTAGGAGTTAATCTCACAGTATCCTAGTGTTTTAGGCCTGGAAGGGTGCTCAGAGAATATCTGGGCCGACCTCTGGCATATTACATTTCAAGAAGGGTAAGGGGCCATCTGATGGCAGTGCTCAGGCAAGACCCTGTGTCTCCTGACTCTTGAAGTTCATGTCCTTTCTACTGCACTAAGGAGCCTCCAAGATACCATGTTAAATGTGTAAAAGCCAAAGCAGTTCTCCTGCCGTTTAAACTTTTAAGACAAAGGTCATGAGTTGGCAGCTGTTTGTGCTTTGACCTACCCGTGTCATTAAAAACAAGGTGCCTGTGCACAGCTTCTGATGGGGCCACTTCGGCTTCCCACAGCTCTTCACGCTCCCTCTCACCCAGCCAGCATTTCCCATGTATGTACCTGCCTGGCCCTGAAGCCGTGTGTTTGCTGCTCTGCCTATACACAGGTCATTGATCAGCTTGCTCTCGGCAAAGGAGTGTTTTCCCTCCCTCAAAAGCTGATGAAAAGGTTCCAGGTAGAAAGGAATCTGTGAAGTAGGATTCTCCACCTTGGCTACATACTGGAATCTGGAGGGCCCTGAAAAATACTGACGCCCACCCCTAGGTACTGACTGAAGATACCTGGGATGCAGCCTGGGTGTTGGGAATGTGATGAGCAGGGGATTGCAATGTGCAACCTGCTCTGTGCCAGCCAGGACCTCAGGCATGCCCTGGAGCACATAGGAGTCTTTCTCAGAAGCCAGCATTGAACCAGCATCATATCTGCATGGGTAAGGGAGAGGGTGTCCTGGCTCTCTTTCCCAGGGGCAGAGGGAGGCTGGCCTGTGTGCCTTGGGGGATGCTTGCTACTGGAACGCAACCCAGTTGAAGGAACTCTGATCCCTCCTGTCCCTTGTCTCAATGCCAGGTTTCAAAAGAAGTGAATCATGGAGCATTACACCTTGATGATATCAAAGAGAAATTCTGCACAATCTAAGAGACTGGCCTTGGGCAAGTGAGCCCAGGCCTCCAGCCTGTTTCTGCATTTTTGAATGGCTTGGCTGTAAGGTGCTGTTGTGAGAATCAGGAGGCAGAGGTTCCACAGGCAAGCCCTTTGCAGATTGGAGTGACAACCTCCTGTCAGTTAAACACTGAGGCGTTTGCTTTTGCTAGAATGTTCCTCAATTAGGGTGACTAAGGGAGAGGAGCCTCCACCCACAGGGCCTCTGCTCTGGGTGAGATGTGCTAGATCTTTCCAAAATGTCCCTTAGCCCTCCAAAAGTCTTTCATGAGCTTTTCTGTAGTGTTACTCAAACAGTCATATGTTTTATAGTCTATATGTTTATTTCCTGCCACTACTAGTTGCTCCTTGGAGGCAGGACCTGACTACCTGGTCTCATCCCTTTCTCTCTCTCCCCCCAGCATCTAGCACAGGGCCTCACGAAGCCAGCATTCAATGTGTGCTTGCTGAATGCATCATATGCTTGGGGTCTACGTGCTCTTCCACACATTGCTGATGAGTGAATCTGGGCTCAGAAAGGCAAAGTAGGTTGCTCAGAATCATACTAATGACAGACAGATCCAGGATTCCCTGACTTCAAGTCCTATGCTCTCTCTAGCAAGCAAATAAATATTCAAGTCATGTCTTAGCATTGTCAGGTGTACCATGTGGACACACCCTTGCTATCCACCTCATGGAGGAGGTGACCACTGGTAGATGCTATTTATACTTTTCTGGCGTTGCATTCTCTGACTCAGAAATCCTGAATGCAGCAGGACTGTTGCAACTGGAATGTTGGCACCCTAGAGGTAGCTGCCCAGGATGGCTGGGTGGGTGTGTCTTTGGACCTCTTCCAAGGGCTCCATCCTCCCAATTATCCAGAATGGCCTGCATTCCTGCTGCCACCCCCACAGCATCACCCGTCCACCCAGGAGGCTCCCCACCCTGGACAGCACCTCCACGGTGCTGCTGCCCAGCACCTGGAACCCTTGACTGTTGATCAGCCAGGTCCAGTGGTGATGTCAATGCAGAGCACTCTGATCCTCAGGCCAATTTGTGCTCTTATCTTATCCCTGCACCTTTTTTCAAAAGACCCTTCCTTTTGGAAGATCTCAATGAAAGCTTACCTGGGCTGGCTCTTCTCCACCCTGGCTCGCCCTCTGTGGAGGACTTGGTCTGTGGGCCGATACCAGGTCCTGGGCAGCCGGCAGAGGCACTAGGGCTTCTCCCTGCTGTGTCTTCCTGTGGTAGCAGCAGTGGCAGCAGCTCTCTCGCTTCCTGTGGTGTAAACAGGAAGCGAGACCATGTCAAAACGGTAGCCTCAAGCTGTGAGAAGGCGAGACACGCTTTGATTGGGACGGAAAAACGGATATTGAGCTGCTTTCAGTGAGAAGTTCATCAGCAGCCATGTAAAGAGGATTCTTTTCTCCTTGGTGCTGACGTGGCAGAGCCAGCACCTCCTAGACATGCAGAGCATCCCTTGACTTCCAGCAACCTGGTATCCAGGTCATGGGCTCATACTGTTGACATACTTGAAGACCCTGACTCTTTATGATAGGAACAAAAGGCTTTGAGTGTGGAGGGACTGGCATTGCTTCAGTTACAACTGCATCTGGTGAACTACCCACCCCGGGAGGGTATAGGGCAGCGTAGAAACAAGGCAGCAAAAAAACCTGGCAGCTAGTGTTCCCTAAGGTTAGAGCACTCAGGAAAATGCTTGTCAATTGCTGTCACTTGTTAAGCACTCTTCAAATATTTAGTAAGTGTTCTGCAAAAGATGACAGATACTCAGCACCTGTGCCATTGCTCCCCTCTGTGGCACCTAGGGTGACATCCTCAATCTGTTGCAGAATTGTTTCCACCACTGAGCCTGGATGCAGCCTTGGGGTCCTCCCAAAACAGCCTAGGGACAAGATGAACCAGGCTCTGAATAGCTATGCAATACTTGAAGAGTTTGGATTATCACACAGTGTGCTTAAGGTACTGTCAGGGCCCAGAGGAAACAGAGAGACCAGTTCCATCCCAGAGGTGGAGAAGGCTTCCTAGAGAAGTACTTTCTGTCTGCTTCATAAACAGAGTAAGAATTTTGCAGGCAGAGAGGCAGAAAAATAGTGTTCCAGAGACATAGCCCAACCAAACATAATACCCATCTGGAAAAAAAGATTGAGAAAGCAGACATCATCAAAATGATGCCACCTGTATTTGATTGTCTGCAAGAGAAATGCTTTGCTATACTGCGGTGGCCTCCACGTCCGGTTCATTCCAGATTTGTGTAATGATGGGCCATTTGACATGGCTGCAGGCTTCCTTCCAGAGAGGAAGGAAAGAGGAAGGAACAAATGCATCCTTTGGGACTAAAAAAGCAATGGCAAATATCCATGACCTGAAATTTAAGATCTACATTGACAATAAACATTTTGGAGGAAGCAAAGGTCTACAAAAGTTAGAAGTGTATTCACAGAGCATTGCCTCAGCTCGAGTTCCCTACTGTAGAACTGAGCTTTAGGAGAGCATTATGAAATACTGAGAGATCAACCAATTTCAAAGGAATCATTGAGCTTCTCGAACTAGCCCTTAAAAAAAGTAAGGCTGAGTCATGGCATTAGAAGCTCCAAATATTGGCCTGATGATCTCTAAGTCTCTTGTCCACAAGAGAAATTACATGGGGATGAAATTTAATTTCACCTGGTTGGGAGCTCTGTAAGTTGACATCTGTTGACATTCATGAATTGTTAGCTCTTTTACAGGCAGCCACATGTGATACCAACTGCAGTCAATGCAGCTTTACAACTTAGAACAGCACAAATGTGTTTTGTCTTTTCATCAACACATCCAATATTGCATCCTCTTCATGGGAGACTTCAGAATTAGCCCCTGAAATAAATTTGATTTTACACAAATTTTTCTCTTACTAGTGTTTCCTGGAACCATGCTTGGTGGATGAGGGAGGGAGAAGAGAAAGAAGGAAAGAGGGAGAGAGCAGATTCAGCATAGTGGGGAGAAAGTACGTTTTTGTTTGGTTTTTTTGTTTGTTTTCTAAGAAAGGATTCTTCGAAAATCCTGTTGTGTTTTTTTAAGCAAGTTTTTTAAAGCACGGGGGAGAGTTTAGGCTGATTTTTTATAAGAGGGATGTTAGTTTTTTGTTGAAGAAAATATCCCAAAGTTCATATTGGTTGTGAGAGTTAAGTCCCCTTGAATTAGAGTAGATGGGAAAGACTTGGGGGTCATCCATAGCAGCTTGACAACAGTCTTGGGACCCTGTAGAGAAAAGACTGCAGGGAGGGAAAAGTGGGAGAGTGAGACAGTGGACACTGTGGCCACGGAAGAAAACATCCAGTGAGAAATCCCCAGGAATGGTCAAGGAAATTTTGAGAGTGACCTCAAGCAAATTGCTTCCTGTTTTCTATTGCGTGCTATGATCCTTTCTCTGTGACCCCCGCCTCTCCAGTGCCCAATAAAATTATGTCGTGCTGATTGCTTTTATGGAAATGTTTGTGGGAGAAGGATCTGCTGGCCACGTGGGACAGACCAGAGCAAACAGAGGAGGGCAGCTGCAGAACGGCCTTGTCTCCAGGAGACGGTGCTGTTGGGGGCAGGTACAGGAGGGAGCCCTGTATTCTGCTGAGGCACACAGGGCATGAAAGATGACCTGTGGGAAGTTCCTTGCCTGGGCTTCCCTGAGGACACCCCAGTTCCTTCTCCAGACGCCTTACTCGGGAATATTCCCTGACCCTATGTGGCTCTGCCAAGGGCATCACTGGGACAGACCTGCTGTGGCAACTGCACTCCTTTTCTGGGCCTCCAGGAGGAAGGCAAAATGACTGGCTTCTCAGCTGGCTGCTCCTGATTTGCCCTTCTGGACTCATAGGTCTCAGGCCCAAGGGAAAATGAAATATGGGCTTAAAAGAGGGGGTGGGAGAACAGATCCATCTGATAACTCCATCATGTGTTGCTAACCAGCCACATCCTGCCAGCGCTCTGCAAAACTGCACTTCCTTTTTAGTAACCTGGCTTCCTCCTCCCTCCTTCACTTTCACCCCTCCTACTCAACATCCCGTCTCCACCGCTACCCCTCCTGAAGCTTGCCAACCCTCACTGTAGATTGTTTTAGGGGATTTCCAGAGGCCCCCTCCCACCTGCCCACGGTGTGCTTAAGGGAAGGGCCAGGGCCCCTGCAGGGCCATTCCGTGATGGGGGAGACAGCTTCTGGGTAAGGATGGGAAACTCAGCATTGCATAGTGGGTAACTGTGACCCACTAGCAATGTGAACTTGAGCGAGTTTCTCAGTTCCCTCTTTGCACAACTGGGACTCTCACCATCAGGTGGTTGTAAGATTTAATTGACACAATGTACATGAAAGTACTCAGTGTGGTTAGCCTGCGCATAAAATGGTTCTAGACACAGCAGCTGTCTGTCAGTCAGTCTGCCTTTTATGCAAGGGGTGGAAAGGAGGGCTTTAAGGGGCCTGATGGGGAAAGATCATGGCAATGAATGCTAATATGCCTGAGATGCTGTCAGGTACTTGCCTTAAGTGGTTACCTTTAATCCTCACAATAGCCCTTGGAAGGAGCCACTCCTCCCGGGTTTAAGCAATTCCCTGCCTCAGCCTCCTGCGTAGCTGGGATTACAGGCACCTGCCACCATACCCGGCTAATTTTTGTATTGTTAGTAGAGACAGGGTTTCACCATCTTGGCCAGGCTGGTCTTGAACTCCTGAGCTCATGATCCACCCGGCTCAGCCTCCCAAAGTGCTGGGATTACAGGCATGAGCCACCGTGCCAGGCCCCTTTTTAGTTATTTAAGCCACTATTCTCCCTACAAGCAGGACACTCAAAGATCCACATGCAAAGACTGAGACCCTGCAGGGGCCCTGGTATTTTTCCTTCATGGTGAGTGAAAAATGACACAAGAAAGGAACCTTAAATTCCAGTGTGTTATGGGTGGGAACCCAGATGCCAGCAAGCAGGACTGGGACTTCAATTATCTGTCAACCTTCAAACCCATCTTTTCATGGTCAGTCCTCAGCTGAGTCCTAGGCAACAGTTTCTCTCTGGTGGAGCAGGAGAAACTTTCATTCTGGCCCTGCTAACACTAACTTGCTAATTTGCCCATGCTCAAGATTTGAGTCTGGTCCTGGAAACACTCAACCTGTGGACCCATCCTCTTACCTGGCCACAGGTGGGTGGGGTGTGCCCAGAAGAGCATGAGGAGTTCTCTCTCTCTTCCAGACTCTTCTGAGGGTCACTGTCACTTTTAAAGTATTTTCTGGGTGGAGGCTTGGGCTTGGAGGACATAGGCTTTCTCACCAAAATCTCAAAGGATTTCTTCAGTCTCAGCGGCGGGTGGCTGTCCCGGCTCTCTGGGAGGGGTGGGCTCTCCTGGGGCAGCCTGGAGGATGCTATAGAAAGCACCACTGGCTCCCGTGCCAGAGGCAAGCTGGGGCTGTGTGTGCTGATGTCCACGTCAGAGGACGGCTTCTCAGCACTGCCACTCCCAGGACTTCCCCCTGGGGACCCAGACATGTAGCTGCTGTCACTGCTGGAGCGGATCATGACCTTCTGAGCCCTGCGATGCGGGGGTGCTGAGTTCTTCTCTCGTTCCTTCTCCAAGGTGGGCCGCCCGTGCCAACTGCTTTCCAGCCTTTTGACACCTGTGTGGGAAGCACAAGAGAATCTTCACAGCTGAGCTTCAGAAAACAGAAATACCCCCTGGCCTCACCTGTGACTGCCACGGGCAGCACACTGCACATCGGCCATCTGCTTCTTATCTGAAGTCACTGTGGATCTGGAGTATGGCAGTCTTGGTGTTGGTCCCTGGCGAGCTGTATGACTTTGGGTTGGGAAAATCATTCAAGCTTTCTGAGCCTATGACTGATGTATATGGAGATATGCCACCCAGATCACCCATCGAGGAAGGGCTTGGTGTCCCAGCTGTGGGGAGTGCTGCTGGCAGACTACTTTCAGCTGTGGGTCCCTCCAGGGGCTGCCACAGCTGCAGACAGCTGCCTTGTCCAATGGGGCAGCCCATCTCCAGGGACTGCTGGAGATAGGGTTACAGAGGCCCAGCTATGTTGGCCAACATAGGACAACTCTAATGGGGACTTTGGCTGCAGAGCTCCAGGGCTTGGCTGAAGCTGTTGGGTGTGCACCTCAGCTCCGTCCTCCCTCTGTCTACCCTGCCTGCTCCCCTCCCTGCCACAGGTAGTGAACCCCAGGACACTGCCTGCAGACCAAACTCCATCTCAGAGTCAGCTTCCTGGGGGACCCAACTCCATTTCTGCATCTGTAAAATGAGGATGATAATTTTAAAGTCACTGGGGTTATTTTGAGGCTCAATAACAAAGACAGAGAAACTACCTGTCAAGGCACTTTGAATCTTACACGAAGAAGTCACTATTTCTTTCCAGTTGAGGGTGAGGTGAGGGCAGAAAGCCGCTATTTCTTAGCCACTGCACCTTCCTCCCTCCCTCCCCATTAGCCCTTCCTGGTTCTCAGTACCCCCTACCCTAGTTTCCAGCACTAGGGCTACCCACACATCCTTGAGAGGCCCTTCTCTCTAGTGGTAAGCTGTCAAGGGTGCCCCTTTCCTAAAATCACAGCTTGAAGGGGTGGGAGAGGATTGAAATCTAGTCTCTTGCTCAAATTCCAGCTCATTCTGAGAGACCAAGAAAGCCAGAGGAGCCCCATGAGAGAGAACCAAGGCCAGCCAAGCTCCTAACTCACTTTCTCTTTAAATAAAAAGTTTTCTTTTTTTTTTTCCTGATCATGAAATAATGCATCCTCCTTAGAGAAAACTCAGCCACAAGGAGGAAGGAATGAAAGTAAAAATTCACTTCACCTGTGTTCCTATCAGCCAGAAATAACTACTGTCAAAATTTTGGTGAGTTTCTCTGTCATGCTTTCCCGAGCATATATGCATGTTGGGTGGGTAGAAATAATAAACCAGAGCTGAAATAAATTGTGTTCTGTTCTTTTCTCTGAACATTTCCCCAGATCATTTAATTTCTTGTCAATATCAGTGCCAATGGTTGCATGTTGTTCTTTCATAAGGATGTTCCATGGTAGACGTGATTAATGCCCAATGGCTAGGCATGGGAGTCAAGCCAGCTGGATCTCCATTCCAGAGCCTCTGTGCTCTAGTGGTATGACTTTGAGTAAGAGAGTCTCTGAGGGCCTCACTTTTTCTTATAAAATTTGCATAAAAATTATGTGTGAATGCATGAATTAGCATAGTCTCTGATTTATTATAAGAATTATAAGAATTAAATAAATGTCAGAATTATATTCCCAAATGTTAGTTTTTCTAATATTCTATTATTATAAACTAGGGGCTGCAAACTCAAGTGCCTGCAGGGGCTATTGTGTGAATGGCAACTTGGTACAGGATAAAGGGAACGGTGGAGACCACCGGGAGCTGGAGAGAGCCTGGCACATTTGTAGCAATTTAAATTCAGATGCTTTTAAAATCTTGTGTCTTCCAAACAAAGCAAAAATATAAGCTAAATTTAGCTGGTGGGCTGCTAGTTTTCAGCCTTTGTCTACATACTATGCTGGTCTATGGTAAATGCTGTTACTATTCCTTGGATAGAGGATGAGTTAATGGATAAATCCTAAGCTTTCTAAGAAGGCAAAGATATTTTACATCAAAGTTCACCATTTGTCTTACCTTCCAGACTCCACTGATGCCTCTCCTTTCCAAACTTGGTGTTTTCCACAGCCTGGGCCACAGCTTCTTTGAGTTGCTGTTCAGAGACCTAGAAAATATCAGTCATCTCCTCAAACAAACAGTAGAAGCTCCTGCATCAGGCTCCCAGCCCCGTACCAGCTCCAAAGCTGGGCCACTGGATTCTAAATTATTTTATTTCAACCCACTCTGCAAATAGCTGATGAATTCCATTTCCAGAAATACCCCGGGAATCAATGGTTCCTCAGTATCTTCTAGATAAAGTCCAAAGTCTATCAATGCAGGGGTTCCCAAGGAGGCCCCCTCAACTCTCCAACCTTCTCCCCACTACTTGCTGGAAAATTCTAGGCAAAGTTACCACTTCATAGGTTATCTCTATGAGCTAGTCCGTTCTTGGCAATGCTGTCATGACATCATCATTATCAACAATATCGTAATAATCACAATCACTATTATACTGTCTGAGCTGTGACTCACAGTTTATTATCACTTTGGAGTAATAGTTAAGAGTATGAGTCCTAGAGTCAAAAAGGCTTGTGTTCTAGTCCCGGTTCCTCTACTGTCTAGGTGTGAACACCTAGACAAGTTACTTAACCTCCTGAGCCTCCATTTCTTCCTTCTGTAAAATAATAACAATAATAAAACCCACTTCAAAATGAGGACAGGTTTTTTAAAAATAAATTATTTGACATCAAAAGTACAGGAAACAAAAAAATAGATAAATTGGACTATGTGAAAATCAAAAACTTCTGTGCATCAAAAGGACATCATCAACAGATTGAAAAGGCAACTCATAGAATTGGAGAAAATATTCGCAAATCATATTTCAGATAAATAGTTGAGTTGCAGATTATATAAAGAACTCCTACAACTCAGCAACAACAACAACAACAAAACAACCTGATTAAAAACTGGGCACAGAACCTGAATAGACATTTCTTCAAAGAAGATATACAAACAGCCAAAAAGCAAATGAAAAAATGCTCAACATCACTAATGATTAGGTAAATGCAAATCACAACCACACTGAGTTACCACCTCACACACATTAGGACATTAGGATGGCTACTATAAACAAAAAGAAAAGAGGCTGGGCATGGTAGCTCATGCTTCTAATCCCAGCACTCTGGGAGGCTGAGGCAGGCAGATCACTTGAGGTCAGGAGTTCGAGACCAGGCTGACCAACATGGTGAAAGCCCATCGCTACTAAAAATACAAAAATTAGCCTGTGCAGTGGTACACACCTATAATCCCTGCTACTAGGGAGGCTGAGGTGGGAGAATCACTTGAACCCAGTGCAGTGAGCCAAGATCGTGCCACTGCGCTCGAGCCTGGGTGACAGAGTGAGACTCAGTCTCAAAAAAAGAAAAGAAAATAACAAAGTATTGGCAAGGATATGGAGAAATCGGGACCCTTGGGCTCTGTTGATAAGAATGTAAAATGGTGTAGCCACTGTGGAAAATAGTTTGAAGGCTCCTCAAAAACTTAAAAATAGAATTACCATATGACCCAGCAATTCCACTTCTGGGTATATACCCTAAAAGAAGGGAAGTCAGTATCTCAGAGGAATCTGTACTCCACGTTCATTGTAGCATTATTCACAATAGTCAAAAGGTGGAAACAACCCAAGTACCCAAAAACAGATGATAAACAGCATGTGATACACACACACGCACACACACACACACACACATACACATACTAGAAGATTATTCGACCTTAAAAAGGAAGGAAATTCTGGCCCGTGCTACAACATAAATGAACCTTGAGGACATTACGCGAAGTCAAATAAGGCAGACACAAAAGGACCCATTTTATATGATTCCACTTCGATGAACGTAGAGTAGTCAAAATCACAGAGACAGAAAGTAAAATGGTGGTTCCCAGGATTTGCTGGTAGGAGAACATAGGGACTTGTTTAACTGGTAGAGTTTAAATTCTGAAAGATGGAAAGAGTTCTGGAGACGGATGGTGGCAATGGTTGCACAACAATGAGAATGTCCTTAATGCCACTGAACTGTACACTTAAAAAATGGTTAAGATGGTAAATTTTATGTTATGTGTATTTTACCACAATAAACAACAATAAATAAATCATTTAAAGTCTGCGGCACAATGCCTGGCAGATGGTAAACTCTTACTAGAGGAGAGTTACCATCCACAACAGTCCTGTAAGGTAAAGACCACTCCCCTATGTCAGAGTTGAGGAACCAGAGGCTCTTGGAGGTTAGATGAGTTGCCCAAATTAACCATAAGCAAGCAGCAGACTGGACACATGCCAGGCATTCTGCTGCTGGGCCTGGCTCTCTTCTCTCTGCCCTATGCCTGTGCCCCTGGATCTCCACGGCCTAGGGTGTCTTCGTCTTTCTGCTGCTCTAAACCTTACCTGTCCTTTCTGGCCTGGCTCCCTTATCTGAGCAGCTGGAACTCCAGCTCCCTCACTCTCAAGGCCCTCACCTCTGTGGCCTCTCTGTGTGTGTCCCATGTCTCTGGGAGAATGCACATTCCTTAAGCCCAGGGCTACAGCATTTGCCCACAACCTGACGCCCTACTCCACTGATTTTCTGCCGTAGTCCTAAAAGCAGCAGGAGGAAATGACAAATTAATTGGGACCTCTTTCTTTTCTTGTATTGTCCAGAGATTTAGGCCAATTATTTGTTTGCCTTAATTAAGAAGTTTGCTTGTCTCTGATTGTGTTTAGCTCCAGTGTGCAATCCACAGAATGGGGCTGGGTTTGAATTCCACCACACCATTATATATTGATTTCCCTCATTACTCCACTCTGTCCAAGTGTCACTGGGAGTTTGGGAGTCAGTGAGTTCAAAGCACAGGCTTTGCTGGATTTAAATCTTAGCTTCTTTACTTAGTAGCTTCACCATTGGGAAACTTATTTGTCCTTTCTAAGCCTCAGTTTCCTCATCTGTGAGTTGGGGGGGAAATATCACACTGATTTCAGGAGGCTGCACAACAACTAAATGCAGTTGTGTGGGTCACATCTTTGAAAAACATGCCTGGTGCATATTAAGATTAAATAATTCTTTGTGGTGATTATTCCAGGTTCCCCAGAGCTCTCACCAACAGCAGGGATTCAACCCCCAAGTCTAGCTCCAGCCTGGGTTCCTGTTATAGTTGCTATCAGCCCTAAGTCTAACTTGCCTACTGGGCATCTTTACCTGGACACCCCGTGGTACCTCCACCTCACTATGTCCCACAGTAAGATCATGCTCTTCTCTCCCTCCCAAGCCTGCTACCTTTTCCTCTTCTCTCTTCTGGTGGAAGACCATTGCTCAGTCTTCCAATCTAAAAATATTCGAGATATCTTCGGTTCCTCCCTCTCTTACCCCAGAGCCACTTGCCCAGCAGCTCTTGTTGAGTCTTCCCAAGCATTGCCTCATGTTGCCTGATATGGTTTGTCTGTGTCCCTACCCAAATCTTATCTTGAGTTTTAGCTCCCATAATTCCCACATGTTGTGGGAGGGACCTGGTGGGAGATAATTGAGTCATAGGGGCAGTTTCCCCCATTCTGTTCTCATGATAGTGAATAAGTCTCACAAGATCTGACGATTTTATAAGGGGTTTCCCCTTTCACTTGGCTCTTATTCTCTCTTGTCTGCCATCATGTAAGACATGCCTTTCACCTTCTGCTGTGATTGTGAGGCCTCCCCAGCCACATGGAACTGTAAGTCTATTAAATCTCTTTTTCTTTATAAACTACCCAGTCTCAGGTATGTGTCTATCAACAGCGGGAGAACAGACTAATACATTGCCCCTTCTCTTTTCTCTTCTCATGGCTGCTGTGTAGTTCAGGCTCTCACCATCAGCTTCCTTCCTCTTACAAACCCCACACTCCACCCACTCTATCCTGTCTTCTACAGTGCAATCAAAGGTTTAAAAATTAAAATATGAACATGCTCCTTCTACAGCTACAGACCTCCCATAGCTCCTCACTATGTAGAATAAAATGCAAACTCTTTAGTATCCTGTTGAAAGCCCTCTGCAGTGTAACCCCAATGCCCTGCCAACATCTGTTCTCAGTCACTCTTACCTAGTACCCTACATTCCAGCCCCACAGAACCCACTCCTCTCCTTCCATGTCAGGTCCCTTTTTGACTCTGTGACATTGAATTTTGTGTTCCCACCTCCTGGAATGATCTTCCTTATATTCTCTGCCTGGAGAAAACTAACCTCTGGTATTTTTTTACTTTATCAACCATTCCCTGCTATATTCCTGTATTCTCATAGGACTTACCATCTCTGTTTTGCAATTATTTGTATGTCAGGCTCTTTATTGATACTGTGAGCTTCTGCAGGGCAGGACTGTGTGCTATGAACTTGCCTCTGTATCTTCAGTACCTACCTCCAGACATTCCCACAGTGGGTACCTACTAGACGCATAAATGAATAAATTTCTTGGTCTACTAGCTGGGACCCTGGGTCTCTACTTTCCTGCCCCAGAGCTTATAACTCAGCTGTAAGAGCTTCCCTAAGTTAATGTCAATTGCCTCTGATATCTAGGAGTTTGTTAGTGGACCTCTGCTGCAGACAATTCTTACTACAGAAACTTGGAAGGGATTCTTGGGAATTCAGGTACAAACCCAGCCAGCAACATCTCTGTTTTCATCTATTTCTTGTTCCAATTTTGGTACTGAACGAGTGAGCCTGAGAAGAAGAGGATAACCCAGTGGGTGTTACCTGTGGGTCTGGATGTCGGCTAACAATGATGGGGACTGGACCGGGATCACAGTGACTCAGGATCGTGTAGACTTCATTGAGCGTCAGGCAGTGCACAGGGGAATCACTGATTTCCACAATCTCGTCCCCACACCTGTGCAAGCATCAATAAGAAGCCATCAGTAAGTGAATCAATGAGACATTTGAACAGTCACTGCCCCAGGGGCCCACTCCTGGCTGGGCTGTTTGATGAGATATAAAAATCACATGAATAAGTAGACCCCACTAGCCACCAGACCAAAACTCAGAACAGGGCAGACCAAAGTAGCATATCCCATACCCCCTTACCGTACAACCACAAAGCAGCAGACATTTCCTATTTACAGTGGGTCAACATTAACAAAAGTTCATCTGTAACTTTCCTCCTTCTTTTCACATTTAACTATGCCCATTAAAGACTGAGGGTGTGGGTTAGCCAATTCAACTAAATAACAATTAACCAGGATTTAATCCACCACATCCTCTCCTTGGGCCTCTGTGTTCCCATAAGTAGACTAGTTAGAAGGAAGGATTGGATCTAACATAGCACACACAGGATGTTGAATATCGGACCTAACATCCTACATGTGCTAAAAGGCAGAGAAAAAATAACTCAACAGGAGAGCAGTTGAGATTCTTGCAAAAAGAAATAAGGAGAAAAGGTGATGGCATTCATTCTAGTTGTGAGGTGGGAAGGGAGTTAATAGCAACCTAAACCTTAAAAAAAAAAAAGGTAGGAAACACGGGGTCACATAGATACATGGAAGATTTGTATAATCCAGTCCCCTTCCCGACCTAGATAGGGAAATTGAGTTGCAGAGGTTGAATAGATTTCCCTGATCTAGGTCTGCTCAGGAATTGACAAACTTTTTCTGCAAAGGGCCAGAGAGTAAATATTTTTGGTGTTGCATGCTTTGCCATACTGTCTTTATCGAAACTATTCAACTCTGCTGTTATATTAATAGCATGACAGCTGTGGCCATAGACGAGGCATAAACAAATGAGCATGGCTTTGTTCCAATATAATTTTATTAAAACAACAACAACAACAAAACCAAAACAGTGATAGGCCCCAGTTTGCAGACCCCTGGCCTAGTTGGTCATCAGCAGGTCCAGGATTGGAACTCTAGCCTCCTGAGGCTGATTTCCCTGTGTCCCCTGCTGTGTTCTGTGACTTCCTTCTGCTGAGTTCATCCTCCTTCACCCTTGCTTCCTTTTTACTGCTGTAACTGAAGGCCATGGTTGTATAGCACCAGATGCTAAGGAAAGCAGAAGCTTCCAGAACAATCCCTACTCCACTGCAGATCTAAGAAGGAGGTACTCTCTGTCCGAGGGTACTAGGACCAAGACAACCACATGGAACCTGCAGTATGTGCCACAAACCAGCAGAGCAGCTCAGCAAATCACCTGCCACCCTCCCGCAGATAACAGCAAATCCCTTTCTAATTCAGAAGCTCCAGAGAGACAGCATCATAAGCAGGGATGGCTTTTCCATACACTGCAATTGTAGGAAACCCTTTAAAAGGATGGCAAAACTCTCCTGATTTAGGAAAACCCAAAACCAGTGAGAGATGATATATTTGCACTATACACAAATGTTAGAGTGCAAAGTATTGTAACAAATTAAATAGGATAAATTTTTAAATCAAATCCAGATCAGTTATTGAAAGAAATTAGATTTGAACTTCTCTTAGAAATTATTTATAAAAAATATATCTGGAGTACCCAGAAATATATTGTTTATGGGAGAAAGAACCTGTATTTCTCTTACTGATATCTTCTCTCTCTCTTTTTTTTTTTTTTTTTTTCTGAGACAGGGTCTTGCTCTGTTGCCCAGGCTGAAGTGCAATGGTGCGATCTTGGCTTACTGCAACCTCTGCCTCCCTGGCTCAAGTGAGCCTCCTGCCTCAGCCTCCCAAGTAACTGGGATTACAGGAAGGTGCCACCACACTTGGCTAATTTTTATGTTTAGTAGAGATGGGTTTTGCCATGTTGCCCAGGCTGGTCTTGAACTCCTGAGCTCAGGCCATTCACTCGCCTCAGCCTCCCAAAGCGCTGGGATTATAGGTGTGAACCATGGTGCCCAACTTACTAATATTTTTGTCATTAAGCCACCATTTCCATATAGAATTCATAGATTAACCTCATCAAAGCTCCTATTTATGTCATTGTAAATTCAATATTAGTTAAATCTTAATTAAAGTGTGTTTTCTATGTTGGACTGGCATTCTCTGAGACGATGCTTCTTAAGCTGTAACATGCATACACATTCATGGGGATTTTGTTAGAATGCAGGTCCTCGTTCAGCAGGTCTGGGTCCGGGCGTCTGAGATTCCACATTTCTAACAAGTTCCCAGTTGACATTGATTCTGCTGGTCCAGACCACACTTTGAGGAACACGGCTCTGAGCTATGCCCAGATCATTCTCTTTTTTTTGTTTGTTTGGTTTTTGGGGTTTTTTTTTTGAGGCACCTGTGGGGCTTTATTAGATAAACAGACCCCAGCTCCAGCCACAGGCTTGAACCAGCCCACTGGGTATGGCCTCAGACATCCCCTCCAGCTTCTCTGCCTCCCGGCCCAGCCCTGGAATTTCTCAGGGTTACAAATGTGTGCAGGGTCAGGGGTGTGCTGGCCACAGCGGGATGTGGTATTTAGGCCGCCCCACCTCGGTCTGGTCCTGGCAGGACCCACACCTGGCTCTGCTGTGGGAGCTGAGAACAAAGACCCTGTCCACCCCGCTCCTGCTAGCCCTGGGGGCTCAGCCAGCACCCACCCTCCCAGTGGCCTGGAGAGGGGCTGGGGTGCAAAGCCTCACTCCCTCCCTCTGAGCCAGATTGCAAATGCATCTCCCAAGAGTGTCCTGGGGGGCAGGAAGGAGGCCTGCCCCTCCCCAGCCAGTGCCCACAACAGGGGGTGTCCTGGCGGGCGGAGCGGCTGATCTCCACCACAAGATCATTCTTTATAGCTCATGTCCAAATCAATCTCCCGACATTCTAAGGTATTTCTTTCCTGGTTGTAAGTCGGGGGTATATTCAGAAACAGAAGTGAGGACATACCGGAGACGTCCGTCCAGGTGCGCCACGGATCCTGGTGACAGCGTGTGGACGAAAATGCCAGAGATGCATTGGAAGTAGGGAACGCTGCACAGGCCGATGCCCAGGCCCACGCCGGCCTCTGGAAGCAGAACAGGGCGGGGTGGGGAGACCGGGACTGAGCTTTCCCAGGGGGCCTACTCGTCGATTGGGTGCCACAGACATGGCCCCCTGGTTATTACAGCTTTCATCCCACCCGTATTCACAGAGTAGTCGTTGTGTGCAGGCACCGCTCTAGGGTCAGAACAGTGACCAAGGCAGGCAAGGAATAGTGGGGAAAGACTAGGAAGGAAGGAGCGAAGGAGGGAGGAAGGGAAGGAGGGAAGGAGGGAGCTAGATGAGAAGAGAGGACAGTATCTAAGAGTGATAAGTATTATGTGGTGAATGTACGCAGAATGTGCTGGAAAGTGAGGGATGGCTACTTCAGGCCTCAGAGGAGACACCAGTTGGGCTAAAATACAAGTGACAAGAGTTAGGGGTGAAGAGATGGGGCAGAGCATCTCAGAAGCAGAAACAGCCAACGCAAAGGCCCCAGGGCAAAAGCAAGCATGCCATGTTGCAGGACCAGAAAGGCCAGTGTGGCAGGGACACAGCCTGCATGGGAGAGCAGCACATGACGGTGAGAGAGAGGGATCAAGCGCAGATTCAGTGGGGCTGTGTCAACAATGGCATGTCAGTGAACGGGTTTATTCTCTACTGAGAAGGGATGCCATAGGAGAACTGTGAACAAGGAAGTGACATGATCTCATTCCTATTTTTATGAACACATCTGGCTACTGTGAAGGGAAAGAACTATGGGTCATGGAGAATGGAAGCAAGAAGACCAGCTAAGAGGCCTCTGTTGAGAGAAACAGTGGTGGCCTTGGACTTCACCTCCAGTGAAGATGGAAAGAAACGGATGCCCATGGAAGATATTTTGAAGATAGACTTGCTGATGGATGAAGTATAGAAACTTAACAAATAAAATCAAAATAACTTGGAGATCTGTTTGGCTTGAGTAACTGGGCAGATGGTAATGTGATTTACCAAAGCAGGGAGGGCTATGGAAGCCCAGGATTATGAGGGTAAGACTGGGGGGTTCAGCTTTGCCCAAATGACATGTGCAATGTGCTGGAAAGTGAGGAATGGATACTTCAGGTGGCTTCACAGGCAAGGGGGTGCTGTCAGGATGTCTGGGACTATCCCAGCGACGTGTAGAGCAGATGTTTGCACAGATGAAGCCGGAACCCAGAGGAGAAAGCAGGGTGGAAGCTGAAAGTTTGAACGTAGCTGCATGTAGGTGGTGTTAGGGCCGTGGGGCTGGATGGGATCCCCCAGTGTGTGGGAGAGGAGGGCCTGGGGCTCACCAACATGGAAACGCCTGGAAAACGAGGAGCTGTCAGCAAGGAGGACCAGATGGAGTGAGCACAGTGTGGGGGAAGGCCCTTTACAGTTTTCTTTCGACACGTATGATTTACAGAGCACTTTGGCAAATGTTTTCACCTTCTCATGCTGGTCCTCCCAGCAGTCCCATGAGGGAGGCCGTGACAATTGTTGGCAATCCCATTTTATGGATGAAGAATTTGGTAAAAGTCAGAGCCCTTCCCACAGCCCAGGTGTCCTGACTAGAGCAAGTTTTTCAGTCTAATGGGCGTCAGAATTGCATAAGATACTTGTTTAGAATGTGGATCCCTTGGCCTCACCTCAACTTGTTGAACAAACACTGTTGAAGCAAAATCTCTGGGGGTGGAGTCTAAGAAGCTGCATTATATAAAATGAGCAAACAAAAATCCTCCCTAAGGTGTTTCTGATGCCAGTGATCAGAGGAAACACCACTCCAAGGCCATGCCTTTCCCATTTTATGCCTGCTCAGCAAATGCACTGCGGGAGCCCTGGTTACAGCTGTTGGGACCATGCCAGCACAGACTTGTCTGCCCCTAGTCCTTATGCCAAGCATTGTGCCAGGCTTGCAGGCATACAGAGGCATCTGAGGCCTCAGGGAGCTTTCAACCTAGCAGGAGAGTTAAAACACACATCAGGCAAAGCTGTATGCAAGGAATTAACTATGTATGCTTCCCTTCCACTTCGACAATATATCTCAAGCCCATCCTCTTCTCTCCAAATCCACTACTCCCAATCCCTGACCCAAATGGCTGCAAGTGGATTCCAAGCCTCTACTTTTGTCACACTATGGGCCATTCTCCGTGAAGAACCCTAGGAGACATTTTTTGAAGCATAAGCTGATGTGTCACTCGCCTGCTTAGAAATCTATAAAGGATTTCCAACTCCAGTTAGAAGAGAATCGAGCTGCAAAGCCCCACAGGGTCTCTCTGCCTCTGCCAAGTACCCTGATGTCAGCTCTCACTCTGCCCACCTAGCTCCAGCCATGCTGGCCTTCATTCTGCTCCTAGAACACATGCTGGCCCCTGTGCTGGAGCCCAGCTCTGTGCCTCGCTGCCTCCTCTTTATCCTCCAGGTCTCAGTTCGGTTGCATTCAGGCAGAGAGGGCTCCGAGCCCCCACCTGGGGGGGTGGCAAAGGGAATGGCTGTCTGTTCCTGAATGTCAGAGGTAGAAAGGACCTCAATTCTCTGCCACAGGTAGGGAAACTGAGGCCCAGGGAAGGGAAGGTGGCCTGCCCAGGGCGTCTTAGCATATTTACTGCAGAGCTACCACTCCTGGCCCATTGTTTCTCTCTCTCTCTCTCTGGGTATTTTTGTGTTTGAGTTTTTCTTTGCTTTGTTTTGCTTTATTTAAACCACTGACCCAGAACACATTGACTAGGTTCGAATGGTATGTCTTGAGCTTCTATAAACAGAAGACTCGACCTGGCTCCAAGCAGTAGCTGTAAAATGTGCTAAAAGACAACATCCTGCCCTACCTCTGGACTGATTCCAAGTGAGGAAAGCCTGGGAGACTCAGCCAGTGCTGGGAGACCCAGGCACGGGACACAGCTGCAGCACTCCTACCTTTCTGCAGAGAAACCTCCACCATGATTCTGTAATTGGGCTTGGCGGTGCTGATGGGAGCCGAGGGGCTTTCCAAGGCGAAGGAGCTGCTGTCCTTGGTGATACAAGTGCTGGAGCTCAGGGAGCGGCACAGTGGGGGAGACAGGTGGCTGCACAGGGAAGGAGGCGCCGTCAGGCGGGTTCTCACGGTGAGGGTGAGGAGCCCCTTTTTGGCTTGCTGAAAGAAAGAGAGAGGGCTACAACACCCAGCAGCAATCCAGGGTGAGATGAAGAAATACTGTTTAAGGAAACACACCTCTGTGTGTGTGTATGTGTATGAAATATAAATGTGCGCATATATTCATACATGTTACAAATTATATTATGACATATTTGTATATATACACACAACTACTATATATATTTACATATGCCAGATAGATGGATGAATAGATAGATAGATGGAAGGATAGATAGATGGATGAATAGATGGATGGATAGATAGATGGATGAATAGATAGAGATAGATAGATAGATTGATTGATAATAGATAGATGGATGGATAGAGTCATGAATTGAACTAACTAGATGGAGACTTAGGAATATCATTTAGCAATTATCTTAAAAACTTAAAACAGATTTGTAAATATACCATGATAAATACACAGAGTGTTTTAAAACAATTTTATAAATATTAAAGAGTTTTAAAATCCCCCACAACAATCCCGATCACACTATTATTTTCTGAGTCAGGTCTTCTTTTAACCCTGCGCCAAGATCAGCATCAGTGAGGTGCCTCATGTGAAGGGTTCCACAGTTTGAATTTGTAGGTTTGGATGCTGAGAGCTTGGTTTCTTTGCCTGAAGGCCCCAGAGTTTGGTCACGTGTTGATAAGAAATGGTCACCTTGAACTTCTGCAAAGCATCCTGATGTGTTAGTCCAGCCATTGATTCACCATTGAGCTCCAGAATTTCATCACCTGTTTAGAGAGAGAAAGTGTAGCTAAGAAGAGTGTTGCCCAATCAAAGGGCATTATCATTACCTTTAACTCTAGTCTCCCCAACTGCCCGGCTTTTTGTATGATGCACGAAGCTCTGGAAGAACATTTTCTCATTTTGTGCTCTCCCCTTGCGAAGCAGGCAGGGCAGCAACATGGGCCTTCTCTGGCACCCACTCTCTTCCAGGGTGAAACCCAGGGTTCTTAGCCAGGCACACAAGTCCTGGCTGGATATGGTCCTTGCCCACCTCTTTGCTTCACCTCCTTCCTCCTTGTCTCCCTGACCCTCACACCATTTGCTCCCATGCATCATTTTCTGATGCAACACGACCTGCATTTTCCACAATGGTCTGTGCAGTTAAATGCTTGTCCATGCCATTTTCTCAAATAAAATATACTTCCACTTTCTCCTCCTATCCCTTCTTAATCTTTAGGCCCCTGCTACCTTTAGCTCCTTTCTATGTTCATGTCACACTGTACCTACTGCACTTGTCACCCTGGGTGGTGATCAATGGCCTGCACCCTCAGTCACTCCCTGGCCAGGCTGGCAGCTTGTTGGGGACAGGGATTTTGTCTTATTAGATGATATATCCCCAGGACCAATGCTGAATGAGGTCTACAGATTGCTCAGTGGATGTGGTTTGGATACGATTTTCCAGAATGCAATGTAGACCCCATTTTACAATAGAGAAAAGTGAACTCAGAGAAGTCCGAAGTCATATGGTAAAAATAAATAAATAAATAAATAAATAAATAAATAAATAAATAGGACTTGGATCTTTTGACTGCAAGTCCTTTTTTCACAACAGTATACTTGTAGGAGAATCATTCTTCCTGTAACCAAAAATCCATTTCTATGTGAACAGAAAACCACTTTCTCCCTTTCTTTCAATTTGTTCAATACACAAACAGGGAGCACTTTCTCTGAATTCAACATTGCACCAAGCAACTCAGATATAAATACTATGTTTACACTGACTTCTGGACCTGGTCGTTACTGATGAATCTGCTGTCGCCTAATCATGGTTCCATTGTATATGATCCATCCTTTTTCTCTGGTTTCTTTTAAGGTTTCTTTTTCTAGCTGGGCACTGTGGCTCACACCTCTAATCCCAGCGCTTTGTGAGGCTGAGATGGGGGCACCCTGGGCAACATGGCGAAACCCTGTTTCTACAAAACGTACAAATATTAGCTGGATGTAGTGGCATGCACCTGTAGTCCCAACTACTTCAGAGGCTGAGGTGGGGGATCACTTGAACCTGGGAGATCAAGGCTGCAGTGAGCTGTGATTGAACCACTGCACTCCAGCCTGGGCTACAGGATGAGATCCTGTCTCAAAAAAAAAAAAAGGAAAGAAAAGATTTCTTTTTCCTTTGTCTTTGATATTCTGCAGTTTTACTATGATGCACTAGAGAGAAAGGAAACATTTTGTGTTTCCTCAAGCAGAAATATCATGCCTTAAGTCAGTTCTTGAAAATTATAAGCCACTATCTTTTTGCATACTATCTCTCCCTTTTCACTCTATTCTTTCTAAAATTCCTATTAAATGTATTTTGGACCCTTTCAACCTATTCTCCATATTTCTTTAGTGCTCATCTTTTTCTTCTTTGATCTGCGTGGCCTACTGGATAATTTCCAGTTCACTAATTCTCCTTACAGCTGCATCTAATCTTCTGTTTAAGCCATCCATTGAGTTTTTTATTTCAATGACTGCTTTTTTTGCTCATTTCCAAAAGTTATTTTTTTCACTTCCACTTATTTTTTTTTTTACTGTTTCCGGTCTTGTCTTACAGTTTATATTCCTTTTTTTATCTTTTTAAAATGATTTTAAACATAGCAATTCTATAGTCTCTTTTAGATTGTTCTGTTAAGTTGTTAAGGGCTAACGCTCCTCTTTGTTATTTCTGCTGACTCTCCTCAACAGTGGACATTTCCTGATGTAGTATAGTATGTAATCTTTATAAACTCATTTTCAGGATATTCTGTTTTTCTATGGGATTCCCATACACCCCAGGTCACTGCCAGTTTTTCCTTTATTTCCATTTGGCACCCCAAGGTTTTCACTGGTTTGGGACTAGTTTTCATATTAATTTCTTACCTTGGCATTACCTTTGCTTTACAGGAACTATAAATGTAACCTGCATGCCCATATATGACACAATTTTGATATTCACTTTTTGGTGAGAGATGTTTTTGGCCAACTGAGGAGCCATGGGTAAAGTTAAGTTTCCTTGTTGCTCCCCTGGGGCCTGTTGGCTTTACTGAGGGGAAACTCTTTCATTATCAAGGCTGTGTGCAGGTTCTCAGAGCCTCACATGGACCCAAGGCTCTGTCCCCTCTGCCCATGTGGGCATTCAAATCTGAGTTCCAGCCCTTAAGGTCTATAAGCATCCAGCAGCCCTCCCCGCCACATCATCAACCCCTGAGTCTGCCATTCTTAGATTTAAAGTTGTTTCTTTGTTTCTTAGCAGCTGGGCATTTCCACGTCTTTATTTTGATTTTGGATGTGCTATATTATTTCACAAGTCTACGTATTGGAAACAGGGGCTGGAGGCAGGGTGGGGAGAGTATTCAGATCAGTTCCGTCTGTTAGGTTGCTGGAGCCAAAGTGAAAAATAAAAGGAACCAGTCCTTGTCATTGTGAGACTCCAAGTCTGGGAAGGAAAATAGATACATTTAAAACATCAGAATATAATTACATGTGTGCTGAAAGAAGGATAGACAACAAAAATTCAGAATGTCCATTCTTAATTACCTAAGGGGCTAGACTTCTCTTTAAGTTATTAGAATGTCCATCTTACTGGGGCCACACAGCCCAGCTCTGGGCTTTTTGGAATGTCCTGTCCTTATTTGGCTATATCTGGTAAAAGCTGGCTGATTAGGTTTTGCCAAATAAATCTTACACAATAGTTTCTTGGAAGGGGAATAAAAGTAAAACATTAGTAGCCTTGATCTGTACACCAAACTTTTGTTGCAACTAATGTATTTGCCCTGAATTCAAGATTCAAATATTTACTTTTAAAAGAAGTTACAAAAGATGATTTGGTCAATGTTTGAGGCTAGAATCAGGGATCATATACTAGCTGAGAGTCTTGACTCATTGAAATCTTCAATTTTTATGATTGCTGTTAATTAAGGGAGGCAAATGCTCAGAAAAAATAAAAAGTTTGGCTTGGGCAGGCTTACATTCAGGAAAGAGAACAAAACACAATATTCTCTTTTCTTGCCACTTCAACCCTTCCCCCACCCCTTTGTTTAAACACAGAAAAGTACAAAAGATAATAAAACACATGATGGCACACTCCCAATTCTGATCCCACTGTTCTTTTTTCCTCTCTTTGACATTTCCTCTCCACCACCCTCTTGATTTAGCTATTCCCCTAGAACGGCATCTGGGCCCTCCCCTCCCCTCCCCTCCCCTCCCCTCCCCTCCCCCCCCTCCTCCCCCGTCAACTGCTTGGTAACTTCAGCTGTTTTTCTAATGTCCATGCTCCCCAAATGTCTGCATTCACTTCTAACTCCCTGAACGGAGAGAGAACGGATGTCATTTCCCTGCTGGACAGCGCCATCTCGTGGTCATCCAGGGACATCGCTCTCCCTTCTGCCACTCAAACCTACACATCCTGGTTTGCCTTCCTTTTCCTCCTCCTCCTCCAGTGCCTCTTACTCTATATAAGGCAATGTCTTTCTCTAGTTTACTAAGACCAGAAACCTTCCAGTTCTCTCTGACCCGCCCCGCCCTTTGCGACCTCTGCTCAGGCTCTGTCACTTCTCTCATCTGCTCCCTTCTCCTCCCAGGGTTACCGCCTCTGTGCAGTCCTTGGAGCTGGAGCCTGGGGCTCACAATGGCCCACTTCATCCTACACTCTGCTTCCTGAAGCCTCTGAAAACCCTGGTCACAGCAGGTCCCTCCCATAGTATAAAAACCTTCAAAGGCTCGCCATTGCCCACACCCTAAAATCTGTATGTGTAATTCTGCATAGTGCTCGGGTTGATAAACTTTTTCTGTAAAGACCCAGATGGTAAAAGTTTTAACCTTTGTGAGCTGCAACCACTCCACACTATGCTGTAACATAAAATCCATTTCTATGTGAACAGAAAACCACTTTCTCCCTTTCTTTCAATTTGTTCAATACACAAACAGGGAGCACTTTCTCTGAATTCAACATTACACCAAGCAACTCAGATATAAATACTATGTTTACACTGACTTCTGGACCTGGTCGTTACTGATGAATCTGCTGTCACCTAATCATGGTTCCATTGTATATGATCCATCCTTTTTCTCTGGTTTCTTTTTCTAGCTGGGCACTGTGGCTCACACCTCTAATCCCAGCACTTTGTGAGGCTGAGATGGGGGCACCCTGCTGAGATGAAAGCAGCCCTGGATGACAGGTACGTGGATGAGCGTGCTCGAGTCCCCAGAAGGCTTTTTTATGGATACTAAAATTTGGATTTCATTTCATTTCCACATATCATAAAATAATCAAAAACACTTTTAAATTTTCAACCATTTAGAAATGTAATAACCTTTCTTTGTTCATGAGACATTGAAAACAGGCGGTGGGCCAGATTTGGCCCACAGACTGTAGTGTGCCTACCCTGCCCTAAGCAAGTTAGATGATTAAAGGTGGTTAGGCTCCCAGCATAGCTTATAGAAAGCGAGCTGACAGAGAAGAGTGAAAATGCTATGAAGTCACTTCTCTTCAGACCTCTGGTGTATGGCCCAGTCCTTGGCCTGCAGTGGGTACTCTCTGCCCTGTGACTTCCAGCCCCTGAACTTTGCCTCCTGAGTTGAAACCTGGCAATTTCTTTGGGCCAAACCTGTTGCTCAATAATCCATGAATGACTTTAGGGTGGAGGTGGGGGTGGGGGGAACCCTGACTCTACAGGACAAGAAGACAGGCAGCTCTGTTTCCCTGGCCCCTCACTCCCAGGATGGATGAGGCTTCTGTCTTGTGAGGATATGAAAGAGTTGAGAGGGGGTGGGTTGATGGAAGAAAGGTGGGTGGGGAGTGGAAGAGAGGGTCCCTGTGGCAGATCATGAGCTCTTCAGGAATCATGCCTGATTGTTTCTATCTGTATTCCTAGACCCTAGGATTCAGTAGGCTCCTAGCAAATGTTTATCAGACTCATCCGTTACAAGGGTTGGAAGCATTGAACCTGGTTTCCCTATGGTTGTGGGTTAGGAAGGACAGGGAGAATGAAGGAGAGGGGGTGTTAACGGATCCCAGCAACTGAGACAGGATCTTGGATGGAAAGGGAAAGACAGCCGAGAGAATGGGTGAGAGGAGGGAAGGGTCAGAAACAGACCCCTCAGACTTCAGTCCCACCCAGGCTGGCCCCAAGACCAGCTAAGGGGTAACGGTGCCAGGGGCTAAATGTGCAAACATGCACAACCAACCTGCCAGTCATAATGAAGACCCCCTCGGGGGAGCTGTGTCCCCATTGCTTGCAGACCCCAGGATGCATGCTGGCCGTATCCTGACAACTCAAGACACATTTTGCATTCCCAACATCTTCTATGGCCCCAGCAATTCTGGATTCTGCTTCTGATTCCTCCACCATGGTCTGAAAAGGGCTGGGAAGCCTACCTTCCTGTAGCCTTCCATCGGCTGCTGCTGCTCCCCCTGCAAAAATGGTTTTGACGTAAATCCCAATGGGGCCATAAATGCTGTCTTTTCCCCCAACGATGCTGAAGCCCAGACCCTGGGGAAAAAAAGAGAAGGTCTGATTTAGGGGTAGTATTCCATGCTTCTCATTGGCCTGATGCCTTCTGAGGGCCTGCCTCAGCCCTGAACAAAGGGATTGGGAAGGAGAGAAGGTGCCTTTGGTCTCAGAGGTCTCAGAGGTTAACAACAACAACAACAACAACACCAACAACAACAACAAAAATAGGAAGAGCAGCGGCATGAAGGCCAGCCTGGGCTGGGTAGTGTCTGGAGCTTTCGCGGGAATCTGAAGTTTCCCACACAGAGGGAGGCTGGATGGAGACCAGCACCCTGGCTCTGTCCCTCCAGTTGGCAATCCTGGGCCAATCACTTTCTGCTTCTGAACCTCAGTTTCCCTCCTTTTAAAATAATAATGATATTACCTAACTCACAGGGTTGTGTTTGAAAGTAAAATGCCTAGCAACAATCATAAAAATACCAACAATAGTAATAATAGTAGCAGCTTTACAATGTAGCCCTTCTCCCACCAAAGGCCTTCTCAATCCCCTTCTCAAGGACATCCCTCCAATCACGTGCTCTCCCTCCTGCACCTGCTCTATCTGCCATTGTCCTAGGTGATTCCCATGAGCCAACAAACATATCCTGGAATTGTACAGGTGGCTCTGGGAGAATAAACTCATAGCTCAGCAGATAGTTCCAGCTGGGGAGCAGCCAGAAGGCAGTAGAGAAGGCCAAACAGGAATAAGTCCCGGGAAAGGTTGAGTGAGGTCTACAGCAGGAAGAGAAGGGAGGGTGGGCACAGCTTCCCCTGCAAATCGGCCAGTGAGTTCACAGAATGGCCTGGCAGACCTGAAAAGCAGCAAAGGAAATCCATGTGACTTGCTCAATTTTGTTGAGGACTAAGGCACCCCATGCCGCCCTAGAGGGCATAGCTTGAGTCTAATAAGCAGCTTTCTAGACTATAAGCTCTCTGAAGACAGTAAATGCATCTTATTTCTGTGTCTGGCCTCAGGCAGGTGCTCAAGAAGCACGTATTACAGGATAAAGGCATAAATGCACCTGGAGGCCAGGCTTTTGGGTCCAACGTACAAGCATGCCAGGCAGTGGCCAGTAGCTTGGCTCCTAGACAGACCCTTTAAAGTGATGGCCACTGCTGTAACAGAACCATTGCTCATGGGCAGTTTACTTCAGGCCAGAGCCGCTGCGCTGATTAGGAGCATCACCCCGTGCCACAGAGACAACACGCTGTCCTCCATCTTCTTGACACTGTAGGGAGTCAGTGGGAGAGCCGTGGGGATGAGCAGCTGTTCTAAGCCTCTGGTGAAGGTGGTGTGTGTTCCAGGATGGGCAGGACAAATGGTGTCCGGGAGTAGCACAGGCTTAGGAAAAGGTGAGGTAGGAGCCCCTTCAGGGCTCCTCCACGGGCCCCTAGCCTTGTCCTGGCTGAGACGGCTGCTCTAGACTCAAAGTCTCACCCATCCTGGGGACTCAGGATGGCGTCATGGTTAAGAACAAGGCCCAGGGGTCAGACAGCCTGGGGTCATTGCCTTGGTTCGGCTCCTCACTAACCAAGTCACCTTGGACGAGTCCTGCAACCTCCCAGGTCCCCCGTCTCCATATCTATATACACACATACACACAGAGATATTCATTAGAGATAGCGTCTCCCTCTGCTGCCCAGACTGGAGTGCAGTGGCTCTATCACAGCTCACTGTGGCCTCAAATTCCCGGACTCAAGCAATCCTCCCACCTCAGCCTCCTGGGCAGCTGGGACTACAGGCATGTGCCAGCATACCGGGTTAATTATTTTATATATTTATTTATTTATTTTATTATTTTATTTTATTTAATTTATTTTATTTTATTTATTTTTGTAGAGACAGGGTCTTACTATGTTACCCAGGCTGGTCTCCAACTCCAGGACTCAAACAGGAGGCCTCCCAAAGTGCTGGGATTATAGGCGTGAGCCAGTGCGCCCGGCTGCACGTCTATAAAAGGGAGATAATAGGAGGGTTGTTGTGGGGATTAAAGGAGTTATGGTTGCAAAGCCCATAGCACAATGCCCGGGTTTTGGTGGCTGGTTTTATTGTGTGATTTGCTTTTGACTCTACCTCAAGCACTTGCTGATCCCTCTGGCTCTAACTCCTCCTCCCCCTGCTTCACTGCTACTTGTCATCCTGTTAGTGACGAGATCTTGGGGTGTAGGTTTTATCGCCAGATAGTGGGAAGCCTGCTTTATTTCTGAACTCATCATCACTGCTCTGTACATGAGGATTTCTATATCAAATGATTCATCTTCTTCCACCCCCCGGCCTCATAAAGATTACTCATTGAATGCATATTTTGTGCACACCAAGATAACTTAAACCATTTTTGGTCATCTTCACATGAGTTTTGGTGGCGTTTACCATTTCACCTTCTTTTGGGCACTGCAAACAATTTAAAAGTCAATCCAAAAAAATACTACTACCTAAATTGAAGGGGAAAAAGCATCGTGATTTACTAATCAGAAAATGGGTCCTTCAGAGAAAGTCAGCATAGAAGACAGTTACTCCCTTGTGATCAGAGGAGCATTCGTCCCAGCATCTCTCATGTCTCTCTTCTTTTTTATTTCCTGCTAAGCTCCCAGCAGACAGAAGGGACAGGAGATGGAGGGAAAGAGGACTTGAGGTGTATGGTGGGGCCCCTCCCCCTGGACAGACCATAAGTAGCAATTAGGTCCTCCTCTCACACCACACAAAAAATTATATTACATAAAGAAACCACCCTTTCATTACTTTAGCACCTGGGTTGCTTGGGCTGGCCTGAGAGCTTTGCAGTCAACCTCACGCACAAGGTGGCATGTTCTGGGAGCAGTGCAAACCTGTGTACGCCCCCTATCTCACCATCACCACCAATACTTTTGTATCCCCTTTGGCTATATCTCCATTATGAAGCAGAGATCAGTATGATGTTTCATCATCTTGAGAGAGGTAGAGTTAGTTCTGACTCTTCCAGATGCTACAATTGACAGCCAAAAGCACTATCAACCATTGAATTTCCCACATGTAGTAGGTAGCATATGTTTTTATAAATTAATATATGGGTCCCTGCTTTATTATGCCAACATCTGAATGGCAGAGGTAAACTCAGGATCCAGAAATCTATGTAAACAATTTGGATTTATGTATCAGGTAAAATTAAGTCCTGGAAACTACTGTGCCAGGAATGAATTAGAGAACAAGCTTTGAAAGTGCTAAGGCAGCTGGCAGGGACTGGCATCCTTTACAAGAAAACAATCACTTTGTTTAATTAGAAAAATGTGTGCTGCTTGGACTCAGCCAGGTGTGAGTTTTAAGACTAGCCACTCTTGTGTTTGTCTCTTCTGATGCGCCAGGACACCCCAGTAGTCCTATTCCCATCCTTCCCTGGACACAGCAGCTCCTTGGAGACTGGTGCTGCCCCCCAGGACTTCCTGTTGGCCACAATCCCTTCTCACCTTAGCCTGGCCCTTCATCAGCACGATGTTGGAGATGACTGAAGCCTGGAGGCCCCCAGATGGCTGCACGAGCTGAGCTGTGCTCAGGGACCGTGTTGGTCTCGAAGTTCCCTGCAACAAGGAACCAGAGTAGGCAGAAGATTAGCCACATAGGACAGCAGCACATGCCTCACAAGGAAGGGGAAAAGCCCAGCCAAAGAGAGGAACCAAGTCCTCTTTCTCCTAAGGGCAGGCAGCGTAACAACCAGAATGTGGTTAGTGGGGTGTGGGTAGGATTATGGTGGGGAGGGACTTCCTTGGTTCTAGGAGCCTGCTTTGCTGAGCCTGATGTAGATGAGCAGCCAAAAGGCTCACTAAGGTTTATCAAGGAAGTAGGGCCCAGGTTAACATCACAGAACACGCTGCCTCCAGGACAAGTCCTCATAAGCCAGGTCTCAGGCAGAATTTGGGAAGCCAGCTACCAAGAACGCCCTGAGACTATGTTCAATCCAAGACACATTTACTGAGAACTCCCCTTGTGCCAGGCAGGAGGTGGTGGGCAAGGGGGCGGAGCCCAAAGACTTCAAAACTCAGAATGTAATTTTGGGGTAGGCAGACAGGCTTAACTATTCATGAATGAGAACCAGAGCTATGTGCCACAGGAAGCCGCCCTGCAGAGGGGAAATACGGCTTAGTGGTGAGAGCTTAGACTTGGGAACCCCATTGTCTGGGTTCTTCTGACTCTGCCCATTATCAGCTGGCGGGTGACCTTAGCTTAGTGACTTAGCCCTCTCTGCCTCAGTTTCCTCAGCTGTAAAAGCATGGTCCTAATGGGGCCTATCTAATAGTGTCATTTTGAAGAATAAATCTATGCGAGTGCTTAAAATGGTGCCCGACACATAGCAAGTGCCTTAGAAATGTTTCTTGTCATTATTATAAATTCTAAGACTGTTTGCTACTTTCAGCATTTAATATTTGGAAAGAGTCTGGGGCTGAAGGCTGTGCTTCCTGCATGTCCACGAAAGCAGACACATCAGCTGTGAATGTGGAGGTAGCTGCTTGCTCCCTGCTCTCTGATATCGGAGATGCCGCAAGGCAGAACCAGGATCCCGGGCTGCTGACTCCCAGGCCCATGCTGTCCCCATGCCACCTGGGCAGAGGAAGCAGCAGGGCATGGGCTCTGAGCTGCCTGTGTTCATATCCATCCTGTTGCTATGAATTAGATGACCTTCGGAAGGCCACTTAACTTCTCTCAGCCTGGCCTCTGTATCTGTCAAAGGTGGATATTAACAGTACTTAGCTCTTTGGGTTGTACTCCCTTGGCTGTATAGCTGTTTGTAAAACACATCGCCTCATGCCTGGAAGGCAGCGAACATGGAATGCATGTTTTCTTTATTACTAGCATTCCCTGGATAACGAGCTGCTCTTCTCTGGATCACCCTCTCTCTTGTTGGCTTGCAGTTGCCCACACCTGATGGGCCGCTCTCTCCAAAGTCACCCAGGAAATACCCAGGTCCTGTAAGCCACTCCCTGGCCTTCCCGTCCACTGTGGATCCCACTTTCTCTTCTTCTCTCCCAGAAACAACCTTCCTCTGATAACTCCCTCTCCTCCTCCTTTGGAGGGCTGTTATGAAGACAATGTGAAATCACGCATGGACATCCGTGGTGGTTAATTTTCTGTGTCCACTTGACTGGGCCACATGGGTGCCCATATATTTAGTCAACCATTATTCTGTGTGTGTCTATGAGGGTGCTTTGGAATGAGATGAGCATTGAAATCTGTAGCCAAAGCACATCACCTGCCCTGATGCAGGTGAGCCTCATCCAATCTGCTGAAGTCCTGAATAGAGAAAAGACAGACCTCCCCTGAGTTAGAAAGCATCCTTCGTGCGTGACTGCCTTTGAACTAGGACATCAGCCTTTTTCCTGTCTTTATATTCCAACTGAAAAATCAGCCCTTCCTGGGCTTGAGCCTGCTGGCCTTTGGATGGGAACCACACCATTGGCTCTCCTGGTTCTCAGGCCTTTAGACTCTAATTAGGTCTAAACCATAGGCTTCCCTGGGTCTCCAGCTTGTCAATTCATGCTAAAGATCTTGGAACCTGCCTACCTTCATAATCCCATAAACCAACCAATTCATTATGATCAGTCTCTCGCTCTCTCTGTGTGTGTGTGTGTGTGTGTGTGTGTCTGTGTATGTGTGTCTGCGTATGTGTATGTGTGTCTATCTATACATCTCTTATTGGTTCTGTCTCCAACTAACATAGTGTCTAATTGCCTCCTAAACTTTGAGGAGTTGAGTAGAGGGAATAACTGAGTCTCCCACTCCTGTCCCCAAAACACTGCCAATCTCCTGAAGCACTCCTTCCTGGTGGAATGTAACCCCTCAATTCTCTTCAGCACAGCCTCCCAGGCAGCTACTACTGGCTGATCTTTAGCCCATCCCTGCTGGCCAGGTAGGCCTCCTGTTCCCAAGGACCTGGATCCTAGTGCATGAGGCAGCAAAGACAGGAAGCAGCTTCCCCCAGGAAGTACCCGCTAGCCCAATCCTCAGGGACCCAGCGCTGGCTGCAGATATTGGAGGGCTCCAGTGTACTCCTGTATGACCCCAGATGTGCAGAAAACCAGGGACTGGGAAAGTTCTCAGCTCAGGGTGGCACCAGGGAAGCCACCTTCTTCTAACACTAGGACACCACACTCCCAGTTTGGGAATGAAAAACACATTGACTCAAGGAAAGGAAGGGAAGAGAGAGATGAAATTCACTGAGCATCTATTATGTACTATGCAGGGAAACATTGCTTGACCGTGGAGACCCTCCTTGGGAGAGTCAGTTGGTGAGATGAAATGCTAACATAAATGACACTCACAAGACAGGCTGGGTGAGCACTGTGAGAGGAGTGCAGTTGCTTCCTGATGGGCATTTGGGAAAATGTGAAGTCCACGCCTTTGGAGAGATCAGGAGCTTTCCCAGGCAAAAGAGAACCTTAGGAAGGTTTTTGAAGGCTGGGGCAGTTTCTAGAGATAGAGATCAGAGAAGGAGGGGTGAGATGCTACAGACAGAGGGCGCTGTGTGACCAAAAGTGGCAGCGTGCAGCACAGCGTGCTTTGGCTGGGGCTGAAAGGCAAGCTGGTGGGACGTGTGTAGGGTACACTGTGCTTTATATCTGCTTAGCTCTCTGCCTGCAAGCTGACACCTGTAGTGGGAAGGTCATGGACTGAGGAGCACACAGGGCAGTTTAAATTCTGGTCCTATAGGTTTTAAGATGCATAAACCCAGCTACTCACTTTGCCAAGCCTCAGTGTCCTACTATAAAATGGGACTAACAACATATTCCTTTCTAAGCTTGTTTTAAGAATTAGAGGCAATGTTGGTAAAGCAGGTCACTAGATTATAGGAGTGAAAAGCCTTTTCGCACAGGCTTCAGAGTCATAAAGATCAGACTTGAAGTCCCAGCTGTTTCTCCTCAACAGTGTGAATGTGCATAAATCCTTTAACTTGCCCAAGCTGTAGCTCCCTCTTCTACCTCTTAGGAGTATGTGCAGATGAAATAAAGCGATCCACGCAAAGCCATAGTTCAGGGTCCCCCCGCGTGCCGTGTTCTCTACATGTTAGCTCTTAATAGCACACACGTGGCAGCAGTTGCAAGTGCCTGGCACAAGGGGGCGCTCAATGGATGACCATTTCTAATGCGGTTCTCAGCCCAGAGATGGTTGTACCTTCTTGCAGCTACTAAGCGAGACCCTCTCCTCTGTAGTTCTGCGGACAAAAAAACTACTGGGAAGGCCTCTTCAGCCACTGTTAATGTTGGGCCCCTCCCTTCTCCCCGGGAGAAACTCTTCTCTGAGTTTCCCTCCTTCCATTCTTACCGCAGCCTTTCCTGCTGGACAGTCCAATTGTTGAGAGAGGGACTTCCTGTTACTGCAGAGAGAGTAAGGCTGCCTGTCCGTGGGCGCTGCAGATTTCTTGGTCATTGGAAAATCAATTTCTCTTGTGCAATAGGGATTAACACCTAAACCAGAAGAGGAAAAACAGCAAGAAATCATTTGTGCTCTCAAAATGCAAAGTTCAACTAAGAACAATATCAGCCCCTCATTAGCCAGGGGCCAGTGTGACTGTAAACCACTTAACACCCTGTGCCAGGTGCGTGGTGGGGAGAGGTGGCCGCGGAAGACATGAGCAGCATTGTCATGATCTCCACGCATGCTGTCTGTACTGCAGGGTGCAGATGGGACTCTCACTTCCATTTTACCTCCATTCAATGCAACAAGAGTTGACAGGCATTTCCTGCAAGTCAATCAGTGTGCTGAGCTCTCAGAAACCACAATGCTGCATCAGATCCAGGCCCCGGTGTTTTCAATCCCAACCAAGGAGAGAAAGGAGGAAAACACAAAGGTTTCCGAGGACAAGCACAAACAGGCGAGACCCAGTAGGAACAGGGGCAGGGGAGATCCTATCTGACTGGCTCTTACACAGGCACTCACACACAGGGATACACACACACGGAGACAACTCTTGATTCTTTGGATATCTGCAAAAATGCAAAGCGACAGGCTTCCTCTACTTTGTGGAAACCACAGACTTCCTTTCATCCAACCGGGAACTCTACCCTACCTCCCTACCCTACCACATCCAGCTGGGAAAACCTTCACAGATGATCTGATTTAACCTGTCATTGTCTACAACAGTGCTTCCCAAATGAAATATAATGCCAGCCACCTATGTAATTAAAAAATTTTCTAGTAGCCACATTTAAAAAGTGAAAAGAAACAGGAGAGATTAATTTTAATAATATATTTTATTTGGTCTGTTATATCTATTGTTCTTTCAACATATAAATAATATGTAAAATTATTAGTGAGATATTTTACATCCTTTTCTTCTTGCACTTAGTCTTTGAATCCAGTGGGTCTTTGATACTTTCTGCACATTCTGTTTGAATAAGTCACATTTCAAGTGCTCAAGACTACATGTGGCTAATGTGTTGGGCAGTTCCGTTCTAGAGGCCAGGAGAGGGGCAGGGTTTGCCTAGTATCCTGAGGGCCAAGTGAGGCTCGAGTGAATGGACAGGCTTTTGTGAAAAATTCCCCTAGAGGAAAAGGTAAGATTGGTGGTAGTTCAAAGGAAACACAGGATGGAGCAGGGTTGGGTTTGCTTTTATTTTCAGGATGGGAAAGACTTAAGCTTATTTATAGGCTGAAGAGAGGAAGCCACTGGCCAGGGTAGCTTGAGAAGAAAAGAGGAGTGGTATCTCTGAGGGTGTGAGATCCCTAAAAGGGGATGAGGAAAGGAACAAAGACAAGGTGAAGAAGGGAGAGGTTTTGGTCCATCGGGGCCCAGAGAGTGGCTGGGGAAACCTGCCCCTGCAAGAACAGCTGCTCCCAGCAGCTGCTTCAGCGCAAGTAGGTGGCCCTCTCTGAGTTACAGGGACCAACTGCTCCCAGATGGACCAGGAGGGAGAGGAAGCCAGAAGATTCAGAAAACCACACGCTGCAAAGAGAGGACACAGAATCAAGAAAGGGGGGTGAGAGGAGAGGCTAGACATCCTCTAGTGCTAACTCTGCCTGTGCATTATATTTATCCGGAGTGTTTAATAGAAAGGTAGATTTCAGTGCTCCACCCAACCTATTGATCCATATCTGCACGTTTCGGGTCTGGGGAAACCTGTATGTTTGTCAGCCTGTGCAGATGATGCAGGTGGCTCGTCATTTGTCCTTTGGGAACCCTGCTGGAGTTACTCCTTCCTCTATCAGTGAGGAAATGGAAGCCCAGAGGGTTCCGGATCAGTGAAGAAACAGTCTGAGGCATGACCTCAGCCTCCAGAATCCCAGTCTCCCTGCATTCTCTCCATCCACAGCAGTGCAAGGGTGACCTGTGACTTGAAGGTGGCCAGTGGTGCATGCTTTGGGTTCAGAGGGAATGAGGATGAACAAACAGGCTGCCAACTTGGAATGGTTCACAGAGCAGATCAACCTGACCTCAGAGCCACAGGAGAGCCCAGTGCAACTGCTCAGGCCACACCCAGCTCCACTTGTGTGGGGGTTCCAGTTCCCACTAGACATTCAGATCTGTGGGGACGCAGACCAGAGTCAGGACAGAGTGGGTTCTCCAAAACTCTCCCTGGTCTGGGGTCGATTTCTGTGCCCACTTCGGCCCACTGTTTCAGAACATTGCTTGTTGACGCACTCCAGCCAACTAGGAAATGTACCAAAATTATCATCTCCATTGGGGGAAGTTTAAACCAGTTAAGTGTAGAGTATTAAGTGAGTTAACTGAAAGCTGGTTATTACAACCCAATGCAAAAAAAAAAAAAACAAAAAAAAATAGTTTTTGAAAGGGGAGCTATATATTGTCATGATTATATACAAAAAAGCTATATTAGAGCTACATATTGTCATGAGTTTATAAAGTTATGTTGAATTACAAAATGGAAAAATCCATGGAAAAGGGATGAATAACACCAAGCTAACTTCTTCATCTTTCATGAGGGGGACAATTTGGAAAATGTTATGTCAGATATTAATTAATTGATTAAACTTAATTGGGTAATTAATTAAAACTTAAGGAAATCAGAAGTAGAGACAATAATTAAATAAACCTTTCACAATCATTATAGCAAGAGGCCAAGAACAAACAAATGGCAAGGAATCATCAAAATAAAAAGCATAAAAAGAGCTAAGTAAAAATAAATATGATCTATAACACTGATTTCAACTATCTGAGCTTCTTTTCTTTTTTTAAAATGGAGTTTCACTCTTGTTGCCCAGGCTAGAGTGCAGTGGCACAATCTCGGCTCACCACAACCTCTGCCTCCCAGGTTTAAGTGATTCTCCTGCCTCAGCCTCCTGAGTAGCTGGGATTACAGGCGTGTGCCACCACTCCCGGCTAATTTTGTATTTTTAGTAGAGACAGGGTTTCTCTATGTTGGTCAGGCTGGTCTCGAACTCCTGACCTCAGGTGATCCACCCACCTCGGCCTCCCAAAGTGCTGGGATTACAGGCGTGAGCCACTGCGCCCGGCCTTAAGCTTCTCTTCTTAAAAAAATTGCCAAATTTGCTTTCAGGGACCTAACTGCATATCGTTTGCATGAGATTAACAAAACAAACAAAAAACGCAAAATAAAAGGAACTGATTGTAAATAAGTGATGCTAGAATAATTCTCTATTCATTTAGAAAAAAAAAATCTACCTAGATTCTTACATCATATCAAACACCAAAAATAAACTACAGATAATACAGTAAATTTGAGGGAAAAAAGATAAATCATTTACAAATTAGAAGTATATATAGTCACAGACTTAATAGTTATCTGAATGTGGAAGTAACTTTCACATTAAAAAAGAAAAGATCAGTAAACTTGATTACATAAAGATTAAAACACCTTAATGTTAAAAAATTAAAATAAAAGCAACGAACTGGAGAAAGTATTTTCAACAAGTATGACGTCAAATATTAATTTAACCAAGAGGCTTTTTATAAATTAATGATAAAAAGATGATTATTTCAGTAAAGAATAGGCAAACTCACCAAAAACAAAATAAATAAATGAAGGAATGTTTAACTTCACCTGTATGAATGTTTAACTTCACCTCTTTTCGGGGGGGCAGGACAGGCTCTCACTCTGTTGCCCAGACCAGAGTGCAGTGGCACAATCATGGCTTACTGCAGCCTCAACCTCCCAGGCTCAAGGGATCCTCCTACCAGCTGGGACCTCAGGTACGAGCCATCATGCCTAGTGGGTTTTCTTTTTTTAAAAAAATTTTTTGTAGAGACATGGTTTCACTATATTGTCCAGGCTGATCTCAAACTCCTGGGTTCAAGCGATCCTCCTGCCTCAGCCTCCCAAAGGGCTAGAATGACAGGCAGAAGCTGTGGCAGCCAGCCTAGGTACTTTTTTTTTCCATCTATTTTTATCAGTGTATCAATCAGGGTTTGGGAAGAAACAAAAGGCACACTCAGTTGGGATTCTGAGAATTGGGTAAAGGAGCCATACACAGAGGGGTGGGCCGGGTTAGAAAAATAACGAGGCCTATTGAGGTACCAGACACTGTTACCACCCCAGGCTTGAAGGAGTAAGGTGGGGAAATGGTGTTACCAGAGCCCAGTGGGCACTGGAACCGACAGGCCACCCTAACACAATTTACTGTCATAGAGGGGCACAGCCACCACCAGCACTGCAGCACCAAGGTGGGGGAGCAGAGGAAGAAACACCCTGGTGGCTCTCTTCCCCCTGCCAGTCCTCCATTGATGCCTGTCATTGACTGAACTCAATCAGAAGCCAGAGAGCCAGGGAGCCCTGGGGATGCCAGGGAGCCAGGGAGCTCTGCGGGGTTCAGCTCCCAGGGGGCAAGAGGGCCTGGCTTCAGGGGCACGTGGCCTGCACAGTCACCTGGGGCCCTGTGATTGAAGAATCCCAACCTGGTTCAAAGATTTTCTTCTACCTTTTTGAAATTATTCATATATTTTTTGAACAGCAATCGTGCCTTTTCATTTTACAGTGAGTCCTACCAATTGTATAGCTGGTCTTGGCTGCAAAACAAAACAGTAAAAAAGCAAAGAATGGGTGAGGGAGAAAGGGAAAGGAGAAAAACCTGTAAATCTGTAAATTGCTGTAAAGCAAATATTTATCAAAAATCATAATCCCATGTGAGCTATGATTGAAGAAATAGGTATTCATATATATTATTGAAAGAATATTAGCTACTGAAATTTGGCAATACAGATAAAAAGCCTTAAACTACATCTACCGTTTAACCCCAAATTCCATTTCTAGAAAATTATGCTAGAATAAGTAAAAATTGATGATAAAAAAGCAAGTAACTTTTTAAAAATATTTTTATTTCCAATAATAGGAAATCACTAAGGATGGTGCATCATACAGCAGAATCATGTGAGACTCAGAGGGGACTTGCCCAAGATCACATAGGTCACTAGTTCTGGAAGCGGGACCCAGATCCAAGTGCCTTAGCTCCCAAATGTGAGCTCTTAACCAGGCCACTGCCTTCTGTATTTTCTTTGAAAGATCATCACAAACTCAGACAAAATCTCATGTACCTATTCAGCAACTTGATTAGACTAGTGAAAACCTGAGAATGACTTAAATACCTAATAACAGGGATTTGGTTAAGTAGATTTTATAAATATCTAATAATAGGGAGTTGGTTAACTAGATTTCATAAATTCATATAATAAAATACCATGGATCCACTAAAAAATGGTGTTTTCAAGAGTTTCTGATGACCTGAAATAGTTATATATAAATAAATGCGTGTGTGAAGTTTTTTATAGCATATGTAGGCATAGAAGGGAAATAACTGAATATGTTAACATAGATGATCTCTAATATTATGATTTGGTGTGATTTTAATTTCTTCAGGTTTTTCTGTATTATTGCATTCTTCACATTTTCTTGACTTTGTACTAGCCATCTTCTATTTTCAGCTAATAAAAATCATGAGCTCTTCCAACCTCAACTTCCATCATATTGCAGCTAAGAGACAGAAGCCTTCCCAAGACCAAGGAGCATGTTAGGAGACACAGCAGGAGTAAAGCCCGGTCTCTTCTTCCCCACACCCAGGTCTTTCCAGCATGGCACTTGGAGCCATGAGGAGAGCTGGCTAGACAACACAGAACTCTGGCTAGCCAGAGCATGCACACACTATGAAGCTGAGCAGACTCCAATGCTAGTTTACTCCAACTGGACCAGAAGAGAGCCGCTATCCTCCCAATAGTCCTGCTATCCAGGAACAGCTGAGCTCTGTTCCTGAAGACATGTTGGGAAGACACTTACTGGTTGAGTTGCTGCGTGCCCTTTGGTGGCAGGCTTTAGGAAACAGGAAGTTACTACTTTGTGCTTCTAGTTTTCCAGGCTTTTCTCGAGAGGAAGCTGTGGAAGATTCCTGCAAAACAATTGCCGTCTTTTTATTCAGCAAGTTAGAATAGAAAACTTGTGCTTAGCAAAATTGGATTTTGACACTGACCATAGAAGTACTCAGATTATCTGTCTCCCCTACTGAAATGATAAGTACTATAAGAGCAGGGATTTAGAATCACCATCATCCTTTCACTCATAGACATACATTCATTTGTTTAATTACAAATATTGAATGAATAGATTACATTAATAGTAAACTAATGCGACACAAATTGAATGAATCCTTCAGCTATTAGATGTCAAGTTCTTTGTTAGACATTGTGCACATAGCTGTGACCAAGACAGACAAGGATGTTGATCTTGGAGAAAATGCATTTTAGTGAAAGATGACTGACAATAAACAAGCAAAATAAAGGTGAAAGATAATTACAGAGAATGATAAGTGCTCTGAAGAAAAGAACTAGAGAGCAATGTGGATAGGGAGCCTGGAAGGTATGTTTTAGAGAGAAAGATCGAGCAAGTTACATTGTTCTGGCATACCTGGCACATAACAGGCACTTGCAACTATTTGCGGAATGAATGTTATATAAATGGATTTCTTAATATTGAACTATCCATGCATTATTAAGGGTATTATGATTTTACTATATTGCTTATTACTATATGCAAATATTTAATTTAGGGCTTTTAAAAATCAATATTGTTAAACTTGCTTATGGTTCTCTTATCCTTTTTCTACCTTGCTGTATCAATCAAATATATATATGTTAATTTATTATATATCTCTCCTCATCCTGGAATTTTAGGGATGGGTGTAGGGATATGGGCTGATAATGAGGATGACGGTATTAATTATTTTATCTTTCTGAAAGTTTTCTGATTGTTATTCTATTTTATAACTTTGTTATCCACAATGATCTTGACTTAATTCTTGAGTTATATTGGTTTTATTACTCACTACCATAATCCTTGTGTGTGTGTGCACATGTTGTGTGTGCGTATATGCACAAATATATATATATAGAGAGAGAGAGAGAGAGCGAGTGACAGAGAGAGAGAGAGAGAGCGCGTGCGCGAGTGACAGAGAGAGAGCAGGTCAGGACAGGGTGGTGCTCTGTTGTCTGGCTGGAGTACAGTGGTGTGATCTCGGCTCACTGCAGCCTTGACCTCCTGGGCTCCAGAGATCCTCCCACTCAGCCTCCTGAGTAGCTGGTACTACAGATGCATGCCAGCATGCCCAGCTAGTTTATGTATTTTTTGTAGAGACGGAGTTTCATCATGTTGCCCAGGCTGATCTCAAACTCCTGGGCTCAAGTGATCCTCCCACCTCAGCCTCCCAAAGTGTAAGGATTACAGGCGTGAGTCATCGTGACTAGACAATCAAATTTTCTTTGCTCTCTTTTTATACTAATAATTTAGAAAATATTTTATAGTATTGAGTATGTAAGCAGTATATTAAACAACATACTTGGACTCATTTCCATACCAGGGTCAGTAATGAAACAGAAAACATGACTCTCCCTCATCTAAGATGAGATTTTGAGACAACTTTTACTTTCTTCCCTCTCCTCATCCTGAGATTTTAGGGATGGGTATAGGGATAGAGACTGATAATGAGGATGATGGTATTAATTACTTTATTTCTCTTCCTGAAGCTGTTTTCTGGTTATTCTATTTTGTAACTTTGTTAGCCACAATGATCTTCACTTAACTCTTGAGTTATATTGGTTTTATTACTCTACCATAATTCTTGTATGTGTGTGCACATGCTCTGTGTGTGTGTACATCTGTGTGTGTGTCTGTGTGTGTGTTTTCTTTCAGGAAAGCTCTCTGAATATCTGCATGTCTAGGGATGTCTTTCTGTGGCTGTCACATGTGAATGATTGGCTGAGTATAGAATCTTTGGATATTGGTTACTCAACTTGGAAACTAGATGGCTTAAATGCTTTCTGGGACTTAGTGTTTCAGGGTATAGTTTGTTGGAGACACTGACACTCTATTATAACTCTATCCTAACTGACTTAACTGCATTTCTTAGAAGCCAGGCTTAGCAATGCCTGGTTAATTTCATGTGCCAAGGGTTTGCAGAACCCAGCACCTGGTGCATTTTCCAGAGCAGAGGGAGGATCTATGCTTGCCTCTCGCTGTGTGCCAAATAACCCACCCTCAGCTCCAGCCCCTGCCACTGTGAGCTAGTAGGTATTGAGGGGCTCTGCTGGAATCCCTCATTCCCTTGGCTTTTCCCTCTTATGTGGTCAATGGCAGGCTAATGAGCCCTTCCCTCAATCCAATCTCACCTGCACTTTGTCGTGCAGAAAGTTCTCATGAGTTCCAGAATGTGTTGGCCCCTTTCCATGGTTTCCTGTTTCTGACATGCATTTCTCCCTATTTGTATATTCCTTTTGAATTTTGATAGAAATTTCTAACAGGTGGAGGAGTTAATCAAGTGTACTCTGTCGCCAACTGGAGCCAGAAGTCCACTCAGTCTTTTTGAAAAAGATTGTTTCCAGTTCTGACACAAGGGGATCCTGCAAGAAACCACATGTCAATTCCCTTTTATTTCTTAAACAAGTCAATGTTTAAAACTAGAGAACTCATCCTGAAGGACTCCTTTTCAGCAGCAGATGGTGCTATATTAACTTGGACAAAATTACCTTCTATAACCAGGCTAACCAGGGAATTCTTTTAAAGGGGAGAAAGCAGTGACTATAGAGAAGGTAGTTGAGTTCAGTTGAATTCTTGAGACTCTGTATTGCCAGAACTTAGCATAATGAGTCGTTCTCTGAATTCAATGCTTCATAAAACACAATATGCAAAAGATATTTCTTAGTTACAGTAGATTGAGAAGGTAATGTCCTGATTCTAATTTCAAGACCTCCCTCTGGCACTGAGAAGTGAAAACTTCTTTATGTAATCCAGTAAGACTATGAAAGTAAAAAATAAAATGTGATTTTATTAATTTTTTCGGGTCCATTGAGCATAAGGAAGCCTAGTAAAACAGCCAGTTGGTCTACTTATCCATGAGGAGCAAGCCCTATGTGCAAAGGATCTTTGAAATTTGTATTTTATCTCAAATATCTAGCTGCATGAGCGTAAATAAGTAAATGATGTGTACACAATACATCGAATACTAAGCACCTTTAAAAATGTAGAGTCTGGGTGCGGTGGCTCACACCTGTAATCCCTGCACTTTGGGAGGCCAAATTGGGGGGTTCACTGGAGTTCAGGAGTTCAAGGAGTTCAAGACCACCCTGGCCAACATGGCAAAACCCTGTCTCTACTAAAAATACAAAAAAACTAGCCGGCATGTTGGCATGCACCTGTGGTCCCAGCTACTTGGGAGGCTGAGGCAGGAGAATCACATAAACCTGGGAGGCAGAGGTTGCAGTGAACCAAGATCCTGCCACTGTACTTCAGCCTGGGTGACAGAGCGAGACTCTGTCTCAAAAAAAAAAAAAAAAAAAGTTTGTAAAGAGTTGTGACATAGGTATACCTGTGTTATCATAGTAAGTTAAAAAAAGATATTATCTAATGATGATGACTGACTACAATCATGTAAAATATACATAGAAAAAGGGCAAAAAGGCTGGAAATAAGTATACCAAAACAGTAACACTCATTCATTCAACAAATGTTTATTAAGCACTTACTCTGTACCAGGCACTGTTCCAAGTACTGAGGATGTGACAGCAGACATGAAACACAAGGTCTTGCTCTCATGAATTAGCAAGAGTGGGTTTGGGTGATGGGATTATGAATACTATTTTTTCACATGTTTCTGTATTTTCTATATTTTCCATAGAGAGAATATACTACTTTTAGAATCAAACCAAAAATAAATGATTACTTTTACATTTATTTCAATTGTCACATTGGTAGACTTAAAGCCTGCTTATTTTTAAACATCTTTCTTTTAATCCTCTTTGTAAGTCCTGAGTCCAAGGCACAGTTGGAAATTGCCTGGCCTGTAAAGCCAATTGATGGCAGGAGAATCATAGGAAGTGGAGCCTCTCCCTGCCCCGCCCACCCAGATTAGCTGTAAATACTTAATGCCGTGTTAGAGGGAAAGCTTTCTCTGGGGGTTTCAATGTTGGCTGTAGAAGGCCTTATCCAAAAGACACTGAACCGACTGGGTCCCCACTTGGCCCCTCAGTTCTCCACATTTCAGTGGCTCAGTCTCTTCTTTCCATGGCACCTGGGAACAGCAATCTCAGTTTCCACATGCAGGGAGGTGTAGCCTCTTGTGCATGCGCAAGGCTATGCAGATGAGTCCTTCTCCTTCCTTCACAAGTCTGTATCCTCCAACCAAAGCCATCTCAGACACAGATGACAGAAGGTTGTTCCCTTCCCACTGCCATGCAGCCAGTCTCTGAAGTAGCTGGAGGCTCCAGTAAGGTGTATCTCACTAGGCTATAATCAAGTTCTTTGACAGTTTTGTGAAATTGATGTGCTTCACTTCAACATGGCCGTGGTGTGAAGTGGCTCATTAGATGGCTACTATAGGAGAGAATAGAAATGTTCTATCTCGACCCAAGTTGAGGTCTAAGTAGCAATTTCCTATGAAACACATATAAAGCCATATGACTCCTAAAGGTTCCTGAAACAGAGGCAGTGCACACATTTTTGGACCTTCTGTTTTCTCGACACCAACAAGGGTCTAGTACTCATCTATACTCTGGGACTATTTCAAGTTATTGTTCAAGCTAAACAGTTTCTTCATCAGAAATGAGTCGTAGGGAAAGGGTCATGAGACCAGCAGCACTAACTCTCTCATGACTCTGAGCTTGTCAATTATCTGGGCTCAGTTTCCTCTTTAGTAAAGCTAAGGGGTGAACTAAACAATCTCTAAAATCACTTTCAGCTCTTTACTTTTAATAGTAACTGATGGTTATGTTTAAAGGGCACCTCTCTCAAATGATCACATGTCAGAACATCTTACATAAGAACAAAGCATCTGGTCTCTCTCTGGCAAGTATGTCCTGGGTGGAGAGGTTTCTCATCAAAGGATTCTCTGTAGGAGCCCCACGAACGTCTGCACAGTGTGACTCCCTCCCAGCACACAGAACAGAACTCTTCTGTTTCTGCTCTCAAGGTGGGGCTGCTGTCAGAGCTGAGGATTTGTCATCGAGGTCAGGGGCTGTCAAAATCATTTCTAAACACATTTTCCCTATTCTCATCAGAGACTGTGGCCCTGGGCAGAGGTTCTGTGGGTGATACACCCCGTAATTACCTGGGTAGCAGTCTCTCCATCTGCCAGTCCCCATGGCAACTGAGCGAGAAATGGGGTCAACTGTCCAGAGAACTCTTTAAATATTTTTTCCAAAGTTAGGATTGGTCATGTGACTGCTAGGGCTAAACAGTCAACTCCAAGAAATGGGGAAAAAAACAAAAACAAACAAGATTCTCATGCAACCAAGGAATGGACCCAGAATGAAGATGGAGAATTCTGGGGCATTGTGTCCTGCAAACAAGGTGATTCCAAAGCCTAAACTTCTCCCCAAAGATCATGACAATTCCATTGCTCTGTTAGGAGTGTTTATTTTTTATGTAGCCAGCCCTGGCTGACATCACTGGCATTACTGACAGAAGCCTGATGCTTCTGGAGTTGGCTGACTGCATTCCCCTTCCATCCAAACCTTACCATTTTCTCTTTGAACTCAGATGCCATAGCTGCTCCAGTCTAAGAGAACCACAAAATAGAATTCAACTGTCCTCCTGATTGAGGCTTATTTCCTGTGGTTGAATTGATCATACGGCTACAGGCTTTGATCCTCCAGTCATGAGGATAAACAAGTAGGCCCCAGCAGATTGGTTCTGGGATGGCCACATGTCATGTGGGATGATGAGGCCACAGATCTCCTGATATGGAGGGGAAGGTTGGGAACCAGAAATCTAAAACTTCTCAAGTTCTTACTCTCCGACCCCTGCATGACTGCAGTTCCCATGTCCTTATAATCTTACCTTCTCAACCTTCCCCAGCACACCCATTCCCACTGCCAATGGCATAGCTCAGGATATTTGTTTTAGATTGGACTATTATTAATACAATGCCCTAGGGGGTATAGAAAAACTATTTTAAAAATATATTTTACAAATAGTGCTGGGACAACCAGATATTCACATGCAAAAGAGTGAAGCTGGACTCCTCTATCACACCATACACAAAAAGGACCTCAAAATAGATCATAGATCTATATGTGAGAGCTAATACTATAAAAGTCTTAAAGAAAATATAGGAGTAAATCTTGGGTTGGGTTAGGGAGAGGCTTCTTCAATACGATACAAAAAGCACAAATGACAAAAGATAAATGAGCTTCATCAAAATTTAAAACTTTTGTGCCTCAAAGGACACCATCAAGAAAGTGAAAAAACAACCTACAGAAATGGAGAAAATATTTGCAAATCATATATCTGATAAGGGACTTGTGTATCTAGAGTATACAAAGGATGCTTACCACTCAAAAATAAAAAGACAAATAACCTAATTTTTATAAATAGGCAAAAAATGTGAATAGACATTTTTTCAAATGATATACAAGAGACTAGAAGCACATAAAAAGATATTCAACATCATTAGCCATCAAGGAAATGCAAATCAAAACCACAATGAGATACCACTCGCATGCACTAGGATGGCTATAATCACAACCACTTTATACCTGCTAGTGTAAGGAGGATATGAGAAATTGGAATGCTCTTACATTGATGATGGAAATGTAAAATGGAGCAGGGGGTTTGGAAAACAGTGTCAGTTTTTCAAAAAGTTAAGTATAGAGTTACCATATGATGCAGCAGTTCCATTCCTAGGTATATACCCAAGGGAAATGAAAACATAAAACCACACAAAAACTTGTACAAAAAAGTTCAAAGCAGCATTATTCATGATATCCAGAACATAGAAACAACCTGTGTCCATTACCTGATAAATGGATGAATAAAATGGAATATATCCATATAATAGAAGATTGCCAATTAAAATGAATGAACTGATACATGCTACAACATGGATGAGTCTTGAAAACATTAAATGAAACGAAAGAAGCCAGTCACGAGAGACCACATATTGTATAATTCTATTTATATTATGTCCAGAATAAGCAAATCTATAGATAGAAAGTGGATTAGTGGGTAATTAGGGATCGGGCAGGAATGAGGGGTATAAGGAGTAACAGCTAATGGGCAGGAGGTTTCTTTTTCGGGGGACAAAAATGTTCTAAAACTAGACAGTGGTGTGGTTGTACAACTCTGTAAATATACTAAAAACCATTTAACATTACACTTTAAATGGTTTAATTGTGTGGTATGTGAGTTAATATCTTAATAAAACCATTAAAAAATAGAATATTCACTCATCTATTCCTAATTTCCCTGCCTTTAATCTTTTCTCCCTTAAATTCCTCTGCACCTTGTTGCCAGCATAATTTTATAAAAATGCAAATGCTACCCATGAAACTTTCTGATTAAAACTAATGGCTCTGTCTTTCACGAATTCAAGTCCAAATCCAAACCCCTTGGTATGTCATTCAACATCCCTTCTCCTCTGACACTACCCAGATAGCCCCAAATCTCCATTGCACTTTGTTAGTCCACTTCCTACCAGTGAATCCTGGTATTTCCTGCTGTTTGTATAGTTACCCATCCATTCTCTCCTTCATCCTTCTGGAATCAATTTAGAATTGATTTACAGAACCTTTGTAGTGATGTCCCCAGACAAATAGCTGTCTCCTGAGAAAACCATGGACTTCTCCACCAATCAGACCCTAGGAAGGATTAAAATATCCATAGTTGTTTACAGTTGTTTTCAAACCTGATAGGACCAGTTTTTCATTGCTCTTCATCTTGACTCATCTTACGTGTTTTTCCAAACACATTACAGCATTATGTTACTAAGAAATTATTTCTGTTAATAATTTGGGAGAAGTTCCTCTTGAAAAAAAACTGTAGGTAATATTAAAATAATTGGCTATTTTTTTCCAGAAACAGTGTCTATATTTTTATTTACTTAATAGAAATGACTCTCAGTAGAGTTTCCATTATGCTAGTTCCAGTGGGATTTTTGAAAGGAGTAAGCAAAGTAATATATGCAATGACTATCAAGAGCCCTAAGAATCTAGTTAGTCTACAAGCAGTGCCAAGCTATTTTCCAAATATTCCTCAGTTCTGTCGCTTTCTTTTTATATTCTAGAAATTTATTATAGAAACTAACTGGACAAGGTGCACAAAGATGTCTATACAAAGATGTTCATCATCACATTGTTTGTAATAGAAAACATGGAGGGGGACATTCAATGATAGGAGAATAACTAAAGGTGTCATGACAGGAGACTTCTATGTCTGGTAGTACAGTGGATCCTTCTGCTAAATAAAAGGAAAAGAGCCAAGGTTGGAGGATTGCTTGAGGCCAGGAGTTCAAGACCAGTCTGGGCAACAAAGTGAGATCCATCTCTACAAAGTTTTTAAAAATTTTGCCAGTGTGGTGGTACGAACCTGTAGTACCAGCTACTTGGGAGGCTGAAGTGGGAGGATCACTTGAGCCCAAGAGGTTGAGATTGCAGTGAGGTATGATCACACCACTGCATCCCAGCCCAGTCAACAGAGAGAGACCCTGTCTCTAGAAACACAAAAACAAAAACAAGTAGAAAGGTTGCATGGGATGTAAATGTATCAACAAAATAGCAAATGGGTAAGGAATACCTGGAGGCCAAAAAGTAAATAAAAGCTGTACCATAGTTTTTCTGAGAAACAAGCAGAGCCCAGAAGCTGGAGGTTGCTCTGAGATAATTTGATGAACTGGTTGAACTTGAACTTTGTCTTTCATAGCCTTATGGGATATTGGGAAGAGAAGAGAAATACCAGTCCCTTCCTAGGAAAGAGAGTTTAACAGGATACTTCTCTTGGATAAAAAGGGAGCCCCAAAGGATTATATCTTCATTTTAAGTTTGAATTGGAAATAAATTAATCCCCTCCCTCAGGAAATGCATAAAAACAATTAATCTGGAAATGACCCTGAATGGAAGGAGGAAAATCTTCCCCCCAGAGGAATAATCATTACCAGATGGCCTTTTCAAGAGTTGGCAACCCTAATTAATACATATGGACATCTTTTTAAAGCCTCTAGATAAGAATTTAGTTTAAAATGATTCCAGGCTGGTGGTGCCCCAATACCTGGCAGAAACAAATTTGAATCTTCTCTGCAGGAACCAGCTTTGACTTCAGTCACAAAACTCCCCACAAGATGACAAAACATATGAGCTGTCACAGAAAAAAAAATCAAAGCAAAATAAAACATAAGATAAAACACACATTGAAACAAGGTCCTAGGTCAAGTGTGGTGGCTCCCACCTGTAATCGCAGCACTTTGAGAGGCTGAGGTGGGCAGATCACTTGAGGCCAAGAGCTTGAGACAACCTGACCAACACGGTGAAGCCCCATCTCTATTTAAAATAAAAAAGAAATAAAATTAGCCAGGAGTGGTGGCTCATGCCTGTAATCCCAGCTACTCGTGAGGCTGAGGCATGAGAATCACTTGAACTCAGGAGGCAGAGGTTGCAGTGAGCCGAGATCACGTCACTGCACTCCAACCTGGGCGACACAGCAAGACTTTGTCTCAAAACAAAAAACAAGATTCTAAGAGAGAGAACTACAAGGAGCAACACACCATAATCAGACCTGCGAAGACTTCCAATTATGGAGTGAGCAGACACAGAATACAATACATATTTAATATTTTTAAAACAAAAAAGAAGTGACTGAGAAATTTGAGAAGAGAGAAAATAAGGCTTCCCAGCCAACTTGAAAAAGAAGCACAAAATTTAAAAAAATTATTCATATTAAAAATTAAATAGATGGATGAAAAGTGTATTAGACAGTGTTAAAGAGAGGATGAAAGAATTGGAATATATATCTAACAAAATACTCAGATGGCAACATAAAGAAAACATAAAAGAGAGGTAAAGAAACATGTAAGATAGAGTGACAAAGCCTAACATCTAATCAGTGTTCCACAAGAAGGGAATAGGAATAATAAGGTAGAATTATACTTCACGTAATTATTAAAAATCTTTCAGTCCTGAAGAAATGCATCAATTCATGAAACCCAACAAATCCCAAATAAGATAAATTAAAAAAGCATATCTAGATAGTTCTTAGCAAAACTGCAAAACACTAAAACATATAGAAGATTTTAAAACAGCAGCCAGAGAGAAAAGACAGATTAACTTCAAAAGGGCAAAAATCAAACTTAAAGCTCATTTCTCAACAGCAATTGTATAAGTCATATAGCAGTGTAATGATTAGTTCAGTGTAATCATCAACATAGAATTGTATACCAGCTAAAATATCTTCAAAAATGAGTAAAATAAAGGTCTTTACAGACAGAAAAAAAAAATCCCAAGGGAGTTTGCCACCAATATACTCTCACTAAAAGAAATTCCAAAAATATTTTTTTCTTTAGAAAGAAGAGAAGTGACCCAAGATGAAGGCCTGTGAGGCAAAGAATGATGATTAAAAGAAAGAGTTGATATTCAGGTAAATCTAAACAAAAAGTGACTGAAGTAATAATAATATGTTATGGTTTTACAAATAAAAATGGAGCAATTTACCTATTAACAAAAGGATATGAACCAGGAAAACATACTATTGGGGTGAAAATATTCAATGGTTTTTCTGTTATTCAGGAAGAGGGTAAAAGTAAAAATTAATAACTTTTGCACTTTGAAAACCTTCATATACATGCCAAATTTTCTGAGTTCACCATAAAATCACAGAAATAGGTCCAGGTGCGGTGGCTTATGTCTGTCTGTAATCCCAGCACTTTGGGATGCAGAAGCGGGCAGATCACTTGAGCTCAGGAGTTCAAGACCAGCCTGGGCAACATGGCAAAACCCCAACTCTACTAAAAATACAAAAATTAGCAAGGTGTGGTGGTGGGCGCCTGTAATCCCAGCCACTTGGGAGGCTGAGGCAGGAGAACGGCTTGAACCCAGGGGGTGGAGTTTGCCGTGAATGGAGACTGCACCACTGCGCTCCAGCCTGGGTGATAGAGTGAGACTCTGCCTCAAAAAAAAAAAAAAAAAAAGAAAGAAAGAAAAAAAATCACAGAAATAGAATTAGAAACAGAATCAATAGAGGAGGAGAAAGGGAATGAGAAAATATAATCAATAAAAAGATAAGAAAGCAGAGAATAAAACAGGGAAAATGGAATAAGTATTAAACATGAAATAATTTTACTTATAATTTAAGAGGTTAAATATAATTTTAAAGATAAATATAATTTTAAAGATAATTTTTAATAATTTTAAATATAATAATAAAAATAATTTTAAAGAGATTCATCTAAGAAGCAAAGATTGTCAAGACAGATTTACATTGTAAATCCAACCATAAACCATTTAAGAAATATACAGGTAAAATAAAAGAAGACAAACAGTTCAAAAAGAAAAAGTCATTCACATACACATTCACACATACATAAGTAGGTGTGTGTGTAGTTGAAAACAAAAGAATAAAAACTAGATAGAAGTAGATAGATACAGACATAGACAGATAGGTGGGTAGATAGCTCAGACAACTGCTAATAAAATTAAAGCTAGTACCACTTTATAGACAAGGTAGATTCAAACAAAAATAATAGAGATAAACTCAGGATATAAATTATAACTGCTTTCAATCATAAAGAATATATAACAATTCTAAATGTTCGCACCTTATAACATAGCCTCATAATGCTGAAATAACTAAAAGGAAAATCTAGCATGAGATTTTTAACCGACTCCTTAAGAAACTGATAGATCAAGCAGACAAAAAGCAGTAAGGTTAATAGCTATATACAATGTCTCTTTAAACATAAACAAAATATGAAAATAATCTTATACGGGGTCATCAAATAATTCTCAACAATTCTGAATAACTGGAATGACCCACTCCATGCTTTCTGACAACACCACAATTAATTATAAGGCACTTAAAAATGTTAACTGGGGAGAGAGAAAACAGATGAGTTGCTGCTAGAGGTTAAGGATGGTGGGAAGAGGGGTGGGGTGTGATTCTGAAGGGTGGCATTAGGGAGATCTTAGTGGCGAGGGAGCACTTTGGTATCTTCGCTGAAGTAGAGGTTACAAGTGATAAAATAGCATAGAACTACACACACACCATAGCAATGTCAAATTTGTGGTTTTGATGTTTTACTATAGTTATGTAAGAGGGAACCAATGGGGAAAACTGGGTGAAGGGTACATGAGATTTCTCTGTACTATCTTTGCAACTTCTTGTGAATATGTAGTTACTCGAAAAGAAAAAGGTTTTGATTTTTGTCTTCGAGGTAACTGGAAAATAACTACATATTTGAAAATCAAGAAACATACCTCCAAATAACTCATGGGTCAAAGAAGAAATCATACTGGAAATTTAAAGGCATTTAGAACTGAATGATAATAAAATTTTACATATTAAATCTTGTGGAATGCAGCTAAAGATAAAACAGTGCTTACAGGAAAAGTTATCTCAAGTGCTTATATTAAAAAGGAAGAAAAGCTGAAAATAATGGGCTAATCATCAAAGAAAGTAGAGAAAACGATAAAGATATGGACAAAATTTATTAAATAAAAATACACGTATAATAGGGGAGTTGACAAAATTATAAGCTGGTTCTGTGAAAAGATTTTAAAATACTGATGACGCTCCAGCAAGGTCACTCAAGATCAAAAAAAAAAAAAAAAAAAAGGAAAAGAAAAGAAAGAAAACACAAATAAAATGAGGGTTGAAAGGGGACACAATTACAAATACAGTAAAGATTAAAAGATGACAAGAAGATATTACAAATAACTGTATAGCATAAATTTGAACAACTAGATTAAATGAGAAAGTTCTGAGGAAAATAAACTGTATCAAAATCAACTCAAGAAAGACAAGGAAACTTTTAGGGGCCTGTAAAAATTAAAGAAACAGAGTGGTTTTAACTCTTTCCACAAAGAAAACACTGGTACCAGATGGTTTTAAACAGTAAGTTCTATAAATCATTGAAGAAATAAATAATTCCAAACCTAGAATACGAATTCCAGAATGTAGATAATGAGAAACCACACCTCACATTTTAGAAGGGTGGCAAACTTAGTTACCTGGCAAGTAAAAAGAAAACATTGATATCAGTAAAAGAGATGAGCATGGTATCAGTGTGAGGTCAGTGTAACCTTGGAACCAGTACAGGAGAAAAATTCCAAGGCCATCACACTCATGAATATAAAAATTACAAATAAAATCATAGTCGACTGAATCCAGGGATTCAAAGATTTGTTGAACACTGGAAAATAAATGAAATCATTTACCACTTTAACAGATTAAGAAGAAAAATTATCTTAAAAGATCACAAAGTGTATGTATTCATTTTATACGCTATCTGAAAAAGGCAGAAAAAGAAAGAGAGAATAGAAAAGTAAGTGGTTGCCAGGGGTTAGGGGTGGGGAGATGGTTGGAGGACAAAAGGGCAGCCTAAGGGAACTTTCGAAGGTGACAGAACCAACTCTTCAGTATCCTGATTGTGGTGGTGGTTCCACGACCCTGCATATGTTAAAATTCATAAAACTCTCGCATTTTAGAAGGGTGGCAAACTTCTTTGCGGAAAGAGTTAAAACCACTCTGTTTCTTTAATTTTTACAGGCTTGTAAAAAATTAAAAGAAAGGTGGTTTGAAGAAACAAAACCATTATTATTCATAGATGATATGATTATGTAGAAAATAAAATCTATAGATAAAAGATTTGCAAAGAGCCTGAAGATGCTGAATATAACAACAATGAACAAAAATAAATTGCAGTTCCACTCTGGGAAGATGGAGTAGACAGACTTTTCCCTATTTCTCCCAGTAAGTACAACTAAAAACTCTAGATATTTGATGTTAAACAAACATAAGAAGACTCTGAAAGGTAGCAAGAAGACAGATCAGATAGGAACCTTGGTACCCAAGGAATGACAAGATGACTTCTCTAGGAATTCTTTTGCCTCATGTATTCCAGAATTGCAGCTGGCAATCTGGAATTGCCAGTAGGTACAGGCAAAAAAAAAAAAAAAAAAAAAAAAGCCAAAACAAAAGTCTGATCTCTCTAGCCAAAAGACCATGAAGGGACTGTTCAGCGAGACAGAAAACATTAGACAATAACTGCTCCACTCCACCAAAGAAAAATGGGGCCCTGTCCCACCCATGCCAGCAGTGGCTAGACTTCCATCTTTCCCAGGTAGTAACAACTTACTCCAACCCGGCCGTTGGGGTACTGTCAGAGAAGGCTGAGTAGAGCGATGGGACTTTCATCCTGCCATACGGCAAAAAGCCCTTTTCACCCACAGCCTTAGTGTAAAACATCTGGAGAACTGTAAATCACATCTCTATACAACATTAATGAGAAGTCCCTCACCTTGGGTGTCAACAAAGACCGAATGGGGAAGCTGGACTTCTACCTTTACCTGGCAGTAACAAATGGTGGCCCCTTCCCCACACTCGCAAGAATAATGTCAAAGGCAGCTAAAATGGAAGGTTTGAATAAGATCCAGGGCCTCATAACAATTTTTAAAAGTCCAGGATTCAATTGAAAATTACTAATCATACCAAACCCCAGAAATATTTTGAACAGGATAGAAGAAAAACCATCAATAGATGCCAACACTGAGATGATAGAAAATATAGAAATATTTGACAAAGATTTTAAGGCAGCTGTCATAAAATGTTTTAAATAAGCAATTGCAAACATGCTCAAAACAATGAAAAAGAAAGTTTCAACAAATAAATAGAAGATATGAAGAATCAAGTGGAAACCTTATCACTAAAAAATATAATTATCAAAATAAACTAAAGGAATGAACTCAGGGGACAGAGGAAAGAATCAATTAATCAGAATACGGAATAACAGAAATTACTCAATCTGAACAAGACAGAGAAAAATAGACTGGGAAAAAAATGAACCAAGCCTCAGGGATCTGTGATACTATAACAAAAGAGCTAACATTTGTGTCATAGGGTTGTGGAAGGAGAGAGAAAGAGAATGGGATTCATAAATAATGGCTGAGCACTTCACAAATTTAGGAAAAGAGATGAAATTACAGATTCAAGAAGCTTAGAGAATTCCAAACAATAAATCCAAAGAAACATACATAAAAGCCCATTATAATTTAACTTTAAAAACTAGACACATAAAATTATCTTAAAAACAAGCTGAAAGAAATAACACATTAATTATAAAGGAAACTCAATTCAGATGACAGTAGATTTCTTATCTGAAAGAGGACAGAAGGATGTGGTATATTTTTAAGTAATGGAAGAAAAAAATTGTCAGCCTAAGGTCCTTTATGTAGCAAAAAATATTTTTTTCTGAAATGAAAGAGAAATTAAGAGATTCTGAGATGAAGGAAAATGAATAGAATTTGTCACCACCAGAACTATCCCAAAAAAACAGCTAAAGCACATTCACGAAACAGAAGGAAAACAAACAAACAAACAAAAAGAATCTTAAAACGTCAGGAAGGAAAAACACATGGCAAACAAAATATGAGTAAATACAATAGACTTTTCTTCTCTTGAGTTTTCTAAGTTGTATTTGATGGTTGAAGCAAAAAATGTTAACACTGTGATGTGGTTTTAAGTGTATGTAAAGGAAATATTTTAAGACAATTATAGCATAAACGAGGTAGGTAAAGGGAAATAAGTTTGCTACACTTCACTTGAATTGGTAAAATGATCACTAGTAGACTATAATGAGTTATGTCTATATAATGTAAAGCCCACAACAACAACTAAAAAAGCTATACAAGATTTTTTATAGAGACAATCAATGAAACAAACCTCTAGCAAGACTGCAACATTAAAACAATAAAAAATAGAAGACACAAATTACTAATATCAGAAATAAAAGAGAAGCTATCACTACAAACCCTGAAGACTTCTGAAGGATAATAATGAAATGCTACAAACCACTCTACACACATAAATGTACTAAATGAAATGTACCAATTCCTCAAAAAGCACAAACTACCACAACTCTACAAATATGAAAAACATAATTTGAATAGTTCTATAACTATTAAGAACATTGAATTTGTAATTTCAAAACTTCCAAATGATAAACCTCTAGGGTCAGATGGCTTTACTGAAGAATTCTATCAAACATTTAAAGAATTAACATAAATTGTACACAGTCTTTTCCAGAAAATGGCAGAAAATACATCCCAATTCATCTTATTAAGCTAATATTATCTTGGTACCAAAACCAGACAAAGATTTACAAAAAAAGAAAACTACAAGCCAATAGTCTTCATAAATATAGATGCATGGCCAGACATGGTGGCTCATGCCTATAACAACAGCACTTTGGGAGACTGAGGCAGGTGGATTGCTTGAGCTCAGGAGTTTGAAACCAGACTGGGCAACATGGCAAAATTCTCTCTCTACAAAAAAAACTAAGAAAATAAAAATTAGCCAGGCATGGTGGCACATGCCTATGGTCCCAGCCATTTGAGAGGCTGAGGTGGGAGGATTTCTTGAGCCTGAGAGGTGAAGACTGCAGTGAGCCATGATTGTGCCACTGCACTCCAGCCTGGGTGACAGAGCAAGACCTTGCCTCAAAAAAAAAAAAAAAAAAAAAAAAAAAAAATATATATATATATATATATACTTATATAGCTAATATATAAGCAAAATGTTAGCAAATTGAATTCATCAATATATGAAAAGAATTATACATGATGACCAAGTGGAATTATTCTTGGAATGCAAGGATGGCTCAATATTCAAGAATCAATTGATGTTATTCACTCTATTAATAGGCTAAACAAGAAGAATCACATGATCATATCAATGAATGCAAAAAAATTTTTTGACCAAATTAAGTACCCAATCATGATTAAAAGCTGTCAGTACACTAGGACTAGAGGAGAATATCTTCAACCTCATAAAGAACATCTGCAAAAAACCTGTGGCTAAAACCATAATTAATAATGAAAACTAAACGTTTTCACCAAGACTGGGGACAAAGAAAGAATGCCCAATCTCAACACTCTCATTCAACATACTACTGGAAGTTCTACTTACTACAATAAGGAAACAAAAGAAAATAAAAAGCATAAAGATCAGAAAGGAAGAAATAAAACTGTCCTTGTTTGTTGATGATGTTGTTGTCTACACAGAAAAACTCAATGCCTAGAACTAATGAGTTTCAGTAATTCATAGGTATAAAATTAGCTTACAAAAATCAATTGTATTTCTATCTACTATCAATGAATATTTGGACACCCAAATTAAAATGCATACCATTTATAATCACTCAAAAGAAAGCAAAATACTTAGGCATAAATCTGACAAAACATGTATAGGACTTGTATGCTACAAACTACAAAGACACTAATGAGAGAAATGAAAGATGATCTAAATAAATACAGAGACATACCATATTCATAGATTGAAAAACTCAGCATAGTAAAGATTAATTCTTCCCAAACTGATATGCTGGTTTAACGCAATTCCTACCAAAACTTCAGTAAGACTTTTTGTAGATATAGACAAAATTATTCCAAAATTTATATGTAAATGCAAAGGGATTACATTAGCTAAAACGACTGAAATAGAAGAATAAAATGGGCGGAATCAGTCTACCCAATTTTAAGACTTAATGTATAGCTACAGAATTCAGCACTGTGTGATATTTGGTAAGAGATATACATAGAATAGAGAACACAGAAATAAGCCTGAAGCATATACCAAACTGATATGTGACAAAGATGCAGCAGGAATTCAATGGAAGATAGTTTTTTTCAACAAATGGTGCTATAATTGGATATCCACAGGAGAGAAAAAAAAAAAAAGCTTGGTTTAAGTTTCACATTTCACACAAAAATTAACTCAAAATGGACTTACAAGTATAATGTAAGACTATGAAACTTCTAGAAAAAATAGGAGAAAAGGTGGAGGTGGGGTTGGGAGGGAAGTGACTGTGGCTATATAAAGGTAACATGAGGGAACCTTGCGATGATGGAAATATTCTATATACTGGCTGCATCAACATCAGTAATATTCTACTATAATTTTACAAGATGTTACCATTGGGGGAAACTGGATTATACACAGACTTCTCTGTATTGTTTTCTTGTGACTTTTGGTGAATCTACCATAATTGCAAAATAAAATGTTTAATTAAAATAACTATTTAAAAATTGCATTCCATATGCCAGCAAATAGCAGTTCATAAATAGAATTATTAAAAAGATAAGAATTACAATGCACCAGAAAATGAGGAATGCCTGGGAACTAATCTAATGAAAGATATGTAAGCCCTTGCTGAAGAAAATTATAAAAATTGCTGAAATACATTAAATAAGGCCTGAATAATGCAGCAATATATCATGTCTATTAAAGTGGTAGGCTTAATAGATGTCAATTCTCCCCCAAATTTATCTACAAATTTAATGCAGTATCAAACTTTCAAGTCTTTTTTTTTTAGATTTAAGCTTATCCTTAAATATTTATCAAGAAGCAAAGGGCCTCAAATAAATAAGTATATCTAAATAAACACTAGGAAGGAGATACTTTCATACAAGAGAACAATACTTGTTTTAAAATATAGTGATTAAGACAATGGCTTATTGGCATACAAATCTTAAAAACTGACCAAATGGAATAGAATAGAGAGCCTAGAAACAACCCCATGTTCATAAGAGGAAACCTGAATTCTGACAAAACTAATACTTTAGATCTGTGGGGAAAGAGACACTTTTCAACAGAGGGCGCTGGAACAATGGGCTAACTGTATGGAAAAAAAATAATGTACCCCTATACCCCACAGACATCAATTCCAGGTAGACTAAAAACATAAACACAAAAGGCAAAACTCTAAGATGTTTAGAAGACAACAAAAAAGAATAGACATTATAAAATAATGTTTATTACTTTAGGAAATGGTAACAATTTTTAATAAGATACAAAAGCATAAAGTATAAAGGAAAGGATTGATAAATCCCACATTAAAGTTAGGAACTTCTACTCATCGATTAAAAGAGTAAAAATGACAAATTAAAAGCTGGGAGAAAATAGAGAAAGCTGGGAAAAGAAGGAAGAAGACTAGCAAGCCAAAAGAAAAATAGAAAAAGGTTTGAATGAGTATATAACATTGAAGTTTCTATAAAATATGAAAAAAGGTTTATATACGTACAACGTTATTAGTAATCAGGGAAATGAAAGTTGCAACTAAAATTAGAAACAATTTCATTGCCCTGAGATTGGAGAAAGTTTAAAATCTGATGTTATCAAGGATTGATGAGGATGCAAAGGAACAAAGAAACTTACACCTGCTGATGGAAGGGTAGATTGGTATAACCACTTCAGAAAATAATTTGGCTTTATCTAGTATATATGAAAATTCCCATACCCTTTGACTCACCATTTCCACACCTAGATTTATACTCTACTGAACTTGCACAGATGCCACTGGAGGTATGTACAAGAATGCCCATGGAAGTATAGTCTCTAATTTAAAGTAGGTGAGGGGAAAGGGGAAATATCTCAAACGTCCACCAATAGTAGAATGGATAAATTGAGTGGTTTTCACACAATGGAAAACTCAAGAGCAGAGAAAAATCAATGAACTACAACAAAATGAAATAATATGAATGAATTCCTGGAACATAATATTGAATAACATAAACAAATTTACCAAAGAGGAATCACAGTGCAATAGCATTGATATCATGTTCACAAATAAGAAGAACGGAGACTTCCAATTCCAGGACAAGATGGTAGAGACTGACTTTCCTCCTCTTTGCTAAATACAACTAAATACCCTGGGAATTATTTAATAGACAACAATATAAAGATTCTGAAAGTCAGAATGAACTGGTTAGTTACCTCAGGACTTGGGAAACAACAATAGGGTGAGTTCCCTGGATTTTCTTTCTATCTACTATCTACCCCAAACTAGAGGCTGGAGAGGCCTGCAACCCAGAACTGCCAATAGGCAAAGCCAAAAACAAACAAACAAACAAACAAACAAACAAAGACAAGCCTGTTCTCGCCAGCCTGGCTAAAACACCAGGAAAGGAGGAAGACCAGCAAAGACCTAGTGGGGAATCCCAGCCTCTGTTCCACAACCAGGGTGCCAAGATGTGGTCTGATATGTCTACTTTAGCAGCAGCAAAATCCTAGGTTAACTCAGCCCCACTCTATCACTGGGGCACTGGCAAGTGGTCCAGTTCATCTTCAGGGGCAGCATCAGCTGAGTGCTTCATTTTTTTCTGCTCTCCACCTAGTAGAAAAAGAGGCCCAGGCCCTGTAGGTTTTTTCTGTCCCCAAACCTAAGCAGCAGATGGTCACCCAGTGGTACCAGGCAGCCCAGGAAAGGTCTTTTCACCCCAGTAGACAGAACTGCAGGGATTGAGCAAGACCACTGGTAGTGCCAGAAAATGAAGCATACCAGAATAGCACTGCAAGGGCTCTGAACACTGAAATGCCATTGTAACAAAAGCTCATAAGAGTAGGCCAGAACTACATGCTAATCCTAAACAGAGTGGCTGCCTACTAAAACAAAAGATCTAAGTCAGATGAAGAGTCTTCTCACATAATAATCAAAATGTCCAAGATACAATTGAGTCACTTATAATGTCAAGAACTGAGAATTCACGAGTCATGTGAGAAAAGATAAACTAAAATAAACCCAAATAAATCAACAACTAGATACATCATAATTAAACTTCTAAAAACTAAAGATGAAGAAAATTTGTTTAAATAACAAAAAGATGACACATTACCTGTAAAGAAAAAAAAAAAAGAACACCAATTCAAATGACAGCAGATTTCACATCTGAAAACATGAAGGTCAGAAGTCAGGACACATTTTTTTAAGCATAAAGAAATTCATGTCAACCATAAATCCTATATCTATTGAAACTACCCTTCAGGAATGATGGAAAATAAAGATATTCTCAGGTAAAAAAAAAAAAAAACTAAAAGAATTCATTGCTAGCAGGCCTACCCTTAAAGAATGGCTAAAGGAAATTCTTCAAATACAAAGAAAATGATAAAATGTCTGGAACCTTTGGAAAGGAAAGAAGAAGAATAGAATGAGTAAAAATATAAATAAACATAATAGATCATCTTTCCCTTTATGAGTTTTTTTACTTATATTTTATGGTTGGGGCAAAAGTTATAACAACACCTAATGAGGTGTTCAATAGATATAGAGAAAGTACTTAAAACAATAATATTTAAGAAATGGAGAAAAGTAAAGTGATCTAAATATAAGTAAGACTTCTACACTTTACTCGAAGTGGTAAAATGTCAGTACCAATAGGCTGCATAACAAGTTATGTGCATATATGGTAATATATACAGCAACCACTATGAAAACTATAAAAAGTTATATACTCAAAAGCATAATAAATAAATCAAAGTGGAACTCTTTAAAATGTTCAAGGATTACACCGGATGGCAAAAGAAAATAAATGGAGGAACAAGAAATAAAGGGAACAAACAGGAAACAAATAATAAAATGACAGACTTAAGTTCTAACATACAAGTTATTACTTTAAATATAAATTGCTTAAATACACCAGTTAAAATACAGAGACTAGGCCGGGCGCAGTGGCTCACGCCTGTAATCCCAGCACTTTGGGAGGCTGAGGTGGGTGGATCACGAGGTCAGGAGTTCAAGACCAGCCTGGCCAAGATGGTAAAACCCCATCTCTACTAAAAATACAAAAATTAGCCAGGCTTGGTGGCAGGTGCCTGTAATCCCAGCTACTCGGAAGGCTGAGGCAGAGAATTGCTTGCACCTGGGAGGCGGAGGTTGCAGTGAGCCGAGATTGCATCACTGCACTCCAGCCTGGGTGACAGAGCAAGACTCCGTCTCAAAATAAATAAATAAATAAAATAAATAAAATTAAAAAATAAAATAAAGAGACTGGTAGAGTGAATAAAAATTTCTAAATGACCCAATTATATGCCATCCATAAGAAACTCACTTGAAACATAACAAATAGGTTGAAAATAAAAGGATAAAAAATAGACACCATGTAAATGCTAATCAAAAATAAGTGGAACTAAATAATAAAACATTCAGATATACAAACAGGTATAATAAAGTATAAAGAAAAGCAAGAGAATAATAACCCAAAATTAAGTGGTTACCTTAGAGAGGAGTGAGAATGGAAAGGCATCAGGTAGGAACATTCAAATAATCTCAAAGTTAACGGTAAGGTTTGTTTCTTAAACTTGATAATTGACACACCGGTGTATAGGGCATCTTTATTTTTTAGAGTGTGTATACATCTTACAAATTCATTTTTATATGTTCAATATTTAATAAAATACTTTGAAGATCTTAAAATAATAAACTATGATACATGTGTGTGATGTATAGAATCTCATGCAGCCTTAAACCTTTTTTCAGACATTCTTCTAAACTGGGGGTGGAAACACAAATTGTTACAGTAAATTCCTCCTACCTGCAGCTAGTTGCCATTCTTCAATGGGAATATGTAAGTTTCTTAATTGTTTGTTGTTTCAAGCAGGGATGGTGGAAACTAAGGGTGCAGGATAAGAGGAGGATCAGGAAAAGATTTATGGCGGATGCTCCACTGAAGCTGAGCCTTAGAGGATAACTAAAACTTGGGTTCATAAAGATGAGAGTGAGGAAGATATTCCAGGCAGAGAGCCACAAGGACAAAGGCTTGGAGGCAGTAACCAGTGGGTTATATGTGAAGGACAGGGAGAAGCCTACATGGGTTGTAATGTACAAATGAAGGGCCGTATTGAGAAATAGAGTTGGAAAGGTAGATGGTTTACTACTTCTTCCCAGTTTCCTTTCTTTTTTTGAGATGGAGTCTCCCTCTGTTACCCAGGCTGGAGTGCAATGGTTGCGATCTCAGCTCACTGCAACCTCCACTTCCCGGGTTCAAGCAATTCTCCCTGCCTCAGCCTCCTGAGTAGCTGGGATTACGGGCACCCACCACCAGGCCTGGCTAATTTTTGTGTATTTCGTAGAGACAGGATTTTTGCCATGTTGGCCAGGCTGGTCTCGAACTCCTGACCTCAGATGATCCACCCGCCTCAGCCTCCCAAAGTATTGTAATTACAGGCATGAGCCACCGCGCCCGGCCTTATTCTCCTCTTCTTTTCTACCTAACACCTCTTCACTAACCAAATGAAGTTCTGCCAGAGCTAATGAAATTCAAAAGGCCAACTCCTAAAACTAGCTTTCAGGAATAGTACAAAATGTTTTCTGGCAATAAAAACAGCAACTAGAAATCACATTGAATTGGGGAGACAGTCAGCAAGTGAAGATTAATCATACCTGTGGGCAGCCCCTCCTTGCTTCCTGCACATGGACCACCCTTGCCTCCCTGCTCATCCTCCCACACACTCAGGGGATACAGCTGGCTCTGTGGGAGTCATGGAGCCCTAAGCTTCCCTCTCAGTGGCTGCTCTCAGCATCCATAAGTCGCTCTTCTGCGGCAGGAAGAGGCAGGCAGCCAAAAGATTGGGTTTCCCACTTGCCAAGAAGGCCCAGGCCCCAAAGCCACAGGCTGAGTTGCTCACAGGCAGCAAAGCAAAGGATTTTGTCTGCTGAAGGAAGGCCTTGACCACCTTTTCTCCAACCACAGCACATGCCAGAGATTCAGACGACTGATCTGACCTCATCAAATCCTGAGTCATGCTATATGAGTGGTGACACTGTCTGACCAATTACTTTGAATTTTTAAAGAAAGCAAGATTTTCCACTCTATGGAGGTCATTCTCATGTGGATAAAGCATTTCACATCTTTTTAGGAGGGCAGCTCTGAAGTGGGGACCTCCCACACATTCGGTCTCATCTGCTGCTGTCCTTCTTCCAGATCGAGTGTCCTGTAACTCCATATCCCACCCAATGGGAATGCCCAAAGCAATATTCAGTGTAAAGCCATGTGTTGATTCAAATAAACAAATGCAAGTTTGGGCCATGTGAATAGACTCTCTGCCTTAAGGGTGGTCTCATTATACCCTTTTATGGGTATAATGCCACTCCTTTCACAAACATTTATAGAGCCATTATTATGTGCCGTTCCCAGTCTCATTCAGTTCTGTGCTCCACCGTGTCGTAAAACATGGGGTTCCAGGTCTACTTTGTGACCTGCTCACATTCAACTGGAGAGAAATTGAGAAATGGGAGGCATGAGACTCCATCAGGAGAGCTTGTGCCCCTGATACAGTTTAGATGTTTTGTCTCCTCCAAATCTCATGCTGAAAGGTGATCCCCAGTGTTGGAGGGGGGGCCTAGTGGGAAGTGTTTGGGTCACTGGGGGCAGATTCCTCATGAACGGCTTTGTGCTCTTTTTGTGGTCATGAGTTCACATGAGATCTGGTTGTTAAAAAGAGTCTGGGATCTCCTCTCTCTCTCTTGCTCCCTCTCTTGCCATGTGACACAACTGTTCCCTCTTCATCTTCCATCATGAGTAAAAGCTTCCTGAGACCTCACCAGAAGCCGAGTAGATGCTGGTCCCATGCTTGTATAGCTTGCAGAATGGTAAGCCAAATAAACCTCTTTTCTTTAAAAATTACCCAGTCTCAGGTATTCCTTTATAGAAATGCAAAATGGACTAACACAGCCCCCAACCTTATCTTTTCTCTGGGTCTGTGCTATCAATGGAGAATCACACCACTGGTATGCACAGTTCAAGGCTGGAGAGGTACCAGGGTAGCTGTTTACTGGGCATGGGGGCAGTGATTAGAGAACTACAGGTGTTCACATACATGCATTTATGGCCCCTAGTGGTGATGAACAGTGCTGAGAGTGGTACAAGAAAGAGAATCCTAGCTGGCAGCCAGGAGCCATGAAATGGCTTTTCCTACACCATCACCTTCCAGTGGAAAACTCTGAGGAGTCCAAGAAATCAGTTGAACTTGGCCATCCAAGTTCTTATCAAGGTATATTTGTCAAGGTAGGAAGGTAGAACATGTATTTTTAACATATTTTACCTTGACTTATAACTTTTTAGACACTTAACATGTAGATCTCATGTGTACTTTCATTCTAGGGCCTACCTGTATTAGAGGCAGCCTGCTGCAGGCAGAAAGGAAGTGATCTTACCGAGAAACACATAAATGCAGGAAGGAATGAAAAATAATGGAAAATGTAAACATTTAAATTAATGTACATGAATATTGACTCTATAGAATAATAATGATATAGTCTGGAGTTTTAAATATATGTAGAATTAAAATGCATGACAATAATACCAAAAAGTGGGCAAGTATAAATGGAGTTGTGTGTCCTAAGGTTTTAGCATTATTTGAGAACTAGTAAAAAGTACAAATTTATATAAGACTAATATATTAAGACTGTATGTTGTATATTTTAATGATTAAAAAAGTAAAAAAATTATAGCTAACAAGCTAATCATAGGGGAAATGGAATAGTAAAAATTATGTTAGTCCAAAAGAGGGCAAGATGAGAGAGAAAACAGAATATAAAACACTTGAGACAATTAGACACTAAATAATAAGAGAGTACACATAGATCCAAACACATCTGAAATGATATTAAATGTAAATAGTGTAAACACCTACAATTCTAAAGACAAAGATTGAAGGAAGAACAACATAATTATATGATGCTTGCATGTGATATACTTTAAATATGTGAACACAGATTGAAGATAAAGAAGGAAAAAAGATATACCACGCAACCACTCACCAAAAGATAGTGGTGAAGCTATACTAGTATCAGACAATTTTTCAGAAAAAAATCAGCACTAGTCAAAAGAATATTTCGAAATTGTAAGAGCATTTATCAACCAAGAAAACATAAAAAGTTATAAAGGTCTATGCACATAGAGTATAGCTTCAAAATATATAAGGCAAAAATTGACAGAACTAAAAGGAGAAACAGACCAATCTACAATAATAATGAGAGGCTTTAACATGCTTCTTTCAGCAAATAATTGAGAGCTGGAATTGATAAAGTTAAAAAAGATTGGGAAAATAGCTAACAAGCTATTCATAGGGGAAATGGGTAGACAAATATCTTCTCTATTTGACTATTCATGCAAATTAATGGTTATTGTGGAATTTGACCTAATAGACAAATATAGAAGATGGCACTCAACAAATATATATGTATATACAGATATATATATGCATACACATACACAGACATATATACACATTTTTTGTGTGTATATATGTGTGTGTGTGTATATGCATGTATATATATTCTCAACAAATTTCCAGTGATTAAAATCATTCGCAATACATTCTCTTCTTTAACTATGGAACAATTAGTCTAGGAATCAATCAAGACACACACACACACACACACACACACACACACACACAGAAAGAGAAGACATATGTATCAATATTAGGAATGAAAAATGAACATCACTATGGTTTTTACCAATGCCTAAAAAATAACAAGTATACACACACGCACATCAATGTAAGTAAAGCTGAGAAAATGTGAGTAACGTTAATGGTTTGCATCAAAATCAATATGCTGGTTGTGCTACTGTACTAGAGTTATGCAAAATGTTACTTTTGGGGAAAACTGGGAAAAGGTACACAGGATCTTTCTATTATTCTTTACAACTTCATGTAAATCTACAACTATCTCAAAATTTGAGTAAAAATATAAGATTTTTATTAACAACTTCATGCTAATAAATTTGGAAATTCAAATGAAACAAATTCTCAGAAGAAAAATGCATCTTACCAAAACTGATATCAAAAGAAGTTGAAAATTTGTATAGTCCTATTTCTACTAAATAAATACAGTGATAATTTAAAACCTTTCCAAAAAGAAATCTCTAGTCCCAGACGGCTCATAGGTGAATTCTTCAACCATTTTAAAAAAGTATAGCACCAATGTAAGTCAAAGTATTCCAGAAAATGGAAAAGAGAAAGTATTTCCTAACTCATTTCATGAGGTCAAAATACCCATAGTTTGAAAACCAGACCAAAACATTACCAGAAAGGAAAGTTTTAGGTTATCTCTCTCATAAACACAAGGGGCAACAATTACTAACAAAATATTAGCATATCAAATCCAGAGTTATATTAAAAGGACAATACATCATAGCTAAATTGAGTTTATTCCAGGAAGACAAAGTTGTTTCAACATTCAAAAAAGTCAATTAGTGCAATTCACTACATGAAAAAGTAAAGTATAAAACTCCATACGAGCATCTCAATAAATGCAGGAAAAAATCATTTCACAAAATTCAACAATTTATGTTGGCGGTGGGGGTGGCGGGCAAAATAAAACCTCTGCCAATTGTGAACAGAGGCAAACTTCCTTAATCTAATGAAGGGTAGCTACAAAAAAACTACAACAAACATCATATGTACAGACATAATAATAATGAAACTTTCCCCTTGAGATTAGGAATGAGACAAGGATGCCTGTTATCACCACTTCTATTCGACATTGCACTGTAGGCCTTAGCCTGTAAAATAAAGGGGAAAAAAGTATAAAAATTGGAAGGGGAGAAATAGAGCTCCGCTTATTCAGAAATGGTAGGTAACGATTGGATATGCTGAAAAATAAACAACAACAACAAAAATCTCCAATCAAACTTTGCAGAAATATATCATGTAAAGGGACTGGAATATCAAGTACTGTAAAGATGTCAGTCTTCTTCAGATTGATCTATAAAGCCAAAGCAATTCCAATAAAAATTCCAACGGAAAAACCAAGTCTAGTTTTAAGAACAAATGTGAAAAAAAAAAGAAAAAAAAAAAAAAAAAAAAAAAACAAGAACAAATGTGGAGGACTTACATGACCAAATATCATAAAGCTTATTAGAAAGCTTCAGTAAATTGAACTGTGCAAAAATAGGAAAAATAAAAGACTAATAGATCAGAATAGAGAAACCAGAAATAGACCTATACATATGTGATCCTTGACTTATAAGAGAGATGACACTGCTATGCAGTGGGGTGAGGACAGGATTTCCAAAAAATGGTGTTGACTACATTGGATATTCACGTAGGAAAAAAGTTAGCAGCTAACTCACAACATATACAAAAATTTATTTAATGTGAATTAAAGATCCAATTGTGAAAGATAAAACAACCAAGCTTCTAGAAAAAACATGAGGAAATATCTTTATGACCTTTGGGTAGGCCGAGCAGAGTGGCTCACTCTTGTAATCCCAGCACTGTGGGAGGCCAAGGTGAGTGGATTGCTGGAATGCACAAGTTTGAGAACAGCCTGGGCAACATGGTGAAACCCCACCTCTACAAAAAATACAAAAATTAGCCAGGCATGGTGGCATGTGCCTGTAGTCCCAACTACTCAGGAGGCTGAAAGGGGGGATCACTTGAGCCTGGGAGGTTGAGGTTGTGGTGAGCCCATGTTCATGCCATTGCATCCCAGCCTGGGTGACAAAGCAAGACCCTGTCTTAAGAGAGGGAGAGAGAGAGAGAGAGAGAGAGAGAGAGAGAGAGAGAGAGAGAGAGAGAGAGAGAGACAGACCGACCTTGGGTAGATCTCCCCTCCCCTCCCCTCCTCTCCTCTGGTCTCCTCAGCTCTCCTCTCCTTTCCTGCCCGCCTGCTTGCCTTCCTTTTTTCAGAGACAAGGTATTGTTATGTTATGTTGCTATGTTATGTTATTGTTATATTATGTTATATTGTTATGCTGCCCAGGCTGGTCTCAAAACCTCCTTGGGTTCAAGGGATCCACCTACCTCAGCCTCCCAAAATTCTGGGATTACAGGCATGAGCCACTGTGCCCAGCCAGAAAATGATTTATTTGTGAATCTGGGGCCAGGTTTGACTTCTGAGATGTAGGAGTGATCCCTCTCACTCCTGCCTCCAGCTTTCTCTCCCCTTCCTCCACTGTCTCCCTCTGCATTTTCACCTCCGTCTTCACCTGCATCCCCCATGCTCTGATGCCCTTTAACTCTCCAGGGAATCCTACCTTTGTCCGCCACCCATGTATACTGAGCCTCCTGGAGAGGTGGACAGGAGAGTCAGCTTGACCAGAGCTCATTTGCTGATTTCTAAGATTGCTTAGATTTCACAGAAATCTTAGCTGTACCCATTCCTTCTAGGGAAGCTCCATAATGAAGGGTGTAAATCCTATTATTGTGGAATATTCTAGGGAAATGAAAGGTAACCTAGAAGTCTCTTTGTAGGATATAATTCCCCCACTACTCATTCTCTGGCTGAGACCTTTCCTTAAGAAAACTGAGCAAGGAATGCCATTCAGGTTGGGGAAGAGATAAGGGACAGAATTAACTATGCTTACACCTGCCCCCTTCTCTAGACTGCAAGTTCCCTGAGGGTATAATATCAAATCTATTTCTTTATCTCCAGAGGACAGCTCATAACAAGTCCCTGCCAATGTCTGAAGAAAGAGAAAGAAATAAGGAAGAAAGGAGAAGGAAGAGAGGAAAGAGGAGAGGGAGAGTTTGACCTTTCGTTCCCTCTAACTGAGCTGCCTTCCATTTGGCCTTAACATCCTACTTAAAGGGCATTTAAAAATACTCTTCCCATTTGCAAACAGACAGGGGCTGGAGTAGCCAGTAAGTCCCTGTATTCCTTCTTTCAAAGTTCTAAGTCTGATAAATTGTATTTGCTTTTGTTTATTAACTTAGGAAGCCTGACTTTTGACATTCTCCCATTTGAATTCATCTCCAGGGGTCTAGAAGCTCCCCCAGAACAAACAGCCCTAATCAGTACTTTCATGCACAACACAGATTCAAATGCTTAATTAGTTTGGATTCTTCACGCCCATGCCCCGCTTTGGCACATCCTGGGGCATTAATTTACCCAGTCTTTTCTGGGCCAAACACAACCCATCCAATAAGGCTTTAAAAAAAAAAGTTGGCTGTTTATATAACTTCCTCTTCTTTAATTTTTATATTAGGCGTTTCCAGAGGAGAGGCTAACATCACAGGGCCTCATTCCAGATGTTGTTTTGAAATCAGTGTAACCATGGCATTGCTGGAGCCTGCAGAGTTCATCTGGGCCAACTGAGTCACGCCTGGGTGCAGGGCCACTCTGGCGAGGGGAGGCAGGGAGGGAGGCAGACAGGGCATGGACTAGAGTGTCCCTGTGAGAAGGGAGAAGTGAGTGGGTGTGGGCTATTGAGTACTCTGAGCTTCTCCAGAAAGGATATGAGGACCTGCTGTTGCCTTTGGCCTTGCTGACCTGGAACCTTTGATTGCAGGACTTGCTTAGGCAACTGAAACCCTCCCTTGCTTACAATTCACTCTTGGATCTTTAAGGATCACCTGTACTCCTTAAAAAAAAGAACAAGAGAGCTCAGGTTCTGAATTGGACAATGCCCCTCTCTGTTGTCCCAGTTCATCCCTGCCTCAAACTTGACTCCACTGTGCTCATCACCTCTTCTGCCACCCCCAGCAAATTCTTCCAAGCCCCTGTGAGCTCCTGCAAGCCCCTGCGAGCCCATATCCCTCTGCCCATTCCCACCTCTTACCACCATCCAGACTGGTTTCCTGGAATATCCTGCTTTCAACAGCCACCTCCCCCAGGACGCCCCTCCCCACACTGTCTGCCCTCCTCGGTGTACCCATGATTTCCCTGACATGTCTTTGCCTGCACTTTGGCCACATCAGAAATAAGAATGATCCAGTTTGTCCCTGTCTCCCTCATTATCCTCTGAGCATTGTCAACTATAACTCTTACACACTGTCTAGCACATTGAAGGGACTCAATAAATGTGTTTGAATTCATTAAGTGCTTAATTCCTCAGAATTAGTGCCCCCATGCTAAAATAGAAATAATAATCATCATCATATTTATCAAGCAATTACTACATGCATTGTTCTGTTTTAGGTGAATTTTCTCATGTAAGTGCCTATAATGTTATCCTTATAATATCCATATGAGATATATACTATTTTTAACTTTCTCCATTTAACAGGTGAGAAAACTGAGGCACAGAGAGGTAAAGTGGATTGTCTAGGATTACACAGCTAGTAACTGCGAAAGGCAGACCACAACCTAGGCAGTCAGATTAATGAGCCCACACACCTAACCCCTGTGCCATATTGCCCTTCAGAAATAGCAATATTGCTATTATTATATTAGTATATGTATATTTGATAATATGCATCATTAACATATTCTACTACCTTCCTCCCAAGGTTTGGGGGAAAGGAAGACAATGAGATAAGAGTTGTGAAGACATTTTTAAACCCAAAATATGGACTGGGTGTGGTGGCTCACTCCCCCAAGCACTTTGGGAGGCCAAGGCGGGCAGATCACTTGAGGTCAGGAGTTTGAAACCAGCTCAGCCAACATGGTGAATCCCCATTTCTACTAAAAATATTTTTAAAATTAGCTGGGTGTAGTGGCAGGCTCCTGTAATCCCAGCTACTCTGGAGGCTGAGGCAGGAGAATCACTTGAACCCAGGAGGCAGAGGTTGCAATGAGCTGAGATCGCACCCCTGTACTCCAGCCTGGGCAACAGAGCGAGACTCCGTCTCAAAAAAAAAAAAAAAATGTGTTGTACATGTGAATCACAAAGAGATGAAAAGGTGAAGTTTGTTCTTTCCCCTGCCCGGGTCCCTCCCCATGCCCACTCCTTCCCCATGCCATCTAGCCATTCTCAAGTATCCAGCCTCCTGCTGTGGAATAGGTACAAGGACAGAGTGATAGACGTGCTCACCTGTGCCCGGAGACCCCAGCATAAGCATTCAGACCTCTCCTCGCCTGTCTTTGCAGACGCATGTCCCTTCGCCTGGAATTCTCTCCCCTCCACCTCTGCTTAGTACAACTGCGCACCCTTAAGAGCACAACTCACCATTTTCCTGACCATTTTTCCAGCCCCTCCTGTTTTGCATGTTGGGACAGGGCACCTCCTTCCCCTACTACCCCCAGGTGCTCAAGCTGAAACTTCTACCCCCAGGTGCTCACAGGCTGAAACTTGCAGTTGAAGTTTACTTCTCTCATTCTCTCACATGCTACATCCTTGCATCAACAAATCCCTACCTTGGCCATTCTCAGTGCCTCTACCACCACCACCTCAGTCCAAGCCACGTCATTTCTGGCCTGGGTTATTGCTGCAGTCCCCCTCACTGGTCTCCCTACACTCCATTCTCCACTCAGCAGTCAGAGTGCTCCTTTTAAAGCACCAATCTGAGCATGTCACTTTCTTACTCAAAATCCTCCCATGGCTTCCCATCCTTCGTAGAATAAAACTCCAAGTCCTTGCCACAGCCCTTGTTCTGGTCCCTGGCTGCCACCTCAACTTGGTCTTCTACCATCCTCCTCTTTCCTCTTTACCCCAGGCATACCGGTCTCCTTGATGCTCCTAGGCACACTCTTGCTTCCTGTCTTTGCACATGCTGTTCCCACTGCCTGCAATGCCCTTCCCCAGGTGGGCACGTGATGCACCCCCCTCCACTTCATTCAGGTCCTTGCCAAAATGTCACATCTTTAGAGAAGCCTTTGTGATTACCTTTTCAATAAAAAGCAGTAACCCCTCCTCATCACTCTCTATCCCCTTATCCTGCTTAATATGTCTTCATAGTCCTTCACTACTTAATATAATATTATATTATATATCAAGTTGTTATTATCTATATCCCCAAATCAGAATAAAAGTTGCAATAGGACTGAGTCTGTTTTGCTCACTCCCGTGCCTGGCTTAAGTATTTACTGAATGAAGGAAGGAATGACAGCATCCCCAGAGACATGATGCCTTTTTCCTTTGAGCCTCCCACAGCCCTCCTACACCCCTCTTGTAGTGTATTTTTCACTCTATCTTAAGTGAGTTATTTCGGGGCAAAGACTGGACCCCCACTGTGCCTTGCAGATAATAGGTGCTCAGGAAATACCTATGATATTAAGAGGAAGCATGTGAATAATCCATTCTAGGATTCTGCTGAGGTCTTGAAATACTTTTTGAATTTCATTTAGGTGAGCGCTAATCTAGATACATTCATAATGTCACTAATAAATTTGACTCTCAGTTGGTGGATTAGATTTTTTCACATCATTAATGGCAGCCTGGGAGCCTGGCGAGCCTCCCCCAAACCCACTGGGCTGATGGCTTCTCCTTCTACCCAATTAAGTGAGTGCAGGACATATTAATAGAAGTCACATCATGGGTTATAGAGCAGACTGGGCTGGGTGAGGCTCTTAAGGATGCTGTGGAGTCCTTAAGGCCCTTAACACAAATGTTGTTTATTATGTGTGTTAAATAGTGATTTCCCTCCTGAAGAAGGCAAGCTGTACAGAGGTGACAGACCCCTTTCAAAGGTACTGGAATGTCTTCCCTATTTAAATGCATAGACTGGCAGTAGGCTATAGGAGAAATGTCTGTATGTTGGCTTATCACTGCGTTAGCAGCACTGATCCCATGGTTTAGGGCCATCTGGACTCTTGAAAAATCTCACCTTTGATAGAAGCCACAGCACTTGATAGCAAAATATTTTACTTGGTCTAGATTTCTGGTATTCTGCAATCTCCATCTCATTATGATGACAAAAATTGAAATATGATATAACAGAAAGGAAAACATTCTGAATTCTGGCAGGTCCCCAGACACTGCTTATTTCCCCCTCCCCTATTGATGGCTCCACTTGCCACCTTCAGCATCTACACCTATGTTGAAAATGGCAGAAGGTACCTGGAAAATGTTCACAGTCAGCATTCAGGGAACAAACTCACTCATCCGGCACCCCTTACCTTGCTTGCCATAAGGCCTCCTTCTCTGCCCAGGCCCTATAAGTCTGTTTCTATAAGTCTACAAGAAAGATGTGATTTGGCCTGCCTATGGTATGCTCTATAATGCCTGTCTAGAGAAAAGAGCTTCCCAGTGTATTGACTACTGCATCTGGCATTTTCCATCAGGGATCTAGGCTCAGTTTACCTTGGAGTGACATAGTGCTTCCCTGAACCTCTCAAGCAAGAGTGTTAACTGAGCCTGATTCACTCCCATACTCATTGTTACAGTTCCAGTGGGCCCTGCCTCAACTTTTTTCTTGCTCTCTTTCAGAATTATAACTCTGCAGCTTCATGATTTTTGAATAAATGGATTCAAAGACTTTAATTCACAGCACCAGAAACCAACTGCAGGCTAGTTCAGGCCTGCAAAGCCTGGGCATACCTTCATGAAGAATATCCTCCTACAGGTCTTGCCTCGATCATTCCCAGCTGCTTGGAGTTGAGCAGCCTCCGAGGCCAGTGCTAGATCAGGAACACTGCTGGGCCCAGCCTCCGATGTGTCTGCCAGCTGCACAGATGAGTGGAAAATTCCCTCCTTGCCCTGGGCCAAGGAAATCTCAAAGGGATCAGGATATTTCTCATCAGGGCTAGAGCCATCATCACTGGTCTTAGCATTACAGAGCATCAGGGACCTGGAGATGGACCGAAATTTTGCAGATTTTCTGCTCTTTCCAGCGCGGCTGTGCGACTCCATCCTCAAAGAGGAAGTGAAGCTGCCTTTCTTCCTTTCCTGGTCTCTGGCCCTTGGCTGACGGGTGGCCACTGGACAGGGCTTAGCTGCCACTTCATGAGTCCCTAGAGGAAAGAGGAAATGGGAAGAAGCAATGTGACTTGCTGCTGACAAGTGGAGCTGCACACGAGTCCTGGATCTGAGCCACGGGTTCTTGGTGCCCGTGAAGCAGGACAGATGGGCAGATCATCCTTTAAGATCACTGGCCCTTCCAGTGTGCCAGCCAAATGGGGCTCAGTTAACCCAAGCGGTTAACACCCACTCCACTCCCAGTGTCATGGAGACCTAGCCCCAGAGCTTCTCATTCTATAGACAAGGGAACTGAGGTGCAGAGAGGGGAAGTACCAACCCAAGGCACTAGCAGAAGAGCCAGTAATAAGTTACAGGAGACAGTTTAGGGATCTTAGAGGCCAGTACTTTGTGAGGTTTTTAAACTTGGAAGCCATTCTTTAAACAAAAGTGTGCAGTGAACTCCAGTCTATAGAGCAGACCAAAGATGGGAAAACCAAAACTAAGTTCCACTTTCCTGGTCCCCTTGGTAACTTCACCCTTGATAACTCCCATGGCATCTCCAAAGAAACCCCAGAATCCATGGAGCTGAGTCTGAAGACCACTGATGTCTTATGTCCTCCATTGACAGATGAAGAGCCCAAGGCTAGGAAGGTTGGAAGTCTTACCTAACACTGACCTGCCAGAGTTGATGTGAGCATAAAAGAAGGTGACACTTGGCAAGTGCCTGCCAAAGGGATGAGCACATAACAGGCTCCTGGCAAACATGAGTGCCTTTCTCCAGGCCTAAAGTCAAACACTTGGCCAGAGTCACAGTCAGGCCCAGGGGCTCCTGCTTCATCACCTATCCCCACTGGGTCAAACTCTCACAGCCAGAGAGACCAAAGATGGGCTTTCCAGTCAGGCCAACATCCTGGCTCAGCTTTGCCAAGAGGAGCCTCCCATGGATTCAGTTTCCATGAAGCAGGTGGTGAAAGGAGCCCTGATGCTGTATCCTAAAAAGTTCTGACTCAGGCCCAAGCCACAAAAGAGAGGCTGTGGCCAGAACAACAAATTGTGGGATGCTCTTGGCCCATTGGTACTGCTGTTTGCGCACATCCAGTATTGAATAAGGAATAGCAGAGACCTAATAACATTTCATTACATCAAAACCCTTTCACATATCCTCCAAAAGGAGAATTTCTGCCTAAAAATAGACTGTTTTTCAGCACTCGAATTGCACACATTTATTGTTTTCTGTATTAGCTCTTTGATTTTATCAATTTATTCACCAACCATCCCAGTAATCAATAGCAATAAACAAAAATGAATTAATGATTGATTGAAAGTCTACAATATATCAGGCACTGTGTTTGATGCTTTAGTATAAATTAATTCGGTTTTGATCCATTTTATCAAGCACCCTCTTGTCAACATGCCTAAGTTTTGTACTCCATGTCCTTCCATCTCAAATGATAGTAAAACTCCAATCACAGACAAATCCAAGCCTCTGCAGAGTTCATGCCTGACTGTGGGTCTCTAAGCCTTGAAGGAGACACTCTCACTCCTGAACAGATTGGTATCATGAAACATTCGTGGCCACCAACTGGGCCTCCAGCTCTGGCCAACAGTAGTACTGTTTCAGTAATCAGCTTGATAACACATTTCCAACAATGTCTGTTTGAAAACTTCACTATGGTGTGCCAGGCATTGCTCTCATTGCTTTACTATTTAGTTCTCATAAACTCTGTGGTAGCCTCCATCAATATCCTCATTTTACAGAAGAGATACTAAGGCACAGAGAGGTTAGGTGACTTTCTCAAGATCACACAGCTAGGACTCAGTAAAAGCAGGAATCAAACCAGGCAATCTGGCTCTTAAGCCTGCATGCTTTACCCTGGCTCTACCGTCTCATTGATTATTGCCTTTCTCACCTTTAGCCTCAGTCTCTTCCTCTGTGCTGGATCTTTATCCTCAGCACATGAACACACTCAAACATTTTCTGTCTTTCAAACACTATATGTTAACTCCATGTCCTCCTCTTGTCACTTGCTTTTCCTTTATCCCCTTCATGTCTTCTTGAGAAAATGTTCTGCACTTTGTACTTCCTCCCCTCATGCTTACCTCCTCTTCAAGCCTCAGCCCACAGAGTCAGCTTCCTTTCCCTACAGCCACTGAAACTGTTGTATCAGGTCTGCCTTTTACAAACCCCAGTGCCATGAACCAAAGTCCAGAGGCCAAATCTGCTTGGTTAAAAAGCTTGCTGCATTTTGAGAGGATTTGTTAACCAGTATATCAATGCTCAGATCCATTGGCAGAAGAATACATACGTTTTAAGCTTTTAGAGTAGTTTTCTCTTTTACCTCATTATTGCCTTTAGTTCCAGATGTCATCTTCCAAATGCAAATTGTGAATGTTCCTCTGCCCCCATCCCCAATCCAAGAGTTTCTCTGCATCCTGCCAATTCCACTTCCCAAAACTAGTAACTCTCCACACAAATGTCGCTATAAATATTAATATGTCCAAACTTCTTTCCATTTTGATCACTTCCTTAGGAGTTCCATAGTTCACCAGGGTTTCACAGGGAAAGATGTGTGTGGGTATGTGTGTGTGTGTGTGTGTGTGTGTGTCTGTGAGTGTGTGTTGGTCACAGCTAACACTGGTCCATTAGGCATTTGGAAATTTGTAAGATAATCAGTGCTGTGTTAAAATCCTTCTGGACTTTGCTGGTGCTAAACAGGAAAGATATAAACATGGGGATGCTGAGGGCGACCATGTAGAGAGGCTGCCTGTGAGTGAAGCCAACACAGAAGGTACAGAACTCATAGAGGTGGGGAGAGAGGTAGAGATAAAGGAAGGAGGACAGAGAGAAAATCTGAGAGGGACTGAGTTCAGACATTATCATATGGGCATCTAGATCCAGCCATGCCTGAAACTGCATTGACCTATGCAGTTATGCAAACCAAAAGACTTTCTTTTTGCTTAAAAAAAAAAAAAAAAACCCTCCTGGAATAGTAGCTCTTCTCTTTGCCGTTGCTGGCATAAGGCATGGAAAACAGTGACATCCAAGGGCCGAGAGGGTTTTTGAAACTCTCTTATCCCACCCCAAGCCTAGGAGAGAAGCCATCATACCCAGTCAAGGCCTCAACTCTGCCCCCTTCATCCTCCAGTGTCAGATTCTGGTATAACAGCCTCTCGCATTCTTGTCCCACCAAGAATTGCCACAGTCTGCATGGGTTCTTGGAATGCAAACCCAATTCCCTTTCCCTTCCACATCCTCTTCCAATGTACAATAACTGTCCCAGCAATAGTAAGGTCACTCACTAGGCATTTTCCAGGACAAAAAAACATTTGGGGGCCTTTGGGGCTAGGTGCAAGGCTGTGTGCTTCACTCAGTGGTGGAATAGTTGGCTGCATGTAGCATTTAAGAGAACAGAGGGATCAAATTCCTTGGTGGAAACTGTGCTAATCCCAATGCACCATTTGCAGGAGTGTCTGATGAGTACCGGCAGCTTTGAAAAAACAAGCTCTTCCCAAGAGAATCACCACTTTCATGACCTAGGCTCTCATGTGGGATGGCAGGGCCCATGGGATGGGAGATGGCAATGAACCAGGGGGCAAGGCATTAACACTTTGGTTAAGAGTGAAGGCAGTTTTCAAAATGAGCCTTGTCATTATGGATTTTTTTTTTTAAAGGAAGAGAACAATTGCAAAAGAGCTGTAGTAGAGAAGCCAGAATTGGACTTCTGTGGGAGATTGCCTTCCCTCCAGGCCTGGCATCGAGAGGGAGGAAGGGAGAGAGAATAATTGAAAACACAGTGCTGTGGTCACATGGTTCAGCTTAGCTTCAGTAATTGAGCTCAGGACATTGGAACCAGCTATTGCTCCCTAATGGAACCAAATGTCAGCAGAGCTGGGGGGCAAGCCCATGCCATTCCTCCAGTCCAGCTGCCTTCGAAAGGTTGGAACTAATGAGCTTTCCCTTATCTTTCCCCAGGCTCTATGACGACTTGTCAAACTCTTGCCAGATTTTCTCTGCCTCTGGTGGGCCCTCCACAAGACAGCCTTGTGGGTCTCCTCCAGAGGATTCCGGGGGGGAAGCACAATGAAGGTTTCTAACATGGCTAAGCTAATGCGATCAGTTGTTTTACTTCCAAGCAGAAAAACCGAGAAGTTCTGCAGCTCCCTAGAAAACTGCTCTCCAACTCCCTGGAGGCTTCCCCACACCTCCCCAACAGAGCTAGTGTATTTGTTCTTTGGTTATATCTTCCACAGAATACTAGATCTGGAAGGGGTCTCCCCATCACATCTTGGGTAAGGACACTGTGCCAAAAAAAAAGTGGGGCAGGACTGACTCATCATCATAGTTATCAGTATATGTTTTTACCATGGCAGAGCTGTCATTTATTTAGAAAATGCAGAGCCAAAAGGATAGAGCTGAATTGAAAAGAAATGGATAGTTCCTCTCCTTTAAAGAAGTTCAAAAAACTTGCAGAATATGTACTGTGAAGCAGGATCTGTTAGTCTGTCCCTCCCTTCCTCCTCCTTCCTTCCTTCCTTTTCATTTTTTTTTTTTTTTCATTCAACAAGCACTTGTTGAGAAACTGTCATGTGCCTGTTTTTGTGCTAGGCAAAGCTAACCTACCGGAGGAAAGGCCACAGTATTTCCACCTGGATAAAATACATTTAACTCACTGGAGATCTTTGGGAGGGTAAATAACCACATGGAGAGAGAAGAACTAGCTGGTAAAATGTGTTTCAAATTGCTGAATTCTCCAACAGTGTCCTACATCAAAGGCAATTTTTAAAGTTTGGTCACTCTAGCCCAGGGGGTAATTTTTGTCTTTGTCAATTAAAGAATAACTCAATGATAAGAAATGAAGAAATGTATGGTTCTTTCTCTTTCTAAAAGAATATCTTAGGTGGGGTACAGTGGCTCAAGCCTGTAATCCCAACACTTTGGGATGCCGAGGTGGGTGATTTGCTTGAGCTCAGGAGTTCAAGGGCAGCCTGGGCAGCCTGGTGAAACCCTGTCTCTACCAAAAATACAAAACAAAAAACAAAAAACAAAAAAACTAGCCAGCATGATGGCATGTGCCTGTGGTCCCAACTACTCAGGAGGCTGAGATGGAGAGATTGCTTGAGCCTGGGAGGTGGAGGCTGCAGTGAGCCGAAATCACAGCACTGCACTCCAGCCTGGGCAACAGTGAGACCCTGTCTCGAAAAAAAAGAAGTATCTTTAATAGGATTCCATTGGATCTGCAGCTGGGAGTAGTTCTGTGTATGTCTCTATACATTGTACACAGGACTAGGAAGACAGTGTCTCTGGGCCTCAGTTTCCCAACTGGTAATTTAAGCAAGTTGTGTTGAAGTTAGTTTCATATCTGTTATCTTTCTTCCTCTATACTGTTACCTCCTGGAGAGGAGAGATAGACATAGTCTCATTCATTTTTTGTCCCCAAAGCTTTGATGGGGGTTGACACAAAGAAGGGGCATTTGCATGTTCAGTGAATGAACGGCAGATGAGTGTTTCAGAGGCCCTTTCCAACAGACTTTTCCTGCACCAACATCATGTGAAGTGTTCTCAAGGAAACCATCTCAGCTAGGACCACAGAATGATGCACTCCAGGTAACCAACCAACATCAGAGTGACAAGGAGCCACAGTGGGCTGACCTCAGAGCAGAAGACAAGTCAAGAGCCATCAGGGAAGATTCTCAATGCTGCTCCTCAGAAAAGTCCTTAAGATCCTGGAGAAGCCCCTCACAGGGACCATTGCACTTTCAGCATCCTGGAAGGAGAACCTAACCATCAGTGCACAGGCATGAGCGGGGCATCAGGTGGGCCTCAACAAGATCCAGGCCCCTGGGGCACAGGATAAGTCAGGAAAGGGATTTCCCAATCAGTATATATTACCTCCAATATGGAGGTAATATATTACCTCCAAAGGCCTGCTATATAGTCAATCGCAAGAAGGAGCTAGATAAATAAAGGCATTTCCACCCAGATAGATAAGGGCATATCCACTCATCATTGTTCTTGAAAGACTGGCTAAAGCTCATTCCTCATGGAATCCCAGTGCCCACAGCAGGACTTCACACTTAGGACGCACTCAGTCAATGTCACTGCAGAATGAAATGAGAGGTCAACTGCACAAAGCTACACATAGGGATGTCCACACAGTGTCGTTAATTAGTAATTGTTAATAATTGGGAAGATGGACAAGCAGAATTATAAATATACCGCTTAAAGGCTTAGGCTCTGAAATTGACCTTGCTCTGTATGCCAGATCTGTTGCTTAGTATCTGGACAACTTAAGCAAAGTATTTAACACCTTTATGGCTTAGAGGTAACAATGCTAACGACCGTGAAGGCTAAAGAAAATAATTCTGAGAGATACTTAGCTTATTGCCTTGCACGTAGTATGGACTAAAAAAAAAAAAATTGTTACTCAAAAAAACAGTAAAAGAGGAGAAAAAACCTAAATGTATATGAATGGGAGATTTTGTTAAATATATTATGATACATTTGTATGATGGAATACCATGCAGCCAATCACAACAATAAAATAGATACATATATAGATATGGAAATATGTCTGCAATATATTGTAAAGCTGAAAAAGCATAAAATAGCTGGAGTTGAGTTTTATTTACAAAAAACTTACTTGCATCAATAAAATCAAACTATTAATAACTTTTTGGGAAGGTACAGCAAGGTGCTGGGGGATGATATTTACAAGGAGTCTTTCCTTTCTGCGTAATTTCCTACACTTGATTTCTTTTTACAACAATCACGTCTCAATTATGATGAGAAAATAAAGATTTGCTATTTGCAGGAACAAAATAGAAATTTATGCTTAATTTTGTCAGCTAGTAGTTGTGAAATAATTTTATCAGGTTCTAAAATGTCTGGTGGAAATTTTGATTGGAATTGCTTTGCATTTATAGATGAATTAGGGGAGAAAGTCTTCCCATCCAGGGACTTTTTAGAAAATTGTTGTTTTGTTTCTATATTCGTTCAAATTTTCTTTTCAGACTTTCAATAACATTTTACACTCTTCTTTATTTGGGCTCTAAATATTTTTAATTACATTTTTCCGGAACATTTTTTTCTATTTTGAATTGAATTATTTGTAAAATATATTTTCTAATTGGTTAGTCTTTGTATATACATAAGTGACTTTTGTATATTTACTTCATAACTTGCAAACTTGCAGATCTCATATTAATTCTAATAACTATTCAGTAGGTTATTTTGAATTTTCAATCATGTAACCTCTGAACATTAACAAACTTGCTTCATTTACAAATATTTGGGTCACTTATTTCATTTTGTTTTCTAATTTTACTGACTAAAGTTTCTAGAACCTTAGTAAATCATGATGACAATACAGGATTTTCATTTCTCTTTCCAGACATTAATGGAAATTCCTGCAGTGTTTTCTAGTATGTAGAATGTTGACCGATATATTGAGACATAATTTTTTTATCATATTAAGGAAATACATGTTACTAATGATAATTTTGGAAGCATTTTCATCAAGAACGGGTGGTTGTTTATTAAATGCTTTTTTAGCTGTTTGGCACTATCAGGTGTCTTTCCTCTTTTGATTTGTCAAAATGAAGAAATAAACTAATGCCTTTCTTACAATTGAGCTACTTATATTTTGTTATTGTTTTAAGTCCCATTAGATCACAGTGTGCGTCTCTTTCAATAGATAACTGGATTGAGTTTGCTAACATTTTATTTAGGACTTTTATATCTATATTCACAAATAGGAATGGTCTGCCATCTCATTTGGGTTGTCTTAGGTTTTATAAAAAGAGCAAAGAGAAGCTGGACATTTCTTTTACTTTCTGAAATAGTTTAATAGTTTAAAGTACACCTAGTCCTAAAAGCTTGAAATATTTTTTCCATAAAATTTTTTGGTCCTGGCATCCCCTTTAGGTAGTTCTTTGAAACTTTTTCCATTACTTCCTTGGTTGGTCTATTTTAATTTTTAAAAAAATTTCCTCTGTTAATTTTGATCACTTACATTGTCATAAAAGTACTCTTTCATCCAGATTTTCAGGTTTGTTAGTATAAAGTTGTCCATCACAGACTCATAATTTTAAATATTTTCTAAAATCTGTGCATATGCTCTCCTGACCAGTGCTCTGCATTTCTGTTGGCCTCCCCTTCTGTTTGCCTTGCTTTGTCTTCACTGAGGGCTATCTGTTCTATCAGTCCTTTCCAAGGACTCATTCTTAGAAGCAGTGAAAACATCTGCTTTTTGGGGTTTGATTTCCAACATATTTATTTCTGCTTTAGCTACTTTTCTCCTTCTTGCTTTTATTTGTTTTATTTTTTTTCTATCTTCAAGAATTGAATATTTAGTTTCCTTAAATTTATTCTATTTTAGAAATGATAGCATATCATGTCGTGGTTACATGCTGTAGCTTTACAGCCTAAGTAGACCTAGGTGTCAATCCCACTCCAACAATTTACTATGCCTGACCTTGAAGAAATCTACTTAGTATGCAGTGGAGAGGAGGGAGGCTGGAAGAGGCTTGGCTGCAAGGCTGTAAGGAGGGCTGCTTGGGGTGCCAGGCACAGTAGACCTATTCAGCAGCCAGGGATGCTAACAGCTTTGGGTTCTTCTCATAGGAGGTCCTCATGAATGCTCGGTAGGCAGCCTCATCATTGCTGTCTTCCTCCTCCTGCTGCTGCTGCTGCTGCTGCTGCTGCTAAGACAGACAGATGTGGCCCAGCTGGATGGTGGCTGAGCATTCCTCAAAGACAGCAGGAGGCGGAAACAAGATGGCCGACTACATGCAGCCAGGATGTGTTGCTCCCACTGAGAGAGACCAAACTATCAAGTAAGCCACCATAATTTGGGTAGCTCTTCAAAAAGAAAAAGCCAGGGGTGGGTAGAAGTGATGCTGAAGCTGAGGCTGAAGAGGGAAGAAGCTGGGAACCCTGCAGGGGTACCCAAACGCTATTAGGCTAGTTCCTGGCCCAAACAGCTCCTGGGAAAGCAGTGAGTGAGGGAACTGAAGGATGCCTCACTCTTGCCACCAGCCTCTGGGATTCTAGCTACAGGGGACCCTGCATCACACAAGGACGTGGGAGCTGGAGGGGGATCTCCCCAGGGAACAGGCAAAGACAGGCCTTCAGACAGCATGGAGCTGAGGAGTTTGTGTGCACAGGACAGCTCCAGCAGAGAGCAGCCACAGATGGTCATCCCCCAGGACTCTCTATTCCCCTCTGGGAGGCGCTGGCCCCAGCTGACCTTCCAGCCAGGAGAGAGCAGGGCTGGCTTCCCTGGGAATGATGCACATCTGTTCTGCAAGCCTTCCTACATGCTAGCCCTTCCCAGGGCCCATGCCTAGCCACCCTGCAGGAGCAGGTGCACAGCACAGCCTCCTTGGCCCAGCCTGAGCGCATTGCTCCACCTGAGTACTTTCCTGGTGATCTGGAGCACATAGAATCCCCAGTGCAGCCAGAATCCAACCATGGATTCAGACAGAGCCATGGGATGTTCTGGTGCCCCAGGGCCACAGTACAGCAGCTCAGGAATACAAAGCCAGGATCTGTGGTTGGCACTTGAGTGAGGGAGGATCCCCCACCCTCAGAGTGTGGCAAGGGGTGAGACAAATGGGTTCCCGGGCCAGGGTGGGAACAAGCTATGCCTCCCTCCACAGGGTCAATCCAGAAAGGGTGAAGAACATCTTCCTGTTACAGCCTTTCCCAGAGGGGGCCCTGCATCCTGGAACACCTAACAAAAGAAACACGGGCACATAACTGGTGATCAAAAGGGTCTCCCCAAGGCTCATGAGCAGACCTGGTGAAGGGGCCATTTGTCTCCACCCCCGACTGCAGAGCACACCTGCCAACATGAGGAGATACAAAAGAGTAGTGTGACTGGCTATCAGCCTAGCTATTGGCCATCACTCTTCCACACCATCTACTGGATCACAGCCTAAGCTGCAACACCAAAAATTATCCTACTAATATATGCATCTGTGAAACCAAACACAAGAATTCACCCAAGCATAAAGATCCTGTGCAGAGCTCTGATCCTCTGAAAACATCCAGAAACAAAGCCAACTAAGTATAATCAACTTACACCACAGTTAAAGGAACACTAACCCTTGCAGATGGGAAAGAACCAGTTACAACTCTGGCAATTTAAAAAGCCAGTGTCCCCTTATCTCCAAATGAGTCCACTAGTTCCCTAGCAATGGTTTTTTGCTCAGTCTGAAATGACTGAAATGACAGACATAGAATTCAGAATCTGGATAGCAAGGAAGCTCACTGAGATTCCTGAGAAAGTTGGAGCCCAATCAATCCAGGGAATCCAGTAAAATGTTACAAGAGCTGAAAGACAAAATAGCCACTTTAAGAAAGAACCAAACTGAACTTCTAGAGCTGAAAGACTCACTACAAAAATTTCATACTACAATCAGAAATATCAACAGCAGAATAGATCAAGCTGAGGAAAGAATCTCAGAGCTCTAAGACTGGTTCCTTGAATCCACTCAATCAGATAAAGGGAAAGAAAAAAGAATTAAGAAAAATGAACAAAATCTCTAAAAATTATGAAAGTATGTAAAGAGATCAAATCTACAATTCATTGGCATTCCTGAGAGAAAAGGAGAGAGAATAAGCACCTTGGAAAATACATTTGAGGATATAGTCCCCAAAAATTTCCCTAATTTTGCTAGAGGTTGATATGCAAATATGAGAAATATAGAGAACCCTGGCTAGATACTACACAAGACAACCATCACCAAGACACATAGTCACCAGACTCACCAAGGTCAATGCAAACAAAAAAAAAATCTTAAAGGCAATTAGAGAGTAGGGTAAATCATAAACTGAAAGAACCCTATTAGGCAGCAGCAGACCTCTCAGCAGAAACCTTACAAGTCAGAAGAGATTGGGGGCCTATTTTCAGCATTTTCAAAGCAAAGAAATTCCAACCAAGAATTTCATATCCTGCCAAACTAAACTTCATAAGTGAAGGAAAAATAAAATCATTCTCAGACTAGCAAATGCTTAATGAATTTGTTTAAACTAGACCAGCCTTACAAGAAGTCCTTATGGGAGTGCTAAACATGGAATTAAAAGGATGACACCTGCTACCACAGAAAACACACTTAAGCATATAGCTAACTAAGCTTTATAAGTAAAGCAAACTAGGTTTCATAAGTGAAAGAAAGCTAAAATCCTTCTCAGGCAAGCAAATGCTGATGGAATTTGTTTTAACTAGACAAGCCTTACAAGAGATTTTTAAGGGAATGCTAAACATGGAATCAAAAGAACAATACCTACTGCCACAAAAACAAACAAACAAACAAAAAAAAAACAAAATGCACACTTAAGCACATAGCCCACAGGCACTATAAAGCAACTACACAATCAAATCTATATAACAATCAGCTATATGAGGACATGAGGACAGGATCAAAACATGAGGACAGGATCAAAATCACGCATATCAATACTAACCTTGTAAATGTAAATGGACTAAATGTTCCCACTTAAAAGGCACAGAGGGGCAAGCTGGATAAAAAGACAAGACCCAACCATTTATTATCTTCAAGAGACCTATTTCACGTAGCTCCCATAGACTTAAAATAAAGGGATAGAGAAAGATATACTATGCAAATGGAAAACAAAAAAGAACAGGAGTCACTATTTTTAAAACAGACTTTAAACCAATAAAAGTTAAAGTGACAATGAAGGGCATTATATAATAATAAAGGATACAATCCAACAAGAAAATTTAACTATCCTAAATATATACTGCACCCAACATTGGAGCACCCAGATTCATAAAACAAGTCCTTCTTGGCCTACAAAAAGACTTAGACAACCATACAATAATAGTGAGAGACATCAGCACCCCACTGACAATGTTAGACAGATCATCAAGGCAGAAAACCAACGAAGACACTCTGGACTTAAACTCAGCACTTGAACAGTTGGACCTACTAGACATCTATAGAACTCCACACAACAATCACGGAATATATATTCTTCTCATCTGCACATGAAACATATTCTAACATAGACCACATGTTAAGTCCTAAAGCAAGTCTCAATAACTTCAAATAAGTTATTGAACTCATACCAAGCACATTATCAAACCACAGTGCAATAAAAATAGAAATCAGTATCAAGAAGCTTTCTCAAAACTACATAAATGCATGGAAATTAAACAACTTGCTTCTGAATAACTCCTGGATGAGCACAGAAATTAAGGCAGAAATTTTAAAATATTCTTTTAAATTAATGAAAATAGGGATACAACTTACCAAAATCTCTGGGATGCAGCTAAAGTAGTGTTAGGAGGAAAGTTTAGAGCCCTAAACACCTTCATCGAGAAATTAAAAAGATGTTAAATTAACAATTTGCCTTTGCACCTAAAGAAACTAGAACAAAAAAAGAACAAACTAACCCCAACACTAACAGAAGGAAAGATATAAATAGAATTAGAGAAGAACTGAATGAAATTGAGGTGCAAAAATCCAAACAAAAGATCAGTGAAACCAAGAATTGTTTTTTCAAGAAAATAAATAAGATTGATAGACAGCTAGCTATATTTAAAAAGAGAAGGGCCGGGCATGGTGGCTCATGCCTGTAATCCTGGCACTTTTGGAGGCTGAGGCAGGCAGATCACTTGAGGTCAGGAGTTTAAGACCAGCCTGGCCAATATAGTGAAACCCCATCTCTACTAAAAATACAAAACTTAGCTGGGTGCGGTGGAGGGAGCCTGTAATCCCAGTTACTTGGGAGGCTGAAGTGGGAGAATCACCTGAGCCCAGGGAGTCAAGGCTGCAGTAAGCCAGGATTGCACCACTGCACTCCAGCCTGGGCAAGAGAGTGAGACCCTGTCTCAAAAAATAAATAAATAGAAATAATTTTTAAAAATTTTTAAAAATTAAAAAAAATCTTGACTTACAGTAAGAATTTACATTTTATATCATAGTACATAGATCACATAAACACACATAAGATGTATATATAAGTAAATAAAGATGGTATTATAACTGATCCCACAGACAAACAAACATTCTTCAGAGAATACTGTGAACAAATCTATGCAAACATATTAGAAAATCTGGAGGAAATAGATAAATTCCTGGAAACACACAATCTCCAAAGATTGAATCAGGAAGATATTGAAACTCTGAATAGACCAATATCAAGCACTGAAATTGAATCAGTAATAAGAAACCTGTCAACCAAAAAAAAAAGCCCTAGACAAGATGGATTCACAGCCAAATTCTGCCAGATGTACAAAGAACTGGTATCAATCCTACCGAAACTATTCCAAAAAATTGAGGAGGAGGCACTCCTCCCTAACTTATCCTATGAAGCCACAATCAGTCTAATACCAAAATGTGGCAGAGACACAATGAAGTAAGAAAACCCCACTCCAATATTCCTAATGAACATAGATGTAAAAATCCTCAACAAACTGAATCCAGCATATCAAAATGTTAATTCACCACGATCAAGTAGGCTTTATTCCTAGGATGCAAGATTGGTTCAATATACATAAATCAATAAATGTGATTTACCATATAAACAGAATTAAAAGCAAAAACCATATGATCATCTCAATGGACACAGAAAAAAACTTCTGATAAAATTCAACATTCCTTAATAACAATAATAATAATAAACACCTAAACATGGCCAAGTGCAGTGGCTCATGCCTGTAATTCTAGCACTTTGGGAGGCCAAGAGCGGCAGATTGCTTAAGCCCAGGAGTTAAAGGCCAGCCAAGACAACATAGTGAGACCTTGTTTTTACTAAAAATACAAAAACTAGGCCAAGCGCGGTGGCTCATGCTTGTAATCCCAGTGCTTTGGGAGGCTGAGGTGGGTGGATCACCTGAGGTCAGGATTTTGACACCAGCCTGGCCAACATGGCGAAACCCTGTCTCTACTAAAAACTGCAAAATTAGCTGAGCATGGTGGTGCATGCCTGTAATCCCAGCTACTTGGGAGGCTGAGGCAGGAGAATAGCCTGAACCTGGGAGGTGGAGGTTGCAGTCAGCAGAGATTGCACCACTGCACTCCAGCCTGGGTGACAAGAGTGAAACTCTGTCTCACAAAAAAAAAAAAAGAAAGAAAAAAAGAATTCAAAATACAAAAACTAGCCAGGCATGGCATGTGCCTATAGTCCCAGCTACTCAGGAGGTTGAGGTGGGAAGATCACTCAGGCCCAGAATGTTGAGGCTGCAGTGCGCGATGATTGCACCAATGCACTCCAGCCTGGGTGACAGAGTGAGACTCTGTCTATGAAAACAAACAAACAAACAAACAAAAAACCCAAAAAATCTCTCAACACACTAGGCATCTAAGGAAGATAACTCAAAATAATAAGAGCCATCTATGAAAACCCACAGCCAACATCATACTGAATGGGAAAAAGCTGGAACCATTCCCCTTGAGGATTGGAATAAGACAAGGATGCCCACTCTCACCACTCCTATTCAACATAGTACTGGAAGTTCTAGCCAGAGCAATCAGGCAAAAGAAAAAAATGAAAAGCATACAAATAGGAAAAGAAGAAGTCAAACTATCTCTCTTCGTTGTCAATATGAATCTATACTTAGAAAACCCTAGACTCCAACAAAAGTCTGCTAGAACTGATAAACAACTTTAGCAAGGTTTCAGGATACAAAATCAATGTACAAAAATCAGTAGCATTTCTATACACCAATAATGTCCAGGCTGAGTGTCAAATCAAGAACACAATCCCACTTGTAATAGCCACAAAGAAAATGAATAACGAAGAAGGTGAAAGATCTCTACAAGGAGAACTACAAAATACTGCTGAAAGAAATCAGAAATGAAACAAATAAGTGGAAAAATATTCCATGCTCATGGACTGGAAGAATCAATATTGTTTAAATGGCCATACTGCTCAAAGCAATTTAAAGATTGAATGCTATTCCTATCAAACTACCAGTGTCCTTCTTCACAGAATTAGAAAAACTATTCTAAAATTCATACGGAATCAAAAAAGAACCCACATAGCCAAGGCAATTTTAAGCAAAAAGAACAGAAGAACATCACATGACCCAATTTCACACTATACTATAAGGCTACAGTAACCAAAACAGCATGGCACTGGTATAGAAAATGACACACAGACCAATGAAACGAAATACAAAACTCAGAAATAAAACTGCACCCCTACAACCATCTGCTCTTCAACAACGCCAGCAAAAACCAGCAATGGGGAAAGGACTCCTTATTTAATAAATGTTTCTGGATAAACTGGCTAGCCATATGCTGAAGAATGAAACCAGAACCTTACCTTTCACCATATACAAAAACCAACTCAAAATGGATTAAAGGCGTAAATATAAGATCTCAAACTATAAAAATCCTAGAGGAAAACTTAAGAAGTACCCTTGTCAACATCTGCTTTGGCAAAGAATTTTTGGCCAAGTCCCCAAAAGCAATTGCAACAAAAACAAGAAGTGACAATTCCAGATGTTGTTTTGAAATCAGTGTAACCATGGCATTGCTGGAGCCTGCAGAGTTCATCTGGGCCAACTGAGTCACGCCTGGGTGCAGGGCCACTGGCGAGGGGAGGCAGGGAGGTAGGCAGACAGGACATGGACTAGAGTGTCCCCGTGAGAAGGGAGAAGTGAGTGGGTGTGGGCTATTGAGTACTCCGAGCTTCTCCAGAAAGGATATGAGGACCTGCTGTCACCTTTGGCCTTGCTGACCTGGAACCTTTGATTGCAGGACTTGCTTAGACAACTGAAACCCTCCCTTGCTTAGAATTCACTCTTGGATCTTTAAGGATCACCTGTGCTCCTTAAAAAAAAGAACAAGAGAGCTCAGGTTCTGAACTGGACAATGCCCCTCTCTGTTGTCCCAGTTCATCCCTGCCTCAGACTTGACTCCACTGTGCTCATCACCTCTTCTGCCACCTCCAGCAAATTCTTCCAAGCCCCTGTGAGCTCCTGCAAGCCCCTGCGAGCCCATATCCCTCTGCCCATTCCCACCTCTTACCACCATCCAGACTGGTTTCCTGGAATATCCTGCTTTCAACAGCCACCTCCCCCAGGACGCCCCTCCCCACACTGTCTGCCCTCCTCGGTGTACCCATGATTTCCCTGACATGTCTTTGCCTGCACTTTGGCCACATCAGAAATAAGAATGATCTGGTTTGTCCCTGTCTCCATCATTATCCTCTGAGCACCATCAACCATAACTCTTGCACACTGTCTGGAACATTGAAGGGACTCAATAAATGTGATTGAATTCATTGAGTGCTCAATTCCTCAGAATTAGTGCCCCCATGCTAAAATAGAAATAATAATCATCATCATATTTATCAAGCAATTACTATGTGCACTGTTCTGTTTTAGGTGAATTTTCTCATATAAGTACCTATAATGTTATCCTTATAATATCCATATGAGATATATACTATTTTTAACTTTCTCCATTTAACAGGTGAGAAAACTGAGGCACAGAGAGGTAAAGTGGATTGTCTGGGATTACACAGCTAGTAACTGAGAAAGTCAGACCACAACCCCGGCAGATTAATGAGCCCACACACCTAACCCCTGTGCCATATTGCCCTTCAGAAATAGCAATACTGCTGTTATATGTATATTTGATAATATGCATCATTAACATATTCTACTACCTTCCTCCCAAGGTTTGGGGGAAAAGGAGACAATGAGATAAGAGTTGCAAAAACATTTTTAAAACCAAAATATGGACCAGGTGTGATGGCTCATGCCAGTAATCCAAGCACTTTGGGAGGCCAAGGTGGGCAGATCACTTGAGGTCAGGAGTTTGAATCTAGCTCAGCCAACACGGTGAAACCCCATCTCTACTAAAAATATTTTAAAAGTTAGCTGGGCATGGTGGTGGGCACCTGTAATCCCAGCTACTCTGGAGGCTGAGGCAAGAGAATCGCTGGAACCTGGGAGGCAGAGATTGCAGTAAGCTGAGATCATGCCACCTAATTAAGCTAACGAGCTTCTGCACAGCAAAAGAAACTATCAACAGAGTAAAAAGACAACCTACAGAATGAGAGAAAATATTCACAACCTGTGCATCTGACAAAGGTCTAATATCCAGAAACTATAAGGAACTTAAACAAATCAACAAGCAAAAACCAAATAACCCCATTAAAAATGGGCAAAGGACATGAACAGACACTTTTTGAAAGAAGACATACTAGCAGCCAAGAAATATATGAAAAAATGCTTATCATCAGTAATCATTAGAGAAATTCAAATAAAAATCATGAGATATCATCTCACACCAGTCAGAATGACAGTTATTAAAAAGTCAACAGACAACAGATGCTGGTGAGGTTGCAGAGGAAAGGGAATGCTTATACACTGTTGATGGGAATGTAAACTAGTTTGGCCACTATGGAAATCAGTTCAGAGATTTCTCAAAGAACTTAAGGTAGAGCTATCATTCGACCCATCAATCCCATTACTGCATATATACCCAAAGAAAAACCGATCATTATACCAAAAAAAAAAAAAACCCACATGCACTTGTATGCTCATTGTGGCACTATTCACAATAGCAAAGACATGGAATCAACCTAGATACCTATTAACGGTGGAGTAAAGAAAATGTGGTACGTATCACCATGAAATACTATGCAGCCATAAAATAGAATGAAATCATGTCCTTTGCAGCAACATGGATGGAGCTAGAGACCACACATAATTCTAAGCAAATTAATGTAGAAACAAAAAACCGAATACTTCAAGTTCTCACTTGTAAGTAGGAGCTAAAGATTGGCCACATAGTAACATAAACAGAGGAACAACAGACACCATGGACTACTAGAGGGGGTGGGTGGGAGGTGGGGCGTGGGTTAAAAAAACTACATATGGGGTATTATGCTCACTATCTAGTTGTAATATACCCATGTAACAAATCTGCATATGTATCCCCTGTATCTAAAATAAAGTTGAAATTTAAAATAATCTACTTAGCCTTTTTGTGAATCACTTTTTAAAAATCTGTAAGATGCAGATGATTAGCCATCTCACAGCAACACTGTGATTATAAATTGAAATATTGGATGTAAATTTCTTTTTTCTTTTCTTTTTTTTGTTTTTTTTTTTTTTTGTTTTTTTTGAGACAGAGTCTGACTCTGTCGCCCAGCCTGGAGTGCAGTGGCATGATCTCAGCTCACTGCAAGCTCTGCCTCCCAGGTTCACGCCATTCTCCTACCTCAGCCTCCCCAGGGGAGCTGGGACCACAGGCGCCCACCACCACGCCTGGCTAATTTTTTGTGGTTTTTTTAGTAGAGACGGGGTTTCACCGTGTTAGCCAGGATGGTCTTGATCTCCTGACCTCGTGATCCACCTGCCTCGGCCTCCCAAAGTGTTGGGATTACAGGCATGAGCCACCACACCTGGCCTGGATGTAAATTTCTTAGCATGGTTTGTTGGGTGGTTTTATTGCCACCATGTCATCGTCATCATCATCATCATCATCATCATCATTATTTAAAGCCCGAAATTCTCTTCTGAACATCCTTTTGGCCCCAACCCAGGAATTGTGAAATACAATATTCTAAATGTTATTTTAGGAATGGTCTGTAATTGCAGTTTTGATTCCCAATTTAAACTCAGTTCTTCAGGAGATTTTTGGTGTTATTGTTAATTTCATGTAGTTAAATTTCCCAGATTTAGTGTTGCTGTTCTTACAATTTTTTATTAGAAAATTCCAGTTTAATTGCATCGTGCCACAGGATGTGTCTTATTTTTATTTGTTGGAATTCATTGAGGTTTACTCTGTTAGCCAGTATGTGATGTGACTAAGTGTTTTATGTGTTCTGTGCACATTTGAAAAGAATGATTATTCTGTGTTTTGGGTTTCAAATATGTATATATTCAAATGTGATATTAAAATGCAGTCATTATGGTCAACAAAGAACTGCTTATATGATAGTGGTCCCATAAGATTAAAATACCATATTTTTACTGTACCTTTTGTTACAAATGTTCAGATACACAAATACTTACCACTGTGTTACAAATGCCTACAATAACATGCTGTACAGGCTTGTAGACTAGAAGCAGTAGGCAATACCATATAGCCTTGGGGTGTAGTAGGCTATACCATCCAGGTCTGTTTAAGTACCCTATGTAACGTTTGTACGACGATGAAATTTCTCAGAACTTATCTTCATTGCCATGCAACACATGACTGCATATATATGTAAGCACATATTCAATTTTGTAAGTCATAGAATTCAAGCTCTTTATGTACATTTTGTCTAATTAATCTGAAAAAATCTTAACAGTGGTGTACATTGAAATCTAACACCATATTTGGAGTATATCTCTAATTTTTTTGTTTTACATATTTCGACGCTTTATGTTTACCCAAAGTTTTCTGATTTTCATGCCTTCATTGAGTGCTCTTTTTATCATTTTGTAAAAAAGTAATTCTTGATCTATTTAATAGTTGCCTCAATTTTTATTTTGTCTGACAAAATTAACACTGACACCTCACTTTCTTTTAATTTGCATTTGCACAGTATTTTCCTATCCCTTTATTTGTAACTTTATGTGATTAAGTTTTAAATGTGTCTCTTGAAAGTGGGATATAATTGGACTGGGGAGAGAGAGTTTGTTTCTTTAGGCTTTTTTTGTTTCCCTTTTTTAAACTGAATCTGAGAGTCTCTTTTATTTTAATGTGTAATCTTACTACAGAGCTTAATTGATTCATCTTTCTTCTCACATGTTTTGTTTTTCTTATTATGGCTCCTTAATTATTCCTTTTCTTGTTTTCCAGTCAACTTATTCACACTTTCTTTTCCTTCTTAATGAATCATAGGTTTCATTCATTTTATTTGATATTACTGGTGGCTATGTAAAGAATTTTTCAAAGCAATATTTGAGCCTGTATTTTTCCTCTTCATTGATTGCAAGAATGGCACTATCTGATGCCTCTTCCCTATGCAAGAGGTGAGGTGCTAGGTGCTCTCAGAGTGATTGACTATTTAGGGGACATCATAGATCATTATATATCATCTCTCAAGATTTTTTTTTTTTTTTTGAGATGGAGTCTTGCTCTGTCATCTAGGCTGGAGTGCAATGGTGTGATCTCGGCTCACTGCAACCTCCGCCTCCCAGATTCAAGCCATTCTCCTGCCTTAGCCTCCCGAGTAGCTGGGATGACAGGCACGTGCCACTATGCCCGGCTAATTTTTGTATTTTTAGTACAGATGGGATTTCACCAGGTTGGCCAACTGGTCTTGAACTCCTGGCCTCAAATGATCCACCCACCTTGGCCCCCCAAGGTGCTGGGGTTACAAGTGTGAGCCACTGCGCCCGGTCTAAGATTTATCATTTGCTTTATTTCAAAATCGTATTAACAACCGTCACTGAGACTTAAAATTTGTCTTGTTTTGTGGCCTGTCAATTTTTTTATCATCATGGTCTGCTCCCCCAACCCCTCCAGGCTCTTGCTCTGCCCTATCTTGAACTCCATTCTATTACAGCACTAAACCTTTTCAGTCCCCTGAATGTCCCATGCGCTCTCTAGCTTCCAGGACTTGGTGCAGGCTGCTTCCAATGCCTTCCAAATTTTCTTTTTTTTCTTTTTTTTTTTTAATTTTGTTATTATTATACTTTAAGTTTTAGGGTACATGTGCACAACGTGCAGGTTTGTTACATACGTATACATGTGCCATGTTGATGTGCTGCACCCATTAACTCGTCATTTAGCATTCAATAAACGTAATCCAGCATATAAACAGAACCAAAGACAAAAACCACATGATTATCTCAATAGATGCAGAAAAGGCCTTTGAGAAAATTCAACAACCCATCATGCTAAAAACTCTCAATAAATTAGGTATTGATGGGACGTATTTCAAAATAATAAGAGCTATCTATGACAAACCCACAGCCAATATCATACTGAATGGGCAAAAACTGGAAGCATTCCCTTTGAAAACGGGCACAAGACAGGGAAGCCCTCTCTCACCACTCCTATTCAACATAGTGTTGGAAGTTCTGGCCAGGGCAATTAGGCAGGAGAAGGAAATAAAGGGTATTCAATTAGGAAAAGAGGAAGTCAAATTGTCCCTGTTTGCAGATGACATGATTGTATATCTAGAAAACCCCATCGTCTCAGCCCAAAATCTCCTTAAGCTGATAGGCAACTTCAGCAAAGTCTCAGGATACAAAATCAATGTATAAAAATCACAAGCTTTCTTATACACCAATAACAGACAAACAGAGAGCCAAATCATGAGTGAACTCCCATTCACAATTGCTTCAAAGAGAATAAAATACCTAGGAATCCAACTTACAAGGGATGTGAAGGACCTCTTCAAGGAGAACTACAAACCACTGCTCAAGGAAATAAAAGAGGATACAAACAAATGGAAGAACATTCCACGCTCATGGGTAGGAAGAATCAATATCGTGAAAATGGCCATACTGCCCAAGGTAATTTATAGATTCAATGTCATCCCCATCAAGCCACCAATGACTTTCTTCACAGAATTGGAAAAAACTACTTTAAAGTTCATATGGAACCAAAAAAGAGCCCGCATTGCCAAGTCAATCCTAAGCCAAAAGAACAAAGTTGGAGGCATCACGCTACCTGACTTCAAACTATACTACAAGGCTGCAGTAACCAAAACAGCATGGTACTGGTACCAAAACAGAGATATAGACCAATGGAATAGAACAGAGCCCTCAGAAATAATGCCGCATATCTACAACTATCTGATCTTTGACAAACCTGACAAAAACAAGCAATGGGGAAAGGATTCCCTATTTAATAAATGGTGCTGGGAAAACTGGCTAGCCATATGTAGAAAGCTGAAACTGGATCCCTTCCTTACACCTTATACAAAAATTAATTCAAGATGGATTAAAGACTTAAATGTTAGACCTAAAACCATAAAAACCCTGGAAGAAAACCTAGGCAATACCATTCAGGACATAGGCATGGGCAAGGACTTCATGTCTAAAACACCAAAAGCAATGGCAACAAAAGACAAAATTGACCAATGGGATCTAATTAAACTAAAGAGCTTCTGCACAGCAAAAGAAACTACCATCAGAGTGAACAGGCAACTGACAGAATGGGAGAAAATTTTTGCAACCTACTCATCTGACAAAGGGCTAATATCCAGAATCTACAATGAACTCAAACAAATTTACAAGAAAAAAACAACCCCATCAAAAAGTGGGTGAAGGATATGAACAGACACTTCTCAAAAGAAGACATTTACGCAGCCAACAGACACATGAAAAAGTGCTCATCATCACTGGCCATCAGAGAAATGCAAATCAAAACCACAATGAGATATCATCTCACACCAGTTAGAATGGTGATCATTAAAAAGTCAGGAAACAACAGGTGCTGGAGAGGATGTGGAGAAATAGGAACACTTTTACACTGTTGGTGGGACTGTAAACTAGTTCAACCATTGTGGAAGTCAGTGTGGCGATTCCTCAGGGATCTAGAACTAGGAATACCATTTGACCCAGCCATCCCATTACTGGGTATATACCCAAAAGATTATAAATCATGCTGCTATAAAGACACATGCACACGTATGTTTATTGGGGCACTATTCACAATAGCAAAGACTTGGAACCAACCTAAATGTCCAACAATGATAGACTGGATTAAGAAAATGTGGCACATATACACCATGGAATACTATGCAGCCATAAAAAATGATGAGTTCATGTCCTTTGTAGGGACATGGATGAAACTGGAAACCATCATTCTCAGCAAACTATTGCAAGGACAAAAAACCAAACACTGCATGTTCTCACTCATAGGTGGAATTGAACAATGAGAACACATGGACACAGGAAGGGGAACATCACACACTGGGGACTGTTGTGGGTGTAGGGAGGGGGGAGGGATAGCATTAGGAGATATGCCTTCCAAATTTTCTATAGTCCTTGATGATGCTAAATTTTCATCACTCTTCAAACCCTATTTTTGGATAACACTTCTTTAAAATGAAACCACAAACCAATACAGACCCCCAAAGCTGTCTGTGCTCTGAGAACAGGTTCTTCCACTACCAAAGCACTCATCTGATGCTACTCCAGTGGCTTGTGTCACCACTGGTCATGTCTACTGAACTCTAAGCTCCCTGAGGGCAGAGTCTGTCTGTCATATTTCGAGTTGATCCATGAGGCCTAGCTTGGCGAATGGCCTCTATCAATTGCTCAGTAAATATTTGTTGAATGACTAAGGATGATTGCATTTAATGTTTAAAGGTGTTCTCTGGCCAGATAAAATGTATAAAGTAGGAAAAGACATTTTACATACTGTACAACACCTTTGCTTGGGCTAATTCTTCTGGGGAACTAATAGTTCACTTAGTAACCCCATCTCTGGTTCAAATCTGATGAATTGCCTATGCTTACTTGCCTTATATTGTAAGTGATCATCAAGATACATGGAATACTGTTGAGATATGGAGAAGAATGAGGTTAAGTCTTTTTGTGCTACATAGAATTGGAAAACAAAACATGCTGCAGCACAGTGTGTGCGCGTGTGTGTGTCTGATGCTAGAATAAATCAGAGAGAATACTCAACAAGCTGTTATTGAAGAGCAGAGAATGGGTAAAAACTGATTACTCTACATTTTACTAATTACAGCATTTTTACCAAACACAAAATTTAATATTAAAGATTAAAATACAAAGTGGCAATATAATAAATTGCTAATAAATTTGTATACACCACTTAACTACAACCTAAAAAGAAAAAGAGGGAAAAACAAAAACCACAAACTTAAAACAAAGAAACCCAAAATATGATCTGCCTACTGGAAGAAATAGAAGTAGGAAAGTGGCTCAAAAAGTTGTTCGTGGATGAACAACTAAGATCTCCTTCCTGGAGAACTAAGGGCAGGGCCATTAAATTAGACATTTCGTGATCTCTAAATAGAACTGAGAGGAGATTCAAAGAAATGCAAAATAACAGCTATAGAGCATTATGGAGTCTTTGGCCTGAAAGAATTTTTCAGATTTTGATGGTCCAACTGCTGTCATTTACTTCTGTGTGTGTGTGTGTGGATGGGGGTGTGTGCGTGCATGTGTGTGGGTGTATGTGTGATTGCTTTGGCTTGAGTTTTGGTAAGAAATTACATATCATGTCTTTTAAGATTATTTTTAGATATATTTCTCTTTTTCACCACACATACACACACACACACACAGAGACACACACACACTTTTTATTTTCTGCTTCTGACAACTAGCTCAATGCAGGGGATGCATTGTCCTGCCACTGCTTCAGTAAATGTGACAGGTATCCTGTGTTCTCAGCAACTGCTGCAGGATTCTCTGGCATCTGCACTTTGGCTGGAGTTGGCTACAACCATCCTTGGAGGATGAGGAGAAGGAAGGAAGAGAGGGAAAGCGCATAAGACTGGGCCACCTGTCCACCTTCTCCAACCCTCACCATTGCTCGAGGCTCTCTTAATCCATTTATGAGGAGGTAAGTACAGAAAAAAAGACAGATGAGCTTATGGCTGACTCAGGCCTGAAATCCTTGCCTTGGATAATGGGAAGAAGGCCATCTTTTTGAAAGAGAAGATCAGGAATATTTCAGTTACAATACTCTCCTGACACATTTTCACCATTCCAAACTCCACCCAGTGTTCTACAGGACTATTTATGAAACTTTTAAAATCTTGACCTAGGCTAGGCATGGTGGCTCACGACTTTAATTCCAGCACTTTGGGAGGTTGAGGCGAGCAGATCACTCGAGCTCAAGAGTTTGAGACCAGCCTGGCCAACATGGCAAAACCCCATCTCTAATAAAAATACAAAAAATTATCCAGGTGTGGTGGCGTGTGCCTGTAGTCCCAGCTACTCGGGAGGCTGAAGGGGGAGAATCACCTGAGCTCACGGAGTCAAGGCTGCAGTGAGCCGGGATTGCACTGCTGAACTCCAGCCTGGGCAACAGAGTGAGACCCTGTTTCAAAAAATAAATAGATAAATAAATAAAAATAATTTTTAAAGAATTTTAAAAATTAAAAAAATCTTGACTTACCATAATAATTTACATTTTACATCATAGTACATGGATCACATACACATAAGATTTATATGTATACATAAATAAATAAATATATATAACTAAAAACTTTCATGAAACAATACCTTTACTACGGTATAATAAAAATAATATAAAATATCTTTGGTATGAAAAAGATAATATAAAATATGATTTTGCTAAGAACCTGATGCAATCTGATGTATGCTATTCTTTTTTTGTTTTAGAAAAAGGAAGTTGGTTCCAACCCGCTAAGTTGATTTTCAATCCACTAGTGGGTCATGCTTGAAAACCACTACTTTCAGGTTTTCTCTGATTTTTTACAGCAATTCCATATGGGGTATTTGCTTTGATTCCTCATTTAGCTCCCTTCTTTGGGCCACTGAATCTTGTCATATGTGCATTGATTTTGCCGCATTTGCTCAGCCCTACTCAAGAGGTCTGTGCTTACTCAGATTCGGGAGCTGGGATGAGTTCTGAAATTCCTCGTTGGAATCTTTCATATGCCGATGCCAGACTGCAGAAAGGGCTTAGATTTCCTGTGGCTTTTCTTTGCCAGGTGAGAGGTGCAGTGAGCAGCAGGGAAGGTGCACCATTCCCCAGCATCCAAGTTCTCAGGGGAGCCTTGAACCTTTGGAAGGGATGTTTGTAGGTGACCGCCTCCTATTGGCTGAGCAAGGTAGCCATGTCTTAGCTGCTGTAACTGTCCACTGGAGGAGCATTTCCATCCCAGCTGCACATGCCAAGACTCAGCCAGGGGCAAGACCGATGGAGATCTCCACGCGGGATCCCAGCATCGGGTCACTGTCCAGCATTACCAGTTGCTCCCACTCAAAGCAAACCTCTCCTCCAGCATCTCCAGATGTGGCAAGAACAGCGCCTCCCTCCTGATGGGCTCCGCCCTTCCACCCAACGTCCTTCACATCCACCTGAGACATCCACTGAGACTTCTCAGTGTTTCTGGCACACACTGAGCAACACTGTCTAGTTTACAAGACTGACATAGATTCGTCCTTATTTCAACAGGAATTCAAAAGAAGAACTTGAAGTAAATTCCTGATTTCAAGCTGCCTTCCTAGTTAACCACAACTCCAAGTTCTTGGAACTATTTGTTTATTTTGCCCCATGCCTATTTTCTCCCCGTGTTTATGAGCATATTGCTATTCACAATGAATTGCTTTTTAATAGCAAAACGTAACCTATATATGAAAATGTATTACCAATTCAAATGCACAATAAAAAATATGTATTTTATATATATATATATATATATATATATATATTTTTTTTTTTTGAGATGGAGTCTCCCTCTGTCACCCAGGCTGGAGTGCAGTGGCATGATCTCGGCTCACTGCAGTCTCCGCCTCCCGGGTTCAAGCAATTCTCCTGCCTCAGCCTCTTGAGTAGCTGGGATTACAGGCATGTGCCTCCACGCCTGGCTAATTTTTGTATTTTTAGTAGAAACAGGGTTTCACCATGTTGGCCAGCCTGGTCAGGAACTCCTGACCTCAAGTGATCCGCCCGCCTCGGCCTCTCAAATTGCTGGGATTACAGGCGTGAGCCACTGTACCTGGCCAGTAGATTTCAATTCAAAGTGTACCTCCCTCCCTCTCACTCCTATACCCCTGGGCCACTGCTGGGAACCAGAAAGGGGGAGGGGTTGACAAAAGGGCAGGTCTCAAGGTCCTGGTCTGCCTCTGCCAAAATAATTCTGCCTTAACTGATTATACATGAGTTTTCATGATAGATTTTAATTCTAAAAAGGTTTCCATGAATACAAACAATTAGAAAATAATAATTCTATAGTCAATTGCATCCAACAGAGATTATTTTTTAACCCTATGGATATATGACCATCTTTGTGTTGAGGAAACTCAAGTATTTATTGAGGCATGCCACAAAGCCAGTGAGAGCATGGATTTTGGAGTCAAGCTGGGTTTGGGTCCTGGGAACGTCTAGCTGAGTGGTCCTGTGCAAGCCTCCTCACCTCTCGGTTTGGGGATATACTCCCTAAGCTCCAGGTTGTTGTAAGGTTTAAATTAAATGAGGTATGTGAATATTTTAGCTTGGTGCCTGGGGCTTGAAGAGTGGCCAGGAAATGGTTGGGGTACTAAGTTTTATTTAAAAGACTCACTGGGGATTGAATAAATGAGCAGTAGAGGCTTCAAGGGTCTGACCCACCTGACGGCTCATGCCCACGTCATATCTGCAGCAGGGGAGGTGCCTTCTACTGTGCTCGTAAATGTTGACCATCACTTAACTTCAGGGTAAAGAAGGAGAACAGAGGAGGAAAAAGGCTGAACGGTCTTCTCCTTCCGGGGGAAACTGGAGAAATAGGAAGGGGAGCCACAGAGACGGCAGCTCCCAGGCTGCTTCCAGGAACCCAGTGGGAGCTTGAACTGGCCTCCTGGGACAAAGGGGTCGTCTTTGTATGGCTCAGCCTGAAGTGGGAGGATTTCACCTGATAAGGGCAGGAGGAGAAGATGCTTCCCTGTATTCCACAGGGAACCTCTATTCTTATGCTGTTACCTCATTCTCCAGCTACAGAAAGCAAACTTGCTATGGACCAAAAAAGAAAAAAACAAACAAACAAAAAACAAAAACAAAAAAACACCAATCCTGGGACCTACCAATGCAGGAATTAGTCACGGGACCCTTATCAAAAAGCAAGCAGAGTGAACACTTTTCCCATGGTCAATCTGCAGAGATGCCCACCCGCTGTGCCCACTTTGGAGAAAAGGAGTCTGGCCAGGCAGCAGAGAAGCCCCCATCAGGTGCCCCGTGGCCTTTCTCTCTCCTGCTGCCTTCCTTTCCTCCACCTCCTTCCACACCCCATTGCCAAGGATGAGACGAGGCTGAAAAGTCAGAAATCTCAGGACCAAATTCTCCCCGTGCTGCAGAGCCAGGTCAAGCGATATCCCTCTGCCCGCTCTGGCCTTCTGAAGCTGCTTCCTCCTGTACCTAACTGTGACATGGTGACACAGAGATTCCTACCAACACAATCCTGGCTTCTGCTCCTGCCCCTGACCCCAGCACCACTTCCAAATATGAAGTTACGTCCTAGCAACCAAGACCCTCCCCATTCAGGTCAGAGAGGCCAGCTTCCTCCCTCCGGTAACGGCCACCTGGACAGAGCAGCTGCCTGACAGACATTCACTCACCTGGTGCCCACCTACCTCCCTATGCACAGTCCCCCGGGGCTGCCATCTCCCTTGCTCCTCTCTCCATCTGCCCAGCAGGGATTGCAGCACCACTTATTCCCGGACAGCCTGTGGCCCAGGCCTGGGTCAGAGCCGGCAAGGATTGAGAAATGGACGCTCAGTTCTCAGACGGAGGCCGGCCTTTGAGTCAGATCCCAGGCTCCGATAGTTGAGATGCCGTGAGTAGGACACAATATTCACCACCTGCTCTGGACAGGTGACTCAGGACAAATGTGTCCCACCTGGCATGGATTTGCTCGAAGACTCCTGATCTGAGCCATCTGACTGCTCCACGTGAAAAGGCTTGATCCAAAAAGGGGGGCTGCCAGTGCTGAGAAGCTCAGCCTCAGAACAAGGTCCACCATCTGCTGGGCTGGCCGGCAACACCCAGGAGGCAAACCCAGTGCAGAGCCACAGAACCACAGTGAGGTTCCTTGGTCCAGCCCAGTTGCCCCTGCCTTCTTTGGACAACACAGAAATGACTAGGAGAGCCGAAAGGTAGCAGACATGACTCGGTGCCTGCAATGTGCCTGGCACGCTGCTAGGAGCTTTCTATAAACCTCATCACATGCTGGAAGCTGTGGCACGTGCCTATAATCCCAGCTACTCAGGAGGCTGAGGCAGAAGGATCACTTGAGCCGGGGGATTCAAGACAAGCCCGGGCAAACCATAGCAAGAACTCCTCTCAAATTATATAAAAATTTAATAAAAAGAGGAAAAAAGTCATCACATACAATCCTGCCATCAATCTGGTAAATATATCACCTGCTTTGCAGACAAAGAAAGCCACTGCACAAACGTTCATTAAACACCTACTACGTGCCGTGGAATTTCCCCAAGGTCACACAGTTAGCAAGTTAGCAAGTCAAAATCCACCTGTCTCCAAAGCCCAGGCTTTTTCCATAGCATTTCATTTCTTGTCTGTGCCACCCTTTCCCAAAAACAACAGACTGGCTCTCAGAAGCTTATGTAACTCAGTGGTCCTCAAGCCAGCTGCATCAGCAGCATCTGCTAGAAATGCAAGTTCTCAGGCCCTGGCCTAGACCTCCTGAAGCAGCACCTCTGGCACTCTGTTTTCACAAAGCCTCCAGGTGATTTTGGTGCGTGCTCAGGTGCGAGAGCCCATGACCTAACGTATACAGAGCATGTTGAAAACTGCAGCATAAAAGAATGGGGCACTTTTGTGTGTGTCCTGTTGGCATTAGTGTCATGAGACCAGAGTGCCTTTCCCCCACGTAGCCCCTTGGAGAATCTAATCATAAGGTGGCATTTAATCCATCTGCCCCGCAAAGAGCATCCCACACATCTCTCCTAAGCTCAGTCTCTGTGAGCCCTGTGTACATGCTAGGCTGAGGTTTTTGTATGGACCTCTCTTCTAAAGAATGGAATGTTTCCCAACGCTCAGCACCAAATGTTTCAGGGCTTCCTGGGGGCTTTAATGAGGGTGTAGGTGCAACCTGTAGGAAGCCCTTGAAATTCCATGCAAGGCTGCAAAGATCTAGCCGCTGCTGCTGGAGAACACAGGCCCACGGTCCCAAGGGAAGCACGGGAGGAGGGAGCACTCTGGGGATAAAGCTGCCTTTGTCAGCAGGCACAGGGGACATTGTAGGGCTGAGTCTGGAGTGAGTCTGGAGTGCAGTGAAGGAATTTCTAAATTGCAGAGAGTGAGCGCCTCTGTCAGTGTCGCCTGCTCAGCTCACACCCACAATCTCTCTCACAATGGCCTGGGTGCGGTGGGGCCAGGACAGACTCAGGCCCCACTTCCATCTTGCTCTGGCAGAGAGGCTGAGGAGCAATTCAGCACCCCAGGGCTATGGGGGCTGGCCTTGCCCTTCTTGGATCCTGAGGCCTGGGAGGGCCCCACAGCCCCCCTCCTCCACTAAGTCTAAGCTCTCTCTTGTCATCGGCACCTGAATCCAGTTCCCGCCTCTCCCTCTATTTTCCGAAGATCTGTTCTTTCTCACTCTCAGAAGGTAAATTTATTCCAAAGTGTAGTTGAGACTTGGCCCTGATTTTTCCTAATACGGGGTGGTTTGTGCTTCAAGGTGGAAATTTTATCACCCCTCTGCCCTTCAGGACATCCTGCAGAAAGAGTCTCCACCCTGCCCAACACTCCATAGTCCAGCTCACTGCAAGCCAGAAGAGACGGGGAGGAAGACGCAGGTGAGAGAGCCCCGCCCTGGTTAGAACTAGGAAGTTCAAGCACCACTTGAAGCTCAACCAAGAGCTTCCTGTGTGATCTTGGTCATTCACAGCCTTAGTTTGCTACGATGAAAATTAGATGAAATTAATTGTCTGCCAGATGAAATTAGAAACTTCTACTGCACAGTGTTACTGAGAGAATGAGGCAATAGAGGAGGAAGCATGCTGCCAACAGCTAACCAAGCAGAAGCCTGCTCACCTTTTTGGCCCTTCCAGCCCACGGAACTGAGAAATCTGTTCAACAAGTGATTCTGATGCTTGCTAAAGTTTCATAATCAATAACCTGTATTTCCTTCTAATTCTCCTATTTTTTAATTACAAAATTTTATTTCCAAAAGTAAATTTTTAATTACAAAAATTTTAATTACAAAATTAAAATTATAAATTTTGAAAAATTAATTTAAAAAATTTTAATTTTAAAAATTCTAATTTAATTTTTAAAAATTAAAATTACAATTACAAATTTAAATTTAATTTAAAAAATTAAAATTACAAAAATTTTTAATTTCAAAATTTTAGTTATAAAAGTAATACATGTTTGTTGTGGCAAGTAAACATATTCAGAAGGCAAAAAGAAAGTGTGTCCTTAAAATGACACAACAGGGTCATCTCCTATTCTGTTCAAACAATGGCAAAATAAAGAGCTTAGGGTCAGAGCAATAAGCCCCAGCTTCTGTACTAAGCGGCTCTGTCAACTGCAAGTCCTTTTACCTTACTGAGTCTCAGTTTCCATGTCCACAAAATGGAAACAATAACCCAATAATCTGACAGGGCTGCTCAGAGGTCTGAGCAAAGAGCTGTCCTGCAATCTATAAAATGCCTTGGGAATTCTTTATGCTGTACACTTTTGGTCATGCGAACTGTATTATCATGAGCAGAATATAATTTAACAATTTTAACTAGTAATGTAACAATTTTAACTAGTAATGTAACATGACGCAGAATATAATTTAACAATTTTAACTAGTAATGTAACAATTTTAACTAGTAATGTAATGTTACTAGTAATGTAACCTGACAGTAATGGACATGATGATAATAAATTCTCTCTGCATTTAGCACTTTCAACTTAGACAGAATGTTGAGGCCAAAACTTGATGATTTTATTGTACGTCCCCACTTACGGATGCAAACACTGAGACTCAGAGAAGTTACATGTCCAAAAAGTGCACGTCCAAGGCTGTGCAGTCAGAAGCCATTGGTCCCTTGATTCCCGCTCCCCGGCTCTCTTCCCCTCTTTCCCTGGCCCACAGCAACATATAGATTCAAACCAAGGGTTTTAACTTCATACGAAAATTCTAGCTGACTTCCATGTAGACCATGCTGCCCTCTCTCTGGCCTTTTTTTCTTTCAAACTGTCCATCAGGCTTGCATCCTTTCAAAGTAATATTCCATCACTAAGATACTTACAATCACGACAAGCAACTGAAGCCAGTCCACAAGCAAATATACCACGCACATGCCAACAACTCCCAAATTCACTTCTCCAGGCCTGGACTTCTCCTTGAATTCTGACTCTTTTTTCCTACCACTTGCTTAACATCTTCAGCTGGGGTTTAACTTAAATTTCAAAAGTAACATTGCCTGGCTGTTATTCAGTGAGGCAAAAAAAAGGAACACTGCCAACAGTACTCTTGATTCCCCCCCTAATAAAATGTTTCTTCCCTAAACTTCCACATTTTGGTAATTGTCACTAGCATCCATCAATTTCCCAAGCCAAAATCCTCAGTATCAAGGTGGGAAGAACATAGCACAGGCTCTGAAGCCAAAATTCCTGGGTTCATCTCGCAGGTCTGTCCCTGCCCAAGTGCATGATCATAGGCAGGCAAAAAGGCACTTCTCTGTGGACTGGTTTTGTCATCTATAGGCTGGCTAGTGCACTAACATCCACCTCACAAGGTTTGTTTGGGCTAAATATGGTAATACTTGTAAGGTTCTTAGAACAGTGCCTGCCAGAATAAGCCCTCTGTGAGTTTTTATTCATCTTGATCCCTCCATCTCTCTAACCTTCCACATCACATCCAATTTATCAGTGATTCTCGTTGGCTCTATCCCCAGAAGCTATCCCACTTTCTTTCCGCTTCTCTCCATCTTCACTGCCGCCACCCTCCTCTTACCAGTGCCTCTTGTCTGATTATAGCTTTCACCTTCTAACTGGGATTCTGGTTCCTATGCAGACCTTCATAATCCATTTTTCACATAATAGCAGGTAGGCTTTTTGAAAATATAAATTGGATCAGCATAAAATTTGCAAGGGCTTTGAATTACTTTTAAAAACTGTTTTTTGTTTGTTTGTTTGTTTTTGAGACAGCATCTTGCTCTGTGGCCCAGGCTGCAGGGTAGTGGTATGATCATAGCTAACTGCAGCCTTAAACTCCTGGCTCAAGCAATCCTCCAGCCTCAGCCTCCCGAGTAGCTAGGACAACAAGCACATGCCACCACATTTGGCTATTTTTTCTTTTTTCTTTTTTTTTGTAGAGACACGGTCTCTCTGTGTTGCCCAGGCTGGTCTTGAACTCCTGGCCTCAAGCAGTCCTCCTTCCTTGGCCTCCCAAAGTGCTGGGATTATAGGCATGAGCCACTGCACCCAACCACTTTTTTAAAAATTTAATAAACTTTATTGTTCTGAGCAGTTTTAGCTTTACAGAAATATTGCATAGAAAGTACAGAACTCCCGAATACTGATCTCCCTCTCCACACACACAATTTCCCATACTATTAACATCTTGCATTGGCGTGGTACCTTTTTACAATTGATAAATCAATACTGATACATGATTATTAGCTAAAGTTCATGGCTTACGTGATGGTTCACCCATTGTGTTGTGCAGTTCTATGGGTTCTGACAAGTGCATAGCGTTATGGATCTACCACTGTAGTATCAGACAGAGAGATATATTTACTGCCCCAAAAATGCCCTGTGCTCCACCCCTTCCAAAGGCTTTGCGTTGTTTTCCAAAATAATACCCAAATTCCTTACAGTGTCCCAAAGGAGCTAAATGATCTCACCCTTGTTTATCTCCCAAACTCCAGCTTCCACCTCTGCCTCTCCTGCTCGCTGCATCCCACAGCCACCCTGGCCTTCTGGCTCTTTCTTGAATAAGCCATGCCCTTGTCACCCTAAGACTTCTGCCCTAGCTGTTTTCTCTTACAGGAAAGTTCCACTTCCAGATCTTCATATGGCTGGCTCTTCCCTGACTCCATCTCCTAAGTGGGATCTTTCTTGACCACTCAACCTAAACCAGGCACTCACCGTTACCTCTCCTTATTTTATTTTCTTCATAGAACTTGCCAGCATTTGAAGCTGTCTTGTTAGTCTGCTTGGGTACTTACATACCACCCATCCGCCCCATCTAGGTCCCACACAGGGACCTCATCAGCCTGTTCACTGTGGGGTCCCCAGCACTAGAGCATGCCTGGCCCATAAAGGGTTGATAAACATTTACTGAGTGAATCAATGCATAAATGAATGAATAAATGACTAATGCCATGTAATGAGTTTCTACATTTGTTTGTAGTTTTCAGTTTACAAAGAGCTCTTCCAGACATTTCCTTAGCGTAATTTATGTGATTAGGCCCAGGTTTAAATGGAACTTAAAAAACATATTCACAGTATCTCTCTTAGCTCCTAGAAGCCACAGATTAGGAAACAGAATGTTCTCTCCAAGGGAAGAGAGTTTAGTTCCAAGAGCATTCATGACCCTCCGGTTATGACAAGAAGAATCACTTGGTTTAATTCATGGCTCTAAAACAAATAAAAAGTACTCAGAGATATAGAACCTTGGCTGATTAATAACAGCAACAACAAGCATTTGTGCAGCACTTGCTGTGGGCCAGTGTGGAGGCTGAGGCAACTCCATCTTGGGTGCTAATCCCCCATGTTGGATTCTGATTAACTCCAGTTCCAGGAAAGTCTCGTAAGGTTTCTAGTCTATCTACTGTTCCTTGTATAAGAGCATGTACTTATCCTACCCTTAGGTCAAAACAATCTTGATGTTATTGTACTTACCATAAATCCTGACCTTGAGCAATCACCCTACCCATTCCTTCTGAAGCACTGTACCCTTCTCCTATGATATATAAACCCTGGGTCTGGGGTGTAATTGTGGGGATTCACCATCTTGTCTCGCCGTCCTAGACACAGACATGGCTTCTGGACATAAGTCCCTATTCAACATTTCTTTCTAAGAAACTGGATTTTTCAGCTTCTTTCTTTGGCCCCTCAACTTCCTCAGCCTTTGGGGGTAGGTTTGCATAGGCCTGCTCACCATGGAACAGCTAGACACAAGGCTAAGTACCATCCACACAGTATCCAGCTCCACAATTCACTTGGAGGGTTGGTACCATAATGATTTCCCCTTTTTCTTATAAGAAAGGGAGGAAGAGACATCACAGGGAGTAAAACAACTCAAAGCCCAAAGTACAGAGCCAGGATGTTAACCCAGGATTATCTGACAACAAAATCCAGTCAGTTCTTGTCCTTGTAACAAAAGCTGAGTAAGTAAACATTGCCGTGCTGAGCATCTGTAGATTCCTACCCATCCCCTTCAGCCCTATCACATGGGTGGGCTTAGAAAGGGTTAAACGCCACACTGGGAGGGAGTGGTCAGTGCCTGGGTGGTGCTATTTTTAAGGCCAATATTAGGATGGTTTGCACAGCACCACCTGGCAACAAGAAAAGGCCAGGTATTAATGAGTGACACACCCGGGGGAGAAGGGGGAGAATGTTTCCACTCAGCAAGACTTTGGCAGGAACCATGTGTTCAGTTTGGGGTCTTGCCTTTTACAAGGGTGTGGAGGCAGTTGAGTCCCTCGTCTTTTCTGGCTGTCACAGAATGTCCGAGATGCCCTGGCCAGGGGCCCTGGCCTGCGTGGCTTCAGACAGGACAAGGGTGGAGTTCGAGGTGGATGGTGCCCAGCTGTGCAAAGCAGTTATTTGTCCCACGCTTTCAGTCTTTCTGCCCACACAAGTATCTGAGGAACGCCGCTTCCTGCCTTGCATCAGAAAGCAACATTTTTAAAGATTAAGAAATCCCTACTTTCTTCTCTTAATTTGTTGTTGTCATGACATGACTGACTCAATAAGTAAAAATTTTAAATCCCTGCCCAAGAACACAGGCTTGTCTCTCCGACGCTTGAAGTTCCTCCAGATGCTTCGTGCATCCTTCCACCTCCACATGTCAGCACACTCTGCCCTTTCTAAGCAAGAGCTTCAACAAGCCCTGCCTCCAGTGAACTCTTGTATGTTTTTCAAGGCTTGGCTCAGAATCACCTCCTCCAGGAAGACTTCCCTGACACCCCCTCCCAACTCACACATTAAATCACTTGACTGGTCGTAGTGGATCAGACCTGTAATCCTAACTCTTTGGGAGGCTGAGGTGGGAGAATCACTTGAGGCCAGGAGTTCAAGACCAGCCTGGGAAAGACCCTGTCTCTACAGCAAGACTCTGTCCCTACAAAAATAAAAATGAAAAATTAGCTTGGTATGGGCCAGGTGCAGTGGCTCATGCTTGTAATCCCAGCACTTTAGGAGACCAAGGCAGGTGGATCATTTGAGATCAGGAGTTGGACACAAGCTGGGTCAACATGGAGAAACCCTGTCTGTACTAAAAATACAAAACTTAGCCGGGCACGATGGCAGGCTCCTGTAATCCCAGCTACTCGGGAGGCTGAGGCAAAAGAATCGCTTGAACCCAGGAGGTGGAGGTTGCAGTGAGCCAAGATCGTGCCACTGCACTCCAGCCTGGGTGATGTAGTGAGACTCCGTCTCAAAAAAAAAAAAAAAAAAAAATTATCTTGGCATGGTGGCATGTGCCTATAGTCTCAGTTACTTAGGAGGCTGAGGCGGGAGGATTGCTTAAGCCCAGGCTTAAGCCAGGAGGTCAAGGCTGCAGTGAGCCTTGATCATACCACTGCACTCCTTGTTTCAATAAATAAGAAATAAATAAGGAGCTGCCCTTCTGTCCTCCCAAAGCACTCCATGCTGAGTTCTCTCATCCGTGTGTCTGCCTTACCAGTAAGAGAATAAAGCCTTGCTGCCAGGGGCTGTGCCATATCTTTCTTTGTAGCCCTGGTATTGAGCATAGTACCTGACACAAACTGGATGCTAAGTAGCTGTGAGAGGAAGGGATGAGAAGAGGAAGAGAAAGAAGAAAAAAAGGCCGGGAGGAAGAAGGGCAAAGGAAGGAGGGAAAGAGGGATTCTTTGTGATCAGATGCATAGACACAGAGACAATATAGACACATCAACACATGGATCTAACCTGTTACAGGCATACGTATGCACGTGCACACCCTAGTCACAGGAGGGGTTTGCATTGAAAAGAGCACTGGTCCAGGAGTCCAGCAGCCTGAGTACCTATCCCCTGGGCTGCTGCTGACTAGTGTCTGACCTGAGGGAAGCCAGTCCTCTTTCTGAGCATCAGCTTCCTCATCTGTAAAATGGGTTATTATAAGACTTATACAGAACGCTCTCACTGCCTGAAATACAGTGGACGTTCAACACGTACCAGCTCTGCCTTCCCTCAGCTCCATCTCGCCCGCAGTGCTCCACACACCCTCTGCAATGGGAAGAAAAGAACAGCAGTGTGCAAGAGCCAGAAATGCCTGTGTCTATACCCTCCCCCTCTCCACCTCATAACAACATAGCGATTCAGACGGCTGAAAGCACATCTGCCCGACACTACCTGCAATCTATTTTGTGCTGTTTTTGTATTCATCTTGCTAGCGAAAGGTACATGCATTGCCTCCAATGCCCATTCTAGTCTGGACTGCAGCAGGAAATATGAGGACAACTCTAGTGGGAACAGCTTGGCACCCATCACTGGGCCTTAGGGTCCATGGGGGCTCAGGTGAGGCCCTCAGGATAAACAAGGACATACAAAGCCTCAATACAGTGCTCACCACCCATGGGGCCCCTGCTCCATCTCCTCTTCCCTGGCCTGTTTCTAACCTCACTGTCAGAACCCAAAACTGCAACCCTAATCCCAAGCCCAGAGATAGCCAGGACCACTCTCCGTACCTTGTTGCCCTTTAGCCCAGAATAACCCATGGCTTGGTGCTGCTTTCTTATCCCAGAACCCCCAGCCAAAGTCTGCACTTGAACTCATCATGAGGTCTGCTCACCACAACTGGGGGCCTTTGCAGGCAAAGGTTCTGCCCCCACGGTCAAAGGAGGACAAAGCAGGTGCCATACTTTATTTAATCAGGTCTTTAAAGTTAGCAACAAGTTGTGTATTATCAGCAAAAATTGAAAGCAACTGAGAAGGGCACAAAAGAGCTTTATGGGGTGATCATGATGGTAATTTTTTTGGGTGGGGGTGAACAAAGTCTTACTGTCACTCAGGCGGGAATGCAGTGATACAATCATAGTTCACTGCAAACTCAACCTCCCAGACTCAAGCAACCCTCCTGCCTCGGCCTTCCAAGTACCTGGGATTACAGGTGTGCACCGTCACACCCAGCAAATTTTTAATTTTTTTAGAGATGGGGTCTTGCTATGTTGCACAGACTGGTCTTGAACTCCTGGGCATCAGCCATCTCCCTACTCAGCCTACAAAAGTGTAGCGATTACGGATGTGAGCCACTGCATCCAGCCAGTGATGATAACATTTTATGCCTTGCTAGGGGTGTGCTTTACACTGGGATATACACTTTTCACAATGAACTGAACAGTGCACTTAAGATACATACATTTCACTGTATGTAAATCTTACCTGAAAGAACAACAGTAAACAAATATTGAAAGTTAGATGTATGATGAAGTCAAGTTCCACCCTGGAAGGTTCGCCAGTGTAAGTAAGTGCACACACATAGTCTGCCTCCAAAGGGAGATCACCTATATCCTCACCCTACTTTCTACTAGAGAGGAAGCCAGGGGGGCTACTTTGGGCCCTCAGGTACTCTTTATTTAATCCCCAACTTATTTGGAAATGCATTCAAAAATGAGATGGATAGCCAGGCATGGTGGCTCACTCTTGTAATCTCAGCACTTTAGGATGCTGAGGCAGGGAGGATCACTTGGGGACAGGAGTTCGAGGCTCCCCTGGGCAACATAGTAAGACTTCATCTCTATATTTAAAAAAGAAAAAAATGAAAAAAAAAGATGGATGCATGGATGGACAGAGGGATGGAGAGATGGATAGATGTGATAAAGCAAATATACTAAAATGTTATTTGTAGAATCTAGATAGTGGACATAGGTATGTTGACTACAATTCTTTCCTCTTTTCCATATGTTTGAAAATATTTATGATGATATTTTGGAAAACATAAAATTGAAAGCAAGCCAAGATGTCCATAATTGGGGAATGGTTAAATAAATTACTGCACAGGCATCTGATCTGTTTTTCTGAGGTTGGTAAGACTGGTGGTTCAGATAACTTTGTCGGAACTGAGAAGTTATCCACAACCCAATGTCGAGTGGAAGCATCAGCATGTGAGCAGTATGGATATGTAGAAAGCTCACCGTGCTTTTTCAGCTGCATACTGCTTACTAAGAGTACAGGCTTTAGGATGGAATAGACCCGCCTGTGTTCAAATCTGTCCTGCCACTCACCACCTGGTTAAACTCCCTGTGTCTTGTTTTGGTTCACCTGAGAAGTAAAGACAACAGCATGTACCCCACAGTGCTGTAGGTAAAAATAAAAAATAAAAATAAAAATAAAGCGCTGTAGGTAAGATCAAATGAGTCAGTGCTCATGCAGGTTGATCCTAAATCAATGCCTGGTGCTGAAAGCACTCAGGAAGAGGGAGCTGCTGGTATTACTGAGGGCTTTCCAGGGTTCAGGGCGAGGCCTCTGGTAGTGAGGGATGCACACTGAGGGGTTGGCTGCCAGATGTGGGGAACAGAGACAACTGGCTGATACACAGGCAAAACCTTGCCCCACCAGCAAAAAGATCTTATTCCCTTAGCTAACAAGTCACCATAATTTGTTTAAGATGCTGCAAGAAAAACAGACTGGATGGATGTACACTTAAAAAACTCACAGTGGCTAGGTTAAGCTGGTAAGATTTAAAACACTTTCTTTTCCCATCCCTATTCTACAATTCGCCCATTTGCTTCTCCATCTCTGCCCCAGTGTAACTCCCACACACCCTTCAGAAAACAACTCAAATAGCACCTCCTCAGGGAAGCCCCACGCTGATCTGCCAGACTAGGCCAGTTCCCTGTTACAGCCTCCCATAGAACTTAACCCTCTTTGCCGTTATATTTATGTGTGTACAGTTGTTTGTTTAATGTGTCCCATTAGATCCCCAGAGCCCAGCACAGTGCTTGAAGCCTAGAATACTCTAAATAAATAATTTGTTGAAAATAAATTCCAGGCTGGGCACAGTGGCTCACCAGCCTGAGCAACATAGGAAGACTCCATCTCTACAAAAAAATAAAATTTAGCCAGGCATGGTGGCACGCTCCTGTAGTCTCAGCTACTAAGGAGGGTGAGGTGGGAGAACTACTTGAACCCAGGAGGTTGAGGCCATAGTGAGCCATGATCATGCCACTGCACTCTAGCCTGGGCGACAGATGAGATCCTGTCAAAAAAAAAAAAAGGAAAAGAAAAGAAAAAAAGCAATGAAAATGAATTCCAAGTGTTTGGGAAAGTGATTTCACTCTTTGTATATTGAAAAGTAAATAGGAAATTAGGAGGAGACGGAGAGTAATAAAACTATATCCATGCTTGTCCCGGGCAACATTACATAGCTCTTAACTATCAAAGACATATGGCAGTGTGTCATGTGGTTTTACTTTTTTTATTGGAGAGACGTTGGGGGGATGGTGGGGGAAGGTGTGCAGCAGAATCCTCCTCAAACCCTACGCCCCACCCTCCAGCCCTATGCAGAGCCTCCCTCTGCTTCCCACAGGCCCAGCCCCTCCTTGCTGACAGGGGCCAAGTCCCAAGGATCCCCAGGTGACTCGATTCCTATTTCCCAGCAGAAGGAGTCAAGGCACCTATGGTGGAGACCACAGGACCCAACTATTATTGAGGACACATCCAACCACCATGACCACATGCTCAGAATCTGCACATGTGAAATAGCAGAGCTGGAGTGTTTTTAGAGGCCATGTCTAGTCCAACACCCTTCCATCCACTTTATAGACAGGGACACTGAGTCCCAGATATGGAAAGGGGCTTATCCAAAGGCACACTTCTATGCAAGGATTTAACTGGACAGGTGTCCCTGCATGTGAATGCCCAATCTTCTAACAGCCTAACTCAGAGAAAGAAGGCACTGTGTCAAATGTATTGAGTAGTTGATGGGGCATCGCCCGGATAAGCTCCTCACCCCTGGACCGAGGTGTTCATTCCCACAGCTGACATAAGTGTTGCCTGTGACAACTCACAACTGAGTCCCTCTCGGGAAACTGCCTTCAGCCAAAGACAGTTGCCTCACCCAAGGTTATGCCTGGATTCCAGGGGCAGCCCACAAGCAATGACTGGTCACTGCAGGGATACAAAACCCCATAAGATCCCCTGGATCCGCTGAGGCCAGTGTTGCAACTGCATCACAGCCCAACTTCTCCATCTGTCTGGTTCTGTCTCCCTCACCCCACGCTGGTGTTGTTCCCAGAGCACACACCAATGAACTTCCTATGCGCAAATCTCTGTCTCACCATCTGTTACCAGGGAAACCCAACCAAAGGCAGTGCAGCCAGGGTAGGAAGTGGTAAGACCTCCCTGTGAATCAGAGTGAATAAAATGGTTTCACCAAACACGGAGCACCTAGTAAACACCAGGTCAAGTCCCACCCTCGAAGATCCCCAGTGGAAGTAAATGCATCCATGTCATCTGCCTCCAAAGGGAGGCCGCCTGAATGCTCACCCTACTTTCTGCTATACGAAGAGCCAGGGCTACTTTGGGCCCTCAAGCACTCTTTTCTTCATCCTCAAGCCTGTATATCTATGATGGTTGCTGTGAGAGAAGAGGGGAGCAGCCTGCTTAGGAGAGCTGACATATCCTCTGAATACGTACATGCCATTTGGGTCATTTCACACACTTTATCTTAGTTATTGTTTCTGCCGTCCTCTGAGGTAAGAATTTATGACCACCGTTTTGCAAAGGAGGAAAGTGAGCCTTTGAATGCCTTTTCCAAGATCAAGGAGCCTGTTACCCTCAGAGCCAAGATTCCATCCCAGGTGGCCACGCCCCATGGCCCAGGTTCTTATTCCCTACACCCCACTGCCTTTCTTCAGACTTCAGCGGATGCCTTAATGCAACCTAAGCAAGTAGATGCCAGGGTTCTAGCCATATCTTTCTGTAGCTAGAAAAGTCAGAATATGCCTTTGACTTGCTTACTTCTCCTTTTTAAGGAAAACCATGTGTTTACTCTCTTATGCCAAAGTTGCAACAGAGCTGAAGTTTCGCCAGTGTTAACTTTAAAAGTTGGGCAGAAGGGTTAAAACGTTCTGCCCTGATGCCTGTTTATGTTTCCAGAGCAAAAGAAGAAGATTTTAATAAGAAATGCTCTCATCTGTTGGGCTGTACCTGCAGGAAGGTAGGGGATCTGGATGGAGGCCCCTCCCAGTTCTCAGATCTGCTCCAGAGACCAGCACTCCGTTCACTTCTCCCGGAGCTGAGCAGCTCCCTCTTCTGTTCTGCTTCTGCTGAAACTGGAGCGGAACTGGTGGGGACCCTGACAGCTAGCGTTTTAGACACTGATGCCTCTGCCCCTTGAAGAGGAAGCCGGGGCACATGGAAAACCATTGCCCTGGCCAGGGTTCACTCTCCTCCCCTGTGGGGGTCCTGCAATTGCCCTTCCCGAACTCTCTGCCAAGCACTTGGTGAGCACTCAGCCAGCCTCTGCAAAGACAGGCATTGTGTCCTATTGTAGCACACGTGTGCACACACTTACACGTGTGCACACACACTCACACGTGTGCACACACACACTCACTCATATACTACACAGTGGGACCAAAACCATGCTTCCATTCCCCTGGGAGGATGTCAGGAAGGGTCCACCCCTCCATTCCAACCTCCCCTGAGTCCCCTGGGATAGGAGAAGGAGCTCCACTCACCGTTCTGCCTTCTCGGGAAGACTCTCTTCTGCAAACTCATTGCACAGGGTTTGAGGGAGGGAGAGAGAGCTGTGAAAAGTTCCTCCAAACCAGGATCAGGGGTCCATGGGAGGATCGATGGCAGCTTCTCGGCTGGGAGTATTTGAATATGAGTTAAAACTACAAAGTAACTCCTCGTTAGAACTGTTTTTTCCTCGGCAGGGAGGGAGAAAAAAAAAATCCCTTTCCCTCTGCCAGAAAATCTTTAACGTTTCACAACGGTCGCTTCCAACTCCTGCCCTCCTTGAGAAGCAAATGTGTATAAAGGCAATGTTATTTCACTGAATCAAGCCCTCAGAGCATAAGCCTTTTCCTGTACCACAAACAGAAATGTAAAACCTCAAACTTTCCTTTGGACTTGGAGTCTGTTGTGAGAGGGCAGAACACAACCCTTTCTGAGGTCTAATGTATGGAAAATGTGCCGCACTGTTTAGATCATCGCAAGCACTTGAATCTCTGCCCCCCTCTTCTACTTTTTTTTTTTAATGAGTTCTGGTGTGTTTATGTAATTGCATGGGACAAACACTACACCTAAAATCCTTGCCCAAAGTTGAAGTGATTCATTTTCTCCTTCACACACACCACACACAAACACAGCGCCTGTTTAATCCAAGTGAAAACGCCTTTCATAAAATCTGCAAAGAGCTTGGGCAGAGAGACCCATGGTGAATGCAGCCTGTGTCCTGAGAAGGGCAACTGGGCTCGGGGGAAGGTGGAGGCTGACTTTAATCAAGACAAACAGAAGGCGCTCTGACTCCTGCCATGCCGGGACAAAAAAGGGATAAATGAAAAAGGGGCTTGGGCTCCGGGTAATGGTGCTATAAAACATTTTCAGCCTACTCTACCCAATTTCCTCCGCTTGCCTTCTCATACCAGGACATTTTATTTTTGGACTTGGACAAGATGTACTATTATTTAAAATGACCAATTTGACTGCTGGGTTAAATAAATCCTTGGATCACCATTGGAAAGACCAAAAGAATATACAGTGAGTGGGCAAACAAAACTGAAAACTGAGAAAGTAATATCCACCCCTCTGGTGGAAGAGTGTGATGATTTTCTGGACATAGCAATGTGAGACTGAATGGGAGGGAAAACCTGCTCTGTTTGATAGAGAGAAAAACTTACCAGGAAAGCAAGTGAGACAGATCCTGGTCTAGTCCCTGAGTTATCTGTCACCAGCCAAGGGCCCCAGGTCTTTCTGGGATGGGCCCCCTGCCGTGGTGCCTCTGGCCTCAATATCACTGCTACCACTCAGGGCTCCAAAGAGTCGTGGCCACTGGCATCACCATCACTCTGCTCAATCCACTGCCAAGACACTGTGACTCTCGTACTCCCTCTGCACCCCTCACCCCCATGCAAATATACTTTAGATAATCATTTCTCAAGGCAGTGCTACAGGTTGCCAGAGAAACTCTGCTATCAGCACCTGGAGTCAGAACAGCTCCCTGAGAGCCATCATCACCCCTGGGTGAGGGTGGGGACCCTACACTGGCACTTCCTGACCCTTCCTTACTCTGATTATTGAATGAACTGCCTAGGCTCTGAAACTGCAGGATGCTGCAGCTGTGCCAGGAGCACTGTGAGGGCCAGAAACTGGCCTTGCATTTTAGTCGTACCCAATGGCAGCAACAATAAGCAATAGGCTAGATAAATTCTGGGAGTACTCTGCAGATATTAAGATGATGTGAGGCCAGACACCGTGGCTCACACCTGTAATCTCAGCACTTTGGGAGGCCAAGGTGGGTGGATCACCTGGGGTCAGGAGTTCAAGACCAGCCTGGCCAACATGGCGAAACCCCATTTCTACTAAAAATACAAAAATTAGCCAGGTGTGGTGGCATGTGCCTGTAATCCCAGCTACTCGGGAGGCTGAGGCAGGAGAATTGCTTGAATCCAGGAGGTGGACATTGCAGTGAGCCAAGATCGTGCCACTGCACTCCAGCCTGGGTGACAAAGTGAGACTTTGTCTCAAAAAAAAAAAAAAAAGAAAGACAGAAAAGAAAAGAAATTAAGATGATGTGATAAAATAAGATGTATTGCCATAGAAAGATGTCTGCATTATATTATTAAGTGAATAAAACCGCTTACAAAAAAACATGGTGTAAATACGATCCACATACATGAAACAAGATCAGATCTGGAGAATAAAATTGAGTTTTTTATTTTTATTTTCACCATGAGCTTTTCAATATCCCTTTGGGCTTTTCACTTTCAATTCATGCCATCTATATGATTATTAAAAAAAAATAAGTCAAAGCATTGGCTTTAGAATTTCTAAATAGACTTTGTTAAATCAGTAGCAAAGACCATAATACTGAAAACCATGGTTCATAATGATATGAATCAAGCCTTTGACAAAAGTGTGATGGACAGAAAAATGGCTTCTCCAGAGATGTCCACATCCTGAACCTGGGAACCTGTGAATATGTGATGTTACATGACAAGGGAGGATAAGATTGCAGATGGAATTAAGGTTGCTAATCAGCTGACTTCGAAATAAAGGAATCATCCTGCATGATCCAGGCTGGCCTAGTGTAATCACAAGTATCCTTAAAAGTGGAAGGAACAGCTCGGCTCAGTGGCTCCTGCCTGTAATCCCAGCACTTTGAGAGGCCAAGGTGGGTAGATCACCTGAGGTCAGAAGTTCAAGACCAGCCTGACCAACATGGTGAAACCCCATCTCTACTAAAAATACAAAAATTAGCCAGGCATGGTGGCATGCACCTGCAATCCCAGCTACTCGGGAGGCTGAGGCAGGAGAATCTCTTGAACCCGGGAGGCGGACGTTGCAGTGAGCTGTGATCATGCCATTGCACTCCAGCCCAGGCAACAAGAGTGAAACTCCATCTCAAAAAAAAAAAAAAAAAAAAAAGTGGAAGGATCAGAGAACCAGATGCCTCAGCAGCTAATATAGTGAGGACGGTCCTGGACAAAGGAGAGACTGACAGGTGACATCTGTAGTGAATTCCAACAGAGAGGCAACTGCGAGTTGTGTGCACCTTCCAAACACAACAGCCCAGCAGGGAAAAGCCTGAATTGAGTGAGTAGTTACCCAGAGGAGACTGTGTTTTATATTAAGAGTGGAGGGAGGTAGAAGAGGAGGTCAGAGTCAGAGTGAGACTTGAAGATGCTCTGCTGCTGACTTTAAAGATGCAGGAAGGGACCATGAGCCAAGGGAATGCAGGTGGCCTCCAGAGGCTGAAAAAGCAAGGAAATGGATTATCCCTTCTAGCCTCCAGAAAGAAGTGCAATCCTGCTGTCACCTTGATTTTAGCCCAGGAAGACCCATGTTGGGCTTCTGACCTCCGGAAATGTAAGCTAATAACTTTGCCTTGTTTAAGCCACTAAACTTGTGTGGCTTATCCAGATAAATATATTTGATTTGTTTTTATTTTGTTTGTTTCTTTGATGCAAAAAGCTTGGCTTTGACTACAAAGAGAAAAGCCTGGAGGATGCAAAGCGCAAAATTTATGTCATTAACCACGAACTTGGGTAGAACATGAGATGCTATCTGAGCAGCTTTCTTCTTATCCAAAAGCAGATAAAAGTCTGCCCAGCTGAAGGGAGGGTGACGTTCAAAGGCCACAGGTTGGAGCCTGAGAGGGTCTCTGCCCACTCTGCTCCTTTCCGAAGTCGGCACCGAGAGATAGGGGCCATCCACACTGGAGAAAACTGCTCAGAGACCTGTATCCCACTCCCTGCCTGAGATTCTGGGAGAAAAGAGCCTCTTTGAGTGTGAGTCTACACAGAGTAGAAATATCCACCTGGGATATTTAGACAAAGATTCTGGGACACTCTCCCGAGTCTTCCTTTGGGGGTGGGAGTATAGCTGAAAGTTTCCTGTGCCTTGAAGAGGTACCCAGGATTGTCCTGATGTGCCAGCTGCCCCAGGGAGCTCTTGACAGTCAGACACAGAGGAAGCAGGATGACCTTCACGGATCAGAGAACCAGATGTCTCGGCAGCCCATGTGGTGAGGATGGGACCTCCCTGGACAAAGGAGAGGCTGACAGGTGACATCCGCAATGAATTCCAGCAGAGAGGCAACTGCGAGTTGTGTGCACCTTCCAAACACCACCATACTACACAGCAGCCCAGCAGGGAAAATCCTGAATTGAGTGAGTAGTTACCCAGAGGAGACTGTGTTTTAAGTTTAGAGTGACTAAATTTACTTTGAATTGACAAAATTAACTTTCCATCATCCACAACAATGGAGATTTAAGAGTCGACATTCAATCACATGGAAATAAATAAGGTTGCATGTTTGTACATAATTTTTTTTGTTAATAGCTTATTGGCTGTATGCCAATGTTTGAACAAAGATTATCTCAGGCTAGTGGGATTATTTATTTTTTCTGTATTTGCTAATTTATTTTTTGCCAAAAGAAACATGTTTGTTCCTTGACAAAAAGGGAGGAAATAGGGCCAGGTATGGTGGCTCATACCTGTAGTCCCAGCACTTTGGGAGGCGAAGGTGGGAGAATTGCTTGAACCCTGGGGTTTGAGACCAGCCTGGGCAATATAGCAAAACCCTGTCTCTTAAAAAAAAGTGTATATATATATTTATATATAAATATATATTATATATTACATATATTTTAAAACAGGGGGGAGGGGATATACATTTGTATAAAAATATGGGAAGCCCTAGTCTTTGGGAGGCCAGAACTATGCATTTATGAAGAGATTGTATTCTCAATGAGGAGGAGATCTTTGTTTTGTTCACCGATTTATCCCAAGTGCCTAGAACGATGTCTGGCACAGAGTAGATGCTCAACAAATATTTGTTGAATGACTTCCTCAAACAATTCACATGCCTCTACGACAACCTAGATGTCTAGTTTCCAGCGTTGATGACAAGCTTTTATCTTATTCTGTATGTTCCTAGGGACTTTGGTGGGAAGATCAGGAGGCTACATTGGGAATCACTAGCCAGACACCATGTCTTTTGAGGTTAACATTTCTGAGTTTGCAGCAGTGTTGAAATTAAGCTAGAGCTGTGGGCCTGTTGTTTTTGGCCTCTTGGCTTAGGAATCTCATGCATGTGCATCTCAGATGAAAGGTCCTTGACACTGACTTCTGAGTTTCTACCACCAGCCCCAGGAAGAGACCCCAAAGCACCAAGCTTCTTTGCACACCTCCTTCCTCTCTAGACTATGTCCCTCAACCTGGAAGAATGGGTGGGGGTCAGAATGGCACCATCCCAATTATAACCACAAATTAGAAAAGCTGGAAAGCTGGAATGAGCTTTAGGGGGTTGGGGAGAAACCACATTTGGGGAGGTCTTCTCTCTATTTCTTTCATTCTTTCTATATGACCTCTTCCCATACACAAACCCAAATCCTTGCCATCCCTCCCCTGCATAAAAGGAGCCGAGGGAACAGGTTTTTGTTACACCCAACTGTCTATAACGAAGAATGAAAGGTCCTGCCTCTTACCAGTTAAACCACCTTGGGAGAGACATAACTTCAGCCACCCATCATGAGGTCAGGAGATCGAGACCATCCTGGCTAACAAGGTGAAACCCTGTCTCTACTAAAAATACAAAAAATTAGCCGGGCGCGGTGGCGGGCGCCTGTAGTCCCAGCTACTCGGGAGGCTGAGGCAGGAGAATGGCGTGAACCCGGGAAGCGGAGCTTGCAGTGAGCCGAGATTGCGCCACTGCAGTCCGCAGTCCGGCCTGGGCGACAGAGCGAGACTCCGTCTCAAAAAAAAAATAAAAAAAAAAAAAAAATTCAGCCACCCATACACATTCCAATTTCTGTTCCCTCTTGGCCGCTGGCTGTGCCCCCATTAGCAGCACCCCTTACTGGCCCCTAGCACTGACAGTTTGTTGGTGTCCCCCACACACTCAACAGTCCCTTGGATTGTTCTCCCTTCAGATGATTGGGTCCCCTTCCTCAGCTAGTCCTTGTGCCCCCCAGCCCCTCAGGGCTATGGACACAGATGCTTCCAGTTGCTACCGGGCCTTCCCCAGCCCTGAGCTGATTGTGACTGGGCTGCCAGGATGTTGGGGGGCTCAGAGAGCTTGGCACGCGAGGCCCGCAGTGACCTGCACTGCTGTGGGCATAGGATCTACTGTGCCTGGAATGAGCCCTGAGTCCTCCCAGGTCTCATGTATTGACTTGGTCTGCCTAGCCTGCCTCCCGCTGCTGTTGCCTGGCCTGTGCCTTCCCTGTTGGGCCTGGAGCCCGCCCTAAACCCTGCCCCTTGGCCGTATGTTCCCTCTTGTTTAGCGGCCTCTAGCGTAGAGACTGGACTGTATAGTCGGCCCCTACTTCATTCTCCCAAAGCCACAAGTTACTGCCCCTACCAGATTCAGCACAGGCCACTTCTGCGGGGCAGACAGCCCAAATCCAGTCCAACTGCACCACTCCCTGTTATATAATGGATCTGTAGTGTTCCCGAGGGGCCAGACCTACAGCAGCCCCGGGACCAGTTCCCACAGCCGACTTCCTCCCGTTTCCCATTGCCTGGACCTCTGAGTTCTCAGCTGACGCTGTCAAATCACATTTAACACTTCAGGAGCTGAGCCATTGCCTGCCAGCATCATCCCAAGATCACAAACCTCTAAAACTTGGCTTCTTCATTCTCCACCGGGGCCTTGTGTAGCAAATGGCCTGCAACATCTTCCAGGCCCTGTCATCAGAAGAGCCAGCATTGTCTCTCAAACCCTTGGCCACTTCCCACACATTCCCATGGAGAGCTGCCACACTGAATGGAGTGACATGTGACAACTTACATGACAGTGACCGCATGGGAGATGGGGCTGGCTCAGAAAATGCCAGTAAACTATTTTTCAGTCTAATGTGTAATCATTAACCCCAATGCCTTCAACTCTGCGGATGGTAAGTGCACCTAATAATCAATGTTCTTATTCAACCAGCTCATTAGTTTTAAAATGTTCACTGCCTTCATCATTTGTTTTTGCATTCAGAACATTATAGAGGCAGGCCATTATATCAATTTATGGATTTTTAAATGCTTTATTATTTTTCAACATTCATGTGAAGGACAAATTGAGCCTCATTCAACATTCAAAGAAGGGCAAAAGCACAGACTGAGTGATGGTGGTAGTAGTGATGATGGCAATGATGGTGGTGGTTATGATGATGGCAGTCATGGTAGTGTTGAAAATAGTGATGATGGTGATCATGGTAGTGGTGATAATAGTGATGATGGTGGTGGTGGTGGTGGTGGTGATGATGGGGACGATAGTGATGATGGTGTGGTGGTGGTTGATGGTGTTTATGATGGTGATGATGGTGGTGGTAGCTGGTGGTGTTTATGATGGTGATGATGGTGATGGTAGTGATGGCAGCTACCATTTCCTGAGTGTTTACTCTGTGCCAGGTACTGTGCTAATCACTTCACCTGTATTACCTCTCTGAATTAAGGCATATTGTGGTCAGCAGCACATTGTAGAATGCCATCAAAGTTTGGTTATCTCCTCCAAACTAGACAAGAGCAGGAAAGAAACTGACAAATATCAATTGACACTTATGGCCACTATCTGGCTGGCTGACTGACTGTGGAGGTTCATCTGGATTGTCTGTTGTAGTAAAGGGAAAAAGTAAAGTGACTCCAATACCAGCCCATTACAGGGACCCAAGAAGCAATAGGGGACCCAGAGAGTAACACATGGCACCCAGGAATGAGTTAGGAACCAGAACTAACATGAAAGTCCTGGGTTAATCCCTGGGGCATCATATCTTTGCTCCCCCTTGAGGTGGAGATAAGCAAGTAATAAGTACATCATTTGGAAGATGGTAAGTAAGTTCTGCTCTTCCTACCTTAAGTCAGTTTTGTCTTGCAGAAATTATTGAGTTGTTCTAGCTAGGAAAACCTGGAGGGGGCAGAGGCTTGGCTGGAATGCGGAGTATTCCAGCTCATGCTGCCACAGATTGCTAAGCCAGGGGGGACAAAGGATTGTTGTCTGAATTCCACCTCTCCAAGGGAAACTGAATGTGTTTGGATGGATGTCAACCAGAAAGAGGCCAATGGTCCACCCAAGGCCAGATCTACTCACTGAGGCAGTTTAAAGTACAGAGAGTTAGCACAAAAGGCCAGAGCTCTGTTCTCAAGGAAGGCCCCAGAGTCAAGTTGCAAAGATCAGATCTCAGCCCTATGTCCAAAAGTGGTGACTGCAGAACTAAGAACACAGAGTGGGGGTAGACTGGATGACTTAAAGGCCAGGAGTGAGCTCGAGGGAAAGAAGAACTCCAACAATGAAAACACAGACAAGACCTCACAGAGGGGATGACATTAGGCTTAGCCTCAAAGGTATTTCCAGTCCCCCCAGGATGCCTTCTCAACTCCTTCCAGGTCATCTCACACTTTTCTCTTCCTTTACATCGACCACAGAGCCAAAATAAATCAGTAGTGAGGCTGTCAAGTTCTGGAGGCTCCCCCAGATCAGCCCCACTCTAAGCTTGGAGCTCACTTGGGTTACTGACTCTATGCCTACCCCATCTGCAGTAGACACAACCCCACTGTAGGCTTGGAGCTTATCTGGGCTGCTGGCTCCATGCCTGCAACATCTGCAGTGGACACAGCCCCACTGTTGGCTTAGAACTCACTTGGGTTGCTGTCTCCATGCCTGCACCATCTGCTATGGACACAGTGGACACAGGCCCACTGTAGGCTTGGAGCTCACTTGGGTTGCTGTCTCCATGTCTGCACCATACACAGTGGACCCAGCCCCACTGCAGGCTAGGAATTCCTACTCAGGTTGCTCTCTCTGTGCCTCCACCATTTCTGCTCCAACAGCTCCACTGTTTCTCTAGAGGCATTTTTTCATCTTTCCTCCTCCCTCTGCTGCTCCTTCTTCCTCTGCCCCTGAAACCTTAGCCTGTTCCTGTCCTTGCCCTTTACAAGAATCTCATTTGCAGCTGACACCCATCCTGCACTGTTAAGGAATCAATGGAAAGGCCCACCTAGAGCCCTGTGACTGAGCTCTCCTCCTTGGAGCCTCCTGTTGTCACCTTACTGTTTTCACCAGTGCTACTGCTTTCCATCAGCCATCCTCCTCCCACCCTGGTCCCTGAAAGGCCTGAGCCCAGATGCTTTGCTTCCAGGGTATTGGCCATTCACTCACACAAGTGAAACTTCCCACTCACCTAATAGCCAGAGAAGTTGTTATAGCCCCAAATCACATTGTTAGATGGTCATAGAACATGTTGCCTGTATCTTTCCTCTTTCCCTGAGATCATACTGGTTACAACTGTCACAAAATCAAAGCTCAGGAGGCCAAGGTGGCCAGATTATTTGAGTCCAGGAGTTCAAGACCAGCCTGGGCAACATAGTGAGACCCCCATCTCTGAAAAAAAAATTAATTGGTCATGTTGGCATGCACCAGTAATCCCAGCTACTCTGGAGGCTGAAGTGGGAGGATTACTTGAGCCCAGGAGGTCGAGGCTGTGGTGAGCTGTGATTGTGCCACTGCAATCCAGCCTGGGTGACAGAGCGAGCCCCATCTCCAAAAATAATAAGAAGAAAGAAAGAAAAATCAAAGCTCAGATGCCATCTATGTTGTCCTCATTTCTCTGATGCATTAGATTTCAATTCTGTAACTAAAAAGAACAAACTTCATTTCTTCCCAAGATGCATTCAGTAGTCAGCAAAGAGCAACTGAATGGCTGCTGGGCTTCTGTCCTCAAAACCTCTCTATTGGAGACTGACAGAGGGGACAGAGGCAAGTACATTACAGTGGGGTGATTTGGGGGATAAAGCTTAGCCCTGGGAGATGTGGGAGCACAGAAGAAGGCACAGACCCTGCTGAGTTAGGTCAGATAAATGCTGGATAGACGAATGAATTGACTCTGAACCTCGGGTGAGATGGCCAGCTGGAAAAGGGTGATGGGCATGTTTGAGTCACAGGCACCAGTATGCACCATGGTACAAGGACAGGAAATAGGAGGATGAGTTCAAGGAACCACAGTCTAATATATCAAGAATATTTCTGAGCGCCTTGTGTTTTCTCTGCTAGCACCATTACTATATTCCACATTACCCAACCCAGATAGCTACAATCTATCCCTGACTCCTTTTTTTTTTCCTTATCTCAACTTTCAGCTCAATTCCTGACAGTTATATTTTCTTTGTTTCTTTTTTTATTATTATTTGAGACAGAGTCTTGTGCTGTTGCTCAGGCTGGAGTGCAGGGGCTCGAGCTCGACTCACTGCAACCTTTGCCTCCTGGGTTCAAGCGATTCTGGTGCCTCAGCCTCAGTAGTAGCTGGGATTACAGGTGCACACCACCATGATTGGTTAATTTTTCTTGTATTTTTAGTAGAGATGTGGTTTTGCCATGTTGGCCAGGCTGGTCTTGAACTCCTGGCCTCAAGCAATCTGCCCACCTCAACTTCCCAAAGTGCTGGGATTAGACGTGAGCCACTGTTCCTGGCCCCTCACAGTTATATATTCTAAACATCTCTCAGACCCACTGACTTCTCTGCCACTTCCTGGCTTAGGCTTTCATACTATTCAGCCAGAATAACCCAAGAGTCTCCTAATTTCTCTACCTTTATCCATTCTTACTCTCTCAAATTCATCCTCTCTCATAACCATAGAAATCTGACCTTTTGGCCAGGCACAGTGGCTCACACCTGCATCCCAACACTTTAAGAGAGGAGACTGGGGTAGGAAGATTGCTTGAGACCAGGAATTCAAGACCAGCCTGGGCAACATAGGGAGACCCTCTCTCAAGAAAGAAGAAGAAGGAAGAGGAAGAGGAGGAGGGGAAGAAGTCTGACCTTTATATTTGCCATTGAACACTCGACTGAGAGACTATATAAACTATCTGAAAAAAATCCCAAACCTTCTGAATAAGGCATGTAAGCCTTTATATAACTAAGCCCTGTCTACTTGCTTCAAATGCCAGGCTCCAGCAAAGCCGAAATTGTGCTAATTGTCTGCTTTCACTGCTGTCTGTCACCTCCATGCTTTTGTGCATCTGTCCCCTCTCTTCCTTTACCTTTCTCACCCTTTGATTGCCAGCTCAGGGATCACCCTTCTAAAATTCTCCTTTGAATGCTCCCCACCACTGATATAATTCATGCCCCTTTCCCACGCTACTAAGATTCTCTGCATATTTCTAATGCTGGGCTTTCTCTGTAATTATTTGTTGACATGTCCATCTTCTCCACTGGGTTGTGAACACATTGAGGCCAAATACTAGCTCTTATTCATCTTTGTGTTCCCTGATCTAACTCAGTGTCTGGCATACAGTGTCAGGCATTGAGTGAAGACTCAAAATTGCCTAAACTAATTAAATAATGGCATTGGTGACTGATACTTCTAGTTACTAAAATAATGAATGCAGGGAAAAAAACTGGAATGATGAGAAAGATGATGAGCTCAGTTTGGACATATGGTTTGGAGCATCTGTGGGCTACAGAGAGTAGAGATGTCTGATGGGCATATGGATGCAGGAACTGGAGGTCAGGAGAGAGATCTGGGATGGGGATAGAAATATGAACATCACTGGTGTATAGAAAGTAGTTGAAGTCAAAGGTTCTGATTTAAAACAATATAGAAAGCACAGTAAGAAAAATGGACTAAGTTCTGATTCAAGCAGCAGAGACAGAAGAAAACAAAAATAACAACAATACCAAAAAAAATGGGCTATGCATGAAGCCTTATAAAATTTCAACATTGAAGAAACAAGCAATGGAAAAGACATCCAACAGAGATGCAACACCAAGACAGGGAAGAGACTGAAGAGAGATAAAATTAAGAAAGTTCCAACACGGAAGCCAAGGGGAAGGGAGGATATATTTTGCATGTTGTTCAGTCTTTGCTGGCTTTGGGACAAAATAAATAAACCCTAAGAACCTTGGGCAAATTCATTTGGCCTTCCCTCTCTCTTGCAGAAAAGACTAGCGTTCAGCGTTCCCTTGAATTAAATAGCTGTAATTTCTAGGGTGCTAAGGAAGAATGTTTTGGGGAAGAGTAGATGGACATAACTGAGAATCTGTTCAGCATTTCCATTGACTTCCCAAACCTCGTGCTAATTTGTACAGCCCATAGTCCATTTCCCATAATTTGAAATCGCTGTGTATTTGAATAGAAATATAATCCACATGTTCATGATTCATTTGCACTTTATGTAACCAAATGTTGGTCTGTAGCTGTTTGATGTCCAAGAGACCATCTGAAAAGTCTTTGCAGCCAGAAGTCATGAGTTGCCAAGAAAATTAAGAGAAAAACCTCAGCCAGCCCTATCTATAATCCAAGGCAGTCGGCAGGAAATGAATAGGTACAGTGTGAAAGACAGAGCATTCAAGCTGCCAATTGTTAGATCAGATCCATGTTCTATGTCTCAAGTTCCAGCCACTTGATGCTAAAGAAGCCATATCAACACACAGGCAATGCCTGGAGATGCACTGTCATTTATTAAACAGATTGGTTACTGTTGGACATTTAGGTCATTTCCAATTTTGTTATTACAAATTAAGCTAAAACAAAAATCTTGGTTGATAAATTTTTGCTCACATCTCTTTATTTATTTACTTTTTCAGACAGGGTCTCACTCTGTCACTCAGGTGGGAGTGCAGTTGTGCTGTCTCCATTCACTGCAACCTCTGCCTCCTGGGCTCAAGCAATCCTCCTGCTTCAGTCTCATGAGTAGCTGGGACTACAGGTGTGTTCCACCACACCCGGCTAATTGACATCTCTTATTATGCACTTCAGAAAAATTGCACTAAATTGTTTTCCTACAGGCAGTGAATGAACTTGTCTTTCTCAGGATACCTTTCCAAGCATGGAGCATCATCAATGAAATAATCCAATGGAATAACATAAAGTTATTACAAATCATGTTTCCAAAGACTATTTTACATAGTATGGGAAACTATTAATAACATAAATATAATTGCATTATTAAATATAGATAACAAAACAGGATATTTCCCTGACCTCTTAGTGGGACTCACAGTAGGAGGGACTTGTTTACTCAGCCCACCACTCTCAACTCCTCGTGGGAGGGAGCACGTGAGCAAACAAGGTGGGAACTAGGGTATATGAGTGCTGGAACCAGCTGGCCACTCCTGCATCGGCACTCGCTGGGACCCACTGTGTTCTACCCATCATGAGAGGGAGCACGCAGGTGGGCAGGTGTGGGAGCAGGGCAAGTGCTTTTCTATGCAGGCAGGAACAAACTTTGTGCAGGCCCTGAAGCAGCATCTGGGGTGGGTGATGCCTGCAACCCCTGAAGCCCCAGAGCTCTTTTAGCTCTGCCATCCATAGATGGCTTAAGTATTAACAGCTCAGTGGGCCCTTTGTATTTGCACTCATGGCTCTTGAGCTCTTATCTATTGTTCAGGAAAAATGAGGTTGCATGAATGAATTGAAGGATGGTAAATACAGGGGATTTTATTGTCCCCAGTGAAAGTGGCTCTCAGTGGGAAGGGGAGCTGAAAAGGGGATGGGACAAGTAAGTAATCTCCCCCTGGAGTCCAGCCATCTCTAGCTGGATTCTTCTCTGAAGTTATGCCATCAAGCTCTCTGAAGTCTAGTCACTTCTGTCTGATGTCCAGCCATAGTCCCCAACGTCCAGTGGCTTCTACCCTCTGCCAGCTGAGTCTGGGGTCTTTATAGGCACAGGATGGGATGGGGTGGGGCGATGGGTAATTTAGGAAAAGGCAACATTTGAGCAGGAAAACAGGGATAGAAGTTCTCACTTTGGGCCTCAGTCTCAGGCTTTTTGACTTGAGAGTGGGGCTTCGCCAGGGATCTGCCCCTGTCTGCCTAGAATTTCTCTGCCTCCTGTCACTATCAATAATATATAAGTATAAACTCAATTTTATTTAAATTATGACTTAGCTGTGATGTTTATTGTTATCAGTCAGACCTTCCAAAGTGACTCAGGGATCCAGGCTGTCTCCACCTTGTGTCTCCATCATCTTAACACAGTGTTTTCAGAGCTCCACATTGGAGGATGAGAAAGCACAAAGAATTATACAAGAGTTTTTCAACGCCTCAGGCCAGGAGTGGATATATGACATTTTTACTCATGATCTATTGCCTAGAACTTATTTTCTGACCACACCCAACTACAAAGCAGCTAGGAAGAGCATATGGATATTTAGTGAGTATTCATTATCTCAGCCACATTCTGGTCACCAAATGTCCCTCTTCTCCCTCCTTTCTCCACAAAACAAACAAACACTCACTGTTACTCCATGAGAGACAACACAAAGTCCCATCCCGTCCAGGCACCCAGCTCAAAAGATTAGAATCTCCAGAAGATGCACGGTGGTCTCTGCATTGAGTCAGATGTGGCTCCTCATGGTCGAGGGGACTATCATCCTAGAACAGGGGTCACCAAATATTTCCTCAAAGGGCCAAAGTGTAAGTATGTAAGGCTTGCAGGCTATAACATCTCAGTTGCAACTCCTCAACTCGCCATTGTAGCACAAAAAGCAGTCACAGACAGTATGCAAATGATGAGCTTGGCTTTTGTAAATAAATCTAACTTTATTTACAAAAACAGCCAGAAGGGTCCAGGTGCAGTGGTTCATGCCTGTAATCCCAGCACTTTGGGAAGCCAAGGCTGACAGATTGCTGGAGGTCAGGAGTTCAAGACCAGCCTGGCCAACATAGTGAAACCCTATCCCTATTGAAAACACACACACACACACAAAAAATTAGCTAGGTGTGGTGGTGCATGCCTGTAGTCCTAGCTACTCAGGAGGCTGAAGCATGAGAATCGCTTGAACCTGGGAGGCAGAGGTTGCAGTGAGCCGAGATCGTGCCACTGCACTCCAGCTGGGTGACAGAGTGAGAACCTGTCTCAAAAAAAAAAAAAAAAAAAAAAAAAAAAGAAGAATAAAAAATAGGCAAAAGGCTTGTAGGCTGTATTTGGCCAGTGGCCAATAGTTTGTCAACTGCTGATCTGAAAAGTCAAGTTACCTTCCTTCTACGTACCAGTATTCAGTGGTGGAACAGAGACAAGACAATAGCCATAAGGACTCTCATTCAAAGAGGAGAAAAATGGGAGACTCCAGCAGTCATAGAACCATAGAAATTCTGCAATCCTACTGGACAGCCATTGTGAGGACCTCTGACCTCGAGGGTGGGAGATGTTCCCTAGTTAGTCCTTTACCCTTTACGCTGCTCTCTGGAGGACACTCCCTTTTTTATTGTCCTCCAAGGACATATTTCAGAAGTTTCTTCCTTTTCCCTTGCCTCCTTGGCCTCATCTGAAGTAGGTTTCAGAAAATGTGTCCTCCTGGGGGGCTGCATAGCTTTCCCAGCCTGTTTGCCTCTTGGAGTCTCAAGAGTGGTTATAGGTCCCAAATAATCACAGGGCTTTTAAGGCCAGAATCATGCGAGGGGAGGTTGCTTTGTTTTGTTGGTGTACTGGTGTATGAGTCTCTAAGTTTAGCAGTCAGTTCCTCTTCCAAGAACCACACCCATTGTTCTTAGAAGGCTTGTTTTCCAGATCTGCCTTATTTCTTCAGTCTGGGCACCCCAGCTTCTTTCGCTCAATGTGTTGGTGGCTACCTTGAGGCAACTTGGAGCCATAGGTGTCAAGGCCACAGCTTTAATCTAATATTTGCTCTGATACATTGTAGCCAGAGGGAAATTTTAACAATAGGTATGGAACACACCCTTCATTTGAATTTGCCTTAATTCCAACTGGAAAGCACACCCTTAATTTGATATTTGCCTTTGGCCATTTAAAATCTTTCTAAATTCCATTACTTAGCATTTATCATCTAAAGGCAGTTAGCTTTTCAACTTTAATTTCTGGCCTTTATTTTCTTTTATTACTCCTAGAAACTAGTCAATTATTTTCTGTGCTTATCTCTTCCTTGTAAATTTTGTTAAGCACAGTAATAATCAGGACATGCTACCAACATTCTATTTTCAACCCCTTCCCCTAGAGCTACAAGTTCATTAGGAAGTGAATAAGCCTTCCAAGTTATCGCAGGCTAGTCTTACAAATATTTTACCACTGTACAGCAGGGGCTGCAGGGTTTTCAGTCTGATTCTGTTTCCTCACTGCTGCTGCCTAACCAATCTGTCAATGCACATATTTTAGTTTTTTTCCTCACTGCTGTTGCCTAGCCAATCTGTCAACGCAGCATTCCATTTCTACTACCAATTTCTAAATTAATTAGAACAAGTCAGGAAATATTATCATCACAAATTAATCCCAATATTCAGGGGTTTATACAAGTAACGTGTTTTCTCATAGGAAGTCTGATATGAGTTTGATGGCTCTTTATGGCATATAAAATGTATGTTAAGGAGACACATGAAAAATTAACAGTACAGGTACTTATATCCAGTATAAGTATATAGTGAGCATTTACTTAATCCAGTGAGCATTTATTATTTTTTAATCAGAAAAATTTGCAAATATTAAAGTCAATAGGTAATTCAGTTGCTTGGAGGGTATGGTTCCTAACAGTTAACTGACTTTTTCTTCTGACGTCTAGTCCTCTGAATGGGTCTTTCAAGATTACACATTAGGCCAGGCACAGTGGCTCACACCTGTAATCTCAGCACTTTGGGAGGCTAAGGTGGGAGGATTGCTTAAGCCCAGGAGTTAGAGACCAGCCTGGGCAATGTGGTGAAACCCCGTCTCCACAAAAAAATACAAAAATTAGCTGGGTGTGGTGGTGCACACCTGTAGTCCCAGTTACTCGGGACACTGAGGTGGAAGGATTGCTTGAGCCCAGGAGATGGAGGTTGCAGTGAGCTTAGATCATGCCACTGCACTCCACCCTGGGCAACAGAGCAAGACCCTGTCTCAAAAAACTAAAGAAGTAAAAAAGTTACACACTAGTATATAGGCCCCTCTCTCTACTGGAATGGCCCTCACTCTATGAAGTCTTCCCAATTACGAAGCATCCCTGAGTCTCTCCCTCTTCTGTTCTCTCACATTCCTATTTGTGTAATTACAGCATTTAGATATTGTATATTATTTTATAATATAGGAATATGCTTTTCTTTTTGCATTTCTGTTTCCATTCTTTTCCTAGGCAGTGTGAGGCATACACCTGCCTGGAGATGGGAGAAGAGGCAAGCAAGTACAGACCAGTAGAGTAGGAAGGCAACACGAGTCATTCAGCTTCTGGCATCTGCATAGGATTTTCTGGATCTCCAGCCATGCAGTAGTTCTATAAGCTAGATTTATTGCAAGAAAGAAAACCAATTGGTTTTCTTACCCCCATTCCTCTTTGGCTTATTAGGAGGCAGGCCTGGTTGCTAAACTTCATGATTCATTCCATAATAGAAAGCAAATACCTTCGGCCTTGGAGGGAGACAACGGCCTAAGATGCTACCCTAGGGGAGATGGTATAACATAGAAGAAGTAGAGATTGGAGCTAACATCTCTGGTCTCAAAGAATAATGGACAGAAGAGGAGATTGGTAAGAGAAGGAAAAAGGGGCATAATATTGACACAGGCTGTTTTCTTGACCCCTACATGGGACCCATGACAGGGGTGTCTTGTTTACTCAGCCTGCCATGCTCAACCCTTCATGGGAGGGAGCATGTAGGAAAGCAAGTGCAGGCTGCTTCAGTGCCAGCAGAATCAAACTCCATTTACTCGGACCCACTGCGCCCCACGCTTCATGGGAGGGAGTGCATAGGTGAGCGAGTGCTAGAACCAGCCAGCCACTTTGGCGCAGGCAGGAGCCAACTCCGTGCAGGCCCCATAGCAGCATCCAGGTGGGGGCATTTTCCTAAACTTCCCTAAAATATCAGGATTAATATATAGATAGAAACAGGAAGTAGAGAATCTCTAGGCAAGCAGGGGAGGGTCCCTGGCAAAGCTCGATATTCAAGCTGAAAAGCATGAAACTCATGGCCCAAAATGAGAACTTCTATCCCTGTGTGCCCACTCTTTCCCAATTGGTTCTTTCTGAATAATGTCTTTTTACCAACTGAATATTGCCTTTTCCAAAACTACCTACAGCCCATCCCACCCTCCATCCTGTGCCCCAGACTCAGCCAGTAGATGGGAGAAGCAGCTGGATGTCGAGGACAGGCAACTTGACTTTGGAGGAGAGAGGCAGAGAGGTGACTTGACTTCAGAGGAAAGCCCAATTCAAGCTGGAGTCGCCTCTCATATACAACCATAGGGAAATCATGACTTGCAGAACTTAAAGGGAAACCACATCAAAGTAAACTCATGATTTGGCAGGATCAGGGAGATGGGGCTTGAGTTGAGCACAAACAAGCTGCTTTTCATTCCTGTGTGCTGTGCTCATGATTGAAAAGTTCAATTTGTGGAAGAAGATAAGCAGAAGTTAGCTGAGGATTCAGCAGGAGAGTTTACTAGAGGAGGTCCCTGCTGTAGGGAGAAAGTGGCCTGTACCTGAAGGCAGTAGGGCAGCCACAGTGCCATCGAGAACTGAGGGGAGGTTTGGTCAACCAAGAAGGACTATACAGTACTGACCAGGCCAGATCACTAATCACTCCAGCCACAGACAACTATGGCCAGTATCAGCAGAGGGAGCTGGTCAGCCTTCAGCAGTCACCAGCCCAGAGCAGTCCAGGTGCCTCATGGCAGAGCTCAGCAAGGACCCTCCAGGACAACTCATGGACTCAAGAACCCGCCTTTTCCCCTGCTGTCATGCACAGTTTGTAAGCCCTCCACATGCACTACATACCATCTTGGGTTAGGGAAGGATGGTGGGGACAAACCTAAGAGATCAAAAATTTTACCTAAAGGGACTGTTTGAATTATTGCATCAGAATAAGATTTTATGGTTTATTTAAATCTAATTCATCTCCTCCCCATCACACCTTTGCCAGGTGGTAGAGATTTGTTAAGAAAATCATATAGCTGTAGAGAATAGGAGTCCTTTGTTTTGCACATTTAAATTGTAGTGTGAAGTTGGCATGGAACATACCTGTAGTCCTAGGTGCTTGGGAAGCTGAGGCAGTGGGACTTCGAGGTTACAGTGAGCTACAATCACACTGCTGCACTCTAGCCTGGGTGACAGAGTAAGATCCTATCAAAAAACAAAAAACAAAAAACCTGTAATCCCCAGCACTTTGGGAGGCTAAGGTAGGCAGATCACAAGGTCAGGAGTTCAAGACCAGTCTGGCCAACATAGTGAAACCCCGGCTATACTAAAAAAAAAAAAAAAATTAAAAAATATTAGCCAGGCGTGGTGGTGGGCACCTGTAGTCCCAGCTACTTGGGAGGCTGAGGCAGAATTGCTTGAACTTGGGAGGCAGAGGAGGTTGCAGGGAGCCAAGATCGCGCCACTGCACCCCATCCTGGGTGACAGAGTGAGACTCCATCTCAAAAAAAAAAAAAAAAAAAAAACTACAGTGCAAGTACATGTTCCAACTACAAGTAAATGGTGTAGTCTTTGCATATAACCCATACACATCTTCCTATATATTTTAAATCACATCTAGATTACTTATAGTACCCAATACAATGTAAATGCTATATAAACAGTTGTTATACTGTGTTGGTTTTTATTTGTATTATTATTTTTTTCTTTTTTAGAGATGGGGTAGCTCTCTGTTGCCCAAGCAGTGGTGTAATCAAAGCTCACTGCAATATCTCAAACTCCTGGGCTCAAGCAATCCTCCTGTTTCAGCCTCCCAAAGAGTTGAGATTACAGGCATGAGCCACCATGTCCTGCCTCATATTATTATTATTATTATTATTTTTTTTTTTTTTTTTTTTTTTTTTTTTTTTGAGACGGAGTCTCGCTCTGTCGCCCAGGCTGGAGTGCAGTGGCGCGATCTCGGCTCACTGCAAGCTCCGCCTCCCGGGTTCACGCCATTCTCCTGCCTCAGCCTCCCGAGTAGCTGGGACTACAGGCGCCTGCTACCACGCCCGGCTAATTTTTTGTATTTTTAGTAGAGACGGGGTTTCACCGTGTTAGCCAGGATGGTCTCGATCTCCTGACCTCGTGATCCGCCCGCCTCGGCCTCCCAAAGTGCTGGGATTACAGGCGTGAGCCACCGCGCCCGGCCTCATATTATTTTTTTATGGTCGTATTATTATTTTTTATTGTGAGTTTTTTTCTCCTACATTTTCTATTCATAGAGATTTATAAGAGTTAGAGATGAGAAAAGGGTTTTTTGGAGAAAACTGGTGGTGTTCTCTGTCCTTTCGTCATCCCTAAAGAGGGATGAGAATATGTCCCCCTCTACCTGAAGTTAACAGAAGAGAGCTTCAAGGAGGTCACCCAGGGATATTGATTAGCACCTTCTGCCATTTGAAGGAAACCCAGTACTGGTGCTGACTCCCACCTGGAAAGGCTAAAAAGAGAGAGAAATGAGGAAATATTGAGTTGCTGCTTTGGTGGCAAGAAGAAAGAGTGGCTTCATGGGGCTGGATCTATGCACCCAGAATTTGTTGGAGCTGGAAGAGTCCGTGGCTGTTCCTTTGGGCCAGATGTGGGCTACAAGAAGGAGAGAGAGAGAGAGAGAGAATGTGGGATCATCCTCAGCCCCATCTAAGTGGTATCCTTGAAAGAGAAGACAGACCTCAACAGCAGGAACCCAAAAGTATGGGGGATGCCCGGAGGCTGAGAGCAAGCAATGAGTTGGATGAGAGACCAATCTGCCTTCCATAGAAACCCTAGGAAAGACCCCACAGAGTGGGAGATCCCCAAGGAAGTCTCAAAACACTCAAGATAGACAGTGACCTTGGCCATCTGCCAAGACCAGAGAACCCAGAAGCTAGATCTCTCAGAACTGGTGTCGAGAAAGAACTTTCCTGATGATCTCATTTATTTTCCTGCCCTCAAACTTCAACCCCAAAAGGGTCGGAAACTGCAGTTGGCGAGGTGGAGAAGCAAATCTACCAGGGGCCTCCTGACAGCAGTGAGCCGAGCTGGAGGAGGAGGAAAGATTCAACTTCACATTAAGTTCAGAATTTCATTATGACACGGAAAAACAACATTGTAATTGCCTAAACTGAGCCTGTGTTTGGCAACATAAAGTGGTCCAAGATCACTTTACCAGCTAAGGGACCAGTGGAGCAGCGTTCATCCTGGGGACAGGAGGAAGCGTCTCCCTGGGACTAGACTAAAGGGCCCCTGCTTGGGCGGTAGGAATGAAGGCACTTTATCAATCCATTACTTGCTTGTTCCATGTCTGGGATACATAAGGAAAACAGAAAGGAGGAGAGGCAGGTACATAGGGAAAGAGAGATAACAGAAAGGGAGATAGGAGAAGTGGCAGGGAAGAGACGGGCAGGGGAGGAGAGAGAAGAGGTGAGCAAGTAACCATTAAGAGTAATAGAAAAAGAAGACACAGGAAGAGAGGAGGAGAGAAATAAGCAACGGGTCCATGCCCCCATCTACCCTTTATCTTCGACTTTTGTTTGCCACTTGTAACAGGAACTGTCCTGTCCTGCCCAAATTTCCTCTGTGGCTTCCTACTGCAAGTACCTGGGGCTTCCCCTTAGGGCTTTCTCTCAGCCCACTCCCTGCAGCAGGACAAAAAAGCCAAGGAGTTCCCGTCCCCAGAGCAGTCCTCAATCAAAGACAGATGTGAGATGAGAAGCAAATCTCCCCACGTGCTCACCCCTCAGGTGGGGTTTTGCTGAGGCACATCCTGCCTCTCAGGTTCTGTAGTGGTATGGAGTTCCAGCTGCCCCCAGTGCTACCTGCTTGGTAAAAAGCACCTTTTATTGACTTGCCTCTCTTTCCTGTCTCATATCACCTCTCAAATGAGCTGTTTGCACTCACATCCTTGTCTGCTTCCCATCTCTATCCCAGAAGTAGAGGCCACTCCCTCCCCTCTGTCTCCCAGGGGGACCCTAACCTCCTCCTCTTTCCATCTCCAGCCACCTGCGGCAGGCCTCTGTTGAATGTCTCTAACCCATAGCATTATCCCTACTTGGAGGGAAGGAAGGATGTAAAACCAAGATGCTTCTCTCACCATTCTCCCACCCTTCCCAAAGGGAGACCAGATCTCAGCTCAGGGGATCCCGCCAGCCCCAAGCAAGCCAGGCAGTGTCCTGGTGTGGCAGCTCACAGGCCCTGGCAGTGCATTTCAAGGGTGGTGCTGCTTCCTGCCCGTCTGTTTGGGAGCACATTCAGGAGACGTGAGCAGATGTTTGGCAAATGTTCAACCTTGTCCATGTCAGCCAACAATAACACAGCACAGAGACGATGCAGGGATGGAGGAAGGGAGGATACTTGCTTAGCAGCTAGGGATGGCCACAGGAGACACCATCTCCAGCTCCTTCTGGGTGGGAGGGAGGCAGAGTGTTCATGCATGACTTGCATGCGTGAGTTAGAGCATGGGACGCATAGTGCCAGTATTCTAGGGTGGAGTCCTGGGGGGATCCGCCTGTTTTTCTCAGCTCCCCAGACAAAGCCCACAACCCCAATGCCAGCCTGGCTGCCCAGGGAGGCCTGCAGAAGCTGCAAGAATTTGGGTTTATCAGAAAGGGAGGGCCTGGGCAGGACAAGCTAACATGTGGCCCACGATCCCCTCCTGGACACAAGAGGGCATCTCGAATGCTCTTCCCACAGAGACTGGACATTTCTCTAATCTTTTTCAGCACAGGGCTCCGGAGAACCACTACCCATTGACAGAGCTGGGGAGACGAGTCCCATGCACTGTCCGTCCGGGCTGGAGGGATGTGGCGGGCGACTGAGTTTCCAGGGGTGCTGAGGCACCTGTGGGTGCTCAGGGAACTAAGAACCACCTTCTTAAGACATTTTTTATTTTAAAGTATTTAATGGGCCGGGCGCAGTGGCTCACACCTGTAATCCCAACACTTTGGGAGGCCAACGTGGGCGGATCACAAGGTCAGGAGATCCAGACCATCCTAGCTAACATGGTGAAACCCCATCTCTACTAAAAATACAAAAAAAAAAAAAAAAAAATTAGCCAGGCGCGATGGTGGGCACCTGTAGTCCCAGCTACGCGGGAGGCTGAGGCAGGAGAACGGCGTTGTGTCCGGAATTGGTGGGTTCTTGGTCTCACTGACTTCAAGAATGAAGCCTCGGACCCTCGCGGTCAGTGTTACAGTTCTTAAAGGCGACGTGTCCGGAGTTTGCTCCTTCTGACGTTCAGATGTGTTCCGAGTTTCTTCTTTCTGGCGGGTTCGTGGTCTCGCTGGCTCAGGAGTGAAGCTGCAGACTTTCGCGGTGAGTGTTACAGCTCTTAAGGTGGCGCGTCTGGAGTTGTTCGTTCCTCTCGGTGGGCTCAGTGATCTCGCTGGCTTCAGGAGTGAAGCTGCAGACCTTCGCGGTGAGTGTTACTGCTCATAAAGGCAGTGTGGACCCAAAGAGCAAAAGAACAAAGCTTCTTGTGGAAGGGGACCCGAGCGGATTGCCACTGCTGGCTCTGGCAGCCTGCTTTTATTCTCTTATCTGGCCCCACCCACATCCTGCTGATTGGTAGAGCCCAGTGGTCTGTTTTGACAGGGTGCTGATTGGTGCGTTTACAATCCCTGAGCTAGACGCAGAGGTGCTCCACGTCCCCACTAGATTAACTAGATACAGAGTGTGGACACAAAGGTTCTCCAAGGCCCCACCAGAGAAGCTAGATACAGAGTGTCGATTGGTGCATTCACAAACCCTGAGCTAGACACAGGGTACTGATTGGTGTGTTTACAAACCTTGAGCTAGATACAGAGTGCCGATTGGTGTATTCACAATCCCTGAGCTAGACATAAAGGTTCTCCAAGGCCCCACCAGAGTAGCTAGACACAGAGTGTCCATTGGTGCATTCACAAACCCTGAGCTAGACACAGGGTGCTGATTGGTGTGTTTACAAACCTTGAGCTAGACATAAAGATTCTCCACGTCCCCACCAGACTCAGGAGCCCAGCTGGCTTCACCCAGTGGATCCCGCACCGGGGCTGCAGGTGGAGCTGCCTGCCAGTCCCGCGCCGTGCGCCGGCACTCCTCAGTCCTTGGGTGGTCAATGGGACTGGGCACCGTGGAGCAGGCGGCGGTGCTCATCGGGGAGGCTCGGGCCGCACAGGAGCCCACGGGGGGTGTGGGAGGCTCAGAATGGCGGGCTGCAGGTCCCGAGCCCTGCCCCGCGGGAAGGCAGCTAAGGCCCGGCAAGAAATCGAGCGCAGCACCGGTGGGCTGGCACTGCTGGGGGACCCAGTACACCCTCCACAGCCGCTGGCCCGGGCGCTAAGCCCTTCATTGCCCGGGGCCGGCAGGGCCGGCCGGCTGCTCCGAGTGCGGGGCCCGCCAAGCCCACGCCCACCCGGAACTCCAGCTGGCCCGCAAGCGCCACGCGCAGCCCCGGTTCCCGCTCGCGCGTCTCCCTCCACACCTCCCTGCAAGCTGAGGGAGCCGGCTCCGGCCTTGGCCAGCCCAGAAAAGGGCTCCCACAGTGCAGCGGTGGGCTGAAGGGCTCCTCAAGTGCTGCCAAAGTGGGAGCCCAGGCAGAGAAAGCGCCGAGAGCAAGCAAGCGAGGGCTGTGAGGACTGCCAGCACACTGTCACCTCTCAGCGTGAACCTGGGAGCTTGCAGTGAGCCGAGATCGCGCCACTGCACTCCAGCCTGGGCGAAAGAGCGAGACTCCATCTCAAAAAAAAAAAAAAAAAAAATTTAATTGACAAATAGTGTATACATTCAAAGTATACAACATTATGATTTGATATAAATATACACTGTGTAAGTTTCCCTGAGGGCAGGAAAACTTATCCCAAGTTGTGTCACCAGGGTTAAAATACCATCATTAGCATAGCTAACATTTATTGAGCACGTACTATGTGCCAGACACTCTTCTAAGCACTCTTTTTCATGCATTAACCAATGTAATTCTCATATAACCTGTAAGCCAGGTACCATCATTATCTGAGTTTTTACGGAAGCAGAAACTGAGTCATGGAGAGGTTAACTTACCCAATGATACACAGTTGGTAAGTAGGAGAGCCAGGCACTCTGAATCTGGAGCCAGAACACTTCACCTGTAACTTAACCTCTCAGGCAGAAATCCTTCATGAATTTTTGTTGGCTAGAATTGAATCAGTAAGATTGGAGATTGAGCAATACTGTAGTGTATCATGGGGAGTGACCCTAGGAGTGCTCAATCAAACCAAATAGCACATCTCTTATCACCCACGTGGATCTGTACATGAGATCCCTAGAAGTTGTTAATCGTATAAAGTTTGTATCCTCTGAACAATATCTTCCCATTTCCCTCACCTCCCAGTCCCTGGGAACCACCATTCTACTCTCTGCTTCTGGGAGTTTGACTCTTTCAGATTCCACATGTGAGTGAGATCATGCAGTATTTATGTTTCTGTGTCTGGCTTATTTCACTTAATGTCCTCCAGATTCACCCATGCCTTCACAAACAACTGCGGTCCCACCATAGACTCATAGCAGGGATGGGGGGATGCCCAGCTCCCAGGCTTCCTCCACAGTCCTCACCACTGCTCCCTGCTCCCCAAGACTGGATGGTACCTGAGCTGAGCAGTTCCCCTGGCACCTTGCCTCCTTCCCTCCCACTCACTCAGACATGGTTCTGCAGAACGTTCTCCCTGCAGACATGGCTCTTCCTGTCACCTTTGGATGGTACATTTGAAGCAGGTCTCAACATGGAACTTGAGGGCACACCTAGGGTCACTCCCCATGATACACTACAGTATTGCTCAATCTCCAATCTTACTGATTCAATTCTAGCCAACAAAAATTCATGAAGGATTTCTGCCTGAGAGGTTAAGTTACGGGTGAAGTGTTCTGGCCCCAGATTCAGAGTGGCTGGCTCTCCTACTTACCAGCTGTGCAACACTGGGTAAGTTAATCTCTCCATGTCTCAGTTTCTACTCCAGTAAAACTCAGATAATGATGGTACCTGGCTTACAGGTTATACGTGAGAATTACATTGGTTAATGCATGAAAAAGAATGCTTAGAAGAGTGTCTGGCACATAGTACGTGCTCAATAAATGTTAGCTATGCTAATGATGGTATTTTAACCCTGGAGACATAACTTGGGATAAGTTTTCCTGCCCTCAGGGAGCTTATGGTCAAGCATGGTAGACAGAGGTAAACACACCATACAATTCAGAGTGACAAGTGCTGTAAGAGAGGAAGTACTAACTCATGTGCTCCACTGGACAAATCAGTCCACCTCTCCAAGCTTTCATTTACCTGTAAAATGAGGGAGAAGGAAGAACTAGCATTTAGCAGTATGAGCCAAGCCCTGGGCTGAACATGGGGGATGCGGATATTAAAATCATATGTGTATACCCACAGCATCTGTATTTGAGGGGCTCATAGTTAAGTGGAAGAGAGACAAATATTTAAAAATTAGAATGCAGCAATGCAAGGCAGAGATACATACAAGAGACCCAAGCAGTCTTGACAATTATTATTCTTATTGACGTAGTTCTAGACAGGATGCTCAGTGCTTAACCACACAACTCCACTTAATCTGCACAGGAAGCCTGAGAGATGGGTAATATTTTAGCCCTCTTTTTAACCTATGAAGGAATGGAGGCCCAAAGTGGTGCAATGACTTTCCAAAGACATGCAGCTGGGAAGCGAACAGTGTCCACACTGAGTTGTCTGATCCCAGAGCCAGCACTCAGAACCATGATCTCCTCCTGCTTCTCTCAAATACGTTGTCTCGTTCTATTTAATCTTCTAAACAACTCTGAGAGGGAGCTAGTAATCCTATAGAGAAAACTGAGGCTTCACGAGGGCAAAGTGGCTTAGCTGAGGATGGTAAGTAGCAGCGAGGGCTTTGAAATCACTATTCGGCACATCATGCAGGACCCCTGGACCTGGGGTTTAGGGTACAATTTCTTGGAGGGACCTCCAGGCTCCAGATGCAATGTTTATAAAAAGTCCCAAAGGGGCTGTAGGCTAACCTGAACTTCCTTTGTCGCAAACCCTAGGAATGCTGTTTTATTCAGGTTTTACACGTGCCTAATACACGGTTTTCTTTATAAAGTCAAAAAACATTGAATTCATACTCTGACCACAGTGTTTTTATGGTTTTTCCCCTCTTAGAATGTACATTTTGAAAACTGAAAACCCCCTCGTATTTTGCAATAAGCTCAATATTTGAGCAACTGCAAGTGTTGACTTGTTAGCATTATTAACATTGACATCTCGTGGCCACTTTGGAAAACTGCAAGATCAAATTGGCAGGACAGAAACCAGGCCTCCTTCCAGGTTGCAAAACCTCTTCAAGGTTCATCAGTCTCGACTTCTCAGCAGACACTGTCACCAGAGGGGGATCTGTTCAGAATTTGCCTCTGTCTAACCCCTGGGTTTAGGTGGGTCCCTTCTCCTATCTGGGCCTATCTTCCTCACCTGTAAAATGACCGGGGAAGCCAAATCAGCTGGTCCTTGTAGGTTCTGACACTCTATGGTTCTGTCATTGCCATCCAATCAGATGAAAGGAAAATGGTATCTCATTGCTGTCTTCATTTGAACATGTTTTGAAATGTTTATTGGATCCTCGAATTACTTCTTTTAGAGTTGCCAGTTTAAGCCTTTGCCTTATTTTTCTAATGGGGTGTTTACAGTTTTATCTTGCATTTGTAGGAGTTCCTTATATATTAACCAATTGACTTCTCTGCGACATCATCTCCCCATAGGAATTGAACCCAGTAATTTAGCCAGGCTCTCCTTACGCCAAGTCTTCAAGATAACTGAATTTATATTGAATTATTATCAAATATAGAAATACTTATAAATAGTTGTAGTTCTTTTTTTTTTTTTTCTTTTGAGACAGGATCTTGCTCTGTTGCCCAAGGTGGAGTTCAGTGTCATTACCATAGCTCACTGTAACCTCTAACTTCTGGGCACAAGTGATCCTCCCACCTCAGCCTCCCAAGTAGCTAGGACTACAGGCATGTGCCGCCACACCTGGCTAATTTTTTTTAATTTTTTGTAAAGATGGGTTCTATGTTGCACAGACTGATTTCAAATTCCCAAAGTACTAGGAGTACAGGCATGAGCTACACCGGGGCCTACACAGTTGCTCTTAAAAACAAAGCTATTTTCTTTTGAAACAGCTACAGACAAATAAGGAGACGTTGAGTGTATTTACTAATGGAAAAAACAGTGTCTCTATTATTTTTTGCCTTTGAAGGGATATTGGGGAAAAAAATCTGCCAAAACCCATTAATCAGACTTCAGCTTTGTTCTCCTCAGGTTTAAGCCTTTGGGGGCTTTCACCAACTGTAATTTCAGACTCACAAATGACCTCCTTCAATTACCTCATACCCCTCACTCCCAGACTAACCTTCCTTTCCTGTCCTATCTCTCCCTTGCTCAAAAATATGTGGTGGCTCCCAAATGCTCCATATATTAATATAGACTGCCACACTCTGACCCCTCTACCTCCTTCAATGTCTCATCTCCCTTCTGACCCTCTCTGCAGTGGAAGCCTTAAAGGTAGGAACACATTTACTCCCCACTGGATCCCCAGTGTCTACCTCAAGACCTGGTATAAAATAGTCAATGATGTCTGCTGGATCTGGTTGAATGCAAAAATGTCTACTGTATATGGGAAAGGAGTCGAGTCCTCCTCCAGGTATGGAACCAAATGTGATAAAGATGAACTCACTTACTGACTGGGATGTACACATATTAAATTCATAGGAAGGTGGAGGGGGAGCAACAGAGGCCCTTTCACACGTGGGCACCTGCTTTTGCGTAGCTAACATATCCAGTCCTCTCAGAAGCCCTCAAAGGTGAAGTTCTTGGAGCTAGGACATGGAGAACCCTAGCCACTGGGCTCGTTGGTTTCTTCCTTGCTCCCGCTGGCAGGATGCTAAAGGTGCTCTTCAATCCCAAAGTTGTATTTGCTATCAGTTACCCAAGACTTAGGTGAGTGTGATAGAGACAAACAGCCTAGCAGATGACAGCACTGTAGGTGGGTTGCAGCTATATCCACACCAAAACAACCTCCACTCAGGGACCAGACATTCCCAGATGACTGCTTGTCACCTTTCCTGTGCACCTGTTTTTCCTACTGGGTTTGAATCTCAGGGAGAGGCATGTGCCCCAAATCTGAGTGTCCACCTTCTCCTTCTCTCCTGGCCTTATACCCACCAAGCTATAGAGTCCTGTCTCTCTCTTCCTGGCCTCTCTCTAACCCATGCCCTTTTCCCAGTGCTTCCTGACACTGCCTTAGTTCAAAGCCGCATCAGTTCCTCCTCCCGTGCCTCCATAATCATCTTTTTAAAGTAAAATCATGACACTTTCCTCCTCAAAGCCTTTCACAGGCTGACCATCACCTTCAAGATCAAATTCAAGTTCGATAATTGATACATGAAGCCAAGAGTGATATTCAAAATAGTTAACCACCTCTATAGTTTTTCTTGAGTATCACTGGATATTAGCCAAATAAAACAAACTCCAGGCACCATGGTGGGGTAGGGTCTTGCAGGCCCCACCATTGGGCTGAACATTAACCCTTTAGTTGCTGGTTGTAGGGAAATCCAAGGGTCTCCAGGGAGGTGCCAGGGTTACAGGGGGCACTTTAGGGGCTTGAGTCAGTAGCTATTTTCCAACCAGGTTGGAGACATTATCGTATTTTAACAGCCAGTATAGCCATGCTGAGTGTACCAGCACACAGCCCATTTTGAATGTCTCTTGCCAGTCCCCACTTCTCCCCAGGAGAGGTGTTGGCCCTTTGCAAACGCAGTCTCCTTTGCCTGGAATGCTCTTCCCATGTGTGTCCTTTCCAGCTCAAGTGTCATCTGAAGGCAGGCTTCCCTGGACTCCAGGTATAAGTAATGCGGTCCTTCTACTGGGATTTCAGCATGGCCTGTGCGTAATCACACAGATGGTCTCCTCTTCCCTCTCTCTTGCATTTGCAGAGTCCTTACCTTGTTCCTTACTGTCAAACAATTCATAAACATTTGTTCAATTGAAAGAAAGTGAACCTTAGAGCTGGGAGGAGCCCATTGTCCATGACTCAGGACAAAGCTGTGCAGGCATCGTTGCAGCAAGTGACTCAGTGGCATTTTCTGTATAATGAATGACTGCACACAGCACGCAGGATGCTCTCCACAATTTGTGATTGTGCACCCTTCCCAATAAGCAATCCTTTTGGGTATTTGCTACACACATACATTTATATGTAATTCTATTAATAAATTTTACTCATGCCCATTAAGCTAAAATGTCATGTACATTTAAAAACATTTTGTCTCAAAAAAAGAAAAAAAACTAATATTTTGTCAATTTTACACAATGAAGTGTAAAAATAAAAAGATAAACTTTTTTAAAGGTAAAAAATAAAAACTATTTTGGATCGTATAAAGCACACACACATTAATGCACTTTAAAGGATAAAATAATGATATACGCAGAGTTCTAAACTCTTCTTTTCACATCTCAATGAGCATCTCTGTGCCCCACACTGGAGGTCGCTGCAGAGGTGCTGTGTGCCAAAGTCACTGTACACAGGTCCATACAGCGGCTGCATCCTGGAGAGCCAGTCTCCCCCTGCCAATATTCTAAGTTTCCATCAAAGTCCAGCTCAGATGCTAAAAGCAGATTATTAATATATCTGGAAGTCATGTTAGAGACCACATATTCTAATCTCTATAGGACACAAAAAAAGGAAAGAAAGAAAAGGAAGGAGAGAGAGAGAGAGAGAGAGATAAATACCCATTTTACAGCATCCTTTATAAATGGCAAATAAAAAACAGCTAGAAGTAGGTCTAGACTATTGGTCCTTAAATAGCAGACCCCTCCCAGGGACATTTAGCAATGTTTAGAGACGCTTTGTGTTGTCATGAGTGGAGGGGTGCTACTTCATCTAGTGAGCAGAGGCCAGGGATGCTGGCAAACATCTTATAATGCACAGGAAAGCAACCACAACAAAGAATTAGAAAAAAAATTAGATTAGAAGGCCCTTGTCCAGAAGAAGGGATAGAAGAATCTGACTTGGTCCTGCCCCAGCTCTGCTGTTTAGGAGCTGTGTCCCTGAACAAATCTCTAAGCCTGGCTCCTCTGTAAAAGTTACGGATCCATTCATCTGTTGATTCATTCATTCATTCACTTAACAGATATTTCCCAGGAAATGGAGATAAACAGCAAAGAACAAGACCTGGTCTAACCCCAGAGAGTAGTGAAAATTAAATAAGAAAATGAGTATAAAAGCCCTTTATAATTTTGAGGTGCACAACAGACCCAAGGTAGAAATACTGATTTGTAAATAACACGAGGTGATGCATGTAGGTGCTCACTTTCTAGTTATTTATTGTCTTTCTTCTATTCTGAGAAGTACAGACTTCTCTTTTCCATCTTTTAACGTCTCTGAACTCTGTCTGTGTACATTAAAATGAAGTGCTTCACAATCACCGTCAGCCAGGCGGCAGTCACGCCCCCAGCAGTCACTGTAGTCAGTCACTGATTACCTGAGTGCGAACTTGGTCGGTGGCACTAATTCCTGGTTACACTAAAACTGAGACAGAATAGGGAGTTAGGGTAACCAAGGGTTAAGGCATGGGCTCAGCAACATGGACTTCCACTCACCAAGGCTGACCTGGCTACAGGTCAAGTGCCCAATTTACCAGCAGCAGTGACCAACACTGAGCCCTTGATATGGCACCAGTCCTTGGTTCTAGGCAAGATTAGGCAGCATAGAGGCCACAACCTCACTCCTGTGATAACAAGACAACAAGTTTCTACTTCAGCCTCTAATTGGCTGCGGGCAGTCTCCACTTCCGCCTCTGATTGGTCATGGGCCAAGTCTCCACTTCAGCCTCTGATTGGTCGTGGGCCAATTATTCATAAGGTGTAACCCTCCACAGGGCACCAAGGGGTGTTACCAAAATTCTTCTAGCTTAGTTTAAACCCTAACAAACATTGTAATCGGGGCTCTTGAGCCTCTTGCCCAAGCCTGCTTGTGCTTTATAGAGTGTACTTTCACTTAAATAAATCTGTGCTTGTATTGCTTATGGCGTTGCTTCATTCTTTTGTCACTTTGTGCATTTTGTGTTGCTCTGTTTGTGCACTTTGTTCAATTCTTTGTTCAACGTGCCAAAAACCTGGAAAACTCATAGTCAAGACTTTCCATCTGGTGGAAACCTCTCGGTGTTCAGTCAAGAAGCCATTGGAGGATCACTTAGGAAAGGATCAAGAGCCCTGATGTTGTCTGAAGCTTTCCGTGGATATCTTACGGTAGGAGCAAGAATGCACTGAAATTGGTTTAGATGCTTTCAGGTGGCTCACACTGTTAAAGAATGTCTTTCCCCAGCTGAAGCCCAAACCCACCTGGTCTCACCCCTTGGAGACACACAGGCAGACCTAACTCTCAGCTAAGCCAGAGGTTCTCAACCCAGACTGCACATTAAAATAAATTAGCAAGTTTTACATCACATGTTCTCACTTATTTGTGGGATCTAAAAATCAAAACGATTGAACTCATGGACATAGAGAGTAGAAGGATGGTTACCACAGGCTGGAAAGGGTACTAGGGACCTGAGAGGGAGGTGGGGTTGGTTAATTGGCACAAAAAAGAATAGTTACAAGGAATGAATAAGACCTACTATTTGATAGCACAACAGGTGACTATAGTCAATAACTTAATTGTACATTTAAAAATAACTAAAAGAGTGTAATTGAATTGTTTGTAACACACAGGATAAATGCTTGAGGGAACAGATACCCCATTCTCCATAATGTGATTATTTCACATTGCATGCCTGTATCAAAACATCTCATGGCTAGGTGCGGTGGCTCACGTCTGTAATCCCAGCACTTTGGGAGGTGGGTGGATTACCTGAGGTCAGGAGTTCGAGACCAGCCTGACCAACATGGAGAAATCTCATCTCTACTAAAACTACAAAATTAGCCAGGCGTGGTGGTGCATGCCTATAATCCCAGCTACTCGGGAGGCTGAGGCAGAAGAATCGCTTGAACCCAGGAGGCGGAGGTTGTGTTGAGCGGAGATAGTGCCATTGCACTCCACCCTGGGCAACAAGAGCAAAACCCCATCTCAAAAAAAAAAAAAATAAAATAAAAATCTCATGTACCGCATAATATATACACCTACTACGTACCCACAAAAATTAAAAATTAAAAATGTTTTTAAAATTTTTAATTAAATTTAAATCAAATAAATTAGTGAGTTTTTAAAAATACGAATACCTGGGTTCCACTTCAAATAAAATAAGAAGCTCTGGGGTGGGCCCAAGCATCTGTATTTTTTTAATGTCCTACCCTAGAAATGCTGATTGAATGGTCCAGAGTGCAGCCTGGGCCGCGGGCTTTTCAGTATTCTTCAGGAGATTCTAATGTGCAGCCAGAGAGACTTGCTGAGGAAAGCCTCCTCTGACCACCCTAAGGAACCACTGCTTCCTCCTCCACCTCCTAACACAGTGGGTCTTCGCTGTGGCTGCACATGGGAACCATCTAAAGAACACTGACAAAGCCCAGTGCCCAGGCTGTACCCCAGACCATTCAATCAGAATTTCTGGGCTCAGACCAGGAATCAGTAATTGTTACAGTTCCCAGAGTGAATGCAACGCATAGCCAAGGCTGGAACCACTGCCCTAAATCCTGCAGTACTTGATGGAAAATGCTTGCCTTCTTGAAGAGGGTCAGTCTGCATTGACTGAAACTGCATCTATTTAAAACACATTTACAGCCCATGTTCTACCTCTCAGTATACATATTTGTGAACCGGCCTGTTTACCTGTATCTATAAGACTTGGAAACCCTACATCCCTTTATAATACCCTACACATCACAGGCACTCAATGAGGAATGAACAGATGAACAAATACATGGAAGGACATACATTTATTTTGTCAGGAACTATCTAATCACATGGGTGCCACAACTAATGTGCCAGTTTCAAAGACAAGGTAGAGATTCTGCAGCTTAAAAATCATTACAAAATAATAGGTTACTGATCAGGTAGAGGTCCTGACCTGGAAAGCCAAAGGTAGAAACAAAAATAGGATGTTTTACAAAGGTGGAAATGTTTAATTCCAAGGTAAGGCCACAGCTCAGAGCTGTCAGTTTTTTGTGTTTTAGTACATTCAAGAGGGAAACTGTGGTACCAAAAATTCAGTATAGGTCCAACAGCTTTATTACATAGACATAACTTTAAAAAGTAACGCACTGTCCTTGTAGACAATGAAGGATATAAGTAGAGGAAGCTGAGTTCTTCAGAATTTGTTTATCAACAAAAGGCTATTGTTTGTCACTTTCAAATACTAATTATTCTCCAGAGCTGTTTTTCTTCAGCCCTAGACTCCCACCACAAATTCAATAATCTTAATGTAATCTTTATTTTAATATAGTGCCCAGAGAGTCCCACATCTGATTCAAAAATAGCTTGAGGCATGACCAAGGTTGTTAATTTCTTTTAAAGCTACATTTGATGAGAGCGGGACCAGGGAAAACATGCACGTGCCTGGCGTGTTACTGCGTGTCAAGGCCCATGGCCTGCTCCATGGCTCGAGTGTCCTCTGTGGGTGGTTTGGGCAGATCCAACATGGAGGACGAGGCATCCCTGGGATTCCCAGTAACCAACATCCAGTGGTTCCTTGGTTTCTCAACTCTATGTGAATCCAGGTATGTGTGAGCTACAACCTCAGCCTCCTTTCCAAAATAGGTGCTGGAGCAAGAGAGAATCAGTTGTGGTTTGAAATTGAATAACAACTCTCAATAAGCTGTTATTAATAATTTAATCTCGAAAGCACCTTAAGAAGCGGATTGCTAGATAAAGCCCTAGGGAATCTCTAAAATGGGACATGTTTGCAGGGAGGTTACACCTTATTTGGGCAAAGATTAGGCCAGTAGGATCCCATTAGAACCAAAGTCCTCTTGTAGGGGTAGGATTTGTATAAAAGAAGGGGCTCTAATAGGATTTTTCACACCATTGAAGTTCTATGTGGCGGTATTTCATCAGCAAAGGACATTTTTTGTATGTGCAGCCATACACTATCAATTGAGCTTCTTTGCTTATATTCATGGCCCCCAGCCCCAATCACAGCATTTTGTTGTACCCTGAAATACAATACCTTAAGAAAAGATGCCGGTGGGCTGCCAGTCCCCGATTTGTGTGACAGTGATTGATGAGAATTTTAGCATTTGCCTTAACAGATAAAGAAAATGTGTTATTAGCATTCTAAACATTTTTTTTTTTGCTTTTAGGGAAAAGCTTACCTAAAAGCAAAAATTTGGGATTATACTATACATTTATTTCAATTTAGTAGAAAAAAATTATATATATTCACAGTCATGTGCCACTTCACAACATTTCATTTGGCAAAGGACCACCTATGCGACCGTAAGACCCTATTTTGACTGTACCTTTTCTGTGTTTAGATGCACAAATACTTACCACTGTGTTACAGTTACCTACAGTATTCAGTATAGTAACATCCTTACAGGTTTGTACACCTAGGAACACGAGGCTATCCCGTGTAGCCTTGGTGTGTAGTAGGCTATGCCATCTGGGTTTGTGTAAGTACATTTATGATGTATAAATCAAAGAAAATTATTGAGGCGAGTCTCAATTATTTTAAGAGGTTTATTTGCCAAGGTCAAAGATGCGTCCACCAAAAAGAACACAGGCCAACAGGAAAAATCGGTGGTCCATGCTTTTTCCCGAAGAGGGTCCGGGGACCTCAATATTTAAAGTGAAAAGAGCGGGTACTGGGGGGGAGAGGAAGAAAGAAAGAACAACAACAACCAAAAAAGGAGGGTAAATAAAAGAGGCAAGCAGTTGCGTTCTTTTGAGTTTTCAGTCAGTGTTCACCAAATACACATTTTACATGTGAGAGGGCGGTAGAGGAATAGTTACTTATGCATTCGTCTTGTGCTCGGTGAATCTGCATTTTTACGTAAGATGAAATAAACACAGGGCAGAGGGAGCATTCATATATGCCTTTGTCTCAGGTGAGAGGAAGGATGACTTTTTAGTTCTGTCCTTTGTCCCACACTGTGAAGATAAGCTACCACTTTACATTGTCAGGGTAACATTCCACATAACTGTTTTAAGGTAAAGATCTTCCCACAAGGAATTTCCTTGTGGGCAAATTGTGAGGGATGTATGTAGCTTTTTAAATATATATATATATATATATATATATATATATATATATATATATATATATATTTGTAGCTATCCTATTTAAGAGCAAAATGGGAGGCAGGTTTGCATGACCCCATTCCCAGCCTGACTTTCCCTTTGACATAGTGAGTTTAGGTCCCAAGATTCATTTTCCTTTCACAATGTCCACACAATGACAAAATCATTGTCAGGGTGACCACGATTGCCTAATGATGCATTTCTCAGAACTTATCCCCATCATTGAGTGACACATGACTGTATATATATTTATACACACACAGACACAGAAAAATTTAGATGCCAAACCATAATGGATGGATGAAATACATTATTGTAGATATCTGTATGATGAAATCATCACTCAAAGTTATATTGGAGAAGATCTTTGCCACACAAGATATGGTCAATGATGTTATTTAATGGAAAAAAAGAAGTATCTTCATGATGTCCTATCTTGTAAAAAGAAATGATAAGCAATGGCTTTCTCTGGAAATGGAACTACTGGTAATTTTCATATTATTTTTTTGCTTTCCTGACTTTTCATAAGTGAACATATGTTTATAATCAGGAAAAATATATATTATTTCAAAATCCTGACTCATGTAAGTTAAAAGCTGTGTAAGAAAGAAAAGGCAGCCCTGCCATCCAGGGGTTGGCCTGGCACTGACAAGTAGGCTTTAGTGTTCTCCTGGGAACAGAATCAACTTCACAGAATGTCCACATCAGACAAGGCTACTCTGTGATCATGAGGGGTCAAAACAAAAACAAGAGCACTCTATAATCATATCTGAACACACACAAAACACAAACATTGGCTAAGCCACTAAATACCAAACACTGGCCTCTCCCAGCTAATATGAGCGACTGACTGCTGCTTCTTTACTAATGACAGCTTTGTCCTCACTCTAGTCTGGCCCTCCCTAGAGATAAGATTTATTGAGATAACCAATGATAGAGTTATCCCCCACTTCCTGACAGCATCCAGTCCAGAGCAAAGCCTCACTTCTCGGGATTCTCTCCAACACCACCCAACCAAAGCCCAAATTCTATAAGCATCCTAACACCCTCTTTCATGCTTCCCCATGGTGTGTGTTCTCCCTCACTGCAATAAGTAATCTACCCAACCTGTTAAACCACAGTTGTTCCTGGTGGTCTCTCTAGCCAGAGGTCATTGACATGTGCAAGGTAGCTCAGACAGGTTTGGGGTTTCCCATTTACAGATGTGTAACCATGTCTCAGTGAGGCCTGGGGAGACTTTCCTGAAGCCATAAGGTGAATCAGTAATGGAGAAAAGAACTCCTGGTGCCTGGAACACTGACTGCTCCCTTAACCTCTTAAAAAAACCAGCAACAATAACAATATAACAACAACAGTCATGACAACAAGAAACACTTGTGGGTGGCTTCTGTGAGCCAGGCACTTTTCGAATTAGCACTCTAAATGTACTAACCATTTAGTCTTCACAAAACCTCATGAGGTAGGTACTATTAACACCCCAAATTTAGATAGGGAAACTGAGGCACTGGCAGTTTAAATTGTGGAACTAGAAGGCAATTCTCAGAAGAGCGAAGCTTAGCAAAGGACATCTAAAGAGAATAATTTGTAAAGCCTGTTTCATTGTAGATAATATATATGTCCTCCATGCTCAGAGAAAGAACCTTGTGAAGTCAGGGTCCACCTGGCAGAGGTGAGGGACAGGCATGCTGCATCGGGTGGACTCAGTGGCCTGCAACTGCGGCCACTTCCTGGCCAGTAGCAAGCGAACCCTGGCCATGCTTGCTACTAATTCCATAGTCAACGCAGTGGCTACCAACACATCCACATGTCTGCTGGATGCCTCGTGAGCAGGAAAGCCTCTGGTCCTTGAAATAGGGAGGCCTACTCTGTGCCCACAAGACCTCCCACCTTCCCGTCAGGACCATGCCTCAGGTTCCAGTCCCATGGGTCCCAGCATCCGGAGAAAGTGTCGCACAGTGATAATGAGAATGATGCCGTCCTGCAGGACCACTGCATTGACTATGTGGCTACCCTGCTGTCTCCTTGGCTTCTCCAAGACTCCCTAAGCTCTTTTTCTTTCTTTTTTTTTTTTTTTGAGACACGGTCTCACTGTTGATCAGGCTGGAGTCCAATGGCACAATCACAGCTCACAGCAGCCTCGACCTCCCAGGCTCAGGTGATCCTCCCACCTCAGCCTCTCTAGTAGCTGGGACTACAGGTGCTCACCACCACACCTGGCTAATATTTATTTATTTATTCATTTATTCATTTATTTATTTATTTTGAGACAGAGTCTCACTCTGTCACCCAGGCTGGAGTGCGATGGTACAGTCTTGGCTCACTGCAACCTCTGTCTCCTGGGTACAAAAGATTCTCATGCCTCAGCCACCTGAGTAGCTTGGATTACAGGTGTGTGCCACCACACCCGGCTAATTTTTGTATTTTTTGTAGAGACAGGGGTTTTGCCATGTTGCCCAGGCTGGTCTTGAACTCCTGGCCTCAAAAGATCCGCCCGCCTTAGCCTCCCAAAGTGCTGGGATTGCAGGCGTGAGCCACCGCACCTGGGCTCAAAGTCCTTAAAAAATAGTACTTAGCGGAGGCCTTAGCGAAAACAGTGCGAAGGAAGCAGTGTCACAACGCTCATGATCGCACATCAGTGGTTCTTATCCTGATGACAGGGGCAGGGCCTGAGCTTTTTAGAAAGTTCCTGAGGCGATTCTAACGTGCAGCCAGAGGTGAGAAACTCTAGTGCAGGATGCTGCCATGGGGTAGATTAGTACCTCCCAAACTTGTGTTACAAACGGAAAAGAGACAGAAAGTCATAAGGCATTTGAGCTATAAGTCTGTGTGTTATAAATGGAAAAAAAGAGACAGAAAAGAAAGAGAAAGTCATAAGGCATTTGAGCTATAAGTCTGTGTGTTATAAATGGAAAAAAAAAGACAGAAAAGAGAGAGAAAGTCATAAGGCATTTGAGCTATAAGTCTGTGTGTTATAGACAGGAATAAATTGCATCCATTTCATAGCCTAGACACCCATGTCTTCCCGATGCTGCACTCACCGGGACGGGGAAGCCTTCATATTCCAGGCGTAACTGGGGGTCAGGGAAGGCAGCCTGCCAGCAGTTCACATGGGAGACCTCATCTGTTAGGTACACTTCCTGGAGCCAAGACCTCTTAGACGATTTCAGGAGGGTCCTGTGGTCACTTGACAAATACAACTGAAAATGACAGCAAGCAGATGCACTAAGTCAGAGCTCTGTGAAAAGCTGGAGAATAAAGAAGCAATTGACTGGCTGGACGGCAAGCACATTCAAAGCAGTTCTCAAAAACTCTGTTCTTACTGATTGTATGAGAAAGCACAATTTTCCTCTACCTTAGATATGCCATCTGGCATGCTGAGACCAAGACACACACACACACCTACACACACTCACATCTCCAACTACTTTTCCTTCCTCTGAATACCAAACTCAATCTTCCTCTCTCCTTCCTACTCCCTGTCCCCTGTTCCCCTTCAGGATATAGGAACTGGACCAATGGGTTTGTTTTGTTTTGTTTTGTTTTGTTTTGAGACAGGGTCTCATTCTGTTGCCCAGGCTGGAGCGCAGTGGCAATCATGGTTCACTGCAGCCTCCAACTCCTGGGCTCAAGTGATCCTCCCACCTCAGCCTCCCGAGTAGCTGGGACTGCAGGTGCACACTGCCATGCCCAGCTGATTTTTTTTTATTTGTTGTAGAGCTAGGATCCCACTGTTTCCCAAGCTGGTCTTGAACTCCTGGTCTCAAGCAATCCTCCCACCTCAGCCTCCCAAAGTGCTGGGTTTATAGGTGTGAACGACCATGCCCAGCCATGGACTAATATTTTATTTAATATAAATGATGTTGCATTAAACTCATCACGTGAAATGAATTATTCTTCAAATCAATATCCTCACAGCTGATATTCATTTGTGAGCCTTCAAGGTGACCCACACCCCTCTGGAATTGATGTCCATGCTGGAAATTTATGTCGGCTATCTGGCTGCCTGTAACCTTGCCAGGAAACAACCCCCATCCTGCTGAAAAGTCCAAAATGTTAGTCCTTTGCTAGTTCTTCACTGGTTCAGCCCCGCCCTGAATGTGGAGGTAGTTTCTGCATATTTTGACAGGTTTCCAATAAGCACCTTTCCCATGCAAGGCTGTGCTGTGAGGCACTATGGGGAAGGCAGAGATGAGTTACTATCCTCATGAGGTTCTCCACCTAGCAGAAGAGGTGATTGAGCACAAAAATGGGAAGCACCTGCATGCAGCTTTCTGGTTAGGGAGGTCCAGCAGATTTGCAATGAGCTGTGGGAGGCAGAGGTAGGAGCACGGTGCTTTCCTGGGGGATCAAAAGAGGCTCTGAGGAGGAGGCTGGATAGCCAGAGGGGGTGAACACAGAGAGGGTGAGGATGTATTACAGAAGGCCTCAAATGCCACAGCAAACAGGCAGAACTTCATTCAAAGGGCAATGGGGAGCCACTGCTGACTCCAGTGAGGATGGGGGTGACCAGACCTGTGCTTGTAAAAGATCAACCTGAAAAACAAATAATAATAATAATAAATTTTAAAAATTAAAATGAAAATTAAAAAAAAAAGATCAACCTGGCAGCACCCTGTCTAGTATGGTCTGAAGTCAGGATAGACTAAAAGGGCAAAGCAATGGGGCCTGGGTTGCTGAGGGGCTGCACTGGGGCAAGAGAAACAGGCCAAAGTGCAGTATGAAGGGAGAAAAGAGCCTAGGAACAGCGGAAGAGACCTGGTAATCAGCTGGACGTGGGTGGGGAAGGGAGATGGGCCCAAGATAGATTCGCCATTGGCCCTGGATGATGGTGCCTTTCAGAGCAACAAGAAAACCAGAATTTAAAAAGGCAAATAAGGCCAGGTACAGTGGCTCATGCCTGTAATCCCAGCACTTTGGGAGACTCAGGCAGGAGGATCACTTGAGGTCAGGAGTTCGAGAGAGTCTGGCCAACATGGTGAAACCCTGTCTCTACTAAAAATACAAAACTTAGCCAGGTGTGGTGGCAGGTGCCTGTAATCCCAGCTACGCAGGAAGCTGAGGCATGAGAATCGCTTGAACCCGGGAGGCAGAGGCTGCAGTGAGCCGAGATCACACCACTGCCCTCCAGCCTAGGCAACAGAGTGAGACACCAACTTAAAAAAAAAAAAAAGGCAAATACTATCTGTCTCAAACCACAAACTGCCTTGTTCACCTAAAGTAAAACCATAATAAAATCAGGAACTAACCCAGTAGGCCACTATTTCACCAACGCTTCTATGAATGCCCCAGAAGGGTTTGCTAATTCAAAGACAAGAAACCAAAATTCGAGGTATAAGAATTGAGGAAGAGAGAAAATTGTCATCATTTGAAGATTAAATGACTGTCTTCCCAGAAAACATAAAAAAATCAACTGAAAAAACTATAGAATTAATAAGAGTAAGTGATCTCATCAAAGGTGAATATAAAAATCAATAGCCTTCTTATATTTTTATAAGAGAAATTATCCTTTATTCTATCAAATGTTCTATCCTTATTCTATCAAAAGGACCTCTCTACAATAGCATCTGAAAATACAAGATACCAAGGAAAAACCCTTAACAAAATCATTGTCAAGTCCATGTAAAGAAAACCACAAAATCTTACTGGGTGATAGAAAATTTTGCTGACAGAATAAATGGAGAGACATCTCAGAAGAATAAATATGGCAAAGTTACTAAATATGTGAATTTACTTAATTTTACAATGCCAATCAAAATATAATACCAAGTAATCTTTTCCCCACAGGGGCAGAAGGACTTGAAAAAAATAACCATTATATTTAACTGAGAAATTAATTCCTAACATAATTCAGACAAAGAAGTGTAATGAGAGGCAACTAGCCCTATGAGCTGTCAAGGTCACAGGGCTATGAGCCCTATCATAAAGCTCTAATAATTAAGACACTATAGTCCTAGAATAAAAATAGAGAACTGGGCTGGGTGCAGTGGCTCACGCCTGTAATCCCAGCACTTTGGGAGGTGGAGGCAGGAGGATCACTTGAACTCAGGAGTTCAAGACCAGCCTGGCCAACATGGCGAAACTCCGTCTCTACAAAAATAAATAAATAAATAAATAATAAATAAATTTTAAAAACTTAGCCAGGTATAATGGTGTGCACCTGTGGTCCCAGCTACTCAGGAGGCTGAGGCAGGAAAATTGCTTGAGCCTGGGAGGTGGAAGCTGCAGTGAACCATGTTCGTGACACTGTACTCCAGCCTAAGTGACAGAGTGAGACCCTGTCTCAAAAAAAAAAGGAAAAAAAAAGAAATAGACAACTAGGGTTTAATGGATCAAAATAGAAAGCTCAGAAGCACAGGGTAGTATATACAGTAATTTAATATATGCTAAGGGAAATGTCATGCACCTGTAGAGAAAGGAATAATCATTCAAGGGATAATAGATATAACTGACCAGTCATCTGGGACAAAATGAGATGTTCACATAAAACCCTTTATCAAAATAAATCCCAAGTTGATTAAATAATAAATGTAAGCAAAAGTCAAATTGCAAACATCTAGAAGCTAATTCTAGTTTTTCTTTTTATCAGATCTCTGAAGCAGTCTTAAAAACATAAAAGCAATGGAAGGAATTACATTTTACTCAAAAATATAATATTAGAACAACTACAATTTAAAAGCCAAGCAGCAAATGGAAATATTAGCAACACATATGACAAAATTTAGTAATCAATGGTATATAAACCCAAATCAACACAAAGGCAAAAAACGGATGATTTGCAGGAGAGAGGAGAGGGAGGGAGAAAGAAAAAAGAAGCGAGAGAGAAAGGAAGAGATAAGGGAAAGAGAACAAACTTAAAATATAGGAGAAATTACAAGTAGTACAACATTTACATATCATTTTTTCTTTTCATTTTGTTTGCTTGTCAAATTAGCAAAGTTTTAAATTATGATATTTAATACAATTAATGAAGCAGTATATGATCATTCTTACTGTTGCTGAGAGTGCAAATTGGTACACCCCATTACAAAAAGAACTCTTTATATGTATCAATACTTTTAAATGTGTTCATATTCTTTGACTTAGTAATTCATTGCCCAAAAATCTATCCTAAAGGTAGAATTCCTAATTTGAAGTTTGAGAGGGGAAGATTTAAGCATTTATACACAAATGCACACTGGAACTTTACATATAAAAGAGAAATATTGGACCAAACCCAACTGCCCAAAAGTAGAAGAAAGACTAGGTAAATTATGATACCGCCACACAATTATATCTTATGCTCTCATTAAATGATTTCGTCATTTTAAAAAGCTTTAAAAATGCTATTTTAGAAAGAATAACCTATCTGTATATTTATCTAAGTTTTAAAAAAATACACAGGAAAGTAAAAATAAACCAAAATGTTAATGGTGCTAATCTCTGGTTAAGAAATGGTAATTTACTCCCTTTTTTCAGTAAGTCAATATTTATCAGGCTGCAACTTACCATCTGTGGGGTGTCAAAGTTTAATTGGTAGCATCGTTTCTTCTTCTTTTTATTTTTTATTTTTATTTTTATTTTTTGACACAGGGTCTCTTTCTGTCACCCAGGCTGGAGTACAGTGGTGCAAACTCTACAGTTTCTACCTTCCGGCTTAAGCAATCCTCCCACCTCAGCCTCATGAGTATGTGGGACTACAGGAGCGCGTCACCATACCTGGCCAATTTTTTTAAAATTTTTAGTTGAGATGAGGTCTCGCTATGTTGCCAAAGCTGGTCTACAACTCCTGGCCTCAAGTGATCCTCTTGCCTTGGTCTCCCAAAGTGCTGAGATTACAGGCATGAGCCGCTGCACCCAGCAGGCAGCATTGTGTTTTCTTAGTGGTATCAAAAATAATAATAATAATAACGCTACATCATATAGTAAATGGATTTTTAATTCAATAAAAAATGTGATATAGTACTAGCTCTGCTACTTGCTAACTGAGTGACTTGAGTCAGAAATCACTTAACCTCTTGGTGCCTCAGTTTTTCCATCAGTAAATTAAAGGTAAAATAGTCCCTACCTCAAAGGCAAGTTTGGGGGATTAGGAGAGTTGAAATATGTGAAGCATTTACAACACTGCCTGGCATGTAGTAAGGTAGATTAATACTCACCATCTTATGGATGAGAAACAGGCTCAAAAAGCATTAAATAACTTACCCAAATTCCCATCCCATAGGTACGCACCTGAAATTCAAACCCAAATCTATCTGGTTCTATTATACTTCCTAATCCCCAAGGCTCCCTGATTTATGCAAATTTAAGCATCTCATATTGTCCCTACTCCCATACTAAGCAAAAGTCTGATCATCAAAAGTTTAAATAAAAAAGTTGTCAGATAATATGCCTTGCTAGCATTGGCAACATTTGACAGGTATCAGATGGTTATTAATGAATTCAATCATTTAATTTACAGGTGGAAGTGGTATAAACTTTTGCTTTTTGCCAGCTGCATTGTGAAATGGTTTTCCTCCCTTACTGTTTAGGTTTTAAGGGTGTAGTTTTTGTAATTTGGGAAGTTAAAAGGAAAGACTGGCTTGGCCCAAAACTGCCTGTGAAAAGCTGCAAGCTGACACCATAGTGAAGTCAGAGGTGGAGCCCATGACTCTGGAGTTCTCTGTCCACTTCAGTAGATAGTTATGATCCCATTTTGGGCAACAGAAATGACTGATCCAAAGTAGATATGCAAAGTGATAACTCACCATTTTGTTGTCAAATCCTCCTGTTATCCCCAGGCAAAAGTCCTGCCCATATCTAAGGACTTGACCAGTGGCATCTCTGTGTACACTGTCAGTGGACAATAAGTATAATGTAAATGTAAACTCTCTGTATTAGAATCATTCTATGACTCTATTTTTTATGCATGCAATTTTGTTTATAATCAGTTTTTTGATAATTTATATTCACATACTGTAACTGAATTAGGTAATTAAATAAAAGGTGTTTTCTTTTGGTCTTAAAATCCAGCTAGCACCCTACTCCCTGCCCTGCACCATAGCTAGCACACAAAGCATCCCCACTTTGTGAGCCTCTGGTTAGAGTAAACTAAGCACATCTTGCTAATGTATACTAAGGAATTCTGGTCAAGTGCATTGACATGTTCAGAGAGAACCAAGGTAACACATTTGTAGACATTTAATACGGTTCCCTCTTAATCCTTCAGGATAACAGAGGTTGTGATCAATTTTTACTTGTCTTAACATATGTATTCAAAGGAAATCTAAATTAGAACTTGAAGAACTGTCTATATATTCTTTTTTTTCCCCCAGGCTGGAGTTCAGTGGTGCAATCTTGGCTCACTGCAACCTCCACCTCCCAGGTTCAAGTGATTCTCATGCTTCAGTGACACAAGTAGCTGGAATTACAGGAGCCTGCCACCACGCCCAGCTAATTTTTTGTATTTTTTGTAGAGATGGGGTTTCGACATGTTGGCCAGGCTGGTCTCGAACTCCAGACCTCAGGTGATCTGCCTGCCTTGACTTCCCAAAGTATTGGGATTACAGGCATGAGCCACTGTACCTTGCCTGGGTCCATATATTCTTGCAATGCTTACATTGCTGTCATACGAATTAGTAATAGTTTTTAATTGTGATCATGTATCTATTTCTTCTCTAAGGATTTAATTGTTCATTTTCAAAATCTCTTCAAATACATTTTTAATGGACAGTTAATTTTAAAAGAGAAAATCCCATCTAGTGCCACATTGTATTAAACTACACGTTTTTATTGTAAAAAAAAAAATAGCCGTATTAAGAACAATGAAAACACTCAAATGAGCTCAAAAAGTTCCAAAATGTTATAGGGAAAACCTACTTTGCTTCCAGGCAGAATATGGATTTAATTCCCTGGATCCTATACTCATGATTTAAGCATTTTGAATTGAACACAATTATCCTGCTGTCTAAGGTAAAAAGGGATTGTAAAGTTCCTTTGACAATAATTCTCAAGGTAAGCAAAGCAAGATGAAAATCACGAAAAATGTTCACAAAACCTTTCCCTCCACTCAGTGGCTCCAATACCCAGGAATCTTTAAGCTACAAGTGAAACATATTTATGATGAAAATGAACTGAAAATTAAAGTCTCTTTACCTCAAAATGATAAAAGTGTTTCTGCCAATTGGGGTCTTGGCTTGAACTGCGCTCAGGCCACAGGGTACCTCTAATTCGTCTTTCAGATGGGACTGAATTTCATCTGGAGTCATACACAGGCTCAGGTCCCCACGCAGAAACACATCAGCTTCTGTGTCAGGATCATCAGGATTCACAAGCATCACTTTGTCACCGTAATGAATATAGCCATCTTCAGTTACGGAAAGTTGCATCTACAATTTTGATAGTAGTTTATTACATAAACCATGCAATTCCTCAACAGTTACTGCCAAGGCAATTTTCTTCCTTCTCGGACTAGTACCCATTTCATTCAGGATTTCACTTGGATTCCCTCGAACCCTTAGTTCCTTCTTCCTTTCCCTTCCCCTTTGCCAAGGCAAAGCTCCCAATAATTCCAAATGAAGTCGAATAAAGCTGGTTAAAATCACATGGATTTACTCATTATCCTAGAAATTCAACATTCATTGAAAAATTTGTCGATTACCAACTAAGGGGCATTTTACTTATTTACATATTAACTCATTTATTTCTTTATTTGTAAAATGCAGGTAAACATGATTTAGGGCAGACTGTTTATGTTTCTAAAATCTTAGAAGAATTTAAAACATTGCAAATTGTTTTTAAAAACTGTTATTTTCCAAATGGTAACTCAGTTATGAAATTTTTTTCTTGCTTAACATATACTCACACCAAGTTCAACAGAATTTTGAAAACAATGTCTGAATTTAAAGTTACCGGTCTCAATAAACATACGTGTGCATGTGTCTTTATAGCAGCATGTTTTATAATCCTTTGGGTATATACCCAGTAATGGGATGTCTGGGTCAAATGGTATTTCTAGTTCTAGATCCCTGAGGAATTGCCACACTGACTTCCACAATGGTTGAACTAGTTTACAGTCCCACCAACTGCGGCACTATTCACAATAGCAAAGACTTGGAACCAACCTAAATGTCCAACAACGATAGACTGGATTAAGAAAATGTGGCACATATACACCATGGAATACTATGCAGCCATAAAAAATGATGAGTTCATGTCCTTTGTAGGGACATGGATGAAGCTGGAAACCATCATTCTGAGCAAACTATCGCAGGGACAGAAAACCAAACACCGCATATTCTCACTCATAGGTGGGAATTGAACAATGGAGAACACATGGACACAGGAAGGGGAACATCGCACACTGGGGCCTGTTGTGGGGTGGGGGGAGGGGAGAGGGATAGCATTAGGAGATATACCTAATGTTAAATGACGAGTTAATGGGTGCAGCACACCAACATAGCATATGTATACATATGTAACAAACCTGCACGTTGTGCACATGTACCCTAAAACTTAAAGTGTAATAAAAAAAAAAAAAGTTACCGGTCTCAAGAGATTCTGTTTTAGTCTTCTACTTCTCTGTATGAGAAGTTTCCCCTTGTCTCTCTTCTCTAAGAAGTCTTTCATGAGCTCCTAAACAGAAAATCAACAAAAGTAGCCCTGAATAATATAGATGTTAGTATTAATAACTTTTAGGTCAGAAGCTCTTCCAAGTTGAAAAAGCAAAATTTGAGTACAAAAAAAGAGATGTGAGCATAATTGGAATGATGGAACGTTTTTAGCACTACTTTAATATTTTTACTACATTATAGAATGTTTAGAAAAATGAGAAAGGCAAAACAAAGAAAAAGAAACATCACCAGTAATTACTCCAGCCAGATACCATCCTAAATGACATTTGGAGGCCATGTCTCCCCTGCTGGGGTTTCCCTTGACCGTATGATGACTGACACTAGAAAGTTCACCCCTCCCCAATCTGACCCGTATACGAATGGCTCAAAGCCTTGTTAAGACCACCCTTGGGAGAATACGAGGCAGTGAGTGAGTACAACGTCAATAAAAGGAATACTCAGGGTCATTTAAGAGGGCAAGCGTGGCAGGGTTGGAGTGGGGAGGGATATTATTTCTACCTAGAACCTGTGTCCTCACCTGGCCCGCAGCCTGAGACTGTAAGACTCTAAGGAATACGGGGGACTTAGTGGGGCTCTAGACTAAGCGGGAGACACAGGCCAGGGGCTTGAGAGTCAAGGCATCTGACTTTGGGAGGCCAAGGGACCCAGAGAAAGAAAAGTCAGGGTGCTCGGAGTAGAGGTCAGTGAGACCTGGGTTTGCAGTTCGGCAGGTGAGATTCCTTGGGAGTTTAGAGAAGTGGGGGATTTTAGAGGTATTCGCTGTATGCTGGGAGAGAGAGGAGGCTTGAGGCGCTCAAAGTAGGAGACTGAACTTAGAGCAGGGTCTGGGAGTTCCTGAGCTGCGGGTCTGCGCCTGGCCACACCCTGCGTACCTCCTCCAGGTAGACATCCTCATTCCAGTTGCCTATCCGGACTCCCGGACCATACACGTTCTGCGCCATCGCTCCCTGCTGTTCAGCAAGTGGGCCTCCCTCCGACACCATGCGTTAGCGTGGCGCGTCGCCATGACGACCCGGCCCCAGGCGATTGGTCAAGGTCTGGGACCCTGCTGGCCAATAAGCGACAGCGCGCACCCTCGCCCTGGGGCGGGAGATGGGGCGTCTGGGTCAGCGGCTGTCTGTGGCCCTCCAGCCCGCCCCACTTCCACCTCTTAGATTTCCTTAACTGCAGGGTGGGCGAGAGGGAAAACCCTGGCTGACAAAGTGCTTCCGAGAGAGAAATTTAAAGCTTTCTTTCTATTAGAATCTAACCGAAAAGTGCTATCGAGTACCCCTTGCTTGTCGAGGCAACAAAGAGGAGCTTTTAAATGGAAGCACGGCTTGCTTGCAGCCTATTTTTTGTAATCAGCAGCAGCAGCAGCAGCAGCAGCAGCAGCAATTTCGCCCTAATCATAAAACAATACCTGCTCAATGTACACATTTGGAAACCAAAATCGCATAGAAAGAAGAAAGGAAAATTAATAATTTCAGGGCCTTAAAAGTAAGAAATATACCATGTTAGTATATTTCTGTTTATAGGTTTCTGAGGTTGTCCATATTTTTGCGGACTTGACAGCATCCTCCCTCCCTCCCTCCCTTGCTCCCTCCTTCCCTGGGTCTCAAAGTTAAAGGACGAACCTGTGATTTGCAGGAACTCTTAAGAAAACCAGACTCTGCTGTAGCCAGCATTAATAAAACAAAATATTATTTTCTGGGGAGGGGAGGGATACCAGTTACTGTAGGACTACCGGAGGCTTGATGCAGATTGAATGCATTCAGTAATTTACCTCTATTTAGTGTCTAGTAAGACATGACTGAAATGGAAGACAGGAGCCTCCGCTCCCTTCAGCAAACCCAGTCTAAAAGAAAAGATAGTTCATGAAAACGAATTACTTAAGGAAGACTGTGGAAAAATGCAATTAAAGATGTGCTGATGGGCTGGCGTGGTGGCTCAAGCCTATAATCCAGCACTTTGGGAAGCCGAGGCAGGAGGATCACTTGAGCCCAGGAGTTCTAGACCAGCCTGGGCAACATAGTGAGACCCCATCTCCAATTTAAAAAAAAATACATATATATATATATATATATATATATATATATATATATATATATATATGCTGATGAAGGGCCATGGAGTTGAAGGATCCTTTCTGTCTTGAGGAACTGTGAGAATGGGAATTGGATGGCCTTTGAGTGATGGGAGAGGGGCTGCTTTGGAGCTGAACTGGGAAGGATTTGAACTGGCAGGCTGAAGTGTAGAATAAAAATAGGAACATTCCCACATTCTGATGAATCCACCAGCTCTGTCAATATATCACCACATTCGAGGATACTTCTGAAGGACACATAGGACAAAGCAGTTAGATCAGATAGTATACCACTAACTGCATTTGATAAATTCAGAAACTGAGACTCAAAGAAGCTAGCAGTCTAAATTCAAACTGCTAAAAGTTGCTCAAAGAAAGGACTCAGTCCAAACTTTCCGACTCCAAAGTCATGTTTGTTTGTTTTTCCTTTTAAGTATTTTTCATATTCCTCATAAAATCAAGAATAAAACAAAGCAGCTCTAGTCTCTACATTTTTAACAAGGTTCTAATGATTGGGTCATTCAGTAAGTCCTTACACTGATACAGCTTTGCTCCCACCTACTTCCTTAGTGCTATTTTTGACAAGTATATTACATTTCTATATATAATAGACCCAATAATACAATTATACATAGTGTTTTATACAATTGCTTTAAATCACTCAGGAGAAGAAATATCTTTATTGGTGCTCTATGGTATTTTTCTATGAACACAAATTACTGCTTTGTGTTGTTTTCAACCTGAATAACTTCCTTCCATATTTCTTATAAATCAGGTCTGCTAGCAACACATTCTCTTGGTTTTTGCTTACCTTAATAAGATGCTTTTTCTGGATACATGATTCTTTGTTGATAGCGTTTTTTTCTTTCTTTCAATATTTTAAATATGCCATCCTACTACCTCTGGACTCCCTTATTTCTTTTTCTTCCAAGACAGAGTCTCACTCTATCAACCTGGCTGGAGTACAGCAGCACAATCTCGGCTCACTGCAACCTCTGCTTCCCAGGTTCAAGCAATTCTCATGCCTCAGCCTCCTGAGTACCTGGGGCTAAAGGCATGTGCCACCATGCCTGGGTAATTTTTGTATTTTTAGTAGAGATGGGGTTTTACCAGGTTGGCCAGGCTGGTCTTGAACTCCTGACCTCAAGTGATCGGCCCTCCTCAGCCTTCCAAAGTGCTGGGATTACAGGCATAAGCCACCCTGCCCAGCCATGGCCTCCATTATTTCTGATGAGAAATCAGCTATTAATCTTATTTTGCTTCCCTTACACATACTCTTGCTGCTTTCAAGATTTTTTTTGTCTTTGTCTTTAATATTTTAACTAGATATATTTGGATATTGACCTCTTTTCTTTTATCCTGCTTGAGCTGCCTGAATATGTAAATTAATGCTCTTTTCATCAAATTTGGGGAATTTTCAGGCCTTATTGTTTGGAATATTTTTTCTGATCCTTTGTCTGTCTTCTGTCTTTATGAAACTCCCATCATGTGTATATTGATGCACTTACTGATATCCTGCATTCCTCCAAGATGCTATTTGTTTTTCTTCATTTTTTTCTCTCTGTTCTTCAGATTGCATAATTTCTATTGATTTGTCTTCAAGTTTGCAAATTTTTGTTTTGCTGGCTCAAACTTACTGCTGTATTCCGCTAGTGAGTTTTTTATTTTGGTTATGGTACTTTTCAACTACAGAATTTACATTCGGTTATATTTTATAATTTCTCTCTATTGATATTTTATATTTCATAATGAAACACTATCATCATACCTTCCTTTAATTCTTTAATCATGGTATCCCTTAGTTTTTTGAACATATTTATAATGGCTGCTTTGAAGTCTTTGTCTGCTAAGTCCAACATCTGGGCTCTGTCAAAGGCAGTTTCTGTTGACTTTTTTGTTTGTTTGTTTTTTATCTTCTTTCTGTCTGTGGATCACAGTTTTCTGTTTCTTTGCAGGTCTCATGATTTTTTGTTGAAAACTAGACATTTTAGATACAGGAATACATCATTTTATTGCAATTCACTTTATTGCACTTTGCAGATATTGATTCTTTTTTTTTTTTTTTTTTTACAAATTGAAGGTTTTTGGCAAGCCTGCATCAGGCAAGTGTGTTGGAGCCATTTTTCCAACAGCATACGCTCACTTCACGTCTCTGTGTCACATTTTGGTAATGCTCAAGATATTTCAAACTTCCTTATTATTATATCTATTATGGTGATCTGTGATCAGTGATTTTTGATGTTGCCATTGTAGTTGTTTGGGGCACCATGAACCATGGGCATATAAGATAGCAAATCCAATCAATAAATGTTAGGTGTTCTGACTGCTCCACCTACCAGCCATGTCCCCATCTCTCTCCCTCTCCTCAGGCCTTCCCAGTCCCTGAGACACAACAATATATAAATTAGGACAATTAATAACCCTAAAATGGCCACTAAGTGTTCAAGTGTTCAAGTGAAAGGAAGAGCCAAATGTCTGTCTCTGTTTTGTTTTTGTTTTTGTTTTTGAGATGGAGTCTCGCTCTGTTGCCCAGGCTGGAGTGCAGTGGCACGATCTTGGCTCACTACAACCTCCACCTCCCAGGTTCAAGCGATTCTCCTGCCTCAGCCTCCCAAGTAGCTGAGACTACAGGCGCATGCCACCACACCCAGCTAATTTTTTGTATTTTTAGTAGAGAGGGAGTTTCACCATGTTAGCCAGGATGGTCTCACTCTCCTGACCTTGTGATCCACCTGCCTCGGCCTCCCAAAGTGCTGGGATTACAGGCGTGAGCCAAGTCTGTCTCTTAAATAAAAAGCTAGATATGATTAAACTGAGTGAGGAAAACATGTCAAAAGCCAAGATAGGCTGAAAGCTGGGCCTCTTGCATAAAGCAGTTAGCTAAGTTGTGAATGCAAAGGAGAAGTTCTTGAAGGAAATTAAAAGTGCTATTCCAATGAAAACACAAATGATAAGAAAGTAAAACAGCCTGTTTCTGATATGAAAAAAGTTTTACTGGTCTAGATAAAAGGTCAGACGAGCCACCACATTCCCTTGAGCCAAAGCCTAATCCAGAACAAGGCTCTAATTCTTTTCAAGTCTATAAAGACTGAGAGAAGGTTTAAGGAAAAAGCCATCTTCATAACATAAAACTGCAAAGTGAAGCAGTAAGTTCTGATGTAAAGGCTGCACCAAGTTATCCAGAGGATCTGGCTAAGATCATTGATGTAGGTGGCTGCACTAAACAACAGATTTTCAATATAGGCAAAAAAAAAAAAAAAGCCTTACATTAGAAGATGTCATCTAGGACTTTCACAGAGAAAAAAGTTAATGCCTGATTTTCAATGTAGGCAAAAAAAGCCTTACATTAGAAGATGTCATCTAGGACTTTCACAGAGAAAAAAGTTAATGCCTGATTTTCAATGTAGGCAAAAAAGACTTACATTAGAAGATGTCATCTAGGACTTTCATAGAGGAAAAAGTTAATGCTTGCCTTCAAAGCTTCAGAGAACAGGATGAGTATCTTGTTAGTGGCTAATGCACCCCATGCTCATTTACTATTCTGAAAATCCTAGGTGATATGGTTTGGCTGTGTCACCACCCAAATCTCATCTCAAATTGTAGCTCCCATAATTCCCACATGTTGTGGGAGGGACCCAGTGGCAGATATTTGAATCATGGGGGTGGTTTTCCCCATACTGTTCTCGTGGTAGTGAATAAGTCTCATGAGATCTGATGGTTTTTTAAGAGGTTTCCCCTTTAATTTAGCTCTTTTTTCTCTTGTCTGCCACCATGTGAGATGTGCCTTTCACCTTCCACCGTGATTGTGAGGCCTCCCCAGCCATGTGGAAATGAGTCTATTAACCTCTTTTTCTTCATAAATCACCCAGTCTCAGGATGTCTTTATCAGCAGCATGAAAACAAAATAATACACTAGGTCCCTTAAGAATTATGCTAAATCTACTTTTCCTGTGCTCTATAACTGGAAGAAGAAAGCCTGGATGACAGCACATCTGTTTGCAGCTTTGTTCACTGACTATTTTAAGCCCACTGTTGAGATCTACTGCTTAGAAAAAAAAAAAGATTTCTTTCAAAATATTACTGTTTATTGACAATGCACCTAGTCACCCAAGAGCTCTGATGGAGATGTACAAGGAAATTAATATTGTTTTCATGATTGCTAACATAATATCCATTCTGCAGCCCATGGATCAAGAAGTAATTTCAACTTTCAAGTCTTATTATTTAAGAAATGCTTTTTTTTTTTTTTCTCGAGACAGAGTCCTGCTGTGTTGTCCAGGCTGGAGTGCAGTGGCGTGATCTTGGCTCACCTCTGCCTCCTGGGTTCAAGCGATTCTCCTGCCAAAGTGCTGGGATTACAGGCATAAACCACCACAACCAGCCAATAAATACATTTTTAAGGCCATAGCTGCCAAAGATAGTGATTTCTCTGATGAATCTGGGTGAAGTAAATTGAAAACTTTCTGGAAAGGATTTGCCATTCTAGATGCCATTAAGAACATTTGTGATTCATGGGAGGAGGTCAAAATATCAACATTAATGAGAGTTTGGAAGAAATTGATTTCAATCCTCATGGATGACTTTGAGGAGTTCCATATTTTAATGGAGGAGGTAATTGCAGATGTCACGGATATAACAAGAAAACTAGAATTAAAAATGGAGCCTGAAGAAGTGGAATCTGAAAAAGATCACTCTTGGGAAGAATTAAAAATGGAGCTGCAGTCTTGAGGAGGAGTTGCTGCTTATGAATGAACAAGTAAAGTGGTTTCTGGAGGTGGAATCTACTCCTGGTGAAGATACTATAACACTGCTGAAATGACAACAAAGGATTTAGACTATTACATAAACTTATTTGATAAGGCAGCAGCAGGGTTTGAGAGGATTGACTCCAATTTCAGAAGAAGTTCTACCATGGGTGAAATGCTATCAAACATCATCACATGCTACAGAGAAATTTTTCATGTATGAAAATTGTCAGAATTAAAACAGAGTCACTAATGTTAAGATAATTCTGACAAATAGAGCTGGGAAAGACCATAAAGAGAGGGTTCTCACACTTATATGCCTGATAACGAAAAGATTCTACAAAAACCACAGCCTTACACAAAGGTCATTACCACCTTATACAAAAAATACTTCTACAAGGCCATCTACCCAACACTTGCCTATCCAACCTTGGACTGGTGTCACCTTGTTATTGATCTTTGTAACCAAGGAAAATTATTTAAAAACAACTATGTAGTCCTAATCTTTTCCTTTAAAAACCTTTATCTTTTCTTTACCTCCCTGAATACACACATAGTTTACTATGGCATGCATAGTCCCATTGCAATGCTCTGTCCCCAGATAAGTATCTTTTCTTTTAGAGAGCCTCTCTCTATTTGTTATTGAGGGTGACATATATGGTGTCAAAAGTGGGATCTGAAAAAGATCAGTCTTGGGAAGAATCAGTGATTCTTGGAACCAGTGTGTGGTACTCACTTCAGTCCTTTGAGCTCTGCTTCCATGGCTGTCATCTTTTCTGCCCTGGTGAGTTTTCTCTCAGGTTGAGCCCCTCCTCTTCTTTTGGTAGAGGCTTTTTAAATACTATTTGGGATCTGATTTAGATAAGCCCACCTTAATAAAAAAAGAAAAAACATACATCATTCTTGGGATGAAAAAAGACTTTTTGCCTTTTCTGATATGTCCTTTCTGGTATAAATACAAATGTTTTTTTCCAGATTGAGTACTCTTGGTTTCCACAGAATTTACATTCTGTCTCTGAGGCATATCTTCTGGTAAATTTAATTTTGGTCTAGCTTGCATACCTAGTTTAATGTTTTGTGTGATCTGCACACCTAGGTTAAAATGTTTGTGAGCATTCTTATCTGGGTTTTTTGCTTTTGTTTGACTTTTTCCCTTACTTGTTTCTGAAAATCTTCTGAGAGTAAAAATAAACACTCTGGATGGTGGGTGCAGGATGGCTAATTAAAAGCCACAGGGCAATCACCATCATCTAAAACACGGGTCTAAATTCCTGATGTTCTCTGACATGATTTTTGGATTTTCCTTGCTCTTGAGAGATTAATAAGAAACAGAATGGGATTCACAAACATTAAGGCATGCCAGGTTTTCTGGGACTCCAGCCAGCTACATATTATGGCCTGTTCTTGTGTACATTTTCAAACTGATAGGCAAATTCTATCAAGGAAAATTCAGAGTTCGAACGGTCTTTATTCAAAAAACCTGCAAATATAGAGTTAAAATGGAGAGTCTTACATGTTCTCTATCTCTCTATTTTTTTCTACCTACTTTGAATTTGCTGACTTTTCCACTGGTGTTAAGATAAAACTCACCACTTATGGCATTCAAGCAAAGATTTTTAAAAGTCTTTAAGAACTTTCAAATCAATGGTTTTGCAAATTCCAATAGTTCCGTGCTAACCAACAACCCTGATATCTTTTAGAAACATAAAATAGTTTTGCCTAACAATTGTGTGCAATGATAAAATACTTAACTGACAAATTAATAATCTAAAGTGAAAAGAAATAGATAAATATTTATAAAAATTAGGCTCTCAGATCAAACAGGTCAAAATCTTGAGCTCAGAGCAATAACGTAAGGTATCTGTCCAGCATAAAAATTTTACTTTTTGGCTACACTGAGGCCAAAAGGAAAAAGCTGAGAAAAAGAGAAAAATAAACTGCTCAAATTCTTCCCTGCCCACATTTGTTAATGAAGTAAACCAGATCAGCAAATAGATTTGTTACTTGTTCAAGGCTACCTGGAGATTTCATTTTTCTTATACAATTCAGCCAATCCTAGATAAAATGTAAATATTGAAATTTTAACCTTGAACTCACTTGAAGCTAAAAAAAAATAAGATGAAGGAAGTTTTTCAAAATCAAACTGACATGGAAACTGCTTTACCCAAAATTTTGATCTTCAGCCTTCATTCAATTACCTATCAGGGCAAATAAAGTTTAGCAATGTGAACAAATCTCAATTTTGTTAGAAATATAATTTGGATCTCACTTTCTTTTATACACCAGTGAGTTGGCCGGGCATGGTGGCTCGCGCCTGTAATCCCAGGACTTTGGGAGGCTGAGCTGGCTGGATCACCTGAGGTCAGGAGTTTGAGACCAGCCTGCCAACATGGTGAAACCCCAGCTCTACTAAAAATACAAAACTTAGCTGGGCATGGTGATGTGCATCTGTAATCCCAGCTACTCCAGAGGCTGAGGCAAGAGAATCACTTGAACCCGGGAGACGGAGGTTGCAGTAAGCTGAGATTGTGCCACTGCACTCCAGCCTAGGCAACAGAGCGAGACTCCATCTCAAAAACAAAAACAAAAACAAAAACAAACAAAAAAAACAATGAGTTGTTATACTATCTCATGACTCTAATACTAAAATGAAAGCTATATGATTTTTATTTGAGTGTGTATATGTGTTTAGATGTGTTACGGATATGTACATTTATCATGTTGTATGCTGTGTTTACATAGTAAAATCTGATGTCGTTGGTCAGAAATCCTCTAAGGATAAATGAGTACTCATATAAAATATAATATGTATATAGCCATTAGCCCAGATACCTTTTAGTTCACATGACTAAAGTAAACCTTTAGTAAATAAACTGGTTTTTAAATTACTGATAACATAAAAATAAAAATGTCTTCAAAATTGTCAGTATGCATTTTTGCTTAAGTTTACTGGTCAGTTTTATGTTGTCTTTGCTAGATGTTTTAAGGAATAGGGGTTTGACACAAAGTTTACAAAACTATAAATCCAGCCTAAAACAGAATTATCTGTTTGGGTAATTTCCTGACAAATAAGACTTTAATATTGTCAGTTTAATGAAAACAGATGTATCTTCTGATACATTTTGCTGAATATTTACCAGCAACACATTCATATATTTAACTTTAAGGTTTGCATTTAAATACCTAATACAGGCTATTAAAATGATTAATAGGGAAATAACTTGAAATGGTGATGGGCTTTGTCTACTTTTCAGTTCTCATAAGTAGTCTAGGTAAACTGTTTTTAAAAAATCAAGTAAATGTAAATCAAATAAATGCTTATAAATGAACTTGTTATTGTTTTTTTTTCTTTTTTACTTTTCTTTTAAATAAACTTTTTCTGTAATTGGAAATCTTAAAGTTATGTTATGTTAAATAAATAATAGATACTCTGGTATCTATGCCTGGGTCATTTCCAAATAAAAAAAATTTTTTAACTGAAACAAATTGCCAAACACAAATAAAAGCTTGTTCTTGGCTTAAGTTTTATAGAAAGACTAAAGTATATGAGTCTATTAATATACATTAAAAATTATGTTATGCACAATCAGAAATGATAAGGGGAATATTACCACTGACCCCACAGAAATACAAACAAGCATCAGAGAATATTATAAACAGCTCTATGCACATAAACTAGAAAATCTGGAAGAAATGGATAAATTCTTGGACACATACACCCTCCCAAGACTCAACCAGGAAGAAACTGAATCTCTGAATAGACCAATAATGAGTTCCGAAATTGAGGCAGTAATTAGCCTTTGAACCAAAAAAAGCCCAGGAGCAGATGGATTCACATCTGAATTCTACCAGAGGTACAAAGAAGAGCTGGTACCATTTCTACGGAAACTATTCCAAAAAATTAGAAAGGAGGGACTCCTCCCTAACTCATTCTATGAGGCCAGCATCATCCTGATACCAAAACCTGGCAGAAATAAAACAAAAAAAAGAAAACTTCATGCCAGTATCCTTGGTGAACATCAATGCAAAAATCCTCAACAAAATACTGACAAACTGAATCCAGCAGCATATCAAAGGCTTATCTACCATGATCAAATAGGCTTCATCCCCAGGATGTAATGTTGGTTCAACATATGCAAATCAATAAGTGTGATTCATCACATAAACAGAACTAAAGACAAAAACCACACGATTATCTCAATAGATGCAGAAAAAGCTTTCAATAAAATTCAATATCCCTGGTATTGAAGGAACATACCTCAAAATAATAAGAGCCATATATGACAAACCCACAGCCAATATCATACTGAAAGGGGAATACTGGAAGCCTTCCTCTTGAAAACTGGCACAAGACAAGGATATCCTCTCTCACCACTGCTATTCAACATAGTATTGGAAGTTCTGGCCAGGGCAATCAGGCAAGAGAAAGAAACAAAAAGCATTCAAATAGGAAGAAAGAAAGTCACACTATCCCTGTTTGTAGATGACATGATCCTACATCTAGAAAACCCCATCGTCTCAGCCCAAAACCCTCTTAAGCTTATAATCAACTTCAGCAAAGTCTCAGGACACAAAATCAATGTGCAAAAATTGCTAGCCTTCCTATATACCAACAACAGTCAACCTGAGAGCCAAATCAAGAAGACAGTCTCATTCACAATTGCCACAAAAAGAATAAAATACTTAGGAATACAGCTAACGAGAGAAGTGAAGGATCTCAACAAGGAGAACTACAAACCACTGCTCAAAAAAATCAGAGATGACACAACAAATGGAAAAACATTCTATGCTCATGGGTAAGAAGAATCAATGTCATCAAAATGGCCATACTGCCTACAGCAGTTTATAGATTCAATGTTATTCCCATTAAACTACCATTGACATTCTTCATAGAACTAGAAAAAAACTATTTTAAAATTCATATGAAACCAAAAAAGAGCCCAAATAGCCAAGGCAATCCTAGGCACAAAGAACAAAGCTGGAGGCATCACACTACCCAACTTCAAACTATTCTACAAGGCTACAGTGACCAAAGCAGCATGATACTGGTACAAAAACAGACACATGGACCAATGGAACAGAAGAGAGAACCCAGAAATAAGACCGCACACCTACAACTATCTGATCTTCAACAAACCTGACAAAAACAAGCAATGGGGGATGCCCATTTAATAAATAATGCTGGGATAACTAACTAGCTAGCCATATGCGGAAGATTAAAACTGGACCCCTTCCTCACACTATATACAAAAATTAACTCAAGATGGATTAAAGACTTAAATGTAAAACCTAAAACTATAAAAACCCTAGAAGAAAAATGAGGTACCACCATTCAGGACATTGGCATGGGCAAAGATTTCATGATGAAGATGCCAAAAGCAATTGCAACAAAAGCAAAAATTAACAAATGGGATCTAATTACACTAAAAAGCTCTGCACAGCAAAAGAAACAATAAACAGAGTAAACAGACAACCTATGGAATGGGGAAAAAATTTTGCAAACTATGAATCCAAGAAAGGTCTAATATCCAGCATCTATAAGGAACTTAATCGAGAACTTACAAGAAAAAACAAACAACCCCATTAAAAAGTGGGTAAAAGACATGAGCAGACACTTATCAAAAGAAGATATACATCAGGCCAACAATCATATGAAAAAAATCAACATCGGCCAGGCACGGTGGCTCATACCTGTAATCCCAGCACTTTGGGAGGGTGAGGCAGGCAGATTCCTTGAGGTCAGGAGTTTGAGACCAGCCTGGCCAACATAGTGAAACCCTGTCTCTATTAAAAATACAAAAAATAGCTGGGTATGGTGATGCGTGCCTGTAATCCCAGCTACAAGGGAGGCTAAGGCAGGTGAATCGCTTGAACCTGGCAGGCAGAGGTTGTAGTGAGCCGAGATCATACCACTGCACTCCAGCCTGGGCAACAAGAGTGAAATTCCATCTAAAAAAAAAAAAAAGAAAGAAAGAAAGAAAAAAAAATCAACATCACTGATCATTAGAGAAGTGCAAATCAACACCACAATGAGATACCATCTCATACCAGTCAGAATGGCTATTACTAAAAAGTCAAAAAATAGCAGATGCTGGTGAGGTTGTAGAGAAAAAGGAATGCATTTATACTGTTGGTGGGATTGTAAACTAGTTCAACCATTGTAGAAGGCAGTGTGGCCATTCCTCAAAGACCTAAAGACAGAAATACCATTTGACCCAGCAATCGCATTACTGGGTACACTCAAAGGAATAGAAATCATTCTATTATAAAGACACATGCATGTGTATGTTCATTACAGCACTATTCACAATAGCAAAGACATGGAATCAACTTAAGTGCCCAACAATGATAGACTGGATAAAGAAAAAGTAGTACATACACACAATGGAATACTATGCAGCCATAAAAAGAATGAGATCATGTCCTCTGCAGGGACATGGGTGGAGCTGGAGGCCATTATCCTTAGCAAACTAATGCAGGAACAGAAAACCAAATACTGCATGTTCTCACTCATAAGCAGGAGCTAAATGATGAGAACACATGGACGCATAGAAGGGAACAATACACAGTGGGGCCTTTCAGAAGGTGGAAGGTGGGAGGAGGGAGAGAATCAGGAAAAATAACTAATGGATACTAGGCTTAATACCTGGGTGATGAAACAGTCTGTGCAACAAACCCCCATGACATGTTTACCTATGTAACAAATCTGCACATCCCGCACATGTACCCCTGAACTTAAAAGTTAAAAAAAATATGTTATGGGGAAACATATTTCTAAAACTTATAAAATAGTTCTGATCTCTAAAATACTGATATGTAACAGACAAGTCAAGATTTCTTGCTTCCCAGGTTTTTGCTAAAAATTTAAGGTTGCTAAGAGTTAAACATTCTAATTAATATATATATATAACTTTGTATTTAAAATATACCAAAAAAGTCAGATGTGTTTTTGATGAAAAAAATTATAAGAAAAGTATACAAATATGCTCTCTGTTGAGAAAGAAAGAGTAATTTTGTCTAATTCAGAGGTTATTTGAAGGTTGTTTTAAAATACAGATTTAGGAAGGAAATAGAAATAAAATAAAATGGAACCAGCAAGTAGCAGATAGAAATGTAAAGTTATAAATATGAAAATATGTTTTTGGTAAAGAACATGAAAAAGAAAAGAGAATAATTTTGAATAAGAAAGAATCTTGCATGGTAAATTTTGTCCTAAAGTAAAATAATTGGTTATTTAAGATAGAGGAAGTATAGGAAAATGCAGAAAGCCCAAGTATGTCATCAGTGGTCTGAGTAGGTTGCAGTAAGTTTCATCAAAAATAATTTATAGAAGGAATTGTTTGTGTGATCAAATTGGCTATAATTAGAAGGAAATTATTTAAAAGTTTTTCTAAAGATTGAACTTGGACCTTAAAAATGCATTAATCCAAAATGTTAAAATGTGGTTCTCCATGTAAAAACAAGATTTTCTTAAAGTATTGATTTACTCTTAGTAGAATTGCAAGAGGTTTTGATTTTTAATTCTGAAACCCGTTTCTTTAATAGCCATCTTCTAAACTACAGACAGTTTCTATTTCATCCAGATATCTAATTAGTTTATCTAGTTTTAGGTTGGAAAATGCTGTGTTTTTCATTCAGAATGGTAACTTCATTTTTTGAGGTAAAATTTTCCTTTTTGAAACTTCTCAGATTTATATAAGTTCAACTTTTGCTGCACCTCACTGCATATGATTTGTAGGACATACGTCATTGCCTTCTGCTCTTTCTTCCCTTGAAAAGGTGTATCTTTTTGCTTGGCTCTGGTGATAACTCTCTCCTTCAACCTTTTTGTCAACTACTGTAACTTGTGTGTGTGTGTGGAGACGAGGTCTCACTATGTTGTCAGAGCTGGTCTTGAACTCCTGGCCTCAAGTGATCCTCCGACCTCAGTGTTCCAGAATTCTGGGATTACAGGTGGGAACCATTGGGCCTGGCCAATGGCTGTAACATTTTTTTCAGTTTTAGCTCTGTTGTTATGACCTGATGCTGACATTTTATTTTGGAGGTCTAGAAAAGCAATGTTTTCCTCCAATATAATTTGATTCCATACTCTTGGCTTTCCTTGAGGTGTCTGAATTGTTCCTTGTAGCCAGGAAACTTGTCATGCTATTACTAAGAGCCATGCATTCTCCTGGTCAAGGTATTAGTTTTCTTGTTTACATTTCTCTATAACATAGCATACAGTCATAATCCAGGATATACCCTTCATGTGTCTGATTAATTTGAGTTCCAGGTTATCTAAATGGGCTTCACCTAAGGAAGAGCAATCACACTACAGGAGGTTTTTCTTTAGCTTTTTGGTAATTGGCCTTAAAAATATATATTTTTTACATTTTATGAAGATAATACCTGCCTTGTCTTTATTAAGTTTTTTATTATTTAGGAAAACTGGGCTTTAAAGAGGTTAAGGTTTTAATATCCATGCAACTTTCTGTACTGCTTTTGAGCCTTTTATCACTCTGGATAATAACTTATTTTATAGTGACTGGTGATTCTGTTTTTTTAAATTTTTATTTTTTTAATTTTTTTTTAAAGACAGGATCTTGCTGTGTTGCCCAGGCTGGTGTTGAACTTCTGGCCTCCTGCACTGACCACCCAAAATGTTGGGATTACAAGCATGAACCACCATGGGGGCTGGGGCCTGTGATTGGGTTTTGATCAATTGTTTTGAACCTTTTAATGTCTTTGGCAGGTTTCCCCAGAATCAATATTCTAAATTATCTCTTTTTGACCTAAAATTAACTGGGATTTTCTGGGTGGGCCTCCAGAGAGCCCCAAAAAATGTCTCTCTCATCTTGTAGAGATACTAAATGATTAGACTTAGGTAAATTGTATGGGAGCCATTGCCAAATGGTAAGTGGTGCTGGATCTTCTTTCAGTTACAATTATGGGTATGCTATTAATATAAAGTTTCAAAAATTATATAACGTTATTAAAATCTGTTAATTTATTAAAAGTCATAATTTTATTGCTATGTTGAATGTTTTCTAAAGCTGTATTTGTGTGGCTATCTTATTAATATGAGTATTCTAACGATAATATAAAATTTATAAAAGATTATAAAAATTTATAAAAGTCCTGATGTGACACTCTCAGTCATGATTCTGGTTGTTATCTTAAAATACTGCATGTAGTAGAAATAAATAAATTTCTTTGTCAACTGGGAACTTTCATCAGATTTTAATCATGGCTAGTCTAAGTTTTTGTCATCTATAATTATTGTTTTGAATTCTTCTTTAAAAGTATTTGCAATCAGCTATAGTCTAAAATTGCTTTTCATGGAAAACACTCTAACAACAGATATCTGGTAACTTTAAGATCAATGGACTCAATAAAAATTTCCAGAGCCCTAATTTAAAAACCAATGGGTTCATAAAACTGCTAATTAACATCCAGCAAAACAAAACAAAATACATGAAACTAAGCAATTGATAAAAATAATGTTCTGACGACTCTTATTTAAAACCTTATTGGTTCTTTACTTAAATGTTTTCCAGATTTCAGGAAATTTTATCTCACAAGCTATCTATAGTTTATAATAATTTGGTAACGTATACAAAAATAGAAGCAATTGCTTCTTCTCCCTACCTGATTCTTCCAAAATTCAGAAACTATTCGTGAGTATTTTTATTTATATAAGTTCAATAAAAATACATTCTCTCTTGGGTGGTTTGGGGCGGGCCTCAGCTGGGCTCCGCTGGCGGGTCGTGCAGCCTCTGGCCTCGCTAGAGTACAGCCCGGTGCGGCCCTCGTGGGGCGCGGCTGCGTGTGCGCTGGTCCGGCCTGGAGGAATCGCCCCTTTGGTCTCCCGGGTTTAGCGCGACTGCCCGCCACCGCGAGCCCCCCGCGGACTAGCGCGGGGCCAGGTGGCGCTGCAGGCGGACGCCCCAGCGGGTGAGTGGCTTTCCCGCTGAGGGCGGCCCCGCGTGGCCTCCCACCCCGCTCCGGTCCCACAAGCAGCCGGGTTTCGTGCCCTCAGGTGGCTGTGGTTAACAAGCCGCGAACTTGTGGGAATTCGTCCATCAGGTTTACCTGGCGTGCTCGACGTTTTTCAGCTGAGATGTAAGAGTGTTTAAAGAGGGTTCGAGAACATGTCTTGGACAACTGCAAATCAAATGACTGGAAAATTGAGAGCTTAACAGCTGAATTTGTGAACTTAGAGTTCCTCCGTTTAATAAATGTAGGTTTGATTTCAATTTCAAATCTCCCCAAGCTGCCTAAATTGAAAAAATTTGTACTCAGTGAAAATAGAATCTTTGGAGGTCTGAATATGTCTGCAGAAAAACTTCCAAATCTCACACATTTAAACTTAAGTGGAAAAAAACTGAAAGATATCAGCACCTTGGAACCTTTGAAAAAGTTGGAATGTCTAAAAAGCCTGGACCTCTTTAACTGTGAGGTTATTAACCTGAATGACTACCAAGAGAGTGTCTTCAAGCTCCTGCCTCAGCTGACCTGCTTGGATACCTATGACCCAGAGGACCAGGAAGCCCCTGACTCAGATGCCCAGGTGGATGGTGTGGATAAAGAGGAGGAGGATGAAGAAGGAGAAGATGAGAAGGACTAGGAGAATGAGGATGGTGAAGAAGAGGAGTTGGATGAAGAGGAAGATGAAGACGAAGATGTAGAAGGGGATGATGACAAAGATGAAGTCAGCGAGGAGGAAGAAGAATTTGGACTTGATAAAGATGAAGATGGATGAGGATGAAGATGAGGATGAAGAGGAGGAAGAAAGCGGAAAAGGTGAAAACAGGAAGAGAGAAACAGATGATGAAGAAGATGGTTAAGACCCCAGACCACCTGCAGAAACAGAACTGTTCAGTATTGTTTGGACTATTCATGGATTTGGTAGCTGTTTAAAAAAAAAAAAAAAAAAAAGTAGCTGTGATACAAACCCCAGGACATCCACCCACCCAAAGAGCCAAAGAATAGGTTCTGTGACATTCTGCCTTCCTCCATTTAGTCCCTCTTGGTAATCTACCACCGAGCTTAGGGACTTCACCCCAACAAAATTGTAAGCATTGTTAGCTTTTTGTGTGAGACTCTTGCTGTAGCGTGGATAGCTGTGATTGGTGAGTCAACCATCTGTGGCTACCAATTACACTGAGATTGCGACAGCATTTTTACTTTCTGTACAACAAAAAAGCTTTGAAAATAAAATCTTAACACTGAATATATATAGTGTATATTATATATATATGTATAATCTCTTTATAAGTATGATACAATTGGAAACATTGGTTATATTACCAAGATTTTGACTAAAATATCATATTTAAGAATGTGCAGAAAATGCCTGGCTTCCAGAGTTCCCAGCCTCACAGTGAGTAAAAATTGTCACTTCCTGGCAGGTCCAAGAACCTTAAAACTGTATGTAAAAATCTAAAGTCTGCCTTCCTATGGATTCCTAGCCCCAAAAGGTTTTTTAATATGAGATTCCTAAGTGATCAGTGCAGAGAGAAAAGGTTAGTTTTCCAAAAACAACACTATAAGCCATCTGTATTGGATTGCAGCCTTGTGAATTGTTTACAAGTTCTCATTATCTACCTGTAGACTAGACTAGACCCTGAATTCTCCTAATTTTCTCTAATATTTGGCTACAACTCTCCAACTAAAAACAAAAGTTGCCCTATTCCTAAAGCCCTACAAGCTGAAACTAGACAAATTTTAAGAAACAAGCCTCATGCTCGGTGTATGAATCACACAAAAAACTCACCAAGCCACCCAATGTCATGACCAGAGATACTCACACTACAAACCAGGGGAAAAAGTTGATGTTTTCACACCATAAACAGCTTTTCCCAAGATGTTGAAATAAGACTCCAGGCCAGGCGCAGTGACTCAAGCCTGTAATCCCAGCACTTTGGGAGGCTGAGGCGGGTGGATCACCTGAGGTCAGGAGTTTGAGACCAGCCTGACCAACATGGTGAAACCCCATCTCTACCAAAAATACAAAAAAAATTAGCTGGGCGTTATGGCGTGCGCCTGTAGTCCCAGTTACTTGGGAGACTGAGGCAGGAGAATCACTTGAACCCAGGAGGCGGAGGCTGCAGTGAGCCAAGATTGTGCCACTGCACTCCAGCCTGGGCAACAGAGCAAGAATCCATCTCAAAAAATTTGTTCTTAATAAAATAAAATTTTTAAAAAAGAAATGACTCCATAACATAATGAGACTTTTACCTCCCTTAATGTAACCTTTTTCACTTGGCAAGTGAAATGGTGTAACCGAAATTCCACAGTTAATAGCTGGTAACCTAACGGAACCTACTCTAAGAAATCCTTTAGTAACCACTGGTTAAATAAGAAAACGTCTGTACTGTTGCTAATACTACATGCTGTACCTAAACACATTCTTCTCTGGAAAAGTTCAGACTTATGTTTACAACATAAGAAAACAGGCCACATGGTTACAACAGGTCTCACTTATTCCCTATAGTCATTTGATTCATTCAATTAATTGTCTTTAAGCCTAGATTCTGGTTGAGGTGGGAGTATTGCTTGAGCCCAGGAGCTCGCAATCAGCCTGGGCAACATAGTGAAACCCTGTCTCTGTTAAAAAAAAAAAAAAAAAATTAATTAGCTAGGCACAGTGGTACCTGCTGTAGTCCCAGCTACTTGGGAGGCTGACCATAAGAGATCACTTGAGCTTGAGAGATTGAGGTTGCAGTGAGAGGCAATGACTCCACTGCACTCCAGCTGCAGTGACAGAGTGAGCCCTGTCTCAAAACAAATGAAAAACAAAAGCCTAGGTTCTAGCTGAAACCCATTATGCAAACTAGAATTTTGTCATATAATTATTAATTTTTACTTTGTATTTTCCCTTTTTAAACTTTGGATCTGTTATTTATTAAATGTCTTCAGAAGTACGAAATAATACTGGCTCAGCACTTTGACATAATTGCAAAATTGAGCTTAGTAATGGATTCTAGCAGACTTGACTTAAAGCCACTTCCTCCAACCTTCCTCTTTACGCAAATGTAGCTAAAAGGGTTTTGACACTGACTACTAGTGACCAATTACCCCCCTCCACTGCTCCCAGTGTGACACAAGACCAACCACTGGAACAGGTTCATCCCAGCATCCAGAGACATCAAAACCTAACTACAGGTTGATTGTTCAGTGATGCTTTTGGAAAAAGATATTGATCAAAAACGGGAAATGTGAAAGTTATCAGAATCAAAATGGAGTCACTAATGCTAAAAAAAGAAAAAATTCCCTGACAAGTAGAGCCAGAGAAGGCCATGAAGAAAGAGTTTTCATGCTTGTATGCCTGATAATAAAAAAGACTGCACAAACCACAACCTTGCACAAAAGTCGTCACAAACTTATACAAAAAATCCTTCTGCAAAAACATCTTCCCAACAACTGCCTGTCCCACCTTGGACTTGGCATCACCCTTGTTATCGATCTTTTTAGCCAAGGATAATTGTTTCAAAACAATTATGCAATCCTCATTTTTTTTATTTTAAAAACCCTTGCGCCTGTAATCCTAGGACTTTGGGAGGCCGAGGTGGGCGGATCACAAGGTCAGGAGATAGAGACCATCCTGACCAACATGGTGAAACCCTGTCTCTACTAAAAATACAAAAAATTAGCTGGGCGTGGTGGTGGGTGCCTGCAGTCCCAGCTACTCGGGAGGCTGAGGCAGGAGAATGACGTGAACCCGGGAGGCGGAGCTTGCAGTGAGCCGAGATCGCGCCACTGCACTCCAGCCTGGGCGACAGAGCGAGACTCCGTCTTAAAACAAACAAACAAACAAAAACCCTCGTCTTCCTCTACCTCCATGAATATGCACTTAGTTTACTATGACATGCATATTCCCATTGCGATGTTCTATCCCCAAACATACATCTTTTCTTTCAGAGAGCCTCTCTCTGTTTGTTTAGATTGACATGTGAAAGAAGAGTCAATCAATGTGGCAAACTTCTTTGTTGTGTTATTTTAAGAAATTGCCATAGCCACCCTAATCAACCCCCACCCTCAACAGTCAGCAGCCAACAACAGCAAGGCAAGATCCTCCACTATCATAAAGATTACAACTCACTGAAAGCCCAAATGGCTCTAAGCATTTTTTAGCAGTAAACTATTTTTAAATTAAGATATGTACATTTTTTAGACATAAAGCCATTGAACACTTAATAGACCACAGTATAGTGTAAGTATAAATGTTTATATGCACTGGGAAAACAAAAATCTATGTGACTCACTTTAATGCAATATATGCTTCAGTGCAGCAGTCTGGAAACAAACCCACGTTATCTCTGAGGTATGCCTGTATGTTGTAGCAGCTCTGTCTATTTTTTCTCCATGCCCAGGGCTCATTGTTTTTGTTTGCTTGTTTGCTAGTATATTTGTTTGGCAACTGTGGTATTATAAGAAACATATTTGGTTTTTCTTCTTTGTTCTTGGCACAGAGCTCCTAAAACCCTTGGAATTTCCTGAATGATGAGAATGTCTTTTGTTATTCATAATAAGCTCCTTTTGATCACACTGAATTTATACGAATCAGGTAACTTAGGGTGGAGCCCTTAGATAGCCTCGTGATGGGACTGGCCACCAGAAGGACCAAGTGATTCGAGAGTGGAGACTTTTAGCTCCACTGACCCAGCTCCAAGAAGAAAGGTGAGGGGCTGGAGATTAAGCTCTGAGAGAACTCTTGAACAATAAATGTTGATGTGCTCCTGGGCTGGTGAACACATCGAGGTGCTGGGAAGGTGGCACCCAGAAAAGTCATGGAAGCTCTGCACCCCTTTCCTCACTCCTTACCCTATGCATCTCTTCCATTTGGCTGTTACTGAGTTGTATCCTTTATAACATCCTTTGTAATAAATCAGTAAACGCAGAGTACTTTCCTGGCTCTATGAGTCATTCTAGCAAATAATTGAACTTGAGGAGGGGGCCATGGGAACTCCTGATTTTACAGCCAGAAGTATGGGTGGCCCAGGACTTGCACTTGGCATCTGAAGTGAAGGCAGTCTTGTAAAACCGAACGCTTTTAGCCTGTGAAATCTGACACTAACTCCAGGTAGTTAATGTCAGAGTGGAATTTAATTGTTGGACACCCAGTTGGTGTCTGGAGAATCAATAATTGGTTGTTAGTGTTGGAAAACACTCCAGTGACCTTGGCTAGACTAGTTTGCTGAAGTCTATTTCCTGGACACTGTGCAGTCTCTGGTGTTACTCATTAGAGGGCACAGACTTGGGCATGAGCAGAGTCCCTTGACTCCCCAAATGAATCTTAACAAGATAAACAAAGTAACATAAAGAATCATCTCACAACTTACAACGCAGATGAATTTAAAAGCCAGGTGATAATAAAATAATAAATATGCAAGGGATTTTTTAAATTCTCCTTTTATTACTTTTTACTCTTTTTATCATAAAATATTCATTTTACATGTGATTATATCAAGTTTTAAATTTACATTCCTCAAAAACTCTCAAAGCCAAGATTAAAACAGAAATGCACTCATACATTATTGGATGCTGTGCAATTTACTCAGTATTACTTAGCAATAAATATCCCCTTAAAATCAGGCCACCACTCACCTCGCTTTAAAAGTATTATTTTGACATAAACTAGCTATATACTAGAAAACTTAATTTGCTATTGTTTTCTTTTTTATGATTTATGTATTTATTTTAGGGTCTCAGGTACATTAAATTGGATTATGACACACTCTCAGCAGTGGTCCTCTAGTTATTTAGCCGGTTATTTTTAAATAATGTAATAAGCACTTGTAAACCTATAACCCCAAAATAAAAGCTAAGATCTTGATAATAATCTACATCTAAATATAAGAGTCTTTCATTCCCCATCCCTCCCTACCTCCAGCCAAGGTAACCATCTCCTAAATCCTGTGTTCATTATCCACTTGCTTTTCTTTTTATATAGTTTTATTATACCTATATGTAATCTCAAAATTATGTTTTAATTTTAAGTTCATAAAGATATAACATGCTCTATGTATTGTTTTCATTATTTGATGAAGCTCTTGGGAAAATTTAATTGGAGCCTTTCATTACTTGTAAAACATCTGGCAGGAAAGAAAAGTGAAAGAAAAACTTGGGAATAATCATTTTTAGAAAAGAGAAGTGGGACAAAATTCAGATATTAGGAAAGATAAATACAGGCTATTGTCTTACTTTCCATAGTTCGGAAAGTTTAAAAGTTCTTGTTGGATGACAAATGTAAGTCATCACAGTGTAGTAAAGAAAAAAAAAAAACAGATTGAAGCTCCTTTCACTCGGCTTGCGCAAGTATTTTTGTCTCTGAGCCTCAGCATCTTCATCATTAAAAACAGATTAAAGATATTACTGGTAACTCTCGGGAAAGTATTTCCAAAATAATCTGCAATATGTTAATAGGTGTGAAAGGGGAAAGGGTTCTATGGTCAAATAAATTTGAGAAATGCTGAGTTAAATAGGTTTCTTGATTGCAGATCTTCTCAGATCCTTGAATTAATGGCCTGCACTATAAATCTACAAAATGGCAATAATCCATACAACACTTCCTAAGCTAATTTCAACATCAAATCCTTTTCTTTAGAATCACCTTTTAAAACTGCTATTTAAGGAACAATGACTCAGAGACTTTTTGAAACTTAAATGACATAATAATAGAAATGATGAATAGGATTTGGACATGCAGATGCAAGAACAGAGGTAAGCACTTTCCAGGCAGAGGAAGGAGGATGAGGCCAAGCACAGAAGCAAGAAAGCAAGGGCCAGGAGGGACACAGGGTGATGAGAGGCAGAGGGGAGATGATGGGAAAGTACCTTCAGCATCGAGGCAAGAGTTGGTGGTTTTCTTCTGCAAGTAGTGGAGAGCCCCTGAAACTTTCAGAAGAGGAAATTGACAAGGGACAGAGAGTAGAGCTTTCGGAAGGTTGCTGGGGCTACAGGCCATTGCCTGGATTTAAAGCAGACAGGCCAGGGTAGGGGGTCAGGAAGCCTAGTTAAAGATAGCCCCAGGAGAGGTGATGCCGTGTGCTGACTTAAGCAGTGGCAGCGGGGATAAGGAGGTGGAACTAAATAAGAAAAGAATCAAAAGTGATATTGTCAGGTCTTGGAAAAATGACACTGCAATGGGCAAATCCTTTCAATTGTTCATTCAACCAAAATTCACTGTGCGTCAAGCACTGTGCTCAGCCTTCTGGATGCAGTGGGAAATAAGATACTCATGGTCCCCGCCTTTGTGGAGAGTCAGAAGGAGAAGACTGTTCTGAACAAGTAGTTACATGTGTAAGGTGTGTTGCCGAAGGGTCAGTACAGGGAGGATTTCTCTGAAAGGAATTCAGCAATGTTTTCCCACTAAATAACAGTCCTTTGAAAAAGCAGACAGGATATTGAAAATAATCCAGTTTAACAGAACTACATAATCATTTTTTAATAGCTCATCTGATCAAAGGCACGTATTCCTATTCTCTGCAAAGAACATAGAGTGATGTCTCTACATAGAAAGGGTCTCCTAGTCTTTTTTGTCTCCATCTATTTTTGCCTTCAGCTTCTAGCAGACCCCTGGGGGAAAGAATATCACACCAACAATGCACCTTTGCTTCTCCGCAGCCCAGCATGGCCACCAGAGCCCAGCATTCGTCCCCAGGAACAGGACTATGAGCCTAAGGTCTTGCATCCCCTTTTTAGTGCCCTTGATCATCTGGTGGTCAGTCTCCAGTCCCCTTCCACCGAAGCTGACCACTTGGGTAATATGCCTGCTTATACTATGAAATCCTGAGAGCGGAAGAGATTTCTTACTATTTACTTTCTCCACTGGCTTCTAAAAAGGGAAACCCTTTTGTAGTTAACACTCTGGTGGGTATGGGAATGCCGGCATGGACCCAGAGTAGTGTTTAGTCTCAGTCTGCCTAAGAGAGTGAAAAGAAATGAAGTTTCCCATCTGTGGTGATGCATTCTCCAGAAGCACCCAGAGGCAAGGGTGACCAGGAGAACAGCACCCTCCTGGAAATTCACAGATATCCTGGGGAGGGTTTCAGACTTCTAAGTGGCATAAAGGGGATGGAGGGAGTGGGGGGCTTCAAGTCATTTATTCTAGATATCAAAAAACATAGAGACCTTTAACTGATATTTTCGTTATAGGAGGATGCTGTCCTTCAAAATCACCAGAAAATTTTTTAAATTTTTGCCCCCTTTTAAGCAGGGGAGACTTCTTTTAAACAAAAGCAAGACAGAATTCAATTACATAAAACAAATATGAGAGGTCTTCAAAAAGTTCATGGAAGACACATCTTATGAAAAAACTATACATGGATTTAAAAAAATTTTGCACCAAAACAAACTCACACTAACCTGTACTGAATGTCTGAACAGGATCTATTTTGAGGCACTAAGAAGGATAAGACATCAGTTTGCAAAGATCTCGTATCAGAGCTACATGGATTCTGCTAAAATTGGACCAAGAACAAACATCAAATTTATGCAGAAATTTGGGTGGAAAAATGGTGAAATCACTGATGCTTTATGAAAGTTTATGGTAATAATGCCCCAAAGAAATCAGCAGTTTAAAAATGAATAATTAATTTTAATAAGGGATGAGGCAATGTTGAAGATGAAGCCTGCAGTGGTAGACCATCCACATCAATTTGGAAGGAAAAATATTATCTTCTTTATGCCCTGATTAAAGAGAATTGACATTAACAGTAGAAACAATAACCAACATCATAGACATCTCAATTGGTAACTTACGCAATTCTTTTTTGAGATAAGGTCTTACCCTGTCATCTAGGTTGGGGTGCCATGGTGCAATCATAGGTCATCACAGCCTCAAACTCCTGGACTCCAGTGATCCTCCTGCCTCAGCCTCCTGAATAGCTGGGACTACAGGCATACACCACCACACCCAGCTAATTTTTAAATTTTTTGTAGAGACAGGGTCTTACTATGTTGCCCAGGCTGGAGCACATACAATTCTAACCGAAAAAAGCAAAGTTGAACAAACTTTCTACTTGATGGGTGCCAAAACCATTGTGCCCAGCTCAGCTGCAGACAAGAGCACAGCTTTCAATGGAACTTTTAAACAAGGGGGATTAAGATCCTGAAGCATTTCTTTGAAGAACTGCAACAGGAGATGAAATATGGCTTTGCCAGTATGATCCTGAAGACAAAGCACAATCAAAGCAATGGCTACCAAGAGGTGGAAGTGGCCCAGTCAAAGCAATAGTGGACCAGTCAAGAGCAAAAGTCATGGCAAGAGTTTTTTGGGATGCTCAAGGCATTTTTCTTGTTGACTTTCTGGAGGACCAAAGAATGATAACATCTGTTCATTATAAGAGTGTTTTGAGAAAGTTAGCCAGAGCATGAGCAGATAAACACCCAGGAGAGCTTCACTGGAGAGCCCTTCTCCACCGTGACAATGCTCCTGCTCACTCCTCTTATCATACATGGGCAATTTTGTGAGAGTTTCAATGGGAAATCATTAGGCATCCACCTTACAGTCCTGATTTGGCTCCTTCTGACCTCTTTTTGTTTCCGAATCTTGAAAAACTTTTAAAGGAAACCCTTTTTTCTTCAGTTAATAATGTAAAAAAGACAGCATTGACATGGTTAAATTCCCAGGAACCTCAATTCTTTACAGCTGGACTAAATGGCTGGTAACATTGCTTACAAAAGTGTCTTGAATATGATGGAGGTTATGTTGAGAAATAAAGCTTATATTTTTTATTTTTACCTTTTAATTACATTTTCCCAAGAACTTTTGAAGTTGCCTCACAGATTTAAAAAGGGTGGTCTTATGATAGACTCAAAGGGTGAGTTGGGGCCAAAACTTCCACCTTGCCCCACCAGAGGGCCCTAAGAATCTGTAGAGCATAGATTGAAAACCACCGATCTAGTTTGGCCCTTCTAATTTTACAGCTGAGAAAATAAAAGCCCAGAGTGGGTCCAAACCCTTGAGGACCACAAGCCCCTCAGGAGGAAGAGCAGGGGCTAGAATTAATGTCACTTGACTTTTTGTCCAGGGCCTTTTCTACTTCCTACCCCTTATCTGGCCACAACTGTGGGAACACTCATCTGATTCTCATTGACCCATTCATCTCCTGTTGCTGGTTGGGAAAAAAAAAAAATGCTGGCCCTTATGGCTTCAGAAAAATATAAATAAAAGCATTTCACATATTGAATATAAGATTCAGAATGCAACAAGAATGAATCTGTTTGGGTCCATTTCTATTTTTCTGCAATTTAAAAGTCAGCAATTATAAAAGGTTTGGAAGCAATGCAATTATTCACTTACAGTACAATAGGGTAAAGTTAAGAAAGAGACCATTTCCAGGAACTTAAAGATACTGGATGAATGTGCACAGAAGGGTATCAAGGCAGACTCATTTCCCCAAACCGTCAGCTTCTCCGGTTCCCTTAAGCTGATGGGAGAAGATAGGGTGTGTCTCAGTTTCACAGACGAGGAAACGGAAGTGCAGAGATAGTATGGGAAAACATAAGTTAACATGGGAGTCAGAACTAAAACCCACCATCAAAAAAAAAAAATGTGATAAGAGGGGAGGAAAGGAGAAAGAAAACATTGAAAAATAAAGCCTTCCTCATGTGTTCATAGCATTTGTGGGTCTCAGACCATGTTTATACACATCAGTTTTATTTGGGTACTTCCGTTACAAGAGGTTAGAAAATAATTCAATATTATATGACCAGCTCTGTTTATTTATTTTATTTTATTTTATTTATTTGAGACTGAGTTTCACTCTTGTTGCCCAGGCTGGAGTGCAATGGCATGATCTCGGCTCGCCACAACCTCCGCCTCCTGGGTTCAAGCAATTCTCCTGCCTCAGCCTCCTGAGTAGCTGGGATTACAGGCACACGCCACTACACCTGGCTAATTTTGTATTTTTAGGAGAGATGGGGTTTCTCCACGTTGGCCAGGCTGGTCTCAAAGTCCCGACCTCAGGTGATCCGCCCACCCCGGCCTCCCAAAGTGGTGGGATTACAGGCATGAGCCACTGTGCCCAGCCTCTGTAATTTAAATCACAGGCTTTGGAGTCAGATATTCTCAATCCAAATGGCAGAACCAAGCACTCACCTGCTGTGTAAACCTTGGGTGGAATCACAGTCTATGACTTAGTTGCCTCATCTGTAAAATGGAGAAATAACCTCACTCACGTTATATGATGAGTGTGGATATGTATGTAAGATGACGTGTGTGACACATTGGCACAGTACCTAGGACACAGTGAGTACTCGGTAAATACTACTGCTTATTATTATGAAAAGTCTGACAGCAGACCAAGAATGGGAACCAGTTTTCTGCTCAAATTCCTCCAGGCACCTCATTCAGCAGATGTTTGCAGGTTTTAGATAGTCGCATTGGGCTTGTTTTTTGTTTTGGTTGGTTTGAAACAGGGTCTTGCTGTATTTAGGCTGGAGTGTCATAGTGTGATCACAGCTCACTGTAGCCTTGCACTCCTTGGCTCAAGCAATCCTCCCACCTCAGCCTCCTGAGAAGCTAGTACTATAGGTGCACACCATCACGCCCGGCTAATTTTTAAATATTTTGTAGAAATGGGGTCTTGCTATGTAGCTCAAGCTGGTCTTGAACTCCTGGGCTCAAGTGATCCACCCGCCTCGGCCTCCCAAAGTCCTGGGATTACAGGCTTGAGCCACCACACAGCCACACTGGGCTGTTTCTCATGCTCAAAAGTAATGTCTCATCCAGAAGAAATGTTTAGGACAAGGGCTTCCCTGACCTTTGAAAGAGCGTGTTTAATTTCATAATTGGGCAAGTGTGCCCTCATGTGGCAATTCGTGGGTACAGCTTCTGATTTGTGACTAGAAAAATGATGCAGTGACAGCAAGGTGTTCTCCAGGCTCAGTTCAGAAGACTCCAGTTTACAAGTGGGTCTCTGATTCCAAAGGGAGTTGTAAACCTTTGCTTCTGGAACTAATGATACATCTTCTCTCACTGTAATAAACACCGAGGTTAAAAGCCAGCCGGGCACGGTGGCTCATGCCTGTAATCCCAGCACTTTGGGAGGCCGAGGTAGGCGGATCATGAGGTCAGGAGATCGAGACCATCCTGGTTAACACGGTGAAACCCCGTCAGTCTGATGTCGGAAGCCTATTAAATTATTGTCTACTTGCAATAGTCTTAGGTTTCACTCCTGCAAATAATCCTGTTTCACATTATGTTCTAAAAATATCAAAATCCTTGAGACTCCCCCAAACTATGTCTTTCTTGCCCTTGCTTTTAACTCTATTTGAATTTACTTTCTCAAGACCCTTCTTCTCCGTGTGATTTCTACTCATCTATCAAGACCATCTTAGAAGTCATCTCCCTCAGCAACATCCCCAGCCCAGATTAAGCTGTCTGCTACTCCCTGGTTCTCATGACACTTTGCATTTTCTCTGCAAATCCCTATTATGGGCAATTTTTCTTAGCAATGAGCAACTTGGACTAGTGTAAGCCCCATAAAGACAGGGGTCTTTTTGTTTCATCGACATAGCCTTAGCCCCAGCGACAATGCCTGATAGACAAGGGGATATTTGAAAGCACCTGCCACATCAGTGAATTGTTCAGTTTCTTTTTCACACTCCTGGGACCATCTGTAGTACAGTACAAACACTCATATTATCATAAATTTTATTCACTGGAAATACACAGCTACCCATCCTCCAAAACCTGTGTTTGCACATCACGTGGACTTAATAATCTTCTGCCTGCGTCAGCCTTCAAATGCCTGTCCATCTGGATCTCATAGCAGCCCGGAAGTGTTAATACATTAGTCATGAGCTGCTGCAATAGGCAGGTCTCAGTTTCCCCAGAATTGCAGGAAACCCTCCTCTATTTGTCTCAGATAAGTTGCTATCCCTCCACTTCTGCCAACCAACCTCTCCAGTGGCCACTGACTGCTTGGCTCAGAAGCTGAGGTGGGAGAATTGCTTGAGCCTGGCAGGTCAAGGCTGCAGTGAGCTGTGATTGGGCCACTGCACTCCAGCCTGGGTGACACAGTGAGACCCCGTCTCAGAAAAGAAAGAAGAGAAGGAGTGAGGGAAGAATGGAGGAAGGGAAGAAGGAAGGAAGGAGGGAAGGAGGAAAAGAAGGAAGGAGGGAAGGAGGGAAGAAAAGAAGAAGGAAAGGAAAGAAAGGAAGAAAGGAAGGAAAAGAAAGGAAGGAAAAAAGAAAAAGAAAGAAAGAGAAAGAGGAAGGAGAGAGAGAGAGAAAGAAAGAGGGGGGAGGGTGGGGGAGAAAGGAGGAGGGGGAGTGAGGGAGGAAAAAAGGAAGGGAGGGAGGAAGGAAGGGAGGGAGGGAGGGAGGGAGGGGAGGGGGGAGAAAGGTATGGGGGAGAAAGGAAGGGAGGGAGGGAGGGAAAAGAAAAGAAAGACAAAAAATTGAGGTGACACAGCTACAAGACAGGGAACATCAAGGATCGCCAGAAGCTGCCAGAAGAGGCATGGAACAGATTCTCCCTCAGAGTCACCGGAAGGAACCAACCCTGCCAAAATCTTGGTAACAGGTTTCTGGCCTCTAGAACCATAGGAGAATATATTTCCCTTGTTTTAACCCACCAAGTTTGTGGCAATTTCTTACAGCAGCCCTAGAAAACCAACATGCCATATAAATAGCAAACTAGAGAATATCATATACAGTAGGTGCCATTTATGTAAAATTTTATACCCATGTATAGAAGCCTACAGGGATGCCTGGAAGAATGTTTTCCAGATTGGGATTGGAAATAACCTCTGACTAGTGGCATTTGGGATGATTTTTCCACACTTTCAGATTGGAATAACTTAAGACTTAGATATAAGATATTTGGAAAGAATTCTTTTATATATTTCCTCAGCCTGTGAGATCCAAATGCAATCTTTCTAGAACCTTCCAAATAAGATCAAAAGGATGCCTTGTAACTCCCTTGGATACCATATCCCTTTGGCACAGCCTAAGTCCCACTCATGGGAGAGGATACCTTCCTTGCAGCTCCTTGTGGAATACTTGCTGTCTTTAAAGTAGCTGCCAGAACTTTGGCCCGCTCCTGTTCAGTTCAGACGACCTGGGTAAGGCCTAGGAAGCAGTCCCTACTGCCCCATGCTCACTGTCACAGCTTTCTAGTCTCTTCCCAGCTTCACTGCACTAGAGGGAAAATTGAAGGCGAAAACTGAAGTTGGCTAAAAGCTCCTGTCTGTGGATGCCTCCTGGCAGCATTTGACTGAACCAGTCCCTGTTTTCCATGCTGAATTCTACTGCTACTTTCTCTGCCTTGCAGAAAAAAATTTTGATTTTCATTACTTAATTAGAAGGCTGCCCATTCTTTTTCTTTAGTGGAAAAGCACTTGACAACCAGCTCCATCACTTATTAGCTCTGTCACCTTTGAGCAGTTTTTGTTCTCCTCTCTGTGCCTCTATTTTCCCATCTGGAAAATGGGGATAGTAATTATTTAGGGAAAAACTCTCTGAAATCATGTTTTTCCTCACCTCTCATACCACCACAATAACCATCAACATAGAAGAGGACATCTGTGACCAAACATGAGGGGGTTTTCCCCCATTCACCAAGCAGCGGACACCAGCTAGGTGCCCTCCAATTCATTCCAACACTATTTATCCGGAGATAGTGTCAGAACCCATGGACTGAGGACTCAGTTCCCAAGACTACCCCTCAAGCCAGATACCAGTTGCAAGTTCAGACCTCCAGAGCATGTGACCTTCTGGCTTCAAGTTGGGATTCCCATAATCCCCTCTAGGTTTGAGATTTGCTGGAGCAGCTCACAGAACTCAGGTAAACACAGGTAGTAGCTTATTATACTGAGTACTGCAAGGGATACAGGTGAAGAAATGCATATGGCGAGCTATGGGGGACGGGACGCGGCGCTTCCATGCCCTTCCTGGGCACACCACCCTCCAGGAACCTCCAGGTGGTCAGCTATTCTATTCATAAGCTCCCCAAATTCACAGTCCTCTTGGGTTTTTTTTGTTTTCCTCTTGAGTTTTTATGGAAGGTTCATAAGGTCCCCAATCCTTTCTCCAGGATATAGGGTGGGATCCTCCCTGGGGAGGATCTTGAGACTCCAATCAGAAGGGTGGGGAAAGACTAGAGTCCTGCCTTGGGGCAAGTGAAAGGAGGGCAGGAGATTCTGTTTCCTGAGGCCAAACACATCCAGCATTATAACAAAAGCCTGTAACTTGTGTTATGGGAGTTATGAGCCAGGAATCATAGATGAAAACCAGTCTTTATCACAACACTACAGTAATACTATCTATTTTGTTCACTTACTGCAACAAGTAAATGAGTTAATGAGTTAATACATATAAATTTGACGTGAGCAGTGCCAGGCTCATACTAAGTGCTCAATAAAAGTTGCCCATCATCACCATCATCATCATCATCATCATGTGCTTCCTCGGTCTTCTCTTTCTCCAGCGGCTGCCCTTCAGTGAGGCTAAGATATTTGGTCTTTCAACCCAGGTACATTTTAAAGGCTTGTCTGGCAGACTCTCCAAAATCCTCCTTTATTATCAATCTTTTGGATGTTCTATGTCTATAAAACTTCCTCATTGATTCAACCCCATAGATCAAATTCTTCCCTTCCAAATTAATACCCAACGTAATGATCCAACATCAACTACATTTCTTGTCCTATCATCTGTCCTGGCATGTGAGTCCTGGGGCTTGAGGTATCTGCAAGCTAAGCCGGTGTCTCTTTGGGTTTGCCTGCCACAGATACCAGCCTGCCCTCTGCAGAAGAAATACACATATCTATAAAATATCTGTGGCTTACTTTTTAATTTTTTTGAAACAGGATCTCATTCTGTTGCCCAGGCTGGAGGGCAGTGATGCAATCACAGCTCACTGCAGCCTTCACCTCCTGGACTCAAGCAACCCTTCTACCTCTGCCTCTGAAGTAGCTGAAATGATGTGCACCACCACGTCAACTAATTTTTTATTTTTTTTTTTGTAGAGACAGAAGTCTTGCTATGTTGCCCAGTCTGGTCTTGAACTCCTGGGCTCAAGCAATCTCCCGGCCTTGGCCTCCCAAAGTGCTGGGATTATAGGTGTGAGCCACAGCACTGGGCCCTGTGACCCACTTCTATGACTGGATTTACATAACACTCTGCATAGATCACCTCCCCTTGAATTTTCTGCAAAAGGTCTTGTGCTGGAACTGGCCTAGAAAACGTGAACGTGGCCTGGTCCTGATACGTTCTCAGACCCAGCCCTCACCCAGCAGCTCAGGGACCTAGATCAGAACCACTCTTTTCCTGATCCTCTCCTTGTGTGAGAATATTCTGAGCACAATTGCTATTTGTGCTGAACAAATTTGCACTACTTGGCACCATTCTCCTAACAGTTTGGCTGCCACATGATAGAGCCACTCTTTGGCTCAATTCCAGGGAATGATGAAATTCAATAACAACTAAATGCCAATCTCAGTTCAATATTACAGATGGTACTTGCCGTCTCCAAGTGTACCCTCAGAGCTACACCTTTTGTCCTGGAAGAGGGTGGTGGTGTAGTCTGCAGTGAGGTAGTGAGGTCAGTTGGCCAGGCACATGATTAGATTCCTGGAGAATGTCAGACAACCATCCTGATTCTGAGTTTGGGGGGATGTCATTGCAATCAAACAGCATTGCAAAGCATCCCTGCCAGAGGACAACAGCAAGTAGAGACACTGACAGAGCACCTGGGGGCCAGCTCCACAGGAATTGTCCCTGACACTGTGGGCTGGACTTCAGTCTGACATCACTAGATGCACTGGCTGGCTCTTTGAGTGTTAATGCATTGTTATACTTCCATGCTGGTCGGCAAAGAGCTATTGCCCAGAGCCTCCTGCATGCTCCCTACTATAATAACATTCCCAGCCTCTCCCTCTCAGATCACTCACGAATCACCCCACCACCACCACCATCTTTTTTTTTTTTTTTTTTTTTTTTTTGAGACAGAGTCTTACTCTGTCACCCAGGCTGGAGTGCTGTGGTGTGATCTCAGCTCACTGCAACCTCCACCTCCCGGGTTCAAGTGATTATCCCGCCTCAGCCTCCCAAGTAGCCGGGATTACAGGTGCCTGCCACCACACCCAGCTAATTTTTGTATTTTTAATAGAGTCAGGGTTTCACCATGTTGGCCAGGCTGGTCTCAAACTCCTGACCTCAGGTGATCCAATAGACTCAGCCTCCCAAAGTGCTGGGATGACAGGCCACGGCACCCAGCCACCACCACCACCTTTATTTAACAAAGGGTAAATATTTGGCACAAGAGGGGCTTCTAGGCCTCTGCCTCAACACTACCTCTGCCTATTCCTGATTAGTCAGGGCAGGTTGTTAAATATTTCCATTGCCAACCTTGCCAGGACCCATTCACAGAAGGAAGGCTGGATTGATCAGAAATGAGATGTGGAATGTTTGCCCCAGTAAAGCAGCATTATCAAAAACAAAACCAAGCATACACATCTAGGGATTTTCTAAACTCCTTCCTCAAGCCAGCCAAGTTGGTGGCCAAGTTATTGAACTAGTAACACAGACTTAACCAGCCAGCCCTCTACCTGGAGGAAAATGAGAGGAGCTACTAGCATGCAGGAGGACAAATCCAGTGAGGACCAAAGGATGACACAAAGACATATTCTGGGGCCAGGCATGGTGGCTCACTCCTGTAATCCTAGCACTTTGGGAGGCCAAGGCAGGAGGATTGCCTGAACCCAGGAGTTCTAGAACAGCCTGGCCAACATGGCGAGCCTGTGTCTCTTAAAAAAAAAAAAAAAGAGAGAGAGAGAGGAAAAGGAAATACCTGGCCAACTTAAACCTCTTTTTGTTAAGAATGAGAATTCTTAAGAGATAAAAAGTAGATAATTTTTTTATTTCAAGGATAAAGGAAGATGCCTATTATTATCTAGGCATGTAGAAAATTGTAGGCAATGGAAGAAAAATGGAGCTAGCCTCAGTGTACTCCAGCAGCTACATAAAATTCTGAGGGGGAAAGTTTGCAAAGCAAGATTTCAAACCCCAAGAAGTCATCCATTGTTCATTATTTAAAGCAATAGAAAGACACTCTAAGGTATCTGTAAGGTCTCAATATGCCTCTGCCGTACCTTTCCATAAAAATACTATGCAGTTGATCTGTACGTCAAAATAAAGAACTCTATAATAGAAGACTGTATTACAGTAGGACAGATAATCAGCACTGAAATAATTTAAACTTAGAACTAAGATGAAATAAGTATTATGAATACAGTTTCAAAATAATGCAGATGTTAAATAATTCTTGGAGAAAAAAAATACATCAGTATGGTAACGAGCATTAAACTTTGTCAAAAGTCCCAGACTATACCAAAAACCTGGGATGCAGACAGGCAGAGAAGGTGGAAGAAGTTTTAAGTGGAAATTTTCTCCTCTTATAACACTTATTGAGTGTTTGCAAACTGCTTTAAATGCCGTACATGTATTATCTTATGTACTTTAATACTCATGCATCTATGAGGCAAAGATCATTCCTATTTTATAGGTGATGAAACAAATGGACGGAAGCTAATTACTTGTATAAATATAGGGAAAAAAAACCTTTGGAAATATACGTGAGGAGGAAGATAGTAGGAGAGGAAGATTTACCTACCTTTAGGTCTAATAAAACAGATTTAAAATAAAATAAGCACTTAGAAAATTTAAATACTAGAATTAATATGCTTGATTTAATATATATTTAGCCTCTCTAACCTGCAGTTTCCTCATCTATAAAAAAGGGATGGGACTTCCTTCCTGTTGTAATGTTCTAAGGGTAGTAAAAGGATGCTTCATCTCAACAGACAACCCTGCATGTTGGGGCTATTTGTTGAGCTTTTGGAAATTCCAGAGCATAATTTCTAGGAGCTGAGCTGTTCATCCCAGAATTCTGGACTCAATCCAAGGAAAGGACCAAAATTCCCCTTTGCTTTCAATTGCAGAACTGACCTGCGCTCCTGAGTTCCAGTGGCATGGAGTGTTCTGGGAGGGGCAGCTGGGATTCTGCCCATGGTCGAGGACAGTACTGGAAGTCTGGCAGGAATTCTTCATTGACACATGAATGAGAGCGGGTGCCCTTGGTGCTGACTCTTAGCTGGAAACCCTCTTCTTCCTCCTCGGGCTAAGCACGCCCCCTTTGGGGTAAAGGATTGGGCAGGGCTCCTCTCTGGTGTCTGCTCCTGGAGATAAGTCCTTGATGACTCTCTGCAGCCTCCCATTCGGGAGATAAATTTCCGATTTGGGAGGAAATCACACACCCCGCCCCATGCCCCAACAGGAGTTGCTACATCTCCCATCCCTCTGCAACGGTGGGAAGTGACTACACCCACCCTTCCCCAACCCTGGGGGATTCCAGAATTTGAAAGTTCAGAGCTGGAAAGATAAACATCACTGCATATCCCTCACTCCCTCAATTGTTTCTCTTCAGGAACAGAAAAGGAACAGAGAACCAGACTGTGCGGAAATTCATCCATCTGCGGGCGTTGTTAAGGGAACTGTTGCTGAAATTACATTTGTGGGTTCCTCCCTTTCCTCCTTGTCAACACCCCCACCCACCTCTTAAGAAAAGAAAAGAAAGGAAAAAAAAACCAACTTTGATTCTTAGTCCACGGTGAGCTTCAACTAGCTTGGCCCTGCAAACCTCTTCTTGATTTCCAGAGATGAAACTTAATGTAGTAAAATTAGTGTGAAATTTGGTGCTGGTTTTCTCACTTACAGCCTGTGTCACTTAGAATGAATTAACTGCCCTGTAACCGGGTTACCTGATCCATTACAGGAAATAATCCTATTTCCTCTGCTACTTCACAGGGTTGTTGAACAAAAGGACATATTGAACCCAAGATCTTTTTTTTTTTTTTTTTTTAAGAAATGGGGTCTGGCTCTGTTGCCCAGGCTGGTCTCGAACTCCTAGGCTCAAGCAATCCTCCTCCCTCAGCCTCTCGGTAGCTGGGACTACAGGCTTGAACCCAAATTCCATTTATAAATTGCAAAATAGATATCATGTGAAAGAATCTTATCCTCAGTTCCCACTGTCTCCTTCATGTATCCTACCTGCCAACCAACTCAGTTAGTGTTTTTGCCAAATGTGGAGGACGATTTACTTTTTTTCCAGAACAAGTCTTTGTTCAAACTGTTTTCTCAGTCAGAGATGTTCCTCCTCTATCTCTGCCTTCAAAATCCTTTCCATCCTTCCCAGTCCAGTTGAAATTCCCTTCCATCCCAGAAGGCTTCCACATTCTGATGTCTCTTTGCAGAATCAATTGCTCTCCTTCTGAACCCCTCTAGCTTTTTCTTTGTTCCTTGATGTCGGCACTGACCCTATTCCGCCTTACATTCGCGTTCTTTCTGTGCCAGCTTATCCCTGCAATAGACTAACCATGAATCATTCACAGGCAGCGCCTTTCATCACTGCATTCCCAGTGCCTGGCATTTAGCCTGGGCTGGGGACATAGCAGTGGTGATGGTAAGAAAGGGACAGGAAGAGGCCATCTGTCTCATGTATATGTGCTTGTATGCATGGATTTTTTTTGGAGAAAATTTACACCTTACTATTTCCCAAAGGAGTCTAAGGAAACATTAAAAACAGAACACAACTCAAGGACCAATGAGCTAGAGTAAAAAGAGAACAATACGTTTCAAGGCACCTGGGATGTTGTTTACTACAGTTAAACCCTGGATTTATCACTGAGTTTCCTGGATAAAAGGGAAACACACTGGCTCATATACTTCTCATTGTACAATAACTTTGGAATCCGATTGGAAAAAGAAAATTTTCCTGGCACTGTGTTTAAGGAGAAATTTATCAAGTGGATCTTTATATAACAGACATGAGGTCACACAATGAGCAGCATCTCCAACAGCAGTGTTGGAAAAGGACACAAAGGTCTTCAGATGGGCAATTCTTACATTCCACCGTATTTCAGAGAGAAGGGGTTTCTGCAAGGAAATGAGACGTGGCCCATAGCCAGGGCTTTCTCTACATTTGTAAGAGATGCCTTGAGAACCTAAAAGAAAGAAAAGTTGGTGTAAGTCTGCTTAATATCCGATCTCAAAGCCCACCTCCAGGCCGGGTGTAATGGCTCACTTCTATAATCCCAGCACTTTGGGAGGCCAAGGCAGGAGGATTTCTTGGGCCCAGGAATTCGAGACCAGCCTGGGCAACATAGCAAGACCCCATCTCTAGAAAAGAAAAGGAAATTAGCCACGCATGGTGGCACGTGCCTTCGGTCCCAATACTCAGGAGGCTGAGGCAGGAGGACTGCTTGAGGTTAGGAGTTTGAGATCATCCTGGGCAACATAGGGAAACCTCATCTCAAAAAAAAAAATTAAAAAATAAAAGCCATGTCTAGATTTCCTTTACGGATCCTGGTGGCTAGCTTGCAACACCTCAAGGCAGGAAGAGGCAGGGAGCAAGCAGAAAGCTGGGACAAGTGTGGGCTGAGGCAGGCAGAGCTCTGTGTCCACAATAGCCAGTGTCTGTCCCTCCACAGGGATGACATCAGTGGGCCCCCTGTTCATCAGGACGGATGCCCAAGCCTGGTTAGCCTCAAAGGAGAGGCTAATAGGTGTCTTGGAAGGCCGTGAAAGAGTCCTAGGGAATGATAGTTCATAATGGTAACACCAGACCCCCAGGAAAATTGAATTCTAAGACTATCAAGATGACAGAAAAGAACCAGCCTCAGGTGGGGCTGAATCAGAACGTGGGCACCTTGGGGTATCCATCTGTGAGTTTCAGAAGCAGGAAGGAGAGGTGGGAGCTGACCATCTCAACTGACCTCCTTACTTTATGATGGGAAGAACCTAGACTGACAGAGAGAAACTTACGCCCAAGGGCTCGCATCTGTGGCTACACAGATATAATTCCTGTGGTCATCAGTATTTTGTTTTGTTTTGTTTCGTTTTTCAGAGTCTCACTCTGTTGCCCAGGCTGGAAGGCTGGAGTTCAGTGGTGTGATTTCGGCTCACTGCAACCTCTGCCTCCCGAGTTCAAGCAATTCTCCTGCCTCCACCTCCTGAGTAGCTGGGATTACAGGCATGCACCACCATGCCCAGATAAATTTTCATATTTTTAGTAGAGACGGGGTTTCACCATGTTGGCCATGCTGGCCTCAAACGCCTGACTTCAAGTGATCCACCTGCCTCTCAAAGTGCTGGAATTACAGGTGTGAGCCACGCGCACAGCCTAATCATCAGTTCTAAGACAGCTGCTTGTCTCTGCATAAAAGAGGGAGCACTTGTCTTCTGGGTCTCCACACACCTGAGGAACAGCAGCGCCTCACCAAGAGTTGATGCTGAGATAGCCCCAGGGTTTTCAGCTTGAGACTTTTATGTCTAGAAAGAACTCTCTCTCTGTTTTCAGTCTTCCGTTTTTGTGTCTGCTGTTATGAAGACCTCCTGAAATAGCTGGCTCAGTCTCTCTCAGTCCTGTGACTCCGGAAGCCTGGTCCTGTCTCTCTGAAGTTATTTCTGGTTGGGAAGTTGGTCTCTCAGTATATCTGACTCTAGTGAGACCTGAGGGTCAAGACCCCACAGTCACTTTAGGCCACCACAGACCTCATGAGGTTGGCAAAAACAGACTTCTGTTGTCCTTATCAGTCAGTGCCAGGGGAAGGGAGAGGTCAGAGAGAGACAGCGAGACAGAGAGAGAGCATCACAAGGTCAGAGGAGGGGGCGGCCAGGATGCCCAGAAGGAAGAGTAATTCTGTATTCCCTTCCCCGCTTAGAAGTCGTAGCTTCATTCTGGGTAGCCTCGTGTGGCCATTTTGCAGCCCCGCCAGGGCAGTTCTGTGAAGCACTTTCTCTGAATTTTGCTCAACACATCCAATCAATAAGATTGAAGACACACTGCAAATGGAGCCCACCGGAAGTGAGGGCACCAGAACCACTGTGCAGGGAGTGTCACTTAAAGATGCAGCTCAGTCCTGCCTCACCAGGAGTGCAAAACCTCAACCCATTGTTCTTATCATTACCATTATGATTATTACTACTATTAACAACAACAATGATAAGAATGGTGTTATGAGTGTGAAGAGCTTGGCAGTCAAGTACAAAACTGAGGCATAGGCCGGGCACAGTGGCTCATGTCTTAGTCCCTGCACTTTGGGAGGCCAAGGCAGGAGAATCGCTTGAGCCCAGGAGTTTGAGACCAGCTTTGGCCACATAGTGGGACCCTGTCTCTACAAAAAAATAAAATAACCAGGTGTAGTAGAGCATGCCTGTCATCCCAGCTACTCAGGAGTCTGAGGTAGGAGGATCGCTTGAGCCCTGGTGGTTGAGGCTGCAGTAAGCTGTGATTACGCCACTGCACTTCAGCCTGGGTGACAGAGCGAGAACCTGTCTCAAAAAAAAACCTGTCTCGTGTGTGTGTGTGTGTGTGTGTGTGTGTGTGTGAAAAACAAAACTGAGGCTTGTATTTCCCCAAAAGAAATTAGGTGTGTTTTAATCTCTCCATATGCCAGGATTGGCATGAAGTCCAAAATCAACTATTCTTCCCTATGACCAAACATAGAGAAATCTAGGCAACTGATAGGTGTCCAAAAACAATGTTTCTTTGTGTGGGGGCATCTTTCTGTTGTTTTTTTCTTGTTTCCCCCAAAGCCACTACTGCATACTAGCCATTCCCCAACTGTCTAACAGTGAGGTTCTGGATGAAACCCTCTTGCTTGCCCAAATACTCATCCAGCAGGGTAAGTCCTCTGCAGTGGTGAGATGCTTCCATCAGTTGTGCCTTTCCTCCCAACCTGGCCACCTGGCACCTTGCTCTAGGCCTCAAGGGACCGGTATATTATGCCAAGTCCCCCACTGACACCCACACATATATCCCCTGGGAGGTTCTGACCCTTGAAGGCATGTGATCTTGTGCCCTGGTCTCCTTCCCAATCAATCTGAAGCTGCTTCCTTACCTGGGATCCAAGTCCCATCATCTAGGGTTGAGACATTTCCCTCTTCTCACTGCATTAACCTGCAACCCCTAGCCCTTGGCTAATCCATCCTGCAGGGAAGATCTATCCCCTCACACAGTAGAAGAAGTTTGCCCTTCAGAGTCTTTAATTTTCAAAAGCAAAGCCTTCCCTGGAGTCTTCTTGGTTGAATTCTCCAAGGAGCCAACTCTGAGAAAAGGAATGAGTGTAAGTAGGTGAATGGGAAGCGATCCCAGGACCCTAGTAGGGGCGGAGGGAAGTGAGACGGGGAATGGAAGGAGCCTACAAAGGGCACCTCATCACATAAATTTCCACTGTGGGCAACTGGGGCTTCATCTCTCTGGGGAACTCTGGGAGGTAACACAGAACACAAACCTCAACTGTATCCCACCTGAGGAGGGAGGGATTTGGGGTATTTATCCACCAGCTCCCACCAGTCATTGGTTGAAGATTGCTGGCGAAGAGTACGAATTCCTAAGCACTTCCAACCATGTGGGGACAGAGTGGGCTCAGGTGGCTAGGAAAGTCCCCAGTCCCCAAGCAAAAAGGATAAAAGAAAGACACAGGTGCTAGAAGTTGGAAGTCAGGTCAAAGTGCCAGGAAAAGGTAAGAGCTAAGGGGACGGGGTGGGCCAAGGGGAGTATCACTCCCACTGAGGAGAGGAAGTCCAGTCTTCATGAACACTAAGGCATGACCATCAAAGGACCTTGCAGGGGAGAGAAAAATAGTTTTCTTATTCTGCTTAAAAATCCAGGGCAGCAAATTTACTAATTAAATAACTAATGTTTATTGTTGTTGTTTGTTGTTGTTGTTGTTGTTTGAGATGGAGTCTCACTCTGTTGCCCAGGCCGGAGTGCAATGGTGCTATCTTGGCTCACTGCAATCTCTGCCACCCAGGTTCAAGCAATTCTCCTGCCTCAGCCTCCTGAGTAGCTGGGATTACAGGCGCCCGCCACCACACCCAGCTAATTTTTGTATTTTTAGTAGAGACGGGGTTTCACCATGTTGGCCAGGCTGGTCTTGAACTCCTAACCTCAGGGGATCTGCCCACCTCGGCCTCCCAAAGTGCTGGGATTACAGGCGTAAATAACTAATGTTTAAAATTCCTAATAACTCATCCTATTAAACATTTCTCATCCTAAGCATCTATTATGTATCTACCACTATATTAGGCACTTCACATTTGATATTGCTTTTAATCTCCACAACAGCCCTGCAGGACAGATCTATCCCCTCGTACAGCAGAAGAAATGGCACAGAGAGCTTGGACAGCACAGGCTCAAGATAGGGTAGCTCCTAAAAAGCTAACTGCCACTCCATTGTCAACCAGAAGGGAAAGGAACTTTTAGTCTTGCCATCTGCATGCAAACCTAGTGGATGATTAGAGAAATATAGGATAAAGAAACTACCACAGAACAACCTCAGAAATGGATACCTATGATAAATTAAGATCCCCAGAGGCAGAAACAAAGACCACCTAGATTAGACAATCTTTTTTACATATGTTTTCAGCTAAACCTAGGTTGGGCCAACCTGTGTGAACCTTCCAGGCAGTCTCATATATTTGACCTTATTTTAGCTGCGCAGCGTGCTTTGAGGTAGATCTCTCTGTTTTATGACAAAGAAAATGAGGTGCAAACAATTAGGTAAATTGCTCGAGATCATGGTTAATCTGTATCAAAGCTGGGATCAAGCCTAGCTCCAGCTCCATTCGTACTGACACACAGATACAAGCAAGCTACTGAAATGCATTACCAGGAAAGATCATGATTTCATTTTTTGAAGTTATTTTTCAAAAAAGAATGGACCACTGTCCTTGGGGAAGTCATTTGGTACGCTGCCAACACAGCCGCAAAGGGTAAGTAGGAACTAACTAGGTCTTCCGCTCATGTTCCTGTCCAGGCTAAGAAGTTAATTCTCTTCAATTGTTTCTGCCTCCTTCTTTCCTTCTTCCTTCCCTCTTGTCTCATTTGTTTTCTCCTTTTGCCTACTCTCATCTCCTTGTCTATAAGGGTCAGGATCTCTGTAAAGCTCTAACTTGGTTTCTGCTTTTTTCCTCCAGACTCCAAGATGAATCATCTGGTGCTCATGTTGCTATAATTACCGGCACATTTGTACGGTGCAGGGTGGAGGGAGAAGAGTTAGCTCACCGTGAGGCTGGGAAAGGAATGGCCTTGATCTAAGCTGCAGCCTGGTTCTAATTTTAGCAACAACGAAGCATTGGACTTCCTGGAGGTATCAGATTGCCCGTGTTCTCTGCTCCCTGAGCTGGGCTGACACTAGACATATGGAAGAGATTCAGATCACAAGAATCACCAAATCAACTCTCACCTCTGGGTCATCGTGCCCAACCTCTGTCTCAGAAAGTAGGGACAAGGTGTCTCGCAATGTCAGAGCTTAGCGATCTCCTCGTAAAACTCCTTGAGTGATACACAAAGCAGGGGTAAAGAGGAAAACAGAATTCCCCATCATGAAAGGCCAGCAGAGCCAGGTCTAGCACCCAGGTCTTCCGGCGTCCAGTCTCCGGTGTTCCTTCTGACATCACCCTCTAAAGGTTAGGGCTTTAGCCGGAGGATTTATTGTTTCCCTTTTGAAGTATGGGCCATTCAGAAATATTTCTTTTTTTTTTTTATTATACTTTAAGTTTTAGGGTACATGTGCACAATGTGCAGGTTAGTTACATATATATACATGTGCCATGCTGGTGCGCTGCACCCACTAACTCGTCATCTAGCATTAGGTATATCTCCCGATGCTATCCCTCCCCCCTCCCCCCACCCCCCACCCCACAACAGTCCCCAGAGCGTGATATTCCCCTTCCTGTGTCCATGTGTTCTCATTGTTCAATTCCCACCTATGAGTGAGAATATGCGGTGTTTGGTTTTTTGTTCTTGCGATAGTTTACTGAGAATGATGATTTCCAATTTCATCCATGTCCCTACAAAGGACATGAACTCATCATTTTTTATGGCTGCATAGTATTCCATGGTGTATATGTGCCACATTTTCTTAATCCAGTCTATCATTGTTGGACATTTGGGTTGGTTCCAAGTCTTTGCTATTGTGAATAATGCCTCAATAAACATACGTGTGCATGTGTCTTTATAGCAGCATGATTTATAGTCCTTTGGGTATATACCCAGTAATGGGATGGCTGGGTCAAATGGTATTTCTAGTTCTAGATCCCTGAGGAATCGCCACACTGACTTCCACAATGGTTGAACTAGTTTACGGTCCCACCAACAGTGTAAAAGTGTTCCTATTTCTCCACATCCTCTCCAGCACCTGTTGTTTCCTGACTTTTTAATGATTGCCATTCTAACTGGTGTGAGATGGTATCTCATTGTGGTGTTGGTTTGCATTTCTCTGATGGCCAGTGATGGTGAGCATTTTTTCATGTGTTTTTTGGCTGCATAAATGTCTTCTTTTGAGAAGTGTCTGTTCATGTCCTTTGACCACTTTTTGATGGGGTTGTTTGTTTTTTTCTTGTAAATTTGTTTGAGTTCATTGTAGATTCTGGATATTAGCCCTTTGTCAGATGAGTAGGTTGCGAAAATTTTCTCCCATTCTGTCGGTTGGCTGTTCATTCTGATGGTAGTTTCTTTTGCTGTGCAGAAGCTCTTTAGTTTAATTAGATCCCATTTGTCAATTTTGGCTTTTGTTGCCATTGCTTTGCCATTCAGAAATATTTCTAAATAATTTCCCCTACTAATTCTATATCGTTAATGAGGTAAAATTTACACACAGTGGAATGCACAGATATCATGCATATAATTTAATGAATTTTGAAAAAGGTACCACCCCTATCAAGACAAAGAATACTTCCATCACCCCCAGAAAATGCCCCCATGTTTCCCTTTCTAGTCAATTTCCCAGTCCACCCCTTAGCCAACTGCAGTTCTAATTTTTATCAACATGGATTAGTTTTGCTGATTCTTAACTTCAAATAAATGGAATCATGGTATCTGGGAGGCGGACAGGATTCTAACCCTTAGCTTCTTGCAGGTCCTATGCCTGATGGTCCCAGTTACATTTCTCCTATCCAAGCCACTTCTTGCTGGACTGAGTGGGAAGAACTCTTAACTCTGGGGCTCCATCCCCTAAGCTCATGATGTGGAAAATTTAAAATGAGGCCACAGTGATCTCTGTTGCATTTTCAACTTAGAGGACATTCAATTTAGTTTTCTGCCATGAGCCAGGCTTATACTCCTGAGAGTTCTTTATTCCATCCTTCCAGATCTCCTGGAGCAAAGTCTGTGTACATTTTAGTTACTTAATAATGACTCTTCCTCCTTCAATTAACCTGAATGTTTTTTATTTCATTACAACGCAAGCCCATTTCTACATGTTTTCTCCCCAGTGAAGCTGTTGAACAATTGGTCAATAGTACAGTAATGCAATAAGAAATCTACTTATATTTCACCCTATGATCTCACTGGGCATAGATTTTCTGTATCCATTCTGAAGAATTTGGCATTGAACATAGGTTTGTGTTACAATTGCTACATACAAACTTGAATTTGAATTATAACTCTACCAGCAACTGGTCCTATTTTCGAGTCTTGTTATTGTCTGTCCTTGGCAATGCAGTTGTCCCCGGTGGAAAGCATGTGTGCATTAGTGAGCCACACCTCCTTGAGGGTGTCTCTCACCTGGGGTCAGCTGTGCACATAGCTCCCCTAAGTAGCCTTTGCCTAATCTTGCCTTTACCTCTCTTGCCTATACCTCATGTCATAGAACTCTCATCAAAGTGCTCAAGAGCTTCTTGAAGGACACATTGTTTCTATATCCCCAGCAGTAGCCATCACCATAAAGGCTGACTCAATAAAGATTAATAAATAAATTAATCAATAAACTATCTGGCTCAGTCTGGGGAAGAGTAAGAGATGGGTTCCTCAAAAGCATTGACTCCTTCCCATAACCAGGGGTGCTCCCTTCTTGGTCCCGAGCCAGTACAGATTCAGTACAAATCCATGACCAAGATCCTCCCTATCCTTAATAAATCTTGGTCCCAGGGTAAGGGGTAGAGAACCAGAGGGAAAAATGTCTACTAAATGTTTCCAGTGTCATTAAATGGCTGGCTATCCCAGACTTCCCCTCAACCCTCTCATCTCATCTGGGTGCCCACTTTTAGGGTAATTACAACTATGCTCTCCCCAAGTTCCCTTCTTATAACTCGTCTTTTTTCTCTGTCAGAGGCTTACTTTACGTACACAGTTCGTCAGACTGCACTTATTACAAAATAAAGGAATGCTCATTCCCTAAAAAAGGTCTTCCATTTTCTTCATTCTGTATTCGGTAACCACAATCCTATCCACAAAGCACACTATTTCATTAAACGCAAGTTTCACTGAGTTCTTAGGCTCCCAGCATATATGCTTACAGCCTACTTCATTGCCTTCAGTAAAAGAAAGACATTCTAGGGTATACGGGTTTTTGGGGGGCAGTGAGGCAGTTAGGCAGAGGTTCGGGGAAGAGTGATGATGGAAGTCGGAGGAACTCCTGCAAGGGCAGCCTGTAGGCTCATCAGTCTGGAGAGACCTGGACAATGCCTGGTAGGACACTAGTGAACTCAGAAAACAGCCCTTGCAGAGTGGCATGTAAGGGGTTAAGGCCATCCAGACTTGTTTATGGAGCAAACACTGTAGATCCCAGAGGGCAGGGAGAATAAAGTTGCTAGAAAGTGCATGTAAGTCTCTTTTCCTTGTCTTGTCTTGGCTGCCTCCATCCTGGAAGTCTGGCCCTGCATCACAAGAGTTCTTAAGTTATTCCATTAAGCACGTGATTTTTATCCACAAACAAATGTTTAGCCTCTTAGATTTTCTCTGCACTCAAAAGCCAAAATGAATACCATCCTTTGCATAAAAAACAGCTGACCTGGAGCCCCAGACCATATGAGGCAGAAACTCACACTCCCCACGCTCTGCCCTAGCAGCTGTGCCCCCACGGCCTCTGAAAACTTCCCCAGGCAGTATCAGCCATCCCATCGCACAGTGCTGCAGCAGACTACAAAACAGAACTAATAAGAAATATGCACGGGTTATAAATCATGGAATCAGAGCTAGAAGGGATGTTACAAACCTTCTGATCCAACTCTTACATTTTAAAGAAGAAGAACCTGAAGGAAAGCGATTTTCCTGGGTCATGTAGCAAACAAGCAGTGAGGTAGGCTCTGGGTTGATTTGACCCCAGCTATGAAGCCATCACTTTAAGCAACATGCCGTGATGATACCAGACATGTTTTGTGAACCTTTCTAGTTAACCTACAGAGATGAGTGAAGTCCTCTGGAAACTTACAGAAACAAAAAGCAGTTCTAGGGTATACAGGTTTTGGGGGGCCAGTGAGGCAGTTAGGCAGAGGTTCGGGGAAGAGTGATGGTGGAAATCAGAGCAACTCCTGCAAGGGCAGCCTGTAGACTCATCAGTGTGAAGAGACCTGGACAATGCCTAGTAGGACACTACTGAGCTCAGAAAACAGCCCTTACAGAGTGGCATGTAAGGGGTTAAGGCCGTCCAGAGTTGTTTATGGAGCAAACACTGTAGATCCCAGAGTGCAGGGAGAATAAAGTTGGAGAAAGGGCATGTGAGTGTGTCTGAATGTGTGAGCATGTGTGAAAGCATGTGCATGTGTGTGAAAGTATATGAGAATGCACCTGTGTGTGTGCATGTGTGTGTGTGTGGGTGCATGTGTATGTATGTGTTCCTGCATGCATGGGTGAGGGAGATCAGAAAGTGCAGGGGAAAGGAAAGAGTAAAGTGGGGAGAGCCCAGACAGCAGACACCCAAAGCATTTGGATTCTTTTTTCACTTTACCAAAAAACATAAACTCAACATGACACTAAAGAAAAAAAAAGCAAAAAGAAGTAGGGCACAGTGGCTCACGCCTGTAATCACAGCACTTTGGGAAACTGAGGCAGGTGGATCACTTGAGGTTAAAAGTTCAAGACCAGCCTGGCCAACATGGTGAAACCCTGTCTCTACTACAAATATAAAAAAAATAGCTGGGCATGGTGGAGTGCCTGTAGTCTCAGCTACTTGAGAGGCTGAGGCAGGAGAATCACTGGAACCCGGGAGGTGGAGGCTGCGGTGAGCCGAGATTGCGCCATTGTCTTCCAGCCTGGGCTACAGAGTAAGACTCGATCTCAGAAAGAAAACAAAAGCAAAAAGAAAACAAACTCTTAGTCCTATCATTTAGACATAACAACCATCGTATTCCCTTCTAGTCATTGCCCAAATGCAGACCTTTTTGTTTTGGCATGTTGTTGTCACCGTATGGGAAACATTTTGTAATGTGTTACCCAACATATTGTAAGCATTTTTTTCATGTTGATGAACTAACTGAAGGCTGAGACATCATCATTTTCTGAATGACTCCCTGATGGCTGGATATTTAAGCTGCCTCACAAATTTTACAAAGTAAAGCTGTAGTGAGGTTTGGAGCTTGTTTTTCTTATGAATTATTTGCTTAGGATAAATTCTCAGGAGTGTAGGTCAAGGGTCATGCACTATTTTTGGCTTTTGTTACGTATCATTAAAAGAATCAAACCCAAAAGAGTCCAGCCAATTATACTTCCACCTGCAGTGTGGAAAAGTGCTCACTTCATTAGAACTCTCTTCCATGATAAAACAAAACAAAACAAAACAAAACAAAACAAAACTATTTTAATGAGATCCTAAAACTCCTACATGCATGGAACTAGTTTGGCACCTTTATGACATCTTGTAGCACCAAAATACACAATAGACGACCAATAGCCAATCCAACCTTCTGATTCCTAAAGTTTAAACAAATTAAGAAACTGTCTTTAAGAGAAAGAATATAAAACCACCAACATATAATTATATAATTAGATATGAAAGGGATATTTTCAAATGAGAGAAAAAACTGAAACAAATCACAAATGTTTAGAAAGCCAGAAATGCCACAAATTTATAAATTGAAAAAATCTAATTTTTACTAATTAACTGCTTCTACAACCCTTTTTTCCTACATTTTTGGCTGCCTATTCATTGATCTCCTCACACACAATGACAGTTTTCAGTATCTTCTTCTGTAGCAAGAATAAAAAGCTAATTTAATCTTTCATCTGGCCTGGTGGATCAAAATTTGTTCATTACCATTTAATAAATTATAAAGGTTTCTTTTCATTTCACAACTTCGCATTAGTTCTATTGCATAGAGTTTTAGAATTATACAATCTGGAAAACCCTCAGTCAAATTTCTTTTGTATATGAGAGGAACTTGTCTTTGTCAGAGGAGGGTGTTTTATCAAACTTTTAAATCAGAATTTCTTTTCCCAATTGGGACAGATCACTGGAGTTTCTGTTACAGCTGCATGAGAAGATGATCTAAGCTGAGTCTGAATGTATTTCAAACCTTGTTTTTCCACCAGTACCCACATACTTCCTGCACTGGCTGCTGTGGGATGTGTACCTATGGGCTACAACCCCCGCCCTGCACCTTAGTGACAAGGTGGCACTGAGTCAGACAATGAATGGTAGGCGTGTTCCCAAAAACCATTCCTATAAAGGAATAGGGAACAATAACTTAACTCTACATGGAAGTGGCTGTGAATGACATAAATATATCCCATCAAACTCAAACTATTAGGTGGGTGCAAAAGTAATCGCGGTTTTCGCAATTACTTGAAATGGCAAAAACTGTGATTACTTTTCACCTAATAGATGTATTTCTAAGCCAATTTTACATCCTAAATATACCTGCAGCTGCTCTGACATCAACAGACACAAGCGGAAATTAACAGAGGGGAAGCCAGAGTGGATAGCAATGGTGGTCTTAATCAAATGTGATTTAAAATATGTATTGGTTCAAATTGTATAAAAACATAAGAACATGTGAACACATTATGAGGGCTCCTCCCCAGGGCCTTGGAAGGGGTCTGCATGGGGGAAGGCATCTGAGACCTAAGCTTCATTCTCTTCATCTGTGCATCACCCTGAATTCATTCCTGTATCACTTTGATAGAGTGAGAATTGTTCATTACCTTAATTGTATTAGGGTGTTGTGTGGGATTTTTTATTGCATCTAGAATTATGCTGAGGAAAAAATAGACTTTTGCATTCTGAATAATTATCATCCCCCTCCAGAGATGACTAAGAGGAAGCAGAGCCCATTACCACGTCTTCCCCTCTAGTCTCTGTATTAAGGAGATAAGGACTGGGGTGTGGTGGGGAGGAAATCTGGAGAGTCATTGGAATCGTAAGTCATAGAACTATTTGGGAAGTTCTGGGGGTTTTCTAACCCCCATACCAAATAATGGGTGGTCCAAGAGAACCCTTCATAGTGACTGGGTGGTTTGAAAGGAGGAGAACTAATGTCTCACTCTAAGTTGAGTGATTGTGCAGTGTAAGAGGTGTCATGCTTCCATGCCTAAAGCAGCCGGGGGAGAGAGAATTGAAGAAACAATCGCAGATGAAAAGCAGGGTAACAGGTGGCAGTTTAAATTCCCACTATTTGGAGAATCAAAGATATGTACATTTGTCCTAGAGTGGTGGGCACAATACAAGTAGCCAGGACCAAGCCTTCTTGCCACTATGCCACTCAAAAGCAATGGCCAGCAGGTGAGGGAACCGCAGCAAGGGGAAGCTCTAGACACCATCAAGGTGGAGCTGATAGGAGGTCAGGCCAGAACGCATCTCACATGCATCTCACACATAAGGGAACCGTGCAGATCAGAGGCTGCTTCTTCTTCTTCTTCTTTTTTTTTTTTTTTTTGAGAGAGAGTGCAGTGGCACCAATCTCAGCTCACTGCAGTCTCCACCTCCCTGGTTCAGGTGATACTCCTGCCTCAGCCTCCTGAGTAGCTGGGACTACGGGCACCCACCATCATACCCAGCTAATTTTTGTATTTTTAGTAGAGACAGTGTTTCACCATGTTGGCCAGGCTGGCCTCGAACTCCTGACTTCAGGTGATCCACCCGCCTCGGCCTCCCAAAGTGCTGGGATTACAGGCGTGAGCCACCGTGTCTGGCCAGAGGCTTCTTTCTAAAGGGCCTACTACAAGATACCCATGTGAGTCCCTCAGAGGGGCTGCCACTGAGCATCTGCTACCCAACGGCCGTGGTGGAAAAGCAGTAACCATCGACATAAAGAGCACCACAGTAGCACCAGCCCCCAACACAATGCAAAAGAGTGACCCGGGGGAGGGAGAGGAGGGAAAAGAGAAATCTAATCTCATCTGTCCCAGGTCCCGCAGGCCTAAGCCAGGTGGAGTGAGGAGGAAGAAAGTATTAAATTCAATATGATGATTTTTCAACCAAGGCTTCATTCAGATCTGCCCCAGATGCCACAAGGAAGAGGAATTGGGGATTTGTCATAGAACAGTTGAAGGCAAGGAGTAGAGATTTTTTAAAAAATGTCTCAACAACAAGTTCAGACTGTTCAACAAATTATTCATAAGTTGTAAGAATCAGGGAAAACAGATCAGGAGCTGCTGTGCAGCTAGAATCATCCTTCAAATGGGTTTCTCTGTTTTCTTCCACATCCCACAAATGTGCTGGCATGAAGTTGCCACTGGTATCCTTGGTCTAATGAATTTCCCAGTTAGTGGAAGAGTGTTTCTCTCCAAATCTCTGTTTTATTAATCAGAGTGATAGTCATGAAAAATAATGCTTAAGAAAATGTGTGCTTTTAACTTGTATGATATGTAAGCCTTCTGGGCATAAAGGCAAGCTCATGTTTACAATTGTTTTTCTACTTTGGGAATTCTCTTCGACCATCCAGCTAGCGAGAAGCCATATGGTCCAGTGAAAGGAACGTGGAACCAGGCACTGGTATGCCTGGGTTCCAGGCCCTACCCTGTGGGGAGTCAAGGGTAAACGTTCAGCTTTCTGGACCACATCTTCCTCAAAGAAAGTGTAAGACTTCTCCAGGGTGTTGAGATTAGCAAAAAGCAGGCCTAGGTCTCAAACCCAGGTCTTCTGACTCCAAAATGAGCACTGTGCATCTCTCTGAATTGTGTCTCTCTTTTTTTCCATTCGGTAGGATCTGAAGGATAGTGACACCATCTTGTCATATCTGCATCCCCAGTACCTGTCAATGTCCCTGGCATTGAGTAGAAGCCCAGAAAAGGTTAAGTGAATGAATACAAAAGCCATGTCTTTTGCAATCAATCAGAAACTGTGCGCATCAGCATTTTCTTAAGTGTCTCCCATGACACTGATTGATGAGCCCCACTGAATCTTCAAAATAAACATGAAATAAATGGAAGTAGAAAAAAGCAGAAAGTGAAGCATGCTGCCTGTCTCTCATGGTGTGGCTGACCAGGGATAGCAAGAGTATCATTGATAAAATGCACTCATCCACATGCCACGCTGTAGCCACTTGTCATAGGGAAGGAAAAATTTGCTTTAAAAGCTGGCTACATTTGACCCACTTTTGTTTGTTTGGTTGGTTGGTTAGTTGGTTTATCTATTTATTTTTCATTGTATTTTTTAAATTTATTTTTAGAGATGGAGATCTCACTATGGTGCCCAGGTTGGTCTTGAACTCTTGGGCTCAAGTGGTCCTCCTGTCTCAGACTCCCAAAGTGCTGAGATTACGGACGTAAGCCACCACGCCTAGCCTGTTTGTTTTTTAACGAGAAAATTATTCCTTTTCTGTTCATGAAAACATGTTGATGAGTCTTCTTAAGCTATAAAAGGTGAGCCTAAATAGAAAATGAGCTGCATAACATAGGAACAGGAATTTGGGGATTGTTCCCTTACAGAATAAGACGTAAGGAGCCGGGCATGGTGCCTGTAAAATCCCAGCACTTCGGTAGGCCGAGGCGGGCAGATTGCTTGAGCCCAGGCATTTGAGAACAGCCTGGGCAACACAGTGAGACCTCATCAACCTTGTCTCTACTAAAAATAAACAATTAGCCAGGTGTGGCAGTGTGCGCCTATGGTCCCAACTACTAGGGAAGCTGACACAGGAGGATCACTTGAGCCGGGAGGTCGAAGCTGCAGTGAGCCAAGATTGCACCACTGCACTCTAGCCTGGGCAACAGAGTGAGACCCTATGTAAAAAAAAAAAAAAAAAAAAAAGACGTAAGGACGGTGTGGTCTCCAAGCCTTGGAGAAGAGGAAAGATGGAGACATCTCTCCCAAGGAGAATAGAACCCAGCTACAAGGCTGTGATGTGCAATCTAGAAAGTACCTGGTGAAGAAGTGGTCCAGAGTGAAGGTAGGGCAGCAATTGCCTCTTCTGAGCTTCTGTGCATCAGCATTTTCTTAAGTGTCTCCCGTGACACTCATTGATGAGCCCATTGAATCTTCAAAATAAACATGAAATAAATGGAAGTAGAAAAAAAGCAGAAAGTGAAGCATGCTATCTGTCTGAGCTGTTTTCTAATTCCCCTCTATGATTCCTAATTCCTTAGTAAATGTCCCTTATCTGCACAAGTGTTATTGGTGCTTTGAGGATTTCAGGAAAAGGAACTGTACATACTGTTGATAAAGCAAATCAAAAATAGCAGCCATCACAATTCCCATTGCAGGAGGGTTGGCAAATGGAGAGATGAAAATGCACCAAGAGCAGGAATACAGAGTAAGAAGCAAACAAGAGAATACAAGTCCTCCCACTCCCTGCCCCAGGATCCTCTGAGACTTTTGAAGAGGCTGCTGGACTTCCCAGCATGTGAAGTAGATGAGTTCCAGCTATTTTATTTGACTATCCTAGCAGAGGTTGGTAGTACCCTTACCTTACCCACTTCAGTGAATAACACCTGCTGGTTTACAAATGCCAGGCCCTTCATTTTCTGGTTTGGGGCTTTCTCTTCTCACTGCAGCCTTTTTGATGACGATTGCAGTGGGATGGAAGAACAGGGGAATCAAAGCACAGCCTCCGCTTGCACCTCAGAGCAACCCTCAACCAATGACTGATGGGAGCCAGTATATAAATACCCCAGCTCCCTTGCCACTAATGAGGGGCCAACTCTGAGCTGTACTTTTACATTTGCTTCAGACATTTCCCTCTGGGTGAAGCTCTAGTCACTCTTGGTGACAGCTGGCTTGATAAAGCACCTTTAATTGGCTGCCTTCCCTCCCCAGTCTCACTACCCCCAACCCCTCTGTTCACTTCCCAAATAAAACATCTGCTTCAAATTCCTTGTCTCAAGATCTACTTCTGGTGGAACCCAAACTAAGACATATTACATGAAAGAGCAACTCTATGAAGCTGAAGAACTTGGGAACATTCAGATGACACCTGGGGAATCTGATGAAGCAGGAAATCCTTCTCAGACTCCATGTAAGCCTCAAACAGGATTCAGCATAACTTACATGTGTGAATGTTTCCATACTAGCGGCCCTTTCCATGCCCAAATGCAAATCTCTTTCCACTTGCAAATGACCTCAAGTGTTCTTTCTTGCGGGGTGAACCATCTGCTCTACTCCTAAAAAAATCCAATAGAAGAAGCCAGATGGAGTCCATGACATTTTTATTTGTGACAGTTTGACTACTGGCCAAAGGGATGGAAGAACAAGAATCACACAGCATGGCCATTTTCTATTCCTTGGGCACTTGAGAGCCTCCTCCATGCTCATCTCTGTCAATACAGAAGTTGGTCCCTACAAGGAGACCAGAAATGGTGGTGGGTAAAAGAAGAATGGGTTGGCTGCACCATGGATGAAAAGCTTCCTGAAGAGGGACCTTGTTGCCTTCTCATCTCAGCTTCTCTAATTTTTTTAACCACTTTTTTCTCTGTATCTTTCCAGGGCTACCCATGGTGACTCCTTTGTTTCTCTTCTCTCAGACTAAATCCAAATGACAGCCTCCCATCTCTTTAGTGCTCTCACTCCCTCCACATCAGCTCTTACCTCATACCTCAAGACCTCAGGCCCTTACAGCTTCCACCTGGCTGCACCCCCTTCCTTATACTGGTGGAGCCCCCTTCTCAGCCACACAACCCATTCTCTCATCAGCAACTTCTCGTGCCCATATCGGCACCAATTAAAGCATTTGCCATCTCTGCTCCTTCACCCTGGGATAAGCCGAGCTAGAGAAAAATCAGACAATTGTTCGGATCGGCATCCCTACATTTTATTCCTTACAACTTCTAGACCATATCTCTAAGCAGCCAAATTAACCTCCTAATCCCAGTTGACTTTCACTCGTATCATTTCTTATCTACTACTCCAGTGAATGTGTGTGTGTGTGTGTATGTATGTATGTGAATATGTGTGTATATGTGTGTGTGTATGTGTGTATAGTAGAGATGGGGTCTTGCTACATTGCCCAGACTGATATTGAACTCCTGGCCTCAAGTGATCCTTCCACCTTGGCCTCCCAAAGTGCTGGGATTGCAGGTATGAGTCACTACGCCCAGGTTGAATGTACTTTTTGAGGAACCTGGTGGTCCCTTTCTCCTTGTAATGCATGTTCCTGAGATCTAGATCTAGTTTAACCACTCACTAAGCAAGAAGGGTGACCTGTTATTCACTCATAGTCACTGCAGACGCCAAGAGACTCTTAGGGAGCCAATGAACCATAAGCAGAGGCTGGTGTGGATCCGTACATTTCATGCCAATGGTCTCCCCTGAAATAAATCAGAATATGCCTTAATCACTTGTCATCACTACCATGATGACAAGTGATTGAGGCATAGTCTGGGTCATGTCTTACCTTATATCTCTTACGGGGATAACTGGCTATTCAGCCTGATTCTGGAAAAAAGAAGTAAAAAGAAAACAGTCCCACTGAGAATTCATAACCACAAGTTTCCCCACAACATGCAGACCTCAGGTCAGAATTATATTATCTGCATGTCCAGAAAAACCTTAAGCCAAACTATTTTTTTTTTTTAATTTGAGATGGAGTCTCGCTCCGTTGCCCAGGCTAGAGTGCACTGGCACGATCTCGGCTCACTGCACCCTCTGCCTCCTGGGTTCAAGCGATTCTCCCACCTCAGCCTCCCAAGTAGCTGGAATTACAGGCATCCACCACCATGCCTGGCTAATTTTTTGTATGTTTAGTAGAGACAGAGTTTTGCCGTGTTGGCCAGGCTGGTCTCGAACACCTGACTTCAGGTGATCCACCCGCCTTGCCCTCCCAAAGTGCTGGGATACAGGCATGAGCCACTGTGCTCGGCCCCTAAATCAAACATTTAAAGTGATTTTTTTTTTTTAAATTTCAACTTTTATTTTAGATACAGGGGCACATGTGTAGGATTGTTAAATGGGTATGTTGGGCCCAGGTAGTGAGCATAGTACCCAATAGGTAGTTTTTCTTTCTTTTTTTTTCTTTCTTTATTTTACTTTAAGTTCTAGGGAACATGTGCACAACGCACAGGTTTGTTACATATGTATATATGTGCCATGTTGGTGTGCTCCACCCATTAACTCGTCGTTTACAATAGGTATATCTCCTAATGCTATCCCTCTCCCCTCTCCCCTCCCCCCACCCCATGACAGGCCCTGGTGTGTGATGTTCCCCACCCTGTGTCCAAGTGTTCTCATTGTTCAATTCCCACCTATGAGTGAGAACATGCGGTGTTTGGTTTTCTGTCCTTGCGATAGTTTGCTCAGAATGATGGTTTCCAGCTTCATCCATGTCCCTACAAAGGACATGAACTCATCATTTTTTATGGCTGCACAGTATTCCATGGTGTATATGTGCCACATTTTCTTAATCCAGTCTATCATTGATGGAAATTTGAGTTGATTCCAAGTCCTTGCTATTGTGAATGGTGCCACATTAAACATACTTGTGCATGTGTCTTTATAACAGCATGATTTATAATCCTCTGGGTATATACCCAGTAATGGGATGGCTGGGTCAAATGGTATTTCTAGTTCTAGATCCTTGAGGAATCACCACACTGTCTTCCACAATGCTTGAACTAGTTTACAGTCCCACCAACAGTGTAAAAGTGTTCCTATTTCTCCACATCCTCTCCAGCACCTGTTGTTTCCTGACTTTTTAATGGTTGCCATTCTAACTGGTGTGAGATGGTATCTCATTGTGGTTTTGATTTGCATTTCTCTGATGGCCAGTGATGGTGAGCATTTTTTCATGTGTCCGTTGGCTGCATAAATGTCTTCTTTTGAGAAGTGTCTGTTCATATCCTTTGCCCACTTTTTGATGGGGTTGTTTGATTTTTTTCTTGTAAATTTGTTTAAGTTCTTTGTAGATTCTGGATATTAGCCCTTTGTCAGATGGGTAGATTGTAAAAATTTTCTCCCATTCTGTAGGTTGCCTGTTCACTCTGATGGTAGTGTCTTTTGCTGTGCAGAAGCTCTTTAGTTTAATTAGATCCCATTTGTCAATTTTGGCTTTTGTTGCCATTGCTTTTGGTGTTTTAGTCATGAAGTCCTATATTTAGAAAACCCCATCGTTTCAGCCCAAAATCTCCTTCAGCTGATAAGCAACTTCAGCAAAGTCTCAGGATACAAAATCAATGTATAAAAATCACAAGCATTCTTATACACCAATAACAGACAAACAGAGAGCCAAATCATGAGTGAACTCCCATTCACAATTGCTTCAAAGAGAATAAAATACCTAGGAATCCAACTTACAAGGAATGTGAAGGACCTCTTCAAGGAGAACTACAAACCACTGCTCAACGAAATAAAAGAGGACACAAACAAACGGAAGAACATTCCATGTTCATGGATAGGAAGAATCAATACCGTGAAAATGGCCATACTGCCCAAAGTAATTTATACATTCGATGCCATCCCCATCAAGCCACCAATGACTTTCTTCACAGAATTGGAAAAAACTACTTTAAAGTTCACATGGAACCAAAAAAGAGCCCACATTGCCAAGACAATACTAAGCCAAAAGAACAAAGCTGAAGGCATCACGTTATCTTATTTCAAACTATACTACAAGGCTACAGTAACCAAAACAGCATGGTACTGGTACCAAAACAGAGATAGAGACTAATGGAACAGAACAGAGCCCTCAGAAATAATACCACACATCTACAACCATCTGATCTTTGACAAACCTGACAAAAAAAAGCAATGGGGAAAGGATTCCCTATTTAATAAATGGTGCTGGGAAAACTGGCTAGCCATATGTAGAAAGCTGAAACTGGATCCCTTCCTTACACCTTATACAAAAATTAATTCAAGATGGATTAAAGACTTAAATGTTAGACCTAAAACTATAAAAACCCTAGAAGAAAACCTAGGCAATACCTTTCAGGACATAGGCATGGGTAAAGTGATTTTTTTTTAATGTTTAAACATTTAAAGTGATTCTTTAAAAATTAGTAGTGCTTTTTTTTTTTCTTTTTTTGAGACAGAGTCTCACTCTGCCACCCAGAATGGAGTGCTGTGGACCAACCTCTGCCTCCTGGGTTCAAGTGATTCTCCTGCCTCAGCCTCCCGAGAAGCTGGGACTATAGATGTGTGCCATCACACCCAGCTAATTTCTGTACTTTTAGTAGAAATGAGGTTTCACCATGTTGGCCAGGCTGCACACCAGCTCCTGGCCTCAAGTGATCTCTGCCCTCCTCGGCCTCCCAAAGTGCTGGGATTACAGGCATGAGCCACCACGCTGGGCCAAAAGTTAGTAGTGCTCTTATACATCTGGTAAAAGGAAATTCATGTTGTCTCTTGATGAACATGTGTTAGAACCAAGCTTCAAAACTGTTCTGTGGCTAAGGCCCCAAGATTTTCCCAATGATAAATCATAAAACACGCTAGAAATGTGCCATCATGAGTAAAAGGCAGCAGAAATCACCAATAGCAGAATCAGATCCATCATTTACATAACATAAAGCAAATGTGTTTGATAAATAAAAGTGGATGCCAAAATATGATAAATGAACCAAGAGATTATAAACAAGGAGTAAGTAGTTATGAAGAAAAGAAAAAAAAATGAAGTAAAAAAAGGGTGAATTAAGGTTTTAAATTCATCTATAGTTTGAGCAGCAGAATAGACACAGCTGAAGAAAAATAAATGGGTCAATTAGAAGACAGAAGGCAGAAATTATGCAGAAAAGTACATACAAATATACAGAAATAGAAGATATGAAAATATGAAAGACAGGTTGGCAGCCATGGAAGAGAGAGTGAAAAGGTCTAACATATATGTAACTGGGGTTCCAGAAAGAGCAGCTACTCTACGGAAAGAGAGAATGAGGATAGGAAGTATACAAAAATATAATATCTAAGAATTTTTCAGAACCGATAAAAGATAGTAATCCTCAGATTCAGGTAGACATCGGGAGTACTCTGAAGATGCGCTTGTATCGGCAGCACCAAGATTTCTATCTCATAATCCACTGGGTACCAAAATAGTAGGGACAGAGAAAAATGGGCCTCTCGATTTGCCCTTAGAATACAGATCTGAGACTTGACCCGCATATGCTTCTCATATGGAAGCAGTAATAATAACAGCAATAACAACAATAACAGCAAACACATGATGTGCACTGTTTCTTCAATTGCAAAATTAGGAAGGAGAAGGACGTAATCTCTAAAACCAATCCTAGTTCAGACATTCTATAAAGCTTGAAAAGGGTTGTAATCTCTATAAAATCCCTTGGATCAGAAGTTCTCTATCTACTTGATGGAACTCAAAGACAGCTAGTGTGGAAATACCCGAGTCTGAATGGACACTTGGCCCTCCTCTGAAGATGGGCTGCAAGCTGCCTGCCAGATCTGTGGGTTGAGGATACCCAGAGCTACAGTGAACTTACATAGTTCCCTTATACAAATTGGAAAAAGATAGTCTTCTGCATGCACCTTTTTTTTTTTTTTTTTTGAGACGGAGTCTCACTCTGCTGCATGGACCAACTTTTTAAAGTTATCCTTCAAGTTGACTCATGAGGAAAACAAAAGTTATCCCTTTGTGAGAAGAAGCAGGTTTCCTTTCCTATGGATTGATGTGACCCTCTACCAGGAAAAACAACGTGGCAAGAGAAACAAGGTCTGGATTTTTGCTCTAGCCACCCACCTCTGCTGGGTATAAACGGCACAACCTTGGCGGATGCTCACCAAGCCCATTCCTTCTTTATGGGCATGTGGCTAAGCTGCATCTCCCAACTCACATCTAAATGAACCCATATGACAAGTTCTCACCAATGCAAAGTGAACCGTCATGATGCATCACTTTCAGTCCAGAGCAGTTAGAAATAAAGGTGCCTCCTCTATACTCATGTTTCTCCCTCCATAGTAACTTGGAGGCCAAGTGTTGAAGGTGGCTGAACTACAGGTTGGAAAAAGCCTGAACCTCTGAGTCAGTGCTTATATGGAAGCTGGCCCAGAAGAGCTGTCCCACCAGAAACATCTGCAGGGGGCTTTTATAAGCAAGACATAAACTTTTCTCATATTAGAACACTGGCCTATAGAAACTCATATACCCTTTGTAAGTTGCTTTCCTCTTGCTCCAGAGCCAATGCCAGAAAAATTTTTTTTTAAAACCTGCTACAGATGCTGTGGCTCTGCTCTCAGACCTCCACTGAAAACTGAAAACATGCTCATGCACAGGCTCTCTGGGGCCTGGTCATTTCCTCTGCCAAGGATGGCAGCCAGAACCCAAAAGGAGCTACTGATTCATTTTGAATGAACTTTACCCGCCTCATAGTTTTTTTTCATTCTGATCTATTTAATCTTTCCAGGAATTTCAAGCTCCTAGAAACCAGAGTTCTCAGAAGCTAATTCATCGGCCAGAATGGCTTCATAAAAACAGCAGGTGCTCTGTCAGGAAGGCCTGGAACCAATTCTGACTCTGACACCTGTTTGCTACATAACCCTGGGATAGTTACTTCACTGCTCTGAACTTCAGTTTCCTCACCTATAAAATGGAAATACTCACTGAATCAGACAGACATCCTTAGGGACAGAAAATCAAACTCAACTTGTTAAAATAAAACAACAGGGAGTCGATGGGATAAATAGCTGAACAGGCCAAGGGTCTACTTCAGGTGCAATCTGACCTGGGACTCACACATGACTAGAATCCATGCTCACTTTGCTTTCACATGCTCACCTCCACTGTCCTCCTCTAACCCCTCACCTCCACACCTCCCCGCATCCTGGACAGTTCCAGGCTCTGTTCTTATGGCTCACAACTTAGCACCAAAAGCCAAATAGAAAAGAGAATTTGTGTACCAGTATATCCAAGTTCATTCTGATTGGACCAGTGCTAGATCAGATGCTTATCCCAAACCATTGACTATAGCCAGGGAAATAAGTCCCTATCCTGTCCATATAAGAGCATTGGAATTCTGTTTGGTTTTTTTTCTGAGAATTTTCTCATAACTACTTATCTGTTCATTATCTATTTTATCTAATAAACTACCCTAAAACTTAGCAGCTTAAAATAGCAAACATTTATTATCTCTCAGTTTCTGAGGTCTAGGAATCTGGAAGTGGTTTAGCTGGAGGTTCAGGCTCAGGGTTCTCATGAGATTGAAGTCAATCTTTCAATTGATGGCAAAATCATCTCAGGACTCTCCTGGGGCTGACGGATCTGCTTCCAAGCTCATCTGCATGATTATTGGCAAGCCTCAGTTCCTTTCTGATTGTTGGCCAGAGACTTCAGTTCCTCACCACATGGGCCTCTACACAAGGCTGCTCACAGCATGGCAGCTAGCTTTTCACAGAGTGAGTAATCAGAGAGACAGAGAGAGATTGACTAAGACAGCAGAGCTCATGACAGATGGAAGACACTATAACCAATACCATTGCTTCTGCCATATGCTATTGGTCATCCCAACCAACCTTGGTACAATGTGGGACTACTTTAATAGCAGGCAGTGAGGATCATAGGGCATCCTCTTGGAGACTGGCTCCACACCCATCCAAATGGTTCTGGGAGGATTAGGTTCACCAGGGTGTCCAACTCATCCCAGTTTGCCCGGAACTGTCCCAGTTTTAAAACAGAAAGTCTGTATCATGAGAACTCCTCTGAGTCTCAAGCAAACTGGGATGAGTGATCACCCCAAGAGCTACAGATACTAGGAGGAATGATGAAAGATTTTTCACAGGACATTAGACATTAACTCATTTGACCTCTTCACCTTCCCCAAAGGGAGACTGAGATCTACAGAGGAGAAGTGACTCGCCCAGGATCAAACAATGAGATGGGGCAGAGACCAAGTAAGATCTCAAGTCTCCTGCTTCCCAATCCAGTGCTTCCCTTGCTCCCCTCACCCCAATTCCACACTTTCGTGATGAGCGCTAGCTCTTCCTTTGAGAATAAGGTGTTCACGGTAGTTTAGTAAATTGTTATTTAGGAACCCACCATATTGTTCTGTTTATTTTGCACTTCAATAAAGTGAGGCCATAGCCCAAACAGAAGTGGTCAGAGCCTAGGAAGGAAGAGACAAAAGGTGACCACCTGTAAAACAAATAAGCAGGACAGAAACCAGGCATGGTGGTGCATGTCTGTAGTTCCAGCTACTTCAGGAGGCTGGGGCAGGAGGATCACTTGAGCCCAGGAGTTTGAATCCAGCCTGGACAATATATTGAGACTCCATCTTGAAAAAGAAAAGAAAAGAAAAGAAAGGAAGAAAAAGAAAGAAGGAAGGAAGGAACAAAGGAACAAAGGAAGGAATGAAGGAATGAAGGAAGGAAGGAACGAAGGAAGGAAGGAAGGAAGGGGCAGAGAACAACCCAAAGCAGAAAGAAGATTTGGACCAAGGCCTAATGTTCTTACTCAAATTTCTAAAATATTTTAGGCAGATTATTTAACTTCTCTGAGCTCAGCTACCCCATCTATTAAAAGGGTGTATGCCAAGTGTTTCCAATTTCCAGGCTTCCAGATTTCTCCAAGATAATACAAACAATTTCGTGCTTTCTCAACTCACCCCTGCTACTTAGGCTATGCCTAGCGGGCTTTTTCTTTCTCAGCCTCACCTCACTAAGGTATTTCCTCAACAAAAAGTCACAAAACCGCAATGAGACACCATCTCACACCAGTCAAAACGGCTATTATTAAAAAGTCAAAAAATAACAGATGCTGGCAAGGTTGTGGAGAAAAGGGACACATACACGGTGAGAATGTAAATTAGTTCAACCATTGTGGAAAGCAGTGTGGCAATTCCTCAAAGAGCTAAAAGCAGAACTACCATTCGACCCAGGTTACCTGTATCCTATTCTATTTCTGTATCCTATTCCTAGGATTCCAGGAATAGATAACCCAGGTTATCTATTTGGTATCCCAAGAATAGGATACCACTCTTATCCCCAGGTATAAGAATATACCTATTCCGCTGGGTATATACCATTACTGGGTATTCCATGGTATATATGTACCACATTTTCTTTATTCGATCTGTCAATCATTGATGGACATTTAGGTTGATTCCATGTCTTTGCTAGTGTGAATAGCGCTGCAATGAACATTCACGTGCATGTGTCTTTATGGTAGAATGATTTCTATTCCTCTCTGTATATACCAATCACGCAGATGAGCTTGGAAGCAGATGTGTAAGCCCTAGTAGGGTCGTGAGATGATTTTAGCCTCAACTGACAGACTGAATGGTATATATACCATTGCTGGGTATATTCCCAGAGGAATAGAAATAATTCTACCATAAAGACACATACATGTGAATGTTCATTGCAGTACTATTCACATTAGCAAAGACATGGAATCAAACTAAATGCCCATCAATGACAGACAGGATAAAGAAAATGCCATACATATACACCATGGAATACTACACAGCCATAAAAAAGAATAAGATCATGTCATTTGGGAAGATGGATGGAGCCGAAGGCTATTATCCTTAGCAAACCGATGCAGGAAAAGAAACCCAAATACCATTTGTTCTCACTTACAAGTGGGAGCTAAATGATAAGAACTCATGAGCATAAAGAAAGGAATAACAAACACTGGGGACTACTTGAGGATGGAAGGTGGGAGGAGAGAGAGGAACAGAAAAGACAACTATTGGGTATTGGGCTTAATACCTGGGTGATGAAATAATCTGTATGACAAACTTCCATCACACAAGTTTACCTATATAACAAACCTGCAGATGTACCCTCGAACCTAAAATTAAAGTTAAAAAAAAAAGCCATCACTTTGTATGAAATATACCAATCTCCTAGCAGGCAAAAGTGAATGCAGACAGTTTTTGTCATAAATGGAAATGGATATTGCCTAATCTACTTGGGATCTTGGCAGCTCAAGTGAACTAATGTGAGGGTATGAAAGCAGTGGTAAGCTTTACAAAAATATGAACTAACTTATGTGGCTGTGGAGGCTTTCGGTCACTTTCCCAGAGTCTGATGTCATAATTTTCCCATGTCCTGATGCTCTATTCTCTCTCTTTCTTAACATGCTGGGGCACTGTGGAGTGTGAGCCAGCCAGAATAAACTGAACCTCAGGGCACACTTCTTTGCAAGGAAGCAGGCTTGTAGGGGTGTGTGATATGGGGAAGCCTGACTCTTGGCCCCAGACTGATGATTAGTTAGGCTAGCTATGTCTCCCAAACAAAAAGAAGCAAACTCTGCCAAATATGCAGGGGACGAACTTAACATCTGATTGGGCACAGGGGTGCTCCTTCCTTCTGCATGAGAGAGGCTGGTAGATGTCCTCAAGAGGCAAGAAGCACAAGGTTTCCCTTCTTCAAAGGGAATCCTGGGTTCTGTTTCTCTTTACCCGGAATAATAGTTTCAACTGCAATTTGAAAAGGCAGAGACCAAAGGGAACTCCAGGGACTTCCTTGTCTTTGAACCTCATTAAATGGCTCTGATTTCTTTTCTCTTTGCTTAAGTAGATAATAATATTGCCAATAAATACAGCCCAATGTATCCTCTGCCAAAGACTGGATTGATGCCTTAATAAAGGAAAAAAATTATATTTAGGAAAAGTAAATTTTACATTCCATATATAATGAGAGTGCACTGAGTGTGGAAAACTGGGCTTCAAGCCATGAGGGATGTAAAGATGAGTAGAACAAAGTTATTCAGCAGAAGTAGTTTACAGTGGAGGAAAACCGCTATGCCGTGGACAAGCGCAGCCAGGATGAACAAAAGGCTGAGTATGTAAAGGTCCCGTTGCAGGGTGCTAGAAGGAAGGGCAGGCATCACCGTGTGAGAGAACCGCCTTGAAACTGACATCCAGAAAAGAGTCCTTGACAGGTTTGAAAAAAAGAGAAAAAGCCCCACACAGTGACCTCTTTCTTCAAAATACATCGTTCAATTCCCTTTGATCACTTTCAACAATGGCAATCAGGATCTAGATTTGAGCTTGAGTTTAATTCCCCTACCTCCCAAATGCTAATTGAAATGGCTGAAAACTTGTAATCTGGGAAATGCCACACCAGCAGTAGTAAATTGGGAAGGGTGAGCTCTTTGCAGTGTCTGACCCCCCCTGGTCCTTCCCTGCCTTTCGGAATGCCGTCTTCACGTGGTTTCCACCGACAATCCAATCTCGGGTTTTCCTCCCACCTGGCTGGCCTCTCTTCCCGTATCCTCACCCTCTTCCTGACCTCTACATGCTGGGGAGCCAAAGAACTCAGTCCTGGGAACTCTCCACCATCTATGTACACCCCCTAGTGGAACGTGTCCAGTCCTAGGGCTTTCTTATATAGCTCATGCGTCCTCCTAGATGCAGTCCAGCCACGTCTTTTCAGACTACTGCGATCCCCGCCCTCATTCTTGTCCTCCTGCTTTTATTCTTCACATGGCTGCTAGGATGCTCCTTTTAAAACCTAAGTCAGATCACATCACTTGTATCCTCACACTCAACCACGGCTCCTATTCAACGCAAGTAAAAGACAAAAATCCTGACAATGGTCTACAGGGCCCTACCTGATCTCACTCTGGCTGCCGGTATTAGTCTGTTCTCACGCGGCTATGAAGAACTGCCCGAGACTGGGTAATCGACAAAGAAAAGATGTTTACTTGACTCACAGTTCAGCATGGTTGGGGAGGCCTCAGGAAACTTACTATCATGACGGAAGGCAAAGGAGAAGCAAGGCACCTCCTTCACCAGGTGGCAGGAAGGAGAAGTGCTGAGCAAAGCAGGGAAGAGCTCCTTATAAAAACCATCAGCTCTTGTGAGAACTCACTATAGTGAGAACAGCATGGGGGAAACCGCTGCTATGATTCAATTACTGCCACCTGGTCTCTCCCTTGACACGTGGGGATTATGGGGATTACAATACAACAGGAGATTTGGGTGGGGGCACAAAGCCTAACCATATCTCTGCCTTTATGAACAATCTCCTCCTACACCTCCCCCCCTCGCTCCACTCCAGCCACCTTAGCCTTTCTAATGTTCCTTGAACATTCCAGATTCTCTCCTGCCTTGGGACCTTTGCACATTCTGGGCCTTCTGCCTAGAACACTCTTCTCAGATACTCATACTTTTCACTCCTTCATTTCCTTCCAGTCTCTGCGCAAATGTCACCTTGCCAGAAATGCCTATCAAGGTCACTATTTAAAATAATGTCCTCTCCCTCCCCCATTCTCTATCCCCGTAAACTGATTTTATTTTGTTTTCATTTAACATATCCCTATCTATCATTATGTTATATATTAATCTGTTAGCTTCTGCCTGCCTTTCCCTTTACAATGTACGTTCTGACTACTGTGACTAACCCTTAGAACCATGCCTGGGCACAGTAGGTACAAGGTAAATACTTGGGAATGTACAGATGAATTCATTAATCAATTAATCCATATGCCAGTTACTCAAGACCTTTTTTTTTTTTCAGTATAGAGCGCAGATAAGACCAAATAAGGTTGAGCATGTAAGGAAAAAGCACTCCTAAACTGTGAGTGGACAAAATCTGCAGCAGATCTACAAAACACTCCCAGGCCTGGATCAGTAGGGCTAGAGGAGAGGGCCATCCATGGCGCAGTTTCCCTTGGAAATCTCAGCCCTCCAAACAATTGCAGGAAGCACCTGATTCTCTAGGCAGTGAAGTAACAAGACAACCGCAGTGGATGCTGAGATGTGCTGCTCAGGTTGACTGAAGAACTGAGCACCCCCCTCCACTGCTGCTGGACATGCAGCCACTGGTCAGCTTTCTCTGGAAAGAGCTGAAGAGAACCACTTTGCCCAAAGTCCACACCCGCTTCTAGGGCAGTTCACCTCCAGTGACTATTAGATGTTCACCCCATCTCCAGGCAACTTCAGAGGGATATTCCAGCTTCAGATGCTGCTGTGCAGTTGGCTGGGACCTCCTGAGGCTGCATCATGGCCCAATTTTTCCCTCTGCCCATCCTGCTTCCTTTCCATCTCTTCCACCAGTGTAAGCTTCAGGAGTACTCTCCAATAAATTTCCTTCCTCCTAGTCTCCAGCTCAGAGACTACACCCAGGAAATGCGACCTACAACAATATTTCAGAGAGATTACACTACTCTCTGTATGGTGAGCTGGAAGAGAACAGAATCAAAGTCTCTGAGACTAAAGATCAGGCAATGGCCAAGAGCAGTGTCTCACGCCTGTAACCCCAGAACTTTGGGAGGCCATGGCAGGGGGATCACTTGAGGCCAGGAGTTCAAGACCAGCCTGGCCAACATGGCAAAACCCTGTCTCTACTAAAAACACAAAAATTAGCTGGGCATCGTGGCATGTGACTGTAATCCCAGCTACTCAGGAGACTGAAGCAGGAGAATCATTTGAACCTAGGAGGCAGATGTTGCAGTGAGTCGAGATTGTGCCACTACACACCAGCCTGGGCAACAGAGCAAGACTCTGTCATAAATAAAATAACATAACATAACATAACATAACATAACATAACATAAAATAACATAAAATAAAATAAAATAAAATAAAATAAAATAAAATAAAATACAAGATAAAATAAAAAATAAAATAAAATAAAATAAAATAAAAAATAAAATAAAATAAAATAAAAAATAAAATAAAATAAAATAAAATAAAATAAAGATCAGGCAATACCAGATGTTACAATAGAGGAATGGTAAAAAGATGGAATATATTCACTCATTGGACTATTACACAGCAATTAGATAAACTAAATCTAAGTATCCAAATGGAAAAATTTCAAAAATATAATCTTCAGTTTAAAAAAAAGAGAAGTTGCAGAATATATGCAATACTTTTTTTATTAAAAAATACGCAAAAATAATACTATCTATTGTTTTCATGGATGTAAAATGTAATACAAGCATAAAAAGCACAGACCTGAAGGGCATCCACAAATTTCATGATGGGGTTTGTTCTAAGGAGAGAAAGGAAGAATTAGGATTAAAAAAAACACACAGCCGGGTGCGGTGGCTCACACCTGTAATCCCAGCACTCTGGAAGGCTGAGGTGGGCGGATCAACTGAGGTCAGGAGTTCGAGACCAGCCTGGCCAATATGGTGAAACCCTGTCTCTACTAAAAATACAAAACTCAGCCGGGCATGGTGGCATGCTCCTGTAGTCCCAGCTACTTGGGAGGCTGAGGCAGGAGAATCGCCTGAACCCGGGAGGCAGAGGTTGCAGTGAGCCAAGAGTGCGCCACTGCACCCCAGTCTGGGTGAGACTCTGTCTCAAAAAAACAAGCAAACAAACAAACAAAAACTACAAAGGGGATTTCAAGAATATTTTATTTCTTACATTTAAAAAATCTGAAGAAAATGCAACAAGATGATAGCATCTATTACATTTCAGTAGCAGAATTAAATGGGTATTTGCTAAATTAGGCTTCATCTTTTTCTATATTTAAATTACTTCAAAATTATAAAAAATGTAATTCAAATATTAAAAAATTAAATCACAAAATAACCAAAATTTACTTATAAGTAAATAATATAAAAACAAAAAGGAACATTTTATGAATAAATGCAATGAAAAAATCACATAAAAAGATAAATTCGACTTTAAAACAGTATAAGTGTGCACTGAGAAGTGAAGCACAGAAAGGAAAATTAGTATTAAACAGTTCAAATTTAGAACAAAAATATTCTGAATTTAAAAACAAACCTGCAATAAAATGACAAAGAATCAATATCATAATTCATAATGAGCTCATGAAGAAAAATCAATAGCCTATTTAGAAAAAATAGTGGGTAAAAGTAAACAGGTTATTCATAAAAGAATAAGTACGTTTTAAAATTAACCCACTACTAATCATCAAATAAATGCAAATTAAAATATCTTTTTTAACCCATCAAATTGGCAAATATTTTCTTAAGATAATATGTAACTCTAGCAAGAATTGGAAGGTTGAATCAATAAAGATAAAAAGAATTTCTCATTCATTAAGGGCAAGAGTATAAACTGGTTGAGTTGGAAAACAGTCTGTCAATATGTAACACAGTCTTTAATATGTGCATCATTTTCCTTTACTCGCTTCTAGGAACTAGCTGAGGAGTCAATGGGGAGGTGCACAAAGATTTACTCAAAAATACATGCTAGGCTGGGCGCGGTGGCTCATGCTTATAATTCCAGCAATTTGGAAGGCTGAGACAGGTGGATCACCAGAGGTCAGGAGTTCGAAACCAGCCTGACCAATATGGTGAAACCCTGTCTCTACTAAAAATACAAAAATTAGCTGGGCCTGGTGGTGTGCACCTGTAGTCCCAGCTACTTGGGAGGCTGGGACAGAATTGCTTGAACCTGGGAGGCAGAGGTTGCAGTGAACCGAGATCGAGCCACTGCACTCCCGCCTGAGTGAGAGTGAAATTCCATCTCAAAAAAAAAAGAAAAAACAATGCTGCAGTGTTACATTTAATATAAAAAAATTGAAAAGAGTTAAAGTGCCCAATAGAGAGACGCTTAAGCAGATCATTTTATACCACATGAAGGAATATTGTGCACCACAAAAGGTATATTTCCAAGAGACATAATAATGACATGCAAAATTGGCACATTACAAATATAGAAAGCAGGATCCTTAATTAGGTATACAATGTGCTTCTAATTTCATGTGTCTATCTATGTGCATATTTTATGCTTAGAAACCATACACATGAACAGGTTATAACATAAAATAATATCACCTCAGGTTTTAAAAATATCTATGCATATGAAAAACTGGAAGACCCATTTATTAAATATCGACATCATCTCTGGACTTGTGGAAATTAAAAGACAGTCATTTTTTTCCCTTCTTTATCTACCCTATATTTTAGAAAGTATATAACTGAGTCAAAGACATAGGAACACCTCTTTAAGAATTTCCTGAAACCCAAGGCTTCACTGTGAGTCGCAGGAAAGAGCCTGAGACTTTAAATGATGAAACAGGTCCAGTGGTCAGGGAACCTAACTATGACAACCTAAGCCCATCCTGTTTAAATCTCTAATGTGGCCGCTGTTGCCATTTCTGAATGGATTTAAGATGGTATAAGACAGGCCTCTGCTGAGCTGCCCTGTTCATAGCTGAAAGTAAAGCAGCCTCTACACCCAGCATGGAGGCCCTCAGATGGAGGCTTCCTTCCTGTGTAGCTTTCCAGCCCACCACCAAGAGAACAGGGGCCTCTCTCCTTCCTTGGCCTCCTGTAGCCTTGTTTGTCTCCTGCTGTCCTGTCACCACGTGCTGTACATCTCCCTTAACTTGAGCCCACCTGTAGGCCTTTGCATTTCAAACTGCCTGATATTCTTCTGCTTACCCATTTACATTTTAGGTTTTTCAGTTGTGGTTATTTGTTTGTTTGAGGCAGGGTCTCACTCTGTTGCCCAGGTTGGAATGCAGTGGTGTAATCATGGCTCACTGCAGCCTTCACCTCCCAAGCTCAAGCAATCCTCTCACCTCAGCCTCCTGAGTAGCTGGGACCACAGGCACACACCACCATGCCCAGGTAATTCTTTTTATTTTTTGTAGAGATGGGGGTCTCACTATGTTGCCCAGGCTGGTCTCGAACTCCTGAGCTCCAGTAATCCTCCTGCCTTGTATTCCTAAAGTGTTGGCTTTACAGGCATTAGCCACTGTGCCCAGGCTTCCACTTATTTTTGAACGCTTGATCTTGGGTTCCAGAATGTTATCTTGCATTTCAAATTCTGCTCTATTTATCTATGTGTGGGTCAGAAAAAGAACATAAGAGCTCAGCATACCTACCACTACATGCCTCCATTTGCAAAGACTCAAAGTATTCCATTCTTTAACTCCATGAACGTTTCACAAGAGAAGCAAGGCAACAAATCAGAAACAAATAGTACAGTGACCAACTTATGCCAGTGTGCCTGAACTTTCCTGGTTTTATCATGGAAAGGTTCACATCCCAGTAACCCCTGTCCCAGGAAAACCAGGATGTTTGGTCACCCTGGAGAGGATCCAAATTCCTTTGGCAATAGTATAGGGCATCCTCTCTGATGCTCAGAAGGGTTTGTTGATGAATTGGACAAAAACCTGGATATCGGAGGAATTTAGAAAAAAATAGTTTTATCTGGCAGCTAGATATAGGTTTAATGTAAATATTTAAATACGGTTAAAAGCAAATAGAGCACTTCCCTCAAACAACAATCTTGACTTCACAGTCTCGAAGGATCAAAGAACTTTGAGAAATTCACTGTATTTATTTCAAGGATATTATTCACTTTCTCACACTGTATCCTCTAATGAGGATTAAATTGATGATGTGTCTTACATCTTAGTATTAGGAATTGCTCCGTTTCACTTGTGTAGCAGGCTTATTTTTTTTTATGGACACTAGATTCTATAATTAGTGCTGTCTTCCTTTTTACCTTTGTTGCTAAAAGCCAAAAGCCAAATTTGCATTCAAACCTTTTAGTGAAACATATGAGATATACGGAATTATATCTCATATGTGCATTAACTTTGCCCATAGATTTATTTTCTTTTTCTTAGCCATATTTTCTCTTTTAATTTCTTATATTAGAAAACAACATTGCAGCCGGGCACAGTGGCTCACACCTGTAATCCCAGCACTTTGGGAGGCTGAGGCAGGCGGATTGCTTGAGGTCAGGACTTTGAGACCAGCCTGGCCAACTTGGTGAAACCCTGTTTCTACCAAAAATACTAAAATTAGCCGGGCATGGTGGTGTGTGCCTGTAGTCCCAACTACTTGGGAGGCTGAGAAGGGAGAACTGCTTGAACCCGGGAGGCGCAGGTTGCAGTAAGCCGAGATCGCGCCACTGCACTCCAGCCTGGGTGACACAGCCAGATTACATCTCAAAAAAAAAAAAAAAAAAAAGAAAAAGAAAAAAAGAAATAAAACAACATTGCATAATATTCATTTATTCTACAAATGATCATTGAAGAGATACTATTTTGGGTTCTAGGGAGAGAACAGTGAACAAAACCAAGTCCTTGCTCTCATGGAACTGACATTCTAGTGAAGAAAGACAGACAAAATAAATAAATACATTAGGTGGTATTAGGTGCCAAGAAGAAAGGTGAAGGGATGGAGAGTAAAGGCTTCTCCAGGGAGCGAGACCAATATAGCACAGTGAGAGGCTGCTACTGTAGATGGGTAGTCTGGGACAGCCTCTTAGAAAAGGGGATATGTGAGCAGACACAAAGAAACTGAACAAGTGAGCTGTGAGGCAGAGGGAATAGCAAGTGCAAAGGCCCTGGGGCAGAAGACTGTTTACATGCTCCATAACAGCTAAGCATCCAGTCTGGCTGCAGAGAAAGTAGGGAGGAGAATTGGTAGGACCTGAAGCCAGAGAGGAAAGGAAGCCATATCAGAGAGGATACTGTAGACCCTGGACAGGACTTTGAGTTTTACTCTGATGAGATGGCTCCCATACTGCAAAATCATCAGGCTGTTGTATTGATAGAGGACTGTGGGGCAGGGTGAGGATAGTTGCAGGAAGATCAGAAACAAGGCAACTGAATAGTCCAGCTAGGAGATGCATGCAGGATAGTAGCAGTGGAGACCATAAGCAGTGGTGGGGTTCTGGACACATTTTTGAAGGTAAGTCCAACAGGATATGCTAGGGGTTGAATGTAAGGTAAGAGTAAAGAAGGGGACGTGAAGATGACTCTGAGAAACTAGAAATAGCATTGAGGCAGGTAGCATAGCATAATGCAATGGCTCTCAACCCTGGTTGCCCACTGGAATCATCTGAGGAGCTGGGAAACCCTATGAGGACTTCATCCTACCTCCTAGAGAATCTGTTTTACTGGTCTAGGGTAGGGCCATCCACATGTCCCTTCTTTCACTCATACCTTACATCCAACCCCTTGTAGAGATGCACATGCCTAGGAGGGAAAGGCAGTGGGATCAAGCCTGAGCGAACTTGAAGGATCCCTTGGCCAACACTGAGGACCAGGAATGGCTCGGCCCCATGAAGGGTTTACAATGGCTTTGAGGAGATGAGGATTAGTTCCTCAGGGCCCTTCCTACTCACAGCAGCCTGACACCACAGCCACATTACACATCTTGAGGATTAGCCTTCTCTACAGGAAAACTGAATAGATTCATCTTTCTTCTGATACCTTAATCTCTCAATCATCTACTTTAATAACCATTTTTGTAAAATCAAATATCGAAAGTTAAGAATAGAGACCAGGCTTACTAAAGCAACAACAGTCACACTGAAATGCTAATTCAAAGAATCTGCACTCCAGTCTCCCATGACAAGCAATGCCTCAGATTCTTTAGGAATCAGAGTGCAGGGCCAAGGTGATGAATGTGGTTGTACAGTTATCCAGTCTCATACATCTGCATCCCTGAGGAGTGGTTCTGCCTTCCGTTAGTCAGGAGGCACTGCACACTCTCCAAGCCCAATATAAATGAGCGTAGTCAAGAGCAGAATTAATCAACTCAATAACCAAGTCATGGGAAAAGCAGGGATGGAGCCAGCTTCAGAAATTACTGGAACCCTGAGCTCTTTCTTCTTCTTGTGGTTCCTTATGCTGGTTTCATTCGCTTCAGATTCACTTTCACTGTGGACCATGGCTTACACCTTCAGAGCACTCTGACATTAAGAAAAGCAGGCAGCTCTCTCCCAGCTCCAATTTGAAAAAATCCTAGAAGAGGACTTTGATTCCCCTAGCTTGGGTTGTGTGCCCATCCTTTTGGCCAGGAGGTCAAGCTCTGTTACTATGTAACAAGGAGAAGAGCTGAGCAGACAAAAGTAATAGAGGTCTACAATTCCCTGCCACCACAGCTCGTGTTTATTCAGTCACTGCTCCCTGAAAAAGTGGTCCTCAAAGTGCACTTTCTGGCTACAATGGCCACAGAGGCATAAGGTCTGGGTTAAGAAATATCTAAGACTGCTTCATCTGTGTTCCACCCTCATAGACTCATGAGTCCTTTCTCAAGCAAGCATAAAATCAATGCAATTGAATCTTTTTGTTGTTGTTGTTTTTACAAAACACTTTGTGCAGAAGGCTGAATTTTAATCTAAGCAAATTGTTTCTGGTGATTATAGGATAACTAAAGTTTACTGTTCTAGATCACTCTACAAGTCAACTTTCCTTCTCTGATTTTAGATCTATTCAGAGAGCATCTCCACTGTGAAAAACATTTATGATAATTTGCTGCCACTACACGGACTTCCACAAACTCAACCTTCCTTAACCCCAGAAACCACAAACTTTCAAAAATGATGACAAGGGGAAGAGATGAAAGATGCTGGAGCAATGCAGCATAAATCCCAACCCACTCCTCTGCTCTCCACACTGTATGGATGGAGGTGCTGAGGAAGTTGGTGGGGTGAGGAGAGGCCTGAGAACACTCACTGATAGCCTCCAGTTTGGAGTGACATTGATCTAAGTGGGTGATCGTGTGGCCTGGGAAAAATGTACAATAATAACCAATGTCAGTAGGGCCCTGACTTACCACACCAGTAGTTGGGCACCCAGTGGAATGGGGAAGGGGCCTGAGGGCTGTAAGAACAGACTCCAGGGCTCAAAGCTGTTAGAAGAGTGACACGAAGGTTAAAGAGGGGTCCCCCACTGCAATCTCCCAGGAAAAAGATACACCCCCTCCTGCTTGTGGAGGGAGCCCTGGAATGGCCCGATAAACAATCTTTCAGATCAGAGTCAAGTCCAGGTCCTCAGTCAAGGCTGTGCAAAAACTCTGTGACATTTCCTCCTTCCCACACTGTATCCTTGGGTCCAGGAAGGCAGAGGAGCCTGTAAGCTATTCTCAGACCATAGCCATACAGGGAGGGCCAACAGACTCAGACAAGCTGGGAGAGGGAAAATTATTTTTTAAAAAGTGAAAGAGATACTACTACTAATAAGCACCACATCAATATTTTCACAAGTGACTCTTCCAATCTTTCAAAGAACACTTCATCCTGACATCACTTTCACTGTTCCACAGCCACAAATACCTGAAAACAACAGAAGAAAAAAGAAAACTGAGAGAAGTCACAAATTTAAATGGCCTCACAGTCTAGGAAGGTGACTAAGACGGGTGACACTGACCAACTAAAAGCACAGGACTGCACATTTGTGAATGGCGATACTGGAGATTGGAGAGCATCGGCAGTACAAAGGAAACTACCACCTTTCCATCCCAGACAGCCTTTTCAGTGAAGCAACATGGTTAATCCAGAAAAGCTGTAAATCCAGGTGTTTCTGTTTAATGCCCCTATTTTGAAATACCCATAGGACAAAAAATTTGTCAGCCGACTGAATGTGGCCCATAGTCAATCAGTTTTTGGATCTCTCCCCATTGACGAAGTATACTTATAAATATTGACCCAAAATCTTTATTAATTTTATTATTCTTCTTTTTCAGAGATAGGGTCTTGCTCTGTCACCCAGGCTAGAGTGCAGTGGCACAATCATAGCTCACTGAAGCCTAAAACTTCTGGGCTCAAGTGATCCTCCCACTTCAGCCTCCCAACTAGCCAGGACTACCTGCATGCACCACTACACCCAGCTAATTGTTTTATTTTTTATAGAGACAGAGTTTTGCTATGTCACCTAGGCTGGTCTCGAACTCCTGGCCTTAAGCGATCCTGCTGCCTCAGCCTCCCAAAGTGCTGGAATTATAGGCATGAACCACTGCACCCAGTCTCTAATTTTTTTTTAGTCAGCAAATGAATGCTGGCAATTCATTAAAAGAATAATTTAAAATGACCAAATGAGATCTATCGGTAGTTCAATATTAGGTAATCCATTAATGTAACACATTATATTAACAGATCAAAGGAGAAAAAGCATAAGAAAATTCCAGTAGGCACTTTACAAACTCCCATATGTATTCTTGTTTTTTAAACAAACAAAAATAACCCTTAATAGAAAAGAAATGCATCAATTTTCTAGATTGCTCAGTATTTTTCATTGTAAGAAAAAAAAAACTCAAACTATTTTAAGGAAAAAAATAAAAAGTATGTATCAACTCACACATTTGAAAAGCCCAGGTATATCTTTGCTTTAGACCTGACTGGAGACCAGGCGCAGTGGCTCATGTCTGTAATCCCAACACTTTGCGGGGTGAGGTGGGTGGATCACTTGAGGCCAGGAGTTCGAGACCAGCCTGGCCAACATGGTGAAACCCCGTCTCTGCTAAAAATACAAAAATTAGCCGGGCATGGTGGCACACACCTCAGCTACTCAGGAGGCTGGGGCATGAGAATCGCTTGAAGCCAGGAGGCAGAGGTTGCAGTGAGCCAAGATCTCGCCACTGCACTCCAGCCTGGGCGACAGAGCAACTCTGCCTAAAAAAAAAAAAAGACTTGACTGGAAATCAGATTTTCAATAGTTCAGTTGTGACTAGTTTGCTACAACTGGTCTCTGTTTCTCCTTTAATGTTGGCCCAGCTGCAGATGGCTTTGTCCTTGTAGCTAAGAAAGATGGCTGTAAGAAGCTCTGCTTTAATTCAAGCTCAAAGCTTATGAGTACCAAAAAAAAAAAAAGAATGTCATTCTTCACAGTTTCAGCAGTAAAGTTCCAAAGTGGATTCTAATTGGCTTAGCTTGAAACACATGTACATGGCTGAACCAATTCTGCTAAAGATAATTAAGTCTTCTGACTGGCAAAGCCTGAGTCAAATACCACTTTAGGAGGCTGAGAATCATTCCCACTCAAACCACCTGGAATGAGCAGTAGATGGTTCCCTAAAGAAATACATTGCAGATAGAAACAACGTTATGTCCCCTAAACTCACCTAATGTGAGAAAGTGTGTGGAGTGTGTATGTGATCTCCATATAAACATACCCTTAAAAATAGAAATAACACAAGGATGCTTATATAGCCATTTTTTGTTTAATATTTTTCTAGAAAAACTACCTAACACAATTAGACCAAAGAAGAAGGGACTGTAAACACTGGACAGATCAAGACTACATTTGTACCATATGCCAATGACATCACTGTATAATTTAAAAATATAAGAGAATCAACTGAAAAAAGTATCCAAAACAACAAGAGAAATAAGTTACTTCACAATACATTTGACAAAAGAAGCACAACACTTGTACACTGAAAAGCACAAAACATCATTGAAAACATTAAAGAAGACCTAAATAAATGAAAAGACATCCCATGTTCATGGATTGAAGACTTTAATATTTTAAAGATGGCAATACTTCTCAAACTGATCTACAGATTCAATGCAATCTCCATCAAAATCTCAGATGGCTTTTTGCAAAAGTTGACAAGCTGATCTTAGAACTCAAAGAAAATGCAAGGAATCTAAAACAGCCAAAACAATTTTTAAAAGGAAACTGAAGTTGGGAGACTCATACGTCCAGATTTCAAAACTTACAAAACAATAGTAAGCAAGACTGTGTGGTACTGGGTCAAGGAGAGACACATAGATCAATAAACCAGAATCAGGAGTCTAGAAACAAGCCCTCACATTTGGTTGAGGTCAACTGATCTTCTACAAAAGTGCCAAAACAATTCAATGGGAAATGAATAACTTTTTCTACAAATGCTGCTGGGACCACTGAGTATCTACATGCAAAACAATGAAGTTGGATCCCTATCTTACACAATACTGAAAAATTAACTCAACCTGGATCAAAGACCTAAGTAAGGCCAGGCGCAGTGGCTCATGCCTGTAATCCCAGCACTTTGGGAGGTTGAGGCAGGTGGATCACCTGAGGTCAGGAGTTTGAGACCAGGCTGGCCAACATGGTGAAACCCCGTCTCTACTAAAAATACAAAATTGGCTGGGTATGGTGGTGCATGCCTGTAATCCCAACTATATGGGAGGCTGAGGCAGGAGAATCACTTGAACCTGGGAGGCAGAGTTTGCAGTGAGCCAAGATCGTGTCATTGCACTCCAGCCTGGACAAGAGCAAAATCCCATCTCAAAAACAAACAAACAAACAAACAAAATACAAAAAAAAACACCTAAATGTGGGAGCTAAAACTGTGAAACTCTTAGGAGAAAACATAGGTGTAAATCTTTATGACCTTGGACTGGGTAATAGTTTCTTAAATATGGCATTAAAAACACAAGCAACTAAAAAAAATAGATAAATTTAACTTTATCAAAATTTAAAACTTTTGTGCTGCAAAAAACACTATCAAGAAAGTAAAAAGCCAGGCCACAGAATGGGAGAAAATACTTGTAAATTATATATTTGATAAAGTACTTGTATTTAGAATATGTAAATTACCCTTAAACTCAATAATAAAATGACAAATAACCCAACTAAAAACTGGGCAAACAGCCAGGTGTGGCAGCTCATGCCTGTAATCCCAACACTTTGGGAGCCCAAGGCAGGAAGATCGCTTGAGCCCAGGAATTTGAGGCCAGCCTGGGCAACATGGCAAATCCCCATCTTTACAAAAAATACAAACATTAGTTGGGTGTGGTGGCACATGCCTATAGTCCCAGTTACTCGGGAGGCTGAGATGGGAGGATTTCTTGAGCCCAGGAGGTGGAGGTTGCAGTGAGCAGAGATGGTGCCACTGCACTCCAGCCTAGGCAACAGAGCAAGACTCTGTCTCAAAAAACCCGAAAACCAAAAAACCAAAAAAAAAATAAAAAAAATAAAAAACATAAAAAAATTTTTAAAAACTGAGCAAAGGCTCTGAATAGATTTTTCTCCAAAGAAAATATACAAGTGGCCAATATGCACATGAAAAGATGTTCAACATCACTAGTCATTAGGGAAATGCAAATCAAAACCACAATAAAATATCATTTCACTTCCACTATAATCAAAAAGACAGATAATAAAAACTATTAGCAAGAATGTGGAGAAATCTGAAGCCTCATACATTGCTGGTGGAAATGTAAAATGTTACAGCTATTTTGCAAAACATTTTGGTAGTTCCTCAAAAAGTTAAACACAAAGTTACCATGACCCAGCAATTTTACTCCTAGATATCTACCCAAGATAAATAAAAACCAATGTCCACACAAAGACACAAATGATCGTAGTAGCAGAATTCAAGATAGCCAAAAAGTGAGGACAACCAAAGTTTCCTTCAATTGATAAATGGATAAAGTGTTATATCCATACAACATAAAAAGGAATGAAATATTGATACATGCTACAACATGGATGAACCTTGAAAACACACTAAGTAAAAGAAGCTAGGTGAAAAGACCACATATTGAATGATTTCCATTATATGAAATGTCCAGAATAGGCAAATCCATAGAGACAGAAAGCAGATTAATGGTTGCCAGGGGCTGAGGATTGGGGAAGGGGTTGGGGGTGCCTGCTAACGGGTACAGGGTTTCACTGTGGAGTGATGAAATGTTCTCGAATTAGACAGTGGTGATGGTTGCATATTTTGTGAATATTAAAGTGTACTAAATTGTATACTCTGAGAGAGTGAATTTTATGGAATGTGAACTATATCTTAATAGAAATATCAATTTAAAAAATCAGAGAACTTGATAAGGTGACTAGTTACACAAGTGATATATAAAAATTATTTTTCTATTGAAATAATAAAGTATAATGGAAAAAATCTCCCGTGGTACAACAACAAGTACAAAGACAAAATACTTAGTAATAAACTAGGCTGGAATTTGTTTAGAACCTATAAAAAGAAACCTTTTAAAATACGAGTAAATGGAAACACATATCTTCATCTTTGATTGGAAATGTTTATTTTTTCTTTGAATCATTTCTATAGTCATGAGTTTCCAAAGACAATATCAAAAAGGTTGTTTTGAAACTTAAGAATCAAAATTTATCTAGGAAAAGTTATCTGGAAAATCCATCTGGAAAATATGGTATCAAGAGATTTTGTTTGGAAACTGAACAAGAATTATAATTTATCTGTAAAAATAAAATTTATCATGTAGAATACTCAGGTAGTTTATGGAAAAAAAGAGTAATGGACTTGTAGAGAATGGAAAGAACTATTCCTAAAATATATTATCAAGGTACAATAACAATAATAATAAAACCTATTTTTACAAAAGAAGAAATAGACCAGTAGAACAGAATACAGGGCCCATAAACAGGCTTAAATACATACAGGAATTTAATTTATAATATAGTTAGTATTTAAAATAGGAAAATTAAAAATTAGCCAATAAATGATGTAGAGATAACTGAGTCTCTGGAAAAAAATAATCTGGATCCCTACTTTACTCTTCATATCAAAATAACTAATGGATCAAAGCTTTGTTTTTCTTTTAGTACTTTAATTTTTTTAATTTTTCTATAATTAAGGAGTACAAGTACAGGTTTCTGACATGCATATATTGCACAGTGGCGAAGTCTGGGCCTTTAGTGTACTCATCACCCAAATAGTGAACATTGTACCTAATAGGTAATTTCTCAATCCTCACCCCACTCCCACCCTCCCACCTTTTGTAGTCTCCAATGTCTATTATTCCACTCTGTGTGTCCATGTGTAGCCATTGTTTAGCGCCCACTTATAACTGAGTATGTGGTATTTGACTTTCTGCTTCTGAGTTATTTCACTTAGGATAATGGCTTCCAGTTCCATCCATGTTGCTGCAAAACACATGAGTTCATTCTTCTTTATGGCTGAGTAGCATTCCATGGTGTATGTGTGTGTGTGTATATATCATGTATGTGTATATATACATACATAATATATAATACATTATATATTAATGTGTGTGCATATATATATATATATATATCACGTTTTATTTATTCCTCCACTGATAAACATTTAGGTTGATTCCACATATTTGCTACTGTGAATAGTACTGCAATAAACATACAAGTGCAGGTCTCTTTTTGATATATTATTTCTTTCCCTTTGGGTATATGCCCAATAGTGGGACTGCTGGATCAAATGGTGGTTCTATTTTTAGTTCTCTGAGAAATCTCCATACTGTTTTCCGTAAAAGTTGTGCTAATTTACATTCCCACCAACAGTGTACAAGCATCCTTGCCAACATCTTTGCATCATCTTTCTCTGCATCTTTGCCAACATCTGTTGTTTTTAGACTTTTTAATAGCCATTCTGACTAGTATAAGATGGTATCTCATTGCGGTTTTAATTTGCATTTCTCTGGTGATTAGTGATGTTGAGCATTTTTTCACATGTTCATTGGTCAACTGTATGCCTTCTTTTGGAAAATGTCTGTTTATATCCTTTGCCCACTTTTTAATTAAGTTTTTTGTTTTTTTCTTTTGTTTTCTCTTATTGAATTGCTTGAGTTCCTTGTAGATTCTGGATATTAACCCTTTGTTGGATGCAGAGTTTACAAATATTTTCTTCCATTCTGTAGGTTATGTTTATTCTAATGATTGTTTATTTTGTTGTGCGTAAGATTTTTAGTTTAATTAAGTTCCATTTGTCTATTTTAGTTTTTGTCGTGTTTGCTTTTGAGGACTTGGTCATAAATTCCTTGCCTAGGCCAGTGTCCAGGAGAGTTTTGCCTAGGTTTTGTTCTTGGGTTTTTATAGTTTCAGGTCTTATGTTTAGGTCTTTAATCCATTTTAGTGAATTTTTTGTATTGTAAAAGGTATAGGTCCAGTTTCATTGTTCTGCAGATGCCTATTCAATTTTCCCAGCAACATTTATTGAATAGGGTGTCATTTCCCCAGTGTATATTTTTGTTGACTTTGTTGAAGATTAGCTGATTGTAGATAAGTGGCCTTATTTCTGGGTTCTCTATTCTGTTCCATTGATCTATGTGTCTATTTTCATACCAGTATAATGCTGTTTTGGTTACTACAGCTTTGCAGTATAATAGAAAAGAAACAACAAACCAAACCCAAAGTTAGCAGGAGAAAAGAAATAACAAAGATCAGAGCAGAACTAAATGAAATAGAGACAAAAAAAAATACAAAGGATCAATGAAACAAAATTTAGTTCTTCAAAAAGATAAAATTGATAAACCATGGCCGGGCACAGTGGCTCACACCTGTAATCCCAGCACTTTGGGAGGCCTAGGTGGGCGGATCATGAGGTCAGGAGTTTGAGACAAGCCTGGCCAGCATGGTGAAACCCTGTCTCTACTAAAAATACAAAAAATTGGCTGGGCATGATGGTGCGTGCCTGTAATCCCAGCTACTTGGGAGGCTGAGGCAGGAGAATTACTTGAACCCAAGAGGCGGAGGTTGCAGTGAGCTGAGATCGCACCACTGCACTCTAGCCTGGGCAACAGAGTAAGACTCTGTCTCAAAAAAAAAAAAAAAATTGATAAACCACTAGCTAGACTAACCAAGAGAAGAGAGAAGATCCTGATAAATACAATCAGAAATGAAAAAGGAGACATTACTACTAATATCACAGAAATACAAAAGATTATGAACAACTATATGCTCACAAACTAGAAAACGTAGAGGAAATGGATAAATTTCTGGAAACATGCAACCCCTCAAGATTGAGGCAGGAAGAAATAGAACCCCTGAACGGACAAATATTGAGTAGCAAAACTGAATCAATAATAAAAAAATCTTCCCCCAGTGAAAGCCTAGGACCAGATGAATTCACAGTCAAATTCTACCAAACATACCAAGAAGAATTAATACCAATCCTCCCAAAACTATTCCAAAAACCTGAGGTGAAAGGAATTCTCCCTAACTCACTCTACAAGGCCAATATTACTCTGATACTAAACAGACCAGGACACAACAAAAAAAGAAAACTGTAGACCAATATTTTTGATTAATATAGATGCAAAAATCCTCAACAAAATAGTAGCAAATTGAATATAATAACACATCAAAAAGATAATATACCATGATCAAGTGAGATATATCCCAGTGACGCAAGGATGGTTCAACATATGCAAATCAATAAACATGAAACATCACATTAACAGAATTAAGGACAAAAAACCATGTGAACATCTCGATAGATGCAGAAAAAAAATCTGATAAAATTCAGCATCTTTTCATAATAAAAATTCTCAGCAAACTAGACATAAAGGAACATGCTTCAACATAATAAAGGCCATCTACGACAAACAGCCAATATTATACTTAATGGGGAAAAGTTGAAAGCATTCTAAGAACTGGAACAAGACAACAATATCCACTTTTACCACTCTTATTTAACTTCTAGAAGTCCTCACGTGCTCAATCAGGCAAGAGAAAAAAATAAAAGGCATCCAAATTGGAAAAGAGGAAGTCAAATTATTCTTGTTGCTGATGATGTGACTCATATCTAGAAAACCCTAAAGACTCCACCAAAAAAACACCAAAAAGATTTGATCAACAAATTTAGTAAAGTTTTAGGATACAAAATTATTGTGCAGAAATCAGTAGCATTTCTACTGCATCCAGCTGAGCACCAAATCAAAAAGGCAATCCCACTTACAATAGCTATTTAAAAACACATAAAATATGTGAATACATTTAACCTAGCAGGTGAAAGATCTCTACACAAAGAACTACAAAACACTGGTGAACAAAATCATAAATGACAAACAAGTGGAAAATATCCCATGCTCATGGATTGGAGGAATCAATATTGTTAAAATGACCACACCGCCCAAAGCGATATATAGATTCAACACAATGCCTATCAAATTACCAATGTCATTTTTCACAGAATTAGAAAAAAACCTAAAATTCATATGAAATCGAAAAAGAGCCTGAATAGCAAAAGCAATCCTGAACAAAAACCATCACACTCTGGGGACTGTTGTGGTGTGGGGGAAGGCGGGAGGGATAGCATTGGGAGATATACCTAATGCTAGATGACGAGTTAGTGGGTGCAGCGCACCAGCATGTCACATGTATACATATGTAACTAACCTGCACATTGTGCACACGTACCCTAAAACTTAAAGTATAATAAAAAAAAAAAAAGAACAAAGCTGGAAGCACCACATTCCTTAATTTCAATTATACTCCATGGATCAAAATTTTAAACAAAAAACAAACAATAAGACGTTTTAAATAAATAATGTATTATAATCTTCTAGGATGAACACCTACTAAGCCCAGAGACATAAAGGAAAAAATTAATTTCATTACAGAAAAATGTTTAGCTTTTATACAACAAAAACATTTACAAATGAAACCAAAATATATATGACAAACTGATTAAAATATTTGAAGCACATAAGAAAACAAAAACAAGATAATTTTTTAATTTACGAAGAATGTGTACAAATCAGTAAGAAAAAACTCATCAATCTAATTAAAAAGTGGGCAAAGTGTGTTAACAGACTCATAACAGAAAAATAGATACAAACGACTAAATTAGCATTCGAAAGTATTTAACCACATTTATCATTTTAAAAAATGAAACAGAAAATAAAACGAGATACCATTTTTCATCCTTCAGATTGGCAAAAATACAAACACTAGCAAGGGCATGAAATCACTGGCATTCTTATCACAGCCAGCATATACATGGAGGCAGATTTTTGGAATGGCACTTGGGCGATAGCTGCCAACATCTCATTCATTTGTGAAACACATGCATCTTCCACAGCTAGAAATTTACCCTACAGTTACACTGACCAAAGACTACCAAGACAACATGTGAGCAAGAATGCTCTTGGCCAACTGCTGGTTCATATAAAAGCCAGACAAAATAAATAAAAACAACCAAAAAAGCCAATACCAAGGGACAGATTAAATAACTCACCGCCTCCCCCACCACCCTGATATGGATGCCTCCAACATGACCTCTGGCTGGATTTTTCGGTAGCCTGTAAATGGTTCCTCGTACGTCCTCTATTGTTCTCCCCACCTTGTCCAAGTCCATTCCTCATTTTGTAGCCAGAGGTGTCTTTTCAAAATGAAAATCTAATCATTTTACAAATGCATGTGCACACAAACACACACACACATACACACACACACACACACACACACACACACTGCATAACATACTTTTGAAGTCTTTCCACTGCTCCAAGATAAAACCCACCCCAACTCCTTACCATGACCTACAAGGTACTGCCATGTCTAGCCTACCTGCCTCTCCAGCCTTATCTTGGGCTACACTCCACCCTCAGTTTCACTCCCTCACACTCACAATGCTACCTCCACTCCAGGACCTTTGCACATGCTATTCCATCTGCTTAGAGGTTCTTATTTTTTATTCTTCAGTGTGTTCATTTATGTATATATGTGTGTGAGTACATCCAGAGTCATATTTTTTACTTTATACTTTCCTGTAATTAAACAACAGCTAACAGATGCTATAAGCAACCTTAAAGTAACAATAATTCCATTATTCCTACTGTTTGCTTGGCCTTTCCCCAAAGCAATCACATTCTGACATGATCTTGAATTGGTTATTGTACAGACAGCTAACCCTCCTCCTGCCCTTATTTACTGACCATCAATAATGAGGGTGTCTGCCTAACAAGGACACTCCTTTCTCTTTTCATTTCCACAGAAAAGAAACCCAGCTGGCAGATGCCTCCTTTGCAGGCCTCCTGGCCAACCCCACATATGTTAGGAGCTGGTGGGGGGGGGGCAGACAAACCTTGCATTGTAATCGCCGTTCCTCTGACTGTGTCTGTCCAGAGGATCTCCAACCAAACTCCAAAGCATGCAACTTATCGGCTACTTTGTCTGAAAAGCGAATATTTGTAAGTCGTATTATGCTTTCTTCTTGATGATCCACCACCAAAAAAGATATCGGAGTGGGCACCAGATGTAATAAAAATCCTGTTGAATAATTTGGATAGCACTTTAAAGATGATTTATTTAAAGAAAATTGTAATCAGTCACCAAATTCGAGCGCCGTGTTGAAATGGAAAATAGTGTATCTGGAATACTATTCTGTAGGGACAGGATTCATAGGGAAAGTCTGTGGGGTGGGTTTCTTGGTGCTTTAAGAATTACATTAAACTCTCCTCTCCTCAAAGCCAATAGTTTGACTTTAAAGCTGTCTTAGTCTGTTTAGGCTGTATAACAAAATATCATCAACTGGGTAGCATATAAAACAACAAAAATTTATTTCTCACAGATCTGGGGGCTGGGAAGTCCAAGATCAAGATACTGACAGATGCAGTGTCTGGTGAGGGTGTGTTCCTCATAGACTGTGCCTTCTTGCTGTGTCTTTACATGGTGGAAGAGGCAGAAGAGGCGGACAAGCTCCCTTGGGCCTCTTTTATAAGGGCGCTGATCTTATTCTTGAAGACTCTATTATCATGACCTAATCACCCCACGGAGTCCCCACCTCCTAATACTATCATCTTAGGGGTTAAGTTTTCAATGTTTAAGTGGGGAGGGCAGGGGGAGTGAGGGACATAAACATTCACAACCACAACAAAGACCACAACAAAGCCAAGCTTTAAATAAGCTATTTGTTCCTAAAAGGATTCTCTTGTTCTCCACTCGGTGTGTTGGCATATGCCTTGATAGTATCCCTCAGGAAAGAGCTATGTGGATGGGCTACCCCATCACCTGCCCACAACCTGCAACAGTGACCCCTGTCATCTCAGAAAAGAGAAGTCTGTACTGCAGAAGAAGTGGAGCTGAAGGGGCATTTGGGGGGTTGGTGTCCTTTGTAAATTCTTCACGGAGAAATGCCCAGGAAAATAGACACCAGGCTATTAGTGAAGAGCTTCATTTGTACAGCTTATTCCCAATGAAGGATTTTCACTGGATGGCTTATTAGGAGGTGCTTGTATGTAAGGAGGTGCTTGTGTGTAAGGTGCCTGTATATCACCAGCTGAAGAACCTGGTGACAGCAATAGCTGCTGACTTCAGACAGACAATAAGCCTCATGGTGAAGACGGCTGATTTCAGCTTCCCACAGACAAAGCAGCCGTCTGAGATCAGCAAAAGGGCCCTACTGTCCCACGGAATTTACTGACACAAAATACTAAGATACGGGGCAGGAGGTCATTCCCAAACAGGCTTAATTTCATAAATGTAAATACAAACATATCTTCAAAAAATAATAAAACAAAACAGACTTTCACTTCTCTGAGTTTCCTTTTGCCCAACTGTAGAATAGGGGTGAACCAGGAGACTCTAAGAGGCTTGCCAGCTCTGCTATTCTGCTGTTCTATTACCAAATCCAGGGATTTTCCTAAATCTTAGCCCAGAGTTTGCCCCAACCCTGTTCCCTGGCTGAGTGGCCAGGGGGTCCTCAGAGTCTGGCCCATATGTCCATGGGTGGTCTTCGTACTCTTCAAGGCCTGATGTACGTGCCTCTCTATACTGAGAAATGGTCATTGTCGTAGGTTGTGGGCACTTGACATGGGCAGCCCCTCTGCATAGCTCTTCCCTAAAGAGTACTTTTGGGAAAGATGCCATCTCAGCTACTGGAGCCACATTGGAAGCCAGGCTTTGACCACTATTGCTAAATATGCAAATATATTCTGAGTCCAAACAAAGAAAAGGGCATGCAACTGGAAATAAAGAAGATGCTGACAGAAAGAATGGCCAAGGGTAGATTTTTCAAGGGTCTGACTAAGGAGTTTAGAGATTTATTCAGTAGGCTTTGAGAGCCAAGGTTTTTAAACAGGTAGCTTCTTCATAAAGATTAATCTGGTTGTGGAAGTGCAGGTGCATTAGACTGGGGAGAAATAAGAGCTTGAGATGTTACTTAGAAAAGGCCTCTTTTGTTGGAAAAGGCCATAAAAGAGGTAGTGAACCAGAGAGTGGGAATAGGAAGAGGGACAGAGACAAGACTCCTGGGAGAAAGTTCATTGTAAAATTGGCTTTGGGAATCATGGAAGAGAGAGGAATCAAAAATGGTTTCGAGAGCTTCAGAATCTTTTGTGGCAGCCTGAACACAAAAACACAGAACCCACCATCCTCCACCGAGTCCCAGCTCTGACCCTGAGAGCATCATGCCTAGTCACTTTCCTGATTGTTTTTATCCTCTTCTTGTCCCCAGGAAACACTCCACCACCACCCCATCCCTGAGCCACAAAAAAGCTTGATACCCGGTGATGCTGGCCCAAAGTGAGAATAATTTAACCCAGTGGATCCTGGCTGGTTCAGCTGGGATGTCCTTGGACTGAATGTAGTATAGCTTATTTCTAAAGACTAACCACAGTTGGGGGGCTAGGCCTTCTAAATGTAGCGGTCTTTTAAAGGCAAAAGTCACTGTCCACTCCACAGCCAGTATCCTCCACAGCAATCAGATAATTGAGATTTCAGTTAGCCAGACAATATCCCCTTCCTTTTACAACACTTGGATCTTAGACCCATAACAAGAATGTCACGGGAAACTTAGAGAAAGCTAGATATCTGGATGTCTGGCAAGGGGCAGCTTCAGAGGTGCACTCTGGGAGCTATTTTGTGGCTTCTACTTGGCAAACACACACACACACACACACACACACACACACACACACACACACACACACACAAACAACCACAGACACCCTGCAGGACAGTCCTCTGGGTGGCCTTGAACCAAACCAGTTGTCTCCCTCTTTTCTCAGTTGTAGTTCTGAAGAACAACTTCAGAATGTGCTGGGGATGTAACATGTTTCTTTTCTTCTCTTTTCTCTTCTCTTTTCTTTTTCCCTTTCTTTTCTGAGACATGGGCTTCACTCAGCTTCCACCCAGCAGGCTGGAGTGCAGTGGTGCAATCATAGCTCACTGTAACCTTGAACTCCTAGGCTCAACCAATCCTCCTGCCTTAACCACCCGAGTAGCTCAGACTACAGGTGCACACCACCATGCCTGCCTAAGTTTTAAATTTTTTGTAGCGATGGAGTCTGGCTATGCTGCCCAGGTTGATCTTGAACTCCTGGCCTTAAGTGATCCTCCTGCCTTGGCCTCCTAAAGTGCTTATATTACAGTTGTGAGCCACTGCACCTGGCTACAATATCTTGAGATAAGGGGGAGCTGGCCAGAAAAACCCAGGCTCTGTTTCAGTTGCCCTTAGAAGCAAGATGCCTTTCAGTGTTTTAACCCAGTGACTCACGTATCCCCAGAGTATAAAACCCAGGATGGTCTCTTTTCTGGGGTTCCTCGGCTAGAGTACAAATGAGGCACATGCAGAGGAGACTGTATCTACCCTGGGCAGATTTCCTGAGCCTTGGAGGACCAGGCTGTAATGAATCCTAGGCTTCTGTTGTCCCTTCTGCCTACCTCTAAGGAATAAATCCACTTCTGGTAACTTGTTGCATATGAGTATGCTCTGTCTCATCAGACTCAGACAAGTTGGTAACCAGTGCACAGTGAACCTGTTTCACATACCCCAAATTGAAAAAGTGTCATGGAAGCTGTATGAGGAGAAAGTTTTGCCAAAGCTAGGATGATCAGCAGTCCCCAGTGATCTAAAGAGATTGCCTATGTGGACAGCTCATGAGCTGCCAAAGGGTCCTTGCTCAGGGGAGGGAAGCAGTAAAGCCAGACTGCAGGAGAGGAGGAGAAAATAAGCAATGAGCAAGGAAGACTGAGGAAGCCAACCCTGCTTCCCAGAAACCTGGTAGTTAAAGAGGAGAACTGTGGATTCAGCCATAAAGAAGCACAATGGGGTAGCATATTGTATTAGTCCATTTTCACACTGATATAAAGAACTGCCTGAGACTGGGTAATTTATAAAGGAAAGAGGTTTAATTGACTCATAGTTCAGCACAGCTAGGGAGGCCTCAGGAAACTTACAACCATGGCAGAAGGTGAAGGGGAAGCAAGGTACTTTCTTCACAAGGCGGCAGGAAGGAGAAGTGCCAAGTGAAGTGGGGAGAGCCCCTTATAAAACCATCAGATCTCATGAAAACTCACTCATTATCATGAGAACAGCATGGGGGAAACTGCCTCCATCATTCAATTACCTCCACCTGGTCTCTCCATTGACACATGGGGCTTATGGGGATTATAATTCAAGATGAGATTTGGGTGGGGGCACAAAGCCTAACCACATAACATATGTCTTCCCAGGAAAGGGTGGGCCTGCGTACCTTTGAAAGTGTAACTGCAGTACCAGCCCAATCTGGTTCAACTTCGTGTAATAAAATTGTGAGTTGTTTATCAGTTGCTATGGACCCCAGGTTGCAAGTTATGTAACCTGAGCATACCTAGATGAAACAAGTGTGCAACACAGGTGGAACCTAAGTGCTCAGACCAAAGAATAAGGAACTGAATTAAGAAGCAGACACATGGAAGGATCCATGATCCCATCAGATTGAGCCCTGGCATCATTCCCACAGCATGACCCAGTCAGATCACACCTGGCATCACCTCATTGCAAGATCCAATTAGATCACATCTCATTACCTCTGCCTATAACACCTGTCCCAGTCCCCAGCTCGAGGAGACAAATGTAAGCGCTGCCTCCTAATTCCTTGCCAGTCAACTTGCAATAAAGCCTTTCTTCTCTCAAAAGCTAGTGACATAGTATTGGCTTCTAAGTGGGTCAGGCAGTGAGCCTGTGCTTTCTCAGTAGCAAATCCATAAGGGAAAGAGGGAGAAGGAAGGCAAAGAGAGAAGGGAGATGGCTATGGTGACTGATAAATATGGGGTCTGAGTCAGAGGAGGGAGGGAAACTTTATAGCTGAAGGAACATATTTTCCTCTAAAAAGGAAGAAGAAATTGAGGACTTGGAAGATGAGGCTTAGACAGGATGGCTGGAAATCAAACAGGAGTGGGCTTGAGCCATGACTTGTTCACTTCCTGGACATATGATTCTGGATAAATCATGGCAGGAGGTAAGCATCATCTTCAGTTATCATATTCAGTGGTGCTATAGTAAGTATATAAACTATAATTCACTACTGCAAATGAAATAGAAGGTACAGCCATTTGTTGGGTGGGCAGTGTGTCGATTTGAGAATCTAAGGTAGAAAGAGAAGGCTGGAAGTAATCACTGTGAGGCCTGCGTATGGAATTAACAAGAACACAGCAGGGACTTGAATCAATTACACTGCTGTCTTTGCATCCCGCTTCGATCGTCACATCATCTTATCTAAAACTCACAATTGTACCTTCAGGTAAGAGCTACTATGCTCGATTAAAAGACAAGGAGGCAGAGAAATTACCTTACTTGCACGAGGTGACATGATTAGTGAGGAGTAGAGTTAAGCATGGAAGCCATATTTCCTGATTCCACGCCAAACCCTGCCTCTGATATATGCCATAGAGGCCCACTGCCAGGCTTTGAGATTGCAGATGGCTCACTCATGAAAACTATTTGAACCAACAAATGATAGTGTCAGAATGAACATGGCATGCTGGGATACAGGCCCAAACCAATTTGATGAGAGGCAGGAAATATTAACTACTGTATTTAGAGTAAAATACAAAGCAGGAGACCTAACCAGGCATTTTATTCAATTCTGCACATTTCTCACACTTAACACACTGCATGCACACTCAAGATACAGGTGCTGGACTGTGGCTTACAGATAAGATGACAGGAGCTTGTGGCTGGAGAAAGGGAAACCCCTGCTCATGGTCTCAGAAGCCAAGCCATGCTATGTGCCTGACATCAAGATGAAGCTTCTACTCCAGCCCAGATCAGATCCTCCCTGCTCACCAACACTGAAATGTTCGTTCCCAGCTCCTAGAATTTGTTGAAGCACTTGCTCCAACCTGGAAAACTCTTCTATGTCCTTTGATTTGTTGACTAGGATTAAGATCAATCTCATTCCCTTCATGAGGCCCAGGCTCCATGTTTTGGGGTTTAACATGCCAGGGTGTGTATCCTAGCTCTGTGAATCCATGCTGTGTGATTCTGGGAAAATACTTACCCTCTCTGTCTCAGTTTCCTCACCTCTAAAATGGGGATAATAATAATGCATGCCTTTTTAAGACTGCTTAAGTTTAAATAAGATAATACATATAAGGCACACAGATCAGCCACAGAACATAATAAATCCTCAGTGCATACATATTTCCACTGTGTATTTATCACCTGCTGTCATGTTTACCAGTTATTATACTCATGATTTCAACATCTAGCAATCTCCCCCTTAGATCTTTCTTCTGAGCTCTGGGACTACATATCCAATTCTGCTAGAAATCCCCTTTCCAGACATCCCACTAGTATGCCAAATTCGACTGTCCAAAACTGACCTCATCCTCCCCGCTAAGCTGCTCCCCTCCAGCATTCTCTAGATCTGTGAACATCTCCCCTACCCCAGCTGCCCAGTACAGAAAACTGCAGGTTGTCCTCAACACTTTTACTTTTGCCCATTAAATGGCTTTTCAAGTTTTGTCAAGTGTATTTCCCAATATTTCTTTATTGCTTCCCTTCAACTCCTACCAACTTCCTACCACCATCTCCCTCATTTAGGACCTTGTTATCTTTTTCCTAAGTTACTGCCACAAATTGCTCTCCCACTGGATTTAAACCATGGAAATTCATCTTCTGTGCCCTGACCACCATGTGTTTGGAATTCCATATTTTATTTGTAGTGAAGATAGTGTCTCTCCTCCTTTCCCCTTTGCTCTTCCATGTCTGTTTGTTTGTTTTTTGTTGCCCAGGCTGGAGTGCAGTGGCAGGATCTTGGCTCACTGCAACCTCCGCCTCCCGAGTTCAAGCAATTATCCTGCCTCAGCCTCCTGAATAGCTGGGATTACAGATGCGCACCACCATGCCGGGGTAATTTCTGTATTTTTAGTAGAGATGGGGTTTCACCATGTTGGCCAGGCTGGTCTCGAACTCCTGACCTCGTGATCTGCCCACTTCGGCCTCCCAAAGTGCTGGGATTATGGGTGTGAGCCACCGCACCTGGCACCAGGGCAGTTTTTTAACTCCAGGAAATGAGAGTGGTGAGTGGGCAAAAGTCTTTTTATTGTTTGTTTTACAGCATTCTGTATTTTTAATTTTGAGATTTTTACCATGAGCATGTATTACTTTTATAACTTATAAAGGTAGTTCAATCTTTTCCTTAATGCTCTGTAATGGCATGGTCTTTCTCTTGGGATTTTCACACCGGCAAACTTGACTCCTGTGCATGTGGAGCATGACAGGCCTGGGGCTGCCTCCCACCTGGGACCGGCCCCACCCCAGGAAAAGCATGGCAATGGGTGGCTTAGCTGCTCCAAACTTTAGAGATAAATGAGACACTCTCTTCACCTTAATGAGACTGTCCTCCTCGTCCTCCATGCCTCTTCTCTTCATGGGTTGGCAAGGACCAAGTTTAGGGTGTGGGCCTTAGGGCAATGGGCTGAGGAGGCCACTCAGCCTTTATTTAGTTTTGGCTTAGGCCAGAGGTGCTGGGAGAGGTCTGTAGTTCAAGTGGGCTCCTGGGCAGCTCACCTGGGCCAGGGGGTCCACAGAGGGACTTGAGTCCAAAGCCCTCATTGAAAATAAATAAAACATGCTTGGCCCTGTTCTCTTTGCACAAATCTCCCTAAAGACATTTGGGCACAATAAGTGGCATAGCTAATAGCAGCGTCAGCTAGGGACTGTGCAGTCCAAGTAACCAAGCCAGAAGACTCCCATTGACCCTTCCAGATATCCCCTTTCCCCCATTTTCCCACCCCTGATGTCATGCCTAGGAGGCTGGTTTGTGTGCACTGCATCAATCAGCTCCCTGCTTCTCTGGCTTCCTGTTGGCTTTGGCCAATGGGAAGGCCCAGCAAGAGGGAGAGAGGAAAGTGAGGTCAGGGCATTTGTTCTCCGGGTTTCTCCCTGTGAGTTTTCCTGCAAGTGACTGTGTCCCTTGACCAAAAGTCATTGCTCTCCTCAAAGAATTTCCTTTATAAGACTGTCTCCTTCCAGGTTTCCCCACTGCTCCCTTCCCTTGTCCCTTTGAGCCATACAAGCCCCACATGATGGTACTACTTCCCTAATCTCCACACCTTTGCAATTTCTCTCTTTATTAAATCCTTCTCAAATTATCCAAATTTGGCTATGCCATTTGTTCAGGACCCTTCTTGATAAAGCATTTGTCTCTAAAAATATGCAGAAGCCAATTGTGGTAGTTCACGCTTGCAATCCCAGCACTTTGGGATGGGAGGATTGTTTGAGCCGCCCAGGAGTTCAAGACCAGCCTGGGCAATATAGAGAGACTCCATCTCTACAAAAAAAAAAAAAAAATTACCCCGCGTAGTGGCGCACCTGTAGTCCCAGCTACTTGGAGGCTGAAGCAGGAAGATTGCTTGAGCACCACAGTTCAAGGCTATAGTGCCTTTTGATTGCCCCTCTGAAGAACCACTGAACTCTAGCCTGGGTAACATACAGAGTCCCCATCTTCCCCATCCCCAAACAAAGAAAAGAAAAGAAAACAGAAAATGGTGAAGCTCACTCCCTGAACTGAAAACTGGAAATGTATGTAATGGGGAAAACTGCAATTACTTTTGCACCAACCGAATACATGCTTAGACTCAAGCATCCAGACATGCTTCTCCTTCCTAAGGCACTGGTGAGGCACTGTAACCAGTGTGGTGAGAGAAACAATTCTGGTCTAGTCCACATGGTTACCTGTATGTCCTACACTATTCCTATCCCACAAGATCTGGGACCTCCCCTTCTTGCTTTAGAGAACTTACTTACTACTCTTAGTCTTGGCTTTTAGTGCCTCTTTCAGTCAATTTATTTATTTATTTATTTATTTATTTATTTATTTATTTATTTATTTAGATGTAGTCTCCTCTGTCATCCAGGCTGGAGTGCAACGGTGCGATCTCCGCTCACTGCAAACTCCGCCTCCTGAGTTCAAGCAATTCTCCTGCCTCAGCCTCCTAAGTAGCTGGGATTACAGGCATCCGCCATCATGCCCAACTAATTTTTGTATTTTTAGAGACGGAGTTTCACCGTGTTGGCCACACTGGTCTTGAACTCCTGACGTCAGGTGATCCGCCTGCCTAGGCCTCCCAAGGTGCTGGGATTACAGGCGTGAGCCACCATACCCGGCCAATTGATTTCTACAGGTTCTGCATCCTTGTTCTCTAAACTGAATGATTCCAATGCCAGTTTTACCACAGATAAATGCGTGCTTGATCTTTCTGCTTGGTCTCTCCAGCTCAGCCCCCATGGGTTAGGCGTGACCACTGCTGTAGAAACTGGAGGCATACTTTGCTTTGACTGCTGCTGACAGGCTCACCTTCCACCATGACGGTAAGCTGACTGGTCACTGCCTCCCTCATTAACTCTTTCTACTTCATACGATTAAATATCTTTGCCTGGGGCTGCTCAAAATAAGCCTGTTCCTTCCGTTCCTGCTTAACATGATTTGGGAAGAAAAAGGTGGGTCTAAATTCTCCCTAAAACCCAGGAGTTCCTGCCGGCTTTTTCTTGTAGAAATACAAGGAGTTCTGCTACCCGCATAAGAAGCTTCTAAGACAATACTAAAAGAGAGGAATTCAAAATGTTCATCTTTGGAGGAGGGAAAGCAATGTTCCCAAAAATGAAGAAACCTGAATTCTAACCTGGCTCTGACACTCCTGCTCTGCAGCTTCTGAGAAGTCATTTGCCTCTGGAGGCTTCAGTGTTCCCTTTTGTAAAATGGGAGCAATTGAATAAGAGTGTCCCTTAACTTTTCCAGACTTAACATTAAAAGACCGAATGTGATCACTAAGAAGGACTAGATTATTTTAAGAATCTTAGTGTATAGTGTCATCTGTCCCGGGTGCTCTAACTCCTGTCCCAAGACAGTGGAATGACCATATGGTCCATGGAAAAACAATTTTATGGTCATTTTTCTGTACAGACAAAAATCAGTTACAGAGGAGCTACTGAAAATCAGCCCCGCAGACTTTTCATGGCCCCAACCTCTGTTAATTACTGGTAGCCAAATTGACTCTTGATTTTCAGAAAAAGCTATGACTTTCATTACCCAGGAGTTTTGTACTCTCAAAGCTGCCTGTGAAATATACTCAGAACAGGGCACAAATTAGTCGCAGTGACTGTGTTCTGGATAAATGTTGAGAAGCCATCCCAAGAGTGTCTGCTACACAGGATGCTGGATCTGGTATGTGAAAGGGAGAAGATAGACTCATCTTCCCAGTGCAGAAGGCTTTGCACCACTGCAGGCCTGGAAAGCCAGGGCTCTGTAGGACAAGGATAGGCAAATTTGCCTTCTTTCACAGGAAATGGGTGAAGCCCAGCTTGAAATTATTACTCAGACATTTTGTGCTGTGAAGGAAATGTCTTCTGATAGCACAAAGCTATTGGTTTCCTGTTGTGAACTGAGAGTTTCTGCCTTGCCCAAGAACGGACAGGAAGGGAAAGGGTGGTTGTCCCTTGGAAGTCCTTGTTGAATGAAAACGCCTGCTCAAGGTTTTCCAGGACACTCCAAACGGCCAGAGGAGAAGTTAGAGGTTGGGGAGAGGTCACATTGGTAAGGGAGGTAGTGCGTGTGGAATGAGAGTGTGGAGAGGTTGGCTGTGTCACACTTCAGCTCCACAAACATTAGTTGAGCAATACTACATGCTGTGGCATGTGCCCTGTGTCAGGTGTGTCAGCTGGCTTAGGCAGACCTTGCCCTCCAAATAACAGTCCAGTGGTGGAAACTGGTACAAAAACAATTTTTGAGCAATATGATAAGGGCTGACATGGAGCTATGCCTAGAGTACTATGGCAACATAGCACTGTACTTTGGAACAATCTTTACAACCTTTTGGCTTAGCTTACCCTTGTTTATAATGAGGGATAAGAAGTAGAACTTAAGATTTCCAAAATAGTGGTAATAACTGCTGAGCATTAACTATGTTCTCAGTGCGTTCTATGCATTTTCTCCTCTACTCCTCACAATAACCCTGTGGCGTTGGTCCTATAAGGTTTAGAAAGGATGGTAACTTGCTGAAGGTCACAATTCATAAGATGCAACACTGGATCCTGGCAACCCTCTCTTCATCCCTCCTCTCTATTCCAGAGACTCCTTTCTCCAATATATTTGGAGATGATAGGGTTTGCTATGAGCCCCGAGTCTGATCCTGAGTCGCTCTCTTGGCAGGTGTGCCCTCCTGCTTCTGTCAGTGCTGCTGTTGACAATTCCATAATATTCCATCTTCACTGCTGCGCCAGCCCCAGCAAGTTCACGGTTATCTGTGTCCACGCAGGGTTGCTTCTGCCACACTGGCCTCTGGGAGGGTGACCTGGGAAAGCCCAATCTTCACTATCCTATTGGCCTCCACAACACCACCTCATAAGGCTGTATGTGTGAGGCTCATTTTACTGAAGAGCTTGGGTAGCTAAAGGGAATTGCAACGTAGTAGAATAAATTTACAGTGGTTTGCAAAATAGGAACAGTCTCACCACCCAAAAGAATATAATCTCTCCCAAGTAGTTAAAGACCATTAGTGAGGGTGATGGTTTGTGGGCACACCCCAGTTCCCAGGATTGCTCCCCCTCTCTGAGTCAACCCTCCTCTTTCCTCCTCCATGTGTCCAGTCAGCATTTGCTACTCAAGAGGGTTATGGCCGGGCACGGTGGCTCACGCCTATAATCCAGCACTTCGGGAGGCCGAGGCGGGTGGATCACCTGAGGTCAGGAGTTCAAGACCAACCTGCCCAACATGGAGAAACCCTGTCTCTACTAAAAACACAAAAAATTACCTGGGCGTGGTGGCAGGCGCCTGTAATCTCAGCTACTCAGGAGGCTGAGGCAGGAGAATCACTTGAACACGGGAGGCAGAGGTTGTGGTGAGCTGAGTTCGCACCAGTGCACTCCAGCCTGGGCAACAAAAGCAAAACTCCTCTAAAAAAAAAAAAAAAGGTTATTGGTTGCCCTGTGATCTAGCCTCCCCTCTTCTCTCACCAGTAAGACAGTAACCTACAGAGAAGGGCAGAGAATGGACCTGAGGCTTTAGGTCCTAACTGCTACTGTTATTCTACCTAATAGCACACAAATCTTTGCCTCTTTGTGTTTGTATACCTGTGCACAGCTTCAGATTGTGAATGAAAAACAACCTTCTCTAGTACATCAAAAAAATAAAAATTAAAACCCTTCATATTTTTCTTAATGTTTGGTATACTGCATGCATGTGTTCACTCAAATATTTATAATTTCAGCCATGTGCAGTGGCTCACACCTGTAATCCCCCACTTTGGGAGGCTGAGGCAGGTGAATCACCTGAGGTCATGAGTTCGATACCAGCCTGGCCAACATGATGAAACCCTGTCTCTACTAAAAATACAAAAATTAGCTGGGCGTGGTGGAGCACACCTGTAGTCCCAGCGACTCAGGAGGCTGAGGCACGAGAATCGCTTGAACCTGGGACATGGAGGTTGTGGTGAGCTGAGATCCTGCCACTGCACTCCAGCCTGGGCAATAGAGCAAGACTCTGTCTCAAAAAAAAAAAATAAATAAAAAATAAAATAAAATTTAAAAACAAAGCAAATATTTATGAATTTCAAATAGTATTTACCAAAGGCCAAATCCTATACTAGACACAAAGAATTCAGAACAGAAATTAGTATTAATAGAATATTCCTGTGTTCTAGGAGGTAGCTCTCAGTCCATCAGAGACACTGTTTGTAGTAGACACTGTAGGTTGACTCACTCTACACATAATTCCAATTCTCCTCTCCCTTGCCCTTCTCTGTTATAGAGATTGCGGAGTGAAATATTTGTTTATCTACTCTCCCTTCTAGCTAAAAATGGCTATGAAATACAGTTCAGGTCAAGGAAATATAAACAGAAGTCTGCTGAGGGGTGTTCTGGAAAAGCTTTTGCTATAACACGAAAAGAGGGACAGCTACACACACAGCTTTTTTGCTTCCTGTCTGGAATGTAGACATGATACAGCAGCCATCTAGTGATGAAGGGGTGACAAGCCAGAGACCATGGATGGAGGAGTAATATGTAAAGTCCCTGTGTTCCTGATGACATTGGTGAGTGCATTTCCTACCTAAGAACCGCTTACGTCTGCATATCTTATTATGAGAAAAATAACCTCCACTTGTTTAAGCCACCATTTGTACTCAGGACTCTATTGCTTGAATACATTTCTAATGTATGCCTACATGAATAAAAATAGCTATGCAAGAAGTGGTATATTAACAGGCAAGAAAAATAAATCATGGGAGCATAAAAAAGAATAAGATCATGTCTTCTGCAGGAACATGGAGGAAGCTGGAGGCCACTATCCTTAGTAAACTAATGCAGAAACAGAAAACCAAATACCACATGTTCTCACTTAAAAGTGGGAGCTAAATGATGAGAACACATGGACACATAGAGGGGAACAGCACACACTGGGGCCTACTGGAGGGTGGAGGGTGGGAGGAGGGAGAGGATCAGGAAAATAACTAATGGGTGACAAAATAATCTGTATAACAAACTCCCATGACACTAGTTTACCTACATAACAAATCTGTACATGTACCCCTGAACTTAAAAATTAAAATGAAAAAAAAAAGAAATTATGGGAGCAAACAAGAGAAATCCTCCCAGAAAAAGGCAGCATTTGAGCAAATTCTTGACAGAGCAAAAAGAATTTTTCAGATGCACAAAGGCAAGAAGGTACTCTAGGCAGAAGGAAAAGTATGTGTGAATGAATAAGCCCAGTAAAGGTGCAGCAAGACAGCTCCCAGCAATTGAAGTGCAGATTATAAGTGAGAAAGATGTAGGGTCAGAGAGATAAATACAAGGGCAAAATCCAAAATCAGTTTAGACTTTATCTTTTAGCAATAGAGGATTACTTGAAAGGCTTAAAGCTGGAAGATAAATAGGGGTTTATAGTTTGGAAAGTTAACTTTGCCGGGAGGGTACGTGAGAGATGAGAGGGAATAGAGGAAAGAATGGAGGATGCTGGGAGATTATTGGAATCTTACAGGTGAGAAACAGTGAGACCTGAACTAAGGCAATGGCTTCAGGGCTCAAAGGAAGGAAAATATTTGTAAGATAAATGTTGGAATCTAATCTAAAATTGCATAGAATTATACATACACAAACATACACAAATGAATGCATATTAAAACTGGTTAAAAAAAAACAGCTGGATGTCGTGGCTCATGGTGATTACAATAAAGGGATTGTAATCCAATAAAAGGATTGGGATTACAATAAAGCCTGTAATCCTAACACTTTGGGAGGCTGAGGCGGGTGGATCACTTGAGGCCAGGAGTTCGAGACCAGCCTGGCCAAAATGGTGAGGCCCCATCTCTACTAAAAATACAAAAAATTTGCCAGACTTGGTGGTGCTGTAACCTCAGCTACTCAGGAGGCTGAGGCAGGAGAATCACTTGAGCCCAGGAGGTGGAGGTTGCAGTGAGCCAAGATCTCACCACTGCACTCCATCCTGGGCAACAGAGCATGGCTCTTTCTCAAAACAAAAAACAAAACAAAACAAAAATCTGTAGACTAATTAACAGTATTGTACCAATGTCAATGCCCTGGTTTTGATACTGTATAATAGGGTAGGTGCCAAGGCTCACGCCTGTAATCCCAACATTTTGGGAGGCCGAGGCAGGAGGCTCATTTGAGTCCAGGAGTTGGAGACAACTTGGGCAATATGGCGAGACACCAACTCTATTTAAAAATAAATAAATAAACAAATAAATAGATATTGTACTATAGTTAAGTAAGATGTCACCATTAGGGGAAGCTAGGTGAAGTATACACAGTACTTTATGTAGTATTTTAACAACTTTCTGTGAGTCTATTATTTCAAAATAAAAAGCTTAAAATGTTTTAAAAGTTAAAATAAATTTCCATAAGAATCTAGGCCTCTAAAAGAAAACAAATTATATATAGAGGAACACAGGTCAAGCTGGTCTCTACAAAGCTAAATACCAAGAAAACAACAGTGCAGTCTTCACAAAAGAGTGGCACAATTTTGAGAATGAATCAAAATTAAGATCTCAAGAATGGCAAAGACATAGTTTGAAAGTGCTAAAAGTGGGTGATGAAATCTTTAAATATCATGGTGTCTTTTGAGATTGCTTTTTAATTTACTTCTAAAACATCTTGAAAATGTAAAAATTCCTTACAGACACATGCTGTAAAAATACATACATATATACATAATTGTTGGGTTATTTTTCCTCTGCTCTTCTAACTCCTGGGCTAATGTGTCCTCCCTTGGGCTGGTGGTCTTTGCATTCCCGTTTCAAGAATGATTGTTCTCTTTGGCCATAGGCCTCTAGGAGCAGGTCTGAGATCACCCTAGCCTCAGCAGCCCATGCCCTGAGCCACCAGAGCAAGAGCTTCCCTTGACCCCATCTCGGGTCTCTGTAGGATCCCACACCAATTCCAAGGCTGCCAGTGGGCACCCGAGTACTCCTCTTTTCTGCTTTGTCTGACGGCTTTGCCTGCCTTAACCAGTAGTCACACTGGCCCTCTGGAATCACCATGTATATTCCATGTAGGATCTAACAACCCTACATCGCCTTAGTAAGCTCTGACTCTCTGGTTTCTGACCTTCCATCACATTGAAATATCCAAATGGAATCAGTTGTCCCTTACCAAGCTGGGAGAGGTGATTTATCCCACCCTGTTGTTTCAGATCAGAAAGAATAAGTTCAAGACAGCATTCCCCAAACTGTGCTTTACAAAAAACTAATATACAATGAGATATTAATAGGTAGTCAGAAAAAAGTTCCACTATTAAACTAAGACAAAGTTAAAGAGGGTTATTTTTATTGCATATCATTTAAGTTTTTAACAGCCTAATATTTCTTGTAAATATTGTGCCCCAGACTAATTTGGGGAGCTTTATTAGTGGAAATCCTAGTTTCAGTAATCAGAATTCTAGACATTCATAGAACTGTAGTTTGAGGAAATGCTGTTCCAGGGTGAGGTGTCCCCAAGGAAAGACAGATCCCTTCCACTCTATAGAGTTTTCCTTTCCCTGCCCTATTCCCAAGCCTTGCTAGCAAAGGAAAAATGGCTATGTTCCAGGATTAAGAGTTAAGTTCCTTCTGCACAGAAAAGGAAAAGGAAGCCACCCAGCAACTTGAGGGCCTGGCAGTGAGACTGCAAACTCCAAGGGAAGACAGGCAGGAGAGAGGCCTAGAAAGACGCAGAAAAGAGTGCAGGCTTCCTTTTCCTTCATTCTGATACAAAACCTTCGTTTAGAGATGCCTCTGCTTGCCAAGGTTGTTGATATTTCAAAGCAAAGAACTAAGTAGGTGGGAAGTAGAGAAAACTGTGGAAAGGGGCCAGGAAGGAACGCGGGGATAAATATAGGAATCTCATTGTGGATGTTCTTCTATTTCAGTGTCTTCTCTCCCTCCCACCCTCCCTCTTTTGTTCTTTCTTTCTCTCTCTCTGACAATTACCCTAATACTATTTGGTTCCATTTCCAATATTGAAGCTGTCTTTTTAAGCTCAACAAAACCTTACACATTTATTATTTGCTCTGAAACACTTCAGCAAAATAATAAATAAAACATTCATAGTGATTGGGGTTGGGTCATGGGGATTTATACTACTTTTTGTATTTCTGAAAGCTTCCATGATAAAATCTTTTTAAAACACACACACAGCACCTCCTTTGCTTCACTATGGGAATAGGCTTACCTGGATCTCAGAGCCCTTATAAATTACAAAACAAACCAAAATTCATAAAACGAGCCAACAAACAGAAACAGAAGCCAAAGAAATAGAAACTCCAAATATGCCTGAGGACTTGGCAATGATTACAGAATTTTAAAGTTCAAAGTCTTGATTGGCCATTGATAAGCAACCCACAGCTCCTAGTACTGAATGCTGTTTGCACAGCTTGCAGATTCAGCCTGCAAAGTAACTTGACAGTGGAGAATGAGAAACTGCCTTCTTATACAGTGTTTCCAACATCTTAGAGAAGTTTTAAGCTCTTTTTTCTTTTTTCTTTCTTTCTTTCTTTGGAGACAGGTGCCCAGGGTGGAGTGCAGCAGGTACAATCATAGCTCACTGCAACCTCAAACTCCTGGACTCAAGCCATCCTTCTGCCTCACCCTCCCAAGTAGCGGGGACTATGGGTAGATGCCACCATGTCCAGCTACTTTGTAAATTTTTTTTTAGAGATGGGGCCTCACTGTGTTGCCCAGGCTATTCTCAAACTCCTGGCCTCAAGTAATCCTGCCACCTCGACTCCCATAGTGCCGAGATTACAGGTGTGAACCACCATGCCCTGCCCGTGCTAAGCTTTAATCATTGCAGAAGTGTAAATAAATGTTGCAAACTTTACCAAAAAAAAATCTGAAGTTTTAGTTATTCAAGTTTCTTTTAGACCTTTTTAGTTTTGTGAATTTAGAACAATCCCATTTTTAATTGTTTGTTTCAGTCAATGCTTACCATCTGCAAGAGGAGTCTATCATTTTTTAAAATGTCAAATTAAAAAATACATTGCTTCAAATTCACAAATGCAATAAGTGTAAATGGAATTTAAATAATTACATTTTTATATAACCTCTTTTGTAAGTTTGTTTCATTTATACTTCTGAAGTTATTAAAGCTGGGAATTGCACTAAGGGTTTTGGAACAATGTGTCATGCACCTTAAATATGACCAGATATTAATACAGTATTGGCTTTGGGGAATTGAGGGTGGACTTTAAAGGGCTTAGAATTTTACCAGGACATGCCTTGGGAAGCTGCAAATGTGCCATGCTCTGGGTTTCTCTCAAACTCGTGTGTGCCTTTACTTGCCACCACCCCCACTCAAGAATTCGACTCTAGTGGTGTTTGGGGGCAGCGTGGGAGTTTGAGGAACTGGCAGATACTCATTTGCACCTCTTGCCCATCTTTCTTTCCTTTGAGCATCTTTCTAACTTCATTTCTGCTTGACAATATTTTCCCATTGCCCCATGAGCTCTGTCACGCATCTGTCCTCTCCTTCCTGTGAGCAAATCAGCCTATGGCTTTCCCCTAATGATGTGAAGGCTGCACAGAAGGAAAAAATCAACAGACGACAATCAACAAGAGGGAAATTGGCTATTTCAAGCTAACATATTGCACTAGTTCATTTTGCATTGCTACAAAGGAATGCCTGAGGCTGGATAATTTATAAAGAAAACAGGTTTATTTTGGCTCAGAGTTCTGTAGACTGTACAAGAAGCATAGAGCTGGCATCTGTTTCTGGTAAGGTCTCAGGGAGCTTACAATCATGACAGAAGTCAAAGGAGGAGCAGGGGTGTCACACGGTGAGAATGGGAGCAGTAGAGACAGGAGGGAGGACCTAGACTCTTTTTAACAACCAGATCCCACGTGAACTAATAGAATGAGAACTTACTACCAGGAGGAGGGTACTAAGCCATTTATGAGGGATCCACCCCCATGACCTCCCACTAGGTCCACCTCCAACACTGGGGATCACATTTTAGCATGTGATTTGGAGGGGACAAATATCCAAACAATAACGGTTATCTTCCCTGTTTCTTCTTTCATATCAATGTCCTTCAAATTGGTGAGGACCGCCATTTCCATCCTCCTAGGCAGTGGTTGTGAAGCTCTGCTGTGCATCCTGGTCAAGAGGGATGCTTCAGCCACATGCTGACTTCCAGGCTATTCTGATTTTGTAAACATAGGGAAGCATGTAGGGTGGTCTCTGTGGCCACAGGTGAAGGGGCTTTAACTTATCCCACCCTCCAGCCAGTCTTCTCCCCTCCCCCAACAGCTCTCCACCAGTTGTGGGGGCTCTTGCAGCTTCATGGTGGAGAGTGCTGTTTTTGGAGTCAGGGAGAGCAGGATGTGGATCTTGATGGTATGATCCATGTCCTCAACTGTAAGAATGTGGTGCCTCATTAGATGATGATGAGCGCTGACTAAAATAATCAATGTGCAATTGTTGATTGCACATTGATTGGCACTAGGTAAGTCCTCAATAAAAATAAGCAATTCTAAGTATAAATAGACTCCCAATAACTATTTTATTTCCCAGTTGTTCCTAAGTCATCAACTTAATAGACTCATTTCTAGAAGACAAATGGGAATAGCTGCTTCTAGAATCGTGCCAGAAGTTAAAATTAATTCACTGTTGGAGAGGTTCTGGATTCCCCCTTTATTCCTCCCTTTATTAAAAGAACTCAGATTTCTAATCTGACCCCTCCCTTTCCCATTGCCCTTGATTTCTGGAAGATTACTAACACTACTTCTGCTTTCACAGCTGCACTTCCTCTCAGGACCTTGGAATTTAATTCATCAGGGCCCAAGGACTTAAATCCAATGAAAAAAGTTAGAACCTCTTCCTACCCCTTCACATATTTTTATTCATTCATTCAGCAAACGTTCTTGAGCAACACCACTGTGCCAGTGCGATGTTAGATGCTGAAGAGACAAAGCTCATTGTCTAATGTCTTAAACACCACTTCCCTCTGCATGCCTTTTGTTTCATCCTTTTTAGATTAAAGATTATTTCCCTTGCTATGGAAAATGGAAGCAAAGTAGGAGGTGAGCAGTTTTGCTTCCTCTTTGTTCCCTGGTATATTTACATCATTTCCTCCAAACAATGTGTCTTTCCTTTTCTTGTTCTTCTTGATCTATACAGAGCCATAAAACCTCCTTCTGATGAGTTCAGCATTTTCTCCAAGCCTCTGCTCTTCTCAAGCTCTAGTTTAAGCCTCTGTTCTTCCTGAGCTCTGTTTGGAGGCAGCCCTGCTTCCTCCATCTTTTATATATGGTCTAAGTCTGTACCTGGAGGAGCTTCCAAGAAGCTTCACTAATTCCCTCCATGCTTCCTCCTTCCCTCTCTCACTGTGCAATATATTAGTCAGGATAAGCTAGTTTTTGCTGCAATAACAAACACTGCTCCTAGTTAAAGCAATGACAAACAATGTTTAAGTCTTGATCACTCAACCAGTGATGACCCACGAAATAGGCTGACAAAGCAACGATGACTCAGCAAAACAGGTTGACAAAGGCTCAACATCCTATATTGCACCACTGAAACAGGTGGCCTTCTTCATCAATGCAGCAGGGCAAGAGAGTGCTCAAGGGTCTTATACCAGCAGGTAAATGCTTCAGCATAGGGGTGATACACATTACTTCCACTCACAAACCACCAGCCAGAATTCATCACATGGCCCCACCTAACTACAAGGGGGTAGGCAAGTGAGTACCAGGAAGGAAAAGAACGTGTATGAGTGAGCACACAAAGTTCATTCCACAGGCTGAGTCACAATTACATGACTGGAATTTCATTTTTCAGACCCTCCCAGTCCTGAAGCAATATAGACCCTTTGAGATCCTCTGACCCTAGCATGACACCTATTTCTTGCTGACTCTCCTTTTCTAAAATCTATGTTCCTTGTCCAATTACTCCCAGCCTTTCCCTCCTTCACTCCTTATCCTCATTGGGGAGGTTCCCTGGTGAGAAACTCTAGCCATTCCGATTTTATTCCTGAGAAACCTGGGGAAATTTTATTTAAGTGAAGCACCCCTGTTGGGGATAATTAGAAGATGAGAATATGGGGGCTAGAAAGAGAAGCCAAGCAGATGGCAAAGAAGTGAAGCCTCCTGCTGAAGGACTGGGGGGCATAAAGCCAACTGCAGCGAAGGAAAAGCCCACAGAGAGCCTTGCTGAGCTGCTCCAAGTGGGGGTCTCTGTGCCAGCTGCCTCTGCATCACCTGAGAGCTCATTAGAAATGCAAACCTTCAGCCCCACTGCAAGCCTGCGGAGTAGGACTCTGCATTTTAACCAGATCCCTGGGGGATTCACATGCACAGTACAGTTTGAGAAGTCCTGCAGTAGAGCACTTCAGAACACCCCTGTTGGGAAGGAAGACCTGGAAGAGATTTTTGGAACCCAGTGAGAACTGGCAGCAGAACCTGGCAATCCTATATCTTAAAAATAGAGAGGTTTTAAACAGGGTGCAGAGACTGTGCAGATGCTGGTGTATTATGCATATCTTTAGCAGCAACACAAAATGAATTTATGACCATCTAGTTAAAATGGAGGAGGAAGAAGTTTCTAAAAAGCTTGTACCAAATAAGGAATGATAAATGAGAATTCCTTACATAATATTTACTGTTACTAATATGAAGTATGCTAAATGTTACTGATATTATCTTAATTTAATATATGATTTTTGTAAAGGTACAAATATTGGAATGCTTTCCCAAGGCTCACTTGCATCCTCAGTTTCTGACATGCTTCTTTTCCCTAAGTATTAATTCCCACTGGAGTTGTCAGGATCAAACTATCCTTCTCGCTCCTACTGATTGGCAATGCAGAGATTGTAGCATTTGGTTCTGCCACTCCCAAATTCCCAAGATTCTTATTGCCCACTCCCCCAGCCTCCTTTCTCTAGACTGCACTGGTGACTCCTCTCTCTGCACTACTGCCCCTCTTCATTTTAAGATGTTGCAACCACCAAATTTATAGACTGTTCTTTACCTTTTCACTGGGGGTTGGTTACCTTCTGATGGCATGTAGAAAGGATCTGAGCTGTGGGTAACTTGGGAACAAATCCCAAATGAGAGAGTGAAATGCAGATTGCTTTTATTCACAGGAAGGGCACTTCTGATATATTGGGCTTATTTCACCCTTTAGTGTGAAGAACTACTTTATATCATCATAGATATAAATACAGACCTAGACATAGATATAGATAACTATCATTTATTCATGCACGGATATAGAATATCTGTTTCCCATCATATGGACCATAAATGGTGGTCACGTTTCTTACCATTTGAGAAAAGTCTGGTGCTCGGTGAGAATGAAGTTAACATGCAAAAAGAAACAGGGAAGAAAAATGGAGAGCAAGTCCCTAAGCATTCAAGGTTCCAAGATTTGATTTTTCCTGAGGCCCTGCTATGCCTTTGTTTTTTGGCTCATTCCCTTCTAGGAGACCATGAACCAACCCACTTTTGTACAAGCTGGGTTAAGCCAGGTTTCTATTGCCTGGAACCAAGAGACTAAAGTCATTCTCCAAGGCCTCACCTCCTTCCTTAGGTACCATTACTGTGGGAGGACCCACATCCTAACTATGCTATGCTATAATATTGTGACATTTTAAACACAGTGGAAATAGAGGCATGGTTACCTGCATCCATATTATGATGGTAGCAATCGAATTCATCCATCCATAGATTAAGGAATGAAAAGCCCTGTCCCCCTCTCAGTCTGATATACCCAGGCATGTACCACACAGTAAGTGTTGAGATTAATGGGCGAAGCTGGAGAGTATGAGCAGTTATGTATGCCCACTGTCATTATCTCCAGAAAAATTCAATGCATGCCGACCTGCTGAAGTCAGGCAAGAAGGCATCCCTGGGATCCCTAGAAGCCTTGTGATATGAGAGGATGCATGCATTCCATTGTTTCTGAGGCTGGGTGAGTCCAGGAAGGACAGAGGATATTTTTAGAGAATCTCCATGTGCTGGCTTTGTGTATTATCTCACCTGGTAATCTGTTGGCTTCCATATGCTGTGGCATTGAGAGTGCAATCATCATTTCACAGAGGAGGAAACCAAGCCTCAGTGAGGGAAAGTGATGTGCTCAAGGTCACCAGCTACTAAATGCCAGAGCTAGGATTTGAACCCAGATCTGTTAGATGCTAGAGCTTCTTCTGTTCCCCTACAGCTGTGCTTCTGAAATTATGCCATGCACACAAGTCACTTGGGGGCCTTGGGAAAATGCAGGTTCTGATTCAGGAAGTGTCTCTGTTTTGTGCTGCTATAACAGAAAATCACAGATTGGGTAATTTATAACAAACAGGAATTTATTGGCTCATGATTATGGAGGCTGAGAAGTCCTAGATCAAGGGGCTGGCATTTGGTGAGGGCCTCCTTACTTTGTCATAACATGACAGAAGGTATTACATGGGGAAAGAGAGGTGGAGGATGAGGGGCCAAACTCCTTCTTTATAATGTATTCTTTGTAACTCTTGCTATAACAGCATTAATCTATTCATGAGGGCAGAGCTCTCATGACCTAATTACCTCCTAAAGGTCTCACCTCTCCACATTGTTGCTTTAGGGATAAGTTTCCAACATGTGAACTTTAAGGGACACATTCATAACCTAACAGTAGATTCAGACTCCAGGGTTGAAACTGAGAGTCTACATTTCTAACAAGCTCCCAGGCGATAGCAGCACTGCTGGTCTCTGGACCCGCTTTGGGTAACAAAACTTAAAGGACCACATGGCCCTGAGCATAAGTTCTCTGAAAATTAGGAGAAATCTTGGGGAAGAATTTCAACTTTTGTGGACCGTAGAATTGGTAGAGGTTTGAGCTAATTTTGCAAAGTTCTTGTGGGGTAGGGAGGCCTCAAGCTAACATCTGGGCTACATAAGTATTTAGTTGTACAGAAGACAGAATTTTTTTTTTAAGATGCAAAGGAGTCGGAAAACTCCTTTTCTGGTCTGCAGGCAAAAGCTTCCCTGGAGAAAGAAGATCTCTCCTGCCAGACCCTGTTCCTTCCAGAGCTTGTTTTGCACTGTCTAACTCTTTGTTTTGCCACAAAGATCTATGGGGCACCCCCATTAGCCATTAGCTAGCTGTAGCAGAAACTGCCAGATCTTCTTGCACCCCTCCCCCACTACATACGTTCCAAAATGTTAAAATTGCAGCAATTACATGAATTGCTATGAGAGATGGAACTGTGAGAAATGGATTAGTACAATGGAGCACATGTCATAAACCCAAGAGAAAGCCCAACACTTCAACAAAAAAACAAAACTAAAAAATATATATACTTTCCACATATTCCATTAAGGGGAAGAGACAAAGAAACTTGGCCTAGGGATCCTCCTAGCCGAGAGTCTAGGAAACCTAACATGACTGTTGGCAGTTCTTTGCTGGGATGGGGTGTGGTCCCCTCTCACACAGCTCCAGTACACTGCTCAAGGACTAAAGTGACTTTGAGCTATGTCTCAAAAGCAAGTAAGATGTTCCTTCAACTTTCTTTCATGATACAAAATTTGAACTCGTCTTTCACCTATCAAGAGCTGCAGCCCTAATCCCACTCACCAACTTGTTCCACACCTGCTACTTAAAATTCAATTATCAAATCCCACGTGCAGGCCAGGCGTGGTGGTTCATGCCTGTAATCCCAGCACTTTGGGAGGCTGAGGCAGGCGGATCACTTGAGGCCAGGATTGAGACCAGCCTGGCCAATATGGTAAAACCTCATCTCTACTAAAAATACAAAAAATAGCCGGGTGTGGCGGCACACACCTATAATCCCAGCTTTTTGGGAGGCTGAAGCATAAGAATTACTTGAACCCAGGAGGCAGAGGTTGCAGTGGGCCAAGATGGGTCCACTGCTCTCCAGCCTGGGCAACAGACTGAGACTCTGTCTCAAAAACAAAACAAAACAAAATCCCATGTGTGTGTTTGACAATGTCTATGCAAACTGAATATGTGCCTGCCCTACGACCCAGAAAGCCTACTCCTTGGTACACAACCAAGAGACATACGTTCATGTAGGCTAGGAGCACACGTTCACAACTGTGCTCACAGAAGCCCTGTTCCTAACAGCGCTGACCTGGGAACAACTCAAATGTCTCCCAACAACAGACGAGATAAAAGAGTTGTATTACATTTACGTAGTGAAATACTGTGCAATATTGGGAAAGGATGAACTGCAAGTGTATGCAACAACATGGATGAATTTCACAACATACTGAATGAAAAACAAGGTATTTAGAAGTCAGGGTGGCGGCATCCTTGGCAGAAGGCATGAGGAAAAGGAAGGGGACACAGGGAAAGCGGGTCTGCAGTGATGGTTGTGTTGTTTCCTGATCTAGCTGCTGGTTTCACAAGTGTGTCCACTGTGCGAAGATTCATCGACATTTATACCCATGATTTGTGCACTTGTATATATGTTACGCTTGAATTAAAAGTTTACTTAGAAAAAGGAAAAGTTTACCATTCACCTCTAAATCAAAGCCTCTTTTCTGTTAGTGATTTCGCAGCAGCACCTCGGAGGTGTCCAACCCCTCCTTCCCCCTGCCTCCACCACAGTCTGGCTTCGTAGGATCTTTCTTCTGTGTGGCTGGCGTTTGTCTCCTCCCATCCTGCTTAACTTCCCCAGTCAGGGCCTCAACCCCTCAGACCTGTTATGAATGAAATCATGGCCTCTCTGGGCTCCCTGCTTCCTGTCTGTCCCATCCAGCTCCTTTAAAGTGTTTGCTCTGGATCTCTGCTTTCATCATAATCCTCCTTTTAAACTTCCAGTCCACCATCATCAAGTCCGCGATAAAATGCAGCTTCTCTGCATGGCACTCAGGCCGCCCTTTTAAAAATCAGGCCACACGTCCCTTCCAACTTCGTCCAGTCTGTGCTCCCTAATGAGCCAATTCTCCAGCCAGATGGTCCCCTCCTCCCTCATTGTCAGCACACTCTTGTGGCTTCTGCCTGCAACCCCAAGCAGGAGAGAAAGCCCAAGCCCACTCCATCTTGCTCATTCTTCCCAGGACCAACTCAGGTTTCTTTAGCCTTCCCGATAAGACCTTGACATTAGCCTCATCCAATTCCTCTCTCCTCTGAGTTTGGCTGTCCATACTTACTTGCCCAAATCATTCAGGGTTGGCCTTATGGGCACGTGCCCCTTGAAAGGAGCTGGAGAGGAAAAAAATGTTCTGAACTGTTTTCATTCATGCTTAGGCTGGGAACACATGCTGGTCACCATTGAATACAAAACCTCCTCTGGCTCCCAGACGTAGATCACTCAAACACCCAACCTGATCTTGAACTTCAAAATGCAAAAAAAGTAAACTCGGCAGGGAGAAAACTGCCCACTGACTACCAAAGATGACACAGCATGAATATTTCCTCCAGCTACACAATGGAGAAGCTGAGTAATATGCAGAATTCACTAAATGACGGGGACTAAGATCACAGGGGTTTTAAGGTCAGCTGAAACTCGATTGCCGTAGTTTTCCTTCCTCTTGGGTAAAAGCTTCTCTGAGCAAACCACATTTTTTCAGAGAATCAAGGCTAGAGTCCCTGGTGAGGCAGTTCGTTCCTGGCCTTCTGTCCTGGGCCACGTGCTTCTCAGCCCTTCCCTGTTGGGCTGCGGGAGGGTTCAAGATGGAATGAGGTAATGCTGGCAGGACAGCTGCCCAGGGAGCGAACGAAACTCTGCCCTGGTTGCAGCCTAAGCAGGACAGGAAGCAAATTAGCAGAAGCAAGCAGTAATTTGACTGCCAACAATAGGAGTCAAAACTGCATTTCTGACCCTGCACCGTTGATCCTCCTCACAACAATAGTCATCCACAAGCCATAAAAAGGCCGATGAAACACTATTTGAGATTGCAAATGCTGGAGTCAAAAGAGTCCTGGGTCCAAATTCTGGCTCTGCCACCCATCCGCTGTACGACCTCGGACAACTTGCCTAAGGTCTGTTAGACTCTGATTCTTAAATGTGCATATTTCATCAAGGTACTGTATGAAATGAGGATGTATGTAAAGTGTGTAGTACATAGCAAGAGCCCAATAAATAGACAGTATGTTCTATGGGCTTTTGTGAACCCCTGCCATCTTGAGTTTATTAACCCTCCATGCGTAAAAACTCCCTCACATTTTTTGCTTCCTTACGTTCTTTTTTTTTTTTTTGAGATGGAGTTTTGCTCTTGTTGCCCAGGCTGGAGTGTAATGGCGCAATCTTGGCTCACTGCAACCTCCGCCTCTGGGGTTCAGGCGATTCTCCTGCCTCAGCCTCCCAAGTACCTTAGATTACAGGTGCCTGCCACCATACCCGGCTAATTTTTTGTATTTTTTAGTAGAGACGGGGTTTCACCATGTTGGCCAGGCTGGTCTCAAACTCCTGACCTCAGGTAATCCACCCGCCTTGGCCTCCCAGAGTGCTGGGATTACAGGTGTGAGCCAACGCGCCTAGGGTTATCATGAGGATTAAATGAGTTAATGTATACAGTCAGCCCTCTGTATCTGTGGGCTCCATATCTGTGGGTTCAACGAACTGCAGACAGAAAATATTTGAAAGAAAAAATGATGTCTGGGCTGGGTGTGGTGGCTCATACCTGTAATCCCAGCACTATTGGAGGCCAAGGCAGGTGGATCGCTTGAGGTCAGGAGTTCAAGACCAGCCTGGGCAACATGGTGAAACCCCGTCTCCATTAAAAATACAAAAATTAGCTGGGCATGATGGTGCATGCCTGTAGTCCTAGCTACTCAGGAGGCTGAAGCAGGAGAATCCCTTGAACCCAGGAGGTAGAGGTTGCAGTGAGCCAAGATCCACCACTGCACTCCAGCCTGGGCAACAGAGTGAGACTCTTTAAAAAAAAAAAAAAAAAAGAAAGAAAGAAAGAAAAGAAAAGAAAAGAAAAAATGATGTCTGATGTCTGAACTGAACAAGTAGAGACTTTTTTATATTGTCATTATTCCCTAAACAACACGGTATAACAATTATTTACATAACATCTACATTGTAGTAGGTATTATAAGTAATCTAGATATGATTTAAAGTATACAGGGCTGGGTGCAGTGGCTCACGCCTATAATCCCAGCACTTCTGTAGTCCAAGGCAGGCAGAAGGCTTGAGCCCACAAGTTCAAGACCAGCCTGGGCAACATGGTGAAACCCATCTCTACAAAAAAAATAGAAGCTAATCTGTGAAGATGAAGACTATATGTATGAGTCATTCACATGCTGGTGGTAAATTATCAATCTGCAAAATTAATCTGCAATATATAAAAATTAGCCCCATGTGGTAGCCTGCACCTGTAGTTCCAGCTACTCAGAAGGATGAAGTGGGAGGATCACCTGAGACCCTAGAGGTCGAGACTACAGTGAGCCATGATCGTGCCACTACACTCCAGCTTGGGTGATGGAATAAGACTCCATCTCAAAATGATAATAATAAAGTATACAGGAGGATGTGCACAGATTATATGCAAATACAACACCATTTTACATCAGGGAGTTGAGCATCCAGGGATGTTAGTATCCAAGGGGGTCCTGGAATCAATCCCCCACAGATACAAAGGAACAATTCTAAGTGCTTGGAAATGCACCTAGAACATAGAAAGTATCATGTAGGTGTCAGTTATTATTAGGAAAGCCTGGGGCAAAGGATACGAAATTACAAGGAAGATGATGCTGAAGACAAATTCTCCCATTTCCCAACTCAGGGGCCTGGCTAGAGTCACTGTTTCTCTCTGCAAACTGGCCATTTCCATTTCCACCGTCTTTTGCTGCCAACACGGAGAAGAGCTTCTGTGCTACAGCCGAGCCACATTTTGGTGCACGAAGATGTGCGGGTTGCCTGAGGATTCTAAGCAGCAGTTCTAGTACGTTTTCCACAGGCAAAATGCACTTGAGGCTCCAAACTACCAGCTTTGATCAACTGTTATGTGAGGTAAGGCCTTATCTGGTTCATCCTAAAGCATCCTAATGAAAACAGAAAACTGTAAGGGGAAACAGATGCAAGTTTGTGGCAGAGGGAAAAATGCACTGGAGTCTTGGGAAAGATGGGGAGGGAGGGCTATTCCTTTTTAAACACAGCATCTAAGATTAAAGTGCTTGTTATTACAATTATCCTCCAAAGAAATCCCATAAAATCCCCTCATTAGACTTTGACCCCAGACTTTAGACTCAAAAAATGAGAATTTGCTTTTTTTTTCAGTAGGGATCGTACCACGTAAAATATAGTATAAAAATAAAATAATAAAAAAGTCAAAAAATAAAAATAAAGGGAAAAATTTTAAATAAATTTAAAAAGGAAAAAAGAGAAAGAAAGTAACTAAATTTTTTTTAAAAAGAATTCACTTTTTTTGCTTTTCTTTGCAATTCTGGCGATGAGCTGACTTTCCCTGCGGCAACACCCACAAAGCAGTTCATGTCTCCTCTTTGAGCTTCAAGGGCACCATTTTTAAAATGGGGTTAAAAACACTTACCAAATGAAATATTGTATGGAATGGGTTTGGAGGTACCTCAAGCATAGCTGGTGATTATTGTTAGCATTAATATTTACTTCCAATGCCAAAAAACTGCCCCTCATTTTAAACTCCTTCTCTTAAGAGCTTTCTCTCAGCTCCTCCTTGCCTATAAGCCCAGACCCTGCTCTTTCATTACTAATTTGGTTTGCACAAAGATGTCATCCTAGAGTCCCATGGCAGAAATGGACCCTGGGCCACCCCACTGCCTTCCAACAAGTCCCTAAAGAGCCCGTCCCAGATTGCTAGAAATAATTAGACACCTAAAAAAGGAAAGTACACAGTCATGCTGATTCATACCCTTCAACTATTTAGGGGGCACAGAATGGCCCCACTACAAATGACCTAGTCTAATGCCCTCATTTAAAGACAAGGAAACTGAGGCCTAGAGAGGGAAGCTTGTTCAAGGTCATGCAGGGAGGTAGAGTTGAGCCCCAACTAGAGCTCTTAGCCATTGACTGCCAGAGAGCACTGACTCATTGTTCCAGGAGTTTGTGTACCATAGACAGGATGGTTTTGGGAAAATCACTTGAAGAAACATTAGGTCTCTTTCTCCTTGGGATTAGGGCTATTTGTGTTTCTATCTTATTCCCCAGCTAGAAGCTGAGCTACTAGAGAAGGCAAGGATCAAGCTCAATCATTTCTCCATCAATGCCTTGCACAGTATTAATACTTATTAAATATGTGTTACTAAGTACAGAAACAGTTGCTGTACAATAATAGGTAACTTAAAATAAGCCTGTTCATGTATCCAAGTAAATGATCAGAAATATGGGGGGAATTTGTTCATAAAGATGTTCATGCAAATACTACTTACAATAGTAAGCTATTGACAAAACAACCACCAAAATTTCTAACGAGGAAGAAATGACCAATTATATTGTAGTATACCCATGCAATAGAATTAAAATAGTATTTTAATAACACTTAAATTCAATTAATTTTAACAAAATGGTAAAATGCTACGCAAAAAAAAAAAGCAGGTTACAGTCGGGCGTGGTGACTCACACCTGTAATCCCAGCACTTTGGGAGGCCGAGGCAGGCAGATCATTTGAGGTCAGGAGTTCGAGACCAGCCTGCCCAACATGGCGAAACCCTGTCTCTATTAAAAATACAAAAATTAACTGGGCATGGTGAAGGGTGCCTGTAATTCCAGCTACTTGGGAGGCTGAGGCAGGAGAATCACTTGAACTCGGGAGGTGGAGGTTGCAGTGAGCTGAGATCATGCCACTGTACTCCAGCCTGGGTGACAAGAGCGAAACTCCATCTCAAAAAAAAAAAGGAGGTTACAAAAAAAATTCTAAGCAATTAACCATGTTAAAGAATATGTATAGAGGGCTGGGCATGGTGGCTCATGCCTGTAATCCCAGCACTTTGGGAGATCAAGGCAGGCTGATCACGAGGTCAGGAGATTGAGACCATCCTGGCTAACGTGGTGAAACCCTGTCTCTACTAAAAATACAAAAATTATCCGGGAGTAGTGGCAGGCGCTTGTAGTCCCAGCTACTCAGGAGGCTGAGGCAGGAGAATGGCGTGAACCCAGGAGGCAGAACTTGTAGTGAGCCAAGATTGTGCCACTGCACTCCAGCCTGGGTGACAGAGTGAGACTCTGTCTAAAAAAAAAAAAAAAAAAAAAAAAAAAAGAATATATATATAGAAAGAAATTATTGGAAGGACATATGCCTGAAATTTAGAGTGGTAATCTCCCAGTAGTAGCATGTTATAGAGATTTCTTTTTTTTTAGTTTTTTTTTTAATTTTTAAAAGTTGTCTACAGTGGGTAGGCATTCTTATGACAGAAAAAGGTCACTGTAAAAGCATCAGTTGAGAAGCTATCTTTTAGAAGGGCATCTGATCAGGCCTGCTATAGTTTGGATGTCTATCCCTCCAAATCTTACGTTCACTTTTGATTCCCAGTGTTGAAGGTGGCGCCTAATGGGAGATGTTTGGGTCAGGGGTGAATTCCCCCATGAATAGATTAATGCCCTCCCTGGAAGAGGGGAACGAGTGAGTTCTCACTCCATTAGCTCCCTCAAGAGCTGGTTGTTAAAAAGAACCTGGTATCTTCCCCCGTTCTCTTATTCCCCCTCTCGTCATGTGATCTCTGCACACACTGGCTCTCCTGCATCTTCTTCCATGAGTAGAAGCAGCCTGAGACCCTCACCAGAAGCAGATGCTGGTGCCAGGCTTCTTGTACATCCTGCAGAGCCGTAAGCCAAATAAACCCCTTTTCTTTATAAATTACCCAGCCTTTATAAATTACCCAGCCTTATAGCAACATAAAGTAGTCTAAGACAAGGCCCATAGAAGATTACACTGTATCAGGGAAGTGTCACTGAGGCAGAGAAATTTACTGATCCCAAATGCCATGTGCTTCTTTAAATTCCCAGTTACCTTGCAGCTAGGGCACATGACTGTTTCTGACCAATTAGCTGTGACACAGAACACTTCCGAGTCACTTTTGGGTGGAATCATTGAAGAACCAGCAGGCTATCTTTTTCCTTGCTGCAGGCACAAAGATGAATTCCAGATGGCATCAACTCCACCAGCCTGGGTACTTGGGTGATTGTATGGACCAAGTCTCTCTCCCTTCTCTCCCCCATACTACACTGGCATGAGAAATAAACTTTTGTGCTGAAGTCACTATGGTCCAGTGGTTCTCAAACTTTGCTACTTACTATAATCACTTGGGGCCCTTTTAAGAATCCTGGTGTTCAAATATCTGGGGATAGGATCCAGGCATCAGTATTTTTTTTAACTCCTCAAGTGAATCCACTGTGCAGCCAAGGCTGATAATCAGTGACCTACTCCATTGGTTCTTAAAGTGTGGTCCCATCCAGCAGCCTCAGCATCACTTGGAACTTGTCTGAAGTGCAAATTTTCAGGCCCTGTCCCATCCCAGACCTACAGATTCAGAAACTGGGGGTGGGGTCCCACAGCTTGTGTTTAATAAGCCCTCCAGGCAATTCTGATGGACAGGCAAGTTTGAGAACCAGTGGCCTGGACTATCTAGAGTATACAGGCATATTTCCTCAAGCTGGTTAAACTGAAGATGAATTTACTAACAAAAATAAGTAGTGGTTTTGTTGTAACAAGGGATGTCCCCACTCTTAAGAAACGCTTCTTTACTTGGATTCACCTTTGGAAATATTTTCACATATGCTTTTTAAAAAATGATTGCACTAACTCAAATGAATATTGGGGGGAAAATACCCTAGGACTCAAAGTATTTCATGGGGCCAGGCACAGTGGCTCACATCTGTAATCCCAGCACTTTGGGAGGTGGAGGAAGGAAGATAGCTTGAAGCCAGGAGTTTAAGACTAGCCTGATTCTGGGCAACAAAGCGAGACCCTGTCTCTACAAAAATAAAATAAAATAAAAATTGGTCAGGCATGGTGGTACATGCCTGTAGTCCCAGCTACTTGGGAGACTGAGGTAGGAGGATTACTTAAGCCCAGGAGTTTGAGGTTACTGTTAGCTGTCATTATACCACTGCATTCAGCCTGGGGGATAGAACAAAATCATGTCTCTTAAAAACAAACACAAAAAATTCATTCATAGGTAGTCACAGTCAGTAGTTCTCAGACTTTAAGATTTCTGAACACAGTGATTTTTTTTAAATGTTGGAAGCACCAAAATAAGGTTGATAATTAATTTTGCAATGCAAGAATAGTTTTTAAAATTAAAACTAACACCATTACATTCATGAAATGAGCTTTTAACAACAAAGACTAAGAAATGATATAATCTCCAAATAAAGAAAAGTCCATGATAGTACTATTAGTAACTTGACATTTCACAGTCCTCTGTTTTCCATTTTGCTCAGATTGATGAAATCTTTGACACACATAGGTTCTGGTCCTCAGCCAGTATCTTGGAACCACTGAACTAGGTGACAATTAAGGCCAACTCCCTATTCCCCAGGACATTATGTAATACCCAAAGGCTTCCAAATTGTACCAGAAGTGGAAACCTCTAAGCACTAAGCACTGCTATAACTTTCAGCATCAAATTGTTGCAACTCACAAATTCTACTTCTCCCCACATCTCAGTTCCAAACAGGCCTCAAGGCTTAATGTCTACAAAAGAATTCACATACTTCCCCAGTCTTTAGTACCAAAAATAATAACTAAGCCAGAGTATGCTGTTACCAACGTTCAAAAGTAAGGCCCATTTATACAGACAGAAGTCACACCCTGTGTAAACCACCACCCTCTTCCCAGGATGACCCCATCACAATGCTAAAGGGACAGAGAACTTCCCTCCCAGGGAACAAGTTACCAAGTACAATCTCAATAATTTTTTTGTCAGTTTCAGTTATAAGTTGGATGGATTGTCTGGGAGCCAAGTATGACATCTTCCCTCTTGGGCAAGGCTTGAAATTGGTGCTCACAGACGGGATCATGAGAATAAAGGGCATAGAGAGGCCAGTTGAGTGATTCAAAGGGTGCCGAGTCCAGATTTCTGTCCCAGTATGTTTTGCCCCAATAAGCACTACCTCAGATTTATTCCTCTGAGCCTTGCAGGATTTGAAGGTTTCAGTGATTGCTACTGAAGAACAAGTTATGTTCTATGAGCAGTAATTCCATTAATTCCTCTTTGAGCATGCAGATTAGGTCTTACGTTTATATCACTGATGCCTGCCCCAGAGCAGGTTGCCAGGAACTGCAAGCTGAATGGCTCAAGTATACCCAGGCTGGCAGTGGACCAGCATGACGGGAAGCAACGCATTGAGCTGAGAATGGGCTTCTCTTGGGGAAATTAAAGGCAGGACTATTCTGAGAAGGTTGGTGAGCCTGTCTTCAGCTGCTAAGAGCTAATCTCAGGGATTAGGATGCAGGCATCCTAGGATAAGAAATATTTGAGGATTATCTGGGGAGAGGGCAGAGAGGTCCAAAGACAGAAAGCACAGATTATTCACCTCTCACAATCGCCCTTTCATACTGAGCTGTGATTCCTCCTTGTGCTGGGAGAACAGGAGCCTAGATTGTATCTCCCAGCCCCATGGCAAGCTTTTGCATGTGCTTGAAGCTGGATCGCTAAAGTCATTATTCCTTTCACTGAGTCCTCACAGAATTCCTTTCAAAGCTGGAAATTGCAGTCTGAGAGAGGCCGGGTCATTTGGTGACCATCACACTAGGACCCCATACCACAGCCACTCAGCTTGTGGCAAGTGCAAGGCTTCCAGCTGTGCCCCAGTGACCCCACCCCCATCCAATGTGATTATGATCCACATCACAATCCGCACCACCAGAAAGGGGACATGAGCAACGCATTCCACTTTTTATGGAAATCATCAGTGGCCATTGACCATGGTAACTCTATCTGCTTATTACTTCACTGAAACCAGAGTTTCAGTGCTAGTGGTTAGAAATGCTGGGCTGGGAGCAGGTAGGATGTGGAAGGAAGAAGTTAAATAATTAAATAGATATAATACCTTTGTTTTAAACAATCCCTTTAATTTAGATAAGATAACCATAATCTTTTATTTCCAGATAGTCTTGATGATAAAATGCAAAAAAAAAAAAATTAAGGAAATGATTCAAATGGGTAGTTGCACATTGGAAATTTTAATTTGCCCAAACGCCCAAATGCCAGTTTGCTGCTGACCTGAGGGTCCCCCTGCATTCCCTGATGGCTTTGGCATAGGATCTCTTTTTCTTCCCTAAGGCTTTAGCTTCTTTCCTCCATTCACAGGAGCCTGATCCTGGAAAGCAAAGAAGTAGGCAGAGATTGCTAGTGGGCACTGCTCACCCCAGAGCCCAGCTTAAGTACACTGTTATAACTAAAACTTGATTATGGAAAGTCATGAGTAATTTCTGTATTATAACAATTATGGGACTCAAAGCCAGGACTCACTCCCTCAGTCAGTTCTCACGCTGATTTCAAGGGCTCCCCAGGGAATATGGTTCTAAGTTCGTTTGTGGGAAAAGACTCCCTTCTTGAGGTGGCATTTTGTTTCGTGACCCCTGCTGGACCTAATACCGCCCTGAGGAGAGAGGCAAGAATCATCACCAGGTTGGCATCCAGTCCTCCAGCTCAGAGCTCAAACTTAGGTGAGGCCCTGGGGTACCTAGACCAGTTAAGGGAAGAGAATTTGGGCCATCCAGGGCCTTGGAAGCCACCCAGATCCCTGGGAAGTCCACAAAAGACCAGACATGCCAAGGCCGCCCCGTTCTGCAGCACAGATGGAGAGTCCTAGTCTTTGGAGTCATCTAGGCTCAAAGGGTTACCACGTGTTCAGAAGGACGGGAAAGATATTTCACATAAAGAGACCAACAAAAGCAAAAGCAGATATAGGAATAAGAACAGCACGGAAAAAGGCCTGAGTTCTGCCCATCATGCTGGAACAGAGGTTGGGCTGGGGGTGGTGGGAGATGAGTGCCATGGCCTGATAAGGGCCTGGTCCTATTCCCTGTGGGACCAGTCCAGTGGCATGCTGTCGGTACTCAATAAGTAGACTATGTGAAGTTGCAGTTTAGGGCCTAGATTTACTACACAAAAGACATGGCTGATGGGAGGAGGTGATGAAAGCATGCCTAATTTGGGCAGGTAATCCAGACTGCAGCTAGGGACTCATTAAGCAGCATTGTTCAGGTGAGGGTCAACAAGGGGCCTAGGCTAGGATGCTGGCTGTGCAGCTGGGGAGAAGAAACAGATGCCAAGGGTATGAGAAAGGAGAATTTGAAAGAATTTGGTAACTGACTGAAGGGAATCTAGCCAAAGGAAAAGGTTAATGAACTATTTTACTCTTGGGGCTTTTCATCTCTAAAAGCTTGATATGACTTATAAACACTACATTTGTTCAGCAGAGATGTTTATTGAGAGCCTCATATGTGTTAGGTAACTGCGTTAATCACTGGAGATAAAAAGATGATGCCACCACCTGATGATGATCCATACTAGGAACATGGATAGGTAAACAGAGAATTACAGTAACTTGATAAATACTAACATAGGGAAAGTGCAGGGTACTACAGGGACCTGCAGGAGAGGGTGCCACCCAGGCTGAGGACTGCGGAAGCGGGTTAAGGAGAAGCAGGATGTGGGGTGAGTGTTCCAAGGGACAGCTTGTGCAACAGCTTGGAGGCAAGAAGACAGCATGACACTGGAAGGACCTCTAAAAAGTATAATTATGGGTAGACTGTGAGAGACCAGACCTGCTAGAAATGCCTCAGTGAGGAGTTTGCCTTTTATCCTAAAGTCCACGGGAGAACCATGGAAGTGTTCCAAGTAGGTGAAGAGCAAAGGCAGCTGCAATTTAGAAATCCAAGTGGAAGTTCCTTGACAAACCAGAGGTTTATCTTCTTCAAGCATCCCTTAGGATACCAGGATCATGAAGCAGGTGGAAAGCCATCTGTCCATGGAATCAACTCTGCCCGAGTCTTTACAAGGGGCCTGTGGGCATCCAGGGCCCTCCACAAATGGTCCAAGAGGAGCTCAGACCAAAGGCTTAAGTGAGGCTTAGGAAGAAACCCATAGGAACTGTCATTGGAAAGATTAAAAATTTAACAGAGTTGAAGAGCATTTCGCCTCAATGGGCAGAGGGACACTATCCTAAAAATCATTCATTCACTATAGCCAAGTGGCTAAGAATGCTGTCTCTGTCACAAGACCTTGATTCTTACCTTTATCCCCCTACTTACTAGTTTCTTTGACCCTAGGCAAGTGGTTTCAATTCAGCATCCTCATCTGTAAAATGAGAACGACTCTTCATACCTCAAAGGGGTTGCTTTAAGGACTGAGAAACACAATGTAAAGTTTCTAGCGTATACATCAGGAGCTCAAAAAAATGCCAGCTATTGATTTTCTTTCATTAAACAAACAATTTAGCATCCTGGTCACCTTCTAGGGATGACAGATGAAAAAGACACAACAGATTGCCTTGAAAAGCTCCCAGTCTATCAGCCAGACAGGTGCACTCTCCAGGCCAGGTGCATCTTCAGGAGCCCAGTTCAGTTCTTGGTGATCCACAACAATGGCGGGCAGCCAGGCTCAGGACTCTTCTGCAAGTGAGCTGGGCCCACTGGCCCCACCCATGGCTGCTGATCCAAGGCCAGGCTAGCTGCTTCAGTGAAGTAGGGGAAAGCTGTTCTGCTTCCTACAGTGCAGATCCCATCCAGCAATAGCCTCACACTCTGCATCAACACCACCTCAGAATTAAAGAGCAGCCAGGCGCAGTGGTTCATGCCTGAAATCCCAGCACTTTGGGAGGCCAAGGAGGGCAGATCACAAGGTCAGGAGTTTGAGACCAGCCAGTTCGAGATCAGCCTCTGGCCAACATGGTGAAACCCCACCTCTACTAAAAATACAAAAACTAGATGAGCGTGGTGGCACTCTCCTGTAATCCCAGCTACTTGGGAAGCTGAGGCAGAAGTGCTTGAACCTGGGAGGTGGAGGCTGCAGTGAGTCGAGATGGCACCACTGCACTCCAGCCTGGGCGACAGAGCAAGACTCTGTCTTGGGAAAAAAAAAATCAAAGAGCAGAACAGAAAATGATCCCTGAGCCTTGGAATAAAGCCTACTTTTTAAGGCACCTGAAACCTCTAACTAAAAACTGCCCTCTGGCTGCACAGAAAATACATTCGATGGAATTCCCACCTACATTATATGCGGTCGCCTGGCACTGAGAGTAGGAAAGTGGGGTTCTGATGTCAACATCCTTCTCCCTGGTCAGCAGGATAATATATCCAGATGATCAAATCTAGGGACTATGAGGCCCCAAACAGCCAAAGATCTAGATTAGAAGATCCTTAGGAACATAAATTATGGCACTTATCCTGGTCCCTTGTAATGTGTTTTATCTTGCTATCACTTCCACTGCATTCTAAGCTCTTATCCATATTCCCAACACTTATTGTTAAGTACAGCATCCTCTCTGTACAGTCAGGCTTAAGAAAGGTCTACTGAACACTGTTGAAAAATCCATGGTGAAGATCCCAGTATCTTGATATCCCCAGGAGGCTCCAACTAATGTCCTATACTCTGTATGGAGTTTGTGAGTCATTCTTCTCTCAGCCACACACATACACACACAGGGAAAAACAATGCAAAAGGAACAATTTAGATTAGGCAATTAGGAAGTTCTTCCAAAAACTCTAAGTGAACTCCCAATAGATAATGCAAAATTCACTTCTTAAGCTATTTGTAAGATGGTAGAAGCATCTAGTCTCTCAGCTCTGAAATCTGACAAGAAGCCATAGAAGTTCAGACCATACAGGATTTCATGGACATGTTTAAAACGAAAAAAAAATCAAATAGGCTTAGTTTTTTTTCAACATTTAAAACTTTTTCCTTGTAGCATTTAAAGTGAATAATTCTCGTATACCCAGGAAAGAATCAACACCCATGATACAGTCAAACCTAAACCATTTATCACACCTAAAGAGAAGATGCTCTGGTGCGTCATGCCAATGCCTACATACTACTCCCCAGTCACCCGAACAATGAGTACTCAATGCTACGCTTTCCTAGGCCTCTGTTTTCTCCAGTTACATAAATGTAACACAAAAGGATGATGCACTTGGAAAATGTCTTCAGCCTGACAAACGGCATCTCAAATTGATTTTATTGGGGAAGACAAAGGACTGGATTTCTAGGGTTGTTTCTAGTTCTAGGATTGTTTCTAACAGTAGTTGTGTGACTTTGAGTAACTCCTTAAGTAAGGTAATATTTTAATACAGAGAACATGCCTAATACTGCCCCAGACACCTAGTAAATGTTTGCTAAATCAGAAACTTTTACCATTGGCCTTGCTAAATCTGACACTATTCTAGACCCAACTAATGAATGGCATAGTAAGTGTCATTACCAGCAACTTGCCCCTATGTGACAATGGGCTAATGCATTCATTTATTATTAATGTGAATCTAGAAGGTGTTTTGTGGCTGCCCAGGATGAAGCAAAACGTCCCAGTGAAGTCAAGAATTGCCAGTGTTTCTAGAAACTTCTGTGGGCAAGAAGCTTTGCTTGCCCTCCAGAAAGAGAGGGATGAGGGGAACTGGAACACTTGAGCCACCTATAAGGATGCATCTTTAGTGGGCACTGTGGTTCATGCTTGTAATCCTAGCACTTTAGGAAGCCAAGGTGGGCGGATTACGTGAGGTCAGGAGTTCGAGACCAGCTTGCCCAACATGGTGAAACCCCATCTCTACTGAAAATACAAAAATTAGTCCCAGCTACTTGGCAGGCTGAGGCACGAGAATTGCTTGAACCCAAGAGGCGGAGGTTGCAGTGAGCCGAGATCACGCCATTGCACTGCAGCCTGGGAGCCTGGGTGACAGAGCAAGACTGTCACAAAAAAAAAAAAAAAAAAAAAAATAAGAAAAGAAAAGAAAAGAAAGGAAAAGAAAAGAAAAAGGATGAATCTTTAAAGTGATTTCATATCTATTCAGTTGAGTTTACCTATCCATTTTAGTTATGTGTATAATCCAGGTAGAAAAACTCCCATTTCAATCCGGTTTATTAGAGTCATTGTTGCTGAGCCAAACGGAATATAAAGCCATCTTCATGGGGCTCTCCTTCGTCACAGCCACACTTACATAATAATCACAGCAGAACCAGTTTAAAGAAACAGTATAATAAAAATTGCTCCAGAGTAGTATGATTCCATCATGAAGACAGCTAAAATATCAGGTGATCTATTTGTGTCAGTTTTACGGACAGCTTTGCATTGCATTTCAAACACAAAATGCCCACATACCTTAAAAATCAAATTCAAAGTGATAACTAAAGTAGAAGCATGCTTATGTTTTTAGAAATATCTTCATCATGGAACCTGCATGAGAAGGAATGTTTAAGTAAAACCAAGCTGCCAAGTAAACACTTAGAAAAATCATTAACACAAAATTCTATCTGAAGGGAGATGCTAGAATGACTTGCCAGTTAATTTTAGAACAGGAAGCTGATGATCATCAAAATGAGAAAAGTTAAACTGAAAGGGCATCAGTGAACACTAAATGGACCTGGGTTTCCTACAATAATCTCCAATTTCTGGAGGTTTATCATCAATGTAGGTCTCTTAAAAAGTTGGTAAGATAGCCAAGGTAACCAAATGATTTTTCACTTAAACAGTATCTGGCGTACCACCTAATATTTGGGAAAATTAGAACAAAATCAGAAGCTATTAAAGCTTAGGTGATGCCCTATAATTTCAGCAGTTTTTCAGGTCAGTATGTTCATTAAACTTGAATGCACAGCATATATATTTCCCTTCCTGAAACATTGGATTTAAAAAATTTCCTCTCTATGTCTACTTCAGCAAAATCTGGATACATGTTATCTTCGACATTTAAACAGACTTGCCAATCAAACTATGAATTATAAAGTTTAAAATCAGTAAATGGATTCACTTTTAAATTATGCTAACAAATCTTAATTAGCATTCAAATCTTACCTGAAGTCTAAAATGTTTGACTGACATGGTTTTAAAATTATAAGACACCCAATGTTTTAGAGAATCTGGATAGGAGGTTTGAAACCACACAGAATCCTTCCCAGAGGTAGACTGAGAAAACAGAGCTATGCTCATCATCTGGGCCGTCCTTGAGGATGTTATAGTATACTTGCTGTGTCAAATTACTGGAAGGGTAAAGGCAAGGTTATTAAGGGAAACTGACTTTAACATAGTTTTTTTAGATCATACTTTTGTTTACTTTATGAAGAAGACAGAACTAGTCTTTTTTTAAATTTTATGGGGGGACAGGGTCTTGCTCTATCCTCTAGGCTAGAGTGCTGTCCTGAGATGATGGCTCACTGCAGCCTCGACTTCCCAGGCTCAAGTGATCCTCCCACCTCGGCCTCCCAAGTAGCTGGGACTACGGGCACATGCCATCATGCCTGGCTAACATTTTGTTTTTTTTTTTGAAAGACAGAGTCTTGCCATGTTGCCCAGGTGGGTCTCGATCTCCTGGGCTTAAGCAATCCACCCATCTCAGCTTCCCAAAGTGCTGGGATTACAGGCCTAAGCAACCATGCCTGGCAGGTACTTGTCTTACAAAGCTCATCACAAGATCTTAAAGCTCATCACAAGGGCTTACATTTCATGTGAATTCATTTAATTTTTATAATGGGAAAGGCAAGGCACAAATGTTTAGATGACATCCACGGTAATACCTGCCCACCTCACAAGATTGCACTAAGGACCCAATTACATAATAAACATGAAAGCACTTTATAAACCAAAAAGATCTAAGTAAACATAATAAATGCCTAGGTTCCTACAGTAAAGAATGAAACTATGATTCAGTCATGGCCACTGCTTTTATCTGCTTCTCAAATATTTATGGGACAGAAATCACCTAGAGGACCTGTCAAAAAGAGGGCTCTAATTGGGTAGATCTGGGCCAGGGCGGGCCAATAGTCTGTGTATCTACCAAGTTCCTGGGTGATGCCAATGCCAGCTTCTGGGGCCACCCTTTTGAGGAATGAGACTCTAAAAGATCATCCTAATTCCTGGTGCATGGTCAGCCTTAGAGAGTATATTTCCTGAGTATATTGCAGACTTTGGTTATCCTTAAAGTGAGCTTTGGGATAAGTCTATATACTACATCTCATTCTGAATATAGTACTTTACAAACTCAGTATCAAAGTGTTCTTTCTTGGGCAACCAAAGAGCTAAAGGGTTGAATTTTAATTAGCTTGTCTGCTATTCCGTTTTCCAGGACAAGCGTCAACAACATGTGAAAGCATAGAAAGCTGTTTTGCCAGTTCACTATTAAATGATTTCAGTTCATCTCAAAAGGGTGGTGGGAGGTAGGGAAGGACCCTGAACTTGTAATCACATCCCCCTCTCCAAAAGAAAAACCTGGATTCTCAAAGATTTCAAATTAACAAGAGACCAACTTGTCTTCTCTATCTGGAGAAATGGTCTCAAAATATCCAGGAGAACAAAACCACCTGAGCAAACACGTAATTTGCAGAAACGCTGATGCTTCCTGATAGAGAAGTACTCTAGACTCAGACCTGACAGAGAATAAAAAAGAAACCCACAGCCCCTGTAGGGCAGTGGTTCTCCAACGTGGGCATGCATCTGAATCAACTGGGAGGGCTTGATAAAACACAAATTGCCACACCTCAAGAGTTTCTGATGGAATACGTTAAAGGTAGGGCCCAGGATGAGACTGAGAGTCCCACAGACCAAGCTGAGGTTGGTCTGAGTCTAGCACTGAGTCTAGACAGCAGCCTTCCCAAGAGGAACCACGTCTCACTCACAGCTGCACACCAGCACCAGCAGTGTCTAGTAGCACACACAGTTGGTCCCCAGTAAATATTTGCCGAATTAATGACCATTATAACTTTCATTTCCAGGAACAATTTTACTACTTGCTTATGTATACTTGCTGCCAAGTATCTTATATACAGATTCATTTAAAAAAAAATTACACATATGTTGGGCACTATAGCCCTTAACCTTAAGGGGTCCACAGTTAAATTAAATTGACCCCAATCATAGACACTAGTATCACACTTTTTCCTTATAATACCCGGACAGTTAAATCTTAAAGCCTTCTGCCACTGAAGTCGAAGCAGACAACTCACCTACCTAAAGAACCCTAAAGTAAAACCCTGCTTAGTCAAAATGGAGCAATTAATTGCATACATACTCCTACCAAAAAAAAAAAAAAAAAATTAAGTAAAGACAAGAATTTGCCAGGGAGGAACACAAATACCTGTGCCCACACTGGAAACTCAGAGATGGTCTCCTTAAAGCCTCTTCCAGTTGATGCAAACCACAAGGCAGCCCAGGGAACAGTCCCAGGTGAAAATGCTACTAAATCTTTAAGGATTTCTTCTCTAAATCCTTCCACGTTCACTCAGCAAAGCTCAGAAAGAATTTTGGCAGTCATTTTTCAAATCCTCTGCCTGATCTGCATGTTACCATAGTCACATTCATTCGGAAAAACAGGTGTTTCTGTTAAAATTAGCTGTTCCAAACTGCCAAATATTTTAAATCCCCATGCCAGCTTTAAAAAAAAAAAAAAAAAAAAAAGTTAGGGCGCGGTGGCTCACGCCTGTAACCCCAGCACTTGGGAGGCCGAGGCGGGTGGATCACGAGGTCAGGAGATCAAGACCATCCTGGCTAACACGGTGAAACCCCGTCTCTACTAAAAATACAAAAAAAAAAAAAAAAAAATTAGCCAGGCGTGGTGGCGGGCACCTGCAGTCCCAGCTACTAGGGAGGCTGAGGCAGGAGAATGGCATGAACCCGGGAGGTGGAGCTTGCAGTGAGCCGAGATCCCACCCTGGGCGACAGAGTGAGACTCCCTCTCAAAAAAAAAAAAAAGTGTGTGTAAAATAACCAATCAGATGAGGATGGTGGGGGTGCGGAAGAAAGCAAATACACACACATAATTTTTGTGTTTCCTAACATCACCCATAAATGCTATGCTTAAAACAGGCAAAGAAAGATGGAGTTGTGCTTTTTTCTGGTTAAGTCTTATGTTTGAAAGACTGTTTTTGTTCCATTTACTGAGTTGACTATCATAAATAATGTCTTTTGTTCAAAGAACTTAGCAATCATGATTTCCTTTTCTCATGACCATTCAAAGGAAGAAGGTTCTCAACATTCCCTGGTCAAGATGATGCACATTAAGCCTGTGTAAGAAAACTTGCCCTCAGGAGTCAGAAGAACCCAAGGATTAATGTCTTAAATTAACCCTAGTTTAAAAATTAAAAAGCAAACAAAAAAAACAGGCCACTCTGATTTTATTCCTGGAACCAGTATCTCTGCTGACCTTATTAAACCCTATTATGAAATAGGTCTGAGACGCTGCTTTTTTTAAACATCAGGGGCTATTTAAAAAACAAGTTTAGCAACCTGGGACATTAGAGAAAAGTTAAAATGTCAAAGACCTGTGCCCAATCCCCTTGCCTAGCATTCCTCACTCTGGCTTCTTGAAATCTGCTAGAAAAAAAGTACAAGCAGAATTCACTTCAAGACACCTGCTGGAAGAAAAGCCCTGAACTTTATGTTATAAATGGGAGGTGGGGGGTGCAGGAGCAGTGAAAACGCTTAAGTTTAGAACTTTAATCAACTTCAGAGAACAGAGATTATGCATGTTACATGACCAAACGTAGAGCATAAAGAAACACCAAGAGCAGCTATCATTTAGGTAAGAGGTTTCAAAATTCACTTAGTGACTAGCTAGTTAACTTCATCCAAACAGATAGGGAAAGTGATTTTCTTTTTTTTAATTGGCTTGAGTTGTCCTGAAAATCGCTTCTGCAAGGAAAGAGTCCAGGAAAAAACTGGCAATTCTTTTTTTCTTAATCTAATACCAAATTTACAGATTTCTGGCCCTTATTTTACTTAGCGTTTGTTCCTTTCAGTTTACTCTTTGTGATCTGCATAGGATAAATGAAAATGAACCATATAATCAAACTCCATCATTACTTGTGTACATTCAATAAATAAAAATTTCTATATGCATGCAGGATTGTCACTGGCACATGAATTAGAATCCCACCTCCCTTTCATCCTGAACCCCATCCCAACATTAAGGGGCAGAGGAAAGGAATAAAGATGCTCAAGGTCATTTTCATCTTTTAAAGTCTTCAAAAACCCGAAGTTTACCAGGATTTAACAGAGAAAAACTGCTCCCATGGTCATTTTTTTAAAAATTTAAGTACCCTACCACTTTAAGACTTTTTCAAATTTCAAATTCAGGGTGGTGAAACAGTCCTACCCTTACCCAACACAGGTTAAAGACTTTTACACGTTGTATTTCATGTCATTGTAATAAAAACAGCGATTCAAACAAGTAAAATAGTCAATATGACTTTTTTCTCTCTCTCTTAATGTATTACAGTGAAAAATGCTTTCTTTTCAGATCTGTGGGAACTGCAAAGGTTTAAGCACAACAAATCCCAAGAAAAATGTAAATGGAACAAATCTAAACCACGTACGAGTTTTTACTCATGTGGCTCTCCCAGGCTTCAGGCACTGTAAATAGATTTGTTGTGCTTTTAGTGGGAAGATATTCAGAATTTAACTAGGTTCAACAAAACTATACACTCCACCACCACTCACACAAAAAGACTCCTAAAAATGTCTGCAGAAAAGACAAACTACCTTAATATTACTCCAAATTCCAATCAAAGATTCTTCCAACATACAATCAACCATGGCATTATCTTAGATCAAGGTCACAAAAACAAGCCCTTGGCCTACAATCATGTTGTGGCTCTAGAACGTTCTTAACAAGCTTTCCAGGATACTTCTTTCCTCTATTAAGCAGTCTAGGACCCTCTCTATATTTTTTCTGAAATCATGAGGATCTTGTCTGAATAGACCTGTGTACATAAAAGATGCTAACTATTCTCACTTGATGTACAGTACTTTTAGAGTTCCATCCAGAGACTCTGAGTTGGGAAGGCTGGCATACCACACAGGATTAGGATTTAATCTGAAAATGATAGGCAGAATACAAATCAGAATTCAAGCAGCCTGAGCCACTGTTCATGATGATGGAAAGGTAAGTGGAGACAAAGGGAGCTAAATCACTTTCCAGGAAAAATGAGACAAAACCGTCCCAAGCACTCTACATAACCCAATCCCATTTGTGTCACCTGCCTTTTAAAATAGAACGTTACACATAGTCCTCTCTTCAGTTCCAGGCTGCTCAAGGGAGTACTTCTTGAGCAGTACTTTTTCTTGAGGAAATAGTAGAAAGGGCTGGGAATTGGGGGCCCGCCTCACTACTATTGAAATAGCCTTCCCACAGACCCTTCCCATACATGACATGCAGCATGCAAAATTACAATTATTGAAAAATCAACAATAATTGCAAAAAGCCATCTGAGAAACATAACATTTTAATAGATGAAATAAATACTCCAGTACATGCAAGGTAAAAACTTGACGTTGGGGGAAAAAAAAATCACTCTATAGTGTAAATTAAAAAAACACACGCTCACAGTAGCTTCCCCCCATTTGCAAATCACATGGCAAATTCATACTCTTTCCACACCAAGTATACTCCTAATTCAACACGATTGCTTAAAAAAAAAAAAGACATACAAAAAAAGGTAGCTACATCCATGTCTAAGGAGTGAAAACTGAGGTAACCTTTCTTTTAATTAAAAACACAAAAAACAAAAATGAAATGAACCCATGACCTCCTTCCTGCCCAATAATGAAATTTAGTTGAGAAATTCCGGAAGACGGGCTGGGGTAGGGGGTGGGAGTGATAACACAACCAGCAGATGACATATCTTCCAGTCCCTACTGCATGGGGGCTGGTGGAGAGACACCTGGGCCCTCCAAGTGCGTGTGCAGGTTGCGTGCATGGCCCTGCCTTGTGGAAGATTCCTCTCGAGCATTTAACGTTGGGGAGGGTAGGGGGTTTCACCTATGATTTCTTTGGTATAAATGGAGAGGGGCAGAGAGTAAGTATCTTCCTTTAGTCTGGGGGTGGAAGAAGGGGTATGGGGGTGGGGTGCTAATTCACAGAATTGGAATTCACTGGCGGTAAAGTCCTGGGCGAAGACCTCTCCCTTAAAGCCTGAGATAGCAGGGTGCAGCCTTCAGACACGGCGCAGGCCGAGTTCCTCAGCCTCTCCCTGTGGTCCGACATCTTGGCGCCCCCGTCGGGGTGCTGCGCCAGATCCCTGAGGCACTGGGTCAGGAGCACGCAGGCCGACACCACGCTCATGGCGCCGCCCAGGATGGCGGTCTGCACCGCCTTGCCCTCGGCGCTCACAGCTGCCGCGCGACCCAGGAACTGCGGCTCGGTGGCGAAGCCTACCAGGGCGCTCACTGCCTGCACCAGGGGCCCGCTGAAGAGCGCACAGCGGCTGCGCGCCAGCTCACTGGGCGCCACCTTCACCTCGCGCACGCAGGCCAGCAGCGCCGACGCGCTGGTGCTCATGCACTTGACGCCCAGCTTGAACTGCTCCCGCGAAAAGCGGTCCCGTGACTTGTCACTGGCCAGGGCGCACGCGTCCGTCAGGAACTTGAGGTTGCGCGACAGGCCCTGCGACACCTCCAGCAGCAGCTGCGGCGTCATGTCGGCCAGCGGCGTGGCGCGCAGCACGGCGCAACCCTGCTCCACCTCGTGGCGGCATCGCGTCACGCGGTAGCGGTCCACCAGGCCCGGCTGCGCGGGCTGGGCGCCCGGCGTGGCCACAGCGGCCAGATAGGCCGCGTGGGCCGAGCACTCGGTCAGCGACACCACCAGGTCGCCCAGCTCCACCAGGCTGTCCCCCGCCTCCCCGAAGCGGCCCATGTTGAGCTGGCTCTGCACGTCGTGGGTGAGGATGGAGAGCCCCTTGGTGCGCGCGATGATGGTGTCCCGGCACTGCTCGAAGGACTCGGCGCCGGCACCAGAGGAGGCGGGGCCCTCGAAGAGCACGGGCCGCGCCTCGCTCGACAGCAGCAGCAGGTCAGCCACCAGCTGCATCTTGCCCTTGCAGTGGTCGCAGACGGATACCAGCCTCTTCCGCGGCTGCGAGCTGGCCCCGCCGATGGCGCTCGCAGGAGCCGGAGAAGCCGCCTCGCCAGTGGGCTTCCCGGCGCTGCCGCTAGCCATCGCGCCCGGGGGGCACTGGCATGCCGCTGGGGAGCCCGCTACCACCGCCGCTGCCGCGGCCACTGCCGCCGCCCCGGCGGCCGTCGCGACTCAGCTGGCCAAGGCCGCGGTGCCTTCCCCGCACCATCATGCCATCCACCGCCGCGGGCAGAGGGCACTGGGCTGCGGCGGCGGGAGCCCGGGCGGCGCGGGGTGGGCCCGAGGGCGAGAGAACGCGGAAGGCTCTTCGGGGCAAGGGGAGGGGCTGCAGCTTTCGGCCTCCTAGAGGGCTTGCAGGAACCATGAACCGGGGCAGAGCAAACTCACTGTCCGCGCTCCTCGTCGCCGGGCTGCCAGGAAAGTCCCTTCTGCTGGTTCGCCGCCGCCGCCGCCTTCTTGGGCATGGCCTGGCGCGGCCCTCGGAGCGGGGAGGGCGGGACGGGGAAGCTGGGAGTTGTCCTTCCTTCCTTCCTTTCTTTGAAATCAAAATCCTTTCCTCGGGGAGGAGCGCGGGAGGCAGCTCAGGCGGGCTGTGCTGTCAGCCGCCGCGCTCGAGGCCACCTCGGGCTCGGCGGCGCACGTGGGCTTCAGGCGCCGTGACCCCACCAGGCGGCACTTCCCCGCGACGGCGGCCGGGGCTGGCTCTCTGGGACGCGCGGCCGCCCCGGGCGCATCTCCTGCCTCCAGCTCTTGGGAAGCGGCGCCGGCGGCAGCGGGGCAGAGGGTGTGGCCGGCACTGTCGCGGCCGCGCCGAGTCAGAGTCGGGCGGGAGCCTGCACTGATTGCGCACAGCGGCCGCCCGGATCGCGCTCAAGCTCTCGCCCGCCCGCCACACGCCCGGGCGTGCCGAGCACCACGGCGGCCCCTTCCCGCCTCGCCGGTTCACAGAGCGCGGCCCGGCGCCGCGGCGGCACGCCCTCCCAGACCGCGCGCCCGGCGGCCCGGCGCTGGCTGTCTACGCAAGTCCATCCCTGTCGCCTCGTCTGGGGCCCGCAGCAGCTGAGCTCTCCCGAGGCCCCGGGCCCCGCGCATCGGACGCCCCTGCACGAGTCTCCCTGCCACCGGGCCAACTCAGAAGGTCCCCGCGGCGCTGCGGCAACCGGCCCGGGCCCCGGCTCCTGCCATTTTTGTCAACCGCCAACTTCCGAGCGAGCGGGCAGAAACTGAAAGGAAGGGCGGGGGCCGAAAGGCAGAGGGGAAAACACCCGCTTCCTCTCCGCGCGCGGCTTCACCTCGGAGCGCGGCCGTGGCTGCGCCGCCGCCCGCAGGGGCTGCCGGAGGCTTTTCCTGTTCCCGTCCGCGCCTCGCCCCCGGGCTCGCCGCCGCCGCCGCCTCGGCCGTAACCTCCCTGGAGCCTATAGAAATCTTTTGTGTGGCGTCACCGCCTTTCGTTTAAATCCCGCTTCCTCCTCTCGCCCTTCCTCCCGCCCCCTCCGCCGCTCCCGGATGCTTGCGCGATGCGCTGCTCCTCCCCCGGGAAGCTGGGTGGCTGCGGGGGACGCCGCCGCCCAACGCGGACGCTGCCGGCGTGGGGCCGGTGGTCCTGAACTCCCCCGTGGTCCTGGGCCGAGAGACTGGGGGAGCGGACAGGGGAAGGCCTGCTCCGGCCCGGGGGCTCTGCGCACACCCATGGGAGACCGGGGCGCAGCCGCCCGCGGGCCTTACGTAAGCTCTTAGCCGGACCAGGGGGCTCCACGCTTCCTCCCCGCCAAGAGAGCAAGTCTAAAAGGTGACCTGGCTTCTGGGCTGAAGGGAGGAGGACACTGGATTTCGGCCCCTGGTGATTTGCTGGGGCCGGTGGGTCGTCTCGGTCTGCGCGACTTCGCCCGGTTTTCCAACGCCCCCTGCCCTTTGTTGTGTTTGATCCACTTCCACGATGGGTTTCCGACCAGCAGTGCAGTGTAACGAAAAGAGGAAAAGAGCACTGGATGGGGAGTCCGAAGAGTGGTGCTAGATGCCTGCCCGTTCCTCCCTTGAAATACGCCTTATGCAGTGAGAGCGCGGGTTCTGAAGCAGATTTCCTAGGATCAGCCTTTCTCAAGCCATTTATGAGTTCCATGACATTGTTCAAGTTCTCTTTCCAAGTATCCGTCTTCTCTTCTAGAAATTAGAGATTGTGCACAGGCTGCTTGAGTACTTGGTTCCTAAACAGTAGCTGTTAGAATTATTATGAGCCCTGATCAGCGCACTTTGCCCTCTCATAACGTCTATTTATTCGTCTGTATAATGGAATAATAGTGGCTGCTGTTAAATGAATTAAATACGACGGCGTTTGGAGGGAAACATTACTACTCCAGTTTTACAGATAAGGAAACTGATGATCAGGTGCTTGAAGTGACTTCCGAAGATCAGGAAGACAGCATATGGCAGGGACAGGAACCCACGCCTACGCCCCAGCCTCTTTTTACCGAACCTTGTTCTTCAGGAAGTGGTTAAAACACCTGGGCTACTCCCAGCAAAACGCCAGTCACGCAGTCCTGAAACAGGTCCTCTAAGGTGCCCAGCCCAACACAGGCTGGGCGTGCTGAGCCAACAGAATGTTTGTTCCTCTGTCCCTTCCTAGAACCCCAAGTCACCTTTCTCCAGCCAGTTAAAAACGTTACTTTTAACTAGGATGACGTTTCAATTTATCGGCCATATCCAAGCATTTCTGAGAATGAACTGTGAGACATGCTATTAATAAATTAACCATGAACAGCAGGTTCAAACCTGGATGGATAGTCATCCTACTTATAACTGAAAGTATCCTTAAATATCTTTAGAATCCGGATGAGCCCACTTAGTTTGCAAACCGAGGTCAATAAAACTGACTTGAAATAGGAAGTAATTATGTAGGGTTAATTCCTTTTTTTCTTCTACAAGAGAAAAAAAAAACAGCTGGATAAGTCAAGGTTTTTCCATGGTGACCCAGGGATTGCACCTTAGTCCTTCTTAAGCTCCAAAAACTTATGAGAGGGGGCCGAAAGCGATGGCTCACACCTGTAATCCCAGCACTTTGGGAGGCCAAGGCAGGCGCATCACGAGGTCAGGAGATCAAGACCATCCTGGCTAACACAGTGAAACCCCGTCTCTACTAAAAATGCAAAAAATTAGCCGGGCATGGTGGCGGGCGCCTGTAGTCCCAGCTACTCGGGAGGCTGAGGCAGGAGAATGGCATGAACCCGGGAGGCGGAGCTTGCAGTGAGCGGAGATCGCGCCACTGCACTGCAGCCTGGGCGACAGAGGGAGACTCCGTCTCAAAAAAAAATAAATAAATAAATAAATAAAACTTATGAGAGGGAAGTCAGACTGTTCTGTGCCTAGTTTATTCTTGAGGCTGCTCTAAGATCAGATTTTTTTTCCAAAGCCACGTAGTGCCCCTGGGGGTCCCATTTTCCCTTTCTTCTACATATGCAGTCTGTTTTGTTGTTGATGGAAACCCACCCCGACAATGAGTTGTGTTACACACAGACTGTCCACTCTATTCAGTGAGGTTTGGTTTCATTTTTAAAACTGATAGCATTGTTTTCTCGGCCTTCCCTGCTTCATTTTTCAGATAGGGAAGCTCCTAAACTGATCCTCCCAGGCACTGCCTCCACCTTTCTTTAGGTTCACCTTTACTTTGTCCGATTGTTCAATCACTCCACAATCACTGGGCACCAGTCTTGTGCTAGGCACCAAAGTTACATAATTTGTAATATGAGGCCCCCACTCTTTAGAGTCCAGGGATAGGAGTAGATTCACAAGAAACAGCCACAATTTCACTATTGGCACAGTGAGAGCACAGAGTAAAAAACCTATAGCAGAGATAATCAGGCTTCACAGATACAATATTTGTAGGTAGGCAGGGCCATGTGGTTCTGTCTGACCAATGAAATGTAAGGGGAAGCTATGCAGGTTACTTCTAGGCTGAGACAATGAAAAGCCAATCTGTAATTCTCCACTCTCTTGCCCTCCTATAACTACCACGGAGACTGCATTCTAGTTGGTGGAGCCTCTGTAAGCTTAGGTGACCATGTGGAGCAGACCCTCTTGATCTGTAGTGGACATGCAATGTGAACACAAAGTAAATTATTGGTGTGTTAAGTCACAGAGATTTGAGGGTTGTCTGTTGCTGTTGCATATTTTTAGTCTAATTAGAGGATGGCTTGTTGGTGTCTGCCCTTAGAGTCACTCAAGCAATGGCTTTTTCTTTAGAAAACTCCACCTATTACCCCTTCTAACCCTCTCAAAATTAAAATAAATATAAATCAAAAGTATTTGCTGTGATCTGACCCCCAAATTCATATGTTAAAACTTAATCACCAGTGTCACAGTATTACAAGGTGAGCCTTTGGGAGATGGTTAAGTCATGAGGTGGAGCCCTCTTGAATGGGGTTAGTGGCCTTATAAAAGAGGTGTGAGAGAGTTGTTCACCTCTTTTGCCCTTTCATCATGGGAGGATGCAGCAACATAGAGGACGCATCATCTATGAGGAATGGGCCCCTGCTGGGGCCTTGATCTTCTACTTCCCAGCTCTAGAGCTGTGAGCAATAAATTTCTATTAGTTATAAATTACCCAGTCTAAGGTATTTTGTTATAGCAGCTCAAATGGACTAAGTATTTTTTTTTTTAATGGATGTTGAGTGAGAGAAGAAAGCGGAAAATGTGTGGACTGAGGATTGGCTGAGGGAAGGTAAATGGAGTGGATGAGAGGGAGCTGGTAAATGGCCTGGCCCCTAGAGAATGCATTCTCAATACTGGCTCAAGGCCTACACTGAAATAGGCATCTGATGAAAAGTAAGTGAACAAGTTGCAAAGAGAGAACTGAGGATTTGGGCAGGACAAGAGGAACTGACAGGTTGAGACAGGCAGGATTGGGGAAACATCTTTTACCTCGTCTCTTGCCTGTTTTAGAAGGTGCATCCACCACTTGGTATAAGAGAACATTATGGGCATTCTGTTTTGTTTTTATGTTTTAAATCGTGGTAAAATAGCATAATATCATCTTACCCATTGTTAAGTACATTATCGTGCAACCATCACCATCCTCTATCTCCAGAAATGTTTAATCTTGCCCAACTGAAACTCCATACCCATTAAGTAACTGCTCCCCACTCCCCCTTCCTCCAGTCCCTGGCAACCACCATTCTACTTTCTCTATGAATTTGACTACCCTAGGTACCTCATGTTAGTGGAACCATACAATATTTGTTATTTTGTGCCTGGCTTATTTCACTTAACATAATATCTTTTTTTTTTTTTTTTTTTTTTTTGAGACGAGGTCCGGCTCTGTCTCCCAGGCTAGAGCACAGTGGCGCGATCTCGGCTCACTGCAAGCTCCGCCTCTCGGGTTCATGCCATTCTCCTGCCTCAGCCTCCCGAGTAGCTGGGACTGCAGGCACCCACCACCACACGCAGCTAATTTTTTTTTGTATTTTTAGTAGAGACGGGGTTTCACTGTGTTAGCCAGGATGGTCTCGATCTCCTGACCTCGTGATGCGCCTGCCTTGGCCTCCCAAAGTGCTGGGATTACAGGCATGAGCCACGTGCCCAGCCTTAACATAATGTCTTTAAGATTCATTGATATTATAGCATACATGGGAATTTCCCTTCTTTTTTATGGGTGAACGGTATTCCATTGTAAGCACTCCGGATCTTTTCATTCTATCAAAAATTTATTTATTTATTTATTTAGTAGCGAGAAAGTCTCAGAGACACAGTCTCACTTTGATATCCAGACTGGTCTCACACCCTTGGCCTCAAGTGGTCCTCTCACCTTAGCCTCCCAAAGTGCTGAGATTACAGGTGTGAGCCTGTCTGGCCACTCTGGGTTTTGATACCCAACTTTCACACTACCCCACACTTTACAGACCAACAACCATGCTGTGTTTGGTCTGTAGTGCCACCTGTTGGTCAGTAAGAGGCATTCTCTGCCCTAATTATTTTTCCCTTTGGAGCAATGTCCCTCTGTTTTGCTTTTGTGCACACAGATGGGCCAATTACATCTCAGGCTATCTTTCTTATACATATGCATTATTTCCCTTTCACTATCTGTTGTAAAAGAGAGGAATTTATATCTCTCCTTCTTTTCCCCAGATTCCTTCATTGTCATAGGTGATGCATGACAACAGCCCCTGGTTCACCAGGGAGCAAGATCACTGTCTAACACCTCGCTCTCCTTACCTGGCATGTCCTCTTGCTCTCTGGCATATTTTGTTCCCATCCAGTAAGAACACCTGGGCAGTACCTCACACATCACTCCCATTTCCTCCCCAGCCCCACTTTCCACCCTCCCTTCCTCCCTCCATGCTTTCTCTCTGTTCACCTGCAGCTGGGTGTGTGAGGGAGCCCTGTGTGCTGGACCAGTTATACCTTGGCAGGCACACCTGAGCATGCAGGTCCTGAAGTCTAGGAGAGCTGGAATTTTCTGCATTAGTTTACCAGAGCACCCTCCATGGAGGCAAAGTTTGCTTGCACAGATTAATAAATTCTGTACCCCATTCATTTACTGGCCAGCCATCTTTGGATGTATTTTCTATTTTCCAGCATCCTGAAGAAGAGAAAAAACAAGTGCTAAGTTTCAGGCACCCTGGTCTTAACACTAATCATGCCTGACCAAGTTTTGACATCTCTCATGGTGCCTAGTAGTCAGTAACTACAGAGTGATTAGATGTATTGGTGCCTCACAAGGAGGTTCCCTGATCTTTCAGACAGACCCAGGTATTTCTTCCCCCCCTTGTAGCTACTATGATGCCTGCTCAGCTTCAGAGTGGCGTCAAGTACTTGTAACTGTTGGTGTAACTCTCTCCACAACCCTATCATCTCTGTAAGGGCAGGGACTTGATCTATGCATCTTTCCCCCACATTTAATGTATTCAGTGTTTATGGCATTAATAAGTTAATGAATTATTTTATCTGTTAAGTCTCTGTGCAAGAAAGGTGCCCTTTTATTGAACCAAACTCTGGCTGCTCACAACTTTTATTCAGTAACGGACAGAAAGTCATGGATATTCATGAAACAACAGCAGGGGTACAGTCTAGGTCTGGTCATGACCTAACAGCTCACAACTCTTAAGATTGAAGGGGAGGCCTGAGGCCTGTTTGCTTAGCAAGTGTGTTCACCTCATTTTTCTTACAGCTTGTTTGAGATAGTCCAGGGAGGTGATTCTTTGGAAACAGACTGAATTTTCTGAACATAACTGCATATATCTGTGCTGCAAAGTACATGTAATTTTTTCAGATGACACAGATAAAAGTCCTGCCTTCTTCAGAGATTCAGATCTCATCCCCAAATTTTCAAGGCCATTGCACTATTGTAGATAATTTGAATTACATGTATTATTCTGATAATTTCCATTGAAATTAGACTTTTCACCCTTACATATTGGTGGAAAGAAGGGTATCAATTCACATTTTGTAAGCAGCAGTGTGTTTATGTGTGTCTCTCCTTTTAAAGCACAAGTGGGCCAGGCGCGGCAGTTCCCGCCTATAATTCCAGCACTCTGGCAGGGCGAGGTGGATGGATCACTTGTGCCCAAAAGTTCTAGACCAGCTTGGGCAACATGGTGAAAACCCATCCTTTAAAAAAAAAAAAATGCACTTTGGGAGGCCAAGGCGGGTGGATCACGAGGTTAGGAGTTCAAGACCAGCCTGGCCAACATGGTGAAACCCCTGTCTCTACTAAAAATACAAAAATTAGCCGGACATGGTGGCATGTGCCTGTAATCCCAGCTACTCAGGAGGCTGAGGCAGGACAATTGCTTGAACTGGGGCCCGGGAGGCAGAGGTTGCAGTGAGCTGAGATCGCACCACTGCACTCCAGCCTGGGCTACACAGTGCAACTCTGTCTCAAAAAAGAAAAAAAAATGCAAAAATTAGCCAGGTGTGGTATGGGAGGCTGAGGCGGGAGGATCCCTTGAGCCTGAGAGGTGGAGGTTGCAGAGAGCCAATATCTGGCCGCTGCACTCCAGTCTGGGTGACAGAGCAAGACCCTGTCTCAAAAAAACAAACAAACAAAAACAACACACCACCACTGACGTATGTTAGATGTGAAGAAAAATAGAAAATACAGAGAAAAGGTTAAAATATTTTGGAATCTCACTGCTTAGAGACAGCCATCGTATACATATTTGCAGCTCTTTTCCTATACATAGATATATATCTGTATAATTTTAATAGCATTTAAAATCATATAGTATAAAATGAATATCTTTAGTAGCAACAAATATATATATTTGATTGCATATTATCCATCATATGTGTGGAATACAGCTTGCAACTGTAAATGTAGATTTTATAGTCTACAATTTTTGAAACACTTAGAGTTGTTCTCATTTTCCCCACTCATGGAGAGTGTTATAGGATTGTTACATTGGGTAAGTGAAGAAATACACGGAAAGCACTCAGCAGAATGCCTGTCGAATAGTAAGTGCTCAATATTAACATTACTATTATTTTCATTGTCTGTTTCCTCAGAGTCAAGTTCTTGGAAGTAGACTTGCTAATCATATTATGCACTTTTTTGTGGGGAGGGGGAGTTGATACATTTCACCTAATTTTCAAGCAGAAAACTCCATCCCCCGAGAAGTGAGTGAGAAGACTTCTTTCCTTAGCCTTGTCAACAGTGTATACTGTCTGTATTTTTATCCAGGATCAACTGATAATTTAAAAATTATAACATGTTTGAATTTGCATTTTTTGATATTAGAGAGATTCTGTGTTTTGTTTTGTTTTTGCCACATGTGAACTGGCCATTTATATTTATTCTTTTGGGAATTACCTATTCATGTCCTAGACCGTTTTTCATTTGGTTGTTCATCTTTTTCTTATTGATTTATAAGTTGTTTTTTTTTTTTGGAGACAGAGTGTTACTCTGTCACCCAGGCTAGAGTGCAGTGGCACAACCTCGGCTCACTGCCACCTCTGCCTCCCGGGTTCAAGCAATTCTCCTGCCTCAGCCTCCCGAGTAGCTGGGATTACAGGTGCATGCCACCACACCCAGCTAATTTTTGTATTTTTAGTAGAGACGGGGTTTCACCATCTTGGCCAGGCTGGTCTCAAACTCCTGACCTCAGGCGATCTGCCCGCCTCAGCCTCCCAAAGTGCTGGGATTATAGGCATGAGCCACCATGCCCAGCCAGGAAAACACAATTTTAATTATTATGTTTAACTCTGTGAGTATGCTCTTCTGCCCAAAAATAATGGTGGTGACCAGGAATGGACACCTGCCTCAGACTGGGCCAGTCACATTCTCTACTGAAAATCTGAAATTCCAACAAAAGGCAACGAGTTAGTTGCTACCAATATTTAGCAACTACAATGAATGATTCGTGTCTATGTAATTAAATTTTTTAAGTGAGTAAATTTAGGGGCTGGTAAAACCCAGGAAGTATGCAGTACGTCTATTCTTACATTGGATTAAAAAGCAACAAAAGTGCAAAATGGTAAATACTCATTACCTCTCTCAGCCCATCCCCAGGCCTCTCCTCCTATGCCTTCCCATGAGTCAGTCATTAGAGGGTTAATGTTTGGCACAATGGTGACTGTACCCATCAGCTCATCTGCCTCAGTTCTGATTAACTGGTAATTGTGCTACTCCAGTTTTTCAACATTTTGAATATTACCCCCGCCTGCTTCCAAATAGTACTAGAAAGTCTTGCTTCACCCTCCTCTGTTGTGGAATGATGCATGCCAGGATGAGCTCAGGTTAAGACACTAATTAGATCTGAGATTCAACTTTACCATCCACAGTCACTGAATCACTTAGAGGTGGGGTTAGTATTAACCCCAGAGCACTGAAGAGACTTGTGGCTTCACTTAGGCCATGAGCACACAATCTTTCACATCTGTCCTCTCCAGTCTACACTGCACCACCTGGTACCTGGCACAGACTCTTGTCCCATCTGAGTGCTCCTCGCTCCAGACTTTTCAATGCATTTTCCATTTGGCTCCCAATTTAACCATCCTGAGTGCCTCACTGATTAACCTAGATGGTGCTGTGGCGGAAGAAGGACTCCAAGAAGACTGGACCTTGTTATCCAGTACACCTCGGCTTAGATTCTTGCCTTGCCGCTGCACTAGCTGTGCAGCCTCAGACAAATTGTGTAATTGTAAAACCAGGATTTCCTCTTATTTAAATTGGAGAGATTATCATCATCATCACATCATCCCTTTGGGCCCGGATCTCCTGTAATCTGCATGAAATTTACTGCATATTGTTTATCTGCTCTGCCAGAGTAAGGATATTGTTATATTCATTTTTGCATCAGTGCCTCACCTGATTCTTGGTTAACAATAGGTCTTTGGTAAATAAAATTCCCCCCAAGTTGAATGGAATCAAGTTCCAAACACTAAAGTAAGTTTCAAATATCCAAATGTTGAAAATGCAATTGATCCAGATGTTTTCATATCAGTGGATTATATGCCGAATTGATTTCCTCCTTAGAGGAAAGTCAGTAGCCCTGAAACTTTCTACACATTCCCAACAATTTCTGTAAAACTTTCAATGATCTTATTCTCTATAACTAGATATGTGGGCCAAGAATCCCAACACGTTTGCCCCTTAACTTTGAAGCTGGCAATATGAATTACCAGGGTGACCCCTCCCAGTAGAGCACATGATCAGCCACAGCTGTGCATGTTTTTTAGTATGACTGCACTAGGATAGGGCTCCAAGCCACTGGGTGGAGCAATGTGCTCTGGGGAGAAAGCTCATGACATTTCCCCTATGATTTCACAAAAGAAAAAATCTTTTTCTTATGAGTTGTTTCTGCTCAACGTCAATAGGAAAGGTCATAGCTTAGCGTGTTTACATACAGATGCATGCATGAATATGTAGAATATCAGCCACTCCTACGGTGTGAGAGAATTTAAATTGCACTGGTCCTAAGAGTGAAGGAAAGCAGGCGTAGTTGCCTACTCAACCTCCACTTTATTCTTTTCCCTTTATAACAATCCTAATTTCATTTGAGATGACAATGTATACAGCTAGAAGACAATTTCTCAGCCTCCCTTGGAGAGCTAGGTTCCAGCCAATGAGATGTAAACAGAAATGTATGCAATGTTCAAGTAGGCTGCTTAAAAGAAGTTGACTCCACTTGAAAGGTGTGCTTGGTTTGGCCTGCCTTCTCCCTTCCTCTGGTTGAATGTCATCTTGATGACTGGAGCTCCAGGAGCCATCCTGGAATTTCTGACCTTGAGGGTGGAAGCCACAGGCTAATATGATAGAAGGATGAGGAAGAGGCTGAGTACCAGATGGCTGAGAAGCCACTATACCAGCCCTAGTTTCGAGTTTACACTGCTTCTGTGAAAGAAAAGTCAATCACAATAAAACCTTTTATCTTGTTTAAACCACCTTAAAAAGTCAGTTTTCTTTTATATGCAGCCTACTAATCCTATCCAAACAAGGCTTGAATAAGGTTTACTACAGCTCTTTTTTGTTGTAATAGCAGAAAAATTGGTAATAAATGCCCATCAATAGGAAAATAAACTATTAATTTAACAATACCAAATAAAACTGTGCAGCAGTATAAAGAATGAAGCGTTTTTTGTTGTTGTTTTTGAGATGCGGGTCTTGCTTTATTGCCCAGTCTGGTCTCAAACTCCTAAACTCAAATTATCGTCCTACCTCAGCCTCCCAAAGTGCTGGGATTATAAAGGCTTAAGCCACCGTGCGGCCTTTGGTTTTTTTTGTTTTTTGTTTTTTAAGGTCTTATGTAATTAAACATTTTAAAGACATCAGCTGATGAGCCGTTTAAAACAAGAAGAATCTCAAAGCATCTTTGGCCAAAATCTTTTTAAGAAACAAAAAGTAGCGTGATTCAGCCTTGAAAAGGATTAGTTAGAGCCTACAGTATTAGGTTGAAATCAAAGAAAGGCAAGCTTTTTTTTTTTTGGATGAATAGTAATGATCTTTTTGGAAAAAAAAAACAAATATTGAAAGCTGGTTGAACTGAATCCTCTTTATTGATGAGGAAAGCAGTGGACTCGAACTATTTATGACTTTCTGAAAAAAGTTGCCCTACCTGCCACTCACTTCTTTTTAACTGGCTGTTCTCAAAGGAAATTGCAAGAGACTGAGGATAAACGTCCGACATCCAGAAATGGGCTTTTTTAGAGCCGAGGCAGCCTCCAGAACTTCCAGTTCCAATTTATTTCACAGGCGAGAAACTGAGGTCAACAGGGACGTTGGTTAGTGGTTCCTGGAGGCCCTGAAGGAACTTTTGGACCTGGCTTGTGCGTTCCAGAGAAAAAGGTCGGCCTCTGACGGAAAACGAAAAATGAGCACTCAGGGACCCACCCAGCCGGGACAGAGCGCCTCAGCCGGACCAAGAGGAGGAGCCAGTGGGGCGGGGCCAAAATGGCGGAGGGGCGGGGCTTCCAGAGGCGGGGGTTAGGAAATGGTACGGGGCGGGGCCCGGTAGGCTAGCGAGGGCCGGGAGGCGGGGCCTCGGAAAGGCGGACAGGAAGGCGTGTGCAAGGCGGGGTCCGGCCCGCGCAGGTCGGGTAAGCGCGTCTAGGGCGCTGCGCGGCGCAGCGAAAATGGCGGCTTCCAGGTGGGCGCGCAAGGCCGTGGTCCTGCTTTGTGCCTCTGACCTGCTGCTGCTGCTGCTACTGCTACCACCGCCTGGGTCCTGCGCGGCCGAAGGCTCGCCCGGGACGCCCGACGAGTCTACCCCACCTCCCCGGAAGAAGAAGAAGGATATTCGCGATTACAATGATGCAGACATGGCGCGTCTTCTGGAGCAATGGGAGGTCCGCGGCGCGCGCACACCCTCCCGGCTCTTCTCTGTGCGGGACCCTGTTCCCTATGACCCCTTACCTGTTCTGTCTTGGGACCTTTCTGACCCCCTAACCTCCTCTACTCATGCCTTGAATCCTTACTGACCCACTGAAGCCACTGTTGACCCTCCATTCCTCCTCTGACCCGCGCGCCCTGCTGACCCTCGCTCCAGCCCTCTGTCATTCCAGTGCCCTGTTCCTCCTGCCATTTCTCAAACCACTTCAATCACGGATCTGCCCCTCACTGTTCAGCTTTGCTCTCCCTTCACCCTTCAGTGCCCTGGTTGTCTTTGCGTTGATTCTTGTGGTCAGTGAGCCCTGCAAACAGGGAGAGTGACCTTTCCCAATCTACTAAAGAGCATTTCCTTCTGTTTTGCGGTGAGTGGGTGGGAGAGTGGGTTGCAGTGAAGATGGTCTTCCTTAATGGTTATCTCAGCTGTCTTCTAAATCAGTATAATTTTAGACTTCCTATTTTGGTATATGTCCCTGCTGGGAATTTTGTGCTTTTTGTGGGTGGATTTATTTTACTGAGGGGAGAAGTATCAATGGCTAATGGCTCTGTATCGTGAAACTCACGCTTTTTGTTCAAAGGAGAGTAAGTTTTCTGGTTTGTCACTTGGACGCACCGGAGTGTGCAGTTACAGGGAGTGTGTAATACGCTTTAAGGTAAAGATTACTGGCCAAAACCACATTGCTGCCTTTTCCCCTTCCTAAGGTGATTGTATCGTCCTGGTTGACTTGCATAGCTGTGGAACCTTGGGCAGGTTATGTCTAGTTTCTAGGCCTCGGTTTCTTTATCTGCAACATGAGGAGGTTAGGATGGGTCCTAAGATTCCTTCCAACACTGATGTTTTGTTATTTTGTGATTATCTCTGTGTGTGTTACGGGAGAAGGGAAAGACTTTCAGACAAGAGTTTAAAATACCACCTGATGCATCTGACTAGAAGAATGCAGGCTTGTGTTTTCATGTGGTCATCAACAGCTGATGGAAAGATTGGGATAGATTTGAGTGTAGAGAGAACGTCCCCATTCACCGTCTCCCTTGCAATCTCCTTGTCTCTTTTTGGACTCCAGCAAATAAAGCCTTTTGATCTGCCAGAGTGAGAACATCACCTCATGAGAAATCCTCCCCTTGACCTACTCAGACCCTGAGCTAGACGAAGAGGGTGCTGAAGAGATGAACAAAGATTGCACTGGGAACAGTAGATAACAGGATGGATGAGTGGGGAGAGACTTTGAAGGCCAAGAAAAACACATTATCTCATTTAATCCTTTTACCCCATCCATGAGGGAGGTACTTATCCCTATTTTCTAGATGATGACATTGAGACACAAAGAGGTTAAATAACTTGCTCCACATCGCACAGCAAGCTAGCTGAGTTTCAAATTCTTTCGCGACTTTTAGAGCCAGTTCTTTGAACTGTTTTACCTGTACTGCCACACATGTTGGTGACAGAAGTGCAAATGAAGGATAGTGAGGAAGACGTGGATTAAGCTAGAAACTGCAGGAGCAGAGTAGAAGGGAGAAATGTGAGATTTTTATACTTTTAACAGGACTTGATGGTTGATTTTGTTTTTTAAATTATTTTTTATAGAGACAGGGTCTCCTTATGTTGGCTGGGCTGGTTTTGAACTCTTGGCCTTTGCAGTCCTCCCACCTTGGCTTCCCAAAGTGTTGGGATTACGGGCGTGAGCCACCATGCCTGGGCAATTGATTGATTTTGTGAATAGCAGGGCCACATAATGTAGTAAAAAGACAGGTTGGCTGGGCGCAGTGGCTCACGCCTGTAATCCCAACACTTTGGGAGGCAAAGGCGGGTGCATCACCTGAGGTCAGGAGTTCAAGACCAGCCTGGCCAACATGGTGAAACTCCATCTCTACTAAAAATAAAAAAATTAGTTGGGCATGGTGGCGGGCACCTGTAATCCCAGCTACTTGGGAGGCTGAGGCACAAGAATCGCTTGAACCAGGGAGGTGGAGGTTGCAGTGAGCCAAGATCATGCCACTGCACTCCAGCCTGGGCGACAGGGTGAGACTCTGTCTCAAAAAAAAAAAAAAAGACAGATTTTGAACTCAGCTTTACCCCTCACTAGCTACTTCATCCTAGTTTTACGTATCTGTAAAGCCAGATAACGCCCTACTTTGCAGGGTGCCATGCGGATTAAATGAGTTAATGTTTGTAGACGCTCTACAGACATGAGGACTCTTCCCCAGTAGCAGTGTTTTTTATGTGGGAGAGCGTATCCATCTCTGTGGGTGCTTTTTTTGTAGGAAGCAGTTCTTCTCCTCTTGTGACCATCTCTAAATCCATACCCTCACTCCTTCCCCAGCAGTGTGAGAAACAGTGCTTCAGTGAGAGGCTGTGCCTCAGAGGTGTGGAGAGGTGAGAATTCCTTCCATTGTGTTACAACTAATTCTGAGTCCCAATTGGTGTAGAAAAACCAAAGGTGGTTATTACATTTTACATTATGATAGCCAGGTATAATGGGAAGAGGCAGTTGGAGGGATTTGGAGCCAGAAATGTGGTTTGCACTTCTAGCATGTGAGTAAATTAAGTAAATCATTTATCCTCTCTGAACATCATCTTCCTTGTATATTAAATGGAACCGGGTAGGATTGTTCTGAAGGTTGGAGATAATATATGTAGAGTGCCTGGGACTTAGTAGCTACTTAGTAGATGTCACTTATTATTAATATCAAGAACCATGGGAGGAAGAAGAGGATTTGCAGAAAGGGGAGCTCAGCTTTGTAGCTACTGACTTAGACAAACAGTAATGAAGGAGCTCTAAAGCCAGTTGAAAATGCAAGACTGGCCTGGAGGCAGGGCTAGGACTGGAGTCAGGGGACTGCCTGACTTGTCCCTGGCCCCCCGCTCTGCCTCAGGGTAAAGACTGGATTGTTTTCAGCATAAACACACTGATCATAACAGGTTAGGTTACCCAGACTAAGGGTAGAACTGGATAATTATGTACATCTAGGGTACTATTTTTACACTTCAATTTTAACATATAATAATTATACATATTTATGGGGTACAGAGTTGTATTTCTACACATGTATAAAATGTAATGGTCAATTCAGGGTAATTAGCATATCTGTCTCCTAAACATTAATCATTTCTTTGTGTTGGGAACATTTAAAATTCTCTCCTAGCTGTTTGAAAATATGCAATAAATTATTGTTAACTATAGTCATCCTACAATGCTATAGAGCACTAGAATTTATTCTTCCTATCTAATGTAATTTTGTATCCATTCACCATCCTCTCTCCCTATCTCCCCTCCACTTCCCAGCCTCTAGTAACCACAATTCTAATCTCCACTTATGTGAACACAACTATTTTAGGTCCGCATACGAAGGAGAATGCGCGGTATTTGTCTTTCTGTGTCTGGCTTATTGCACTTAACATAATGTCCTCCAGGCTCATTAGGGTACTATTTTGCAATTTTCTTTTCTGTAACTGAAACACACACACACATATACAATGGAAATTAAAGCTGCTTTTTTTTTTAAGTCTCTTGAAACAATTTTTACCTGTATTATATGCACTAGACTTACGACTATTTAATTATATTTGCATTAACAAAGAAGTGCTGGACTGGGCTTAGTGGCTCATGCCTGTAACCCCAGCACTTTGGAAGACTGAGGCGGGTGAATCCTTCGAGCTCAGGAGTTCGAGACCAGCCTGGGCAACATGGTGAAACCCGTCTTTACCAGAAATACAAAAATAAATTACCCAGGTGTGGTGGCATGCACTTGTGGTCCCAGCTACTCTGGAGGCTGGGATAGGAAGATCACTTGAGCCTGGCAGGCAGAAGTTGCAATGAGCCAAGATTGCACCAGCACCATTGCATTCCAAACTGGGTAATAGAGTAAGACCCCATCTAAAAAAAAAAAAAAAAAAAAAAAAAGCTGCTTGGGACCTACTGAGTTAATTTCATGATTATTAGTGAAATCAATCTGAAAAATACAAATATTCTAGGGTATTGAACCAACTGGAAGTCTTGAAGTGTTTTAAAGAGACTATAACCGATGTTATGGAGAATTAAGATAAAGACAGAAACAACTTGTGAATTTGGCAACTAGGAGGTCCTTTGTGACTTGAGAGTATAATTTCCATGCAGTGATTGTGGTTGGAGGCCAGATCACAGAGGCCTAAAGAGTCAGCAGTGTCATAGCCAACAGATACAGTACTGAGTTCTGCTTGCCTTTAAGTCATTACATCCCCAAACAAACCTTAGGAGGGAGAAGCTGTTATTACCCTCAGCTTTCCATTATAGGTAAGGAAAGTTATTTTCAGATGGGCTAAGTAACTTGCCCAAGGCCACATAGTGATGGAGCGCATCCGTCTGACAGCACAGCCCATGCTCCTGTCTGCAAGTCACCATCAGTGGCTCTTTGAAAGCAAAGTGAGGAAGAAACATGTCAGTTGAGAGGGTGGCAGAGTGGAAAAGAAGGTTAGTGTGTTATGTGTGGTCATGTTACTGGGGCCTTGGAGATCACTTCGTTCTGCTTTTCATTTTGTAAATGAGGAAACAGGCCTCGAGGCGTAAGGATTCTTAGGCAGGGTCACACAGCTAGTTATGCAAAACTGAAACCAGATTCCAGGTCTGACGTCGGTATGGATCACCTTCAAGCACTGCGTAGAATTCTTTCGTTTTTACTTTTTACTAAAATTATTTTTAATATAGTACATTATTAATGGTATCTTAAGCCTTGGCCCTTCAGATATTGTTCAGTAAGAGTGACTTAGGGGCTTTTTTTTGTTTTTTGTTTTGGTAACAGGTTTATTGAGATTCAATTCACATGCCATAGGCAATTTACCCATGTAAAGTGTACATTTTAGTTTTAGTATCTTCAGAGAATTGTACAGTCATCACCAAACTCAATTTTAGAACATTTTTATCATCCCCAAAAGAAACCTTCAACCACTCCTCCCCTGTGTTCTCCCAACTCCCTAGCCAGCCCCGGGCAATCGCTTATCTACCTTCTGTCTCAACAGATTTATCCATTCTGGACATTTCCTATAAATGGAATCATAGAATGTGTAGTCTTTCATATCTGGCTTCTTTCACTTAGCATAATATTTTCATGTATCAATCAGTACTTCATTTCTTTTTTCTTTTTTCTTTTTCTTTTTGGTAGAGATAGGGTCATGATATGTTGCTCAGGCTGGTCTTTAACTCCTGTGCTCAGGTGATCTCCAGCTTCGACCTCCTAAAGTGCTGAGGTTATAGTTGTGAGCCACCATACCCAGCCAGTACTTCATTTTTTTTGGTTGCTGGCATTAGCCTTTTCTCCAAGGAACCTGGTTCTATTAAAGATTTTTTATTTGTCAGTCTATATGCTATTTATTAGGCATGGTGGCTAATGCCTGTAATCCCAGCACTTTGGGAGGCCGAGGTGGGCAGATCACGAGGTCAGGAGATCGAGACCATCCTGGGCAACATGGCAAAACCCCGTCTCTACTAAAAATACAAAAATTAGCTGGATGTGGTGGTGCGTGCCTATAATCCCAGCTACTCGGGAGGCTGAGGCAGGAGAATCGCCTGAACCCAGGAGGCAGAGGTTGCAGTGAGCCGAGATCGTGCCACTGCACTCCAGCCTGGTGACAGAGTGAGACTCCATCTCAAAAAAAAAAAAAAAAAAAAAAAAAGTTACTGTTTTCTATTAGTAATTTATTCATTTGTTTTGATCATTATGGGTTCAACATCTCATTTTGTTTGAGGGGTTGTAAGTCATACTATTATTTATTTTGATGTTGAGATTATTTCAACTTTGGCCCATGAGAGCTGCTTCAAGTTGGCTTCCATGGCATTTTGACATGTTCACGATTCTTTGAGCACTTTACTACTTTGTGATGCGGGATTATTCTAGGCTCATCTTCTGTCTCTCTTGCTATAAGCCTGTTCTCCAAGGAACCCACGCTCTTTTAAATATTTTTATCCATTAATCTGTTTACTCATCTGTTAATCTATGAAAAACCATGAGTTTCTCCTGATACCTTCAATTCCAGCCTAATACCACAGGGCTCATTCTTCCCCCTTTCATGTTTGTAACTTACTTCCCAGAAGTTAAGAACCTGGCTCTCATTACCCTCAATATGTTTACTCCTTTTCTCAATCCTAGAGGTCACATAAGATAGTCTCAGAATTGCTAGCCCATACCACTACAGAAAACAAACCTGCTAACTGGAATTGAATATTTTTGTACAATGCCTATTAAGTGAAATGGGTATACATGGAGTGCAGATTTTAAGTATACAGTGCAAAGAGGGAGTATTTCTTTTCTTTTTTTTTTTTTCTTTTAAGACAGGGTCTCGTTCTGTCTCCCAGGCTGGAATGCAGTGGCATAATTATAGCTTACTGCAGCCCTGATCTCCTGGGCTCAAGTGATCCTCGTGTCTCAGCCTCCTGAGTAGCTAGGACTACAGGCACCTGCCGCCACACCTGACTAATTTTTAAATTTTTTTTAAGAGATGGGATCTCACTATGTTGCCCAGGCTGATCTCAAATTCCTGGGCTCAAGCAATTCTCCCACCTCAGCCTACTGAGTAGCTGGGACTACAGGTGTGCCTCACTGTAGCTGGGACTACAGGTGTGCATTGCCATACCTGGCTACTTTTAAATTTTTTTTTAGAGACAGTCTTACTGTGTTGCCTAGGCTGATGTCGAACTCCTGGCCTCAAGTGATCGTTTTACCTCAGCCTCCCAAAGTGCTGGGATTACAAGGTAAGCCACAGTGCCTGGCCTGCAATAAATTTTGATAAATGGATATATCTGTGTAATCTACACCCCTGTCAAAATGTAGAACATTTTCATCACCCCAGAAAAGTTCTCTTGTGTCCATTCTCAGTTAATCCTCCCTTGTCCCCCCTTCTACAGGCAACACTGTTCTAATTTCTGTTACCCTAGATTAGTTTTGCTCATTCTTGAATTTTAAATAAACGGAATTGCATAGTAAATCTTATTTTGTATCTGGCTTCTGTCACTTAACATTTTTGGGATTTGTTAGATGTATCAGTATTTGTTCTCTGTTGCTGTGAAGTATTTCATTGTGTGACCATACCAGAATGTGGCCATTTTTACAGCCTACCATGTTGGGTAGATTGTATGAGAGTTTAAAAGCTCTAGAAACCCATCACATGGGGGCGCTCTGTGATTGGTAACCTGGGTGTGGGTAGTATGTGCTGCCTGAAACTTAGACTATCTTGAAAGTTAAGAAGAGGAAGAAAACCCCTGGTTTTCCTTTTTATGTTGTAATTTAAGTCATATACATGCACCTGACATCATGCAGAAGTTTTTGCCTGTGCCAGTTGAAAAGCAAGATTCTGATGATAGGTTTGATGCTTTTCCCCTAATCTGATAGAAAGATGATGACATTGAAGAAGGAGATCTTCCAGAGCACAAGAGACCTTCAGCACCTGTCGACTTCTCAAAGATAGACCCAAGCAAGCCTGAAAGCATATTGAAAATGACGAAAAAAGGGAAGACTCTCATGATGTTTGTCACTGTATCAGGAAGCCCTACTGAGAAGGAGACAGAGGAAATTACGAGCCTCTGGCAGGGCAGCCTTTTCAATGCCAACTATGACGTCCAGAGGTAAAGCAGCAACAACCAGCTGAGAGACTCATAGGCTGTGCTCGGTCTTTTCTTTATTATTATTATTAATTATGATGATGATGATGATTTTTTTGAGACAGAGTTTTGCTCTTGTTGCCTAGGCTGGAGTGCAGCGGCGTGATCTCGGCTCACTGCAACCTCCGCCTCCCTGGTTCAAGCGATTCTCCTGCCTCAGCCTCCCGAGTAGCTGGAACTACAGGCGCCCGCCACCATGCCTGGCTAATTTTGTATTTTTAGTAGAGACAGGGTTTCACCATGTTGGCCAGGCTGGTCTTGAATTTCTGACTTCAGGTGATGCACCCGCCTCAGCCTCCCTAAGTGCTGGGATTACAGGCGTGAGCCACCACACCTGGCCCTGTGCTGGGGCTTTTCCTGAGGCTCTTAACAGGGTGTCCTTTCTGGCCGTATTTCCCAAGGGCCTCTGCCTTTCCTTTCTAGGTTTTCTTTTAAAATTATTTATCTATCTAGTTTGTTTTTTTTTTTTTTTTTTTTGAGACGGAGTCTCACTGTGTTGCCCAGGCTGGAGTGCAGTGGCGCAGTCTCAGCTCACTGCAAGCTCCGCCTTCCCGGTTCACGCCATTCTCCTGCCTCAGCCTCCCGAGTAGCTGGGACTACAGGCACCTGCCACCACGCCCAGCTAATTTTTTGTATTTTTAATAGAGACGGGGTTTCACCGTGTTAGCCAGGATGGTCTCAATCTCCTGACCTCGTGATCTGCCTGCCTCAGCCTCCCAAAGTGCTAGGATTACAGGTGTGAGCCACTGCACTCAGCCTATCTAGATTTTTTTAATGTAAAGAAGAGCGTTGCCGGGTGCAGTGACTCACTTCTGTAATCCCAGCACTTTGGGAGGCTGAGGTGGGCGGATCACGAAGTCAGGAGATCAAGATCATCCTGGCCAACGTGGGGAAACCCTGTCTCTACTAAAAATACAGAAAAATTAGCGGGGCATGGTGATGCACGCCTGTAATCCCAGCTACTCCAGAGGCTGAGGCAGGAGAATCGCTTGAACCTGGGAGGCAGAGGTTGCAGTGAGCCGAGATTGCGTCACTGCACTCCAGCCTGGCGGCAGAGCAAGACTCCATCTCGGGGAAGAAAAAAAAAAAAAAAGGGCATTTATTGTTGGTAAAAGCAGTTAAGTTTTTGTTTTTATTTTTTGAAGAGGCGAGGTCTCACTATGTTGCCCAGGCTGATCTTGAACTGCTGGCCTCAAGTGATCCTTGCACCTCAACCTCCCAAAGTGCTAGGATTACTGTCACTGGCAACCATGCCTAGTGTGTGTTTTTTTTTAATATCTCAGTTGATCCTAAAGTTTTATTTATCTTTGGATCTTTAGCTTTTATTTCATCTGAACAGAAGGGTGTATAGCTTAGTTTAGACTCTTTGAGGGACAAAGTTAATAGTTTGACAGCTTCAGCTAGAAGTTTCTGCTCAGTGGAAAGTGCTTTGTGTGTAGCTATGTTCACACATAGAGCTTGGACCATGCTGTTAACCGATAACTAATTTAGTATGAAGAGGCTCAGTTTTCACACTTGAGTATGGTCCTGAGGTACAATTTTAAGAAATCTGCTTCTTTTTCCTCAAAAACAGTTCTGAAATTTGGGGTCTGCAAATATTCTGGTTTAGGAAATATAAAAGCAATGACAAGAAATGGGAGGAGTACTTAGAGAGTGTCCGGCCAGCAAAATATTTTCAATTAGCTTAAATAGACACCTAGACAGAACAAATAAATGTCTTGGTGATGTCTGCTCCAGAAGGCCCACTGGTCTCTGTGGAGTGGTGGGAGCATTAGAAACTGAAGGGGGAACGCGTGGTGTAGTCCCTAAGGAACAGAAGAATCTTGCCCGCTGGCCACACTAGGGCTCCACCCAGGCCTCATTCTTTCCGCTTTGTTCCTTGGGACCTTTCGAGTGTGGACGAGCTGGGCAGCTTGCTGCTAAGCTCAAGGGCTAGGATTTTTGTCCAACAACCAAGTGTCCTCTTGAGTCCTTCATAGCCTCTTATCATGACCCACTCTAAGCCATTGGTTTTCCACCTTTATCAGCAGAAGTCTTTTGTCCCATAAAAGTGTAACTGGACACTCTAGAATATAAAACAGATACAGATCAGATCGAAGCTGCCTCTTTACCTCCCCAGCAGCAGCCCCTGAGCCACCTCTGCAGTGTCCTAGGGAGGTTTTCCAAATGTTCACTTTTAACACGGGCATCCATTTATACAACAAAGGAACATCCAGTGTCTGTTTCTATTTTGATCTGAGCTGGATGTTTAATAGTTCAGCAAGCTAGTATTTTAATACATGAGATATCAGTAGCTGCTAGGCTTTGGAAAATCCAATTTTTCATTCCATATTCATGTAGAATTTGAAATAAACTGATAAGTGCCAGAGAATTGCTCTGACCCCTTAGCACCTTACTAGTACGTGCTGGCTGACTGATTGCATCTCTCTGCCCAAGGTTCATTGTGGGATCAGACCGTGCTATCTTCATGCTTCGCGATGGGAGCTACGCCTGGGAGATCAAGGACTTTTTGGTCGGTCAAGACAGGTGTGCTGATGTAACTCTGGAGGGCCAGGTGTACCCCGGCAAAGGAGGAGGAAGCAAAGAGAAAAATAAAACAAAGCAAGACAAGGGCAAAAAAAAGAAGGAAGGAGATCTGAAATCTCGGTCTTCCAAGGAAGAAAATCGAGCTGGGAATAAAAGAGAAGACCTGTGATGGGGCAGCAGTGACGCGCTGTGGGGGGACAGGTGGACGTGGAGAGCTCTTTGCCCAGCTCCTGGGGTGGGAGTGGTCTCAGGCAACTGCACACCGGATGACATTCTAGTGTCTTCTAGAAAGGGTCTGCCACATGACCAGTTTGTGGTCAAAGAATTACTGCTTAATAGGCTTCAAGTAAGAAGACAGATGTTTTCTAATTAATACTGGACACTGACAAATTCATGTTTACTATAAAATCTCCTTACATGGAAATGTGACTGTGTTGCTTTTTCCCATTTACACTTGGTGAGTCATCAACTCTACTGAGATTCCACTCCCCTCCAAGCACCTGCTGTGATTGGGTGGCCTGCTCTGATCAGATAGCAAATTCTGATCAGAGAAGACTTTAAAACTCTTGACTTAATTGAGTAAACTCTTCATGCCATATACATCATTTTCATTATGTTAAAGGTAAAATATGCTTTGTGAACTCAGATGTCTGTAGCCAGGAAGCCAGGGTGTGTAAATCCAAAATCTATGCAGGAAATGCGGAGAATAGAAAATATGTCACTTGAAATCCTAAGTAGTTTTGAATTTCTTTGACTTGAATCTTACTCATCAGTAAGAGAACTCTTGGTGTCTGTCAGGTTTTATGTGGTCTGTAAAGTTAGGGGTTCTGTTTTGTTTCCTTATTTAGGAAAGAGTACTGCTGGTGTCGAGGGGTTATATGTTCCATTTAATGTGACAGTTTTAAAGGATTTAAGTAGGGAATCAGAGTCCTTTGCAGAGTGTGACAGACGACTCAATAACCTCATTTGTTTCTAAACATTTTTCTTTGATAAAGTGCCTAAATCTGTGCTTTCGTATAGAGTAACATGATGTGCTACTGTTGATGTCTGATTTTGCCGTTCATGTTAGAGCCTACTGTGAATAAGAGTTAGAACATTTATATACAGATGTCATTTCTAAGAACTAAAATTCTTTGGGAAAAACCCTCAATTGTGATTTTAATAAATTAAAAGTAGCACATTACATGGTTAGAAAATGTCAGTGTTAAAGAATGGTACAAAGTGAAAAGTGTATCCCTCTCTTGCCGCCGGTGGTAGCTTGTCCCAGTGGAAGCTGCTGTTAACAATTTGTGCCCCCACATCCCCCTCCCTGCCCATCCACCAAAAAAAAGTACATTTACTTATGTAAATGTACTTATGGTGATGTATGTTTGTTTTGGCCTCACAGCATCTGTTTCCCCTTAATTTGGTAGCTGCTCACATTTCCCTCGAAAGAACCACACCCTCTGCATTCTCAGTTCTCTGCTTTGGATGGGACATTTGCCCTGCAGTCCCCCCACCCTCCAGGCCATGCCCTCTCCAGGGTGAGGCCTGTGTGATCTACCGTACTAGGGTACTAGGCCCTGAAAGAGGCTTTTCTTGTTCCTCCTGCATCTTGAACCTGGAGCGGGAGCTGTTGTAGGCCCCGCCCTTGGAGAAGAGAACTGTCTGACAGTGGGGAGAGAGCGCCACACCCTGGTGGCATAAACGAGTCCCTGAATCATGCCGTGGCTGAACCAAGCCCTGTCTGTGGGCTTTTTCTGTTGTACTCAGGGCAGTTTGATGGGGTTACTGTCCTGCATAGCCATAATGGCCCAGTATAAAGCAGCTGTTTTGATGAGATAATTGCTTTAATTAAGCAAAAGGTAGCAAAGCTTTCACTCCGCCCTGTACCTTCTGTTTCCACTTAGGAGCCTTCCCATGTCAGAATGTGCAGATCTGTCTCATTGTTTCCTGTGCAGTGTGCCCCCACTTCACCCAGTAGTTTCTGTGTGTCTGTTATGTACTAGGTACTACAAGGTGCCAGGACGGTGTAGATACAGCCTCTGCTATCGTAAAACTCAATGATTCGGTGGGGGAAGACAAATGTCAGTAATGTACAAAGTAAAATGGCAGCTGTTAGAAGTATGAAAGGGGCAGGGTAGGGGGAGGTAGAATCTTCCCTGACCAGGTTAAGAAAACCAGAGGCCTTCTCTGAGGGCAAGAGGAGGAGAGGAGAAATAGAGTAAGGCAGGCAGAGGAAACAGTCTGAGCTAAGACCCTGTGGCTAGAAGTGGCAGAGGGAGAGGCAGCAGGAAGGCCAGCGGGGAGGCTGGGGCCCAGTGCAGGCCCAGGTTGGAGGAGCGTAGCACATGGAGTTTGGTAGGAGTTTGGGACGCCCTGGTGGATCTTAATTGTGATGGGGTGGGTGTGAAAGGCAGTCCAGGTTGCACTGGTTGCACAGGAGAAGTGATCAGAAGAGGACCCCAGCAGGTGTGAGCCGTGAGCTGGGAGGTGCTTCAGTAGTGCAGGCCATAGCTGAAGGTGTCCTACATCAGCAGGGTGATGGTGAGGTTTGAACCACTGTTTCACTGCATAGTCCCTGCTGATGGACACTTGAGTGTTCAGATTTTTTGCTGGTATATTCAGTGCTGCAGTGGACATTTTCATACAAAATATTTCGGTACACTTTTGTTTATATCTGAAAGGTAAATTCCTAGCAGTAGAATTATTAGAGCAAACGGAATTTAACATTTTGGTGTGTATTGCCAAATTGCCCTCCCAAGTGGTTTAGTCAGCTTACCCTTGCCAACAATAGATCTATCCTTGCCAGCCTTGGGCATCACATTTACCAGTTTAATAGATTGTAAAACCATATCTTAATTGGCTACCCTGAAGCCACCATACTGGAGAGGCTGCGTACAGTGTTTCACGTAGAGAGAGGGATACCCAGGAGGCCCACCTGCTCCAACCCCAGCTGCATGAGTCTTCCCAGCCCAGGCACAGACATGTGGATAAGATTTAAACATTTCCAGCCCCAGCCTTCAAGCAATCCTAGTTGACACTGAGGGGAGCCAACATAAGCTGAGCTGAGAAACAGTCTGCCCAGTCTGCAGATTCATGAGCAAAAGAAATGTTGGGCTGGGTACAGTGGCTCACGCCTGTAATCCCAGTACTTTGGGAGGCCGAGGTGGGTGGATCAGTTGAGGTCAGGAGTTTGAGACCAGCCTGGCCAACATGGTGAAGCCCTGTCTCTACTAAAAATTAGCCGAGTGTGGTGGTGCGGGCCTGTAATCCCAGCTACTCAGGTGGCTGAGGCAGGAGAATGGCTTGAACCCGGGAGGCGGAGGTTGCAGTGAGCCAAGATCAGGCCACTGCACTCCAGCCTGGATGACGGGATGAGACTCTGTCTCAAAAAAACGAAACAAAAATTTTTTAAGAGAAATGTCATTTGTTTTTGTTTTTGAGACAGGGTCTCACTCTGTTGCCCTCACTAGAGTGCAGTAGGATCACGGCTCACTGAAGTCTCTACCTACCGGCTCAATTGATCTTCCCACCACAGCCTCCCAAATAGCTGGGAGAAATGTCCTGTTTTTAATGAATTTGTCTTCCTTTTTGTCTTGTTTGTTTTAATATCTAGTGATCTAATAAATTTGGATGATATCTTTTGACTATCAATTATGAAACCTGTATCAGATATACACATCTTTCCTTCTTCATCCTCAGGCTTTCTGGTTTTGATGGTGATACTGTGGCTTTTGTACTTCTGGTGGTTTCCCTTATACTGTTAAACCTCTTTTTTTTTTTTAAATTAAACCAACTTAGTATGCATTAACCACTGAACAAGGGAAAGGAACTCACAAACTTTTTCCTGTGTCCCTGATTATTGTTTAATAGTGTTTGTATACTGACAAGATACATAATATCCACCTTCTGCACCCACAGTGTCCGCCTTTATGCTTGGACAAGAGCATGCAGGGTAGGACATTTCTGAGCCTTGCTTTTTTCCCTGGAAGTTTTTTGTTTGTTTGTTTGTTTTTTAAGAGACAGGGTCTCTTGCTGTCTCACTCAGGCTAGAGTGCAGTGGTGTGTTCATAGCTCACTGCAGCCTCAAACTCCTGAGTTCAAGCCATCCTCTTGCCTCAGCCTCCCGAGTAGCTAGGACTACAAGCATGCACCACTATGCCTGGCTAGGTTTTTTTTTTTTTGTTTTTTTTTTTTGGAGAAATGGAGGTGTCTCACCATGTTGCCTGGGCTGGTCCTCAAGCAATCCTCCTGCCTCGGCCTCCGATTCACTGGTATTAAGTTGTGAGTCACCACGCCCAGCTCTACCTTTCAGCTCTTCTTACACATGGCTCCACTGGAGAGGTGTGAGGCCACCCCTGTCTTTCCCCTAGAAGTGACTGCTTTTTCTCTTTTTCTTTTTTTAAATTTGATTTTATGTTTCTTTGTTTGTTTTGGGGGATTTTGTAACTGATTTAAAAATTTTTTTCCTTTATGACTGCTTTTTCTTAGACTCCTTAGGGATTCTTCATTCTTTTTTTAATTGAAAAATTTTAAAAATTTTAAATAATTTTTTAAAATTAATAAATAGCATTCAGCTCCTTTTTACTTATGCAACTCATACTTAACATTTAGTAATTTTTCTAGGAAAAGTCTTAGTGTTGTTTTTTTTTTTTCTGAATCTTTTTTCTTAATCCTTCTAGAGCATGCTGTGTAATTTCTAATTGATTGCAGATTCAGCTCCCCCCTCCCCCATTATTTTGGAAAAATTTATCTTCTGTTAACTTTAGTTTTGTATTGGTATCTTGGGTTTCTTTTTTTTTTTTAGCTCTGATACACATTTTATATTTTTAAATATTCCGTTTTTATCTCATGTTTGAGCTGTTTTTATTAAAATTCAAGTTTTTATTAACTTCTATTACTCAAAAAATCCAAATGGAGAATCTTCACCTTGGGTTATATTTTCCCCCAGGATTGAATATTTATCTGTATTTGTGTGCTACATTCTTTTATTGCTGCTGTTTTCTAATTCCAAAATGTTTGGGTAGATGCCACATCTTTGTTTTTTCCCTCTCTTATTCATGCTTATTAGGCAGACACAGCTTTTCCTAGACCTCAGCCTGTACAAGTGTCACAGGTGAATTCTCGCTGGCTCTTTTCCCTCCGTATCTGAGCGTTGTCTGCTTCGCCAGGAGCTGCAGTTCCAGGGCGGAGTACTGCCTTCTCTCAGCTTTCCTATAGCTGAACCGGAAAGGAGAGGGGCTCAGACAAGGCTGTGTGTGGCTCTGCTTGACAGGTAGCCTCTGCTCTCCTGTGGCTTTCCTGAGTGTCCTAGACTAGGGTTCTTCTCCCCAGTGGGGGGGGGAACCATAATTGCTATTACAAGGAAAAATGATTGCCAAGACTTCAGAGAGTTCCCCCGTGATAGCAGAGAGTCCCTTCCTCAGGAAGGGAAAGGCTGGGATGTTCTTTGCTTCACTCTGTAGTAACCCTTTCTCTTCCGATCTCCGGAGAAGAAAGGTCATGCAATATGTGGCTTTGGGCAAAGGCAGGAGGCACTTGCCCCAGGCACACAATTTGAAGGGCAGCACAAAACTCGGTAATTAAATAGTATTTTAATGCAATATTTTTAAAAACCAAAAAATGTTTTCTTTAAAAAAAAAACAAAAACCATGATGAATAAAAGATGAGCATTCTAAATAAAGACAGGATCTGTCGAGGGGGTGAATAGGGTGAGGCAGTGAGGCGGGGCTGGCAGGGCCAGGGGCAGATTCACCACCTTCTCCTGCAGTCTGTGGTTGGTATTTATGTCCTTGTGCTTAGAAGTTCATATTCCCTGAATCCCAGGGTTTGTGTTCATAGTAAGAACTGAACTATTTATTTATTTTTTTTGAGACAGGGCCTCTGTTGCCAAGACTGGAGTGCAGTGGCACAATCATGGCTCACTGCAACCTTGACCTCCTAGGCTCAAGCCATCCTCCCACCTCAGCCTCCCGAGAAGCTGGGACTACAGGTGCACGCCACTACACCCGGCGAATTTTTGTGGGGTTTTGTTGTTGTTGTTGTTGTTGTTTTCTCGAGAGACGAGGTTTCATCATGTTGCCCAGCCTGCTGTCAAAACTCCTGGGCTCAAGTGATTCACCCACCTTGAAGTCTTTATTTTTATTAAAATAATAGCACAGCAATGTTAAAAGTTCTCTATAAAAGGAAGAAATTCATTTACCATCACACCGTCCCAGCTATCCAAGCTGTTTTCATTTGGCCAAGATCCCTTTGAGTCCATTACATCTGAGCGTTATATTCACATATTTGTCATCATAGCAGAAACAGAATTTGGTTTACAATTTTTCCACTCAGCGTTATATAGTAACGAAGGTTTTTGTTTTTTTTGTTTGTTTGTTTTTTGAGACAGAGTCTTGCTCTGTTGCCCAGACTGGAGTGCAGTGGTGCAGTCTTGGCTCACTGCAACTTCCACCTCCTGGGTTCAAGTGATTCTCCTGCCTCAGCCTCCCAAGTAGCTGGAATTACAGGCACCTGCCACCTCACCTGGCTAATTTTTTGTATTTTTAGTAGAGACAGGGTTTCACCATGTTGGCCAGGCTGGTCTCGAACTCCTGACCTCGTGATCAACCCACCTCGGCCTCCCAAAGTGCTGGGATTACAGGCGTGAGCCACTGCGCCCAACCTGTAATGAAGTTTTTATATTGCTGCCTGGTCTCTGCGTTCAGCGTTTTAGTGGCTGTGTAATATTCCCGTCCTCTTGCTGTGCCATAATTCTACTTAACAGATTCATGTAGTGAAGACAGTAGGGCTGGACCAGGCATGGTTTTGTTACTTACACGTGCCTGAGTCCAATCTCTGCCTCACGATCCATGTCCCTTTCTAGGAGCATGTACTTCTACCCACAGCTCTGGCTGCTGTGTTTACATGCACAGCCCTGCCCTGCTCTCCCACCCTCCCTGGATGGTCATGGTCTTTTGGACCAGAGGTGGGCATCTGACCCAGGTCACCATCAACCAGGTTGACAAATCAGATCCTCTCTCAGCCAGAGACTGGATGATTTGATAGCTGAGGCATTAATAGTGCAGCAGCCACAGTGAATTGCAAGAATGTGTGTGTTAGTTAAGTTTCTACACTTGCCCTAAGTGTTCGACCTCCTGAGTTTTGATATTCAAGTTTTCCTTGAATTCTGAGAGCTCTGTATTCCTATGAGAAACTTTTCCCTAGGGCTACTTTGAAGAGGTTTCTGCAGGTCTGATCCTCTCTAACTTTTCCTGATCTCTACTTATCCATCTATGTGAGGGAGTGAGACGAAGCACATGTGTAAAGTCCCCAGCACCGGGCCTGTATCTGTGCTCTCTATTTTTTTCTATATTTGAGTTTTTTTAGTTATCCACAATTATCAATAACGTTGAAATGAGCAGTTTTCCTTCCTTAAGATTAGTCCTTTGGTGTCGATTTCTTTTTTTTTTTTTTTGAGACAGAATCTCACTCTGTTGCCCAGGCTGGAGTGCAATGGTGCAGTCTTGGCTCACTGCAACCTTCACCTCCCGGGCTTAATCAATCCTCCCACCTCAGCCTCCCTCCCAAGTAGCTGGGACTACAGGCGTGGTCCTACTTGTCTCAGGTCCTACTTTTTCCTGTGTCCCTGATTATTGTTTAGTCCCAGCTACTCAGGAGGTTGAGGCGGGAGGATCTCTTGAACCTGAGAGATAGAGGCTGCAGTGAGCTGTGATTGTGTCACTGTACTCCAGCCTGGGGGACAGAGTGAGACCCTGGCTGGAAAAAAAAAATTGTTTTAAGACTTTATTGCTCCTATTGGAATAAGGGAAGAAGTTGAACTCAACTCTGAATACAGTGAAGACAATTGGGGATTTACAGCAGAGGAGCAGAGTGAGGGGATCAGTGGGTGGAGAATTACTAAGAGGAACTTGATTAGATATCAGGGGCAGGGGGATTCTTATTAACTGACTTAGGATTGTTGCTAACGCTGGGCTCAGCAGTCCAAGGTCAAGGCCTAGCTGAGAAGATGGCTCAGAGGAGCCCAACTAAAGTTTCTAAGGAGGGGTCTTTGTCATTTCTAGGGCTTTGCATGTGAATGCTCTTGACTGAAAATAGAAATTAACCCTTGACTGTGCAATCTGATGGCCATTGTTTTCCTATGCTAGGCTGTCAGGTACCTCGTTGACCAGGTAGGGTGAGGCCAGGGCTTGGAGCTGAAAGCCATTTACAGCAGGCAAAGATCAAGCTCTTCCACAAAGACTTGCAGTAGGAATCCTCTGGGGTAGCAGTTGACAAATATTCTCTTCTTGACCAGCCTCCAGTGAGGCTCCTTGAAGCCCTTGAAGCATTGACTTTCAGTGTCTGCTCTTGTGGGGCTTGAGTTGCCCATTTTAGCAAGAATCCTGTTAATCAATTTATTGAGAACTTCTTACCCTTGATATCTAATCACTCAATATCTGATCAAATTCTCCATCCTCCACCCCGCCCCCAGGTGATATCTGATCACCCAGGCCTACCTTCAGCATAATCCTGTTAGGTCTGTTTAACCAGAATCCGTGCTACCCCTGACATTTCCTCTTAGTCATTTTCCATCTACTGCCCCCATCCTGCTCCTTGGCTGGGGTAAAAACCTGTTTGTGCATGCTGTATTCAGAATTGAGCCCACTTCTGTACTGAGGTCTCTTTCCCCTTATTGCAGTACTTTCTGATTTAAATCTGTTCTTACTGCCGTAACTACCATCAGACACTGATTTTGTTTGACTAGGTCTGAGCGGGAAAGTTCCGAAGAATAGGAGTGGCTGAGTTAGCTACGGAGTTCATTTGGGGCCGGGAAGCAGAGAGGAAGACAACGATAATTATGATGAAGAACACGTTTTTGATGTCAGAAAGTACAACACTTCCCATTATGCACTGCATGTGAGCCTCACACCTGCCCTGCAGTGGAGGAGTAGATAGTTTACAGGTGAGTGAGCCCAGAGGGAAGGGGATTTGCCAGTGATCACGAGGCCAGCGAGTGCCTTTACTACTTCGTAAGACCCCTATTAAGTGAAGTAGAATTGTTCATTCTCTCCACCATATAACCAAAGCACAGCTTGGGAAAGTGATTTGACTAGAACCTTTTTCGGAAGCTGTCTGCAGTGGTTATCATCTCCTAAAGGAAAGTCAATTTAAAAATTAAAGGATGTACCCACTAGGGGGCAGCAGAGACCAGCTGTGCCTCACGGCTTCCCCACCATGTGTCTCTAATTTGCCACTGATCCTTCGGTGAGAATTCTTCAGCTATTATTTTAATTAACAGACTGCTCAGTCTGTGCTTGCAAAATATCTGTGAAAATCTGCATACACCTCTCTCTCTGAATTCTCTTGGAAATCCAAGGGATTATCTTATCCATGTGTACTGTTCTAGTAATATTAATTTACTTCATCCTCATAGCAAGCAGCCCTATGCAGTAAATACTGTCATCCCCATTTTGCACACAAGGAAACTGAGGCACATAGCCATTCAGTATTTTCCCCAAGGTCACGCTGCAAGGCAGTGACAAAGCCAGGATTTTTTGTTGTTGTTTTTTAAGACAGAGCCTTGCTCTGTCGCCCAGACTGGAGTGCAGTGGCGCCATCTCGGCTCACTGCAACTTCCGCCTCCCGGATTCAAGTGATTCTCCTGCCTCAGACTCCTGAGTAGCTGGGATTACAGGCACCCGCCACCACACCTGGCTAATTTTTGTGTTTTTAGTGGAGACGGGGTTTCACTATATTGGCCAGGGTGGTCTCGAGCTCCTGACCTCAACTGATCCGCCTGCCTCGACCTCCCAAAGCGCTAGGGTTACAGGCGTGAGCCACCATGCCCAGCCTCAAACCCAGGATTTAAACTCAGGCAGGCAGACTCCAAAACTGACACCAGCCACTGTAATCTGCTTGGGAGAGGGGCTGCTCCCCTTCTCTGGACCTCTTCTCAGACCCATGTGCCAAGTGTTGATACAAGCACTCCCCATGTAAGTGCTGAACACCAATAAGTTTCGGGAAGTGTGCAGGCAGTGGAGATAAAGATAGCAAGGCAGGCAAGGTCCCTGCCTTCTTGGTATTTACAGGTTGAATATTAAAAGACACACAATGTCTTTCAGCATGGAGTGTGCCTACTGTGTGCAAGCTCTGGACATCCTTACCTAACTGTGACATGCTACCCACTGTGTGCAGGTCTTTACATACTTTATTTCATTTACTCTCATTTTATTTTCAGTTAGGGTCTCACTCTGTTGCTCACGCTGGAGTGCACTGGCACGATGGCAGCTCACTGCAGCCTCGACCTCCAGGCTCAAGTGGTCCTCCCACCTCAATCTCCTGGGTAGCTGGGACCACAGGTGTGCACCATCACACCCAGCTAATTTTTTAATATTTTTTGTAGAGACAGGGTCTCCCTATGTTGCCCTGGCTGGTCTTGAACTCCTGGGTTCAAGCAATCCTCCCACCTTGACCTCCCAAAGTGTTGGGATTACAGGTGTGAACCACTGTGCCCGACCTCATTTACCCTTCACAACCCCACAAGGTTGGTATTAGTTAACATTTACTATGTGGCCCTTTGAAGCACAGTTCTGGTGTTGGACTTCCCAGCTCTGCATTTTATTAGCTGTATCATGTTGGACAAGTTATTTAAGGACCTCACTCATCTAAGCCTGTAGGTGCTAATAAAAGTTCCCATTTCAGAGAAGTATTATAAGGATTAAATGAGCAAGTCCCTGTGAAGCACTTAACACAGCTTTCTTTTTTATTTTATTTTTAAAGTAAAGAGGTGGGGTCTCACTATTTTACCTTGGCTGGTCTTAAACTCCTGAGCTCAAGCGATCCTCCCACCTTGGCCTTCCAAAGGAGTACAGGTGTGAGCCACTGTGCCTGGCCAACAGAGCTTTCAGTACATGTTAACTATTATCATTTGTGTGTGTGTTTTGTGCTTCAGGTGACTAGACAGAAGCTTGTAGGGGTTAAGCCCCTTGCTGAGAGTCACAGCTAGGAGAAGGCAGGATAACATCCTGCCTGGGCTGTTTTCTTCTGGAGGCACTGCAGTTTTCACTGTGGCTTGACACTCTAAGGGAGGGGCTGGGATGGAATTCTACATGGGCCACAGAGATTGCTCCAGAAGGAGAATGGCCACCTTGCCCAGTGTAGGGTATGCCAGAGCAGAGCGGGTCAGCTTCCTTCCAGGCAGAAACATCTGCCGTTCCCACCACCTTGGTGCTCTGCTCTCAGATACCTGCATGGCTGAGGACCTGCTCTCAGGTGAGATGGTTTGCCCTGAAAGGGGCAGAGCTGCCAGAGTCCAAGCGGTCTGCAGGAGACTGCAGTTTGACCATGCTGCTTGCTGGTACAAGGAAATTTTTGGTAGGCAGATTTCAGGAGGTCCCACGCAAGTGTCACAAGCCAGAAACTTGAGATGTTGGACCCCTTTCCACTTGATCCAGCATCTGGGAAAACCTGAGCCTGCAGTTGGGGCCACTTGGCCAACTCTCCATAGATCTTGTTGAATCAGCTTAAACCTGGGCTTGTCAAATTCTGGATCTCAGCAGCCCAACTTGCAATTTTAAATCTTTGACCACTGTTCCCTGGCAGACCTAGGGCAATTTTTGTTTTCTCCAGAGAAGTCTGCCGAAGTTTCTGAGGTGAAGTTTCCAAGCTGATGAATTGGAAGCCCAGACTTGGCAGCTCTCAGCCAAGGAGGGCTGCAGTTGGTGGAATGTGAAGAATGCCCAGGGACATCTGGTCTGCCTTGCATCTGTTTTTCAGGCCAGCCCGCATTCTTCCTGCAGGAGAGAGCTTCAGCCATAGGCCTAGAAACACTGGGGCCCCTTTGATCCATGCCTCCTACCTCAGCTCCAAGTTGGACGACATTGAGTGCCATACTTGCTTTCCCTGGGCCTTACCTCTTCTATAAACAGGGTGGCAAGTCCTGCCAGGCCTGGGATTTACATGCCAGGGTCTGGAAGAAACAAGACAATAGGGATCCTTATTCTAATGCAAAGGAGGTCCCTGACTCCCTTAGGATAGAAGCTTCCTTACAAATTCTCTGAGGTCCTTGCTCTAAATTAAAACTCCCTGAGGGCTCCTACTTCTTTTCTTTTCTTTTTTCTTTTTCTTTTTTTGAGATGGAGTTTCACTCTTGTTGCCCAGGCTGGAGTGCAATGGTGTGATCTCGGTTCACCACAACCTCCACCTCCCGGGTTCAAGTGATTCTCCTGCCTCAGCCTCCCAAGTAGCTGGGATTACAAGCATGCACCACCATGCCCAGCTAATTTTGTATTTTTAGTAGAGGCGGGGGTTTCTTCATGTTGGTCAGGCTGGTCTCGAACTCCTGACCTCAGGTGATCTGCTCACCTAAGCCTCCCAAGTGCTAGGATTACAGGAGTGAGCCACTGCGCCCGGCCAAGGGCTTCTACTTCTAGTTTTAAAATCAATGCCTTGAGCGCATCACCTCGATGGGCCTCAGTTGGAATGGGCCAGCATTTCCCAGAGGAATTTAACCAGCGGAACTGCCCAATAAGGAGGAGTTGGCCACTTCAAGCCAGTTATTTGGGCTTTTGAGATGCAGAATCAGGAGGAAGAGAAGAGGTGCAAAGGTTGTGGAGCAGAGAGGCAGCAGGGTATGGAAGAAGAGGGCCTGAATCAAATACACACACCCACAGTGTACAGTGGCAACTATGCAAGGTGCTTGTAGCTTGCAACAGAGGGATTTTCCAAGGGAGGCCAGAGAAAAGCTTCCTGGAGCAGGTGGCCACTAAGCTGAGATTTGAGCAGGCATGAGTGGACACAGAGGCAGCCTGGAAGCTGGGGGCAGTGGCACAGCAGGAGGGGTGGAAGCTTGGTTTGTGTGTGTGTGCACATGTGTGTGTGAACACACCTCTAATATGGGGAGCACTGGGCCCGTTGAGCTCTCAGGTCTCTCTGTCTGTAATACTCTGTGACTTTCAGAAACCAAAGGGCCTCTGCCACTGGCTCTGCAAATGAGTAGTTTGTTATTACAAACCCTTTGTAAATATTATTTTGATGAGGTATAATAGTTCATCAAATGAGGCCATAATTTATTTGGTCATTTCTGTGTAGATGAACATTTAGGTTATTTGAACCTGTCAAGTCATTATAAATAATGCTACAATGAGCATCTTCATACCCATGCTCTATTTCATTAGGCTAAATCCCCAGATATGTATGTAATTAGTAGGTCCAAAAAAAAAAATGATGATGATTCTTTTAAAGTTCTTGATTGGTTATGCTAAGTATTTTCTAAAATGGTTATTTCTAACTTTCAAAAACTTTATCATGGAAATATCTTAAATGTACACACAAAAAATAGAGTGGGTCACCATTCCTTGTCACCCAGTTCTAATAATTATCAACATTTTAATAATCATTTTTAATCTTTATTTTGGGGAGGAGGCTATACCTCAATTTAGCCAATTTGTTTTTTCTTTTCTTTTTTTTTATTATTATACTTTAAGTTCTAGGGTACATGTGCACAACGTGCAGGTTTGTTACATAGGTATACACGTTCCATGTTGGTTTGCTGCACCCATCAACTCATCATTTACATTAGGTATTTCTCCTATTGCTATCCTTCCCCCAGTCCCCTACCCCACAATAGGCCCTGGTGTGTGATGCTCCCCTCCCTGTGTCCATGTGTTCTCATTATTCAGCTCCCATTTATGAGTGAGAACATGCAGTGTTTGGCTTTCTGTCCTTGTGATATTTTGCTGAGAATGATGGTTTCCAGCTTCATCCATGTCCCTGCAAATAACATGAACTCATCCTTTTTTATGGCTGCATAGTATTCCATGGTGTGTATGTGCCACATTTTCTTTATCCAGTCTATTATTGATGGACATTTGGGTTGGTTCCAAGTCTTTTCTATTGTGAATGGTGCCACAATAAACATATGTGTGCATGTGTCTTTATAGCAACATGATTTATAATCCTTTGGGCATATACCCAGTAATGGGATTGCTGGGTCAAATGGTATTTCTAGTTCTAGATCCTTGAGGAATTGCCACACTGTCTTCTACAATAGTTGAACTAATTTACACTCCCACCAACAGTGTAAAAGTGTTCCTGTTTCTCCACATCCTCTCCAGTATCTGTTGTTTCCTGACTTTTTAATCGCCATTCTAACTGGTGTGAGATGGTATCTCATTGTGGTTTTGATTTGCATTTCTCTGATGACCAGTGATCATGAACATTTTTTCATATGTCTGTTGGCTGCATAAATGTCTTCTTTTGAGAAGTGTCTGTTCATATCCTCTGCCCACTTTTTGATGGTGTTGTTTGTTTTTTTCTTGTAAATTTGTTTAAGTTCTTTGTAGATTCTGGATATTAGCCCTTTGTCAGATGGATAGATTGCAAGAATTTTCTCCCATTCTGTAAGTTGCCTGTTCACTGTGATGATAGTTTCTTTTGCTGTGCAGAAGCTCTTTAATTTAATTAGATCCCATTTGTCAATTTTGGCTTTAGTTGCCATTGCTTTTGGTGTTTTAGTCATGAAGTCTTTGCCCATGCCTATGTCCTGAATGGTATTGCCTAGGTTTTCTTCTAGGGTTTTTATGGTCTTAGGTGTTGCATTTAAGTTTTTAATCCATCTTGAGTTAATTTTTGTATAAGGTGTAAGGAAGGGGTCCAGTTTCAGCTTTCTACATATGGCTAGCCAGTTTTCCCAGCACCATTTATTAAATAGGGAATCCTTTCCCCATTGCTTGTTTGTCAAAGATCAGATGGTTGTAGATGTGTGGTGTTATTTCTCAGGCCTCTGTTCTGTTTCATTGGTTTATATATCTGTTTTGGCAACAGTGCCATGCTGTTTTGATTGCTGTAGCCTTGTAGTATAGTTTGAAGTCAGCTAGCATGATGCCTCCAGCTTTGTTCTTTTTGTTTAGGATTGTCTTAGTTATGCGGGCTCTTTTTTGGTTCCATGTGAAATTTAAAGTAGTTTTTTCCAATTCTGTGAAGAAAGTCAGTGGTAGTTTGATGGGGATAGCATTGAATCTATAAATTACTTTGGGCAGTATGGCCTTTTTCATGATATTGATCCATGAGCATGGAATGTTCTTCCATTTGTTTGTGTCCTCTTTTATTTCATTGAGCAGTGGTTTGTAGTTCTCCTTGAAGAGGTCCTTCACATCCCTTGTAAGTTGGATTCCTAGGTATTTTATTCTCTTTGTAGTGTGAATGGGAGTTCACTCATGATTTGGCTCTCTGTTTGTGTGTTCCTGTTGTATAGGAATGCTTGTGATTTTTGCACGTTCATTTTGTATACTGAGACTTTGCTGAAGTTGCCTATCAGCTTAAGGAGATTTTGGGCTGAGACAATGGGGATTTTTAGATATACAATCATGTCATCTGCAAACAGGGACAATTTGACTGCCTCTTTTCCTAATTGAATACCCTTTCTTTCTTTTTCTTGCCTGATTGCCCTGGCCAGAACTTCCAATACTATGTTGAATAGGAGTGGTGAAAGAGGGCATCCTTGTCTGGAGCCAGTTTTCAGAGGGAATGCTTCCAGTTTTTGCCCATTCAGTATGATATTGGCTGTGGGTTTGTCATAAATAGCTCTTATAATTTTGAGATCTGTTCCATCAATATAGTTTGTTGAGAGTTTTTAGCATGAAAGGCTGGTGAATTTTCTCGAAGGCCTTTTTTGCATCTATTGAGATAATCATGTGGTTTTTGTCGTTGGTTCTGTTTATGTGAGGGATTACATTTATTGATTTGCATGTGTTGAACCAGCCTCGCATCCCAGGGATGAAGCCGACTTGATCGTGGAGGATAAACTTTCTGATGTGCTGCTGGATTCGGTTTGCCAGTATTTTATTGAGGATTTTCGCATTGATCTTCATCAGGGATACTGGCCTAAAATTCTCTTTTTTTGTTGTGTCTCTGCTAGCCTTTGGTATCAGGATGATGCTGGCCTCATAAAATGAGTTAGGGAGGATTCCCTCTTTTTCTATTGATTGGAATAGTTTCAGAAGGAATGGTACCAGCTCCTCTTTGTACCTCTGGTAGAATTTGGCTGTGAATCTGTCTGGTCCTGGACTTCTTTTGTTTGGTAGGCTATTAATTATTGCCTCAATTTCAGAACCTGTTATTGGTCTATTCAGAGATTCAACTTCTTCCTGGTTTAGTCTTGGGAGGGTGTATGTATACAGGAATTTATCCATTTCTTCTAGATTTTCTAGTTTATTTGCATAGAGCTGTTCATAGTATTCTCTGATGGTAGTTTGTATTTCTGTGGAATTGGTGGTAATATCCACTTTATCGTTTTTTATTACATCTATTTGATTCTTCTCTCTTTTCTTTATTAGTCCTGTTAGTGGTCTATTTTGTTGATCTTTTCAAAAACCCAGCTCCTGGATTCACTGATTTTTTTGAAGGGTTTTTTGTGTCTCTATCTCCTTCAGTTCTGCTCTGATCTTAGTTATTTCTTGTTTTCTGCTAGCTTTTGAATGTTTGCTCTTACTTCTCTAGTTCTTTTAATTGTGATGTTAGGGTGTCGATTTTAGATCTTTCCTGCTTTCTTTTATGGGCATTTAGTGGTATCAATTTCCCTCTACACACTGCTTTAAATGTGTCCCTCAGATTCTGGTACATTGTGTCTTTGTTCTCATTGGTTTCAAAGAACATCTTTATTTCTGCCTTCATTTCATTATTTACCCAGTAGTCATTCAGGAGCACGTTGTTCAGTTTCCATGTAGTTGTGCGGTTTTGAGTGAGTTTCTTAATCCTGAGTTCTAATTTGATTGCACTGTGGTCTGAGACAGTTTGTTGTGGTTTCTGTTCTTTTACATTTGCTGAGGAGTGTTTTACTTCCAATTAGGTGGTCAATTTTAGAATAAGTGTGATGCGGTGCTGAGAAAAGTGTATATTCTGTTGATTTGGGGTGGAGAGTTCTGTAGATGTCTATTAGGTCTGCTTGGTCCAGAGCTGAGTTCAAGTCCTGGATATCCTTGTTAATTTTCTGTCTCGATCTGTCTAATATTGACAGTGGCGTGTTAAAGTCTCCCATTATTACTGTGTGGGAGTCTAAGTCTCTTTGTAGGTGTCTGAGAACTTGCTTTATAAATCTGGGTGCTCCTGTGTTGGGTGCATATATATTTAGGATAGTTATCTCTTCTTGTTGAATTGATTCCTTTACCATTATATAATGGCCTTCTTTGTCTCTTTTGATCTTTGTTGGTTTAAAGTCTGTCTTATCAGAGACCAGGTTTGCAACCCCTGCTGTTTTTCGCTTTCCATTTGCTTGGTAGATCTTCTTCCATCCCTTTATTTTGAGCTTATGTGCATCTCTGCACGTGAGATGGGTCTCCTGAATACAGCACACTGATGGGTCTTGACTCTTTGTCCAATTTGCCAGTCTGTATCTTTTAATTGGGGCATTTAGCCCATTTACATTTAAGGTTAATATTGTTATGTGTGAATTTGATCCTGTTATGATGATGCTAGCTGGTTATTTCGCCCGTTAATTGATGCAGTTTCTTCATAGTGTCAATGGTCTTTACAATTTGGCATGTTTTTGCAGTGGCTGGTACAGGTTGTTCCTTTCCATGTTTAATGCTTCCTTCAGGAGCTCTTGTAAGGCAGGCCTGGTGGTGACAAAATCTCTCAGCATTTGCTTGTCTATAATGTTTTTTCTTTCATCTTCTTTGTGATGGTATATTTAGCCAATATCTGACTGTTGACTACTTAGGTTGTTTTACAGTTTTCATCATCATATAAAATGCTGCAGTGAATATCCTTGTCACAAATTCTTGTGCATTTCTGTAGCTCTTTCTTTAGGATAAATTCTTTGACAGAATTTTGGAGCCAAAGTCTGAATACATTTTGCAGTCATTTTTACTTAGTACTAAATTGCTTTACAGAAAATTTGCACCAAATTATTCTTTTATCCTCATTGTCTAGGAGCATTCATTTCTTCTGTCTTTTATAGTTCTTTTTAATATTTTCTAGTTTACTAGGTGGATAATAGCATCTCACTGTTGTTTCAATTTGCATTTTATAATTACCAACAAGGTTTAGTTTTTGAATATATCTTTTGCCATTTTGCCATTTATATTTTTTCTTATGTAATCTGGCCCCCTTTTGCTGTTTTTCTTTCTTTTCTTTTCCTTTTTTTTTTTCTTTTTGTTCCTTACTGCTTTGTAAGAGCCTCTCATATAAAATATCAGCAGAGTCTCAGCAAAAAGCAGATGGCATGTTAAGGAGCATTTAATGGCAGGATTGTTTGCAAATTGTGTGCATAAAGTTTAGGGATCCCAACAAGGAGTAGTGCAATAGCCCTGGGCTTGCAAAAGTGGGGGCCAGTTACCACCCCTAAGCCTGGCGATACTGAGAGAGAGGGCAATTACTGGGACCACGAAAGGGCTCCTGACCAAAGCTCTCATCTTCCTTAGAGGGATACAGTCAACTCACAGAGACACAGTAAAAAGGGAGACAGTGGCATGAATTCCCTAACCCAGGACTTTCCTTCCTCCCTTCCATCTGTTGACGGTGCCTCCAATTGGCCAAACCCAACAGGGAGCCAGAGGGCCAGGGAACAGCTGCTGGACATGTCTCGGCCTCTTGGGGCCTTAAACAGGGCAGAGAAGGGTGTAGAATTGATCTGGAGGCAAACAGAAGATGACTAGACACCCAAAGATAATAATTTCTTTTCTGGGATATGTATTTTAAACTCGTTTCCTGTCAATATTGTTTAGAGTTTCAATAATTTTATGTAGGCATATCAACCAATTTTGATGATTTTTCCTTTGATATTTTGTTTAAGAAAGCGTTCCTCATCCCCAACATTGTGTCATTATTCAACCATATATCAAGTGTTTTCCCTCTAGAATTTGAAGGAGAAATAATTATTTAAAAGATGCAAATAAGTAGAATTTCATTTTAACAGCTTAATTCTTTCTTTCCAAGGGAGTGTAAGTCCTTGTACTCCTTCTTTCCACTTTGTGTAATTGGTTGGTTGAATGTGCTGATCTTGAAAGGTACAAACTGGGAAAGAGTTTTTTTTTTTCTCCGTGCTTTTTTTTTTTTTTTTTAAACACAGGATGTTGTCTGTCACCCAGGATGGATTACAGTGGTGTAATCACAGCTCACTGCAGCCTTGACTTCCCTAAGCTCAGGTGATCCTCCCACCTCAGCCTCCTGAGTAGCTGGCACTACAGGTGGGTGCCACCACACCCAACTAATTTTTGTGTTTTTTGTAGAGATGGGGTTTTTTCCATGTTGCCCTGGCTGGCCTTGAACTCCTGGGCTCAAGTGATCTGCCCACCTTGGCCTCCCAAAGTGCTGGGATTACAGGTGTGAGCCACCACGCCTGGACTCAGTGCTGTCTTAAACCCCCTTTGTTCACTCAGCCTTCTGTCAGTGATGAGCTGGCTGGGACCAGCTGGTGAAAACCAATTGTTAAATAGACAGGAATTTTACAAGCTGGTTGCGAAACCATTGCAGCTGAAAATCAGCCATGATGGGAGAATTTACACTATGGGCATCAACAAATACTACGAACAGGGCTTCTCCCACCCACCGCCCCACTCCCCCTGCTTCCAGTTGAGTTTACCTGCACACCACTGCTCTTACCCACTTCTTTTTGAGCACTTCCAGGAGATAATGGGGACATGAGCTATTCTTCTCTCTTCCACTTTGCTTTTTCTCTCCACTTCTTCCATCTCTTCCTATTCCTGCTGGCTCCTGCAGGGGCACAAAGGTGGGGGGATTGGAAGAAGAGGGGTTAAAAATCTTTAATAATTTATGTTATGGTAGAAAGAGGGTTCGTAAGTGTTCTCCGTTATGGCAGGTGTCCATTTATTGGCTGTTTGGCATGTTTGGAGAATATGCCCAAGATCCCCCTTACCAACTTTGATCTGAGCAAGACATTTTCTAGCTGAATACTGGTGAAACCCCTTGGAGTTGCCCTATATCCTCTTTCTATCAGGAACCCCTTCAGCTAAGCAGGCAGCCACTTGGAACAGGGCCCTTTCAAACTAGCTCACACCAGGGCCGCACTAATTTCCACAATGTACACTTGACTCGTGGGAAGCCTCACACATCCTCCCAGCCAAAAGGAGTGAATGCACTGACCCAGAGGCTGCCCTTCATCCTTCCAGGCACTGCGGCAGCTCCAGCCTCCATCTACCTTCGGTCATCTCTGGGCGAGAGGCACCTTCAACCTCTACCCTCTCACATGGCAGGCATGCAAGGCAGGCTCTCCGGAAAACTGTCTCCCCCAACTCCAACAGCAGCTGGATGACCTGTGAGTTTTAGGCACTCAGCAAGTGTCCAGCTGAGAAGTAAAATGTCAATCTCTTCCTTTGGTAAATCTCCGCAATCTCCCCAAGAGGGGTTCTCTTGGAGCCTCTCACCGGGCTTAGGGGATGCACCCTTTGAGAGAGGGGAAACCCAATAGCACATTGACTCTTGTAAATTTCCTTCAGGGCATCTCCCCTTCAATGACTCTCCAGCCTTCTCTTCCTTAGCCTGGAGGTGGGTCACCACTTCTTACCAAGTCCTTCACGGCTACTCTAGGGGCTTTTCCTCAGAATATGGGGGTAACTGTCATCTATTGCCTCAACAATTGCCATTCCATAAACTGACACATCAAGGACCTTGAAAAGACAATCCTGCTCCCAACCTGATCACATTGAAGACAGGCTGCAATTGCAAGGCCTCTGCAGATTGTTTATACTGCTAAAGGGTGGTGACCCCTGAGAGATAGTTCTTTGCTCAGCAGAGCACCTTGATGAGTGTTTGGATATGAAAAAAAAATGCCTAAGGCCAGGCACGGTGGCTCATGCCTGTAATCCCAGCACTTTGGAAGGCCAAGGCAGGCAGATCACCTGAGCTCGGGAGTTCGAGACCAGCCTGGGCAACGTGGCAAAACCCCATCTCTACCAAAAAATAGAAAAAATTAGTTGAGTGTGGTGGCGCATGCCTGTGGTCTCAGCTACTCAGGAGGCTGAGGTGGGAGAATTGCTTGAACCTGGGAGGTGAAGGTTGCAGTGAGCCAAGATCGCACCACTGCTCTTCAGCCTGGGTGACAGAGTGAGACCCCATCTCTAAATTAATTAATTAATTGAAATAAAATAAATGCCTGGGACCAATCTTTTTATTGATGAGAGAGCAACAATTCTATACCTGATAAGGCAAGGAGAATTCTGATGTTCTAGTAGCAGCCTGACCCAGGAATTTACTTAAGGTGTGTGTAGGCGAATGGGAGGGTAGAGGAACTTCTGGGAAATGATGACTAATATTCTATTTGAAGCTGTTGCTATGCCATATTCCTAAATCTTCAGCAAAATTCCGCTATAAATAACTTCCTTGTGTTTGTGTAATTTGAGGAAATCAAGAAGAAAAGAGGCAATCTGGGATGGTGAATTTTATGTATCCACTTGACTGGGCCAGGGGCTACCCAGAGATTTAGTCAAATATGATACTGGGAGTTTCAGTGAGAATGTTTCTAAATGAGATTGACATTGGAATTGGTAGACTGGGGAAAGCAGATGGCCCTCCCTAATATGGGGGTGGGGGGGTGGGTGGCGCTTCATCCAACCAGTGGAAGGCCTGAATAGAACAAAAAGGCTGAGTAAGAGAGAGTTCCTTCTGCCTGACAGCCTTTGAGCTGAGACACTGCTTTTTGGGCTGAGCTGAAACATTGGCTCCTTCTGGGTTTCAGAGCCTGCCAGTCTTCAGACTGGAGCTACACCACAGCTCTCCTGGGTCTCAGGCTTGTAGACTGCCAGTCTTAGGACTTGTTGGTCTCTGTAATTGCATGAGCCAATTTCGTGTGTGTGTGTGTGTGTGTGTGTTTTGCAGTGGATGGGGATTGCCAAGTTTCTTCCAATCATGGGAGCCTAAGCAAGTTCAGCTAAATATGAAGAGAGGAAAGGTGGTCTCTAAAAACTGACCACGCTCAAGCAGCCAGTGTTTACAGTGGTAAGCCTGTAGGCAACAAATAATTTAATTTTATTTTCTTGGCAGAACCTGAAGGTCTTTCATTTTTAGCTGGGAAACCTAGGTTGGTTACATACTGTTACTGCTGTTGTGGCTGGACTCCTCTTTACCCAGGTGTTGTGTGGTCATTTTCATGTCATCTTTCTGTCCTCTCTTTATGGAGACTGTATTTTGTTTTTTTTTCTTCTGCAGTGGTAGGGAGATGTCTCATTTTTAAATGCTATTCATTATCATCATTAGTTTTTGTTTTCCTTCTTAAACCTATAATTATAACTCTGTTAATGTCTAAAACAACATGAGACAATTTCCTCCCACAAGAGAAGATGAAGAAGCTGAGCATGGTGGTTCATATCTATAATCCCAGCACTTTGGGAGGCTGAGGTGGGAGAATTGCTTGAGCTCAGGAATTTGAGAGCAGCCTGGGCTACACAGTGAGACCCCATCTCTACAAAAAAATAAATAAATAAATAAATAGCTGGGCATGGTAGCGTGAGCCTGTAGTCCCAGCTACTCAGGGGGTGAGGTAGGAGGATCCCTTGAGCCTGGGAGGTCGAGGCCACAGTGAGCTAGGATCATGCTTCTGCACTCCAGCCTGGGTAACAAAACAAAACCCTCTGTCTCAAACAAAAAAAAAGAGAGAAGATGAAGAGCTTAACACAGCCACCCCCTCTGCATGCTCCGTCCTTGTATCTGTTTTGCTTGTTATTACCATATATCCCAGGTTTGTAAAACCCAACTTTCCTTTGTAAATATTAACAATTGGCTATCTCAGAATTGCTTTTGGCTTTGCACCGAATTCTGTGTTTATATTTATAAAACTTATTGCAATATCTTTGTGGTTTTAGGGTTGGCTGCTGGCTTTTTTTTCCTGTTCCCCTTACCCCAATTGTAAATTCTTGATTTTGTTTCTCTATCTGATTAGAGAACACCTCAATGTTTTCTGGAAGAGCACCCTCGTGCTACTCTTTCTAAGCCTTTGTGTGTCCGAGAACTGTTTTCTTTTGCTCTCACCATGAATAACACCTAAGCCCAACTTTTCTGTAGACATGTTCCTTGTCTTCAATAATTAGTGTGTGGAGACCGGGGAAGAAAGAAGGAATCTTGCAGTCGAGGGGAGCAGTTGGACGCCTTCCGATTCTTAGCCCAGAGCTCTCCGTCCAACACACTTCATGTCATCATAGCTGGGCAGCCTTATATAAAATCCATTCTAAACTGGCTGCCTAGGCTCTTAGGGTCTTTTTTATTTTATTTTATTATTATTTTTTTAGACAGGATCTCACTCTGTCACCCAGGCTGGAGTGTAGTGGCGCGATCTCGGCTCACCACAGACTCTACCTTCCAGGCTCAAGTGATCCTCCCACCTCAGCCTGCTGAGTAGTTGGGACCACAGGCATGAGCCATCACGCCTGGGTAATTTTTGTATTTTTTGTAGAGATGAGGTTTTGCCATGTTGCCAGTCTGAGTCATGCATGACTCATGACAGTGTGAGCCACTGTGCCTGGTCTCTTAGAGACTCCTAAAACCACACTTCTCAGCCGGGCGCAGTGGCTCACACCTGTAATCCTAGCACTTTGGGAGGCCGAGGTGGGTGGATCACCTGAGGCAAGGAGTTTAAGACTAGCCTGGCCAACATGGCGAAAACCCGTCTCTACTAAAAATGCAAAAAATTAGCCAGGCGTGGTGGCTCAGGCCTGTAATCCCAGCTACTCAGGAGGCTGAGGCAGGAGAATCGCTTGAACCTGGGGGGCGGAGGTTGCAGGGAGCCGAGATTGCATCACTTCACTCCAGCCTGGGCTAAAGAGACTCTGTCTCTCTCACACACACACACACACACACACGCACAAACACACACTTCTCAAACTTTACTGTGCAAACAACTACCCTGGGTCCCTTCTTAAAATGCAGATTCTGATTCAGCTGATCTGGGAGAGCCTGAGATTGGGCATTTCTTTTTTTTTTTTTTTTTTGAGACGGAGTCTCTCCGTCGCCCAGGCTGGAGTGCAGTGGCGCAATCTCGGCTCACTGCAAGCTCCGCCTCCTGGGTTCACGCCATTCTCCTGCCTCAGCCTCCCGAATACTGGGACTACAGGCACCTGCCACTGCGCCCGGCTATTTTTTTTTTTTTGTATTTTTAGTAGAGACAGGGTTTCACCGTGTTAGCTAGGATGGTCTCGATCTCCTGACCTCGTGATCCGCCCGCCTCGGCCTCCCAAAGTGCTGGGATTACAGGCTTGAGCCACCGCGCCCGGCCGAGATTGGGCATTTCTAACCAGCTCCTGGTTATACTCCTGGGTGGTGCTGAACTTTTTTTTTTTTTTCTAGTAGAGACAAGGTCTCGCTGTGTTGCCCAGGCTGGTTTTGAATTCCTGGGCTCAAGCGATTCACCTGCCTCAGCCTCCCAAAGTGCTGGGGCTACAGGTGTGAACCACCTCCCCCAGCTGATGCTGATGATGCTGATGCCATTGGCCCATGGACCACACTGAGTAGCAGGCTTTAGAGCACAGGCATCCAATCTTTTGGCTTTCCTGGGCCACATTGGAAGGAGAATTGTCTTGGGCCATACGTAAAATACACTAACACTTAACGATAGCTGATGAGCTTTAAAAAAATGCAAAAAAACTCATAATATTTTAAGAAAGTTTACAAATTAGCGTTGGGCTGCATTCAAAGCCATCCAGGGCTGCATGTAGCCCACTGGCGGTGGGTTAGACGAGCTTGCTTTATAGCTTTCAAAGCTGAGTCATGCATGTTGTTGATTCTGTTTGATGCTCCTGATTGTTTTCTGTGAGGGAGGGCAGTTCCTGGGACAATGAACTCTTCCCTTCCTCCATCCCCTCCCCCAACCCTCACCATTACCTCTGTCTGCTCTCCTTCTCACCCCAACCCAGCCCTGAGGACATGAGGGCACTGCCAGGTGCCTGTGGACTTGATCCTCCCAGGATTAAGCCCTTCCCACCACCCACATCCTACTCCTTTCCCTGCCATTGAGAAAACCTCTGCCGCCTACCTAGCCCCCAGGCTAAAACAGCTAGGATGGGGTCAAAGGGCTCAGGATTTTGGCTTCAGTACTGGAGGCAGGAGGGTTGCGCTAGGGTCGGCTTTTATGCCTTTGTTCAACACAGCAAGCACACATTACCCAACAGAACTCTGCCAGATATGGGAAAACCTATGGCCTATGCTCTGCAGGAGGCTACAGTCTGGAGGAAGGGGTGAATGTTAGCCTGGGACAGGGGGCGCAATATCAAGGCACTGGGCCCTGGGCCCAGGAGAGGAAGGAGAAAGCTGCCAGGCATGGGTCAGAGAAGGCTTTGTGTGGAGCTACGCCCTGGAACATGAGTAGGCGTGGGCCAAGCCGAGAGGAGAGAGGGCAGGGTGGGTCAGGTCATCTACCATGTTATGAGGACTCTAAGATCCTTGAGCCAGTGGGAGGGGATGAGGATTAGGGCTCATCTGGGGATTGGGGATGAGGAAGGAATGGGTGACCAGATTGGAGATGCAGGCATATGCCACCTCAGGGACTGCCTGTGTGCCCAACTCAGCATACCCTGTGTGCCTGTGGGTATGGGAACAAAATTCTCCCAAACGCCTGCTTCCAGCTTTGTGCCGTTGCGTTTTCTTTAGGCAGATGTTGTTAGCTGTCACTGCACTGACCTCTAAGGCCACCCCAGCCTCCATGAGTGAACGCCCATGCCTTCACCCCTCCTGTCTGTGGGGAGGAACCCCACCCCCTTTCCTCCAGCAACTCCTACACATCGCCTCCAGGCCTTCCCAGCACCATTCCCTCACCAGGAATGTTCTTTGCCCTTCTTCACTTAGTTCATTCCTATGCATTCTGCAAAACTTAACTCTGCCACACTTTTCTGACCTGTCCCCTCCCAGGCTGGTGAGGGAGAGCAGATCATCCTGTCTGTCTCCCTGCGGACAGGAACGGAAGGTGCCCACTGGTCACCTAATGCATTGCAGTGACTACTTGTGGGATCTGGTGACTATTGCAGGGACAAATGAAGGACCCTGAAGTGCCTGCCTGTCCCTCCACCCCAACCTCTCTGTGGCTTCTTTTGCTGTGCGTCTAGCTGGGTGCAGTGTCCCATTGCTCGACGGTTCCTCGTTGGCGTCTGCTTTCCAAGTCCTCCCTGGATGCCTCTTCTATGCACCTACTGAATCAGTGGGCTGTGCTCTCTTTCACACAGTGACACTTCTGGCTGAGAAGTCACTAGTAACCCCCCACCCTCTTTCATCACAGCCAGTGGGCCCTAAAGCTGACCCTGTGTTTGGCCCAACCCACCTTCCACTTTGCCTCTCATGACTGAGCCTTGATTTATGCCCAGGTGTTCTCAAGCCCACACTCTGATAGCTGCCCCTCTGTCAGACTCTGCCTCTTACAAAAGGCCCTTCTCTTATCCATCTCTGACTCTCAGGCCAACACCTGTCCTACTTCCACTCACTGACCTTCCCTGACCAATCCAGGCGATGATCACTCCCTGCCCTCAGAAGCCTGCCACACCACTCATTGGGCAGGTAATTTCATGTTCTCCATGGGGTCATTCTGTGTTCCTCTGTGTGCACCGTGCCTGGCACAGAGCAGGGGTGCAAAAATATTTGTTGACTGAGTGTGCAAGTGTGATCTCTTTCTCCTGGCAAAGTTTCCTGAAGGTAGAGGCCGTGTACTCTCTACTGCACAGCTGACTTTATGCCCAAAGCTAGTCTGCCAGATATATTTGTGTATTGGCAGCTTAAAACGACCAATCTGGTACCAGCCCCTTTAAGTGAATTGACTATACACAGATGCACACAGACAGACAGACAGAGAGACATACACACACACACACACACACACGAGACATAGTTGTTTTGTTTTTAAACCCAATGCATAAGACCCAGGAGCTCTTTGGAAATCAAGAGAAGAACTCTCTGTGGTGATGGAAATGTTTTATATCGACTCTATCCTATATGGTAGCCACTAGACACACATAGCCATTGAGCACTTGAAAATTGTGGCCAATGTGATTGAGGAACTGCATTTTTAATTGCATTTAATTTAAATTAATTTAAATGTAGGTAGCCCCATGAAGCTAGTGGCTGCCCTCCTGGACTGGCAGTTCTGGACCACTCCCAGTTCACCTGCTCTAACCTCTGCCTCTCACTCTCTCCCTTCCAGACCCCTGAGCCCCTTCCAGTGCTGCCTGAGGTGCCCTCTACCTGTGCCTGCCTCTCGTCTGCCAGTTTGATTTGGACCTGTTTTTCCCACCTCAGCCCCCATGCTCTTGTCAAACGTGTTTGGCCTCCAGCCAAACAGGGCCTGGGAGGAAAAGAGAGTCCTGCTTCTGCCTGGCTTCCCCATCGGGGAGGGGAGTTGAAGTGACAGCCTCCTGACAGCTTAGAAATGTGGAGGACGCAGCAAGTTCTGGACATGGCCAGCCATATGAATGATATCTTCTCTTTCTTTGAACCATCTCCACCTGCTCTTATGGACACCCCGCCTTGGGGCAAGGCAAGGTAGGATCTTGACATATGACTAGCTCTTGGGAATAAGGCCATGGAAGTAAGGCAGACACATGGGGTGATTTCATCAGCCTTATTATCCTTAGATAACTGTTTATCTTAGGTTATCCTTAGATAAGTTATTATCCCTAGATAAAATGAAGCCCATTTTAATAGAAAATGAAACAAACAGACAAGATGATGACATCCTTTGTATGTTTACTATAATAACAGCAAAATTTTTCCAAACCAGAGCCAATTTCCTTGGCTCTAGGTACACCCCTTCCAAGCAATGCAAAGGACATCTCCAATCATGACATTTAAGACAATTCTTTATTTCTCTGACAGTGACTTCTTGAAGTGCACATATAATAAATAAATAGAAAATATATCTTTGTTCATGGTGATGCCTACAAGAAATGTTTACATACAAACACTCTATACATCTAACTCCCGAAAAAGGACCAGCTATTTCGGCAACAGAAAAAAGACAAGCATTTCAGAGGAGCGTTGCTTTCCTTAAAGACCTAACTCACTTAAGTCTTACAAACAGAAATAACAAGGAGGACAATTTTCTAAGCAATAAGAAAATTTGTGCTACCAAGAAAATGCCTAGATATTGGCTCTTGGTGAATGGTTTAGGAAAGAAACTTTTATGTACAGATCCTGTACTGTGAAACATATGTACAACTCTGAGAACTTTCAAATAGATATCTTTTTTAAATGAACTGAGCCAAAGACATTCAACATTCCTGGCCACCTGAAAGTGATCACATCCTAAGTGGTTCACAGTGTGAGACCCTTGCATTAGAAGAGTGAAAACTCAACAAAACCGTGGACAAGAAGGACATGAGGTCATTTTAACTCTCCTCTCCATCACCACTAATCTCCCTGGAAGAAGTCCTTCCTGTGACTCTGGCCTTTGAAGCAGCCATATCTTTAAAAGCAGAGCCCTATGGTCACCTCCCAGCAGCTGAAAGATGTTTGGTGGGAAAGACCTCCCTGACAGTTGGCTCCCACCTGGGGAATGGACTCTTGGACCGAGTCTCATGGGTGCAGTTGGGTGGAGGGAGCCAGGCAGGCCCTCTTTGAAGGAAAGAGTTTGTGGTTGGGGCAGGAAAGGGGATAAATGTAGTTCATCACAAGACCCAGGGAGACTCTGGTGCCTCGTGCAAGATTATAAACCACAGATAGAGTTCTCCCTCTTACAGGAGCTCTTTGGGCTCTCTATAAGGTGGGCCAGGGAGAGAGCAGGGCATTAAGCAGCAGCTGAAAGGGACTGGGGTGGACCCAATAGCTGTTCAGACACCCAAGATCAGCCAAATTGGCTCACCAGAAACATGGCGAGCCCTACTCCCTCTGCTGGGCCTCACCTGTAGAGCTGCAGAGACAGGAGAGCCAGGTAGCACCAATGGGGAGTTGCAGCTACTGTGCACCCAGGCTGGGCTGACAGGTAGTGAACAAAGTGAAGGCCACAGGGACCGCCAACACCAAGGGGAGGGCGGGTTTGTGTGCGCTGGGAGCAGGAGGGAAGAGATCTGCTAGCTGTCATTCTACTCTAGTCATTTCCTTTCCTTCGAGGGGACTTGTCCCCATTTCCAGAAGCTACCTCAGGAGTGCCTGGGCACTCTGGGGCCGGTTGTTGAGGCAATGTGGTGTGGCAGCAAGGGCTAGGGTGGGGCTCCCCAGGCCCTCCCTTAGCTGTGTGGTTCTTTCCCATCTTGGGGGCTCACTTTCCCCATCTGTTAAAATGAAGGCTTTGGGCTAGATATTTTCTATATTTCCAGCTCTGAAATCCCAGGCCGAGGGAGTACGAGCACATCTAGGGTCTCCTGGAGGCCCCCTGTGCTCAGTTCCCTGGATGAAGAGCAAATGAGGCCCTAAGGCAGGAGCTCACTTCTGTGGACTTCACCCTCTTGGAGTCAGAGGCAGGGCTGCCTGGGGACTGAATTCCTCTGTGCTCATAAGCAGCAAAGCCCATTGCTCCCCTCTGACCACACTTCTCCATCATGAGTGGGCCAGAGAGACGTGAGCAAAGGGCGACCCCGTAGTCACCAGCTTCAGCAGGCAGCGGCAGGGAGGGCTGAATCCCTGAGCCATTCCAGAGGCTGCCTCATCTCCCCCCAGCAAAATGCCCCCAGCCTTCATTCCTGTAAGCAAGAAGCCTTCCTGAGCCTCCCCTCTGAAATGGCACTGGCCTCCATTTTACCTCTCTGTGATTTCTCCACCTGGCATTGCAGTGCACATGGACCTGACTGCCTGCCCTACTGGACTGCAGACCCCTCAAGCTAGGCATTAGTTCTCACCTCTCCATCCCGTGTGCGCTGGGGCACCCAGCATCATGGATATCAGTGGATATCCATGAACTGTTGGGTTCCAGGTACCATGTGAAATGCAGCAGATTTCTGGAATCTCAGAACTAAAAGGGCCTTTGAGAGTCATCTAGTCCAAGTCCAAACCTGCCACTCAAAGTCTCCTGAAAGGTGGACACGGCCAGAGGCAGGGCTTGCCTCTTCCCCAAGGATAGCCAGTTCTACCCCAGCTCCTAATCCTGTGAGGTTGGCTCTTGCTTACAGGAGTAAAGATTTCCTTAAGGCCAAGGCTCTTTCTCCTACATTTACCACCCTCACTTGTCTGCTGAAGACCATGGGGATCTGTGAATGACCAGCCCTCCAGACTACCTCCTAGCTGGGTCAGGGCTCCTGCCAAAGTGGATCTTTGCTGTCAGCACAACCCAGGTCTCCTGATATGGTCCCCAAACCCCCACTGAAGAGGCACAGATAGGAGAGAAGCACCCAAGAGGCTGCAGGAAAGTGAATGTTTCCAGCATTGGCCAGCACCGCCCCAGGGGCTCCAGGTAGACACTTGAGTAGGGGCAGGTGGCAGCACCAGGGTCTCTGATAGCCTTCCCTTGGCCCATCAGGGCTGAAACACGGCCTTCCCAGGCAGCTGCTGGCAGGGGCTGGGGGACCCAGCCATCCCCCACTGGTCTGCTGCCAAGAGTCACCGTCATAGTCTACCACGAGGTGGCACCGGGCGGCAGCTGTCCTCACAACTTCTTCTTCTTCACCACAGGGATGGGCACAACTTGGAAGATTTTGGCTTTGTGATCCTCAGTGTCCAGTGTCACCCAGATGGGCCGGAAGCTGCCTTTGAAGCCAACGAATGCCATTTGCTCTGAAAAGCAATGATGAGTCTCCTGAGCAAAAGCCCTATGAGAGGACGGCTGCCCCACCCCGTTCCATGGCTCCCCATCGCCAGCCCCCCACGCCCACCAGGTACCGCCTAGCCACACTGCACTGTGGCCCCTTGGGAAGAGCTCTGTGCTCAGCTACTGATGGTGCCTGACATGTGTTTGTATGGGGCAGGCAGGGTCTCACCTGAGCCTCACTGCCACCTAGGCAGGGTGATGGCTTTGTTGTAGACAGGGGAGCCATGCACAGCAGGAAATGGGGCAAACTGTAAGGGAGGAGACCTCCTAGGAACCTGCCTACCTTTGAGCTGCCCCTAGGACAACCAGCAAGTCCCTGCCCCTCTCTGAAGCCCAGTGTTCCCATCCATCAAATGATGGCATTGATCTACAAGATCTCCTTCCCCACTCTATCACTCTGTGGCTCTAGAAAGAGTTCTGAGAGGTGAAGAAATTTGACCAAGAGTGTGGAGTAAATGGTGCACCCCAGATTAGAACTCTAAACCCCTGAAACCCACACAGCACTCTCCATCTTGCAGTTCACAGCTTGAGCATCCGAGGGGCATGGGAATCCACGTCTATACTCAGCCCATCTTGGCAGGCAACATGCATTTATCACCACCGGGAAAGTGCCATTCAACTTAGGTCACCTTACATACATCAGCTTTTGGCAACCGGGATCTTAATTTAAAAGACAGAGGCTCCAAAATGATTTCAGGACTGGGCTGGAAAGGATACTTCTCTTTTCCTTATGTCCTCCTTTGGCTGGTTTGAAGGGTTTGCATTGCTTCTGATTTTTCTCATTGCCCCATATGATGGGTTTCTGATTTTGATGTTTTCCATAGTGAGGATGGTGTATAACTAAGAAGCCCAGCTTTGAGTTAGGAAGATTAGGATCCAAGTCCTAACCTTAAGCAAGTGGCTTGGCTGTTAAATTCTTGGTGTCCTCATCTTAAATGGAAATAATAGTACCTGCTGCACAGGTTATTAATGAGTAAGTGAGATAATTATAACATGTTGTGCAAAGTGCAAGGCTGAACATTGAATAGCAACCACAATGATCATTATCATTATTGCCCGTGGAGCTTCTCTGCCGCCCATACAGCCTCTCTGAGGACTCTCCCTGCACCTAGTTTTTGTGATGATAATGGGTGTCATGCTGACATGTCCCTCCTGGATGGCTTCTTCCAGCACAGCCAGCAAGCCTGTGCTAGGCTTCACCACCGAAGCTGCCTGGCCTTGGACAAGCCATGTAGGTTCTCTGGGCTTTAGTTTTCTGGAACAAATAAGAGTTTTGCAAGCTGCAAAGGACTGTACAAACGCTAGGCATCAGCTAGAATGTTGAAGAAGATGCAGGACCCCTGGCCAGTCTGAATAGCAGGAATTGGGTAGGAGGGTGAGACTAAGCCACTTTTCTTATGATACTTTTGTTGAATAAAGGGCCACTTTCCAAGCAAATGAGTCAACAAATATAGCAATTTTCTTTCAGTGGCTGGTGGCAAGTTATAATAAATTTGCTGCAGTGCAGGGGTGGTAAACAGGTGGCATCTTGCCCATCCATTCCAGTAGACCACTAGTTGTGTGGGGGATTCTTAGGTTGTACCCACGTTTAGTACAAAGCATGTTCTCAACTCAGCAAAAGATGACAGCACCCTCCATGCCAGGCATTTGCCTTCTCTGGTTTTGGGGTCAGTTTAAACCCCAGTTCAAACCCTTACCTTTCAACTTGAGACCCCTGTCTGCCCCAAGCTTTTCCAGCACTCTGGTCCATGGGCCTCTGGAGACGTATCTTCCCTTTGATGCCATAAGCACTATGGAACTGTGTGAGAAGAAACCAATTAGACCAGAGGGAGAGAGCAAACTGGAGAAAGTGGGCATGGGGAGGGATGTTGGTTTGTGCATGGTGGGACTGGAGTTAGCAGTGCCCAGAGGCCTGTCCAGGGATTCGGGAAAGGGCAGCCTCTCCTGTGTTCTGAGCTGACGGGCTCTTTCCATGTGGTGACGAACATCCTGAGCTCCCTCCCACACATCTGGCCACAGTTGGTGCCCACAGCCTTCTCCAAGCCTGGACTTGGCTCACCGCGTTTACATGTCTCTCTCCAAACAGAGGAGAGGATGTAAGCAGAGCGTACCATGCCAGGGCTCGGCACACAGTAGGACTTCGATATGTATCTCTTCCCTTGAATGTTCTCAACCCTGGTTAGGTAAGACCAGATAGAAATGTGGTGATGGAGGAAGGAAGGAGAAAGGGAAGAGAAAGAGAGGAGGTGCGGGAAGGCGGAGGGGAGCATCTGTCAAATCATAAAACCATCCAGGAGCTCCTGAAGGTTCTAGATCCTGAAGGTTCTAGAGACCAGCTCCATTTGGCATCCCCTGGGATTTCATTAGAACCACAGAATTCCTCCATTGCAGACTTCCTGAATCAGAATCTGCATTTTTACAAGATCTGCAGGTGATCATGTATACATTAAAGCTCGAGAAGCCCCATGCTAGAAGATTTCTCTTGGAGCGCATCTTTCTTTTGCTGTCTTCTTTTGATGGACACAGGCTTAGTGTAGTCCAGAGCCAGCCTTCTCTGAGCTGCAGGAAGAGCATGGCCAGGTTTGAAGTCTTTCTGGGAGAACACCATGTCGTTACCATGATGCTCGGGTTGTACCAAGAGCTCAGATTGACCTCTTACGTTCACGTCACCTCTCTCTGGTTAGGCAACACAGGGCTATTGCCTCTATTTTGCAAATGGGGAGATTGAAGCAAATAGTTACCAAGTATCTCAGAGGACCTACCAAAGGGAAATGTGCTTGAAAGACACAGAGGTTTGGAGCAATGTGTGCACCCAGCCTGAAGGTCCCAAATTGCAAAAGTTCGACTTGGGAATAAGGAGTGTCTATCCCCTGCCTCGGGGTGTATTCAGTCCAAAGTGCTGGGAAAATAGCCTTCACAGTGGCAGACTCAGCACACTGGGCCAGATAGGAGGAAGTGAGCACCTCCCTTGGGAATAGAAATGGGGCAGAAGCTCAATGGGGCGTCCAGTTTGTATCTCAAAGGAACTCTGTAACCACAGACCACAGTCCAGACATGGAAAAACTGTATAGGATTCTGGAACCTGTTGTTACCCCCATTTGTGTCCCACTGGGAACAGCGGGAAAGATCTTAAGATGCGAAGGGCTTGTGTGAAATAAGGATAGATGGGAAGGGAGCTGGGGCTGCCTCAGGCCCTTGAGGAAGGCTGGAGAGGGAGGCCCAAAGGGTTGGTAGGGTGAGGCCCCTTAAGGAGACAGGTCTCATTGCTAACACATCCTCCACTCTAGATTCAGGATCTGTTCTCAGGAGGATATTTCTGCATTGTTTCATTTCAGAACAAAAGCTAATGGTCCTTTGTTGGAGCTCAGCCTTCCTACTTGGGGGACTCAAATGTAGGTCTTGCCCTCCTGATGGGGATCTAAGTTAGCTCACAGGAGCGGGACAGAGAGATGGGCTTCTTGTGTCCCCACCCCTTCCCACTGATGCCCAGAAGCCTGCCTACCTATGTTGGGAACACTTCTTTGCCTGGTGTGCCATCCTCATGGCCTATAAGCCCATGCCCCAGCCAGCACAGTCTCCCACAGAGTGGCAGTGCAGAGGCAGCTCCCAGAAGCCATGCTAGATGTTTCTGGTGTGAGCAGCTGCCCTCTTCTCTCCCCAGGACCCTGGGGCCAGTAGTGGCCTGCTGGATGGGGTAGGAAGCATGGGCCAGGCTAGGCAGGGCCCGCAGCCACAGTAGAACAGGATCTACCTTGCCTCATTCCCTGCTGCTTTCCAGGAGGTTAGAGAGGGGTCTAGTGGTACCAATGCCTGCCTGGGTGCCCAGCGCCAGCCCAGGGAGTGGCCCATTCCAGTAAGGGCTTCCCCCAGAGAGGTGCTGCTGCTCGGGCTGGTGGGAGCCTTGCACATGGTTCCAAACAGAGTAGCACTGCAGTCTAGTTTCTTATTCCAAGCTTCTGCATCATCTTTCATTTCAAAAGAAAATTCTCTGCCCAAAACGTCATGATCTCTAGAGGATAACTATTTTTCCCAATTTGGTCAACCTTGTCCTCTGTCTGAATCTGCATATGAAAAATAGAATGCCGAAGAAGCATCTGATGGGGGAATGAGGGAGGGAGTAAATGTGGTTAAGCAAAATCCCATTATCCAAAATCTCGCCAGGTGCCCAGTTCACGTCGTGCCCCTCATGGAGTCAGCATCTGGGAAGTACATTTGCTTTCATTTAATAACTATTAATGTTTACTAAGCACCTACTATGTAGCAGGTACCACATGAAGCGCTTAGACTTTCCACCAGGTTGTGGCTCCTGAGTGAACTGTACACTCACTTAACTAGCCATGTTCTGTGCTAGAAATGCAAAGGGAAGTTAGACATGGCCCCAACATTGAGAAGGCCACACTCTTGATGGGGCAACAGATGTGTCCACCAGACCTATTGTGAGTAGTGCTTTAGCAGAGGTAGAACTTTTATTTTTTATTTTTTTGAGACGGAGTCTTGCTGTGTCACCCAGGCTGGAGTGCAGCTGCGCAATCTCGGCTCACTGCAACGTCCGCCTCCTGGGTTCAAGCGATTCTCCTGCCTCAGCCTCCTGAGTAGCTGGGACTACAGGTGTGCACCACCACACCCAGCTAATTTTTTTGTACTTTTAGTAGAGATGGGGTTTCACCATATTGGCCAGGCTGATGTCAAACTCCTGACCTCATGATCCACCCACCTCGGCCTCCCAAAGTGCTGAAATTACAGGTGTGAGCCAATGCGCCCTGCCAAGGTAGAACTTTTGGGTTGGATCGGAAAAGACCTCACCGAGGAGGCGATGTGGGGAGACTTGTAAGGTACTGGGGAATTACCAAAGTTTGCTAAGGAGAGGGGACACAGGTTTTCCCTACATTTAAGAAGTTTAAACCAGCGGCCAATATGGAAGATGGGTTGGAGTTGGGGCAACTGGAAGAGGGAGGCCCGTTAGGAGACTGTGCCAACAGTGTTGGTGATGAACAGCAAAGGCCGGGGCAGAGTGGCAGAAGAGAGGACGCTGTGGAGGGAACCAGCAGGCGAGCAGTACTGCAGGCAGAATTGATAGGGTGTGATGATAGCATGTGGAGGAAAGAAAGAGGAGACAAACAGAATGCCCAGATTCTGGCCTGGCTATCAGGATGAATTGTGATGATTTCATCAAAACTGAAGAAGTAGGATGAGTGGCTGGTTTGGGAGGTTAAACATTTTAAAAGGCTGAGAATTCAGTTCCATACAAGATGTCCAGGTGGCGTTGTCCAAGTAGCAGTTGGACTGGAATGTCTGGTGCTTAGGAAGGAGATCCGGGCTGGAGATAGTAGCCACCAGCACTTGGATCGTATTGAAGGTGTGGGAGGGGATGAGATCATGCTGGGAGTGTAGTGAAGAGGGCCAGGGCAACCTTCCCATGTGCAGCGGGGCTGTCCCGCCTGCCTCCGCCTGACCTACATTCACAGCAGCCCAGCTCCAACACCAGAGTCCACAGGCAAGGACGCTCTTGTCCAACACCCATGATTTGTGGGCAGGCTGTGGAGACTGCCTGAGCTTTTCCAGACTGATCTGTGATGAGGGCCTTTGTGAGAGGGAGGGGGCCCTTGCCCAGGGGTCTGCTGTGCCAGCAGCCAATTCCAGAAGCAGAGGTACAGACTCACTTGTCAGGGATGGTCGCCACATAGTTGAAAAGCTGCCATGGTATGCCTTGCAGAATGGAGTTCCTGAAGCTCGTGTGGCTCACCACGCGCCCTTGGTTCCCGTCAATCACCACCACCTGGATGCCATCCTCCGAACTGGGGTACTTCTTCCCATCCACCTACAGAGCCAGAGCAATCCAGGTGTGAGGCAGGGTGCCAAGGCCCCATGGTTCTCCTGCCCAGGTGGTTCCCAAGCAGACCCTGAAGGCAGAAGTTGCCTATGCATCTATTTGAAGCGTAAACTCCATTATCCACTTAACTCCTCGTAGCCCTCAGTAGTGGGTCAAATAGTGGCCCTGCAAAAGTTATGTCCACCCGGAACCTGTGAAAGTGGGCTTATGTGAAAATAGAATCTTTGCAGACGGAATTAAGTTAAAAGATTTTTTGATTAAACCTTCTGGATTTTTAGGGTGGGCCCTAAATTCAAAGATAGGTGCCTTTGCAAAAGAAAGGCAGGAGGAGAGGTGAGACGCAGACACTCAGGAGAAAAGCCCACATAAAGACAGAGATTAATGTGTCTGCAAGCTGAGGAATGCTCAGGAGTGCTGGCAGCCACCAGGAGCGAGAAGAGGCATGGAACAGGTTCCCCGCCCCAAGCCCCCTGGAGGAAACCACCCCTGCCAACACCTTGCTCCCAGTTTGCAGTAATTTGTGCCAGCAGCCGCAGGACACAGTATCACCTCTCAATGAGCAAACCCGAATCCTCCAGGGGCCAGAGGCACTTACTTCAATGTAAGCGAAGTCGTTCCAGAGGTGGAAGAAGTGCTGCTTGGAACTCTCCATCTTCACCTCCAAGAAATGGTCCTTTGTTTTCTGGAAAACACATAGAACCCAATGTAATTGTTAGGTTTGGGTAGTCATTCCCCTCCTCTTCCCGTATCCCCAGTCACAGGAAATGGTTTATGGAGCTGAGTGAGGGACCTAATTGGGTCTGGGCCCGACTGGACGGCAAAGGGCTCTAGGCCCGACTGGACGGCAAAGGGGTCTAGGCTTTGCTCTCAGCCACTCACCAGCTGAGAACCAAAGAGCTTCTTGGGCATCGGCACGTCTACGACAGCCCTCTCGGTGAACTTGGGGTAAGCTGTGGCTGTGCAGTCACTGACGCCTGCGTTCTTTGGAATCAGAGCTTTAATCTTTATCCTCTCACAGCCTTTCATGGAGCAGAAAGCAAACTTCTCTCTCTCGTTCTGAGCTTTCAGCTTCAGGAACAACAGCCTGCACACAAGGAGCATTGCTGGGCATTTGCTTGGACACTCAAACCTCCCTCTTCTCCTCCCACCCACCGAGACATTTACTCTGAGCTGGTCATAGCAGGTAGACCCAGCGGCCTTATAGAATGGAACCATGTCTACCACCGAGTTGCATGTAGTTGGAGAAATAAGGAACAAATGCATTGAAGAAAAAGCTAATGAGAATGGCAATTCTATTCTGAGCACGTTCTATGTGCCACGCCGTGCACACATCGTAAATCGACATATCTCATTTAATCCTCAAACAATCCTGTCCAGTAGGTACTATTATCATCCTGAATTCCTGGATGGGAAAATGGTGGCTCAGAGAAGTGAAGTGACTCGCCCAGGACCACACAGCTGGGAAGTGACAAAGCCAGCATTTTCCATCCCAGCATTGTGCCCGGTGAGGAGATGCTCTGTCTTCCTATCTCTAGTTTTCTCCAAACCATAATTTATTCCAAAAATTATTTATAATTTATTTAAAATAATAATTATTATTGTAAAGGAAGCTGACCCAGTGTTACAGGGAGTCAGATTATGAGGAAAACACAGTACTAACTTGGGATTCATTATTGTTCTTTTAGTGCAGAAAAGCGCTTTCAGGCTGAGTCCTGCATCTGAAACATGGGAAGATAGGATATGGGGTATCTACCACCCATCTTGCTCTGGGGACCAACCCTTCACTGAGTCCAGTCAGACTAGGGAGCTGGGTTTGCACCACAATGCCCTCGCCCCCAAACCCCTACCACACAGCTGCTCAGACCAGGGGCACACATTGGACTCACAGAGGGGCCATGGATTGGCCAACCAGTAACCAAGATTCTCGCTCTTATGGGACCCAGCAGGTCTTGTCCACCACCGGGTGGTGCTTGAACTAAAAGACCACATGGAGTTGGGGCTGACAACCTTGTTGTGCCCCATGCCTGCTAAGGAATCGCGAGAGGAAGGCAGTTTGCAGCAAGTAGCTGAAACAAGAGGCCATGCGTGTGTGCGTATGTGTGTGAACATGGGGAGATGGAGAGACACAAGGGGTAGGCAGGCTACCTCCTCCCTGCTGTCTTGGTTGCTGTCAGCACCTGAGCCCATGAGGCCCAGCTGGGTTTTTATTTCTTGAAGACCCCTTGGTCTTCTCTCTGTAGCACCTCCACTTAATCTGAGCTTCCTTGAGAGGCTTTATGTTTCAAGCCATCCACATCAAGTGATCTCAGAGTAAAGTAGAAACTGACTGTTACAGAGGCCTCGTGCTCAGGGCTGAGAGCAGAGCAGCCATATCTGCATTCCATGCCCTGCGTGGTGGGGAAGCTGGGGAGGCAGGTGAGCACCCGCTTTGAGCAGCTTAGGAGGAAGGCAGTTCAGTGCTGCCCATGGTCACGTCTCCCTGGAGGCTCCCAACATGCTCCAAACCACTCCTGGGACCAAGCACAGAAATGGGATTGGTCCTGAGGCTTCTGCACAAAACTTAACAGTATTCAGGTTTCCTTGTTGCCATTATATATCAGATTATCTAAACTGGGAGTGACCTAAAAGACCATCCAGCCCATGGTAGGTAGCAGCTGCCTTCCCTAATCCTGACCTACAACTTGGATGTGTGCAAGCTGGCTGAACTGCAAAGCCCTGGAAGGCATGAAAGGAGCACGGGCCTGGGCATCTGCCAGCCCAGTGCTCAAATCCTGGCTATGACCAAGTAATGTTGCAGAGCAGCGCTACTGATGGCTGTGCACCTTAAATAATGTACTTGTTTATAATTTAGTAAGAATCATTATAAGAATTCACTGAGGTGGTATTAAGCAAACTTAGCTATCCAGAACACAGCTACAATCACTTAACAGTTTTTTTAACCTGGAAAAAATGAGAGATGATTCAGAGCTTATATATTTCACACTTTGAAATCCCCTCCCTTTTAGCTGACTTATTTTAATTTTACCCCTAATTATAGCAAGCTGGTTGTTAAGTATCCTAGCCCATAGTAGATTATTAGAAGGTAGCTGCTAAAGGCAGGTGCTCTGAGTATAAGAAACAACAAACGTATAAGGCAGAAAGATTTTTAAAAGCCCAAGAGTTTGCAGCCCTTCTCCATAGGAAACAGACCCCCTATAACCCAACTCCTGGTCCCTAAGGCGTTGCTGAATTGAAACACAACACAATGATCAACAGGCATAGGGCTAAGCTATGCTACCAACCAAAAAATGTGCTTAAGGTGACAAGCAGACCAGCCTTAGATTTTTAAGACTTTGATCAAAGAGGTTCAACTTACTTAGTGGAAGTTTCCATTTGAAAAATTCACATCTTTTGAACATTTCACTCATGAGCCGGAAAGAAGAAAATCTGCATGGATGGTATCCCAGGGACTTTACCTTATCAACATCTGTTACTTTAATCATAATATTTCCTAGTGGTATGTGGGGCATATCTCACTCCTCCTCCTCTGGTATTCATATGGGAGGATTTTCCTAAATACTCCTGGCCCCTGGGCCCTCCCCTCATCCACTTCTTCCCATGGGAAGAGAGTGTCTCATATAATTGGTTGGTTTTGGGTATTTGGCTCAGCCCGTAGAGCAGGGGCACTCTGGTCTGTCTTCCATGCTCTGAGGTTTTCGGGCTGGGCCCTATGTGGGGAGCCTGTAATTGCCCAGTGCTCCCTGGGGCGGAGGAGGTAAAATTGGGGATGATATTGGAAAGCTCTATTCTCCAACAGCTTTATCATCAGTAAGGTGGATCACTTCCTCTTCCCCTGCCAGCTTGTCTGCCCCCAGCTGGCGTAGCACTTGTGTGGGGAAAGAGGTGTTTTTTATTGCCCTCCCATCCCAACATTTTACTTATACTTTTGATTCTAAATTTTAATTTTCCCTTAATCAAATTGATGGAGCCATAAATAAGATAGATCATCTGTTATCAGTTTCTTTATCATTGACTTCCATATAAGAATAGAAAACTGGCCATCAACTGATCTTTTACCCTTACTCCTCACAGTTTGCTATCGACGTTGCTGTGGAGCTGGGTTGGCATTCTTAAGACATTAGACGAAATTTCTTTTTAAGAGAGGGGATCAAAGAACTCCCAGAAACAGATACTCTGTTTTCATTATATCTCTATTGAATAGAACCTAGTGCAGGTTAGCAAAAGGGTGAGGGCTTTGAAGACAGACAGATCTAGGTTCAAATCCAGCTGGGTCAGCTTTATGCTATGATCTCAGGAAGTCTCTCCTATTTTCCCTGTGCCTTCTTTGCCCATCTCTCACTCTCTCTGTCACCCAGGCTGGAATGCAATGGCAGTATCTTGGCTCACTGCAACCTCCGCCTCCCAGGTTCAAGCAATTCTCCTGCCTCAGCCTCCTGAGTAGCTGGGATTACAGGCACGCGCCACCATGCCCAGCTAATTTTTGTATTTTTAGTAGAGACGGGGTTTCACCATGTTGGCCAGGCTGGTCTCGAACTCCTGACCTTGTGATCCACCCACCTCGGCCTCCCAAAGTGCTGGGAAGCGTGAGTCACCACACCCAGCTGCCCATCTCTTAATCCTCTGCTCCAAGCAGGTTGTTGTGAGGATTTGAGATAATGTACCATGTTTTCTGGATTCTAAGATTTACTGCCTTCACTTTTTTTTTTCTGAAATATGTAAATTCCCTACAATTCACATGTATATTTAATAGGGTGTTTATTTTACTTTTAAAGCTTAATAGCTTTAAAAATGTCGTTAATGTATGGGACAGTCAGCCTTAGAGTCAAAATGCCTAGAAAGGTGTCTTACATTAATTGGCATTAACTACATGGCTGTTCTTAGACTTATTGGAAAGGCCAAGGGGACAAGATGAGGTTGAGCCACTTTCCTGCAGCCAAGTGGGCGCCTGCTCACCCTGAGTCCTCGTCCCAGTAGTAGTGGCTCCTGCCAGGGTAGCTCTGCTCCACTTTGTCCATCTGCAAGGTCCTCACGAAGACGCCCGTCTTGGACGTTTGCTTCAGCAGGCGATTGTGAACATCCGAGAGGATGGAGAATGTGGTGCCTCGCGGGTAGCAGAGCCCCACTCGGATCCAGTCGCCCCTAGGATTGGAAGTAGAGTCAGGTTACAAGCAAGGGTGTCCAGGCCACAGGGCCTTTGGAGCATGCCTTGGAGAAAGAGACCAAAAAATCTCCACCAAATGACACCTCCACTTTTGTATGGGAAATTTTGAAAGCACATTTGCTGTCGTGGTGACTGAGTTGCAGTGTTCAAGGAGAGAGGGAGAGACAATGGCTGCCCATGAGCAAAGAGCCTGAATGCTTCACTGGTGTGTCTCCAGGGCCAACCCTGGGGGTGCTGCATATGGAACTTTGGGAAAAAGACATTCTTTTCGTAGTTAAAGAGCACAGGATCCAAAGGACCTAGGCTGAGCCCCTTCTGGGTCCAGCTTGATTGTAGGGCCGATTTCATCGCTTTGGTCTCATTTCCCACATCTGGTAAATGTCTGTCTCACAGAAATACTGTGACAAGTAAATAATGTGCATAGAAAATACTAGAATCTAAATATATGAAGCCCTATCCAGATGCCCTCGGCCTCAACACTTTATCTCGCAGAGCCTCGTTTCCCTCTCTGTAGGATGGTAACAACAATACCCAGATATTTTTGTCATCTGTCGAGCACTGGCTAATGCCAGGTCCTGGGTGCCCGCCATACCTTATCTCCTTGGGTCCTCATTGCACTCCTGCAAGGTAATACTATCCTCAACTCAAAGATCAAGGAGCTCAGGCTCAAGAGGTTACGTGCGCTGGCCAAGGTTACCCATGCTGGAGCGGGGGCTTGGCCTGTGTCCTTTAATTCTTAACTCCTGGGTGATGTCAACCCCTCTAGGTACTCCTGCATGGATCACATGGGCTAGCCTGTGGTTTCGTTAGACGCAAGTCCAGGACTTTGCAACAAGGCATCGTTATCAGCTTTGAGCTCACTGCTCCTGGCTGGACACCCACTCACTTGTTGAAGTTGATGAGCCAGATGGCGAGTTCGGCGGGGGCCGTCTGGTCCCAGTGGATGGTGTAGCCCTTCTGCAGGGTGACAACCGGTTGGTATTGCTGGTAATGGGTGCTCCTGGTGAGCGCCCCCTCCAGGTAAAGAGGGTGGCTGGGGAAGTCATTCTTGATGATCTTCATTCGCAGGTTACTGGTCTTGTAGGCTTGAATGTACATCTTTTAAAACCCAAAAAGGAAACACACAATGAGGCTATTACGAAGGATTATTCCAAGAGCGTCTGGCTAACATCTGACTATAGACCGCACTTTCAAAGGCACTTTCTCTTTACAGAACCCTTTTTAGAAGGCTTGAATGAAAGAAAGGCCAAATAAGGGGACATCTCTTTCTGCTGATGGACGCAGCCCAGGCCTTACTGTGTAATCCAGCTAATGCTTTCTGTTCATCTTCATAAAAGTGCTCTGTTGAGCTTCCAGTGGAAATTTGAGAAGAGTCTGCATAATAGTCAGATGGCAAATTTTGGACAAAGGACAGAGATGTGGACGGAGGAGGAAGGGAGTAAGAGAGAGAGAGAGAGAACTTTTTTAATTCTACCATAAAATGCAACTCGCCTATAACTGGCAGTTGCTCTGCCTGATTTTAGAGAGTGCCTGGGTGTGTTGGCCTACTTCTCCCTCCTACTCCCTCTCAGTGTCTGGCCCCTGAGGCCAGTCCTTGTGGTGCCACAACACACTGCATGAATAAATGGTGCCTCATTTCAGAGGAAAAACTGAAAGCAAGACTGTCAGCCATTGAGTTCCAGGGACCTAAGAGCCTGGATGCTTTATCCCAGCATTGGTTTAAAACACTGTGTTGGCCGGGCGCGGTGGCTCATGCCTGTAATCCCAGCACTTTGGGAGGCCGAGGCGGGTGGATCACCTGAGGTTGGGAGTTCGAGACCAGCCTGACCAACATGGAGAAACCCTGCCTCTACTAAAAATACAAAATTAGCTGGGCATGGTGGCACATGCTTGTAATCCCAGCTACTAGGGAGGCTGAGGCAGGAGAATCGCTTGAACCTGGGAGGCGGGGGTTGCAGTGAGCCGAGATCACGCCATTGCCCATTGCACTCCAGCCTGGGCAACAAGAGCGAAACTCCATCTCAAAACAAAAACAAAAACAAAAAAAACGCCATGTCCTGTTTTATGGCACATCCCAAATTCATAAGACAATATCCCCATAACTGTGGCCAAGAGAGACAATCACACCAACGTGCAATGATGTTGTGCTTTTGGAAGGAAGTGCTTATCTTCCCCTCTAGTTTTATCGCATATAAGATGGAAAGAGAACCAACCCTGCCCATCTTAGGAAGTTGCCCTGAGTATCAGAAGGTAAAGCGTACATTAAAGCATTTTGTAAGATGTAAAGTGAAGGGAAAATATTATGAATAACCGTTAATAACCAGTTGCCAGTTATGATAATCTGGCAAGCTCTAACGATGAGCTTTTTTTTCACAGAAGATAAGCAACATATCAGAAAGAAAGTGTGGGAAGGAAAATCAAGGCTCCATATGGGATACCTAGACCTTGAGCTGAGGCTGTGTAATGCTGACAGTGTGGATGCCAGGCTTGAGGGTTTGGTCATCCTTCAATTATTCAGGACATGACTGTCCTCCATCAGCTCCCTTCTGACCCCACTTCCCTTCTTATCTTCCTCACATCATCATATCAACCACTCACTCCCATTAGCATCTTGGCCCTTCCTCTGCCCACACCTACAGCAGAAGCCACCCCATGGCTCATTGCACAGCTCCGCCTCTCCCAGGGCTCTTGAGCAGGGCTGAGAAAATCCCACAGCCTGGGAGAGAGGTGCCTCTGCAAATGCACCGCCTCCAGTCTCCACTGGGTTTTCAACACTGCCAGGCACTCCTTCCACAAGCTTCTTGTCAACATTTTCCACTCTCTACAGCAACTCTTCCAAATCTTTATCGCTCTCTGGAGGTTACTTTCCTCAAGCCCAGTCCCCACATTCTCAGCACATGACATCACATTCTACTGCAGAGAGAAACACCCTCAGCTTCCTGCCCTCTGCCCTGTCTTCCTCTGGTCCTTCTTCCTGCTAAATGCTAGCCCTGCCACCTACTCTGGCACCTGACCCCCACCAGCTGCACCCTGTGCCCTCTTTGCCCCTTATGGCCCTTTTCCTTCAGCCCAACACCATCTCCCTCTCCTATCACTCCTCCACCCCCAAACCACCATTTAGCTCCTTTCTAACACCCCAATTCCTGACACCCACGGTGGTGATAATAATGCCTGCCTTGTAGGATAGTTGTGAAGACAGCTATTCATACATGTTTCCTTCATTCTCTGAGACGACCTGGCTCACTGTGAACCTGACAATTCATTTTCTCAGGCCTCTCTCCCGTTACTCATTTATTCATTAGTCATTCATCAAAATACTAGAAGTAACAATAATATAATAATAGCTAACTAATATTTTAAGTTCTGCCCTGTTCTAGGCACCATCTAGACCTGCCCTGTCCCTCATGTGGCCACTGAGCACTGGACATGTGGCCACTGTGACTCAGGATCTGAATTTTAAACTTCAATTCATTTAAATTTCAAAACAAAAGCAATGTAAATATTTTTTCCTATCCCATTACCCTGATTTGATCATTACACATTGTATACATATATCAAATATCACACATTCTCCAAGAGAATATACTATGATATAGCAATAAAAATGCAAAAATAAATTAAAAATAAAATTAAAAATTCACATTAAACACAACGTTATTGTTTCAGTAGGACTACACTTCCCTTGGTTGAAAATTGAGTGGGCTATAAGTGTAAAATACACAGTAGACTTTGAAGACTTAGAAAAAAAACAAGAAGTGTTTTTAATGATTTTCTACACTGATTCATTTTGAATGATAGTATTTTTAATACAATTAAAGTATTATTAAAATTAAATTCTGTTTCTTTTTACTTTTTAACATGGCTACCAGAAAATTTAAGATTACATGTGTGGCTTGCATTATATTTCTATTGGATAAGGCTGATGAAACATTTTACTTGTATTTTCTGAAGCCACCCCCAAAATCTCGCTAGGAAAGTTCAACTATTTTACAGGTGAGGAAACTGAGGCTCCAAGAGACCAAGTAATTTGCCCAAGGTCCAATGGTAAGTGTTGGAGCCTGACTTGAATCGAAGCAGTTGACCCAGAGGGTTCTTTTTTTCTAAGCATTTTGCTCACCAAGTGTTTTGACTTTAACTTTGTAAAAATCCTACTGGGTGAGGGGAAAAAATAAAAGGAAAGAAAGAAAAAGAAAAAAAAATTCTGTATCTCTTTCTGGCCTGAAACAGAGCCAGGCATAGAGTAGACACTCACTGAATGCTTGTTGCATGAGTGAATAAGTGAGTGGCCGGCCCCCAGAATGGTGTCCCCACCTGTGCATAGCACCCACTGCAAATGGCCCCTCTCCAGTCGGGAACATTGATGCAGTCTGGGTGCCGGACCAGCCAGTTGTCATTCTTCGTGAGGTAGGAGCCAGGGTACTCGGACACGGAGCCGTCGACGTCATGGAACACAGATGTCTTATCCCCATCCATGTCCAGCTGGTTGAACCAGGGCCCAGGCTCTCCGAAGAACACTCTGGAAGTAATCTAAACAGAGCCCAGGAAAGTTAGGCAGGGCTAGAAGGTGAAGGGAAACTGCAGCCGTCATCAGGCCAGGGCGAGGTTTCCGATTTCCACTGACGTTACAAGCCAGCCAAAACAAAGATGCTCTCGGGCACTGAGAGAAACCACGTGGCTGACCCCTCCGATGCAACCGGAGTCACAGTCAAAGGTTCACTGTGCCTCAACTCCCAGACCTAGCACATGCTTTTGGCCTCTGCTCACTGGAGGGTTGGCTGCTGTGGATGAGCTTGGAGACTGCTCTGACACACAGCCTTCACCAACTGCAGAGATGGAGGAGGGGGACTGAGGACTGTGAGTGTGACTGTGTGTGAGAGGGAGGTGGGGGTGATGTGTGTATGAGAAAGGGTACACACACTTTTACACATACACACACACATACACGGGGGCATCCGTGTGCGAGAGAAGATGCATGTGGCACGTTTCAGGAAGACAGTTTTGCAGCATGAGCCCTTGCAGATTTCCATAACTGACCTCTTTCAGGCTCTCAGTTGCCTGAGTAAAGACATTAAGTCATTTCAGTTTCACATCGTTTCCCTCAGCCTGCCAGGAACTGGGCAAACAGGCAAAAGGCAGGAGCAGGGAGGAGAAGGAGGGAAAAGTCTGGGAATCCATAACCTGAAGGAAATGCACAGGAGGACTGGCCCCGGCTGGTCTCACAGGGCAGCCCTTGCTCCTGATCTCCTAATCCTCCGCCCCTCTTCTGCCTTCTCTGTCTAGGGCAAGGAGGCCTCTGTTTATAGTCTGCTCTCGGGGAGAGATTAAACAGAACATCATCAGCTAAGACTTCCCTTGGAAACTGTGGGGCTTGTTAGATTCTTTGTGCCAACTCAGGTGGCCTGGTCAGAAGACTCAGTTTGTCAAAGTCAAGTCCCTTGGAGGAACAGCCTAGGAACCTCAGTCCACACGTCGGGTTCCTCCAGAGGCTCGCCTGAGTTTTGAGCAGGGAGAGAGCAAGCGGGCATTTACCCAGACCTGACCTGTGGGGCAACCTACGCTTGTACTTTTCCAGTTTGGATGAAGAGCAAACTGGGACATGGCCCAGCCTAGTTGGAGGAGGCTTCTCAACCCCTGCGGTGGTGGCAATAGCTCAAACTCTGGGACCCAGGGGACTTGTGAATCACCATCCAAAGTCTGGGTTTGCCGGGAGTCTGCCCTGGCGCCTCACTCACCGGAACGTCCTCAAAGGCAATGCCGGTCACGTTGTTATGGGGGCAGCTCTGCCAGGCATTATTCAGGCGGAAGGCCAGGGCGCTGGTGTGCCGGCCCTCCAGGGCCACAAACTTTCGGAAAGTGCAGTTTTGGATGTTGATGGGGCCATCATATAACTGAATTCCTCTAATTGGAAAATTCCTACGGAGTTAAGGAAGTAAGATGTCAGTCTAAATGTTTTCCATTCCTATGGAGTTAAGGAAGTAAGACGTCAGTCTAAACGCCATGTTTGCCCCTTCTGAGGTGGATGGTAGCAGAGACTTCCTGGGTAAAACCATTCCTGATCCCCACCTCTAGAAACTCCCCCTGCCCCAGATCATTATTAATTAATTATTAATTCATTAATTAATTTAAAGCATGTATAGACACACTAAGTGTCAATGAATGACTGCCGGGTGAATGGATGGATGGATGAATGGATGGATGAGTTGAATATCCATCTAGTTGCTAGTTTGGAGTTTGGAGAATGGTCCTGTATTTCAACATTTTCCCCAATTTTTCCATTACATAAAGAGTCATTGGGTAAATACTGTAAATACCACTGGAGCGTGCCAATATTATGTTTCTTGGGAAGATAGAGCTGTTAGTCATTATCGCCTTAGTTTTAGTTGCTATAACAATTAAATCAGATTAAGACCCACATGAGTTTCTCCTCTGGGAGTAAGCCTTTCACATTGGCAGTGTGCTGGGTTTGGGAAACAGAGGGGAAAAGGACACAGAATGGAAGGTGATAAACATGATAAAAATAATTGTAAGGCAACATTTTCAGCACCCCTAGAAGAAAGGGAGGCCCCACTGAAAAGCAAGACTGTAGGCTGACAGAGAACCCCAAGAAGGCCCTGAGACCCAGAAGGAGGTGGGAAGCGGCAACAGGCTTGGACGTGGAGGTAGGAGAGACTGGACAAGAACTGGTGACTTGAAGATTTTGCCTTGGCTTAGCATGGAGTAGGTTGCTCAGACACACTTCTCCCATTGCCTCAGACTCCTGAGCAGAGCACAGGAAGCAAGGGTCTGCGAGGCTGGCTGGGCTTCCTGGTGGTCCTTCTTGGGCCTGGCCCCAGTCTAGGCTTGCTCCTTCTCCAAACCCAACATGTATGCTTATGCTGGTGTCTCTGTATCTGGGTCAAGCACATTGTCTTCCACAGCAAATATAAAGAAGAAAAAATAGAAAGATGGAAAAAGAAGCAGAAAAAATATCTGCCCACAGGGAGAGACCATACTCCAGTTGTCCCTGATCTTCAACCCTGGGCTCCCTTCCATTCCAATATGGTTCCTTGAGGAAGACCCTAGGCACAGCAGTCACGGTAACATGCCTTCAGTGGGCACCAAAGACTCCTTGCATTTCTATATTTTTACGTTTATAATTGATTAACATCATGATCTAGAATCCTGATTCTCAAGGGGTGGCTCCATGCATTTTTTCATTTCACATATTTTAGGGACAGTCCATTTTTACTAGCTCTATACTTAGGTTTTGCACTTCAGACCCTGACCCAGCTCTATACAAGATGGATCAACCATGATTAGGACTGCAGGCTCTTAGGTTCCTACTTGCAGATGCAATTTGAGGAACCTGCCTCAGTCTGACAGGTTTCCATAAACAGGATCACCTTTGGAAGTCATCAGAGCATTCTGGCCCCGGGAGGCTGGTAACCCTTGGCAAAGAAACCTTGAACGTGCGGATTCAGGGTCACTCATACACATGCTGAAAGGGACTGCTCCATTACTCAGGTTAGACAAAAGGAAGGGCTTCTCACAGCTCATGCTGAAGGAGACCATGATTTTGCCTTTGCAAAGTCTTTTCCATGTCCACTTGGGTTGGAAGTTTTAGGTCAATGTGTATTTTGTGTCCTGACTCTAGTAGTAGAAATTATATCTTCCTAGAGAAAGAGTAGAAAGCTCAGACAGACAAGAAGGGCTGATCTTATCACCAGGAGCACAGGGACTACCATGCTGCTCACAGGCTCAGAGCCTTGCTCTCTGGCTTGAATTCACACCTGAGCAGAAACACCAGCAGAAGAAAGGAGATTTCCTCACCACTGACCCAGCCTGTGGTTTTCCAAGGAATTGACTGAGTCCATTATCCCTGTTTGCTCATCACCCTTCCAAGTCACCCATTCATTCTCCACCCACCTGCTTATCGTCTGACCTTCATTTGAACTCCCCCAGCCGCAGAAACCAGGACTCCTCAGGACAGTCCTGCTATTCTGTTGTTGAGCATATCTGACATTAAAAAGATCCATCCTTCTTGCACTAAACCAACCCTAACCCACGGTGCCCGTGTAGAATGAGTCTCATCCCCTATGTGCACAGCAGCTCTGAGAACATGTAACAATATCCCCCATGTTGTCCCCAAAGTGATGATCCTGTCTTCTGGTTGAAGACCCCAACCTGCATGTGACATAGCTTCGGCTTTTGTCACCCTCCTGGTTATTCTCCTTTAAGTGTGCTTCGGCCTGACTCTATTGCTCTGCCATCCTCAGGAGTGGATGCTACACTCCAAGTGAGAGTGCTGTCAGAGAAAAGGACTCACAGTCCCTGATCCCAGACACACTAAATTCCCATTAACATAGCCCAGGAATGCATTACGCATTTTGATGGCCACGTCACCCTGTTGACTCATATTCAACACCACTTTTTGACTTCTCTCTCCCCATTCCAGATTTCATCCCTTAATTGTTAGTCTCAGTCACCTCAGTGATTCCTCTGGCTGGTAGAAGAATTCATAGTCAACAGGTAGAAACTACCCATTAACTTTTTCCCTTCCATCACAGCCACTTAGGTTAAGCCACTCAGAATAAGGAGCTACATGGTTGCAAACCTACTGGCCTATAGGGAGGGTCCTTCCGCTATGGTCCAAGCCGCCAGGGCCCCAGATCCTATTGTCCATCATTTCCGTCCCCACGTTGCCACTCTCGCCAACAAACAAGCTGTTCTTTATCTCTTGCTTGGAGCCGTCGTCATACGGGAAGGTTCCACCACTGTAGAGAGAAGATGTTTAAGGTGAGATGCCCAGAGACAAGATCCCACAGAGGACCAAGTACAATGACAGTTGCCCTTACCTGGCCAGGGTCAGGCCAATGCCATTGTCAGCAAACCTGTGGGCAAGAGCAGATAGATAGTCAGAGCATGCCCTGGCTTCACATTCAGTGGAGTCGTGGAGAGAAGGACACTTCCCTGCCCTTGGAGTCAAACTGAATACCGTGCAGAGGAAGGAGTCTCTACATAAGCAGAGTCGTGCTCAGGGAGTTGTGGCTCTCCTGTTCTGCACAGGAAGGGGATTTTCTGGGTCCCCTCCCACTCTGACTCTAGAGAGAAAGCAGTGACCCCTGTGGCTCTCCACATTCAACGGCATTGACAGCATGCAGACTGGGGTCCATATGCCTCCCTCTCCAGCCCCATCCTCTGTGATTCCAGGGCTTAGTGTGAGGTTGGATCAGGAGAACTTGAAGGGCCTTCCGCTCTCAGGACCAGCACCAGGGAAAGGTGGAGTATGTGAATGCACTTCTATTTTTTTTTTCTTTTACCATCTTCACTGCTGTTTCAGCCATAGAGAGAGGCATCAATAGCTACTTTTCAAGTTTCCAGGAAGCCAGGCAGATGCTGACCCTGAGAAGGGCAGGAAGTCATTTTGCAATTGCTCTGGGGCCATCTCGTCAGCTCCCTTTCACCTCTGCCCTTTTTAGGGGTCAGATGAGCATGCTTCTGGGGGGCGTCTGATTGCGAGGGACAAGGGATTACACAGAATCCAGAGCTGAGCCTTGGGTCTGTGCTACCACAGACCCTAGGGCCAAATACAGTGGCCGCCTTCACTTCCTGTGTCCCAGGGGTAGATTTAACTGGTCTCTATGCCTCTGCTCCTTCCATCTGTCCTGTCCACCCTGCCAGGCTCATCTCAAAGTGCCATTCTCACCAGCCTCTCTGGTCCCTAAAACTTCCGTGGCTTTATATCCTTCATAGATCCAAGCTCAAGGGCCTGGTGAATCCACATCAGCTGCACCAGGCTGGTCCTGGTGGCAGGCATGCTCTCTAATTCCCAATGTACTTTTTCATATTCTGCTCACCCTCTTTCAGACACATGGACCTTTTTCTTTTTCCGAAGCCCATTTAGTTCAAATCAGTCATTCCAGTCCCATCATTAGGGCACTGTCTTATCCATTTATTTTCCCAAACTTCCTGAGTCTTATCTCCCAGGCCCCTCCATGGCTTTTCCTCATTGCTTCTGTCCCCCAGTGCTAGGCTCCTGGTCCCCTCATTCTTCCAATCCTTGAAGGGATCCCTGTCTTCTGTCAGCCCCGATTGCACCAACCTTGTCCACACGTAGGACCACAGCCTTGGTGCCAGGCAGATCCTAGGCTACCTTGGAATGAGTCTGGTGGGGGATTAAAAGACACACACACTTTGGCAGGAGGGGTCTTCGCAATTTTTCTTGCTGCCCTAAATCTGGCATTTACCATCTCTTAAGGGACCTAAACTCTGAAATGCCCAATAACCAGAACCAAGAGATTTACCGAACTTAGGATATTGCAAAGAATTTCGGCATTGACACCATCTAGTTTCTCTTCAACCCAGGGCTTCCACCCACCTTCTGTGTAGTGCCCCTCCCAAGGATGCTCTAGGGTCTGCTCTAGGGATGAGGAGCCTGGCAGCTTATCCCATAGATTGGTGTCTCATATGGTAGGAAGGTTCTTCCTTCTCCAGAGCTGAAACCTGCTTCATGCCTATCACTTCTGCCTTCTAGAGCCAATCAGAACAACCCTGCCCCCTTCCCCTAAATGCCCTTCAGAAACCCAGAATCAGCTCCCTTTTCTCCCTTCCCTTCTTCTTAAAATGAATGACTTCTTTTCTCCTGTGCAAAATGAAGGCCCTGCGGCTGGGCACAGTGGCTCACGCCTGTAATCCCAGCACTTTGGGAGGCCAAGGCGGGCGAATCACAAGGTCAGGAGCTTGCGACCAGCCTGGCCAATGTGGTGAAACCCCGTCTCTACTGAAAATACAAAAATTAGCCTGGCGTGGTGGTGCACGCTTGTAATCCCAGCTACTCGGGAGGCTGAGGCAGGAGAATTGCTTGAACCCAGGAAGCAGAGGTTGCAGTGTGCTGAGTTTGCACCACTGCACTCCAGCCTGGGTGACAGAGTAAGACTCCATCTCAAAAAAAAAAAAGAAGACCCCCCCCCCCCACCCGCTCAGTCTCTCTGCCTCTGTTTTTAAGTTTTGCTTTTTTGACTTTTTTAAAAAAAAATTTATTGTTTATTTTTGGCCACTGCCTGCTGCCATCCTATGTCCTTGCCTGGCTGGGGGACCCAAAAGCCTTTGCACCTCCCCTTCTCTGTCTCTCAAGCATCTTCCTGGGGCTCCAATGCTAAGTCAGTTTCTCCCCAGATCTCTGCATTTCTGAGCAGCCTTTCTCTCTCTCCCTTCCCTCTCTCTCTTGCTCTCTCTGTCAATGCTGTGTCTCTGCTTTTCTCCTCGCATTTCAATTTCTCTTGTTCCCTTTCACCTTTATTTCTCCTTTACTTGGTCACAATAAAATAGAGAAATATGTTTATTTCCTAATAGGTTTCTGATTTCCCATTTTTAACACAAAAGGCAGACAAGGAGACATTTCACAATACTCCCTGAAAACAAATCCCAGCTCCACTGCCTGTGCCTTCTGGTCCTTGTCCAGCATGTGCCAGTCACTCACATAGGGACCTCATATGAGAGCTCAGCGTTCCCTGCCTTTTTCATTTGGGTCTTGGAGTCCAGTGAACTGTGGCTCCAAGTTCCAGTTCAAACTCTAGCTAACTGCGTGACCTTGGGAAATTCACTAAACTGAACCTCAGTTTATCGTCTCTAAAATGGAGATCATAATTTATATGTTTGAGAAACATGGTAAGAAAGAAATGCAACCAAGGCTTTCACATAGTAAGTGCCTAGAATGTTCTGGCTTCTTTCTTCTTCCCTCCCTTAGCTGATGGTCCGCATGACCTTGAGAGAGCCAAGCCCAGTGACTATTTGGAAGCGAATCATAACCCACAGCACCTGGCACTGTAGGCTGAAGCCAATATGCTGCTTTTAGGTTTTGTTTTTTTTGGCCACTGCCTGCTGCCATTCTATGCCCCTGCCTGGCTGGGGGACCAGAAGGCCAAACGTCAGTATGTCTGGCTTCCCCTCTCTGCTTTGCTCTCCTGTCTCTGTAGGGGGCTAGGGGAAGACGCGCCATGCCCCCTTTGTGCCAAAGCCACACGCCGCTCTGACTCACCGGCAGCTGTCCAGCCACACATCCCCGCCGCGCAGCCAGGCCCCGTGGTCCTGGTTCTTGTAGGCAATGAAGTGTCTGATGATGGCCGGCTCCCGGGGCTTCAGCGGGTCGGCGTCCTGGTGAGGGCTGTATCTGCAGCACAACCATGGGGAGGGCACAGGTGGCGGTGTTGGGGGCACGCCTCTGCTGACTCCCTTCTGGGCTCTGTGAGCCTCTCTCTACTCACAGTGCCCAGGAAGGCATTGACTGAACAGAAACCCATTCGCATTGCCTGGGCTCTTGAATGAACTTTCTGAGTTCATCACAGAAGCAAGAAGTCACTCCTCCACCAGCCCATGCAGGCTCCTCACATACTGAAGAACCTGCCCCAAGTGGGGCCAAAACACAGAGGACAGTTCAGACAGCCATTCCCACAAAGTCATGCAACACAGTCCTCGTAGCCCAGGAGAAGAGTCTGGAGATACCCAGCTCTTCCACTAACTGGCAGGTCACCTTGAACTAGTGCCTTTTCTGAGCACTTCTTAGCTACAAAACGGAGTGCACTATCATGTTACCAGTGTTACCCACTTTTGATGGAGACCAAGCAACTTGTCTCTTTAAAGGAGATTGGTTTTGCTAATTACCTTGAGGTTTAAAAGTTGCCCCTGGCCTTCAGCTGAACAGTAGGCTTATTTATAGGCATGACTTGCATGTTCTTTCCCATTAAACTGATGGTAAAATTCTTCCCTTCTGTTCTCTTCATCTTTTCATCCTGGCCCAACCTACTGTGGCCCTGCTCATTTCTGCTGACTTACCAGCTATTCACTTTGCTGAGGGATCTAGAAACCTCTGGGAATTTCTATCTTCCTTTGGCTGCTGGAGCCAGAATCCTAATTCAGACTTTACCCTGCTCAGGTTTTCACCATTGTACCCCCAGCAACTAGCTCAAAGCCCAGCACAAAGCAAGGGCTCAACAGATGCTCAGGGAATGAATGAGTGATTGAAGGAGGGGGAGGCAGGAGCTGGACTGCAAGGTCACCGTGGACTGTGTCTTCCCAATGGCTGATTACCTGGCAGAGATGATTGAGAGGAACGGCCGCTTGTCCTTGGCAGAGGCCTCGGTGGTTTTGACTCCGTTGTCTATGATCATGCCAGCCTGCAGGGAAGAGATATTCAGGGACACATTAGTTTCTACTGTGGGCTACAGGCATCGTCTCACAGTCAGCCTCACTGCATACTTCTGAATGCTCCGGGAAAACCAGCTCTGTTCTCAGGCTGCATCAACAGAAGTAGAGGATCTACAGTAAGGGAGGTGAAGATGCTGCCTTATTCTGCATTGCTCAGACCAAATCTGGAATATTTGACCTCTTTGAGGAGCAGATTTGGAAACTGAGGTCTAGAGAGGTTATGTATGTTGTCCAAGGCCACATAGCAAAGTCCATGTGCAGACCCACACTGCTTTAGATAGTTATTAGCCCAGGCCCCAAGTCAGGAACAACAGGTATATACTCTTAGGAAATTTATCTGCTGTGATTTAAAGGAAATGCTGAACCTAAGTCCCATCTTTACCTTGGGCTGGGGTCAGTGACCTTCCCACAGTTTCATTTTAGCTCCTGCCTGTCTTGAAGAGAGAATCTGGCTTTCTTGTTTGACTCTAAACATGTCCACTTTGTCAGCCATGGGATAGGGAGAAATCAAGGCAGCTGAGTGATGCTGCCCAGGGAGGCCACCATTCAGTCTTCATTCCTGTCTGGATTCTCGTGGCCTCTTGTGAATGCTCATACTCAGATTTCTCTTTTTTAGATAACTGGAGGGCACTGTGGCCGTTTCATTCTCCCTCTGGCTTATAATTCAGCAGCGGTGATGTGAGTCCGATGATGTGGGGTTGACTCGCAGCTCTACTCCCACTAACTATGACTGGGCAAGTCCCTTCACCTCTTTAGCCTTAGTCATATCATCTGCAAGATGGGCTAGTGATACCTATGTCACAGGATGGTTATGAGGACCCAATAAGAGACCCCAGGTGAAGCCTCCTGGAACAGGTCCCTCTCACTGTGGATGTGGAGTCAAGGCTTACTGGGCATGAACACCAAGGACGAGACCTCCTCCTTGGCTTAGACAATCGAATCCATCCAGCTGGAGGTTCTTCTTCACTCCTTCCCTCCCTGCCTCAGAGAATGAGACCTGCCACCTTCTTCAAGGCCCATCCCCACCTGCACCCATGAGCCCTTGCATGCCTGCTTGTTAGAAACCATTCACCTGCATGCACTCCTCCCCTTTCCAGCCTCTCCACACCTGCTAGGTTCTATGTGGCCCACCTCCCTGCTCATGGAAGCCTTCCCAAGGGGTGCGTGTGAGGGGTTTCTCGACAAGCAGCCAACACATTCTCTCCACTGTTCCCCCTGCCACCAACAGCAGTATGCCCCCTGCACCTCCCTCTGTATGGAGATTGCTCTCTGAGGGCCATGTCAGCTTCAGAAATGCCCTCTCTGTTACCCGGCACTAATTCTCCTCTGTCAAGATGAGACTGTTGTCTTCCACACCTCTGCTCACTGCCCCATGACACTACCCTCTTTTCTAGTTGCTGGGAAATGACACTGCCTGGGGACTCTGCTTCTGTTTCTGCCACCCCACCCTGCAACTGCTTACCCCTTGCCCCACCCTATCTCCTAGGCATAAGCACAGGTCTATTCTGAGACTGCATCTCTTCCTTTTGGTCTTCTCTCTGGTTGGGCTTTTAAAAATCTTTTTACTTTTTGCCTCCGAATGTATTGTTCCCTTTGAGGAACGTCAGTTTTTCTTTATCAGTACCATTAGGGATTGGACCAGAAAACCAGCCTAGGCATTTGGGAGTCTGTCTGCGCACCGCCCTGGCATCCTTGAGACCACCTCTGCCCCAACAAAGAGCGTCTCTGGTCTCAGCCATGCTCCAAGCTCCAATCCCATGCCCCATGACTCTGGTCTTGACTGCTGTCCTCACTGGGAAGTCCTTGACAGACTCGAGATCCCGGTCATCTTGGTATGCCCTCTGTCCCCCAGTGCCTAGCTTGGTGCTGGACACAACGGCAGGTGCTTAGGAGATGTTGATGAGCAAATGAAGATGACTGAGGACTTTGTGTCCCACCTGCCCACTTAGCTCTGTGCAGATGCAGCAACCCATTCATTTCCCAAGAAACAAGACAAGAGGGAACAGCAGAGAGGATGCCAATGCTGCCTCCACCTTCCTTCAGAACCACGTCTTGATTTCCTTCAGCTTATGGATCAGGCCTAACTTTTCATAGTTGAGGCTACACCCAGCCCCGCCAAGTGAATTGCAAACCAAATTCAGGTGCCCAGCTCAGGGGCCACCAAGAGAAGCTCTCCCCCTGTCAGCATGAGTGAAGGCACAACTTGCTCCTTTTGGCTCTGGCCATATTCTCAGTCCATGCCCGTGCAGGAACCACCACAGGAGATTTGTGTTGAAGAATGTGGCCAATGGCCTGGGAGGCCTCGCAAGGCTGCTCCATTTTCTTCGAGACCAGCATTAAGAATGCAGTTGTTCCCAGCTGTCGCCAACTGGCTGTCCCGGCTCTAATCATCTGCAGGCCTGGGAAGGGGACCGAGAGGCTGGCCAGAGAGGCGCAGCCTGGAAAGACTTACCCGGTAGTTGGAATGTGCTCGGTTGTTATAGAATTTTCCCAGTGGAATGTGCTCTGAATAACCTGGGGAGTACATTCCCACGGAGGGGCCCGTTGGTACGTGGTGAAAAATAAACCAAAATCCAGTTTCCTGTTGGGGAAGGACACAAGGGAAAAGCCACAGCGTTCAGCCCCAGAGAGCTCCTGGGCAAGGTGGCCACGCGGCCCACGCCGGAGATGGGTCTAGTAGCTACTGCCGTCACCCACAGGAGCCCTCGGTGCCCACCCCCAACACACCTCCATGTGGTCCAGTCTGGGGGGAAAACAGTGAAAAGTAGAGCCCACCATGACAGTTAAAGCCCTTGATGGGCCCTACTCTATCAGACATGGCTCAGAAATGCTGCGTTTCAATCACTGCAGGGCTGAAACTCCTCTTCCTGACACACAATGGGGGGATTTCATGAGTGTTCTCTGCTTTCCCCTTCATTCTACAGATAAGGAAGCTAAGTTCCAGGTCAAGGTCAGGGTCCCATGGAAGGCCAGCAGCATGGACGGGTGGGTGAGAGCAGGGCTGTGTGGATGGAGTGCCGTGCTGCCACTCTGGCCACCACCTCCCAGCTACGTGTGCCCCTGGGCATGTCAGCTCTCCTAACCTTAGCTTCCTCCCCCATCAGATGGGGATAATAATAATACCTACGTCACTGGGTTCTTACAAAAATCAAATTATGTGAGCTTACAACACTGATGTGTCAGGTACCATTCTAAGCTAAAATCATGGCATTCTAATGATTTATTATACATAAAGCGTTCAGTGTTCACTAACTATGGTCACCAGTATTATGAAGTGACAGGGCTGTCCTTTAAAACCAAGTCCAAAGAACGCCCCCTGCCCCACCACCCCCAGTCTGTCGTTTTCCTCTTCACCACAGCTAAGCCCGTCTGCATGGATATCTGGGCTTGGGGCTCAGAGCACACATGTTTCAAGGTAAGCCTCGGCTGTCTCCCTGACTCCAGCCCCCACCCTCACTTTCTGCCAAAGAAGGAATATTTCTGCTCACCTCAGATCCTGCAGCGGCACAGTTGATGAGGTTGTTGTTGGGATTGGCCATCCAGAAGGTGGACACAGCACTGCAGGGAGGGCAGAGATACCTGAGATCAGATAAAGGGCCGCCAGGGGTCATCCTGCCACATGGCAGGTGCAGGTTGGGCACTCTGATATTGGCCTGATAGTCTCTTATCAGAGATCTGAGAAATCATTGACTTGTTGATCTGAAACCCAGTTTTCTAATTAAAGTGTGGTGCTAGTTTAAGCACTTAAAATATTCAGAAATTAAAAAGAGCATGGGTCCTGAAAATAGAAGCAGTGTGCAAGTGATGTCTGAGATTGACTCTAAAATACATGCAGGTCAGAAGAACCCAGGAAAGTAGCCCTTTCTAAGGGAGGGGCCCTGCACTTGGAAGGCTGACTGCACAGAGAGCTCTCACCCCGTCCCTCTGTCTCTCTAATATCTAGAAAAGGGTCTGTGTGGTCGGGGCCTCTGTGGCAGGCGAGGTGTCAGCCACTTCCTCTCATCAAAGAGCACTGTGTGGATCAGGAGAAGCCCCACAGATGAGAACAGGGATCCTCTTTGGACAAGAAAAATGCACATGAGGCAAACTGAGAAGGGAGAAGGGAGAAGACACCCTCCCTCCCACCTGCTTTGCAGGAAGCTGGAGCCGTAGGTGGTTAAGGGCTGTGAGGCCCAAGCTCCTCAGAGCCCCGAAGTGCAGAAGTCTGGTGCTGGGCTGAGCTGAGTGAACACATGCACACACATGTACACCCCTTCCCCCCAGCACACAGAGAGGGGTCCAGGCACTTACTTGCAGTCTTGCCTGGGCTTGGGGATGTACCCCGGGTAGGAGTCCTCTGTGATCATCTTGCACATCTTGCTGTCACGGTCCGAGGGGAGGAGGGTTCCAGACTTGACAAGGAGGCCAAGACAGTGGTCAAAAGTGTTGCGTTCCTCCGGCCCATCTTCCGTGAAGAAGCAGTGGCCCAAAGAGTTATAGCCCACAACGTCCTTGATCTGCAGGGGTCAAGACAGGGGTGTTTCACCAAGCATCCAGTTATTCATGTGCTCATTCATGCATTCAGCAAACACTAAATAGTCTCATGTGCTCATTCATTCATTCAGCAAACACTAAATAGTCTCATGTGCTCATTCATTCATTCAACAAACACTAAATAGTCTCAGCCGTACACCAGGCCCTGGGAGGAGCACTGGAGGTTTGGAGATGAAGATGACACAAGTGATAGGCCTGGGGAAAGTGGGACAAAGCATGGGATGGTGACTTTTTTTTTTTTTGAGATGGAGTCTCACTTTGTCGCCCAGACTGGAGTGCAGTGGCACAATCTTGGCTCACTGCAACCTCCGCCTCCAGGGTTCAAGTGATTCTCCTGCCTCAGCCTCCCGAGTAGCTGGGACTATAGGCACACGCCCCCACACCCAGCTAATTTTCTGCGTGTTTTCAGTAGAGACTGGGTTTCACAATGTTGGCCAGGCTGGTCTCAATCTCCTGACCTCATGATCCGCCCGCCTTGGGCTCCCAAAGTGCTGGGATTACAGGTGTGAGCCACCGCGCCGTGCCAGGGATGGTGACTTTTAAAAGTCCTTTCCAGCTGGAGGAGTTGGGGGTGGTGAGGCTCTATAGGGTAGGAAAGGGGGCAAGATATCATACGTGAGAAGGTGAATCCAAGAGGAGGCCATGGGCTGGGCCACGTGCACCCACCCTGATGGAGCACACAGCTGAGTGCCCTGTGTACAAGGACTTACCGTGGAGGGACTCCACAGAGGAGATCCCACTGAGTAAGGGTGGACGAGGGAACTTCATCTAGGAGCAGCACCTGAGCTGGGGCAGGTGTGCTTTTTATTAAGACCAATATTGATGCTCCTTATTGTACCCTCATTCAGAAATCCAAGCCAGCTTGTCAGCCCAAGACGTGCATCAAGCCACATTTGCAACGCCTGGGTTCAGAACTAGAAAGGGCTGCAAACTCCAGCTCTTTGGTTTCCTTCTTGGAATCACACAGTTAGTGGGGAAAGCAGAAAGAACATTTGCATGGATATTGAGATACCAGGGATGCAGTTTCAGCAGCACATCCAAGCAGCGCGGGGATCTTAGACAAGCCTCCTATCTTCTCTTCAGTCACTTTTTTTTCCACCGCAAAAATGAAGGACTTGAACTCCATGATCTCTGAAGCCCCTTCTGTGTCTGTATCTCTAAACTCATCAATCTCAGAACTCAGGTCTTCAGAGGGCCTGTAGCCTGGGCCCCACCCCCCTGTCCAATCCCAGACTCTGTTCCCAAGCATAACTGGCAAACAGGTACCCTGCTTCTGCTCAGACACTCCAGAGAGATGCTCACTTCCTTGCAAGGTGGCCTGTTCCATAGTGGGGCAATGGTGAGAAAAACCTCACTTATCTTACACCCTTCATCCCCACCCCTGGGTACAGACTGCCCGATGATGTCATCCACCAAGGGAGTTCCTGATTCCCGATGACATCAATTCAACCCACACCTATTCAGTACCTGCCACCATGCCAAGCACTGGAAAATCCACATACCGACCAGCAACAATCCTCCACCTACCACCCTGGCACTGTGTGAACATTTTGAGAGGCTGTCCCGTGATTGCAGGTTGTTTAGCAGCTTCCCTGGCCTCTACCTATTAGATGCCAGGAAAACCCCTTCAGTTGTGACAACCAAAAATGTCTCCAGACATTCATTGCCAAAAATTCCATTGGGTAGGAGGGAGGAAGGGTGACAGAATCATCCCTGATTGAGAGGCCCTGATGTAGACATCACAGTTCCTTCAAGTCTTTTTTTTTTCTTTTTTCTTTTTGTGAGACAAGGTCTGGCTCTGTTGCCTAGGCTGGAGTGCAGTGGCATGATCTCGGCTCACTACAACCTCTGCCTCCTGAGCTCAAACCATTTTCCCACCTCAGCCCCCTGGGGAGCTGGGACTACAAGTTTGCACCACCACGAATGACTAATTTTTGTATTTTTGGTAGAGATGGGCTTTCACCATGTTGCCCAGGCTGGTCTCAAACTCCTGGGCTCAAGCAATCCTTCTGCCTCGGCCTCCCAAAGTGCTAGGATTACAGGCGTGAGCCACTGCACCTGGCCCAGGGTCTTTCATATGACAGCCGCCTACTCCCCAACTCCCAGGCAGCCATTCTTTAAAAGGATCATCAGACCACACTCCATATCCCAGCAGTGGACTGGCCTCTTATACCTTTTAATCTTGCTGAAATCTCACACCATCCTCTATTCAATTTTAATTTTTTTTTAGAGACGAGGAAAACGAGACTCAGAGAAAGCAAGTGATTTGCCAAAGGTCACATAAGCCATATGTACAAGGTCAAGGCAGAAAGCATGGTTTTCTGTGTCCACTCACTCCATATGGGAGAACCCAACATACAAGCAAGTAGCTCTGTTCCAGGCAAGCTCTCTGTTCTTCTGAATAAACATCCTTCCCTTCATCTTTAGTAATAGGCAAGGGTGTGATCTTGAATCCTATTCACCTGTTTAATAAGTCAATCAATATCAAGGTCAGCCAATGGGACTGCTTTCCTTTCTCCTATTAAGCCCTAAAAGTTTGTTATAAATAGCCTGGACAGACAAGCATGGGAGAAAAAGGCAAGGAAATGTGGGCTTCCTGAGCTGGCCAGAACATCTGAGGTCAAGTTTAATGCCTCCAACTTTACAGAGGAGGATGCCAAGGCCCAGAGAAGGGATGTGGAGTGTCCCAGGATGCTCAGCAACCTCATTCTGCAGCTGTGATCAAACTCAGGCCTCTTGCCTCCTGCCTCCTGCCTCCTGCCTCCTGCCCATAGCTCTTTCTAAATCTTAGGGATCCATTTACTCTACTGTGTGGATCATACTTTGGGTAGTCTTTCTCTGAATAGGAGTAAACAATGAGTTAGGTATATTCCTATTCTAAAAAATGCCAGAGAAAAAAATTCCCTCCTGAGAGAAAAAGCCTCATTGAAAGGAAGAAAAATGACCGCTGTTTATTGGATACCAAATGTTTTTACATGTTGTCTTATTTAAACCTCATCACAACTACGATTCTATAAGTGACGCAGACTTAGAAAGTTGCCCCAAGTCACTTCTTTTGCATGGACCGAATTGGGACTTGATTCCCCATCTGTCTGAGTCCATAACCTGTGTGTCAATCAATACTCAACAATGCCAGAAAGAAAAAGACGCTCTCACTTTGGGCTGCATTTCTTTCTTCTCATTAGGAGTGGGGTGACGATGACACACAGAATCAAGAGGGAAGCATGATAAGGCCGAGGACAGCCCTCGGGTGGGGGTAGAAGACACAAGTTACTCAGCCACAAACTTGCTGTGTGTGACTTGCCTAAGTGTCCCTGTGTGATGGGATGACGTCTAAATTTTCTTCCAGCTCTAAAATTCTGGGATTGTTCCTCCTTAGAACATTACCCAGTGTTAAATATTTAAACTGTGACATAGCTTGAGATGATAGATGTAGATAGATGGATAGATAGATATAGATAGATGGATAGACAGATAGCAGATACATAAATAGTAGCTGCATAAACAAACATGCATATAGATTCACGGGTGGCCATTCAGTCCCTATGTATGCCAACCAGAAGTAATATGTAAGTTCTCCCCCCATTCTCTTGCACAAATTGTATTTTTCTCTTTGTCCTTCTGGATATCTTCCTTCCTGCTGATGGTCGGCAGTCGTGAAAGCAATTCCTGAACACTGTTTTAAGTCTTCAGTTGTTGTTACGTGTGGTCCAGGCATAAGATTGTGTAGGAGAAAACTCCTGGGCTCTGCCTGACAAAGAGCTAGAAAGAGCCAGTAGCGACTGCTTCAGTGGCGGGGGAGGGTGTGACCATTTTATTTGGTTTATGATCTGAACCAGGACACGTTTGAAGTGAAGGAGGTGTGATTAGTAGTTAAGCTGGGACAACACGTCTAAAATGGACCATTCTGTGCAAATCAGGACATATCTGTATGTAATGATTTCCACCATCAACCTGTATACAGCAAGTAAAAGAAACTGCTGTTTAAAACAAACAAATGCAGATAGAAGTGAACTTTACTTGTTTCTGCCTTCTAGGGTGGGTATGATATGATTTATGTTAATGAAAAACTCGACAACAAATACAGCCATGTTATAAAGAAGACTGGAATTTCCAATCTTCTGCCATTACTTTTTAAAAAATTTCTTTTTGAACTGCTGAAAAGAAGATTGCCATAGAGTATGGTGGTGGGTTATTTGTTTTACAGAGTGTCTTAATGAGTTTTTGAATATGCAGATTAAAACTGGGTGGAAGAAAAAAACCCGGACAACCAAATTACTCTGCCTAACAAGGACAGGAATGAGTTTCTAAGGCAGCCCAGGAGAGGTGGGGAGGAGGATGGGAGAATGAGGAGGAGGGGCAAGAACTCAACAACCAGGTTGGGGAGGGAGTAGCCTGGGGGGAAGCGTTTGGTCTATAGAGGGACCTGTTACTCCATCTCTTAGTGTTGGTTTCGGTGCTGATCTGTAATGTACCCCCTCTCCCTCCCATCTCTTACCCCAATCTACCAGTAAAAGCCCTGGGCCAATGAAACTTTTGTGGAAATCAAGGACAAGAGTCTGGGTTTCATATTTGGGCTCATATGGAAAGGAGAGATTGAAAATGCCTTTGCAACAATTATAAGAGTTAGAAAATTATGACAGTGAAAGAGATCTGACCTAACCAACTCCATCTTGCTTCTAACCTCCAAGCTATCCTTGGTCATTCCTGGGCGTAGGCCAGACTGACTTTGGGAGGAACTTAGTTTATAGTTTAACTTTGAAACAAAAACGATAACCGTCCCTTCCCGAAACAAACCCCCGTCTTACGCAGGGACTAAACTGCTTTTGTAGGACTAACAAATTAGCCACAAGATTAGAAATTATGGTTTAGGAGTCATGTAGCTAGAGGCCACAAGATTCTGAACCTCCCCAACTGCTCCTGGGGAAAACATCACTATTGTAAAACCTAAGATTAGTGCTTGAGATATTTTTCAGATCTGGCACTAAATGGACCAGCTAGTGCCTCCCACATTGATAAACTGGCTCATCTGGTCTTGTGGCCCCCACCCAGGAACTGACTCAGCACAAGAGGACAGCTTTGACTCCCTATGATTTCATATCCGACCCCACCAATCAGCACTCCCCCTTTCCGACCCCCTAACCATCGAATTGTCCTTAAAAACCCTGATCCCCCAATTTTGGGGGAGACTGATCTGAGTAATAAAAAAAACTCCGGTCTCCCATACAGCCAGCTCTGCATGAATTAAACTCTTTATTGCAATTCCCCTGTCTTGATAAATCAGCTCTGTCTAAGTAGCAGGAAAGGTGAACCTGTTGAGCAGTTCCAAGATGAGAGCAGCTACATGAATCAAGAATTGAGAATGTGAATTCAAGAAACTGAAAGAGGGAGGTAACCAGGAAAAGCGGAAGCTTCTCCCACAAATCCCAGAGCTTTGAGTCCAGGAGAGAGGGCCCTGGATTTCCTGCCAAAGACACAGGGGGCTCAGCCATCTTTCATAGAATGCCAGAGGGAGGATGTGTCCCTGGGGCTGGGGCACCTGGGGACTGGCTGCAGTCCATATAGATGGCACCCCTGGAGCAGTGCAGGGCACAACCTGCAGGGCCACATGTGGCAGCCTGTTGGGGACATCCTGGTTTCAAGCATCTTGTGGCTATTGGAAGCATTTATGTCAAAGATAGCACATTTTGAGCAATACACGAGGAGGAAAAGAAGGAAAGAGCATGGTATCTTCTCCCATTCTCTGCCTTAAAGAGGGAAGGGAGGAGGAAACAAGCAGAACCCATATTGAAGTCATTTTGTCCTTCCACAAAAGTACTGGACCATTCCATTACTTTCCTTCAGGAAAAACAGGAAGGTGAATCCCCCTATGTCCTGCCTCAGAGTTCAGAAACACATGTTAAGATGAAGTGGGGGCCCATTTTGCATCCCCCACCCCCACTATCCAGCCTACAGATACTGTAGAGCCTTCCTTTGAAGGCAGACTGCACCCCACATCTGCCTGCATCCTGCAGCTTTGGTGCTAACCATTGCATTTCAAGAAAGACACCACTGACAGTATCAATGTAGTGAGAAGCATTTTCCAGTGCTTCTCTGTTACAAACTGTGTTACGGAACACCAGCTCTGTAAGATGCGAATGAGTTTAGGCATCGCTAGGATAACCAAAGCTAAGCATGTATTTTTATTGCAAGCCTTTACTCTGCTAGCACGCATCGTGAATTTCCAAAACAGGGAAAGAAGGCATGTATGCTGTGTTTGCCAAGGTCATTTAACTACAGAGGCCAGTGTCTTTTTGTTTGTTTGGATACTTGCTACTATCTCACAGAACCAGCGATGTTTACACAGAACACAGTTAGATACAGAGGCACACAGTGATACTATTTAATAAGCAATACTATTTAATATCATTGCTGACCATATCACATACATTATCTGGTTTAATCTTCCTAAAGACCCTTTGAACTCAGTTCTGTCATCATCCTCCCTTCACACAGGAAGGAACTGAGTCCCACAAAATTTCCATCAGTCCCCCAAGGCCATACTGGCAGATGAAAACACAGGTCTCTGTGACTCTATGCTCTTTTACCTCAATGTTCTACTGAAGCCCACAGTAACTGTTATATCAAGAAAGAGTTAGGAGTTGAATGAAGCAGGAGAGACAGCAGTGGGTTTGCTGAGCTTGGTGGTGACATTTTGAATGACATTGTTGAGAACCATCACCAAGGCTCAGAGAGAGCAAAAGTTGAGAAGGCCACATTTGTGTCAGGACAGGAGTAAGAAGCAGGAGTTGGAGGAATTTCAGACCACCCTTCCCAAGAGTTGGTGGTGAAGAAAGGGAAAGAGCAAAGGTGGCTGCCCACGGGGGAATTAGGGATGAGGGAAGCTGTCCTCTGAGGATAAAGGATATCAGAGCCTGTCTACAGGCAGCAGGGAGAGAGGAGCTCATGAGCTAGGGGCTACCAGGACACTGTAGGATCAGCCCAGAGCCAGGCTTTAAGGCACTCTCAGCTCTGCACACCTACAAATCCCTCTTTCTCCCGAGCCAGTATCTGCTTGTCTGGAATCTCTTCCTCCTTCAGATCAGGGATGCTGTTTAGGAAAAAGGCTTCTGTGATGCTACTGAGTGGCCTCTGCATTCCAAATCAGGATCTCGTCTTTGTCTGTATTTGGCCTCTTTTTGTCCCATCAGCTAAAAACATCTTTCCAAACATAGTCAGCCGTGAGTAAATCCTTCAAGCCAAAATGAAGGAAGCAAATGTAAAATACTGATGGAGATCATCCAGTTCCCAAGGCAGCATCTCCGAATGTGGAAATCTCTGCCCCAGTGGCGGAGCATTTACAGGGTGAGGTGCCAATCCATAAACCCAATTCCCATGCGGGGGATGGCTCTTGGAGATCTTAGGGAAGGGCACTGGAATGTGCTCCATTACCCTGCTGTCTGTCTGGCTTAAAGAGTTAGAGGCCTGCACTTCATCTAGATTCTAAGCCAGGACAATTTGGTTTTACCTTGGGAAGGCCTCAAGGCCTGCAGACTCCAAATCCTAACCCACCAGCTTGGCCATCAAGCTGAGTGAGGCTGGACCTCTATGTGGCCACCAAGACCAGGCTGTAACTGGTACCTCAGCCACCTAGTGTCTGTACAATGGCCCTCCCAGTTTGCAGCTGGCATCCCTGAGACCCAGGCCGGAGGGAGACCTTGGCATACAGGGCAGCAAGGGTCTTCTGGTTCTGAGAGGTTGTCCACAGCTCTGGCTACAAGAGTCCACCTCCACTGTGGGTAGAAGTGACCCACGTGGCTGCTCCAGATACAGCTCCATGGGCTACCCCTGAACTGCTGCCTTCCCTCTTGCCCCACGCATCTCTCACTCCCCCAGCCTATCTTCATGAACTCACACTCCTGGCTCAAGGCCTATGCCATCTTTCCCAGTCTTTCCCAGTCTCTCCCAGCCTCTCCCAGCTCTCCCAGCCTCTCCCAGCTCTCCCAGCCTTTCCCAGCAATCTCAGCCTCTCCCAGCTCTCCCAGCCTCTCCCAGCCTCTCCCAGCAATCACAGCCTCTCCCAGCTCTCCCAGCCTCTCCCAGCTCTCCCAGCCTTTCCCAGCAATCCCAGCCTCTGTCAGCTCTCCCAGCCTCTCCCAGCAATCCCAGCCTCTCCCAGCCTCCAGCCCTGCCAGGATGCTCACTCTCAACACTGCCCTGCTGGGTGTCCTAGAGTGCCCAAGGCCTATGCCCCTGCCACCAGCCATTCTTGTGCCGCTTCCCCCTTTTTGAGTCCATTGCTGCAGCTAAGACCTGGGCTCAGCACTCTGAGAAAGGTTTGCTATTCCAAAGACAGCCAAAAACATTTCACAGGCATTTTCTAACTGAACCACCCTGAGAGGAAGCCATCACATTCTCCACAGCACGTGTGAGGAAACTGAAGACCTGCCTGGTCAAGTAGCTTGCCAGTGGTCACACAGCAAGTGAGTGAGAAAGCACAGCCACACAACCACACTCCAGGGTGTGTGTGTGTGTGTGTGTGTGTGTGTGGTGTATTTTCCCTGAGATTCACAACAGCTTCCATTCAAACTGCTCCAGATCTGTAATTACAGGCTTCCAGTAATCTTAATATCTTTCTCTTTAGTAAAGTTAAATGTAGGTGAATTTAAGCTAAATTTATGAATAGAACTTCAACAAAAATGCTTAGAACAAGTAAAGCTCCAAAGACTCAGTGAAGCCTGTTATCTTTCCTAACCAATTCTACATTGTTCTCTTCACCATGTATCCTGACCTCCATCACCACCCTGTGTGAGAAAGGTGTGACTGCATCCATTGCACTGGTTCTGCAAATCGCATGAGGGAGCAGGACAGACCTGAGACCTGCACCCAGGGCAAAGTGTGGGCCACACACTGGGCTCCATGCTTTCCATGTTCTCTGCTTGCTCAATCCTGGAAGCAACCATGTAGGGTAAGCAGTGCCATCCTCTCCGTTTTACAGAAGCACAGAGCAGTAAAATGACTGGCCCAAGATCACATGGCTTGTAAGCGGCAGAACTCCAATCGCAACCCAGGAAGTCTGGCTCCAGAGCCCATGCTTATCCCTGACATTCTGAATTTATTGTAAATCTTGATGTCTTTCAGCTTCAGCCAGAAAACATTCTCCTTTCCTTTTTCCTTGAGACAGAAAAAAATCCTACATCTTCCAGCAATGGCTCCAGCACAGTCCTCTACCACCTGCTGGGGAGAATCAGCCTTCATGTGTGGACAGCATCTCCACATGAAACCCACTTGCATCTCATTCATCCTCACGACAGCCCTATGTGTTTGGTGTTGTTTCTCCACTTGACTGAGCAGGAAACTGAGGTTCAGAGAGGTTAAGCTACTTGCCCAAGGTCCCACAGCTCACAATCTGTGGATCAAGCCCTTGAACCCAGGCCCCCCTAGACTGGGCTCCAAAGCCGATGATCTCTTCTCTTTACTCAGTGGGAGGTTTTAAATCAGAGCATTTAAAACACAGAAACAACAGACAATCCTTTATAATAGAAGAGTACATCAAATAGAACCACACTAGTGTCACACAGACAGCCTCCTCATTTTCCCATAACCATATGCCTGTTGGCGAGGCTCGCTCTGCTTGGTTTAAAGCAGTGCTTACAAACTCAAATGCCCACAGGGACCAGCAGGCAATGAAAGGAGTGGCACCGGCCTGGGGTTTTACAGTAATTGTAACAGCCACGGTAGGCCTGCTGCACACTGGAGAATGCCCACCCACCTGTCTTAGGGGAGGCAGCCTTGACTCTGCTCTAAGCCATTGTTGCCATGCAGGGAGGCAGGATGGGCATTGCCAACTCATCCTACTTTTCAAAAGAAGCCAGGAATCCAGATTTTTATGTAGAATCTCTTAATTTTTAAATGATGGAAACTAATTCAAATGTTTCTTTAACCACTATTTAAGCCAAACAAAACACATCGTGTAGCTGGATTCAGCTTAAAGGGTGTCATTCTGTGACATCCGGTTTTAAAGTTTATAGAGGATATAAAGTGTAGTTCATTTAAAGAAAGTCCAATTTAGTGTAAAATTATCAATTTAGTGTAAAAATGTTCAAATGTTTCTCTAAACACAGTATAAGCCAAACAAAACATATCTGGTTGCTAGATTCAGCTTGCGGGGTACCATTTTGTGATGTCCAGTGTTAAACTTTACAGAGGATAGAAATGTAGTTCACTTCGAGAAAGGTCAATTTAGTACGAAAATTATCTGTGGAAATCAAGACAAGCCTCTGATACACATGCCAATTTGTTAATGAGAGTATTTCTCCCAGCAGCACTTGCTCTGAAGGAACACTTGGTTCATCAGAAGAAAAAAAGCCCATTGTTGTCACCATCTCAAATCTGTTGGGTAGATACCACAGCCGGGTCTTCGCATGATCCCCCTGTCTGCAGTTAGCAGAGCTGTCATGCTGTGTGGCCGTGGAATGATCTCCAGATTTCATGTGATGCCAATGAAGTACAGGAAAAACTGGACTCCCAGAAACCACCACAAAGTAATCACTCTCCCATCTCTGCTTGGTACCTTTGGTAAGGACAAACCTCTATTTTCTCCTTCCTGTTTGGTTGGTGATCTGCTCCCAGTTGATATCTTTCTGAAACCTGAACTAAGGATGGTTCAATCCCCAAAGGCCCTGGATTAAGTGTCTACATCCAAACACCCCTCCAGTGCTAACCATCCATGGCCCATCCCCAGAGTTCCCTGAGGGAAGGAGGTTCTTACCAACAAGCCATTGGAGCCATGGACTGTGACGCAGCGAGAGAATGTATGATGGATGGAGAGGTCCCTGATGTATGTGGGTGGGTCATAACCTCCCCTTTCGTCTACATCACCGGCCAGGTGGAAGTGAATCGGGTACTGACCCACCAGCTGCTGTCCCATATGCTTCAGCTCCGTGCCCTCCAAGTGTGCTGCCTTAAATCCCAGAGCAAACTAGGAGAGGAGAACCGAGAGTCAGAGGAGCCCATGAGATGCTTTGTGATTTCCCTGGCTGGTGCCCATATTCCAAAGATGCAGAGGCATTGTTCTTTGTCAGTCTCCACTTAGTACTCAGTAAATCAAAGATATTCTCTGCAAATGGGTTAGAATGCCTGGCCCTTCTTATACTGTGGAAGACAGGCAAGGCACTGCTAATGACAGAGGACATTGTGAGGAAATGGAGTGCTTAGAAATGAGATGTTCTGAAGAGCTATGCTATAGCTGGGGCTCACTTTGAACCTCCTTTCCTGTCTCCCAAACCATCAAGTGTTATGAGCAAGGGATAACTCTGAGATAATCTGGAGGAGTGGGCTGGCAAAAAGCATGCCCTATGACCATGGGGAATCCAGGTTACAGTGAAGTATGGAGCAGCAAGAGCCTTTGCCATTGTCTCCCACCCAAGACCTTCTCCTAGCAAAGGGAAAGGGAACACCGACTCTGGAATCTTCATGAGCCCATGTTCTGGTGGCATGTGTGTGAGTGGAGGGAATGCCACACACTCACTTCACGATATGCATAGACCCATTCTTTCAGGCTCAAGAAAACCTCTTGACCACACGGAACTCCTGCCCTCCAGGGTGCCTACCATGAAAACACAGTCTGAAAATGAATCCTGTCAAAAGTCAGGCTCAGCTAACCTCTACTAAAGAAGGATAGTCTTGGCATGCTAACCATTTCTTCCAAAAATAGGTGTCAACTGGAGTGTCAACTCCAGTAGTAGCGGCCCTGGAGAGCTGTGTTGAGAATGATTCTGAGGGCTAGTTTGAGCTCAGTGGGAAAGAGTCCCCTGATCATTCAGGGACTGGTCTCAGGATTGAAAAGGGGGCTATAGCAGCTTGTGTGACATAGACCTGCTATTTCTGCTTTAGTATCACTAATGAGTTTCTCAACTGAGGACAGTACCATCACCTCTGCCCCACCCTATACCCAGGAGATGACTGGATATATAAAGCGTTTTTGGTGGTGATAATAACTGGGGAGCGCTGCTAGCATTGAATGAGTAGGGGCCAGGGATGATAGAAATCCTATAATATAGGCCTATGTGACAAAGAGTCATCTCACATAAAATGCCAGTAGGGCCCCCATTGTGAATGCTGTAAGTTTCACTCCATTTGTCTCTTCAGTTCCACTACCAAAAAGTCTTATCCTTAAAGTGCGTGATATTAGCTTTACGAGAACTGTCTTAGCAAAACTCTGAGGTAATATTATGCTATTGGCATTGAAACCAATTACCACATGAAGAAATTGTGGGTATCTTAAGCAATATAATATGCCTGGAAAAGGCACTTTGCATTGTGATATAAAAGAAATTCCTCTTTGAGCTTAATACTAGGAAAACGTAAGCACCAGTAAATTAGTATCGTTTTCCTATATTGTGCGGTAAGAACCCTGCAGCTCACTATGTCTCTTCTTTGTCTTGACTCTAGCCAGGAAACTCACAGGTAAATTTAATGCTACAACTTCTTTTTGTTTTTGTTGTTGTTTTTGTTTTGAGATGGAGTCTCACTCTGTCACCAGGCTGGAGTGCAGTGGTGAGATCTCGGCTCCCTGAACCTCTGCCTCCTGGGTTCAAGCAATTCTCCTGTCTCAGCCTCCCAAGTAGCTGGGATTACAGGCGCCCGCCACCAGCCCAGCTAATTTTTGTATTTTTAGTAGAGACGGGGTTTCACCATGGTGGCCAGGCTGGTCTCGAATTCCTGACCTCAGGTGATCCACCCGCCTTGGCTCCCCAAAGTGTTGGGATTACAGGCGGGAGCCACCACGCCCAGCCAATGCTGTGACTTCTAGTTCCTCTCACCTGCTTATTGTTTTATCTATATGGTAATGGATCCATTGTAAATGTGACCTTTTGCAAGTTAAATGCTAGTTCTTTTAGGAAGTGATCAGGGCAATAATGAAGTAATCATGAAATAATGAAGACAAGGAATGAAGGCAATGTTGAAACAGTGTGATGTGTACCACGTGGCCGAGAGCAGAGAGCTGTTTGTTGCTGAGTTAGCTCCATCATCTCTCTTATTCCCAAATATTGGTGGGGGGGGAGCTGCACACTAATGGATAATACATAAGACTTCTCAAACTTCCAGAAGGCGCCCTCCCCTTGATCCCACCTCCTGTTCCCCCACCCTCATCCCTACCAAGAAGGCCCGTCTAGAGGCTGACATCATAGGAACTCTCCTGGTTGGGTTGAAAGACTCTGCCAGAGAGACACATACCTTGATGTGGCCCCCAAAGGTATCGAAGTCAAAGAAATTGCAGATGTGGTTTCTGTAGGGGTAGCATTTGTCCTCCATCTCCCCCATCACTATGATGTTCCGGCTCAGAAGCCCAACCTCCGCCCGCATGTCCACGCCGTCTATCTCCTCCCCGATGTGCAGGTACATTGGTTTCCCTAGGGCAGAAAGGGAGGACGGTAAACAACAGCAGGTACTGCATGCCCACTGAGTTCTGGGCCCCTGCCAGGTGCCTCCATGGCTGCTGCTTACTCATCGCCATGCCTGGTGTGCACAGTGGTCTCATGTTACAGAAGGATGAAGGTCAGGGAGGTGAAGTCACACGCCTGCATGCAGACCCAGATCTCACAGTTACACAGGCTTAGGTCTGAAGCCTTTGGCAGAAATGGCTAATTGTCCCCTAATATTTGTCTCCTCTTCTGTTTTTCAGTCCTAGACTCCTGCATTTTAGCTGGACACAGGGCCACCCAAGGGAATGACATTTCTCAGCCTCCCTGTAGTTAGGTGTGGCTGTAAGGTTTGAGAAGTGATAAGTGCCACCTCCAGACTGCCCTCCTCTTGCTCTTTTCTGGGGGCTGGCAGGCCAGCCTCGCCCATGCAGGTGAGCACCATGCCCCAGAGATGGCAGAGCAACGGGAGAGAAGAAACCTGGTCTCTGGATGATACCGTAGATTGCCGATCTTAGGAAGATAAAACAGAACCCCTCTGTCTTTAAAGCCCCTGCTTTACAGCAGTGCAAATTCATAATCTGTTAAAGCAGGCAAATCCCTATTCTGCTTACCTCAGCCTCATGTAGAGTGTGTATCTACAGCCTGGGGCTCCAGAAAGAGCCAGATTGGAGCTTCTGCATCCACCACTGTGGCCTGGCTCTGGATGCCTCCATGGTACCACGTGGAGCAGTGAAGAACGGCCTCCACCCAACTCTGTACTGAGCTCCTCACCATCCCCCACCCTTCCTCTGGTGTCGGTGGAGAGGATGCTCTCCCGACTTGTGCACTGACCCCCAGTCTTACCCCTTTCCATATCCTTAAGGCCCTGGACTCCCTCCACTAGTGATTTCATTTCTTCCTTCATTTGGGCTCCTTATATTCCGTCTTCAAACTTCTCTAGACCTTCCCATCCTTAAAAAACTAACAAACAAAAGACCTTTTCCAGTTCTGCTACCCCTCCTAGTAATTGCCAGTCTTTCTCCTGCTGTAATCAGAGCCCCTGAACCTGTGGTCTGCACCTAACCCCTCTGTTTTCTCTCCATTCTCTCCCTCCCATCACTCCACTCAATCTCTTGCCAAATGCAGTCCCTTCCTCCCCACTCTGTGCAGAAAATGCATCTCAAGAACGGTGCAGGGTGACAAGAGTTCAAACTTTAGAACTGCCTTTGATTTATAGCCGCAAATTCTGCCTCCACAACAATCCCACACTCTTTTATGGAATAAAGAGATCTTAGGCGGGCTCTAAATTCGTTGGGCTCTTCACTGAGGTTGCTGACCTGGCTTATGGATACTTTCTCTTCCATTTGAGGATACAATTACAGACAGCAGTAACCTCCCATGTGGATACCCAGCCTGAACCACACCACCTACACGGCTTGGCTTTCGCTGTGATCTTAACTGGAGCAATGGAGCACTGGCCTCAGCCCCCAGACACTGCCAGTGTTCACATGTGAAGGCCATGGTTATAATTAGCCCTGAGTAACACCCACTCCAGTGACACTGTCCTGCTCTCTCCTCCACAGGAAGAGCTGACTCTTGCCTGCCCCTTCACCCTGCGCATATCCTGTATGCCTGCAGTGTTTCTAGGGATGTTTACTCTTCTGGGATTCTGCAGACTCAGTGAGATTGTGGGGTTTTTTTTGAAGTATCTTATTCAAGATGTGAAATTGACGCAGGGCAAATTTGAGAAAATATCTCCTATGGAGTTGGTATTAGTTTCCTATCCTGCAGTAACAAATTACCGTAAACTTAGGGGCTTAAAACAACATAAATGTATTCTCTTATAGCCTTGGGAGTCACAAGTATGAAATGAATCTAACGGGGATAAATCAAGGTGTCAACAGGGCTGGTTCCTCATGGAGGCTCCAGAGGAGAATCTGTTCCTTGCCCTTTTCAGATTTGAGTGGCTGCCTGTGTTCCTTGGCTCATGACCCCTTCCGCCATCTTTAACGTGCATCACTCCAGTCGCTGCCCCTGTCATCACGTCACTTTCTTCTGACTCTGACCTTCCTGTGTCCCTCTTTTAAGGACCCTTGTGATCACATTTGGCCCACCCAGATAATCCAAGATAATCTCCCATCTCCAGAACCTTAATTTACCACATCTGCAAAGTCCCTTTTGTCACATAAGCTAACATTCATGGGTACTGAAGATCAGGACATGAATATATTTAGGGGTCATTATTCCATCTATCACAGAGTCCTCCTTCTTTTTCAGATACTGGGTTGGGTCTTGCCCTGTCACCCAGGCTGGAATGCAGTGGTGTGATCACAGCTCACTGTAGTCTCGAACTCCTGGGCTCAAAAAATCCTCCTGCCTGGGGATCCCAAAATGCTGGGACTACAGGTGGGTGCCACCACACCCAGCACAGAATCCTTCTTTAAACAAGTATCAGACTTTAAGTAATAATAATCTTAGAAAGATTTCATTTACTGCAATGGACTCTTACTCCCTGATATGCAGATGCCAAAAAGCTCTGTGCCCTGCCAAAGGGGTCAGGAGTGGACACCACACGTGGAAGCTGTCAGGCCTTTGGTTTCATCCAGGGTTCTGACACCAACCAGGGGAAATGATATGAAATGAGTTAACTCTGCAGAATGCTGGAGCCCCCTCCTCCAGGGCAGCCCACTGAACATGGCTTCTCATTTGGGCCACAGAGCCATGTGTCTTTACAGTTCTAAGATCCAGAAGCAGGGCTCCTTCCGGCCACCCACAGAAAAACCTTTCCTTCCATCCGTGACTCATCTCCCATCCATCAGCTCTGTGGTCTTCAGTTACGGGGCCTTCCCAGGTGTGGGGGGCAGAATCTTTCTGAAACAGAGCTTTGCACTGGCTTCTGAGTGGATCCTGAGAGCACACAGCAAACTTCACCAAGGAAAGGAATCAGACTTCCCAAACTCCCCAAAGGGTTGAGCATGTTGAGGGAACAGGCACAGAGAGCAACAGGCTCAGTCTTGCCAGGCAGGGGATGGCAAAGAGGTCTCCATGCAAAACTCAGCTCCCCGTTTACCAGTCTAAGGGGTTGACACAGTGAAACTCCAACTCCTGTGGGTTCATCTCATCACTCCCACATACCCTCTTCTGTTCTGGCCAGACCAGACCATCATCCTTCCTTGAACATGCCTTTGCTATTTTACATCTCAGAGCTTCCATGCGTGTATCTCCCTCTACCTGCAGCAAGCTTTCTCCACTTTGTCCCACTTAGCTCCAGTTCCTCCTTCTCAGTGATGTCCTCCCTGACCACACTCAATGTTAGTCTTTCCTTCTGGGAGTTCCTGCAGTGCTCAGCAGAGCCAGGAAACCAGGCCGAGCCTCCCCGCCTCCAGGACATTCATCCTTCGTCTTCCAACCATCCCTTACAGCACGTGCATCCTGGTGCTCTGGGTGCTTCTCTCAACTTGCCAGCATCCACCTTAAAATATGGTGTCCAGGAAGGACACTGACTAGAGGCTTCTGCTCTTGTAGGTGGCCAGAGGACCTTCCTCAGGGATCTGGTCTTGAACGTGGCTGCAGAGGTAAGATAATGTGATGGGGAGGATTGTGACTCTGGAGCCAGGCTGTGAGGGTCAGATTCCAACTCAGCTCACAGCTGTGAGTCCCTGAGCATATTTAAGCTCCTGGAACCTCAGGCTCTTCATCTATAAAATGGAGATAATAATAGCACATACCTCAAAAGTTGGCTGTGATTGTTAAATGAGTTAATCCATGGGCTGTGCTTAGAAATTAAGCCCCTGGCATATGGTAGGAGGCTAGTGTAACAGAAATGACACCTGCAGCTGTCACTAGCACCATCCCCAAGGCTCCCACCACTGGCTTCACACCTATAATAATGGGAGTTGGTAGATAGCAAATTTGGCATCTTTCTTTGTTCCGTAGGAGAAGTTGGGCAGGGTGTAGGAGTGACTGTCAGGTAGGTGGAGGCACTGTGTTTATCAGACTCCCGTCAGCCAAGGAAATATAAGTCAGATTGAGAGCTGCAAGAATATTTCAGTCCCACAGCCGTCTTCCCGGCTGCAGAGCTTCCTATCAGAACCTTTTACAAGACCTGGCCATGGCTGTTAGCTGCGGCAGCCACCTTATCTGTCCTGCTGCCGCCTTCACTGGCCACTCCCAGGCTGCTATCCGAGAGATGAGGGACAGTGTGTGCCTGACTCCCCCGCACCCCATCCTGCCTCAGAATTCTCCCACCAGCATCCACTCCTCCCTTCCTCCTCAAAGTACTGATACGTGAAGCCCAACCAGGGAAAAGCAGATGTGGCCAAACTAGCCTTGTCTCAAATAATCCAGAAGAGCCATGAGCACCTGGGTGAGCGGGGAGGAGGCCTGGGAAGCAGAGGGGCTCTGCACAGTTGCCCTACACAGGGCTGCAGATGTCACCCTTCCCTAGTCTTTACTCTGCAGGTGTCCTGCTTCCACAACCCCCAGATCCCTCTCTAGAGAGTACACAGGGTGCTAGGTACCCCAGGGTCAAGAGAAGAAAAAACATCAAAGACCTTCCAATGGAGGGAGCCAGAGTGTGCACATGTAGCTCAGACCTAGCAGGACTCAGTGAGTCTGGTGGAGAGGGAGATGGGGCCTGACCTTCTCAGATCGGGTATGAGGACAAGCCCAGAGGGACTTAAGCTGGAGGGCCCCAGAAAGCAAACTTAAACCCAGGTTCCTCACAGTCATCTTCAGGTGGAGACTTTGGGAACAAGGGCCTTCACTGAGGGAGAATGAAGCTGAGTTGAAATCCTGGCTCAGCTGTTGACTTGCTTGACCTACATCAGTGCCGCCCACTAGAACTTCCTGTGATGAAGGAAATGCTCTATTCTGCGTTGTCCAGTATGGTAGCCACTAGTCACCGGTGGCTACTGGACACACGAAACCTGGCTGCTGTGACTGAGGAATCAATTTTTTTTTTTTTTTTGAGACAAAGTCTCACTCTTGTCCCCCAGGCTGGAGTGCAATGGTGCGATCTCGGCTCACTGCAACCTCCACCTCCAAGGTTCAAGCGATTCTCCTGCTGCAGCCTCCCGAGTAGCTGGGATTACAGGTGCCTGCCACCACACCCGGTTAATTTTTGTATTTTTAGTAGAGACGGGGTTTCACTATGTTGGCCAGGCTGGTCTCGAACTCCTGACCTCAGGTGATCCACCCACCTCAGCCTCCCAAAGTGTTGGGATTACAAGCGTAAGCCACCACGCCTGGCCAGGAATAGAATTTTTAACGTAATGTAATCCAATTTAGACTTAAGTAGCCACATGTGGCTCGTGGCCACCATATTGGAAATTAAATGTCTAGATATTTAATTTCCATGAGCCTCAGTTTCCTCATTTGTGTCATGAAGAAAACAGTAGCCCCTACTGTATTAGGTTGTTGTGAAGAGTGAACAAGATGGTTTATGTGAAGTACTTGGAATATCACAGAAAACGAAATTCATGTTAATTCTAGCTAATAGTGGCATTCTTTAAAGATGTGGGGGGTGTTTATGGGCAAAGTGGGGAGGTGGTAAAGACAACAGGGTGGAAAATCAAGGGAGGGGAGTTCCAACTGCCACACTGTGAGGTGTTGGTAATCATACTGTGGTTGACAAAATTTTGAAATTTTTTTTTAGATGATTCATGCATTTTCATTACTATGTTACCCCCATCTGTTTCCCATCAGAAAGGCCTTAAGGGAAATGCAAACAGTCCTGTAGAATGAAATCTGGGAGCAATGAGGAAGAAGGACCCAGGGAGATCGTGTCCGTGTCTGCAGCCAGCCTGGGGAAGAGAAGCCTAAGAGATAGCTGTGTCCCTAGGTGGGTGGGTGGGGCTCACAGAAAAGGGAGAAGCAGGTGGAATCCTTGATCCTGTCAACAGGGAGATGGAGAGCCAGAGAATGGGCTTGGGGATGAATAGGAGGAATGTGAGCCTCTCCAGAACAGACAGACACAAAATACACACACAAAATACACACACACACACAGACACACACACAGACACACACACACACACACACACACACACACACACACACACACACACACACACACACACACACACCCCTACCTGGGGCTTTTCTGGTGCTGTTCACCAGGGGCTGCTGTTTTCATGGGGGCCTCACAGCTCCTCGGCAGGGCAAAGGAGGTGGCTGCTCCGAGCCGAATGTCCTTCAGGGAGGGAGGTAGGCTGGGGTGGGGCTAACGCGGAAACAAGCACAGGCAGTGCTAACCCCAAGGAAAGTGGAGGGCGTTGAGGTGGGCGCAGGATCTTCTCCACTTATCCTCTCCCGCTTGGTACTCGGGGCCTGGAGCTGCCCCCCTGCATTCTGTCCAGCCTTCAGGGACCTCCAGAAGCAGCTGACCCAGGCAGTCAAACGTGATCAAGAAGAGCAGCTCTCCTGCATGGACACCCCAACCCCACTGTAGGCTGAGGCAGAAATGCTCTGACGCACACAAGGTTCTCCATTCTCAGGGCCACCCTCGGCACCACAGCTGCCTTGTCAGGACCTGCTCAAAGTGAGAACTCCCGTGCAGGCCTTGGGGTGACCCACCCTGGGGTGCAGATGGGGACTGGTCTCAAGAAACCCCGAGCACCTCTCCCTGGCATGCCCTCCCACCTCCATGCAGGCAAGGGCTCACGGTCAGGCTTTCACCCTCCTAAATAGTCCAAATGCTACCCCAGGCCCATGGATCATCTTATAGTGAGCAGTGACATCAGCTCAGATGGTCTGAATGCCACTCCTGCCAAGAGTCCAGGGGGACATCTGACCTCCCAGAGGCTTCTTCACAATTGTCCCTGGGTGACACATAGTCATTCAGTGAAGACCCAAGGGTTTAACAATCATTAGGAACTTGCTTTTCTTGGCTCCCTCCTATAAACACAAATCTAGACGGTCTTTCCCTGCCAGGGGATATCCAGTAGGCTTCTGCCCTTCAATGACTTCCCTGTGCACTCAGAATAAAGCCCTTAACTGCACCATGGCCCCTCCCTCTCTCTCGAGCCCCATGCAGCCCTCCCATTCTCTACTTCAGCTACTCCGGCCTCTTGGTAGCTGGAACGCCTCATGCACCCCTCAACTTTATGTTCCCCTGTGGCAGTACTTCTCCCTAGGTAGCTTCTATTCTGTCTCAGCTCAGTCACTCATTCCTCTGGGAAGACTCACATGCCCATCTGTCTTTGCCAAATCTCCCTTTTCTATACTCCCAGCACCTCCCATATTCCACTTTGATAGCAGTTGTCATCATTCTATATTGGAATTCTATTTTGATTGGAACAATACTTTGGTGGATATCTATCTTCACTGCTGGACTGCAGGCTCCCTGAGGACAGGGAATGCATCTATCTTGCTCACCATGGCATATACAAGCCTGGCACATTGCCTGGCACATTGTATGTGTTTTCTTTCTCTCTTTCTTTCTTTTTTTTTTTTTTTTGAGACAGAGTATTACTCTGTCACCCAGGCTGGAGTGCAGTGGCATGATCTTGGCTCACTGCAACCTCCGCCTCCCAGGTTCAAGTGATTCTCCTGCCTCAGCCTCCTGAGTAGCTGGGATTACAGGCACGCGCCACTACACCCGGCTAATTTTTGTATTTTTAGTAGAGACGGGGTTTCATCATGTTGGCCAGGCTGGTCTCGAACTCTTGACCTTGTGATCCATCTGCCTCAGCATCCCAAAGTCCTGGAATTACAGACGTGAGCCACCGCGCCCGGCCTGTATGTGCTTTCTAATGGCTTGTTGAATACATGATGAAATGCTCCTGCCCACCTCCCTGTGGAGGAAAGGTGGGGCAAGGCCACCTGCCCAGCCTAAGGGTGGGGGAAGTGTGCAACATGCACACTGACAGAGATGGCATCCACACCTTGAGGCACTGGAGACATGCAGAGAAATAGCTGCAGGCCTATGACAGACCTATGTTCATTAATAATGATGATAGCCGGGTGTGGTGGCTTATGCTTGTAATCCTGGCACTTTGGGAGGGCTGAGGAGGGAGGATCGCTTAAGCCCAGGATTTCAAGAACAGCCTGGGCAACATAGTGAGGCTCTGTCTCTATAAAGCAATAACAATAATAATAATGATAGAAATAGTTTGTTTCCCTCTCACTACAACACCCTCTACCTGCATGTCCCAAAGGAGCAGAATTGGTATAAATTGCTGTTAGCCACACCCCTTCCTCCTTTCCCATCTTTAAGCATAGCTGCTAAATTATTGCACCTAATGGTAATAATAAGAGCTAACATTCATTAAGCACTTACTGTGTGCTAGGCAATATTGTAAGTGCCTCACATATACAAACTCCTTTAATCCTCACAACAATCCCATGAAATAGCCACAATCATTATCTCCATTTACAGATGAGGAAGCTGACATAAAGAAAGATTACGTAATTGTCTAAGGTCATACAGCAAATAACTGGCATTCCTGGAACCCAAATTCCAGGTGTCTTGTTCCAAAGCCCATGTTCTTTATTCTATTCTGCCTCTGCCAAACAAAACCCAAACCAAAAATGTCTTCTTCAAAACGTCTTCATAGAATGTGACCAACAGCATGTCCCCATCTACTATTAGGAGTCAAACTGCAAATAGCCCCACACAGAGCATCTTTGCATAAAACTGCTCCCAGCATTGCTGCTCACATTGTTGTGAATATCTTTCATATGAAAACCCCTGTGGAAAATTCCTCAGTGGCTCACAGCTGAGAAAGTTGTCCCTCTTGGTCTTCTGGGCTCCTTGTTGCCTTCCTTTCAGTGGATAATGATAGTTAAGTAATTTGTGAGGTTTCTTTCTTTGCTCTGGCTTCCAGGTAGCTTAGAGATAAAGTTTATTGTCTATTTTAGTATCTTCTGCTCTTCTGCTAATCTCGGTCACCTCCCCCTCTGCTTTTGCTGAATTTATTCTCCTTCCATCTTTTTTACCCTCATTGCCAGATTTACTTGGACTTGTGTTTATGGTAAGATACCCTGAAACCTTTTGCAAATAATGTAGGGGTTCAAACATTGTCAATTAAAAAAGCAGACTCTGTTACTTTGTCAAGGAACAAATGTCTAGTCATCTTGGCCTCTACCCACAAGCTGCTGCTTCTTTCCCTCTCTTTAGCTACACTCACCAAATTACCATCTCCCTCCAAAACACGTAAGCCTTCTTTTTCAGGGTCTGAGGTGTAAGGTGGGCACCCTGACATCACAGCTGCATTGTTTGTGGACTGCCTCCACCACATGACCTCTAGGTCCGCCTCCCCCATGAGTGTTAAGATAAGGGGACTGAATTCCATCAGTGTTCTCAGATTTTTTAAACTTTGCCTCCACAGATTCTTCCACAAGCACATCTCAGGCAGCCAAAAAGATTGTGTTGAATTTTATGTTCTGTGGGTTTCTTTCCAAAATAATAGATATGGTGAGTATATTGGATACGCTTTCTCAATCCATGGTCTTTCTCCCAACCCCATATTCTAATACTCCTCCAGGTGGTATGGTCCTGTAGCATGTGATACGTTTAACACCTCTTAAGTTCTGATTCCCCTTTCTTCTGGTAATATATCCCAATTTTCCTTTGCGGAACAGCCATTTATCCATTTAATGCAGTCTTAGAAGAACTTTCAATGACTGTTCCTGCCTTTCCTAGCCAAAGGGTGAGCACACAAGCCACCAGCCCAAGCAGATGCTCTCTCCCTGGAAGGTGACTTTTGAGCACTATGTCCCATGGCCTAAGCATGGTTCTTAAAGATGATGCCTTAAGGATACAGTCCATTAGTTCCTGCTACCCAGATCCCAGAAGCTACCCTGTTCCCTGTCCTTTTGGAGGTTAGTTATTCAGCTTATCCTTTAGTTCTCCAAGTTGAATAGCCTCTCAATAAATTCCTGTTTTGCTTAAGATAGTCAAGTTGGATTCTGTTGCTAACAGCCAAAGAACTCTAATTGATACATAACTCCCCCTACTAAGAATAATTGACCTGGATTATATTTGAAGTCTCTTTTTACCTTCAACAATCTGTGATTCCAGTAACCTCCAATAACATAAATTACAGGACATCTAAATCAAGATTTAGGAGAAGAAAAAGAAAAACCCCAAACTCACAGATACAAGAGATTAAAAATTTTGTAGTAGATTGAATAACTGTCTAACAAATATTCACTTCCTCCCCCTCAAACTTGGTGACAGACATATGCTTCCCTAGCCTATTTGTGTTGTGCTTTACCATGTGACTTACTTTAGCCAATGGAATGTGTGAGAATGTGCCATCTTTGAGCCTAGGCCTTAAGAGTTCTGTGTTTCTGCTCACCACTAGGAGTTTGCAATCTCCCCCGTGAGAAGAATATGTTTTGGGAAGAATGGGAGTCATATGGAAGTGACTTGAACCCAACTCTCAGCCTGGAGTCAGGCTCAGTCTAGAGAAGCTGATCCCTAGACAACCTGCAGATACATGAGTAAGAAATAAAGACCTGTCATGAAGTTTTAAGATTTTTTTTGTTATGCAGCATTATTACAGCCATAGCTGACTGATACAGATTTGTTGTAACTTCAGTTTACTTTAAGCCTAACAATTTTCAGATTCATCCAGTCTAGGAAGGGATTAGTAAAAGTCCTACCTGCCACTTTGACCTGGTTGGGGGCGCAGGATCTGCAGGGAAGCACCTGGAACTCTTCTGCCTGGTACATGGAGTAATCAGTACTGGCAATGACCAGGGTATCTCCAGGTTTCCATGACTGTACATTATCCTCCAAGTTCAGAATGGTGCTGTTCACATTGGTGTCAATGGTGACTGTGAGTTTGGGCCTCACTGTAACCCAAAACAGGAAAGACTGAGATAGAGCCCTTTGCTCTTGGCAAACTTTTGGCTACCTCTTTTTTCCCTTCCCCTCCCTAAATAACTAAATGCCAGGTTTGCCTATCCAAAACCCAGATCACTGGCTTGCTCCATCCCACTCTTGGTAAAGGTTTTTGAAGTCAACAAAAACCCTACCAGAAAAGAGCCATTCATTAGCTCTGGGCGGGGGAATTTTCCACTAACTTCTTAGCTGGAGTTAAATGTGGCTGCCTCACCCCACCCACTTTGCTCAAGATGTAAAACAAATATAGTTCCTCTCAACTATTATTTTCGGTAGCCATAAACTTCTCCCCCTAAACTTTCATTCCTAATGACTGCCTTCTGGAGATGGCCAAGTGCCTCCGAGAACAACCCGACCATTTCCAATCTCTTCTAACAAGCACCTTAGGTACTGGATTTAAAATAATAGCACCCAAAGAGGCAAAGAACTGCACATCTCTGCAGGGGAGGGCAGCTCTGTCCATTTGTACCTTGACTGCCTTGGACCAGGCCCTTCCCCTTCCTGAAAGGCTTATGGGCAGGGTGGGGTTCTGCTGTCTCCTGCCAACTCCAAGGATCCTCCCACTGCTCCCGTGTCACAAAAGTGCTCTCCTTTGGGAGCACTGTCTCACTGAGAGGTCTGGAAGTTGCCTGCATAGCTGCCAGTTCAAGGAACCGAGCCATAGTTGCATCTGTGTCCCCGACAAGGGGCTGCTTACCAGGCTTCCCACAGAGGAACCGTACACGGTAGCTCCGGCAGGCTCTGCCCCGGTCGTAGCAAGCAAACCTATAATCCTGGCCTTTTTTGTAGACAACCTCGGTGCTGAGGTTAACTCCATCCATTGTAGTGGCCTGGGAATGACACAGAAATTACAGAGCAAAGTCGTTTTTTTTTTATAGAGAAGGAAGGTGCTGATTAATGTTCTAAACATATACTCAGAAGTCTAAAATTGTCCCTGCTGCAACACTATTTACAACGGCCCGAGATGATTATCCCAATGATTGCCCCCATCAGTTTTGTTATGAGAAAGACAGCCTAAAGTCTTGGAATAGATAAATGCCTGGCCTGAGGTCCTACAGTACTCAGTATCGAAACCAGTGATCTACTGCTTATGGCTGGGTGAACATTTTACGGAGCATTTACAATAAGTAGCCACTCTTCTAGGATCTGGGCTGGCCACTTTTTACAATTTGCACCACCACTACCAGCACCATGAACAGCGGCCAACAGTCCAAACATGGTTCTGCATCCCATGGGGAGGAGTCTTTAAAAAATACTCATGCCCAGTCCCCATCCTCGGAGCCTCAGATTTGATTGTGTCTGGGGTGCAGCATGGACATCTGGACTTTGAAAAGTTGTCCAGGTGATTCTAATGGGCAAGAAAGTTTGAGAACCACTAAAGCTAGATGTTTACCTATATTATCTCATTTCATCTTCATAGCAAAACTATGAGGCTGCTGTTAGTTTTACAGATAAGGAAACTCATCCTCAGAGAGGTTCAGTTACTTACCCAGGATCACAAAGCCAGTAGGTGGCAGAGCTAAAACTTGAACCCAGACTTATGTAACTACATCACAACACTTCTAAGCCCCATCCACTCTTGCCCTAAGGTGGAAGCCGCCTAATGTCTTTTGTTCAAATGTCTGCCTCCTCCCACCGCATGGTGGGCTCTGGGTGGGCAAGGAGCTGGTTTTTGCCCCCTTGTCCCCAGCATTCAGCCCAGGGCCTGGCACAGAGTGAGGTCTCAGTGGATGAGGGCTGGCTGGTGAGCAGCTACAAGGCCAGGTGGAGAATTTAGGGAGCAGGCCTCCAGGGAGGGCATGATCCCTGCCAGCTGGGGCCCATCCCAGAGCCAGGGTGTGTCTGCATCCTGACCATGACTATCATTCAAAGACATGCAATTTAGAGCAAGGGCTGCAGCTGCTGTCATCTTTGGCATAGAGACCAAAGGGACCAGACTGGGGTAATAAGGAAGGAAAGTATAGCCAGTCAAAAAAAAAAAAAAAGAGGAGACTTTTTAGGAAACATTGTTTTAAACCCAGCAGCTCCGTTATCTTTGGCTTGGAAGAAGAGCCATGTGGATGTGAGTTCAGCCACAATTAAAACTCAGTCATTTCCTGCAAAAACACACTCACACCCCCTATCTCAGGTGGTCTCTGCAGCAGCCAGAGAGGCAGGGGTTGCAAACTTGCTTTTAGACGGAGGTCAACGCTGATGCTCAGAGGGGTTCAGATGTAAGCTCAAGGTCAGTTAAGGTAAGCCCAGCTCCTCGGGCCTCCTGAAGTTTTCCCCTGAGGGTAGCATGTTCTTCAATTGGAGACCCCGTAAGATTGAGAACTGAGCCTGAAAACATTATCGAAGGGGGCTGGAGATTTTTTCCAGGTATAACATCCAACAATAATTCCAGGAGAACATCTACTCAATTCTGCTGTTTTTTCTTTTTTTCCTTTTTTCTAACCTGAAAAATGACCTCAGTTTTGGATAAGAAGAGTAAAAGGAATCCATCATCATTCAGAGAAAGAGATCTTTAAGTAGACTTGAGTTTATTATTATTCTTGGTAATAATAAGTATTAACAAAATAATTATCAATATAATAACTAATAGTAAATTTATTTTATTTTATTTCATTTCATTTCATTTCATTTATTTATTTATTTTGAGACAGAGCCTCACTCTCTTGCCCAGGCTGGAGTACAATGGCGCCACCTCAGCTCACTGCAACCTCCACCTGTTCAAGCGATTCTTCTGCCTCAGCCTCCCGAGTAGCTGGGATTACAGGTGCCCGCCACCACACCCAGCTAATTTTTGTATTTTTAGTAGAGATAGGGTTTCATCAGCTTGGCCAGGCTGGTCTCGAACTCCTAACTTCAATTGATCCACCCACTTTGGCCTCCCAAAGTGCTGGGATTACCGGCGTGGGCCACCAGTCCAGCCAATAAATTAATTTTAAATAATAAAAAATGTATGGGCCACTTTTCAGTCTGCACACTTCATTGCACTGAATCCACAAAACATGCCCATGAGGAAATAATTATTATCCCTATTTTTGCTGTGAGGAAACGAGACACTAAGTAACAAGACTGTGAGTGAGGTACCCAGGGCACAAAATTTAAGGCAGCACCCACTCTTAGGGTCATGCAAGTGCAGAGTTGGCGCTGGAGGGAGCGGGCTGCCTTAAATTTTGCACCGTGGGCACCTCACTTGCTGATATGCCAAAGCTCACAAGTGGTAGAGCTGTGATCTCTCTGGCTTCAGAATATGTTTTTGTTACCATCAGGCCGACCTCTAGCCACTGCACCAGCTGCTGTGGGGAACACACAGACTGCCTGATGTCCCCAAGGAAATCTCAGTCCAGTAGATCCCACTGGCCTTGAAGGGTGGCTGGGTTTTAAGAGAGAAGGTGGGAGGCAAGAGGATTTTTCAGCCAAGGAGAGCTGAACGAAGGGCAAGACATAGAAACAGTGTGTTTTTGTTATTATAATTTTTTTCAGAATCACAAAATATCAGATCTTGGAAAAGCTTTTCTTAAGGTCAACTGTGCAGTCTTGCTGCTTCCTCTTTCTTCCCAACCTGCCTCCTCCAATCTTGCCTAGGTTGCAAATGTCCTTGACACTCCCTGGCCCAGAGGATCTGGCTATGTCAGTGCATGGCAGGTATGCCGGGACCCACTGTGTATGACACGGAGTTGGGCACTGGGGGCAGGCACAAGCAGGAAGAGGAGCACGTAAAAGCTCAGGGCCCGGGGAGGTGAGAGGCACCAGGTGACCAGAGAAAAACTGCATTTTTGCAATAGTGGCAAAAATGAGCATGTGGGGAGTTGTGTTTCATTTTAGTCTCTCCCTGGGTTAATTAACTAGGACATTTAACTTTTGGCTGATGCATTTGTCACCTGCTAAAAATGGGGAAATCCTGCTTCTCTCACCTCTTGTGAGCATAGGAAAGACTGGCTTTGTTTTTCTGGCCTTGGAAACATCCAGGAGCATATTCTACATCACCATTTTTACCTTTGATGAGCATGAAGAGATGCTCTAGCTAAGTCTGGAGATGACCATTGATTAAAGATTGGTGGCGAGAATTAGGAGTAAGCCTGATCTCTCCAGCGTGGCAACACCTTCTCTTCGGTAGAGATGGAGGTTTGAATTCACCCTTGGAGGCACATGACTCTTATCTTTTAGATGACCATCTCAATAGACCTTGGTTTTGCCAAGAAAAAGCCAAAGGTCTTATTATGGAATTGGGAGTTCTGAATGCTTTCATTGTGGGAAGACTTCCCTAAGCTTCTGAGTAAGGGGACCACACTGCTGTTGAATCTTCTGTTCTCTGAACCTCAAATAATGGAGAACTTGAATTTGGGGAATGTATTGCCAAGGGAACTCTTTTTGTTAGAAGAAAACTAGGTCTTGCAATATGGCAACAGACTAACAGTTATAGAGTGTAGGGTTGGGTCCCTATGAAGGTCTTGGCTTATGGAGCTCTCAGCCTGGGTTTAATTGTGTTTTGGGACACTCTAGGAAGGGCCTGTGTCTGTGCTGGGAGCAAAGTAAATGCAAGAGTGGGGAATGTCTAAGGAATGCTGTTTTCCTGGCACTGAGAGGTGGTCTTCCAATCAACAGTGTCTGGAGCCAGAAAACTGGCAGAGCAAACACCAGGAAAGATTTGTAGACCATGTAAGCATTCCTTGAGCATTTCCAGAAGTATTTGGAGAGGGGAGGTTGGTAAAGAGCTAGACTTCCTGTGGTCAAGTGAACTGGAGGGATAAGATTATGGCTATTTCAGAATTAAAGCTGGAACATTCAAGGTTATGAGAGAAAATTAAAATTAAATCTGGAAAGAATGTGCTGTGGGGGATCAGTGCTTTTTGATTCTGTTGGACCCAAGGAGAATCTGCAACTTGAAACTTAATCTGGGTAAATCCTTCTCAATAACACTGAAGCCATGTGAAGGGAAGAGTCTCAGCCAAATAATGAGAAAGTTTTCCTCAGACTTTGCTAAGTGCAGAACAGAGGCTCCTCCCTTGGATAAGTGGTCCTTCTTACAAGGCAAGACAGAGGGTAGAAGTTCTGCCCAGGATGGTGTGGCGGGGTGAAAGCACAGACAGATGGCCTGGGACTCGAGCTGACCTGGGACCCGAGCTTTGATATTCTAGGAAAAAGTGTTGTACAAATGGGGTAGCTATTTTTATTGGCTGAAGGAGGATAAAATGGGTGGAGATGGCCTTTCTCAAATGCCTGGTTTTTTTTTGTTTTTTTTTTTGAGTCAGAGTCTTGCTCGGTCACCCAGGCTGGAGTACAGTGGTGCGATCTCAGCTCACCACAACCTCCACCTCCTGTTTACGCAATTCTCCTGCCTCAGACCCTGAGTAGCTGGGACTACAGGCACCCGCCACCACACCAAGCTAATTTTTTTTTTTTTTTTGTATTTTTAGTCGAGAGGGGGTTTCACCATACTGGCCAGGCTGGTCTCTAACTCCTGACCTCAAGTGATCTGCCCACCTTGGCCTCCCAAAGTGCTGGGATTACAGGCATGATCCACTGAGCCCAGCTCAAATGACTTCTAATTCTCTATCAAGCATTTAAGCAGCCTCAAATCTTGTCTTGGAATGAGACTGGGCATAAGGAGATAAATCTCATTTACTTTGCCTATTTCTCCTGTCTCTCCTGTTGTTCCCAAAGCCTAGTATCCCACTGGCTCAGCTGGTGAGGCCTGTATATTTACTCAACACTTTCTTGATGGAGCCAACTGAGAACATCAAGGTCCCCTTCAGATGGAATTAACTCTAAGTGAAGATTTTGAGCAAACACTGTCCATTCTATGAATGCTGGCTTTGATTTAGCTCAATTGAGAACAAGGCCATGCGTGTGTTCTCCATCTGGGCTGGCCTGGCCTGCACCCCAAATCCTAGCTGCATCCTGTGCACTCAAGGTCCCTAAGGAAATTGACGGGGAAGTGAGGCTGGGGAGTCCAAACCCATCCCTGTGGTGGGGGCACACTCAGTCATGGCTGAAGAAGCAAGTTAAAGAGAAGGAACTCAGAAGCTGGACCCAGGAGAGAATCTGAGCCCTGGCTTTTGGGCAGATAGTAAGCCTCTGCTTCAGTCTCTAAAGTGGGAATGGTACTCTTTGGCTGACCTACCTCACAGGAGGGCAACGAGAATCACAGCACCCAAGTGACAAGAATGTCTGTGATCTATAGAGTCTTCTTCAAAACAACACATTTCTATTTTCTATTTTTGCTGTGAGTTTGGTACCTGTATATCAATGGGACGATTGCATATTTTTCCTGGGTGAGCTTTCCAGAGGTCTGAAATTTTCTCCCCACCTTTAGTCTGAGATACTTTATCATGATCGAACCACTCCGTCCACTCCACGTCTAGGCAGAAAGCAAACAGCACAGTCAGACAGGAGGTTGTCTGTGAGGGCAAGTCACACTCAGTGTTGTCTCCAAGCATCCTCAGCACCATGGGAACTGAATATTATCTGTCCATGGTTGCACCAGGCTGGGGCATGGATGGCTCTAATCAATCTGCCTATGCTCCCATGTTTTAATTAAAAAATGAGTTTCTCTTAATGAGTTTCTTACTTTTATAAAAGCAATTTATATTCTTTGTTATTGCAAAAGCAAATTAAAGAGAAAAGAAAGAAAATCCATCTGTAAACCCGTTATCCAAGGACTGCAACTAGGATTGCTGCTTTCTGCAATCCCTGCATGTGGGCTATTTGGAGGGCAGGTTCTATTCCTATCTGCATTTCCTGTTCAGTGCCATTGCCTGCCACATCAAAGATATTCCGTGAACTAAGCTGAATGCCGCAGACCCTGACTGAGGTGAAATTGAAATCTTAGCCAGAGGAGAACATCCTTCTGGGCTATGGGCTAAAGTGGCTTGTCTAATTAAAGACAACTTTTGGTTGCACATTTTTAGTTGATTCTGCAAAAATTAAAGTGGTCCTACTGGTATAAGAGATAAATCCTAGTTCTGCAAAGACAGTGATTTCTGGTCTTCTATCCCACTGTTAGGTGTCACCAAATTGTCTGAAACTCCTCACCTTGAACCCACTCACTGGACAAAGAAACATTGAAATATTCGCCATGCTCTGTCTGGAACAATTTGAATACCCGGGCAGCAGCAGAGCCTCGATGTCCTGTCAGAGAAACGAGACCCTTTAGGAGCTGGACAGACCCCCAAATTCAAAAAGTTGTGACTCCAAGGCAAGGAAACCCCCCTACGCACATGGGCATTGACTCATTTCTTTAAAAATATTTTTTAAGTAAATAAAAGAAAATTAGGACATTCATTCACTTGGGAAGAGATGATCATCCATTCTTTTGTTTCAGTTTTGAAAGTTTAGTTCCAGCCTCCCAACAAATTCAGATTGCAGAGCTCTAGCATGTCTCACGGTCTGAATTCCTCCTTGGCATTAGAACTGCAGCGCTTCCCGCAGCCTTTGCTGGGCAAAGGAGGCTACTACTGTGTCCTGAAGGCCCATCTAAAGTGTCGCTTTAGCTCTTTTTTTTTAAATTTTTTTGAGACGGGGTCTCTGTTGCTCAGGCTGGAGTGCAGTGGTGCAATCTCCTCCCAAGTAGCTGGGACTACAGGTGCCCACCACCATGCCTGGCTAATTCTTTTTTTTTTTGTAATTTTAGTAGAGACACGGTTTTACCATATTGGCCAGGGTGGTTTCGAACTCCTGACCTCAAGTGATCCACCCGCCTCGGCCTCCCAAAATGCTGGGATTACAAGCGTGAGCCACCACACCCAGCCTCGTTTTAGCTCTTAAAATACCACCCCTGCTGGCTCTATCTCAGTTCTTATCTTTTCTATGCCAATTCTAGGTTTTTGATTAAGTCAGTGAAGATTTCCATGAAAAGGGAAATATTACTGCAAGTGATGGGCCTTTGGCCAGCATTGGCCTTTGCCACTTCCATGTAAGGTGGCCAGTTAAGCGGCTGCTCACTCATCTAGACATTGGGAGCTGGGAAGCCATGCTCTGAGAAAAGTGAGATGTTCAGAAAAGCCCTGCACCTCTTGATCAGAGAGACACTGGAGGGAATCAGGCCTCCAGCCAGCTATGTATTACCATGATATTCAATATGGTCTTCCACTGAAGATGATGGATTTCCTTTCACAGTTAGAAAACTCCAAGGGTGTCTGAAAAAAAGAAAAACATAACAAAAAGTAAAGTTCTGCACGAGTCTGTACCTGCACAGAGTGTGGGGGGATGGGGCAGAGTTGAAGCAGCGTCAGGTGAAGGAGGGTCCCTCCCTGCTGTTTGGGGGAAATTCATTCACTTGCTGGGCTTCTCTTCTCCAGAAGAAGCACCTTTCTTTGCAAGCACTCCTCTGGGCTTTCTCGCTCCCTGGCCTGCCTGATGTTTGCTCCCTGTGAGCCTCTTCAGCTCCATTCTGGCAGAAGATGGGAGCATGAATCACAAATAAACAAACAAGCCAACAGACCTACTATACCACCCGCCAGGCTCAATTATGTCCTGAAGCAAATGCTTGGATACCTTCAGGAAAACATGTTCCAAGAGAGAAAGGTTATTTCTCTCATGCTCAGCTCCCCTAGAGTTGAGCTCGAGGAAAATACCAGAGGCTAACATGACTGACTGCCCTAGCCATCTGCCTTGGGCCGTGGAAAGGAGAGAAATCTCTCTTCTTCTTAATGGGGAGGGAAGCAAAAAAAGGCTTAAGGTTTTGAAAAATTGTACATCCATCATTCCTCCATGAAAGCACGTGCTGCTTTAGGGCAGCAAGGTTTTCTTACCCCATTTTGTTTTAGGCATTTTGCGTAATGCCTAATGCAGTAATGAAGTTCAGGAGACGCTACCCCCCAAAATGGCAACTTGGCATATTGAATATTTCAAGCTCAAGGAATTTGTGAAATGGCAGGAAGGAGTTTCTGACTTTCCCCTGAAGCAGGTCTAAGACCCTTATGTGAGAGGGCCTTCCTTATTCTGAGAAAAAGAGCATCCTTATCCCCAAACACAGAAGGAAGCCAAGAGGAATCTGAAGGAACAGAGACCTTGCTAAATTTCCCCTGTTTACTGTGTTTAACTCAAGCCCCTTGTCCTACCACATTTTCCCACAGCTCTCCACTTCATCAAACCTCGTGTACAGACACTCAGGTTTAACTGTGTATTTGGGTCCTCGTTTCCTTATGAAGGCTCCCATGTCGTTTAAAACTTACTATCTGAAATACATTTGTGTGCTTTTCTCCTGTTAATCAGTGATTTGTTGCAGGTGCTCCAGTCAAGAACTTAGAAGAGTAGAAGGAAAGAGATTTTCCCCCCCTACAGTAGCCCTCTCTTACTATAAGCTATCAATCGATTTTGGTGCTGAATAGCTCTCATTATTCTTGTTTTGATCTCTTGTCTTGGAAAATGAATCACTATTGAACGGTGTTTAACTGAGGTTGGGGATTTAACTGTCCACTTTCCTGCTTAAATCCTTCAGTAGCTCCCCATTGCCCTTTGGATAAAATCCAAGCTCCTTGGCACAGATTCGAAGGTCCTTTGCCCCCGCCCCCCTCCAGCCTCACCTCTCACCCCTTGCCTCTCTCATATACTGCCACTGCCTCGCCATCCCCACCTTCTTTGGGAGAGGCATGCTTTTGCCCCTGGGCCTCCGAAGCTGCTGATCTCTCTATGGGAACCAGCTTGGCCTCATCCTCATGTGTTCGTCTGCACTAAACTACACTTGCCCACTCTCTTGCTCTCTCATGCCCCGTCACCAATTTCCATTCATACCTGCCTTCCCCCAAGAGTTCAGGACACCTGGTCTAACCGAGTACCTCCCACCAGTATGTGTTCATTTCCTGAATGGGTGAACAAATGAAGGGTCCAAGTCTCAGTTCTCCTACTGATTTTAGATGCTTCAAGTTTATCACTCAAAGAATGTCTCTATACAAATGAGGTGTGGACGTGTAATTCCCACCTATGTATCTCCTTTGCCCATGTGAACAGCCCTGGCAAAAGACGGCGAGTGCCCACCTTTCCAGTGGCTCTTGCTTATAAGGAGAAAATAGTTGCTAACATTTATGGAGTGCTTATTCTGTGCCAGACATGATGACAAATATTTTGTTCATATTATCACATTTAATTGTCCTATAGTCCTTTGAGATAGCTCCTCGTATATCCCATTTTACAGATGCAGGACCAGGCAAAGAGAATGAGTCACTTGCCTGCAGTCACACCTCCTGGAAGGTGCAACCCAGACTCAAACTCAGGCCACTGGATGCCAGATCTTGGGCCCTTAGCCACTTTCTTCTTCTGCTGAGGCCGTAAATAGTCAGTTTCCTGGTGTTTCTAACTCTCACTGTAAATTAATAAACTGGCCTTTTGGTTTATAAAACAACAGAATGGAAGTGCACTTAGTGTTTGCTAACAAAGGAGGCTTGCAATGCCAAGGTGTCATTGTCATCTTTGGCTGCTTAAGTTTCCTGCTTGAGTTTCCCGTCCAGAAGAAGTAGTCTCTGGGCTGTCGGAAAATGCACTCTGGAACCTGGAGCACCCCTCCCTTGCCCAGGGAATTTCTGCCCAGCCAGCAAAATTGCTTTGCTCCAAGCCCAGAAAAGTCTCTGGCTTCCCTCTGATCTTGCTCCCAGATGTGGGAAGCTGAAGGGAGGAGCATCGTAATCTCTAAACAGCCATGGGACAGATAACCTCAACTTTCCACTGAGCTGAGATTTGATTCAACATGATAAAAAGGTGTGCTTACCATGGACACAGGGAGGGGAACAACACACACTGGGGCTTGGCAGGGGCGAGGGGCAGAGGGAGGGAGAGGATCAGGACAAATAGCTAGTGGATGCTGGGCTTAATACCGGGGTGATAGGTTGATAGGTGCAGCAAACCATCGCGGCACACGTTTACCTAGGTAACAAACAAGCACGTCCTGCATATGTATCCTGGAACTTTAAATTAAATTAAATTTTTAAAAAAGGCATTGTTTACTGTGGGGCAAACAGCTTCCTCTTAGTGTCAATGTGTGTGCATGCCAATGTCAGGCATGATGCTGCACTCCAAGGCAAACAAAACACATATTAGATCATGTCAAAGGGTTGCTTCTCCTTGGTCATTTGCCTCAGCAGAGACACTTCACATAATCTCTGAAAAACCCCAAGCCATGACATGACCTCTTTACCAAAGAAAGAGAAAATGAATATTAGCTGTGCATTGGAGGCATGGCTCTTACACACAGTAGATGCTCACTTAATATTTTGTAAGTGGCCGACTGAATGAATGAGTTCATATAAACAGCGAGCTTTTGTTTGTTTTGAGTGAACTATGCTTGTAAGAAAAAACAAGCATTCTTTAAGAACAATTCCCAAATATGCCAAACTCAGATGTCAAATGCAAATGCCTGCATCCACTAGGTCATTTAGGATGGTACGGCTGTGGGGAGAGGAGATGGGAAAGGTAAATTCTCAGTGGGATAGAGTGGCTTCAATGTTCCAGAGCCCAGTGGAAGCCGAAGTGAGGGGCAGTACCTAAATCCAAGGTGCAGGAAGTGTTTGCTTCCCAATTTGGTCATCGCCTTCCTGGCCATGTCATCCAGATTTCGAGAACCTTCATCATTCACTGCAACAGAAAGGATCCTGCCATCGGGCACCGCGTTCAAATACTGGACCAGACGTTCACTCTCTTTCTTGGATCTATAGGTGTCAAACCTAAAAAGGGCAGAGAGAAGAGATCTGAATAGTCTTGACCGCAGCCAAAACAAAGAGCTCTAAGCACATGCCTGTGCTGCGACAGCTAACATGCTATCCGATGATCCCAGGGCTGTGATTCTTAAAGAAGGAAGCCTTTTCTTTAAAGAGCAAACAAGTTTCATTATTTTGCATACCATACAGTGATATCCAAGAAGAAGGGTTTTGACTTGACCATAATGTTCATTCGCTGAGTAAAATGCCAAAGAAATGATTGCAGCAGTGAAGACTTCAAGCTCCAGGATGTTGAGTGGGTCACATACTTGAGGTCTAGGCCTTTTGATGTTCCCCTTTCATCCTGGAGGCAGAGGATCATGCCTCTTGGAAGAGCCTGACTTTAGGAGATAGTTCAGATAGCTAGGGCATTAGGAATTTATATCTCTGATCCGAGTAAAACACCAATCCCAGAATTCTTGGAAATGACATGGAGACTATCCCAAATCCCTTCTCCCACCCCTAGAGCAGCTTGCACAGAGTTACTTGCAGAGATCCAACTTAAAGTTTATTTATTGACCTGTTAATGATTCTTATGATAATGCATCTTAGAATCATTAAAATGTAATCTCTGATTCACACAGTAGCAGTCATATAACATTTGAGTATTGTAAATGTTGTTGCATTGCTATTTTCTCCTGTTTATTTTTTAAAAATTATTTTACTTTATTGTGGTAAGAACACTTACCTTGAGATCTACCCTCTTAAAATTTTAAGTGTACTATCCAGTATTTTGCAATGTTAGACAGCAGATCTCTTATAATAGCAAGAACTAATAATCTCCAAATTGACTGATAACCTGCCCTCATACACGTAAAATATCCATGAAATACAAATCACACACACAAAATCTATACCCCTGGTGAGAATAATTTACAAAGCAAAGACACAATTTTGTAATGATTCCAACTCTTCCCCATGTAAGGATAAAGATTTTATGCAATTACAGTAGAAATTCCTAAAGAGTATGTCTTGGAACTTAAGGAAAATAGTTCTAAAATGAATCTGGGAAAGTAATCTAAGGAGGTTTTTGGAAAAGAAAAACAATGTTGGTACCGGTGGTAGCTGGATAGCTGCTCCTGGGTCCTCACACTTGTTTCCAACTGTTGGCACAATCTGGTCCAGCCCCACCTAACCTCGCACCCTCCACTGACCCTCCCCAGGAAGCTCCTGCTGCAAGCCTAGTGCTTCTCAGTGCCCAGTGACCACCTCACCCGCCCACTCCTGTCTTCATCATTCCTTCCCACCTTTTCTGTACCTGATCAAGCACCTACTACCTTTCAAAAGCTGACCTAAGTTCCTGCTTCTCTAAGTAACCTTCTCAGATGACTTTTGCCTGCATTTACTTGTGTGTGTGTATGTGTGTGTGTGTGTGTGTGTGTGTATGTGTGTGCATGCGCTTATTATCTTTACTCATACACATTCATCTATCAGATTATTGAGATCTCCAACATATACTTTAAGCAAAAGATATTCGGAACAAGCAGACATTCTGTCCTTGCCATCTCTACAGCATCTGTCCAGATCACTTCTCACTAACAGGTCAGTAAATAAACTTTAAGTTGGATCTCTTCAAGTAACACTGTTGTACTTAAGAAACAGCACCAAAAAGATCAGCACACAATTGAAGAGGACATCCTCTCTAGTGTGAAGGCAGGGGCTCCCTGACATACTTTGTGTCAATCAAGGTGTCAGCCGTTATCCGTGGAGGCGATACAGGCACACCTGGGTTTGAATCCCATCTCCAACACTTTCCAACCTTGTGACTGAGTAAATTTAGCCCTGTGAGCCTCAGTGCTTTCATCTCTACAAGGTAGATAATAACAGAACTTGCCTCACAGAATTTTGATGAAGATTGAAGTATATTTGACAGGTAAAGTGATGAACAGTGTTTTACGGGGAGAAAGTCCAGTGACTGTTATAGGTACTAATGTTTACCGGCAAGGTTGGGTGTCTGTGAGCACCAGCAAGCACTTCAGCTCCTGCCCACCCTGCCCCTGACCGTAGCTGGCTCCTGCTGCCTTCATGGTGACACCCACAGCTCGGGCCCTGTTCTTGAGGAATGCCTGTCTCCCTTCCCCAGCAGCCCCAGGGTAGCTCTGTCTCTGTTTGTCTACCCCACCTCTGTCCTTCCCTCTAAAGGGCCAGGATGAGAGCTCCTGGGACTGCAGGGCAGGTCCAGCCTTGGCAGCATCTGCCAGCTTACACCTGCCCATGCTGCCTTCCAAACATCTCTCAGGTACATCCACTAGCCGCCGTTCCTTCTGGGTCCTCATCACTGCCATGTCTTGCCTAGACCACAGCAGAAGCTTCCTAACCCCCTGCACCATCTTTGCTTTTGCCTCACAATTAAAACCATTCTCTACAGCCAGAAGGTACTTTTAAATCAGATCATGCTCTTCTTAAAGACTTTCAGTGACTTTGCATCCCACTTAGAAGAAAACCCACGTCCTTACCGCAGCCTCCGAGGTCCTGTCCCGCCCCCATTTGTAACTCCCATGTGATTGCATGCTGCTCTTCCGCCACTCGCTGTGCTCCCACAACTCTGGTGGCCTTTCCATCGTTTGAGAATGTCATGCCCTTTCATACCTCCGGCCTTCTGCACTTGCTGTCTGTCTTGAACACTCTTTCCCTGACATATCCTCACCCTTCATTTCTCAGCTCAAATGTTGCATCCTTACACTGCCTTTCCCTGACCACCCTATCCAAAGTGGTCTTCCCTAGTTACACTCTAGCATCTCACTCTGTCTTTTTTCCCCCTTACTACCAATTATCACAATCTGAAACTACGTTGTATGTACATATGTGTGCATGCTTGCTCCTCTTCAATTCAGCATCATTAGGCCAATGCCTGGGGAAGGACAGAACTCCTTGAAGGCAGGGATTCCCATCTGTTTCATTCACTGCTGTTCTCCCAGCACCTAGAGCGGCACCTGGCCAGGGAGCACACTCAATAAGTGTACTTTGAATGAATGAGTATACGTTTAAGTGAAGGCAAACCTTACCGGTCAGAATGGATGACTGTGCCTGATTTGGGGTCGATGACATGAACAATAACTCCACGGTGGCCCCAGCTCCTTTCAAAAAAATAGCCTCCTTCTGCCATGCCACCTGGGTGAAGGGTCTTGTTCAGAAATGTCCAGGAGAGCTTTTTCTGTCCATGCAACTCAAGAGCGCCTCCTTTACCAACCCCAATGTACTTCAGACCATAGTAAGGATCCGGCTGAATACCTTCATCAGCCCTGCAAGAGAAAACAGCTCCCCAGAGTTGGCTGACACATCTCTTTACTGGATACTGAACCCAGAGGGAACCTAGGAGTCACAGCTCAGCTCCCTGACCCCCCACCACGGCCACCATAGAGCCAGTCACACTTTTATCACCTGAGGTCAGTAAAAATAACACTAGCGGCTGGGCTTGTGGCTCATGCCTGTAATCCCAGCACTTTGAGAGGCCGAGACAGGCAGATCACTTGAGGTCAGGAGTTCAAGACCAGCCTGGCCAACGTGGTGAAACTCCATCTCTACTAAAGATACAAGAATCAGCCAGGCGTGGTGGAACATGCCTGTAGTTTCAGCTATTTGGGAAGCTGAGGCACCAGAATTGCTTAAACCAGGAGGCAGAGGTTGTGGTGAACTGAGCTCATGCCACTGCACTCCAGCCTGGGCCACAGAGCAAGATTCCATCTCAAAACAACAACAACAATAACAACAAAAACATTAGCAACCCAATCTTCCTAAGCCAGACCAAAATAAAGCCCTCAGGGCCAAGCAGACGTGCCAATTATTAGTTCACAAGTTGGCATGTTTTCCATTCAGTTCTAAGTGTTTTGTATTTTTGTCCATATCAGATGTGGAATCACCTGGACATGCGCTGCATATCCTTGTGCATTCCTGACTCTCACTTCTTAGCACTCTCAATTGTTTAAAGAGGGAACACAGCCAGGGGCAAGTACCACATGGAATTTTCCTGTATCTTGTCCATCGTAGCCTATTATATAAACACTTGCAGAGCCTCCCTGAACATGACATGATTGGAAGGTGGCTGAAAGGCTGGCAGGCCCGTCTCTAAAACAAGTACAGCATCCAGGCCACTATAAATAACAAGCCTTATGGACTTCAGCTCTCCCAAATCACCATGTCTGTCTTGTTCATGATCCCCATCTGGCAGGACAGAATGATTCCTATCTTACAGGCAAGCTTGCCCTCTTGCCTCTCTCTCTGTCTTGGAAAGTCTCCCTCTTGTCAGATCCATGGGTAGCATTTGATCTGTAGGAGTGGTCTACGCACCTTCCATACAAAATGATGGTGAAATTGCCCTGGAAAGGGCAGAGGGCACTCCCAGCATGCAGCTCTCCTCCGTTGTCAATCAGGATGTGCCGGGTTCGCAAAACAATCGGCTCGTCGTGGTCTTTAATGACCAGCTTGCCTGAAGAGGTAGCATTGGGGGGAGGTTTAATAACACAGTGTTAAGGGTAAGGTTATATCAGAGCCAAGGGCAGACTCCCTAAGCACTCCCCATCTCACCGGGGCAGGCAAAAAGGCACATCTTCCAAACATTCCTATGCTTGGTGTACTTACAAGTAAAGTCATCCCTCAGTATCTGAAGGGAATTGGTTCCAGCACCTCCCAGATACCAAACTCCATGGATGCTCCAGTCGCTGATTAAATGGCATAGTATTTGCATATTTGCATCTAACCTATGCACATCCTCCCATATACTTGAAATCATCTCTAGATTGCTTATAATACCTAGTTCAATGTAAATACTGTATAAATAGTTGTCAAACTGTATTTTAAGGAAATAATGACAAGGAAAAATCTGTACATGTTCGGTACAGGTGCAAATTATTTGGAATATTTTCAACCTCGAATTGGTTGAATTCACGAGCAGAACCCACAGATATAGATGGCTGGCTGTAATTACTTTTCTATGCTCTCTGCTTTGCAATGTGTAAATAATGCCTGTCTGGTCAAATGCCATCACTGCATGTACTGCATTCAATGACCAGGCCTCTAAAAGTAAGATAAACAGAATTACTCAAGACACCAATAAGGAGTTTTCTCGATAAGTGCTCCTTTCACTAAGATTGGACCTCCGACAAGCCATTCCTAACAGCTCAGAGCTGATGGTTATCTCAGACAACCAAATGCCAACATGAACCCAAAGCATGTGATGTTTATTCTGTCCATCTGAGCTCATGGCAACCTGCATCCTATCTGCTAAGCTCTGGGGCAGTGGAGGGAAGAGGGAGCAGCAGAGAGAGATTGGCTTACCTCCCTCTGAGATGTGGATGGAATAGACCGTGGCAGAAGAGGTGAGCAGCAGTGTCTTGCCCTGGCCGATATGCACATGGTGGTCTTGGTCATGGCCAGGGTTCCAGGGTTGCAACTCAGGGCTCTGGTCAGGGCACCCAGCAGCCACTGCCAAGGACAGAGAGATGTCACTGCTCCCATCTACCAGCCTCACCAAGCAAGAATGCTACAGGCCAAAAGGGGGCTCCCATGCATCTTTAAGGCCCCTACCTCCTCTCTGTTAGAGCTAAAAGCAAGACCTTAGAGAGCTGAGAGACCTCCTGACATAGGAGGCAGGAACCATGGGGACCAGTCATATATTTTGCATGAATTCATCACATATCTGTGAATAAGTCACTTCCCTTTTCTGGGTTCAGTTTCCCCATTTAATAAATAAAGCGTAGACCAGATGGCTTCTCAGGACATTCCAAGCTCTGAAGTTATGCAATGATTTACCTAGACTACTCAGATTCCAGGACATTCTGTCTTCTGGAAAGCAACATTTGAATAGCTAATGAAGCTCTTTCCCTTTCTGCATGAGAATTAGACCTTTTGTTAATTTTCTAGCTCTGTTCCCCTGGAAACCTGAGAAAGATAGTATTATATAAATTGTTACGTAGCAACATTGTTTATAACAAAGTGACCCCTGATTGGTGAATGTCATCTAAACTGGGAGGAACTATAGTTTATATCTATACGTGGTGGAGATGTCACACTGTAGGCTTCCCTGAGTGCAGTGACTCTTATAATGGGACATTTTGCAAGAACCCTGAAAGTTACATCTACGGAGTTGCTACTGGCTCCAGTGGGGCATGAGGCTTCTAAGACACAGTGGTCTCCACACTTGTCCAGTTACAGTCTGATTTCCTCTCACCTGAGCTGTCACCTAGAGAACCAAAGAGAATAGTTTCTAGATGGCTGTCTGGAAGGCTGCCAGGACCATTCCCATGGAAGAGAGGAGGCTGATGCTGCTCTGATGGCATCTGTGTTTCCTATTCTATATTTTCCAAAGGAGTCTGAGGACCAGTGTGACATGTGGTCACCAGTGTGAATGTTTAGTTGAGCCTAAAAAGACCGGGGGTGGGTATTGCAGAGGCACTTCTCCCTGACCTCTGCAGAAGCACAGGAAAGAGTCTCAATGTTCACATAGCTAACAAGGCTTGACCCAGCAGTGTCCTGAGGTGGGCTTGAGTGAGGAGGACTGGCGCTGTCACAGAAACTGGAACAATCTCCATCAATAGCATGGAAAATCCAGAGGGAAACAGGTGGGAAGAGACAATGGACAAAACAAGATGAGAATGAACTGGCTCCAAGAACAAGCCCCAGTGCCCTCCTTTTTTCTGTGACCAGAAGGGAGCGAAGTATGAAACAGTAGCTTTCAAATTAACCCGGGTTGGGGGTGAGGAGGTGGGAAGGTGACGTGCAGGTAAGCTCATGGCAGAGCAAGGTTTCAGATGAGAAACTCTGGGGCAGGTACTGGAAGGAATGGAAGCAAGCTCACAGCTCAGGCCCTGCAGAAGGGAGCCTAGGAGAGGCTGTGTCTCTTGAGCAAAGAAGGTGTCTCTTGAGCAAAGAAACCCTGGGAGGGATTCTGGCTTCAGTGCATGCTATGGTTTGGCTGTGTCCTCACCCAAATCTCATCTTGAATTGTAGCTCTCACAATTCCCATGTGTTGTGAGAGGGACCCAGTGGGATATAATTGAATCATGGGGGTGGTTTTCTCCATAGTGTTCTCATGGTGGTGAATACGTCTCAGGAAATCTGATGGTTTTATCAGGGGAATCGCCTTTCACTTCGTTCTCATTTCCTCTTGTCCACTGCCCTGTAAGATGTGCCTTTCACCTTCTACCATGATTGTGAGGCCTCCCCAGTCATGTGGAACTGTGAGTCCATTAAACCTCTTTCTCTTTACAAATTATCCAGCCGCGGGTATGTCTTTATCAGCAGCATGAAAACAGACTAATACAGTGCAATTATGAGCGTGTCAGTTCTAAATGCGCCTTGATTTTTGTTCAGCTATCTCCAGAGTAGGAGTGTCTGTCCCATATTTATATATGTCAAGGAAAACTGGAAGGAAGCTCCCCCTTCATCTGCACTCAGCAGCACCAGATACAGACCCCACACCCACACTGAGTTGTCCTCTTTGCCCATTGGAAGGCAGCTACTGGCCCTTCTCTTCTCTGCAAAGCAGAGTGCAGGCACTTAGTGTCCGCTTGCTGGGTCTCATCCTCATCCCTGCTTCCAGCCCCATAACAACCCTCCTCTAGGCTCCCTCTGCCTTGCTGTCAGCCCTAGCACAGGCTTTGGATCTCTTTCATCAAGAAAAGAATTTCACATTTTTTGGAGTTTCACCAAAGTAGCTCTTCCAGCTATTGTAAATGTCAAGGGGCTCAAGCAGTGGCAACAAAAGGAAAAAATGTGGGAAGACGTGGGCTTGCTCATCAGTGGACTTTCCATTTTAACGTAAGAGCAGAGTCGCCAGTGGTGGGGTGGGCTCTCTGCGGTGATACTGAGCAGCCAAGGATGGTCATGAGGGCTGGGCTGTGAAACCCACTGCTGGTTTTATCTCCAGACAGGGTCAGGTGCTTGGCTGGATTCCAGTAGAGGCCAGTCAGAGGCCCTGGGCTGCCTTCCATCAAGTCCTGGACAAGAGTGTCAGGCTCCAAGGTGGTGAATTCCCAGCCACGCGGGGAACATATATGGCCAACTGAGGATCCCAGTGGTCCAGGCAAGGAGCCATGAATATGCTGGGAAGGAGCCATTGCAACTCCACTGGGCAAAGCCTTGCAGCCTCGTAGTCCGCATCTGCCAGGACAATCCTGACTGTTCTTTTCACTCTCCAAGTGCAGGAGTTTGCATAGACTTTGCATCTGGATTTGGAGGTGGTCAGTCTGACCTGTGTGAGCACACATCCCAGCTCTCCAGAAGCTCTGACACCACAGCTAAAGCACAGCAGGTGCAAGATTGGCCTTGAATGGACACTCCTTTTTTTGGAGCTGGACATTTTCCTCTCGGTGAAGGCCAGTGTCAGTGGCTTTTCATTTGTATGAATCAGAAAGTGTCTGAAGAGGGCCAGGGCTTTCGCTGAACTATCACCATGGAAACCACCCTCACTTTCCCAGGAGGGGCCACCAGAAGCGGGATTGAGAGGGAGTGCAAGCCCGACCTACTTGGAGCATGAATAGCAAGGGTTGGCTTCTACATCCCTCTGACATCAGAGAAAAGCACAGGCCAGAGGGAACCAGAGGCTCAGCCCCTTTCCACATAGCTGATAGGCAAACAGCAAGAGAGGTGCCAGGATGCGGGAAGAAATAATCAAGGGAAGTACCTGAGGGCACCTCTCCAAGGTGGATCACTTTTAGGATAAGTCACCCTAAAAGATAAACCCAAACCCAGTTCCTGGCAGAGTCAATGCTCGCTTTGTGTTTGTTAATTGAATAAATGAAAGAAAGACAAATGAATAAATTCAGGTAATATAGCCAATTATTGCCTGGAGGGTTAAAATAAGGACTACTGGCTGGGCATGGTGGCTCACACCTGTAATCCCAGCACTTTGGGAGACCGAGGCTGAAGGATCCCTTGAGCCTAGGAGTTTGAGACTAGCCTGGACAACATAGTGGGACACTGTCTTTACTAAAACATTTTAAAAATAGCCAGGCATAGTGGTGTGCATCTGTGGTCCCAGCTACTAGGGAGGCTGAGATGAGAGAATCTTTTGAGCCCGGGAGGTAGAGGCTGCAGTGAACCACGATCATATCACTGCACTCCAGCTTAGGCAACAGAGCGAGACCCTATCTCAAAAAAAAAAAAAAAAAAAAAAAAAAAAAATGCTACTTGCTATGTCCCCTAAGGATCAGAAAGATTCTTCAAAAAATCACAGTGAAGGAATTTCACTAGTTATCAATTATTCTCTTCTATCAATGGGTTGAGAAAAACAAAATATAAATTCAATGTAAGATTCTTTATTCTTATAGAAAAGCATCAAACTCAATGGACATAAAAATAGCATTAACAAAAGAGCAATCAATGGTGATGATAATATTGCAGCACTAAACCCCCATTTGAAATTTAAAAATTGTCCCTGTCTGTCACTGTCTTCTGTCCCAAGTTTGGATTATCTGATCAGTGTTTCCTGTAGCCCAGGGAAACTTACCTTACACTTCTAGATGTTAATTGAAAATCACTTGAAGAAAAAGCTGACAATGCTGAGATAGAAAAATAGATCTAAACCTGGCTTAGAGCATTACAGCTGAAAAGTACTTTAATGTACCCAGATCTTATGACACCAAAGCAGGAAGGGAGCATTGAGACCAGGTGGTCCAGACAGAGTTGGAAAGATATTTCTCAGATACGTGTTTTTTTGTTTTTGTTTTTTTTTTTAACAGCCTATTAGAGTGGTTTTTACATTTTGAATTCATTGGTAACATTTACAAACTAGGGAGATTTTACATAAAGCTCTAGATTTCTGGCTTCTCTTAAAAATTCAGATCCTGCAAAAGGGGATCCACCTTCCCGCAGTAGCGATTGGCTAGAAGTGAGAACAGTGTTTCCCTTTAGAAGGGTCTCAGTTCTCCAGTTGACCACAGTCGCTACCTGGTCAGCTTCACTCATTTGTGTCAGGGGCCTGGCTTCTGTAGGCGCTGAGTTTGCAATCCCTGATTCTAGTCCAACCCCTTCATTTTGTGGATGATGAAACTGAAGCCCAGGACGAAACGTGCCGGGGACCAAGGAGTTTAGTAAGGTCGGGCCAAGGCCCAGGCACCCTGACCCACTCCCACGGCTCCTTCTCCTGGCTCCCCCAAAAGCAGCCTTGCTCCAGTGAGGGGCCGTGCCTTCCATGCTGAGATACAGAGGTCCATCTGTTTGCAGTGCTCACCTGTGGATGTGGCCCCAGGGAAGCAGGTCAGAGTGAGCCAGCTGATGGTCAGCATGGCCTTGAAGAGGAAGTCCTGCCTCCCAGCAGCTCCCATCCTGGCAGTGTGCTCCCTGAAAGAGAAGCACACAGAGTCAGACATGCAGCCTTGGCAGGCTGGAATCAGTATACAGGGCCGACATGGAGATAAACAGAGCCACATGCACACACACAGACACGGGACAGGCAGTGACAGAATGGGCACACTCAGCCAGCCCACACTCCAGTGCAGCGTCCTCACCAGTGGCTTCCCCAGCTGCCACAACTCAAGGCCAGGCAGATCGGGGCATGAAAATCCTACCGTTGTCCTGCCTGTGTCCTGCAGCTCAGAGACCGAGTGATGGGTGGAATTTCATCCTTGGCACTCAAAACTCCTTCCCCTCCAGAATGAAGCTTTTCTCTTAAGTTAAGAAACAGAGCAGAACAAAAATACTCCCACTGAACATGAGCTGGGAATTAGATTCCACCAACTCGCTGTGTGATCTCAGATGATCTGTTTAATCTCTCTGGATCTCAGTTTTCTAACCTTTAAAATGAGGGTGTGGACTGGCTGATTTCTAACCTTTACATTATCAGTCTATGCTTCTAATCCAGTCCCGGATAATAATATTGGAAACATAAATATAGATGCCCACATGTTATAAGCCCTCTTATCTATCTAGGAGGAAGATGTAGCAAAGATAGCTAATTGTCCCCAGTATTCATTTTCTTCTCCTTCCTCGGTAACAGAATCCCTGGTTTTTATCTGGGCACATGGCTACCTAGAATAAAGATTACATTCCTCAGTCTCCCTTGCATTAGTTGTGGCCTTGAAATTCAGCTCTGGCCAATATAGCAGAAGTGTAGTGTTTGAATTCCAGGAAATTCCCTTAAAGGAAGGACAGAGAGACTTTCTTCTCTCCCTTCTCCTTCCTGCTAGCTGGAAAGAAGATGTGATGGCTGGATTTTCAGCAGCTATCTTGGGCCATATAGTAGGAGCCATGCATGCACTGAGGATGCCAATGCAAGCAGAGAGAAAACTTAGGCCCTGACCCTGTGTAGAACCAAAATAGCCCTAGATGATGGACTCATTTTATTGAGACAGAATTAAGCTATTTTATTTTATTATTTTATTTTATTTTATTAAGACAGAGTCTTGCTCTGTCACCAGGCTAGAGTGTAGTGGCGGGAGCTCGGCTCACTGCAACCTCTACCTCCTGGGTTCCAGCAATTCTCCTGCCTCAGCCTCCCCAGTAGTTGGGATTGCAGGCATGCACCACCACACCTGGCTAATTTTTGTATTTTTAGTAGGGACAGCATTTCACCATGTTGGCCAGGTTGGTCTCAAACTCCTGACCTCAAGTGATCCCAAAGTGTTGGGATTACAGGCGTGAGCCACCATGCCCGCCTGAATTAAACTTCTAGTTTATTAAACTTCGATTTTATTTAAGCCACCGTTATTTTTGTTTCCTTTTACTCATATAGAAGTTTACTATGGGAATCTGTCTAGGTAAACCTACAGACAGGAACTTAATAAAGGAAAAGATGTGAGATTTCCTTTTCAGGCTATAATGTCGCTTGGAGAGATGTCTTTGTGCAAGCCCTCTGTAGCACACATAGAGAACTTAGACGGGCTTTGGCGGTGGCCAGCTTCGGCTTCTATGCCATCTCCGCAATTTCTCCTCTGAATATGACTGTAGTTGTGCCCAGGAACAAACAGATACTCTCCCACACTGAGAAAAGGGCCAAAATCTATCTCACCCGGCCCAGGCTCCTCCCTTTGAACCAGCTTAGCGAAAAGTCTGGTCACCCCTGACCTTTCGGTTCAAAGTGAAGCTCTTTGTGCGAGTTCAGTGAGGTGGGACAGGCAAGGGGACTGAAAGGAGCACACTGGGCCCTCTGCCTGGTACCTCCCACACAGGTGTGCTTGGGAGGCCGGGGGAGGGAGGAAACGATACTCCCAGAATCAATGCCGGCCGTGTCCTCTTAACAGCCGCCCTGCCTGACCCAAGCCTGCTCTGCCGAGAACAACAGGGCCCATTCTAGTCACTTCAGCCAGATTGCTGAAGTCACGCATCACGGCATCTGGGAATGGCTCCTTTCCCATGGCCCCCAGAAGAGGAGTGCTCCATTTCATGCTCCTTGCAATAGAAAAGAAGGGAACAGCAGGAATAGGAGCATATTATGGTCCTCATGGAAAAGCCAGAACCCTGGTCTCAGGTCTCCACCAGTTTAGAAAAACCAAAGGTATGAATAGTTTGCTGTCTGCTGCCAAAGGGCCCCAAATCATCATGGCTTCAGAGGAGCCCTTCCTTGGTAAAGGAAGATGACAGACAGCAAGGTTGGAGGTGGCAGGGTATGGGAGGCAGGCTGGGCGGGGGCATCCCTCCTGCCCTAACTTGTTGGGTGACCCTCATTAAGACATTTCCTTCTGTGGACCTCAGACTTCCCAGGTACCGAGTGGGGAGGTTAGTGACATGGACATTGAAGCTCTGACATCTTCTAATTATATCACAGATGATTTCAAAGACCAAAAAAGAGTCACTTTCTGGATAAATACAAAAATAATTCCACATGGAGGAATAATGCTCAACCCCCTTTTCCTAACATTTGTGAGACCTTCTGCTATGTCTCAGAGCCAGCTGTCTAAGCCACTGGGGGCAGAGAGATTGCCCTGCCCAAAGAGGCTAATCCCACATTGCTGAGCAAGGGGTCATCCGTGCCTTCTTGTCCGTGAGTGGCTTCCAGTGCCTGAAGACACATGTCCCAAGAAACATTCCATTGAAGTGAATCCTAAAAGATTCCCAAATTTCCTTGGGAATTCTTTCACCAAGGGAGGACAGCATTCTCCATTGGCCATTAAAAGCTTCCTGGCAACAAGAACTGGGATTCCGCTTCTTAGCTGGCAAGATAGTCCTGAAACAGTTTCCAGCTGTTGAAGGCCTCAGAAGAGTGCATGTTAGCTAACAATGCTGGAAGTCTCTGCAGGAAGCTGTTAGCTGGAGACTGGTTGACCGCTGTCCTCACTGGGTTAGAGGCCTGCTCAGAGATCGAGCCATGAGGACCTGAGCTTGCCTGTCCTTTCAAGAGTGCAGCAAACTCCTTCAGCAGAGCCTGTGCAGAAGAAAATGTAGGCACCCTTTTCCGAAAGCCAGCACTTTGGGATATTCCACAAGTCTTCACAATAACAAGCTAAAATTTTCCAGAAGCTCGGCTGCCCCCAAGTCCAACTGCTGCTCAGTCCCCATGGTTGCTGGACCTCACAGGGTCAAGAGACACAAGAGCAAAAGCAGGGGCAGGAGGCGTTGCTTGCTGGCGTTGCTCTCTGCTTCTCCTCACTGCCATTGCTCACCGGGCACCTGAGTCTCTGCTCTCCCTTCAGGTAGCCCCAGGCCCAGCCGCACCGGAGTCCAGGGCTTGTCACCTGCAGAGCAAGGGGAGACAGGGGAAGAGGAGCCAAGTGTTACAGGAGCCTCCTGAGAGGCTGCAGAGCAACGGCACTCCCACGGCATCCTCAACCTCATGGGGATGAGGATTCCTGCTGCCCAGAGAGGCTACAGAAGCTAGGATCTGTTCTAGGGATTATTGGAAGAAGAGGTAGCAGGAGGTAAGAGAAAGGGTCAGTTTAAGCTGTAAGGCAGGAGGCGAGATGAGATCTGCAGGGTGACCTGGAAGTTCCTGGGATAAGACAGCAGAGGGACAGCCATCCCCGTCCCTACCCACCCTGCATGAGGTGATTCTTGCTTTAGGCAAACCTAGGCAAGGTTCAGCTCAGTGACTAGCAGGACGGTGGGGTAGCCAGGAGCATGGGCTCCAGAGTCTTCAATCCCAGCCATGCAGCTCACATGGAGGGTGCCACCTGGCCACTTGTACCCCATTTAAAAGTCTGTAACGCTGGGATGATGCACTGTAAATTCCAGGGTCACTGTGAGAATCAAAAGAGACACTGTGACCCGTGGTCAGTGCTCAAGCCATGAGGGCTCTTGATATCAAGGACAGTCCATGGCATGAAAGAAGAGATGGGAGATGGGACCTGAAAATCTGGGTTTGAATTCCAACTCTGGCTCTCATCAGCTGTGTGACCTCTGGCAGCCCATTCAATCTCTCTGTGCCTTCTCATTGTGAACATGGGAATAATAATACTACTGATAACCATGAGCTATTGTTGTGAGGGTCAACTGAGATATACTAACTTGAAAAATGTCAACTCATATATATCACTGGTCTCTGGAGTAGGAGCTTTGGGAGGTACAGAGAGGAATCGGATGTGAATCCTGCCTCTCGAGTATCTTACTGGCAAGAGGAAAGAGAGGCAAGTACACAAGGAACTATACTCCCAAATGGCAAGCTGCTATCTTCTTAGGCAAAGGAAGATAAAGAGATGGTACCATTGACAGGATAGCACAATCTAGACAGTCACTCTTTGCTTCACTTAGCAAAGTTCAAGGGAAATATTTTATTTGAGCCTAATGACTCTGGACACTTCCCTTAAAATGACATATGAGAATATAAGTCAGTTTTTCTCCTGTTGAGAGGTGGCAGGCTTTGGAATCAACCACACCCTTGTGAATTCTCTTGGGCACAGTTTTGTTTATGCTTATATGTCACTTAATGGTTACATATCTGTTACAGGCTGAATTGTGCACTCCCCAAATTCATATGTGGAAATCCTATCCCCCAGCACCTCAGAATGTGACTGTATTTGGAGACAGGACCTTTAAAGAGGTAACTAAGGTAAAATGAGGTCATACGGGTGGGCCCTAATCCAATATGACTGGTGTCCTCATAAGAAGAGGAGACTAAGATGCAGACACAAAGGAGAGACCATGTGAAGAGACAGGGAGAAGACAGCCACCTTCAAGCCAAGGAGAGAGGCTTCAAGCCAAGGAGAGAGGCTTCAGAAGAAGCCAACCCTCCTGACACCTCGATCTCAGACTTCTAGCCTCCAGAACTATGAGTAAATACATTTCTGTTGTTGAATTCACCCAGTCCGTGCTACTTTGTTATGGCAGCCCTAGCAAACTAACACAGCATCCTCGAGTAAATCACCTAGCTTTTCTGAGGCTCACAGGTTTCTCACCTGTAATGATAATAGTAATAATTGAAGCAAACACTACCAGGGTCCTGTTAGGTGCGAGGCACTGCTTTATGCACTTTTCATATATTGACGAATTTACTATCTCAAAGCAATACTCTGAGCTAGGTATCATTATTATCTCTAGTTTATGGATGGGGAAACTGAGGCACAAAGTATCTAACTTGCCCAAGGACACACAGGAAGTAGGTGACAAAGTTCAAACCTGCCTTTCTTTTCCAGAAGTTGTGCTTCTAAGGATTAAATTATTTGCAGTATAATCTCAGGATCTCAGAATGTAGGCGCTGATAGGAATATGAGAGATTATACAGCCAGCACTTCTCAAACTTCAGCGTGCACCTGTTTCCCCAGGAAACTTGCCAAGAAATGCAGATTCTGATTCGGTAGGTCTGGGGTGGGGGCTGAGGTGCTGCCAAGGGTTACAGAACTAGTAGGTGGCTTAGTCAGGATTTGAACCCAGGTGGTCTGGCTCCAGAACCCACATTCTGTAAAATGGGAACAATAACACCACTCCCTGCCTATCTCTCACCAAGGCTTACTGGGAAGAGTAAATGCTTGATTTGAGCCATTTCTCTGCCCCTGGTAGACAAAATAATGATCTTGAAATCAAGCCTGGGTGAGCTTGGGGAAGGTGGGCAAGAATCTCCCTCCAGCTTTCTTGTGGTGGTCAGAGAAGCTTCTATGTTTCCCCCTTCCTTTGTGACCTAGGTTTCTTGTTCATGGACTCTTAAATCCATGCCGTGGCTCCTGGAGGACTGGATTGCCTGCACAGGGTCCACTAAGATCCTTTTCTGGCTAAGGACCCAAAAGTCTATCTTTGTGGACACCAGAAACCACAGAAACAGGAAAGCAGAGCTCAGAGGTCTTGTTCCCATGGGACAGAAATCTTCCCTGACAAATTGTGATGCAGAAACCCTTCTCTGACATTGCCCAGTAAGAGCCCTGTCCTCCTCTCCTGGGTCAGGTAAGGGGCAGCCAAACACGCCGCCCCCCTGCCCCACCGCCTCCATCTGCCACTTGTTCCTCCCCAGGCCCAGCTCTCTCCTGACAGAAAAATGCATCTCTCTGGTCACCTGGTCCTGACACAGTATCCCTAGAGAGAAGAAGGAAATGGGAGACAGAACAATCCAAGCACCCCTCTGGATCACAGATAAACACAGGAAGAGTCCCAAGCCTGGGGAACTTCCAGCAGCCCTGAGCTCCCTCCTGCCAGCCCTTTCTCAGAGGGCTTGCCATCAGCACAGTCTCCTTAGACAGGATGTTTGGGGCTGCTGTGCGGGGACCCCAGGGACAGGGCACCCCAGCCTGCATCCTTGGAGAGAAGCACTTAGAAAACCCTTTGCCTCTGCAGATCAGGGCATCCCAGGATGCTGCAAGAAACATGTTTCTCTGGCATGAGTTACTTTTACCTTTTGAAAACACACCTGCCCAGACCTCTCCCATTGCTGCAAAGACCAAAAACCCCAGAGGCCCTCCAAAGCCTGGTCTCTCTTCCAGAAACTGTGCTTCTAATTCCTAAAAATAAAACAACTTGCAGTTTAGCTTCAGGCTCACAGACAGTAGGAGCTGAAATAAGACACCTATTCCAGCGTGCACTTTCTTATGCCTATCAGTGTAGGGGAGGGGACTTGTTCAAATGCAGATTCTGATAGGGCAGGTCTGGGGCAGGGTCTGATTCTGTGTTTCTAACAAGCTCCCAGGGGAGGCTGTTGCTGCTTGTTGGTGGACTATGCTTTAAGCAGCAAGGATCTAGTTCACCCCCACCCTCCCCATTTTACAGATTTGCAAACCGAGGCCCACAGAGTAGAAGACAATTGCTTATGTTGATTAGGAGCAACTAAATGGAAACCTGAACCAGTATCTGATAGGGGAATTGCTGTCTGAGCTCAAGTTATGGGACACATGTCATCTTCTCTGTCACTCTGCTTGCTTGGGAGGAAAGGCGAGAGAGGGGAGGACTAGGCCCATGTATTCCTTCTTCTGTTTCTATTGAGGCAACGCTTCAAATCATTATTTGGATAGTAAACACATGCCTTGGGTACCTTTTATGTATCCATAGAGTCTTTTTTTTTTTTTTAAGACAGAGTTTTGTTCTTGTTGCCCAGGCTGGAGTGCAGTGGTGTGATCTCAGCTCACTGCAATCTCTGCCTCCCGGGTTCATGCCATTCTCCTGCCTCAGCCTCCCAAGTAGCTGGGATTACAGGCATGTGCCACCACACCTGGCTTATTTTATTTATTTATTTATTTATTTATTTATTTATTTATTTATTTTTAAGACAGAGTCTCACTCTGTCACCTAGGCTGGAGGGCAGTGGCGCCATCTCAGCTCACTGCAACCTCTGCCTCCCGAGTTCAAGCAATTCTCTGCCTCAGCCTCCCCAGTAGCTGGGATTACAGGCGCCCACCACCACGCCTGGCTAATTTTTTTGTATTTTCAGTAGAGATGGGGTTTCACCATGTTGGTCAGGCTGGTCTTGAACTCCTGACTTCAAGTGATCCACCTGCCTCGACCTCCCAAAGTGCTGGGATTACAGGCTTGAGCCAACGTGCCCAGCCAAGAGTCTTAAATTATCTTTTTCCTAAAAAACATTGATACGGGAAATTTCCAATGGGGAACCACCTACAGAGCCAAAGAGGAGAGATGCTACAGTTCCCTGTGATAACAGAAATTCACCCTCACGGACTCGCCCTATCCCCAAGCATGGCAGAGTGAATCCCATTTGATCCTGCTGTGCCATCAAGTCCAAATCCCTCCTCACCCCACCAATCAGCTGTAGGGGAGGGATGGTTCCAAAGCCTTTGCCAATTGCAGCTGGGAGAAAGGTAGCTCTGAAACTATTTCACATCCTCCTATTCATTCAGCTCACATCGTTAGCCCGTGGGCGGCCACTGCGCTGGTGCTGGGGGAAAAGGAAAGTAAGATCTCCACCCTTAAGGATCCCCCAGTCCCATACCCCTGTGCAACAGGCACTGAAATCTAAATAATGCACATGACCCTCCCAGCAAACCAGATATGTCCTAATGAAAAGTCAGCCTGTAATTACTCACTTGAGATTTAACGTAAGAGTAAATAATTTAGCCACAATGATAAATCTGGCAGGGTGTCCAAACTTTTGGTTTCCCTGGGCCATACTGGAAGAAGAAGAATTGTCTTGGGCCACACATAAAATACACTAACAGTAGCTGATGAGCTATAAAAAAAAAAAAAAAAAAGGGCTGTGCATAATTTTCATGATATCCACCATCACAGATAAGCAAAAAAGTCCTCACGTTCAAAGGGCTGGACATGGCTGCATGCTGTCCAGTACAGTAGCCATGAATCACATGTGGCTATGTAAATTTAAATTCAATTATAATTAGATAAAATTAAAAATTTAGTTCCTTGGCCGGGCGCGGTGGCTCACGCCTATAATCCCAGCACTTTGGGAGGCCGAGGCTGGTGGGTCACGAGGTCAAGAGATAGAGACCATCCTGGCCAGCATGGTGAAACTCCGTCTCTACTAAAAATACAAACATTAGCCGGGCGTGGTGGCGCGAGCCCGTAGACCCAGCTACCCAGGAGGCTGAGGCAGGAAAATCGCTTGAACCCGGGAGGCAAAGGTTATAGTGAGCCAAGATTGCACCACTGCACTCCAGTCTGGGTGACAGAGCGAGACTCTGTCTCAAAAAAATAAAAATAAAAAAATAAAAAATTTAGTTCCTCAGTTGCACTAGGTACATTTCAAGTCCTCCACAGCTTGTATATGGTTAGGGGCTACTACATTGGACATCACAGGTTGAGGACACATTTATCATTGTAGAGACTTCTATGGAACAGCTCTGAGCCTCAGGACTCAGAGTGGTGTAGAAGGTCCACACTAGAGCTACAATTCAGTTCAGAGTGACAGTTCTCACGGTGGTATTCCCTGAACAGCAGCATCACACTACCTGTTAGAAACACAGGTTCTCAGTCCCACTCCAGACCTACTGACCAAGTGACTCAGAAAAATCTGAGGGTGGGGCCCAGAAAGCTGTCGTAACAAATCCTCCAGGTGATTCTGATAAGCGCTTACGTTTGAGAACTGTTAGTTACAGAGTATTAACTAAATCTCAAACAGACACTTGTCAGCCATCAGTTAAGTGTCAACCTCCTAAATATTTGAAAATGTATCAGGCTTTATCACAAGCTAGATCCAAATTTAAGTCTCAGACCTGCCACTTAAGGGCGGTATGTGTAGTTGGCCAATTACTCAACAATCTAAGCCTCTGTCCGCTCAGTTGTAAAATGGGGGAATAATAGCTGTCTTAGAGGTCTGTTAGAGGGATGAGATGATGTATGCGATGTGTGTGGTACACGGGCCGGCCCGGATGAAGACTCCATAAAGGTCAGTGTGTCGCCATTACCCAGGGTTGCCTCCCGGGCAGTGACGGATGCAGCTGACCGTCAGCCTGGCTTACTACATGGGCTTTTAGGGTAGCCTTTTTCACGAATAAATTGGTAGAACTGCATCTTCAGATGAGAGTTACATCTAAACAAGAGGTGCTTTCTTGAAAGCTTGCCACAGAGGGCTTTATGCAGGAAACTCACCCCTGTCAGGCAATATGTTTATGACCTGGGGAAAAAACCCAAATATGACCTAATGAGAGTCCCTCACTGGGCTCTAGGCAAAAGTTCTGCCTGGATTATGTGAAGTGTGGCAGATGCACCAAGCCAGAGTCCTGGGGTCCTGGAACAGTAAGCCTTCTAGCAGAGAATTCAGGGGCGGATAAAGGGAGGTTCCTGCTACCTCAGAGGGCCAGGGTATGAGAAGAGGTCATTTCTGCGCGGCAGCCTGGCTCATTGTTTTATTCCAGGGGGCTTTGCTTGCCTCTCACATTCAAGCAAAGCACAGATCCCAAAAGAGGGAAGGGAAAGGGAGAAGAGAGGGGAGGGGAGAGGAAGGCAAAGGAGAGGACTGGAGAGGAGAGGGATTAAAAGATAAAATATGGCCTTGTTTACCCATCCCAGTATTAAACTCCCACCCTTCTGGGGGATTCCATGAATGAAAACACAACACCTGCTGGGCTAGTGGCTGTGAAAGAGGAGAAGGGGTGATGGAAATGCAGCACATAGGGAGCAGATCTATTCTTAGTCCCACGAACTTCCTCCGGGCCCCCAAAGGCCTTGCCCCATTCTGATGTCTGCTTCCTTGATTTCAATGTTTTTTCTCTTCCAGACCATCCTCCCAGCTGCCATGCTCAAGCTTTTGAAATGCATAATTTGTTTTAATTACAAAATAAAATAATTTCTACCTCCCCTAGAGGGTTCTCCCTGGCCCTAAATTTCCTATCAATTCCTTCTCCCTCTGCATCCACATCATAGTCATCAAACCCTTCTTTAAACTTATCTCATTCTGTCTTTAGAGTTCCTGAACATTTTCCACACTGGGCTGCGGGCTCCTTGAGGGCAGGGACTCCGTGAACACATTTTCCTTCCCAACAGACCTTAGTTCAGTAGCTTGGCACACCAAGGCTGCCCAGTCAACATTGGACTGACTGAATGTGTTTGCCAAATGAATCTGGCTATTTGCCGGCTCTGCAACTTTCAACTCCTTGTCCAACACCCTCTATCAAAACAGGTGGGTGTATTTTGAAGTAGAAATTGGAGACATTAAAATAAGCAGATTTTTTAAAAAATACATCACTCTTTTTTTGTCATTTAAGCATTACCCTCAATTGAGGAAAAAAAGAGTACTTTCCCTGTTAAAGCTTGTTTTGTCTCCCAGCATCATAAAGCTAGAGGGGAAGTCTTGTTACTGATACAGGTGCTCCCAGGCTCACCAAATCCAAGGCCAGCCTGCCCCTCCTACAGTTTGGAGTGACTGGAGGCTGCAGCGAGGAAGGGTCCTGGCCTCTCCCGCCAATCCCAGGGCTCTCTGGAGAGGGTGCTGCCCACGATAAAAGGTAAGCCAAGTTCCCAGTTTTCCCTGCCCTCAGTCCCCAGACCATAGACGCCCATCACCTCTGAGATTCACTTATTCCCATAGGACAGGCCTCTTGCATGATTCCTCCAGGTATTTCTGGGACTCCCCACGGGTGCCTACATGAATCCTGTCCCAGCTCATGCTGCAAATATCCTGGGATTTCACAGCCACAGCCTCTCACTGGGGGTTTAGCTAAGTTCCATCTCCACCCCTGCTCCTCATCCACCTGCTGCTATCTTCGTGCATGGGACATGAGGGATTCTCCCCCCAGTCCAGCCCGCCCTGGAAGCTGCCTCCTACCTCACAGTGAAAGTGGCCCATCTTATCTGCATGGAGAGGGAGAGTCCATGCTCAGTTACATGTTCCACAGCCAGGTGACCTGGCTCCCATGGTATTAGGGAGGCTGACAGAGAGGTTCATTCAACACACATAGGACCTGGTAATGAATGCTGCTCTGGTAGCTGGGTCGCTCTCCACCTTAAACCTCTCCCGACTGTCCCTCCAGCCCCGACTTTGAGTCTGCATGGCACAGGATGGCTTCTTCCATGAAGGGATTCCTCTCTTGGAAGCCTCATTGTCCTTTCCTGAATTTGAGCATCTGTCTGGCCTTCCCAGTCCACCAATGGTCTTTAAACAAGTGAGCCTCATCTGGAAAGACAGTTTAAATTCCACCAGCCCAACCCAGGCTCCTCAGCCTCCTTATAAATCAGTGGATGCATGGATGCAAGTAAGTATTTCAGGAGAGGAGCTGCCACCTGACGTCAAAGACAAGTTGACCCGAGTCCCAACTCTGGCTTCCCCAGGCATCATCCACAAAAGGCTCTGCCAGCTGGCTCTCGTTCAGGCAGGGAAAGTCTGCCAGGGCCAAGGGGAGCGCAGGAGGCTGCCCCACCATGAGCCTTTTTATTCCCAGTTCCCTGGGCAAATGCAGTGTGGGCTGGCTCCTCAGAGCCGGCAGCTAAAAGGTCAGGTGATGCCAAGAGCAGCTAGATCACAGAGTTCAAAGACCTCAAAGGTAAGATGAGCCTCTCTTGAGACTCTGAGTCAGAACTTGGAGCTACCCAAGTCTACTCACTGGGCTATACATCTTCCCAGCTGGTTGTGTGCACTGTACTGACTTGGTAAGTGATTGTAGCAATAAACACTTCATCAGTTGTATTTGTTAACTGAAAATACTAGCATCAGCAGTTGGCTTGGCGTTTCTTCTGGCCTGAAGTTATTCTATGTGTGCCTACTTGTTTCTGGGGCTCAAGAAAAATTTCTACCAGATGCCCCCTGCCCTCTTCCCATCACCTCCTACCAGGGTCAAGACCCACATCACTCCTCATCTAGGTTATTTAGTGGCCCTTTTTTCCCCATTCTCCCCACTGGGGGGTTCCTGGCCCAATGTGGGAAGGGAGGCTCATAGTCCCAGGAAGACCTTTGTTTCAAAGAGGAGAAAATCAGTGCTTAAGGAGAGTGAGGATGCCTGGAGAATACAGCAGGTGCCAAGGATCAGCAAAGATGAGCGTAGTGCAGGGTTCATTCATGAAGCACCTTCAGTGCAAAGTTAAGGAGTCTGGATTTTATCCTGAAAGCATGGGTGTGGGGGCACTGGCGGACAGGAGGAGCCAGAGGAGTGAGTCGATGTGTACTTTTAAAAGGTACCACTGCCAGGGACAGGGAGGAGGAATGGGAGGGGAATAGGAGTGCAGCCTGGAGGTCTCTGCTGGAATTTAATTAATCAATCCGTGTTTATTATTAGTGCCTACTGCACGATGGTTCTAGGCATTGAGACACGGCAGGAAACAACTCAGGAAAAGACCCTGCTCTGGATCAGGTTAGAGCTCACAGTCCAGTTGTCGGAGACAGGGGTTACAGGAGGAAGAATAGAAACCAATAAGCAAGGAAAGGCATCCCATATATGTCTGATCACACAAAGAGCTACAGAGAGAAATCAAGCAGAGGAGAGGAAAGCTCTCTCTGATAAGGTGGCATTGGAGCAGGCACCGGAAGGAAGAGACAATGGGGTTAGGAGATGCCCTGGGAACACACAGGCAGAGGGAACACAGAAAGAGAAGGGTGTGAGGGAGTGCAGCAGGCAGGGGCTGGAGCTGTGTGGTGAGGTCAGAGGGCAGAGGGGTCAGCACAGCTAAGGGGTAGGGTAAGTTGAGGGTGATAAGACGTGAACACCCAGGTGGCCAAAACTGGGGTGCAGGCAAGGTGGGGGTGGGAAGGGAGAGAAGGGACATGCATAGTGCTTGAGGCAGGGCATGCTGTAGAAACGATGCCTTTCTCTGCAGCAGATGCCCACTCAGCTCAGTGCTGCATTGATTGCCTGGTAGGTGAGATGGGCATTGAAAATCCCCACCACTGGGTGTGGTGTTTTCAGTGCTGCCGTGCTGGCTTAAATAAAGTCCGCAGCAAGCATTGTTCCATTCTCATCCCATCCATGGCTTTCACACTAACAGCTAATCCTTTTGGAGTGATGCCTCCAGGCACTGCAAGTACATCATCTCAGACTGTGTGGGCCCGACTTACAACTGTCCTTAATATTCTAGTGCCCAGAGAGAAGACAGGTAATGTGATAGGGTCCAAGAAGGCTGGATTCTAGCTAAGTGTGCCACACCATACACACCTGGACGTGAAAGAAGTTCTCAAAACCAGAAGATCCTGGAAAATGTTAGCTGCTATTGGAGTGGTTCTATGTGTGGCTCTGTTTTGTCTGTTCAAACTACTTTTGTATGATAGAAGTGTAATTCTAAAGCACCCACTTTCCAAATTAAATGAAGGAACAGGGGGAATGAAGCACTGGAGAGACTCATCCAGAGGCCTTGAAAGCAGGCGGAGCCAACAACCTGAGCTGGAAAGGTCTAGAAAATGTGTATGCGTGTCCCTGTGTGTGTATGTGTGTGTGCGTGTGTGCCTGTGTATGAGTGGGAGACAGGGAGAATACTCTGCAGAGCTTGACAAGCAGGCAGATCCACCCTACCCTTTGGGTTCTGACTGTGGATCTGGGGCAGGACTCAGTAATCTGCATGTGCACCCCTGCCAGACACCCTGAAAGATTCTGATGCAGGTAAAACCCTTCTAGAGGTACAGCAGAAAGGGGAAAACGTGTTTACTTCTCTCCACCAACTAAAGGAAAAACTGCTTTTTCCCTCCACTATCCCAATACTTCCGACCACTAAATGTGCAAGGGATTTTCAAACCAAGCAATTCTCCAGTTCTTGGTGCACAATAACTAGGTGCTCTATAATCCATTCGATTCTGATACTGTCTACCTGGAGTTAGCACAGATGCCATGGATTGAGATCTGTGTTTAGACCCAGGGTAGGCCCATCATTGCCTTCCGGCATGTGGACTGTGAACTAGAGGCATCCTTGAAACTGGAAACAAGGGCCTTGTGGGGCAAAGGCCTTCTGACCTGGGCAAAGGCATAGTCTGCTGGGAGCAGCAGGAGAGATGGGACAGATAGGGCATCATTGCCAGCAAGATGCCTCCTGCTCCCAGAACTAGATGTCTTCAGGAGAGGCAAGATCCAGACACAGGTTTAGAACAAAAGGTGATGAACTGGAACCAGCCTTAATGATTGATGGGAGAAGGTGCTACATTCAAAATGAATGAGGAGCCCACAGAGGATGTTTGTGAGTTTCATCTCCTGCTCCCGAATTCAGCCCCTAGATCTTCCTTTGCAGCCATCTTTCCCTTTACTCTCAGTCCATGTAGCTCAATGGGGGCTGACCCACTCGCCTTGCTCCTAAGGTAGATATGTGACCCGGCCTGGCCAATGAATAGATCCATTCCCCTGGCTGCTGTGATTGGTGCAGGGATGTTCAGTTGACCCAAGTCAAAAAAAAGGGACATTGGCTGGAACTACTGGGAAAGCTGGATCTCATCCCACTGTGGTTGGCAAGCCTGGAGTTGCTGGGGCCACCCTTGCCTCTATATTGAGAGAGCCTCTCTAAGAGTGAAGCTTGCACAGGGGAATGTGGAGCCTAGAGATGGAGAAAGCTAATACTTGAGCACCAAGACCCAATTATGCCTGAAGCTACTACTATCCCTGGACTTTCAATTGCATGAGCCAACAAAGTTCCTTTTTCATTTAAGCCAGTTTGAATTGTGTTTTTGACATTCACTATGGAAACAACCCTAACTAATAAGAAGCCAAAAGGAGAAGGAAAGATGAAGATTAGTTCTTTTTTTCTTTTTTTTTTGAGATGGAGTTTCGCTCTTGTTGCTCAGGCTGGAGTGCAATGGCGCAACCTTGGCTCACTGAAACCTCTGCCTCCCAGGTTCAAGGGATTCTCCTGCCTCAGCCTCCTGAGTAGCTGGTATTACAGGCATGTGCCACCACACCCAGCTAATTTTGTATTTTTTTTTTTTTTTTTAGTAGAGACCAGGTTTCTCCATGTTGGTCAGGCTGCTCTTGAACTCCTGACCTCAGGTGATCCATCCGCCTTGGCCTCCCAAAGTGCTGGGATTACAGGCGTGAGCCACCAAGCCCAGCCAAAGGTTAATTCTTTCCAAGTCTTTTTGCTCTCATAAAGCGTTTATTTAATTAATGAGGCCTTACATTACTTTATCGGAAAAGAATACTTATTTTCCTCAATTGTATCATGTCCCCAAAACATGCAGTTTCCTAGAAAATGTGACCCACATTGGAAAGAATGAAAATCTTTACTACCACTAAGGTTGACGACTATTTCATGAAGGACTATGCAAGAACCACCCACCAGCCTACTCCCCACCTTATCCCAATCCATCTTCCACAGACCCACCAGCATGAATCGTGGCACATTTTTGCTTAAAATCCTCCAAGGGCTTCCCATCACACCAAGAATGAAGTCAGAGCCCTTTATCCAGCCCTGTGTGGCCTGACCCTTCTCCAGCCTCATCTCATGCCAGTCTCCACCCATGCAACATGGGCCTCTCTGTCATTTCCTTGAAGATGCCAAGCTTGATTCTGCCCCAGGGACTTTTCACATGCTGCTCCTACTGCCGGGAATGCTTTCCCTACTCCACTCACCCTCAGGTCCCAGTCTAAAGTCCTGTTCTTACAGATGCTTTTCCTACCATCTTCTTCCCATCTGAAGGTCCCTGCCTCAATACCCTTTGTAGCATCCTGGTTATTTTCTTCACACAGTTTATAATCATATATTCACTAATGGGTTTGCTTATTGTCCATTAACTTCATGACGGGAGGGATTTGGCCGTTGGTGATGCTACTCAGAGTGTGGTCAAGGGACCAGCAACATCAGCATCACCCAAGAGCCTGTTAGAAACCAGAGGTCTTGCCCCAGGCCACTGACTGGCAATCCTCAGTGACTAATGTGCACGGTGAAGTTTGCAAACTTCAACTTCTAAGGGTCCTTCCTCTGCTCTAAGACACCTTCTGCCCTCATCCTTCCCCACCGTGAAAGGAGTCAGAACTGCTGGCTTCTGTGCATCTCTTTCCATTCTCCTTCCTTTCCCCTGGGAAGCATTAATATTAACCAGTAGGGCCAAGAAACACAGAGGATGCCATGAAATTTCCTCAAAGAGCTGGGGGCCCTAGAGGGCTTACATGAGAGCCCTGAGACAGGCGTGCAGCCCATGAATGAGCCCCTTAGGCTCGGACACACAAGAGGCCAATTTGTTGGCACCTGCTGTGCCTGGAAGCCAGGCTGGAATGTCATGAGGCAGGGCCTGGCAGCAGTTCAGAGAGTGCAGCCTTCCTCCCGGGCTCCTGTTCTCAGGCTCACACAAACCCAGGAAGGGCAGAGACAGGGAATGTTTGCACAGCAGATAGACTTTCTCTACTCCTCCCTCTGCCCAGCCAGAGTGGAGTCGAAAGAGCACGCTTGATTTTAGTTCAAGTTTGGGCCAGAGTCCTTCTTTGATCTGAGAGGCTTGTCTTTTCCTGGGTTATTTATTTGTAGAAACCACTCTGGTTTCCTACTACTTCAAATACACCTACAGGAAGCCACTGGCAGGTGGGGTTCTAACGCATAGGCCTGTTTTACTGCCCTGGGTGCCACCGGCTCATTGTGATGGGATCAGTTACCTGGATCCCTGCACGCAGGTGAAATTTACAGCCCTGGGCTATAGAACAAAAGGCCCTGTTCTGTGGAAGAAAATGGGTTCTGATAAAGCTAGCTGGGAGGAGAGGCCAGAAACAGGGAGTCCTAGGTTCTAGTCCTGGGAGACCTTGGCAGACCTTCCCTGGGCCTCAGTATTCTCTCTCTAAAGTGAGACCCAGGAAAATGCATATTTTAGTGCTTACCCAGGGCCAGGGAGCTGTGACAGAGATATGTAAGGATGACAGTTCCTGACTGCATAATCTCAGCTTGCAATCCTGAGCTCCGGGACCCCTAACTCACCACTAGGGGACCCCAGGATTCCACATAATCGCTTTCCCCTCCAACCCAACATTTTGCTATGAAAATTTTCAAACACACAGCCAAGTTGAAAGAATCTCACAGTGAACACTAATACAGTGCAACCTAGATGCTACCAGTAACATTTTGCTGTGTTATTGCACATCCATCTATCCATCCAGAAATCAATCTCAGTCTTTGGATGCATTTCACAGTAAAGTGAAGACACCACCGTCCACATTTCCCCTTAAACACTTCAGCCTGCATATTATTAACTAGAGTTCCATATTCTTTTTTTCATCTTTTGAGGGAAATTTTACATGTAAATAAAACACACAAACCTAAAATGCACACTTGTTGAGTTTTGACAAATGCATATGTCTCTGAAACCCAGATCCCCAGGAATGTCCAGAACATTATCATCACCCCAGAAAGTTCCCTCATCCCCTTCCCAGTCAATTCCAACAAGAGGCAACCACTCTTCTAAGTGAGAAATACCAGAAACATTCCATAGATTCACTTTGCCTCTGCTAGGACTTCATGTAAATGGAATGATCCAGTATGTAGACCTTTGTACAAGGTTTCTTTCACTCAGCATGTTTTTGGGATTCACCTACGTTGCTGTGTGTATCAGTAGATAATTTCCTAGAATGGCAAAGAAATATCCAATTGCATTAATATGCTCTACTACACAACTGCCTTACTATGACTGCTTCAGGGAACTCCAATAAAATGGGATTTGGGAGCAAAAAGAAGGCACGGGCTGGGTGCGGTGGCTCACACCTGTAATCCCAGCACTTTCAGAGGCTGAGGCAGGCAGATCTCTTGAGGACAGGAGTTCGAGACTAGCCTGGCCAACATGGCAAAACCCCGTCTCTACTAAAAACGCAAAAATTAGCCAAGTGTGGTGGCATATGCCTATGGTCCCAGCTACTTGGGAGGCCGAGACAGGAGCTGAACCCAGGAGGCAGGAGCTTGAACCCAGGAGGCAGAAGTTGCAGTAAGCCGAGATCGTGCCACTGCACTCCAGCCTGGGAACAGTGAGATTCCATCTCAAAAAAGAAAAAAAAGAAAAAGAAAAAAAAAAAGAAGGCACAACTTTGCTACCAAAATGCAGTGAGAACGAGCTGTGTTTGCCACTGTCCTTCTCCAACCCAACAAGATGCTTTGGAGGCAGGTGTCCTCGGCTCAGTTCCCAGTTCCACCACTCATCTGCTGTGTGCAAGTTCTGGTACCTCCCTGTTCTGCAGCTTCTTCATCTGAAAGATGCTGGTGACAACAGGACCTTCCTCAAACAGCAGTTTTGAGGAAGAGTGAGGTAAGCATGTGTTCCATAAATGTTACTATATGTTGGTGAGGAGGAGCTTTGACTTTTATTTTTATTTATTTATTTTTTGAGATGGTGTCTCACTCTGTCTCAAAGAGCTTCAGTGCAGTGGCATGATCACATCTCACTGCAGCCTCAAACCCCTGTACTCAAGCGATCCTTCCATCTCAGCCACCTGAGTGGCTAGGACTACAGGCACACACCACCATGCCGAGCTAATTTTTTAATTTGTTTATTCTCACTATGTCCTGTTGCCCAGGCTGGTCTTGAACTCCTGGACTGAAGTGATCCTCCTGCCTCGGCCTCCCAAAGGGCTGGGATTCAGGCATGAGCCACCATAGACATAGTTTGACCCCTGCATGTGCCACTTAGTGGCTCTCCAGGTCTGGGAAATTTCTGTGGGTTTTTTTAAAATAGGTATGGCTTCATTATATTTTACAACATTATCTCGTGGATTTATTTTTCCTCTTCCTGGTTTTCTCCTTTCCCTCCCCAGGACTTCCCTTTGCATTTTTAGGCTAAGATTCCTGTCTAGCTTATAAGGCTATTAAGTATCTTCTGCCTAATTGAGGTTTCGAGAGGATTCAAAGAGATAACATATACAAAATGCTTAGGAAAGCACCCGGTTTGCAGTTAACTCTCTTACATAAAAGTTGTTTTCCATTGTTAGCTGTGTTCTTCAAAAGGGCAGAGCAGAGACTGATTTGCTGAAAACAAATGTGGATGCTCAAGAAATACTTTTGAAAGAGTCTTGCCCTGAGAAGTCAGGACACCAGGCTCACAGGTCAGCCTTGCGTTCCCTGCCCTACAGATGCTGTTAAAAATGGAATTCAAGGGAGCAACTGCAAATTGCCTGAAGCATCTCCTGGGCCTTCAGCCTGGTCTCCCAGGAGCTGCAGCCCACGCTTGGTTTATAGCCAGGAGAAGTTGCCAGGCAGGGAGAAGAGCCCCCGCCTCAGGCTCTGGCTACATTTGCAGAGCTGAGCTGTGGCCCAGGATGCTGGCCTAGGTTCAGCTCTAGTCGGCCGTGTTGCCTAAGATCTTCCAGAGGCTTCAGTTGGAAAAAGTTATTCCTTGATTTTCTCCATAAAATGAGAGAAAGTGGTCCTGGCAGAGAGAGGAGGTAGCACTGTCATCTCAGGGCAGGCCTCGCTGGCTCACTGAGGGCCTGCAGAGGCCCAGGGGACAGTGCCTGGTTGGAATCTGAACACAGATCTCTCTGACTCCAGCTTGTTCCTGCCTCTGTCAGTTTGCTTCTGGGTATTACATTTGGAAGTTGTGCTTCCAGCACCTGGGTCCAAGGAATAACCTTAAAAACCATCAAGACCATGACTTGCCCCAAGGTCCCATAACAAAGGTTCAAAGCAAGGTCTCAATTCAACTCAATGCTCGTGCATCACATATTAGGTTGAACAATACAAAATCGTCCATGTCTTGATCTATAAAAGTGTCTGTTCTATGCCATTCAACCTATATGTTTATTCAGCCCTTCTTATGTATACACCATTGTCCTTAAGTCTGGGAAGTGGGGTTGTGGGAGCAGAGAGATGAGAAAACAATGCTCGCCCTTAGAGCTTTGTTCTAGAGCCCTTGGAATCTAATCTCTCTGTTTTGATCTTCTCTCTCAAGTAGTCCTACCTCTTACTATGAGATCCATGCCATTTGAATTGGGTCAATTCCCTTCTTAGGGCTTCAAAGACCACCATATTGTAGGGCTTCCCAAATCTCTGCCTTGAGCCAGGGTCTCCACTTTGTTCCAGAGCCCTCTCTGTGATCTGCCCTTTCACAAAATGGACCTCCTAGAGTCACGCTTGTTCAGCAAGATTTCTGACTCCCAGACGAAACAGACTGGACCAGAGGCACAAAGGACCAAAGCTGGGCTGATTATTTTTCTCCTGGTTCCAGTCCCTTCTTGCGGCCTGGCTTTATTCCTGCCTTTGAAGCTAGGAGACACTCCCTATGTCCTTATCATAAATCCAAACCCCATGCTTTTCCCCCCTTTCCATTTGACTAAATGTAGCTCAACTTGGTTTCTCTTACTTGCAACCAAAAGTCTTAGTTCTTCAGCCCATACATGAGTGATCTGACTTTTTTCTCCCAGGGTCTTAAATGGGCATTGGAACTCTCAGCCACAACAAACACTTTTCTGCATAGATTTCTACCCTATTCTCAATGTCTCTCCTGTGCTAACAGTACCATCTCTGGTGGCCAGGACTTTGTAAGAACAGAGGAAGTCATTCTCCTGACTCACCTGGTATCCCAGGGCTGGACAGGAGTGAGCTGTGCAGGCTTGAAGGACTCATGATGATGGTACATGTGGGTGTGGGCCACCGGGACATTTTGCCCCTCAGCTATTCAGGCGCCTATTGGGAGCTACTTTCCTGTATTTACCATTCAATCCATGTTGGAACAAAGACAAGCTGAAAATCAAATAAACGCCTTCCAGACACTTAACGCTGCACACACTTGATCTTCCTCCTCCTTCAGGACTGAAAATGAGATAAGCACCACCTTACCTGGCTGTTCTCCAGGGTCCTGGCATAAAAGAGGAAAAGGGAGGGGGTGAGACTATCTCTCAAAGTATGTTGGGACATGAAAGCAGAGGCATAAACCCTTCTTTGAATGGGAAGAAATGATATATATATATATTTTAAACCACATTTCAGTATGAAAGAAGATGATGGCAGAGGAAATGTCAGTAAGCTGAGTCAGAATGTTTCCGATGCCATAAAAGCAAATGCTGTCTTCGATACGCAACTATTAAAAGTAACAGCAAAAATGCAATTACTTTTGCACCAACCTAGAATAATATTGTTGCTCCTACTGGTTAGTAATCGTACCTCTCCACTTAAAAAAAAAACACACACACACATTGGAAGTAGCCATGGAATCCAAAAAGGTTCTGATTCTGATGTAAATGTTACACTTCAAGGGCCTTCTGTGTGCCAGGTATCAGGCTATCTGCTTACTACATGGTTTAACTCCCACCACATCTCAGAGGTTAAGTGATTTGTCCAAATTCACATAATCAGCAAGTGGTACTTCTGTTCCAGGGTCCCAGTTATCAGAATTTCAAGCCACTGCATTTTCTCACTACTCTGCTGTTCCAAGGAACAAACAGTTCCATCAGAAGACAGCAGTGAACTCTCAATCAAGCACTCCTTCCTGCCCTGCAAAGTTTGCCTCCTCTCACTCTTGCTCGTGAACTCAACCTGTCCCCCTTGAAGTTCTACCCACAGTCTTCTACTTCCTCATCATCTCTTCAGTGCAGGAGGACCTCTCTATCCTGACATTCACGGTGGCCTCCTGATGGTCAGCCCATCTCCAGTCTCCTCCTCCTTCCAGTCCATCGCCTACACTGCTGCCAGGATAGTCTTTCTCAAAGGCAAATCTTGTATTTTACACCCTTCCAAAACCCGTGTTGCTGTATGAGGTCCCTCAAGAAGTGGCCCCTAGATATCTACTCAACCTCACCTGTTCTCTCGCTTCATGCCCCACGCCACCTTCTAACTTACACTCTGGCCACGCTAGTACCACCAGATGACCCCCTGCCCACCCAGTGTCCAACGTGAGCTCATGGTCTGTGCCTTTTATCACATTGCTGTTTCTGCTGGAAGGCTCTTCTCCAGCACCAATGCCTGGAGGAAATCTACTACCCATCAAGCCTTTAATAAATTTCCAAGAAGAATGAATCACTCTTTCTTCCTTATTTCCCACCTCTATTCAGCATAGGTCTCTTATTATTATAGAATTTTATTACGTGAATTTCCCATGCTAGAACATGAACTACTGCAGGGCAGGGAACCTTATTTTCTTCCCTTTTCTATCTGTGATCGAGGGCCTGGCCTAGAATAGGGATTCAGTAAAGGCTTGTGGGATGAATCACAGAATCAATGCTCAACGGATCAATGAACAAATGACTCACGTTAACTCTAAAAAGAACCTCACCTAGAGAGGGATTAGATTTGTTAGCCAATCACTGGCCACGTCCCTGTCTCCTGTTCACCCTTTGTTTGCTCCCTGGCCCTGCTGTGGAGTTGCGGTGACCCCAGGATTGTCTGCCTGCCTCCCCTCCTCTATGCCCTGCCCCTCCCCCTCCCACATAGTCACTCCAGGGACTCCCATGAGGGCTAGCACCACCCTGGCACTGGCCCCTGCCAACAGGTCCACAGGCGAATGCCTGACTCAAGCCAGACCAATGAGTTGCTTCCCAGGATCCTGGGCTTGGAGATAGAGAGAGTCTGAAGTCAGTCTCATTGCTGTGGTGAAAGTTACTCAGTACCAGTCAGCAGCCCCATCAGCTGCCCTGTTCCCTGTTGGCACTGGAGCCCTGCAGCCCTGCTTTCAGCCATCCCTGAGCCTGCCTCCCCCAAAGATGTTTTCAGAATTTCGTTTCTCAATCCTACCTTGGATTCTCTGCACCTTCACCTTCTCTGTTGGCTTGGAGCTGGGTTTCTGTCACTGACAATCCCAGAGCCCTGATGAGTAAGGGGGTGAGCTGACAGACCTGGGAGAAAACTGAGCCAGGCTGTAGCTGAGTCCATGGGGATCACTGCAGTGAAAAGGAACCCCCTTCCCTCCACACCTTCAACTTTAGGGAGCAGCCAAGTCCCTGACAACATGGCTTCTCCTCACCCACCCTACAGGACATGTCTCCTTGGGAAAATAACAAGAAGATGATGGCTGGGCGTGATGCCTCACACCTGTAATCCCAGCACTTTGGGTGGCCAAGGCGGGATCACTTGAAGCCAGGAGTTTGAGACCAGCCTGGCCAACATGGTGAAACCCTATCGCTACTAAAAATACAAAAAAATTAGCTAGGCATGGTGGCACATGTTTGTAATCCCGGCTACTTGGGAGGCTGAGACATGAGAATCACTCGAACCTGGAAGGTGAAGGTTGCATTGAACTGAGATTGCGCTACTGCACTCCAGCCTAGGCGACAGAGTGGGACTCTATCTCAAAAAAAAGAAGATGACAATAAAGAAGCTGCCACCACTCTGTCCTTCTACACATGCCCAAAACCCCTGACTAGGAATCACTCCCCGGCCAGCTCCTGCCAAAGACACCTCTCCGACCCCTCCTATGTGCATCTCCCACCTCTCCCACCCCTGACCCTGACATTTACCTGCTCTGCCCATCCCTTGCCTGGACAGCCATAACAGCCTCCTCTCCCTGAACACCGCTTTGCCAATGGAACCTTCCCAAACACATATTCACTATGCTCCAGTCTTGTTCTAAAGCTTGCGGTGCCGCCCTCTCCCCACCACCACTGCTTACAAACTCTTGATGGCTTAGCAGAGGGTGGCCCTTACCTAACTCATCACACCTTGGGCCAACTCATCTCTAGCATGTATCAGGCGCAGTGGGCCATGCATTGTCTCTTGGGTCATCCTTGAGCATCTCTGTCTCTCTGCCTTCACTTGCTCAGCATCCCTGCCTGGAATCCCTTCCCACCCATTCGGGTATTTCACTTCCTTTAGTATATTTCAATCTGGCCTCATTTTTGAGAACCTCCCTGATAACATCAATTTGACAGCTGACTTCCTAGTTAACCTACTTGCTTACTCTCTCTCTCTCTCTCTCTGGTGGTCATTCTGCTCAACCACACAGGACATTTAGATTAAGAGTAGCCTCATCCACCTCATTTGTCCAGCACACGAGTAACTGGAACTGGGCCTAAGGAGTGAACTGGCCCGAGAACCCTCAGGTCACTGGCAGAGTTGGTAACCGATCCCACGGCGTGAAGTGGGTGAGCAAGAGGGAAGAGGCCAGGGTGACTCAGAGGTTTGTGGCTGGAGTAGAGAGTAGGCTCCTCGCCAAGGCAATGGTGAGCAGATTTCCCAGCTGGCTGGAAGTTCCTGCTGAATTGGAAATGCTTTCAGGTGGCCCGTGTAGAGGCTCAGTGGGCAGTTGCATAGGTGAGTCCGGAGATCAAGAGAGAGACATGGACTCTAGACATATTTTAAAGAGATTGGCCAGGCACAGTGGCTCATTCACCTATAATCCCAGCACTTTGGGAGGCCAAGGCAGCACTTGAGGTCAGGAGTTGGAGACCAGCCTGGCCAACATAGTGAAACCCCATCTCTACAAAAAAAATAGCCAGCTGTGGTGATGCACGCCTGTAATCCCAGCTACTTGGGTGGCTGAGGTGGGAGGATCACTTTAACCTGGGAAGCAGAGGTTGCAGTGAGCCAAGATAGCACCACTGCACTCCAGCCTGGGCAACAGAGCAAGGCTCTATCTCTCTCAAAAAAAAAAAAAAAAAAAAAAAAAAAAAAAAAAAAAAAAAAAAAAAAAAAATTTCTAAAGAGATCCCTGAAGCCAGGGTGTGTGTGTGTGTGTGTGTGTGTGTGCACGCGCACACGCTCATCAGAGAACACACTGACCATGAGGAGGTTGAGGCCTGAGTTCTGGGAGTGCAGAAAAGATTCATCTGGAGTGACCCTGCAAGGTCCATTTAGCCCCTCTTGGGCAGCTGCACCCCACATTGCAGGGCTGGCCCTACTTTCAGAAGCTGGGGAAACTGGTTTCTTGGGTGCAGCTTCCTGCACCCCTTCTTTCCGCCTGGGAACCCCTTCTCATCTATGGGCAGGCAGTGCCCCAGGACATCAAGAGATGGCTTCCTTCCTTTCTTGCTGATGCTCCTTGGAAGAATAACCCCAAGAGAGATCCTCCATAAATGGGACGATGTGAACTGAACTTCAGCCCTCTCCCTAGAAATGCCAGCCACTGCATGAGTTCAAGAAGAAAAGGCCCCACAGGCTTGGGACTTGGCCTGCTGAAGCTCTGTCCTTCCCCACAGCTTTTCCTGAGCCACAGGTCTATAAATGTATTACAAGGTGTTGAGTAGATTGTCTGAGGCCAACCCGAGGTGTCAGAGCATGGAACAGGAACAGTTGAGGGGCGGCTGTCCAGAACTAAATCTCTCATCAGTCCGTTTCCCAGAACTGTGGAGCGTGAGTGGCTTCCCTATAGGAAAAAGGCTGGTGGAGGCCAGGTGACGAGGCCAGATAGGAGGAGTCCATGCGGCTTGTGGAGGCCAGAATAAGAATACGCTACCTCAGCCCTTCCAGACCTCAGTCTCCTGCAGGGGTCTCTCTCAGATGTTTTTCCAGGCTTTCTGATAAATTACCCAATTTCTATTTCATCTGGGTCATCTCCTTCTTAAAGTTCTGAAGATCATTATTTCCATTCAACCTGCCACATTTTGCTACAGAACTGTGTCCCACTCTTGAGGATAAAGTCCTCTTTGTCCCTGCAGAAGGCATTTGAGGAGGAGATGCACATGCTGGAGAGCTGTGCATCGTGACTTCACCGTCTCTGGAAATCATGGAAGGAATCTCAGGAAGAGTCGAGCATCTCCACGGCTCACTGTTTCACCTTCTGCTCCTGGCTCCTCCTGGGTGGGCAGGGACACTGATTTCCATCTGCTACCTGGCCAGCAAGCATCCTGCCACCCACAGCGCCCTTCTGCACTTTGACATTCTGAAGAAACCCACGGTTTTGCCAGAATGAAAGAAGATGGTCCCAGCATCAGCCTTCTGAGCCCATGGAGTGAGGATCTATTTTCTCAGTAGCCTTGCTGGCCACCACCCTTGGTGACTAGGACCATCACACAGGCACAAATTGCAGCTGTTTGTCAAAGGCATCTTGCTAGAGCAGATGAAATACCTGAAATATTGGATTCTGGGGGTCCTACTCCCAGGTGGTATAGCAGTGAAGGGACTGGATCTTTACTTTCTTCACAACATGGTCCTGAGTCGCTGCTAGAGCTGTGGTGAGCCCAGACTGCACCCCAACCCGGAAGCTTTCTGTTGGCTCACATTTGGTTTATTGATGTAATGTATTGATGCTTCCCATAAAGCCCTAAGTTCACTCCTCACTTGTTTCCAAAAGCTACATAAGGGCTGGGTGCAGCAGCTCATGCCTGCAGTTTCAACACTTTGGGAGGCCAAGGTGAGCTGATCACTTAAGGTCAGGAGTTCAAAACCAGCCTGGCCAACATGGCGAAACCCCATCTCTACTAAAAATGCAAAAATTAGCCAGGCATGATGGTGCATGCCTGTAATCCTAACTGCTTGGGAGGCTAAGGTGGGAGGATGGCTTGAGCTGGGGAGGTCAAGGCTTTCCTATAGAGAAGCCAAGATTGTGCCACTGCACTCCAGCCTGCGTGGCACAGCGAGACCCTGTCCTGCCCACCCCACCTCCAAAATAATCAAAAGCTACATAAGAACCACCTGGAGAACTTCTAAAATACACAATTTCCTAAGTCCTTTCCTGGAGATCTTCATTCTGAACATTCTGGGATGGAACCCTGGACTTGATCTTTTAAAAACGTGCTCAGGGCTTCCAGTGCACAGCCAGGAAATGGAAACCACTGAGTAAAGCCCCCAAGTCTTGTCACCACAACAAGTGATTATTAGGCTCTAGTATCAACAGCTGAGTTGCTGAGCCAGGAATTAGGACTTCACATTTATGCTTAGAAAGCGTCCTTTTCATTTCAGCCACCTTTGATCTTTCAGATCTTGAGCTGATCACTCAAATCCTGCCCCACCTAGTGGCATCGGGACCACCGGCAGGCAGGCCTTTCTCCCTTCCACATGGGTCTGAGAAAAGAGATGACACTGTCTCTAAGCTGCTGTTACTCATCAAGTTCACTCCTCACTAGTTTCCTGGGCAGTATCAGTACCACCCCGGTGAGAAGATGAGCTTGCACACATCCTGTTTGAACATCAGTTCCCTTGACCCAGACGGCCAAGCACATGAATAGCTGCTCCAGAGGCCTCTGACCTACAACGATGATTAGTGCAGGCTAAGCACTACTGACAGGTGATCCACCCAGCAGGTGAAGCACAGGAAAGGTTTTCCTGGGGGAGGAAAAGCCTGTCTCGGGCTATCTGGAGACCTGCAAGACAAGCATTACTGACCCAGAGAGAGACGGGGGAAGAGCGCTCTGGTTGGTTGAGTGACTATAAGTGAATGAGTCAATGCATGTCCCACACGGGCCTATGTGGGTGAGTTTATGGGGATGGGGGAAACGTCCACCTCCATAATAGAAACCATCTGGGCCTGACACTGCCAAAGGGTTAGATAGAAAGTATTCCATGACTGTGCTTCCCAAGTGTCTCCCCTTCCCTCTGCCACCTGGCCTGGCCCAAAGCAAAATGGTCTGTATGGAGATTTACACTGAGGTGGGTGGGTAAAGGAAGCACCTGTTCCCTCAGCCTGGAAGTGATGTTGAGGGTGGGAGTGTATGTAGCAGAGGGCATGCGTGCCCAGAACAGGGACAGGCTGAAGTGTCTGAGGTGGGTGTGTCAGGAGGAGTCTCCTAGATCTAGAGGATGGAGGGAGGAGGGCAGGTGCTGGAATGTCTGCTGACTTCACTAGTTGCCTTGTGTGTCTTTTCGTGACACTCCAGGGTCTAAGCCATTTTCTCTGATCCCATCCAGCTCCGCCTAATGACTCGATCTAGCTCACTGACAGGATTTTCCACCTCAGTTATGGCCTGCCCACTCCATCCCAGGTCACAGCCAAAGTCACTGTGGGAAGGTTAAAGGCTGGAATGCCTGCTGTCCCAGATCCCACCACACCAAAATCAGTTCATAGAACTGTCTGTTTTCCCTGGATGAAGACCAAGGAGAAGGAGACCAGAGAAGAAGACCAGAAAACCAGAACAAAGAGGAAGGTGATGATCAGCATTTCCCATATTTTCTCAAATAGGCTCCACTGACAGGTTTTTTAGTGCCATGTTCATATACTACCTGTATCATCCACACTGTATGTAGCACCATATTTGCTCAATATATTTCTGGGTACTTTTTTTGAAATAGGGTCTCACTTTGTTGCCCAGGCTAGAATGCAGTGGTGTGATCACTGCTCACTGCAGCCTTGACCTCCCAGGCTCAAGAGATCCTCCCGCCTCAGCCTCCCAAGTAGCTAGAACCAAAGGCATGCACCACCACGCCTGGCTAAATTTTAAATTTTTTGTGAAGACAGGGTCTAGCTATGTTGCCCAGGATGATCTCAAACTCTTGGGCTCAAGCAATCCTCCTGCCTTGGCTCCCAAAGTGCCATCACACCCGGCCTCAATATATTTTTGAAATGTATTCCTCCTCAGACATTAGATTCATCCCCCAATAAATAATTGTCAAATTACTGGTTATGCAGAACAATTTAGCTTTATCTATATATGTATATGGATAATATTTATGGATATATATTATCCATATATATCCATAAAATCGTTTTACAAATCATTCATACTTAGGAACATCTGGATGAGCTGATTTGAAGGTCCTTCTAACACTTAAAGAATAAATGAGAAGTGGACATGGTGAGTGCTCGGTTCTGGGGCTCTGAGTCCTGCCCATGGGCACCCTGGGGCTGGGGCCATGCCCTGTTCTCCCAACCCAAGGCTGGGCCACCTGGCTTCTCTCCTGCTCCTGCTCCATGCCCCAATCTTCGCTGTGTTTCTACACAGCCTCAGGATGTTTTCAGCACCTCTGATATCTGGGCATGGCTGCCTCATTCCATGCTATCTTCTGTCACTTTGGGGATGGTAGGCCCTGAAATCGGATGGGGACACAGGAAGTAGGAAGCAGCCCAATTCTGCAACAGTGGAGCTGCTGGTCAGGTCCAACTGGCTGACAAGAGCCCCAGCTGAAATGAATAGACATTCCTCTCTGAGCTGCCACAGCTCTGTGAGTCATCTGGGGGGTGGTTTTCAGGAACACAGTCCTACCATGGAGGCAATGGCCACCCAAAAACCCCAGAGAAAGAGGAGCAGGGCAAAGCAGTCACCTGGCTAAATTTGGAAGAGGAGCCTGCAGCTGTTTCCACCCCCTCCTGCCCCCTCATCCTGGCATTAGTCTTTTTTTAAAAAATGGCCTTTGCTTGTCGCCTGAGCATTGCCAGCTATTTTCCCCAGGACACATTAAAGCAGGGCACAGGCTGGCTGGGGGGCGCAGGCAGAGAGGCCCCGAGGCAGCTGCAGCTCATCCCAGGCAGGGGGAGGGCGCGACAGGGGTGGGGGCACACAAGCAGGAGCTCCACGCCCACTGACCAGCTGCTCCGGACACTGGGTGTGAGTGCCAGGGAGGTTGGCCCGGGGCTGTGTGGACCCGCCTGAGCGATGGCTGGGTGGCAGCCTTAGTGCTCTGCCTTCCAGGGAAGTGGGGGTGCAAAGCTGGCTTCCCCAAAGCAGCCCCCATGGAGAGTGAAGGATCTGGGGCTGAGTTGAAGCAACACAAACGTGGGCTGCATTCTCAACTGGCTCTGTCACTAATTTGCCAGGAAGCCTCGGGCAATGACTGGCTGCTCCCTGCCTCAGTTTCTTCTTCTGTAAAACAAGGAGGGGTCTCATACTTTCCAAAGTGCCATGCCACCAGGATCCTAGCTATTCTCTGGAGTGAGGGGCAGACCTGTCTTTTGACACCTGGGTGGGCTGCTGGGGGCTGGGTGACAGAGCACCCAGAGGAAGAGCCCCTTCATGATCTCCTCAACACATGGTCTCCACCATGAGCTGATAGAGATGGAGGGATATGTCCAGCTCCATATAGAAACCGTCTGAGACTGACGCCACAAAAGGGTTAGAAGGAACTATTCTATGACTGTCCTTCTCAAGCATCTGCCCTTCCTTCTGCCACCTGGCCTGGCACAAAGCAAAATGGTTAGCATGGGGATATAGACTGATGTGGGTGGGTGAAGGAAGCACCTGTCCCTCACCCTGGAAGTGAGATTTCAGAGTGGGAGTGGGTGTAGCAGCCCCCCTGCCCCTCCAGCCAGAACTGTCATCCATATCCTCAGCTGTCTCTGAGCAGAGGCAGTGTGCGCAGTAGAACAGGAGCTGCGTGAAGGCAGGTCTTCTTGACTGATATATTCAAAGCATCTAAACGGTGCCAGCTTCATAGTAGGTCTTCAATAAATGTTAATTGAATAAATACATGAAATGGGCAAGAAGATGGGCTCTGGAGTCAGACTAGCTCTACTCACTTGAACCAGTGACCACTGGACTGGTGAGTTACCTAATATTTCTTACCCTTAAAATAGTCACCTGAAAAGTAAGGATCATGATGGTGCCTTCCCTCATAAGGCCATCGTGGAGATTAAATAAGATACAACACCTAAGACAGTCTGGCATGTAGTGAGTTCACTGTTATCATTTATGGGATGGTTCTACCTGGTTGTCCCACCAGCATTTTAAAGGTCACCTTGTATGGTCCAGCTCATCACCTCTCACTAGCAAGATGTTCTCTGCTGCTTCTGCTTTCAGTTGGTGACAATGTCATCCACTCAATCATCTAAACAGAAATGAGGAGTTCCTCTTGGCTCTTCCCATCCACTGACCCCTGGGACCTCCTGGAAGGTCCCTCTACAGGTCTCATGAATCCATCTCTTCCTCATTCCTGCTGCCACGACCCTTATTCTCTCTCAAACCTCAAGCCTCTCTCTAAGATCTCCCAGATGTCTTCTGCACTCCAGGCCCCTCCACATCCTGGATTTCTCTCTCTCTCTTTTTTTTTGAGATGGAGTCTCGCTCTTGTTGCCCAGGCTGGAGTGCAATGGCACAATCACGGCTCACTGCAACCTCTGCCTCCCAGGTTCAAGCGATTCTCCTGCCTCAGCCTCCCCAGTAGCTGGAATTACAGATGCCTGCCACCACGCCCAGCTAATTTTTGTATTTTTAGTAGAGATGGGGTTTCACCATGTTGGCCAGGCTGGTCTCAAACTCCTGATTTCTGGTGATCCACCCGCCTCAGCCTCCCAAAGTTCTGGGAGTACAGGTGTGAGTCACCGCACCCAACCCCGGATTTCTCTTTATCCTCAACCTTGCTGCAATCATCTGTCTGCCTCCCTCCCTTGAGAACAAAGAACGAGTCTTTGTGCTTAGTAAACATTTGTTGACTAATGAATTAGCAAACACAGAAGACCAGAGTAAAGGTCCTGGTGGGGGAGAAAGGCCAAGTAGGAGGAGAAGAAAAATGAAAGGCAGTGAGAAGTGAGAAGCTACTTTGTGCGTAATTCATTACCTTTTAATCCACCACTCTGTTTAAAAGAGAATAGGTAAAAGATGAAAAGGAAATACATATATAATACACGTACAAATGGTACCCAACGTGTTTCTATTCCAAGAGTGTGTTTCTAAGTTGACTGTTGAGAACCTGGCATCACATCTTCTGATAGACATGCAACTCAAGAATATATTGAGAGCTCATCCATAGTTGTCACTGTCTCAAATCAGTGACAACTATGGATGAGCTCTTAATATATCCCAGGCACTGTGCTAGGCATTTTCCATGCATCTTTGTATGTAATCCCCGCCAGGAATTAGTATCACCATTTACAGATGAGGAACAGAGTTGCAGGAAATTTGTGCAGCTGTCTCAAGGTCTTTTGGCCAGTTAGGGAAGGCGTTGAATCTAGGTCTGTGTGATCCCAAATCTCATGCTTTCCCCATATGCAATGTTGCTATTAATTCCCAGCAATACGGCCAACTGCTCTGATTGGTCGGCCCTGGCCTCCCAGCCTTGTCATTGGCCAACACCCCCTGGAGGGAGGGCTCCGGCAGCTACCAAGGACCTGTAAGAGGGAAAGCCATGGACAGAGAAGAGAAGGAAGGAAAAAGAAAGAGCCTCCTGATAAACATACCAGGTGGACTGAACCAGCAGGAGATCAGGTTAAGGGCAAGTGGAAGTGCCTGAGAGAGAAACAAGGTCCAAATTCTAGAAGTCATATCCCTTGCCCGCTTCCCCCATGTCTGTACCAACAGAGTGGACGGGAACCAAGAAGTGGAGCAGTGCCTGCCCTTTAGGAGGAGCAGGGAAAGGATGATCCCATGCCCTTCTTGCCTGTGGACTCCAGGGTCTCTCCTAGAGCATTTTCTCCACCCCCAACCCATCACTGTCATGGGGGCCCTTTGTTTAGGTGGCCCTGGGTGTCTGAAGGCAGAGAGTAGAGGTCACTAACTGGCTGCCTAGGGACCGAGTCTGGCCTGCAGATGTGTATAGGTCGTCCTGCATAGTGTTTTTAAACATTTTTTAAATTGGGGAAGTTTCATACAAACATCTGGATTTCCAGCTTTGCTGGAAAATCTGAAGATCTGGCAACCCAGGTCCAAATTCCCACATGGCAGCCATCAGCTGGCAAAGCCACAGGTGCCCCGTTCAGCTGGGGCACAGCCTACCCCTCAGAGGACAAGATGAGAGGGGAGGGGACGCTCAAGCTGTCCCTGGCCGTGGCTCCAGGTTCCAGGATAGCAGCCTGGAGGTTTCCAAAAGCTGTGTCCTCCTCCCCTTGTGGCCAGTGAGGACAGAGAACTGCTTTGTCAGCTAATGAAGGTGAGGCATGGTGGCTGCATGGTGGGAAGCCCGACAGCCTCCAAGCCTGCCTATTTCTTGACCACAAGGCTCAGTCCACTCCAGAAAGCCTGCTGGTGTTCCTAATGTAACATAAAACACCGCTGGCTTCCTGTCCTGGACCCCCTAGGACTCCCTCTCAGGCGGCAGTGGTCCCTGCACCCCAGGCTGGTGTGTCCAGGGCAACTGGGCAAACACTCGGGCGCTGCAGGGCCCAGGGCCGGCCTCCCACGCCTCGGGCCAGGGACACCCAGCAGTCCAGCAGTGTGGCCCCTGCAGTTTCCCCCTGCACGGGCCTGTTTACTTCTTCAGGGAATGCTGTAGGAGCCAGGCCCACTGAGCCGGAGAGGCCATTTCAGAACCACCAGGCAGATTTTTCATTCCAACTTCAAGGAGCTTCCAGAAAACCCAAACAAACATTTAAAAACGGCTGCCTCGCCACAGTTCTGGAGGCAGCGCCAAGGAGAAAGGCATTACCCGTGGGCCAGCCGGGGTCCCTGCCAGGAAGGAGGGTCCTGACAGGCTGGGCTGACTTGCAAGACCTGCTGCTCCAGCCAACTGGGTGTGGAGTCCCCATGAATGACTCGTCCCCACCCTCCATGCCCCGTGAGTGGAACGCGAGTGGATGGGTCATCTCTGCTCCTACTCTGTGTGGAATTCCCTCTCCTCTATCACACTTCCACATCACACTTGCCCTTCAAGACTCCTGGAGAACACTGATCCCCCGGGGTCTTCTGGGGCCACCCTCCGAGCCCCTAGGAAGCACCTTGGGACTTAGACACCCCCCTTTCCACTTTCTGCCTTCTACCAGAATTGGGTGCTTATGACTTTCTCTTCCCTGCTGGCCTGGGGGGCCCCTTAGAGGAGGAGATTCAAAAAGACTCAGCAGCTTCAAGTCCCACCCCACCTTTCCCAGCTGGGTGGCCTTGGACTTGTCACTTCTTCATTTTTACAGTTCTGTGTCCTCAGCTATAAAATGCGGTGGATAGTGCCAACCTGCTAGGGTTGTTGTGAGGGCAAGGGAAGAAAATGTGTGTGGCGTGTCTAGCACTTTGCCTGGGACATAATCGAGACTGAAGGAATATTGGACAAATAAAAAGCCAGAAGGAATGACCACCTGGGAGGGTGAATTGCCCCACACATCCAGCCCTGTGCCTGTGCCCCATGCAGCCCACAGCCCACAGTCCAAGGGAGGTGGGCAGATGAAGAGGATGGAACTTTCTAATGTCCCTCTCAGCCTGCAGGGGCTCTCCTGAAGCATTTGCAGCACAGCCCCTGTTAGCCACAAAGGCAAGCACAGTGTTGCCTTTTCCCACTGCACAGGGCCCCGTTGCTGAAGGCCCACCCTTCTGCTGTGAGGAAGGCCAGGAGGTCTGGCCGGCTTCGCTGCTGCTGCTGCGGGTGCTGGCCCTCCTGCAGGGCCCGGTTTGCAGGGAGCCCAGGACTTTGCACTTGACTCCCTCAGAAGCTGGTGTCCACACTTCTCCCTCCCCCACTTGGGACAAGCTGCCCTTGTTTGTCTCTTTCATTCATTCTTAAGTCTGGCCTCTGTTGAAGCCACAAATTAAACACACACACACACACACACACACACACACACACACACACACTCACGGCCTTGACTCCACAGCCTTCACTCCTGACTGGACCTCCTCTGAACAGAGGCTTCCTGTGCTATGGAATGCGATTCCTGCTGGCTGAGGAGAAGTGGCTTTCAGGCCGCTGGGCAGGGGCGCCTCTTACTTCACTGAGTGTGGCTGCCACCACTTCAGCAGCTTCTCCTCCTCTCCTGCTACCCCGAACACCTCAACCCCAGCCTGAGTCCCGCTGCCTCTATTTCCTGTTACCTCAGAGGGCTCAGCTGCCAACCAAGACGCCTGCGGGTGGCCTCAGCTCCTGAGTGCTGGACACCCTGTGACTTAAACCCCCTAATACCTCAGCACCAAACATGCACGGAGCGCTTTGGCTGTCCAGGGAAAGCAGGGCAGAAGCCGGGGAGCACAGATTTTGGAGCCACACAGGGTCAAATACTCAGTCTGCCCCGTCCTAGCTGAGTCACTGAAAGCAAGTTGCCCAACCTGTCTGAACCTCAGTGTGCTCGTCTGCAAAATGGGAATGCCTTCCTTATACTTCTGAAGAGAGAACATGGAAGTACTCTATGAATTTTAAAGAGCTGTGTCAATAGTGGTTGCCACTGAGTATAGGGCATTGGGATAGGTCTTGGGAATACAAAGACAAATCACACGGGGGGTTTTATCATCAAGGACCTCCTGACTAGTGAGGTGGATGAGGCGCGTAGAACAACATAGAGGAAAGAGAACTTCTTAAAGGGGCCTGATGACATATCTGGGAACTTCAATCCAACCATCATATTTGGGCAGCAATGGGTGGTGGCATTGCACTCAGCCTTGAACCAAGGGAATGATGCAGGACCCAGGCCTGCTGAGCCAGAGAGGCCATTTCAGAACCACTAGGCAGATTTTTCATTCCAACTTCAAAGAGCTTCCAGAAAACCCAAACAAACATTTGAAAACGGCTGCCTCGCCACAGTTCTGGAGGCAGCGCCAAGGAGAAAGGCATCACCCACGGGCCAGCAGGGTCCCTGCCAGGAAGGAGGGTCCTGACAGGCTGGGCTCACCTGCAAGACCCGTTGCTCCAGCCAGCTGGGTGTGGAGTCCCTATGAATGACTCGTCCCCACCCTCCGCTCCCTGCGAGTGGAACGCATGTGGATGGGTCATCTCCGCTCCTACTCTGCCTGGAATTCCCTCTCCTCTATCACACTTCCACATCGCAGGTCAGGGTCTGGACAAGCAGAGAGTCTGGGGCAGGGAACAGCAGCATAGAGACCTGGGGGGGCTGTTGCATACAGCACACCTGGGACAGCCAGAGGGGCAGAGTGGGAAATGCATTGGTAGGAGTCCATGGGAGAAAGGGTGTTCTCACCTAAGATGGGTAAACAAGGAAGTTGGTGTGGCCAGTGGAGGGCACAGAGGAAAGCAATGAGAGACCCCAGTCTGTGCAGGGGTGGTATTTGGGATGCAAGGTGAAACCTCCAGGTGGGGAGGGATTACTTTAGCAACTGCCCATGTCTATACCATGAGCTCAGCGGGGCAACTTTGCCCCCAACAGCTGGCATCTTGAATGAAAAGAAATGACACTAATAATGTCCCCAAATAAATGCAAAGATGCTTGGTTCAGATGCTCTAGAATATCTGTTTACTTCCTCTTGAAGGAAGGCAGATGGGGAAGAAGGAAAATATCATCAGATAGTATTTGGAACAAGACTTCCAGCCAACCAGTGGCAACTTCTTGGAGGCAGTCTGGTGAAGTGGCTGGAACTCTGGCATTAGAATCTGAGTTTTGACTGTATGTTTCTGGGCAACCCTTGGTTTCCTAAGCTCCAGTGACCTCTCAAGGGTGTTGTGAGGACAGACATGAGCTGGTGCCTGTGTTCTGTACCAGGTTGCCATAAAGAATGGTGTTCTTTGCGTCTTGTCATTTTGAACTCCTCTTCCAAAGGAGCCTGGGAAACCCTCTGCTTACCTGATTCTAGACTCCACCACCCATCATTTACACCCCTCCCATCTCTCTCGTTCATTCCATTTGCATATCCATCTGTCTGTCTATCAAGCATGGAATCTGGTATGACATCACTCTCCCCCATCTGTGCGTCTCGGAGTGCTTATGAAGCAAATCATTCTGAGCAACCACAGATAACTGAGGAGGGCCTGGTAGTGCCCTGGAGTTTTAGCAACCTCATCTTCTCCTTGGCCTCAGGGCCTGTGCTGGGGGCCAGACACATCCCTTAGACCACAGTCAGCAGATGATTGCAGATAGAATAGGGATGTTGGATGTGGGTCTGTTCCCAGTGAAGGGGAGAGTGGTTCTGGGGCCAGCTCTGGTAGTTGGGAGCTAGGGACTGGGGAGAAATTAGAAATAACGTTTCCAAAATAGAACTCAAGGCAGCCAGGGGCTCAGGACATCTTCTAGGACTCCACTGCTTAGCCCTTACAATCCTATCACATTATTCTGCCTTGCTGCAAAATATCACTTATAACTTCCTACTGCTCTGGTCCTGGTAACTGCAGGGTCTTCATTTGCTGAATGCCCTGTTGGATAAAAAAATTAAAATCTGGGCGTGGAAGCTGACACCAGACCAAATTTCTCTGCATAATAAGCAGGAGGCCTTTGGATGTGATGGAGGTAGAGGGTAAGGCTGGCAGAAAACCCAGGAGGTAAGGAGGCAGAAAACCCAGGAGGTAAGGAGGCAGAAAATCCAGGAGGAAAAGGAAAAACAAAAGAACTCATAGGATTGGACGCTATGGCAAAAGGAACTATGGAAAACAGAAACGTTTGAGGAAGGTTTTCAAGCTGTTTTTTACGGAATGTGTGTCTCCAAGCCGTCCTTCCCTGTGAGACCTTCAGCAAAATGTCTGCCATGTTCATGAATGCATTTGGTACAAGTGGACGAAAACCAGAGACAACCCGCAGGGATGCCAGACACTGGCGAAACAATTTGTTTGAAATCACTGCCTTAATTTCTCACAGAGGAAGGCATTTTTCTGCCCTTCGGAACACTGTCCTCCTCAGCCCATTAATAGCACCAGTCCTGAAAAAGATGCCTTTTCGCTCTTAGAGAAGCAGAACTGAAGGTCAAGCCAAGCTCAGCACACTTAACTCTTCAGTTTGGGCAACAGAAGGCTTTACCAGAATTTTAAGGCCAGGAAAATGCACTAACAGTGGATAGGGTGGAGAAATTTTCCAAGCACTTTTTGGTTTAAAAAGAAAAATAGAGAAAAACTGAATACAAAAAAAAAAAAAAAAATCACTTCCGTCTCATCTCTAAATATACCAAGTATGAGCCACTTTTTTTTTATGAGCAAACCAAGTTACACATGACCTATTTTGATGTTTCCCAACCAACCAAAAAACTTAACATTTAAAAAAAAAACACTTAAAAATAAACATGTAGATATTTCCATTTTCACCAAAATTTTATTATGTTTTATTTTGAAAAGAAAAATCCATGGTTCAAGTTGGGGCAAAGCTGTAATCTGTCCAGACTGTCTGTGGCAACAGTGAGGCAGAGAGAAACAGACCGTGGGAGAAGGGAGACTGTGGATGATCATAGCACCAGCCTGCAAGGTCCCTAAGAAAGAGGAAACCCCTAAGAAATCCCAGGTGCCCACCAACCCTGGACACACAGGTGAACATACACAATGTCCTCAAGGACATTTCCAATCTGTAATGAACAAAATAATATCTGTTTCCAGACTTTGTGGGCACCCCGTGGATGCAGACTACGGAAAGACAGGCTGGTAGATTCCACATGTTTGAGACAAACTGCTTCCTTCTTTGAGCCAGAAAAGCAGAGATTGGCTGCCCCTGCAGGCTGAAGGGTGGCCATGCGGGGCCCCTGCCTATCACCCAGACCCGGGACCTGACAAATATCCCAGGTGGGCAGATACTGATTGAGCTCCTACCCTGTCTTGGGCCTGGTTAGGCATTGGTGGCCCATGGGTATTCCCTTGTTTCTGCCTAGAAATTCCTACTTTGGAACTCAGCGATGGTACTACATTCTCCATGAAGCCCTTCCTGACATTCCAGGCAGAGAGGACAGTAGGAGCAAAAGCATGGTGAATTGGGGGAACTTGGAGTAGCTTCATAGGGCCAAAAGAAAAGATATATAAGATAGGAAGAAGGAGGGCAGGAGGCGGGCTGGAGCTAGCTTGCTAAACCCACTGAATGCCAAGCTAAGAAATTTGGCTGCATGCTCTCTTGCTCTCTGTCTCTTTCTCTCTCTCTCTCTCTCTCTCTGCAATGAGGACTCAGAATAGTTTTTAGTCCAAGAAACATAATCTCCTAAAAATGCAAACAATCCCTATTTTGAAAAATAACAACACTTGAGTAATATAAGAAGCTGCCACATGCTCTTTTTTTTAAAGCAAAAAAATATTTTTTTGAGAAAGAGACAAATTTTCAAAGGCCTAAATAATGGATAGATCCTATCTTCATGAATTGGAAGACTCAATATTGTAAATATTTGGTTTTTTTTCCAAACTGATAGGGAGAATCCCAAACAAAACGCCACTATGTTTCCCTTAATGGAAACTGACAAGGTGATTCTAGAAGTTGTGTGAAACTGCTAAGGGCCAAGAACAGTAAAGACAATCTCAAAGAACAAAGTGGGAGGCCTTAATCTCCTGGATTTCAAGACATATGCTAAAGCTAAGTCTTTAAGACAGCGTAGTATTGTTACAAGGATACATAAATGGACCAATGAAACAGAATAAAAGACAGCCACACGGATTATAGACATTTGATTTATGACAGCTGTGGCTCCCCAGGGCAATAAGGAAAGAGTAATGTTTTCAATAAAAGTTGCTGAGTCAATTGAATAGCCATATTTTAAAAATGAAGCCTGACTCTACTTTTGGCCATGCAAAAAGTCAATCCCAATGTAGATGGTAGCTCTGAGTGTGAAAGACAAAAATAAAGTTTCCAGAAGAAAAGGTAGGACAGGCAAAGATGTGTAAAACAGAAATAAAAAAGGACTAACAATTTTAAAAAAGATTGGTAACTGGACTACACTAAGAACTTCTGTTCATCAAAAACACCTTTAAGAGCCTGAAAAGGCATGCTGCAGAGTGGGAGGAGATATTTGCAAAATATTTAACTGACAAAGGGTTCCTATCCAGAATACATAGAGAAATCAGTGGCTTTCAACTGGGGGTGATTTTACCCTTTTTCCAACCCCCTCAGGACATATTGCCATGTCTGGAGACATTTTGGGAGACAACTGGGAGGTGGGGGTGCTATTGGCACCTAGTGGATGAAGGCCAAGGGTGCCACTAAACACCCTACAATGCACAGAATAGCCCGCCAAAACAAAAAGTCATCCAGCCCCAATTATCAATAATGCTGAAGAAGGCTGAGCACAGTGACTCACGTCTGTAATCCCAGCACTTTGGGAGGCTGAGGCAGGCAGATCACTTGAGGACACGAGTTCAAGACCAGCCTGGCCAACATGGCAAAACCCCATCTCTACTAAAAATACAAAAAATTAGCTGGGTGTGGTGATGCAAGCCTGTAATCCCAGCTACTAAGGAGGCTGAGGCAGGAGAATCACTTGAGCCTGGGAGGCAGAGATTGCAGTGAACAGAGATCATGCCACTGCACTCCAGCCTGGGTGACAGAGTGAGACTCTGTCCAAAAAAAAAAAAAAGAAAAAAAAAAGACAGTACTGCTGCTCCTACTACAAATGATGATGATGAGGAGGGTAGAGCCATCTTGACTGCCTCTGCCCATGCCCCCCACACAGCCCTCCAAACTGCATCTCTGATACCCAAAGGAAGGATGGGTAATGAGTTGCTTGGTTCTCAGAAAAATCACCTGTTTGGATATAACCTGATTCCTTTGGAGGAAAAAAATTTACTTCTGAGTAAATTCTGAGTTCTTACGTTTCAAAAATGAGAATTCCTTGTAAATTGAAGGAGCTGAAAAGTGAGTCTGAACCCTCAGATATGGAAAGCCTAGAGTGGCAGACCCAAGCTGAAATGCCTACAGGGGTTGGGTGCAATATCTCGGTGGGTGGAGGGGACCCAGCAAACTGGAGGGCCCATGCCCTGTCTACAGGGGCAGCCACTGCTCAGGCCACATCTTGCTGGGTCCCCGAATTTCCCAAGAGAAGTGAGAGATTGGCATGTTGGTTTTAAAACGTGTCTGCATTCTTTGATAGTCCTTCCATAAAAAAGTGGGGTCTAATTCCCCTGTCTGTGCATATGGACTAACTTTAATGACTGACTTCTAATCACCAGAATGGAGCAGAAGTGTAACTTCCAAGAGTCGTTTAGAAAAATGATGTGCCTTCCACTGGGGTCTCTCTCTCTCTCTGTGGACTTTCACCATTGGAACACAGCCAACATGCTGTGAGAAAGCCACACGGAAAGGCCACTGTAGCCCCTGGGGAGGTTTCGGTTGAGAGCCAGCATCAGCTGCCAGGCATGTGAGTGAGTGAGCCTCAGATGCTTCCAGCCCCAGCCTCTCAACTGATGCAGAACAGAGACAAGTTGGCTCTGTCCACATCACAGATTTGAGAAACAGATAAATGTCACTGTTCTTTAAAATCACTGAGTTTTGAGAAAGTTAAGCCTTAAGAGATACCTGGAATATCTGGATTTTAATGTGAATTTTCCAGATTTTTAAAAGACTGCATGGGCTGAACAAAACAACTGCAGGCCACATCTGACTCATGAGCTGCCACTTTGATACCCTGGGTTAATGGACATATTAACTGCCTCCAGCTTCCAAAGTGGCAAATCCTGACATGTATGAGTGTCTCAGTGAGACCCCCAAAACTCATTCCGATCTAATTCAAATGCACAACATGCACTCATTTGAAACATCAAAATGAGAGCCGGGAGTGAATCCTGCTGATTTGCAAATCTACAGTTTTGACCAACTTTTGGACCAAACAGGTCACAAGCAAGTCCCACCAATTGGAACTAGCAATGCCCTAGAGTCTGTCTGTTTCTCTTACACACACACACACACACACACACACACACACACACACAGAGTTTATTTTAAACCAAAGCTCCAGAAACCTGAAGTCCTGTCTGTATAGTAACACATAGGCAACATAGATCAAAGAGTGAATTACTTTTAGCCATGGCTGTAGCAATATAAATTCACACCCACTGAAATGTTGCTAAATATGGAAAGTGCAAAATTTTCAAACCAGATTTTGCAAAACAAAAGCAGGCCAGCCGACTTGGAAGGGTGCTTCCTGCATGGTGTATGCCAGGCATCCTAGAAGCTTCTACAAACACATTCTTGTCTTTTATGACCAGAACAGGTGATACTTAAAACAGTATCCATTTGAATGACAAAAGATGGGAAATGTTTGCAACAGGTTCTTTCTATCTCGGTCTCTTCCTCACTGTCACTCCTTTTGGAAACCCACCTTTCCCCTGCAGCTCCATTTGTACACAGATCAACGTGAGGAAGGCCAGGGAGAAGGAATTTGGCACTAACGCCCTTGAATGAGCCCAGTGGCCAGCAGCTGCACCCAGAGTCCCTCTGACAAGAAAGACAACAAGCTGTGACTTGTGGTCAGCTTGAGGACACCTGACCTTCACCACCACAGTTGCCCAGCATGAACCCCTCTGGACACACAGAGCTGCAGGTCTCTGTAAGGAGATACAGTTGGAACCTGGATACTCCAGCCGGGGCTTTGGAGTCATCTGGAATGCTCACCGGTGCCCTGTATTCACTATCTCCACGTGGGACCCAGTTCAGAGAGGCTGGTCTTTCCCTACCCATTGGCTTGCTGCTTGACTCTGAAAGTAGCATGATTAGCCCAGGTCACAGGTGCCACCTCCCAGAGATCCTGAGCCAACACGCTGTGCATCCTGTCCCCCCAACTTAGCCCTAATCTGCACTCCTGTGCCCACTGTGAAACTGGAATCAGCGGCTTGGGAAGTGCCGTGGCCCACTGAGCCCATCGAGCTCTGCTTGTCACGTGACCTTAGACACTGCCAGAAAGACATCCTCACAGGCTCTCTCTATCCTCCCCCAATCCCCCAGCCACCCATGCTTTCTCTGAGCCTCTCCCACGATACCTTCCAGAGCTCCTGTTCTATAATTCACAACCTTGCCTAAACCTCAACACCTTCACGGAAAGTGCTCTCTACCTCCTACCTAGACCAAAAGCCAGTTCTTTCTCAAACACGCGGAGTCCTATCAGTCTCCTGAGGTCACCCGTTTCCCACACCTCCCAAATTTCCAGGTTGGAAGGTAGGTTGGAAGGCTAGACCAAGGTTCTCAAAACTAACAGTACATAATCTCCCAGCACGGTAACTGCCTCTTGATTTACTTCTGCCTACATGTGAACTCCAGGGGGTCAGTGCTGGACCCAGTACATGATTAATATAGGCAAAATACACATAAAACATTCAGTACATGTTGAATGACTTAATGGATACAAGCAGATATTATTGCCCCCATTTTACAGGTATGGAAACTGAGCCTCAGAGAAGTTAACAGATGTGCCTAGTCATACAACAAGCAGGTAGCAGAACCACAGCTTGAACCAGGTCATCTGCATCCTCCACACCTTGCTATCTAGTAACATTACTCAGCCCATGGGGTCATGATTAGATAAGCTAAAAACATAGCTTAAAAATAAAGATAATTTTATTTCCAGTTAACACAAAGACTTCCAAAGAGCTCACAAGATGAAAGAAATAAAATGCAGGGAGTCACCTTAAAAAAAACAAAAACACAAAGACGTTCATCCCCCGGCAACTCCAAGGTGCCCCTTTCCTGCTCAAAGTACCCTCGAGGCAGGAGGGAGGGGATAGGAAGGTTGATCCCATTGAGCTCCAGGGCTCTGGGGCCATCCTTAGTCGTGGGCAGACAGACAGCTCAGAGAAATCACAGTCCTAGAACCAGAAGGGCACTTCCAGGGCATGCCAGTCCTGGCTCTTACTCCATCCTGGGCTCAGTCTGACACTGTAAGAGACAAAGAACTGTGGATACAGGCTACTACAGGAATCATGCTCACAGTCAGGGGCTGCTGCTTTATGCTAATTACAGTAATGACTGCAGGAAGTTGAACTGTGTCTTGTTGCTAACAGATAAATATGAAAAAAAGTAAATTACAAAATGCTGAGCCAATGACCAATAGGAGGGTTGAACAAAGGAAGTTTATGGGCGGATGTAAAAGTGACCAGCCATCAGCCTGGACCAGGAAACTTGGCCCATGAGGAATTGTGAGACAAGGAGTCATTTGTGTAGAGCGGTCCCAGATCCCCTTATAACATAAAAACTGGGTTAGGAGTGGTCAGAACCTCTGGAGCAGTGGCCTGGTTGCTTATTGGAAGGACATGCGCGCACACACACACACACACACACACACACACACACACACCCGCTACCTCCCTTCTATGGTACTAGGTCAAGAAGCATCAGTCCCAAGATAACTGCCTGGAGATTTGTGAGAAGAGATTTGCACAGTAAGATTTGGGGAAATTGCATAAAGGAAGCGTTGGTTTACCAGCCTTCCTATACTCCCCATAAAAACCCAATACTCCTTAAAGGTATTTGGTCAACCTGCAGAAATTCCTGCCTCTGATGTGCACAGCCCCAGAGCAGGCCTTCTAGGTGCATCTACATTAGGCCCAGAGCCTGTGCAGCAAATCTCTGTTCTAAGAAACTCCTCATAACATCCCAGTAGTTAATTGATAAGAGCAGTTGCACTGGCTGAAATAGGGTGAAGACCAGCTTATTACCTCCTTTCCTCAAAACTCCAGAGAAACCTTTGTGTAAATCCTAGGGTTCCGTGGAATATGGTTTGAGAACTGATCTAAGGGGTGCCCAACATGGCAGGGCGGTCCAGAAGGATGAAAAATGTGGGTAGCTTTTAAAAGGAGAGGCTCTGTGGAACCACAAAGGTGGAAGTGAGACAGCAGGAGCTAATGAGGAACCGTGTGACAGGGAGCTAAGGGTGGCAGAGGCAGGCATCTCATTCCCAAAGGCATCAGCTGAGCAACAGCAGCAGCTGAATGAGGATCAGGAATCGTATGAGGGTGCTCAGGTATCAGGAACCCAGAAGACGGAAGGAGTGGGAGGGAAGGGCCCAAGCGGGAAAGACAAGCCCCTCAACCTCTAAGTCCTGAGGAAGGCCAGGGATGTGGGCGGTGACAGGTATTTCAAGGTGGGAGTTGAAGGCACTCTGGCCAGATGGGTCAGGCCTCCATCAGGGCAGGGATCAGGAGAACAGAGAAGGCCTGGAGCAGCTGTCAGGTGGGTTTGGGAATCCCTCTGGGATCACAAAATGTGGCCTCCACTGTGGGTCCCCAGCATGAGCTCCTAGCAGCTGTTCTCCACTTTAATTTCACAGACCACTTTCTGTGCAGGGAAAAGAGGAAGAGGCCATTGTTGCCAGTTGCAGATGAGCAATCCTGAACTCAGACTGAAATTCCAGTCCCCAGATTTCTACCCCACTCCTGGCTCACACAGATCAACTGCCATTGGAAGCATTGCAGCCATTTGTAAGTCTACTCAAGACCACTCCAGTGGAGACCTGTTCCAAAGCCTGGTTTTTAATTACAGCACCTACAACACAGACTGAGAAAAACAAGAGGAAGAAAACCAGTTCCTGTCATCTCAAAGTGCCTGCTATTTTTCTTAGAAGATTCAATTCCACTACGCCCTGCTTTTAGAAAACTCCATGTGTGAAATTCATAAATAGGCTAGGAAGTATATATTTACATCACCAGAAAAAATTCATTATATAAGAATATTCACTTTACAAATGATTAGCCATAGGTTTATTCTAAGGAATGAACAACCCTTCTAGTATTCAAAATATGTCTTTCAAATCAAGCTCTATGATCAAATGATTCAAATTGTGTATTGCCTTATTATTTTGGACAATGGGATGTTTGGACCAGACTTTTCACCTCTGGATTCTGGGACTGCTGCGTGGCATTCGGCATTTTTTTTTTTTCTTTTGAGACAGAGTCTCACTCTTTCACCCAGGCTGGAGTGCAGTGGCACAATCTCAGCTCACTGCAGCCTCCACCTTCTGGGTTCAAGTGATAGTCCTGGCTGAGCCTCCCGAGTAACTGGGATTACAGGCATCCACCACCACACCGGGCTAATTTTCTGTATTTTTAGTAGAGACGAGGTTTCACCATGTTAGCTAGGCTGGTCTCGAACCCCTGACCTCAGGTGATCTGCCTGCCTCGGCCTCCCAAAGTGCTAGGATTATAGGCGTGAGCCACCACACCCGGCCTGCATTCTTAAGAAGTCTTGGGGAAAACCAAAGCACTTTTCTTCACATGAAATCCTTTTTTTAACCCTTTGATAATGACTTTTTTCCTTCATGCCTCACATTCAAATATTTCAACTGGATCTATCTACTTAGGATTCTGACAGAGGTGGTATGAGACTGTTTCAAATCTTTCAGAGATGGGGAAGGGGAGATGGGGATAATTTAGATTTGCTACAGGAATGCCAAACTGATAAACTGACAGTAAATTAATTTTGCCAGCTTGGGAATTCCACAGTTTTGAGGGAGATGGAGGGAGGAGATTTTTCACTCTAGTCTCCTCTCCATGATAATTTTGTCAAAATTTCTCCAAGTCTCAGGTATGTAGATGCATCCTTTCCTAATTCTCAGTAGCAAAGGAATATGTTTCCTAATATAATCTGTTTGGTGGTTTGCAATGGATTTTCCTGGGGGAAGTTTTTTGTTGTTGTTGTTTGTTTTTGAAAAAGAGTCTCGCTCTGTCTCCCAGGCTGGAGTACAGTGGTGTGATCTCGGCTCACTGCAACCTCCACCTCCCGGGTTCAAGAGTTTCTCCTGCCTCAGCTTCCCAAGTAGCAGGGATTACAGGGACATACCACCATGCCCAGCTAATTTTTGTATTTTTAGTAGAGACAGGGTTTCACCATGTTGGCCAGGCTGGTCTCAAACTCCTGACCTCAGGTGATCCGCCCACTTCAGGAAGTTTAACATGCTGTGCAGGTCGTTGACTTTGGACTGAAAACTATCAGGCTATACTGCAGTATCTCTTTATAAGCCAGTTTCCCTTCTCCCACTACTCACTCCCATGGTGACCACCTTAGGGACAGAGTGGTATTTTCTCTCTTTCTCTCCCTTTCTCATATCAGGTAAAAAGAACTGAGTTAATCATGTGCTTCAAATGGTGGAACAAAATCATCACTGGGGACACGTCACCTATCCCCAGGTGAGACCTGGCCCACTGCTGTGCATGGTAGTGATTTGTCTAATGGATAAAGAAGCAGGTTGGAAGCAGCACCATGGAGTGAAAGGGCAGGAACTATGACCTTAGAAAGAGTAAACCCATCCTCAGTCCTGCTTCTTATTGTAGGACTTGGGACAAGTAACACAACCTCTAAATGGGCCTCAGTTTCCTCACCCATAAAATGTTTTTGAGTTATTAAGAGGATTAAATGAGGATGTTATGCTAAACAGAAGGTGAAAACTCAAACCCATCAGGGAACAGGTAGCTAAGAAATGAAGGGAGAGGCTGGGTGAGAGGCAATAAGGAGCAGTAGGGACTGTGGCCAACTGGAGGGCACACTGAAGCATGAATGCCACAGTTAAAGGCATCCATCCCTGGAAGGCCAAATGCATGACTTCTGTGGGCCAAATTTTGCCTATGACTGTGGCCTCTGCCCCAAGTCTGGCACATATGATTATATAATACTTATTATACCCTAATTATAACAGCGAAAGGTGGAGGCTCTGCAATTTGAGGCCTGCATAATTTAAAAGCCAAGAGACTATAGCTCAAGTTCAGGTCTTAGTTCTCTGCAAGACTCGCTCTGATCATGAGTTGCTGCATAAACCTATAACTTGGTTTGTACACTGAAAATCCAGGAAAACCCTTGCTATGACCACAAAAGACAGCACCAAAAAGTGTTAAGTGATATTCTTGGTACTGACCAGCTTATTCTAAAGTAGCCCTTTGCTTACCCTAAGGCAAGATGTAGAAGCCTCATAGAAGCCAAGGCCACTAAAGGTTACTATGCACCAGGAAGGCGGCAGGGGAAATGAGAGAAAAGAGCTGCATGCAGAATAAACCCAAACAGACAACAAAAATGCCCAGACTGGTAACTTGACAGCAAATGAGTTTTGTAAATAATGCAGTATTTGTAGCATCCGGAGAAAATACACTATCTAAAATATAAGATCTTTGAGAGTAGGATCACATATATTTTTAATTCCCTACCATGCATAAAGCAGCCTAGCATGCAGAAGGAGATGGTTAACACTAAATGAATGAAAATGATTGGATGGAGTTGCACAGAAGAAAGACGTGCAGATGGTGAAGTTCCTAAGTAACAATTTGTACAATTGTAGGTGGGAGAGTCTAAAAGGTGAGTCTGTATGTCATACAAACAGAGAAGGCCAGGTGCCCACAATCTTTTCTTTATCTCAGATGTTTCTGTTGCCTGGGCAATAACAGACAAATGTGCCCTCGGGCAGTCTGTGATGGTCAGAGGACAGTCGGAGCAACAGCACAGGAGAGCTATCTGCAGATCTTAGTTGGGGAAAGGGGAGCATTCTTAAAGCCCGAGGGGTCATCCTGCATCTTGCCACCCATTCTGTGCCCTGAATGATATCTGAGAGATCTGGCCAGATGCAAATCCAGGGCCTTGGCTTCAAAGTGAAATCGCTGATGGACACTTTGCCTCTCTCACTTTTGTTCTCCTCCCAATGCTAATGAGAAGGCGCAATGGCTTTGCTTACTTGTTTGAACCATGGCCATGCATGCTGTGGCTTGGCCAATGCTCAGCATTTGGAGTGGTTTAAATAGCAGGTCAGACAGAGGACTTTCTAGCCCAGCCCTGTCCTGGAAATTCTTATTAACATTTACAAGAATAAGAGGAGAAAATAATGCCTGCTTCACCGAGGGTGGGGGAAAGGGCTTGGGCCTTGAAGTTAGGAATTGTACATTTTTTTCCTGGTTCAGCTATTCACTACTATGTGTTTTTCTTGACACATCATTTAACCTTGCTGAGCCTCAGTTTCCTCATTTATAAATTGAAGGTAATGCTACCATAGGTTTGTTGTGAGTTATTAAATGAAGTTTTACGCACACATGCACACACACACACACACACTTCATAGTGGTACAATGCCCATCCGGTACACAGTTAACTCTTAGTTATTGTCTTCACCTATAAATGGTGATATCAAGACCTCTCAAACCTACATCACAAGTTTGTTATGACAGCCCATAGGTAAGATGTGAGCAGGCTGGGGTGCTGATGACACCTCCTTCCTCCCTCTTTAGCTGGTGGGGAATACATGCAGACCCAAATGGAGATCAAAGGATCTATTTTACTCAAGCTCACAGTTCACAGCTCAAGAATATTCCAGAACTTCATATATCCCAATCTGATGATAAAAGCTGAGCCCAAACATAGGAAAACACTGCTTCTGCCACAGGCCCTGCGAGATCACTTTCTGAGCTGGAGAAAAGTGGGCCTATTGAGTCTGTCCCAACTAGTCTGCTTACTATGTGGGAACCAGAAACATAAGCACCCACCCTACCTAGTTCAAAGAGGTGGGAAGAATCAAAGACAAGAGACAATGAGCCTTTCCTATTTAGTAACCATCTTTCCAACTACTTATAAAATGTAATTAGTGAATCAAGACAATATTAAAGAACCGGCCACCCTGTTGGGCCAGGCTGCTGATGTCAGAATAATGTGCACACCTCCTGCCCCCTCCCCTCCAAATAGAGGCCAGAATATCCAAATGTGTTGAATTGAGGTGTAGTGGCTGGGGACATGGATGGCTCCAAGTGCTCATGGGGCAAGAGGCTGCGGGTCTGGAGCAGAGGATGCTGGAGACTGTCCTCTTGGGTCTTAAGAGGAGAGGACAGGAGCAACAAGCAGAACTCTTCAGGGATGCCAGCTGAGACTGTGACAGAGGGGACTGCCCTGGTGACAGTTTCACCCAGAAGCCCAAAAGATGAGAATCTGAGGCCCAAACAAGAAAAGACCCTATGCCACCCTCAAGAGCAGGTGGCACTAGTGGGTAAGCACCAGCAGGTGAGGGTGGGGGAGCTGCAGCTGTGGACTGGACTGCCTCGAATCTTATAGCACAGCCATGAAATATAAAGCAAACATCCCTCACTTCCCCTTTTCAAACTCCAGGCAGATGTCACTCATCAAACACAACACCCGTCCCCAGGGCCCCCCAGTGTGCCTTCACGGTCTTTCTCACTTGCGCTGATAAGCAAGACAAAGCCTAATTGCTGTCCCAGGCTAAAGAAAAGACTTATAGCCCCAACAGCAGGGAGAGTTCAGTGCTTCAGACATGCCAAATTCAGGGGTGCATTGACCAGGCCCCTTCTTGATGCTGTGCTGGGGTCTTAGAGTCTGCACATTGGGGGTTAAATCCCAGCTTTACCACTTAACAGGTGTGCTCAGTTTCCCCATCTGTGAGACAGGGATAGTTTACAGGTGGATGAGAGAATTCCCACACCTGGCCTTCTGTTGGGCATATTGTAAATGTGAAAGAAAGGTCCATCGTCTTTTTTCTTGTATTCATCATTTCACCTTCTGGAAGTGCCTTCATTTTGACCTCAGTCCAAATATACAACTCACAGAACATTCTTATCACCTCTCCCTATCTTAAAAATTAGTAAAACTGTTAAGATTTACCCATACCTGGTGTAGCTGGAACCCACCATCAGGGTTGAGTTGGGAAAATGGGGCCTCCTCATATCTAGTCTCAGGACAGGAGACCCCAAGTGATGGCGTGGGTGGTTTGAGGATTACAGAAGGGGAAAGGGACTGGGTCCCCAGGGTCTAGGGGAGAAGGTGGACCTGTTGGAAAGCTGAGCTAAGACTGAAAAGTCCCTGCAGAGCCACATCAGGAGACCTCTGTGGTTGACAACAGGATCCCAAGTCTCCATCCATGCCCCAACTAATTCTGGCCCTGGAATGCCAGGGCAGATTCCTCTCACTGACGGCATCATCTCCAAAGGCCTCACGTGGGTACACACTTTGCTCCTGGCCAACCCTCTGGGGACTCCAACTGTGTCTGAAGCTAGTTGCCATCAACGGAACGACTTGTGTTTAGCTCAAGGGGAATTAACACATACAAATATCTGTAAAAACCACACAGGCCGAGACTCCCCAGGGGTGTAAACAGAGGCATACTCTCATTTAAACAAGAAATTCAAACAAACCGTTTCTCCATTTCCCTTCCTGAAACCCTGTTCTCTCCCATTTAAATCTTAGCGTAAGAAAGGATTGCGGGTTGTTGTTGTTGTTGTTATTGTTATTTTAATATGCAAAATAGCGGATGCCCAGAAACATTCAGCAATTTTTCAGGACCACACAATCAGTCAGTAGCTCATCCAAGCCTGGATTCTGGCCCCTGGACTCCCAGCCCCATGTTCTCACTTCGTTTGACTGTTTCTCAAATTTGGCTCTCATTTCTGACCATCTGTTTGAAAAGCTCAAGAGTGAGGAGGTGTCCTGTGTGGCAGCAGATGGAAGTCAATCAAGGCATATAAACCAAATGGCACCACGTTGGGGAGAGGGACACTCTCAAAGTGGAAATATCCTCATTTGATGCCACAAACAACATGAGAGGAGGAAATAAAACCAAATCGTTAGCCAAGCAGCTGTGCTTGGTCCTACGAAAACCGAGCCACCTTAGAGTGTTCACCATCACTGGGCAAGCCACTGTTTTCAATGTGGTATTGACACTGCTAATGTCAGATCAGAGCTTTCTGCTCTGAGCTTATTCACAATCTTTTCTGTCCTTCATGTGGAAAATCAAGGAGAAAGACTGGGTCTTGTGAAAACAGAGCCTGCATAAGAACCGGACAGTGACAGCTTAAAGGGAGGCTCATGAATCCACACCAAGGGGAACCTGGCCCTCGTTTCAGAGACCTGATGCCTGGCACAGGCTGGATTTGGGTTGGAAAGGGACAGAGCTGTGACTGCACATATGAGAAGACTGTCAAAACACCATGAGGTCATTACAAACATCAATCACCCTCACTTCCTGCAAGGTCTCTGAGGTGGTAGCCCCAGCGGCAGGCAACAGGGAGGCTCATGCATTCAGTCAACAGCCATGCTCTGAGTGCCTGCAGAAAACCAGGCTCTGGGCTCGGCACTGGGACTGATGGGAAACACATCTGGGGGAGCCAGGAAGCTGTGCACAAGAAGCATCAAAGTTTCAGTCTTGACTGGGAGCTTCTGTCGAAGCCAGTTGGATGTACAATGGCTTCAGGGGCTGTCAGATCCCAGGTAACACTGGGACACATTGGCACACTTCCAGTTATTCTCCACTTGAGGATGAACTGATCCAATCATAGCACCACAGTCTCAAGGTGCAGCAACCAGGAGGAAAAGAAAACCAGCTGTGTCACTCTTCAGGTGCCCAATGGCAAACAACAGCCTTCCAACATGGCGGCCTCTAGAAAGTTCAAGTGCTTCCAAGAGCTCCTGACATGCATACCTTTCTAATCCCAAGGGGAGACTGTCCTGAGAGTCCCTTTCAGGGATCTGCCACACAGAGCTGTGCCTTCAGGCAGTCCTCCTTCTCCTTTCAGCCCCAATTTGTTCCATGGCCCATGGGCACCTCTAAGTAGCCCATTAGAAGAAGTTCCAATGGAGAGAAAGAGATGTAAGGGATACACAAAGGTCTTTTCTCCCCCAAAGACCTCATTCCCTCTCCCTCACACTGTCCCCTCTCACACCCTGATTGAGTGGCAACCCTTCAGCCTGTCTTCTTGGATGAACCTGTCTACTCATCTCTCACAGGCCTCTTGAATATGCTCTTCTATTTTCGGACCCTATTATTTTCACCTGGTTGATGGAAAAAGCCTCCCTGCCGATCTCCCTGCTTTTATCTACCTGCTTCTACCCAATCCACGTAGTTGCCAGAACTATCTTCCTAGAAAGCACCTGTACTCATCCTTTCTCCTGCCTAAACGCTTTCCACAGCTGTTGGCTATATATGGGTCATAACTTCCTAACATGAACTTTTATAACTTGACCTCTGCTTCTCTTTCTGGTCACTGACAGCACTGGTAGATCAAACCACCAGGAATAAAACAGAAATTAAGGTTCCTGAATGCAATAAGCCAGGAAATAATGAGTCTCCCATGCTCCCTGCTCCCTCATTCCTCTGAGTTGTCTGCATCCTCACAATGCCATCCTGCCAGCAGCTATTTCCCCGTGAGATTATGTGCTCCAAGGGGCCAGCAGATGAGTGAAGCTCATCTCTAAATTCTGAGCAACCAGCACAGAGCCAGTTGTTTGAACAGTTCCTTTCCAACTACTGCCTTCTCAAAGGTTTCACATCTTTATGATGAAGTGCAAATTTCACTATTTTGAAGCATCTTTTGGGTTCCAAACTCTGTATCAGACACTTTCACATTTTTAGTTTACTTGATCCTCCCCTTGTAAACTAGTTAATAATAACATAAAACAGTAATATTCAAAACATATTTAACATTTATTAAATACCAGAAATTGTCCTAAGTATTCCCATGTTTACATTCATTTACTGTGTACAGCGTCCCAGCGGGTTAAGTATTATTATAATTTCTTTTCTATAATAGGTGAGAAAACTGAGGTTTGAAAAGGTTGAGGGACTTAACTACAGTTACCTAGTTCTCACTGTCCTCGGGAATTAAATCCAGATCTATCAGCTTCTATGGCCTGTGCCCTTAATAACTATTATTACCCCCTTTTACAGACTCAGAAACTGAGAATCAGAAAGTTGAGGGAGTAGTTCAGGGTCACTTGGCTAGTCAGCAGCCAAGCCAGCCCTCCTGAATCCACATCCTATGCTGTGATCCACTGCTACTCCTTGTAACTGATGATCCTGACTGTGGTTCAGGTTGGATGAATCAAGGAAAAAACCTTGACCCATCAAAAACCAGGTTCCTAAGCTAAGAAGACCCCAGGAGAGCATACGCATCTATGAATATAAAGGATACACTATGCTACCAGTCCTCAGAAATTTATGCAGGCCAAAGGAATACTGGGCTCTGCTTGAATATTTTTGGCAGTTGGGAAGACATGTGACTCACGGTATTTATAAGGAACAGGCTGCCCACTTTCCTCTGACCAGTCTGGGTAGCAGCACTACCATGGAATACCACTGCCCTGGAGAATTCCAGATTAAATAGAGGAAAATCAGTCAGGGAAAAGAAACATCCAACTCAGAGAGAGAGGGAGACAGAAGAGGTGGCATGTTTTTGCACAGCCCCACGGAATTCTGGAACAGTCCAGAGCAGGAGCTGTGACCTTAGCCGAGAATCAAAGATTAACATGGGCAAGAGAAAGGCTGGTTGAGCTTCACTGTCCCACCCTTGTCATGCTGGCCACTTTGAGATGTCTACAATTCAATTCTCTGGTTGACTGCAGAAGTCAAGGGGTTTCAGACAGACTTGCCTTTGAATCCTGACTCTGTCCTATTGTGACCAAGTGACCAAGTCAACCAACTTAACTGAGCCTCAGTTTCCTCCATCCACAAAATAGGGTTATTGAGACCCATAGCTCAAGGATATTCATGAGGATCAATGTCATAATGTATAAGAAATACCTGGCATGGGCCTAAAGTAGGTGCTTAATAAATGTTCCCCCATTCCCTTCCTCTTTCTCTAAGAGAAGATCCTTTCTTTCCTCCTTAAAACAAAATAGGCTGAAAGCAATCTAGCCCATCATTTAAAATGATTAAAGTCCCCAATTTCTGTTTATGAATGCTGTAGAGGGTAAAGGGGGAATACTCAGGGTGTGCTGTCATTGGTCTTGGTGAACATAAATTTGAGGAATTGTACCAATGTTCCCATTCCAGGTCACATCCTGTCATGATCAAGACATTAATGGATATGACAAAGATCCCAGATGAAAAGCAACTTCTGAACCACACCACTGGCATCCTGATTAAAGCAAACATAAGCAAGCCGAACCCAGCAAGACATCTGGAACCATCCCTAAGAGTGACCATCCACTAGACAGGACCCAACCCTGCCATGAGTGGAATCAACTTCCTGTCTCATGAGACTGCAGATTTCAAATCCTGTGCCTCTCCATGGCTTCCTGAGCTCCTAACCACACTCTGACAGGCATGGCATCTATGCAAAAAGGGAAATGAGTGAGGCCAGTTGAAGAATTATATAATCCTCCATTTTAAAAATAGGACTGGGTATTTTTGGAAAGAACTAGCTGGGTGAGTTATTTAACAGCCTTTCTGGCTAGCCTGTGGAAACTCAGAAAATGGCATTCTCTCAGGGTCTCTAGAAAGATGTGTTACCTGGTACAGCCAAAGAAGACTGAAGATGCCCAGGCTGGGCTGAACCTGGGACAATGCAGAGATAACCTGGTCCTTTGTAAGCTGTGGACTGGCCCTGTAATGCACGCTGGGAAGAGAGGAGTTTGGAAGCCACTCCCCAGGATGGATCTCTGTAGGCAAATCCTTTCAACAGCTACTGTGAAGCCCTCTGAGCGATGCGATTGATTAAGGTTGACAAAAGCCTGGCAATGGCTTCCACTCCCCACTTCTTGTTCCCATGTTAGACATTATTAATCAATTACAACTCTTTCTCTACAAGCCCCAGAACCAATCCTTTACACAAATCTCCCAGAAGCCACCAACAATCAGTGGGAGTTGGCACGAGGTGAGACTTCTCCAGTCTGTCTGCAGTAGCTAGTAAGTGGTGCACTGGCTTCAGTTTGGACCACTGCTACATCGTGGAGTTGACCTGTTGAAATTGATGAGCTATTCTGACATCAGTAATGCTCCCTGCAGCTTAGAGTTCAGGACTTCCGTTGTGATACAAATACAGCTGCTTGGAGAATGAAAATATTCATATATTTTTGGAGCTAATTCTAAGTACTTTCAAGTCTGTGCCAAAATTAAAACTGTTCAGAAATACTCTGATTCTCTTCTCCTTTGGGCCCATGATAAGTTTGCACTTCTCCTGCCCCTTTTCAAGTGAGACTATGGCCATGTGACTTGGTTTGGCCGATGATACATGAGTAGAAGTGACATATGTCACACAAGTGAAGTCTTAAGAGCCAGTGTATGATCCACCATGCTCCCTCTCCTCTGCCCTGGTGATGGTAGAAGCATATATGGAGGTGCAGCTTCCCCAGCAAGGGGTCTTGCATGACTGTGAGAGACAGTATCTCCTTGCTAACACACATTGGACATGAACATGAGTGAGAAATACATATTTTTTTGTAGTAAGCTGCTGAAATTTGGGGATTGTTTGTTCCTGCAGCATTGCTTTACTTATCCTGACTTTTACAAACACTTTCAGCTAGTCATTCCATCGGATCCTCTCAACAACCACGTAAAATAGGAAAAATGCTATTATCTACATCATACAAATAAGATGACGAATGCCCAGAGAGGTTAAATAATTAAGAAACACTGAAACCTTTTACATTAACTGACCAACACCTATTGCCAAAATGGAAATGTATATGCTCTGATCATATAATTTTTACAAGAAGTGGTGCATTTAAGCAAGTCATAGATCTCACTGAAAAATTAAATATTGTCTGAAAATTGACCCAGAAGCACCAAACACAATCATCCAAGAATAAAGCCACAATTTGCCACCGCAGCCTCCTAAATTGCAGTTCTCGCTCATCTTTGCAGCAGTTGTCAGGATCCTCACAGCCACATACCCCCAAATGTTCCCATAATCCTCTCTGCTTCTACTTACATATTATTATTATTATTATTATTATTATTATTATTATTATTTTGAGACAGGGTCCCACTCTGTCACTCAGGCTGGAGTGCAGTGATGCAATCACCGCTCACCACAACCTCTACCTCCCGGACTCAAGTGATCCTCCCACCTCAGCCTCCTGAGTAGCTGGGACTACAGGCACACACCACCATGGCTGGCTAATTTTTGTTGTTGTTGTTTTTGTAGAGATGGGGTTTTGCCGTGTTGCTCAGACTGGTCTTGAACTCCTGAGCTCAAGCTATTCACCCACCTCGTCCTCTCAGTAGTGTAGTGCTGGGACTACAGGTGTGAGCCACTATGCCCAGCCTACTCACACATCATTTATGCAAATCCTATTCTCCTATAAGCAATATCCAATTATTTGAGCAACTTTCTCCTCACTTCTCCTTCAAATGACAGACACTACATGTTCCAGGGCAGCCTGTCCCACAGCCTTCCGCATCCCCAGCTCCACGCTGTGTATAATCATAATAATTACATCAGCCAAGGTATCGTCATTTTAGCTCCTTCCTCCTTCACCATGGCTTTCCGTTTCTATTTCTATATAAATAGCCTTGTTATAAACTGTTTACTGTCAGCCAACTCCATTCTTTTCTGGAAGTAGGCAGAGTATATATTACAAACATAAAAATATAATAATAGACTTACCTTTACTCTGTTCAGGCATATAAATAAGATCTCTGGGCTGAAGCCTGAGGAGCGAGAACCCCGTCTGCCGCTTTGTTTGCAGTTACTCTCCTAGAGTAACGGTGCACTGTAGGCTCCTAATCACAAGTATTCATTGCTCACCTGGTTTGTGCTCATTACTGGGCTTGGAGCTGTGCAGGTACAAGGACACAATGTCCTCTCACCCTCGTTTGACCTCTATCTTCTCTCCCAGTGCCCGTCCTGAGACCCATCCCCACCCTTCCTCATGCAAACATATACGAGAAGAGTTTCAATCCAGCTGACAGGGTCAGGTTAGAGTGTTGGAGGAGATCATTCAGTGGAGATGATTCAATCTTTTAAAGATTCCAGGAAAGAAAATTCTGATATCTGGAGTAATCAGGGAGGGCTTCCCAGAGGACAAGTAGCTTGACCTGGGCCAGGAGGTGTGGCTTATTTGTGGGCGGACTGGCCCAGGTGGTGCAGAAATGAGGCAAGGAGAGGAGAGGTGATAAGATCCTAATGATCAGCATAAACACCTGCCTGCAGGAGGCCCTGGAGTAGGAAGCAGACAGAGGTCCGAGGAAACATCCAGACAGACAACTTTCCTGCCTCCCTCAAGGACCCATTTCTTTGATTTCAGAGCTTTCCACTCCCTGGAAAACTGTGAGTGGTAGCTAGCCTAGCCTGCCTCAGCCACCACTGAGTGGTGATGCAGAGAAGGGAAGCATTTAGGGCTTAAGAGGCCCTGCTGAGATGGGAAAGTTTCTCCTGTGGTCTTGATCAGAGACAATTCCTCAGGGTTACCATATACCCACTTTGCCCTGAAATCCACATGCAGCCATCACAACTTAAAAAAGAAAAATAGCGCTGACTTTTCACAGTAAAATAGCATTGCAAAAGAGTTTGCTTTAGAAAGTCACAGTCTCTCCTAACTCATTTGGATTTTTAAGCATAAATTTCAATCTGGAGGAATATTGGAAAGAGGGCACCGGTAATGGACTCATCCCAGGAAAAGTATTTATTCTTGCCTTTCCTCGGCCAAGGAAAGTTTCTATGCTGGAAAAAGCACCTCACCATCCACCGAGCTGTATGGCAAAGATTATAAATAGAAATAAAGAAGTCATTCTGACATGTTTATCATTTCGCCTTAAACTTCTGGAGCTCCCAGGGCAGAAAAAAGCTGGATCTTCTCCCTCCTACTTGGAAAATATATTTCTTTGGCTTTCCAAATAATATCTCATTAATAAAACATGATCTTTAATTTTTTTTAAAAGGCACAGAGTTAGACTATTTAATGAGAGGATATTTATTCTAACTCCTTATTTTTATAACTAAGAAACAAAGGAGAAGGAATGAGGGAGGGAAGGAAGGAGGAAAGGAAGGAAAGAAGAAGGAAAGAAAGAAGGGAGGTAGGAAGGGAGAGAGGAAGGAAGGAAGGAAAAAAGAAAAGAATATCCATTGAATATCTACTATATACCAGGCATTGTACTGTGCATTTTCCATATGTTACTTCATCTAATCCTCATAGCCAAACAATCTGGAAAGTATTCTTGGCCTCGTTTTCATGACCAAAGAATTCAAGGTATAGTAATTAAATGCCTTTCCCAATGTCTCAAAGCTAGATAGGGACAGAGCGTTGCTCATCTGGTCTTCACCACAGCACTGGGAATTGGGCCAGGCAGGCCACAGGATACCCATTTTACAGATGAAGAAACCTAATCTCAGAGAGGCTGAGGCATTTGCCTCTAGTCTGAAAGTTAGTGAGTGACGGAGTTAGGATAAGAATGCCGTTCTCCCAGCATCCTGGCCAGTGGCTTCTCTACTCTGTCTTACATGCAGGGTATATATGGCAGGTTTTCCTTACTTGGACCGGTTTTTCCAAAGAAGTGAATTGCTACTGTGATCTCCTTTGAAAGACCCTCTCAGGGATCAGGAAAAGCAGTAGGGACACTCTCCACCTGTATTGAAAGTGCAACCGTTGGGCTGGCCCAGTGGCTCATGTCTATAATCCCAGCACTTTGGGAGGCCAAGAGGGGAGGATCACTGAGGGCAGGAGTTCGAGACCAGCTGGCCAAGAAAGTGAGACTCCCATCTCTTAAAAAAGGAGAGAAAAAGAAAGCACACCCCTAGAATTTAAGTCTGCATGGGGAGGAGGAAATAATACAACTCACACTGGAGAAAATAATGATTTGGAGGAATTAGTGAAATCTCTCTCATAGCCATTCATTCTCCAGGTCTGTGTGTTGCCCATGCTGTTACTCTGGCTAAGGTACCTTTCCCTTCTTCACAGGCCCAAAGCCTACCTATCCTTTGAGGTCCAACTGAAGACCCTCAGTGAGCAATCTTCCAAGGCACCCACAGGTTCTGCCCTGAGGTTTGGGGAATAGGGAAGATGCAGGAGAAGAATTCTAAGAGTGGGTGACATTGAGCTGGGTCTTGAAGGAAGAGTAGGAGATTGTCAGCGACATGTGAACCTTGAAGAGGATCTTTCAAGCCAAAGAAAGCAATGACCAATGTGCTGCCCTAGCTGGAGCAGAGAGAGAACTGCTGGGTACCAGGCTGAGCTGGAGATGGTGGCCAAGCCGTGGGTTGCTCTGGTGTCAAGCCAAAGAGTTTAGGCCGGGCTCAGTGGCTCACACCTGTAATCCTAGCACTTTGGGAGGCCAAGGCGGGTGGATCACGAGGTCAGGAGATCGAGACCATCCTGGCTAACGTGGTGAAACCCCGTCTCTACTAAAAATACAAAAAAATTAGCCAGGCGTGGTGGCGGGCACCTGTAGTCCCAGCTACTGGGGAGGCTGAGGCAGGAGAATGGCGTGAACCCGAGAGGTGGAGCTTGCAGTGAGCTGATTGCACCACTGCACTCCAGCCTGGGCAACAGAGGGAGACTCTGTCTCAAAAAAAAAAAAAAAAAAAAAAAAAGCCAAAGAGTTTGGACTTTATCCTTTTATGGATGGGAGAGGGTGTCTCAGCTTTGATCAATAAACCTTTGCTGCTACAGGTATGGAGCCAGGTATTAGAACTACTTCAGTGAATGAAACATCTCTTCCACCCTTGAGAAGCCCAGGGGCTAGTGGATTTTAAGTGAGAGAAAAATGATCAAATTTGCCTTTTAGAAAGATAGCAGTAATTGATATAAATATTAAGTCTTACTTGTACAACATCAAAATCATTTTGAAAAGCATAATTCAGACTGCTGGCTCTGAAATCATCTGTCCGAATTCAAATTTGGACTGTTCCACTTGCCATTGGACCTTGAGGAAATTATTTCACCTTTAGAGTGCTTCAGGTTCCTACTCTTAAGACAGTACTGCTGCTCCGGCCGGGTGTGGTGGCTCACACCTGTAATCCCAGCATTTTGGGAGGCCAACGCAGGTGGATCACCTGAGGACAGGAATTCGAGACCAGCCTGGCCAACATAGTGAAACCTTGTCTCTACTAAAAATACAAAAATCAGCTGGGTGTGGCAGCACCTGTAATCCCAGCTACTTGGGAGGCTGAGGCAGGAGAATCGCTTGAACCCAGGAGACAGGGGTTGCAGTGAGCTGAGATCATGCCACTGCACTCCAACCTGGGTGACAGAGTGAGACTCCGTCAAAAAAAAAAAAAAAAAAATCCGTACTGCTGCTCCTATTACAAATGATAACGAGGAGGAGGATGGCAGCTAACACTTGCTGAACACTGACTATGTCCCAACCACTGTTCTAAGTACATCTGCATGAACTCATTTAACCCTCACTACAACCTTTTGAAGGAGGTGCTATTATTGCTCCCATTTTATCAACCCAGAAGTGACCAGCTTCTGGTCACAGAAGCATTGGGTCAAGTGGGATAGTTACTATTAGCTCTTGTTTTCATTCCTCATCTTCTGCCTTTATTGACAAAAACAAATGCATTAGAAAAATTAAAATTAATCATGCATTGTAAAGGGAAAACATGGCAATGATGTAAAACACAAAATTTCTTTTGAAGTCTATCCCCCTTAATTTCAGCACGATGCTGGTGTAGGGATGGCTATGTCCAACTCTGCATTTTCAATGAAGCCATCATAGGCCTCTGACCCAAACCCTTCCAACAGGGCACACAAACCTTTCAAGCTAAAGTACATGTGATTATTGCCCAGCCTACGCTAAGTGTTTGTTAACAGCACTTTCATTCCAGTGTTTTCTCAGCCTAACAAATTAGACCTAATGATTTGCTTTCCTGCTGCATTTAAAAAAACATGACTTCATGTTTTTTATAAACATGTTTAACTATAAATCTGGTTAGTCTGATCCATGAGCCAATTCTGCCTGTGAAAAAAATATGAGAATTCTTCCAATGTAATTTAAAATATCAAATGTCCCTGGGAATCACTGCAGTAACAGCAACCACAAAAGCAGCTCCCATTTCCTGAGTGTGTTACTACGCTTGACAAAAATCCTCACAATAGGCCCACAAGCAGGTACTATTGGGCCCATTATACAGGTGAGAGATCTGAGGCTTAGCAAGGGTATACAAGGCCATGCAAATGACTAACGGTGGAGCTAGGATTTGAATCCAAGTCTCTCTCTCCAAAATCCTCTTCTTTTACACAAGTTTGTAATACAAACAAGAGGGGAAGAGGAGTCTATGGAAATGACCTAGAAGCTTCTCATTGAAATTATCCTTAGATGGACATGAAGATGAAAGCATTTAAGTGATCCCCAGATGCAGGCCACCACCCAGGTAATTATAACATTGCAGAATATGCTCATGAGAGGTTTGCCAAAGCTGGCTACAAACAACTCGGGTTAAAACAGGACATCAAGCCAGCCCGGTGTCATGCGCCTGTAATCCCAGCTACTTGAGAGGCTGAGACAGGAGGTTTGCTTGAGCCCAGGAGTTCAGCCCTGTAGTGTGCTACGATGCTGGTGCCTGTGAATAGCCACTGCCCTCCAGCCTGGGCAACATACAGAGAAAGCCCCTCCCTAAAAACAACAACAAACCGGGACGTGGAGTCAAAGCAAAAACCATGCTGAGTGTGAGCTCCCAGGCACAATGACGTAAATTCTCTGGCACTCAAAGCAACTGTCAAATTATGCCAGAGAAAGCCAGGTGTTTGTGGACTAGGTTTAAATCAGGCTTATGGGCTGGGTGTGGTAGCTCACGCCTGTAATCCCAACAGTTTGGGAGGCTGAGGCAGGCAGATTTCTTGAGCTCACGAGTTCAAGACCAGCCTGGGCAACATGGTGAAACCCCATCTCTACGAAGACATAGAAAACATTAGGCGGGCCTAGTGGCAAGCACCTGTGGCCTCAGCTACTCAGGAGGCTGAGACAGGAGGATCGTTTGACTCCGGGAGGCAGAAGTTGCAATGAGCTGAGATCATGCCACTGCACTTCAGCCTGGGTAAGAGAGTGAGACTCTGTCTCAAAATAAATAAATAAAATAAATCAGGCTCACAGGAACTGTGGTTTAAAATGGGACATTCATCACTGTCAGTTTGGGAAGGTTGCCTCTGGCATGTCTCAATCTTCCCTGTCATTATCACTTGACCATGTCCAGAAGAGAGCAAAATCAATGCCATTGATCCAGCCCTCCAGGACTGTGCTCTGTAATTTCTACAGTACATCAGTCACACTGGAAAAATGTCACCCTCATAGAGATTGAGAACACTTGCAATCTCCAGGCTCCATGATGGATGCAGTAAAAACTTGCAGGATTTCATTCAGCAATGGACAACTGTCATCCTCCAAGGGCCAGTTTATATACCTTTTTTCACCATTTCCAGATTTCCTACCCGACTTTGGGCTCCTAAACCACCTGACATTCTTCTATTATAGGAATTTTCATGTTGAATTCTATTTAGTTTTTTGTCTCATTTCTCCACTAGACTGTAAGTAGGTTGGGGGAAGAGGCTTTATCCTAGTATCCTGGTGTCTACTACAAGGCCCAGCATGTAGTTAGAGTTCAAAGTAGTTTATTAAATCAATGAGAAGCATGATGTCTGCGTGATGGGTAGGTTGGTAAATAGACAGGCAAATGAATGGACAGAAGGTTGAGTAGGCGAATGGATGGGGAAATGGTAATTTTATTGCTGGATGGACAGCCAGATGGTTGGAAGAGGACATGGATGGCTGAATGTGAGAGTGGCTGGTTGGATGGATGGATGGATGGATGGATGGATGGATGGATGGATGGTTGAATGGATAACATGGATAGATATACTGTGGGTGATTTGGTAGATGGAGAGACTAGTGGGTGGATAGGTGAATAGACAAGGAGCAGACAAGTTCTCAAGGAGCCAAGTCAGTGAGCCATTTTAAGTACAAGTTTAAAGAACACAGGTAGGCCGGGCATGGTGGCTCACGCCTGTAATCCCAGCACTTTGGGAGGCCGAGGAGGGCGGATCACAAGGTCAGGAGATCAAGACCACGGTGAAAGCCCATCTCTACTAAAAATACAAAAAATTAGCTGGCCGCAGTGGAGGGCGCCTGTAGTCCCAGCTACTCGGGAGGCTAAGGCAAGAGAATGGCATGAATCCGGAAGGCGGAGCTTGCAGTGAGCTGAGATTGCGCCACTGCACTCCAGCCTGGGTGACAGAGTGAGACTCCGTCTCAAAAACAAACAAACAAACAAAAAAACACAGGTGACTCAAAAAAGAAAATGGAAAGTTGTCCTTCAGGAGAGTCTAAATCTTACTCAATCAAATCTTACTCAAATCAAAAGGGAAACATAGTTGTAGGCTATATTTGTAAGACTTTTTCTGCTTCATAAGACTTTATGAAATCTTATGAAGCCTGGTCTCAATAATGTCACGATATTGCACATCCATATTATTAGTTAAGAAAAAAATCAATGTATCAATTGTGTGGCAGGCAGAATTTTAAGATCCCCCCACCAAGATTCCCAGAACCTGGTATACACACATACCTTGCTCACAGTTACCCAATCAAACACTAATGTAGGTACTGCAGTACAGAGATTTTGAAGATGTAATTAAAGTCCCAAATCAGTTGACTTTAAGATACGGATATTATTCAGGTGAGTCTGATTTAATCACATGGGCCCTTTAAAAGAAGAAAGTAGTCTCTGGCTGGTTGCAGAAAGAGAACCTAGATACTCAAAGCACAAACAATATTTGCTGCACAATTGTTGGCTTGAAGACAGAGGGGAACACATGGCAAGAAGTACAGCTGGCCTCAGTGTGCTTACAGCAGCCCCCAGCTAACAACAAACATGGAAATGGACTTCAGTCCTACCAGCTTAAGGAAATGAATTCAGCAAACTACAAGAAAGGGCCCAGAAGCGGATTTTCCCCCATAGCCTCTAGACAAGACCTAAGCCTGGCCAACACCTTGATTTCAGCCTGGTGACACCATGGGTAGAGAACCCTGTCACTCTGCACCATGCTTCCTATCCACAGGACTGTGAACTAACAACTTGGTGTTGTTTTAAGTATGGCAATTTGTTATGTAGTACCATGAAATTAACCTATCAGTTTCATCCAGAACAATTCCATAAAAGGAAATTCACACTTTATAGAAACTGAATTGTTATATTTTCTTCTAGTTGATTGAAGAAATATTTAATAGCAGCACTCCGTCTCAGATAGATTCAAATGCTGACTTCACAATATGAACATTTTCCCATATAAATAAACATTCTTTTGCAAGATTTTAAATAGCTACGTATGATTACATTATATGGAGACACAATAATTGACTCAACCTTTCCCCTACAGCTGGGCATTTGGGAGGTTTCCAATTATTCACTATTATAAACATCACTATAATAAAAATTATTGTAGAGGCATTCCTGTGCTCTTCCCTGATAAAGTCTTTAACATCAGGTGTCAGAAGTGAAATTGCTGGCTTTAATATAGTACCCATTTTTAAATCTTTCAATATAATTGATATTTTCACGGACATTATATGAAACTGTGCAAATCCCCACATCTGACCACAAGTAGGTAATGTAAGAAAAATCAATAACTTACTCTTGTTTCTTCATCCTCGAGCATTCATATTTATCATCTTGTCCCCAATCACTGGCATTTCTTTCTATTTCTCTGCAATTCTGGGACAGCATATGGTGTTGATCAATTAAATCACTGACAATTTTTAGCAAAGTCAGTTCTACTTTCTAATTTTTTCTGTTTCTGCTTTAAACCATCCTAGCCCATTGTTGGCTTCTTTACAGGTATTTTTTTTTTTTTGGCTTCCCCATATGTTATTTCGCTTGAACCTGTTATCTCTTATTTCATAGAATTGATTTTTTTTTTATTGTGGAGTGTTCAAAGCAGATGCTACCCAAACTACTTCTATTTCCTATAGCAATTTTTTCTGTTGTTTTTTTCTCTACCTTTCCATGCTATAGTTATTTCCTTCTTTTCTGTTCCATAACATTTTCATGGGCCTAAGTTTTGTTTGTTGTTTTTCATATAATTTATTCATCTGTGATGATGCCACTGTATCCTGGCTTGTTATTTTTCACAGGTGTGGTACAGGTAGATGCTCTGAATCTCATAGGTCAGCTCTATGGGTGCTGCTAGAACCCTGCCTGCCCACCTGAAGTTAGGATGGAGGGTGGTTGATGCCAGTTTATATTCCCAGCTCAAGAATGCAGCTGCCTAAGTGGGGGCAGTGGGGGGCAGATGCGCTGTATGTAATACCTTCCATTTACAGCTGTGAGGGTCTCAGCAGTGGAAGGCTGCAGGTGGGCCATCCCCAGCATCAGGTCTGCCTCCTTGTCAGTCAGCGTCTATGCACCACTCACCATTCCTAACATGCCGGATACTGAACAGGCCATGGTGATCTTGGATGACTTAGTTCTCCCTATTGAGCCTTAGCTTCATCTATAAAGAGAAAAATACCTAGCCTAGTCTCCTGACTTCAAAGGGTTACTAAGAGTGACACAAGTGTCAAAGAGTTTTATAAACTGCCCACAAATCCTGGGTTAAGTATTATATTCAGAATGAAGCTTGGCAAGGGGCTGCAATGGGTAGAGAGAGGAGACACAGAGAGGGAAGATCAAGTGGACGCTGTCAGCAGGAGCCTGCGGACAAGTGCTCCCTGTCCAGGAGCACACAGGTGCTCCCTGACACATGCTCTCTACAGAGCACACAGGTGCCTACGAACACCAGGACACAATCTCAGCAACCTATAAACTACCCCTACTACAAACAGATCTTTGTAAATGTCAATGCAATGGCAGAGCACTGACAGAAATATTGAAATGGAAAGAAAAGGTTTTAAATGAAGGCCACTGTGCTGGCTGCTAACCTTTTGATGACTCAATGTTTTTAAGACAGCCTTTAGCTATGATGTCTTACTGTCCCTCAACAGTTGATCCAGTGGCTCCCACTGACTACAGTACCATGCACACTCTTGTTCTGGCCTCCAAGGCCTCCAAAATTTGGATCCAATCTGTCTTTCCAGACTTATCCTCCCTCTAATTCTTACAAATATCCTCTCCTCAGGCCAGGTGTGGTGGCTCATGTCTGTAATCCCAACACTTTGGGAGGCCAAGGCAGGAGGATCATTTGAGGCCAGTGGTTTGAGACCAGCCTGGACAGCATAGTGAAACTCTGTTTCTATACAAATTAATTAGCAGGCATAGTGGCATGCACCTGTAGTCCCAGCTACTTAGGAGGCTGAAGTAGGAGGATCACTTGAGCCCAGGAATTTGAGGCTGCAGTGAGCTATGATTGTGCCACTGCACTCTAGCCTTGGTGACAGAACGAGACCCTGTCTCAAAAAAAAAAAAAAAAAATCCTCTCTAGATACTTTGTCTCTACTCTTCCTTTAACCTCAAATGCCCCTTTCCCTACTGTCTACAATTTATTTCTCACCTATCCTACGTCTAGTCCCACCTTTTCTTTAAACCTGTTTTAAGAAAGCCCAGCCCACAATTTTAGTCTCTCACCCAAACTCATAATACTTTTTGTTTCTGACACTGATTTGACATTGATCACCGATTGACTTCCATGCACTATTTCTTGTGTTGCTTTGTGTTGTAAGCTGAGGCTCTTCTATCTTAAACGCAGCAGAACTTAGACATGCAGATGATTATCTCATCTAACACACCCTCTGGAGGAGCTAGGGACCTTAAAGCCTTCAGCACATCCTCAAGACTGTGCTTAAAAGTGGCAAATTTTTATCCGTCTTAGGATTTAATTCCCAGAAATAGACGGAGGTCATTTGAAAAGAAAACTGGAAAGTGAGCAGATGATCAAACAGGATAACGCTATGCATAAAGTGTGGCATAACTCCAAAGGTTAGAGATTATTTTTCTTCTGGAGCTTATAATCTAGTTCAGAAAGCAATTTCAAAGAGCTTTTCAAACTCTCTCAATCAGCTGTCCAGGGGAGCAATTATACTTAATTTTACCATGACCCTTTCCCCATCCCCTCTGCTAGGTATGTAAAACAGGTGGGATTTCACACATATTTAGTGAATAAATGATCAAATGGACAAATTCATCCCCATTTCCTCTTTCCTGGTTCCTGGAAGAAAATTATTCTCTTGGGTCATCCCATATTGCAAGGAGACCTTTTTCTTCTATGAGCGCTCACCATGAGCTTCTCTCCAGAATATTTTTCAGAACTGGGGTCCAAAGACTCCTATGGACATAGTCTCAAGGGCTCTGTCATACAAGCCTTTCTTCTAGATCAACTGGATAAGCCCTTGTAATGAAGTGCTGCACACAATTTCAACGCCATCTGCATTAGTGAATACCTTGGACCAAGTCAAGGTCAAACAATACCTAGGCACCTCGAAAGTTTTCACAGTAATTAGAATTAAGTGGTAGAAGAACTGAGTCATCACATGACATACGTTGGTATGGGCATGCCAGCCTCCCCAATAAAATGTGTTATAAGATATTCTGGTTGCTCACAAACGCATTTTACATACCTTGTCTTTGCCCTCACCAGCTTTCAGTTATTCATTACCAGTACATAAATACAGAGTGTAGAATATTCCATTAACCAGCAATTGAAATTTCTTTTAGTGTAAGGTATTGGGAGATTTCCTTTTAAAGCAACCAGCTTAATAAAATAATAAATTCATGTCCCAATGAGTTCAGTGTTAAAAAGTGGGAAAAAGTGACACAGGATGACTCAAACAATGGTCCTTTATACACAAAATTAAATAAGCTGAGACCAAAACAAGTGAAATGCAAAATGGAGAGATAAAACTTTTTCCTGTGAAGCCCAACATTGGTAGATTTGGCATATCAAGTTTATGTAAGCAATTTAAATTTGATTCATGTTAGAGTTTTGTTTGCATATCATTTGTAAATTTGTTTTAGATTTATAGATGTGTAAGAACTATAAGCTGAGGAATTTATACCTAGTTTTATGTTTGTATATATTTAAATAACATAATAATAAAGTTAATTAATTCAACAGTAGACATCCTTGGGAATGTTTTCCCTTAAAAAGAGTCTGTATCTTACTCAGGTAAGAACAACACTACTCCTGAGCTTCCTAACCACACGGTAACCACCAAAGGGAAGGCAGGCAGCTGGCTGGCAAATGCGTTTTTTAAACACCTAACTTAGTGCTGGGCAAGCACCCCAGCACGGGAACCGCCTGGCTCAGTAGGCAATTTAAACCTGAAAAGAAGGTCTGCTTGTTTGCATGTCTGCTTTGTAAATATTGTCCCGGGCGGGCAGGAAGGGGCAGGTTTTCAAAACACTCATAATCATCTTCTTCTGTGTATTCCTTTTGCTTCGGACCTGACTCACAGAATGCAAACAGCCTTTAGCAGCCTTGTCAAATCATGAAGCAGTTTCTCCAGGGCTGATGTGATCTCTAAGCCAGCCACTGATTTTATCAGTGCACAAAGCTTGTTTTGGGGGCTGTTAAGGCATAAATCCGCCTCTCCTGCTTTCATGTGGTTGTGAGACCTGGTGGGAGGATAGGTGTTGATACAGGAATTGGGGCCCTCTCGTGCTAGCTAAATGCACAAAGGGGAAAACGTGCAGTTCCAGGGTGGCCATGGTAGTTCTCCGTGCAGCCATGTGACTTGCTCCCAGCTTTGGATCTTCTAGAAATTCAGGCCCGGCTACCTTCTACATGAGCGATGAATTAAAGCCTTTCCAAAACCTTATTGTTGCTTTTATTAAGCAACAACCAAAAGCCTTTCCTATGTGGCCCTTTTGCTTGTCCCCTAGTTCAAGTACTATGACAAGAACTCTGTCTCCCCTTATCATCAACCAGAGGAAAGACCTCGGTTTTATCATACAAAGAAGATGAGTTTGCTGTGACATTACAGACTTTCCCAGAGGTTTAGAGATTTTCACCTGTGAAGGAATCCCAGTCATTCATTAGGAAAGACGCACGTGCTTTCAGCAAGTTGAAATCCTGCATGGAAACCTCTCCTGGGACATCTGGAGCAGTAGGTGAGGCACCTGGCATCCTTGCCCAGATGTCAGAGCTGACAAGAGCCTAGAGCCAGTCCAGTCCAAGCTTCTTGTTTCTCAGGTAGAGGAACTGAAGTTCAGAAGAGTCAACCTTCCTCCGGTCACATGGCCACATGGTATTGAAGCTAAAAGTAAAACCTAGGCCTTCTGTCTCTTAGTCCAGAGCTCTTTCCACCAAACCACAATTATGTCTTCAAAATAAAGGAGACACTGTCTCCCATATTCTCTGACTATGCAGCCATATTATTTACAAAAAAGGCACTGAAAAGCCATTGTTTTCTTCTGCAAGATGCAAGTCACAGGGATCAGCCTATAGAGCTGAAAAGAGATCTTGGGGTCTGATATGGTTTGCCTGTGTCCCCACCCAAATCTCATCTTCAATTGTAGCTCTCATAATTCCGATGCATTGTGAAAGGGACCTGGTGGGAGGTAACTGAATCATGGGGGCAGGTCTTTCCGGTGCTGTTCTCTTGAAAGTGAATAAGTATCGCAAGATCTGATGGTTTTATAAAGGGGAGTTCCCCTGCACAAGCTCTCTTGCCTGCTGGCATGCAACATGTGCCTTTGCTTCTCCTTTGCCTTTCACCATCATTGTGAGGCCTCCCCAGCTGTGGAACTGTGAGTCCATTAAATCTCTTTTCTTTAGAAATTATCCAGTCTCGAGTTTGTCTTTATTAGCAGCATGAGAACAGAATAATACAGGGTCCATCTGATTTATATTCCAGATGGGATCATTGCAGTCCAAAGACAGCCATTTACCCACAACAGAAAATGAGTCAGAGGCAAAGTAGAGACCTGTGGGTCTGGAGCCCAAGACAGACTTGAGCTCAGACAGCAGATCTCTTCCACGCCACAGATTAGCTATGTGTCTGTAGAACCGTTGCTTAACCTCTCTCAGACCCTTTTTTTCTCAGCTAGATAATCTGGATGGTCTAGAACCAACTGCATGGAGCTGTTGGGAAGTCTAAAGGAGATAATGAATGCAAATACTCATCACGGTGTCTGGCCATCAGCATCATCATTGTCATCTTCACCACCTTGTCTTCCCGTCCAGGGAACTTTCCATTATAATATTTTGCTGCTTCTAAGATTCTTTTTCATTTTTTTTTTAATTCTAAAGTTAAACGTTTTGGGTTTGGCATTTCTTAATCCAGTGCCTAGAACTTTGGGTCAAAATTGAATTGAATACTTTCCACACATCTATCAGGAGAATAGCATTCCTGCCTAGTGATCTGATGACCATGGGAAGTCATCCATAGCTTTCTGAAATATACACTCTTGTTCTAGGGAGAAATGCTGTCCCAATAACCTCCTTGTATATGAGGGGACAGAATCCAGCCATCCTGTGGCCCCAAGGGAGGTTCTGTACAACTCTGCGGGAGTGGTCACCCATGATGTAAAGTCTGGTTTCTTTACACGAGGAAGTACAGAGTGGCAGGAGCAGTTCACAATTGAGCTGAGGAATCACTCTCTTCCTTAGGGCTCTGAGAAGCGTGAATGAAGAATAATGGTGTTTAGGAGCCCTCCAGAGCCCAACCATGCTGGCATCCTGAGCTTGGACTTCTAGCCTCCAGAACTGTGAGAAATATATTTCTGCTGTTAACAAGCCACCTAATCTGTGGAACTTTGTTATAGCAGCCCAAACTGACTAAGACAGTGTCTCTGACAAGAGATCCCAGTTCGTCCTCACCATTCCTTTACAAAACCAAGGGTATTCCTCCCATCATTGTACAAATGAGAAAACACAGGCCTGGAGAAGTTAAGTTGCTAGTCCAAGTTCATACAGCAAGCTAGTAGCAGAATCTTGAACCCAGGACCTCTAAGTCCAAAGCCATTGCTCTCCTGACCACATTCCAAGATAGGCATGTGAACATGTCAGAAGTCTTCCAGGAAATATATCCAACCAATAGATTTATTTCAGTCATTCAAACATACAGAGAAAAGCAGCAGGAACTGACCCAGAATTGCAGGAAAGTGATGTCACTGCTCTCGCCAGCCCACGCCCCATGGTCATTATTTTAAAAGCGATGAGACCATCCATTAGAGCTGGCGCTGGAGTCATGCCCCTGTCAACATCCGGGTGTGTGGGCAGGGCCTGAGCACATCCTCTGGAGGCTGCATTGCTGACACTGTGGGTAAGGGCTGGAGCCTCGGTGGGTGGGGCCTGCCCACGCCCAGCTGAAGGCAGAGGCAGAGCCATCAGGAAGGGCGAAAGGGATAACAGGGCTTTGGCCCCTGCCCAGCAGCCGTTGATGGCTTAAGCCAGGCTTCAGGACATGCAGCCATGATTCTGTACATATGTCCCTTTCCCGCCTTATGGTGTCTGCCTCCTGGGTACCTCCACTCTCAGGTGCCAGCCCTGTGCCTTGTTACTGCTCCTTGTTACTGTGCCTTGTTACTCAGAGATTAGAAAGCTGATTAATGCAAGCACCAGGCCATGTTGGCAGAATTAGGACTCAAAGAAACAATGCAATATGACCCCATGAGTACTTCCAAGTACAATAGTACAGTTGTCCCTTGGCATCTGCACATTAGTTCCAGGAACTCCCTCAGATACCACACTCTCCAGATGCTCAAGTCCCTAATATAAAAGAGTGTAGTATTTGCATATAACATACATACATCCTCCTGTATACTTTAAATCATCTCTAGATTACTTATAATACCTAATACAATGTAAATGCTTTGTCAATAGTTGTTATCCCGTATTATTATCCTGTAAGGACAAGAAAAATAGTCTGTACATGTTCAGTGCAGATGCAAACATATTTCAAATATTTTCAGTTTGCAATTGGTTGAATCTATAGGTATGGAACCCACAGTATGGAAGGCCAATTGTACTACAGAGTAAGTACCTCTATCAAAGGTGGGTGTGGTGGATTGATCACAAAAATCAATCAACCATTCCACTCATCCTTCTCTCCTCCCCTCAGATCCTTGTCTTTTGCAATGTAACTATGCAGCTTCTCCCATTAAAAGGTAGAGTCTAAATCTCCTCCCCTTGAACATGAACTGACCTGGCTTCAGCCAAAAGAAAGCAGCAGAAGTGCTGGTGTGCCATTGGGTTTTGAGATCCAGGCCTCCAGAGGCCATGCATGCTTTCCTTCTCTCTCACAGAACAGCATCAGTCACCTCGAGAACAAACCCAGGCTAGTCTACTGGGTGATGAGAGACGCATGGTCCAGTCACCCTCATCCACTGAATTGAGAGCTAGCCAATGCCAAACACATAAATGAGGCCATCCTAGACCAGCCAGCCTCCAGTTGTTCTGCCGATAGATACAAAACAGAGTTGAGATTAGCCAAGCCTGTCCGGATCAGCAGAACCAGCTGGTTGACCCACAGGACAATAATACACAGTTGTTTCAAGCCACTGCCTTGGGGGTGGTTTATTACACAGCAATAGCTTACTGATACATTGGAGAAGGAGAGAGGGAACTCTTCACAGAGAAGGGGATGCCTCAGCAGGGTCAGGAAGAATGAATGGTAGTTTGCTAGATGATTGAGCAGAGAAAGCAGCATTTACAGCAGCAAGATGGCAAGAAGCAGCATTGCATCAACAGGACCATAACAATCCTAGGATGTTGCTAGAGTCTAAAACAGAAGGGAGAAGCAGCTGGACAAGAAGCTGGAGAGGAAGGTGTAGCCCAGCTACGGTAGGCCCTGGGCCCCAAGGCTGAGCTGTATCCCCAGAGATCCCCAAACCTCTGAATCAACAGTTTTACTTTATAACAGGTTTTTGGAAAGTTATTAGAAGGTGTAAACTCAATGTTTTTGCCCCTACATCGAGTACTGAAATATTTCAAATATGAACAGAGATGGCGAGAATATCAATTACCCTGCAAATCTATTAGAATGTGAATTTCTTCTCTAACTCTGATCTAAAGTAAGGTTTTCAAAAGATTCCCTCAAGAGCATGATGATGGTTTGTAAAGACTCCCTAAGAGCATGATCATGACATGTGTTTGATGAAAAATAAAGCCTGGATTTTGGAAAAAGTCCCAAAGTAAAATGACATGAAAATCAAGGTTTTCCCAAGATTTTATTAAAGAGAAATACCAACAGTTTAAAAGTAGTTGCCTCAGCCAATATTAAGTACCCCAGCTGTGGGAAGACGTGGAAAAGCCAGCCACATTCAGCCATTAATGATTTTATTCATTCATTCCGCAAAGGTAGCAGTCATTGACTCTGTCAGATCCTGCAATAGGCCCTGAGACTCTACAAATAAATGACATGAGACCTGCTCTCTCGGCAGTCCCAGACAGAGGGCGAGAAAGGACATAGAACCACACCCCACCATACGACTCACATGGGCTATAAGAATGGAGGTGCTCTGGAAACCCAGAGGATGGTGAGGTGATTTCAGCTACCCCTTCAACATAGGCTATTAACAAATTTCCAGCCAGGTGCAGTGACTCATGCCTGTAACCCAGCACTTTTGGAGGTTGAGATGGGAGGATCACTTGAGTCCAGGAGTTCAAGACTAACCTGGGCAAGATGATGAGATCCCGTCTACACACACACACACACACACACACACACACACACACACACATAAAATTAGCTGGCATGGTGTTATGTGCCTGTAGTCCCAGCTACTCAGGAGGCTGAGAGGCAGAAGGATTGCTTGAGCCCAGGAGTTCGAGGCTACAGTGAGCTATGATCATGCTACTGCACTCCAGCCTGGGTGGCAGAGAGAGACCTTGTCTCTCTAAAAAATAAAAAATAATAAATTTCTTTACAAAATTTGTGATCAAGTCAGGGCTTATTTCACTTAAGATGAAGACCTCTGGTTATACTACCATGTTGCTGCAAAAGACAGGATTTCATTATTTTTTGTGGCTGAATAATATTCCATTGCATATATATACATTTTCTTTATCCATTCATCCATTGATGGACACTTAGATTGATTCCATATCTTTGCTATTGTCAATAATACTGTAATAAAAATATAAGTGCAAGTATGTCTTTGATACTAATATATTGATTTCTTTTCCTTTGGGCAGATGCTCAGTAACAGGATTGTGCAGGGTAGTTCTATTCCATACACTATTTGTGAATAAACCTTTCATAAGCTCTCATTTTGCAGAAGAAACTATATATGACTCTCAAAATTGTGACTTCTCTCCAGACCAGGCCTTCCCTAGCCTGGGCCACAAGTGGGAGTCCCAGTGTGGCCTCTTTCAGGCCTCAACTCATTGAGAGAAACACAGACGAGGCCCTAGGGAAGAGCCATCTATTTCCTCTCCTAACCAGTGCTGCGCAGGGACTGCCTAGATCTCGTGCTCACAAGGCGGCTGGCAGCCCATTGTGCCACTCTGGGCTAATCCTCACTTGGCTAAATCCTTAGTGCAGAACATCCCTAAGCTGACCACATCTCTGCAAAACCTGAGACATACCCAGGCCTGGTCTGCTAAGATGGAATCTGTGAAGTTTGCCCAGATGGTCAGATCAAATGTCTGGCTGAATTCCCACTGTGCTAGCTTTATCTCATTCCTGTCATCTTCCACACTGGTAACTGGATCAAATAAGCTTTTACTGGCAGGACAAATCAACGGATAAAGGAAAGACTGTTCCATGAAGCTGTCCTGGGATAGCAAGTTAGTAAATTGAAGGGAAAAGTGTGTTAGAGTTTCTTCTTGCACTATGAACTGAAGTAAATTTGAGACAGGTCAAAGAACTTAAAAATCAATCCACGGAACCTCTAGAAGACTCTAGAATTGTACATTAAAAAATAAATCAATATGTAAATGATCAACACATTGAACTGCATGAAAATATTTTACATATTTTTCAAAATAACTGAAAGGGAAGAATGGGAGAGAAAACTTCAAATATGTAATGAGATCAGACCTACTGATAAGAAAAATATGAATACCCCATCAATAGGTATATGATATGAATACATAATTCCAAAAACTAAAAATAACTAGTAAACAAATACATAGGATGGCTTTCAACCTCTCCAGTTATCAAAGAAATACAAACCTATTAGCTATGAATTTTCACCTGTTAAAATGATTTTTTAAGTTATAGTAATATCAAATATCAGTGTAAATAACACTGTTGTACACAATTAGTGAGACTGTTAATTTGAATAAATCTTTGGAGGCCATTTTCTTGTTTACTTATACTTCTAGAAATCATTCTATGGAAATCAGCAAAACTTGGGAAAAAACATATAAAACGGTCATTTTAAATGTTAATAGTAAAAATTTAGAAAAATTTGATGTTATTTTATAGCAATTAAAAAGACGACTTTGAAAACTGAAAATGCTTATGAATAAACTTTAAGATGTGTTACGTATAAGGTAAAATTCTATCAACGTTATGTAAAAAATATACAGTAATAACACTAGAAAAATATTCATCAAAATTCCTATAGTGTCTATCTTCAGTAGTAGGATTATGGGTTTTTCTTTTTCATTTCTGTACTTTCCAAGTGATAAGGAAATACACGGTTATATGGCTTATATAATGGAAAAATGTGTAATATGTATATACACATGCACCATGTACATTCTTTTTTAAAAAGTAATAAAATACCTCCCTTGACCACTCCAACTCCTAGTTATTGCTCATTCCTCCAAAAGTCTTAGAACCAGGCTGGTTTCACACAGTGCTTAGAGCACAGACCCAAATGTTTGTGTAATGAATTAATTAATGAAGGAGCATTTCCTTTCTACACAGTGGCCTAAAACACAGTGGAGGCGGCCTGGCATTGCTTCCTAGTGAGGATGGGTTATACTCTGCTGTGGTAATAAAGAACCCGAAGCTGCAGGACTTCTTTCTCATCTAGTTCCCAGGTCCACCGTGGGTGTGTGGAGGACCCTGGGCTGTTATGGGCACCTAAGTACCCAAGCTGGCCCCTCCATCCAGGCCATTGCCAGTCACTGCAGCAGAGGAGAGGAGCTAAAGAACCGTGTGTTAGTTTTTGTACGTTTCTTCTAGAAATGACACACACAACTTTTGTTCATATTTCATTGACTAAGACAAGACACTTGACCACAACTAACATCGAAAGTGTGGAATGCATTAGCCTCCCTTGTGCCCAGAAAAAAAGAGGGACTGGATGTTGGTGAACAGTGTGACTGCTGCTTTTCTTGTGTACACATCTCTCTATCCCCTTAGACCATGAGCACCCCAGGAGCAGCTGGACCCTGCACGCCTCTGTCCTCCCTGCACTCTCCCTACCCTCCACACGCCAGCACTGCTCATGCCTGGCAAAGCACCGGGACACTGTAGGTGCTCCCTGTGGCATCGAATAGCGATGGAGGTTGTGTCTACACCAAAGATATCATGATCCCAGATTATATTCAAATACACATTGTACTCTATTTATAATCATCTATAATGATCTGCAATCACCTCCACTTCTCAATTTCTGACAATCACAGGTTGCTGTGCACAATTCCCGTAGGCAGTTCTGGCCAGGTTCGTCAAACTGGTGCCATGAAGTGTCACACGAACCTTTCCAACCTTACCTAATAAGACTTCTCTGGACATCTTTCATGCCAGAGCCTCATCTCTCTCCACATCCAGCTTCATCCTTACACCCCAGCCACCCTGAGCCACTCATAGCTCCTTTAATGTACCAGGTTATCTGATTGCCCTTTGCCTAAAATGCCCTCTCTAATCAACAGACAAATTCTTACTATACTTTGTAAGGTTCAAGTCAAAGATTAATTCCCCCAAGAATAATGAGGTCCCACTTTTCTGCCCACTCTTTGCCTTATATGGACATAAAATGCATTAATCTCATGTGTTCTCCTGACCCCAGTCACCCACCCCACGCTCCCAGATTGAAAGGTAGGAGCGTAAGTTACTGGGTTTTGCATTCTCCATGTCTGGTGTAGAGTGGTTGATTAATAAACGTTTGCTGAATAAATGGTCTAAGCAACTGCAATATCTCATGGTTTTATTGATCTACCTGGCAGTGACTCAGAGCTCTCAAGCCTTGATATCTTTTTCGGTAAACAGGTCAGACTGATAAATGTATTGGTGGCTTATCACACACATAAGTGGGACATGGAACATGCACCAACAGTCTTGTAATAAGAGCATTTCATCCAGAATACCCTGAGTCTGCTCATTCATTTCCTGGCAGTCTCCTTTCGAATACATCTTGGGTTTCAAGTTCTCCATCAGAGCTCTCCAGGATGAAAAATGGACCCACTGAGAGCACACATTAGTGACAGTGGATTTCACTGCAGCCCCATCCATTTGCTAAGCACTCTATAGTTCTGAGTGTAATCCACAAAGAGAAGCTACTTCAAAGCCCTCTTTAAAATACTTGCTAAGGCTGGGCACGGTGGCATGTACATGTAGTCCCAACTGCTCGGGAGGCCGACACAGGAGGATCGCTTGGGCCCAGGAATTTGAAACCAGCCTAGGCAACGTAGTGAGACGCCCCCGCATCTCAAAAACAGCTAAATAAATAAACAAAAAAGAAATCAAAATAAAATCCTGGTAAGCTCTTATTAAATGCTATTTTTAAAGTTTAAAGTTATGGGAAAAGCCACCTCTTTATGAAAATATTTTCTGGTACAAGCTGTGTGTTACTGCAATAATAAATTGCAACATGAATCAGAGGTAATTTTGTATCATTTCCTCAGAGATAATAACAAAAAACTCCATATCATTTAAAATTCTCTTATCCTCTGTCACCCAGGCTGGAGTGTAGTGGTACAATCATGGCTCCATGCAGCCTCAAACTCCTGGGCTCAAATGATCCTCCTGCCTTAGCCTCCCAAGTAGCCAGGACTATACATGTGAGCCACAGCACCTGGCAATTCCTTTTTCTTATAGATGGGGGTCTTGCTGTGTTGCCCAGGCTGGCCTTGAACTCCTGGGCTCAAGAAATCCTCCCACCTTGGCCTCCCAAAGCACTGGGATTATAGGTCTGAGCCACTGCACCTGGCTTTTCAAGAGCAATGAATAACTCCTGTTGAAAAGATGCAAGGTTTCTTGCTTGGCCGTGCCCAGTGTGTCCTGGAGTATAATCTCCAGCCCAAACCCACTCTAGTCTTCCTAACATCCACCTAGATGCTCATCCCACCACCTGGGAGTTCTCCTGGACACCTCCCTCTCCCTTACCCTATGTCCAATCCACCATCCTGTCTGTCCATTGCATCTCCTAAACACCAGCTGGATCCACCCACACTTCTCCTTCCCCACTGCCTCCACTCCAACCCACCATCACCAGGTCCCTAGCCCAGCACCATAGCATCCCCTGCCATCTTCCTGCATTTATTTTTGCTAACTATTGCCTATCACCCCCACCTACCCAGACAGAGAGCAGCCAGAGGGATCCCTTTAAAAAAAACAGAAAAATCAGACAATGTAACTCCCCTGCTTGAAATTTCATGTCTTCCCATTGCTTTCAGGATGATGTTCACAGTCCTGAGCATGGTTTAAAAGATGCTGCATGATCCCCTTCCTGCCCCCTCACCCCTGCCTCCCCTTCAGTCCTGCCTTGCTCCTCACCTCACTTTCCCTGCCCCAGCCAATCTGGGCTTCTCTCACTCTCTGTCTTGAGGCCTCTTTGCATCCTCATTACCTAGGACATCCTTGCCCCCACTCTTGGTCTTTCTAGCTTCTACTCACTATCCTCCTAGGCTCTGCCTATGTTGCTTCCCAAAAGAGGCTTTCTCTCCCTGCTCCCACTTCTACTTCCACCAGCCACTTGTAGCAGATCCCCTATTTTTTCTCCTCAAACCTTTCAACTTTTCTTCATATCACTGGCCACAGTTTGGAATCACATACGCCCGTGATTTTTTCATATCTATTTTTTTATATTTGTCTCTCTCCCTAGACCTACACTGTTCCACTAGCCGCCTGTGGCTATTAAGCACGGGAAACATGGCAGGTCCGAATTGAGATATGCTGTAAGCAGAAAATACATACCAATTTTGAAGATTTAGTATAAAAAAATGTAAACAATCTCATTACTTTTTATAGTGACTACCTGTTGAAGTGACAATAGTTTGGATGTATGAGGTGAAAATAAAGTATATTATTAAAATTAATTTTACCTGTTTCTTTTTAAACTTTGTCTTAGTGGGGCTACTAGAAAACTCAGAATTCCAAATGTGGCACCCATTGTATGTCTCCTGGACAGCACTGCTCTAGACTGTAATCTCCATGCAGGCAGGTCTCAGCTCATTTTGGTCACTGCTGCATCCCCAGAGCCTAGCAGCCTCTGCAATATTATAAGCTGACTTCAGTAAACTGCTAAATGAGGGAATAAATGAGTGAATGAGTCAGACAAGCAAAGGAAAAACTTCTGGTTAAAAAAATAGTCATATGAATATGGATACTACAAGTTTGTAAGCTCACTGTTATTTTGTGTGAGGGAGAAATTTCTGATTTGGGACCATTTGGAACAAGCTACAACCCTCTCTAGGGGCCAGATGGGACTACTAGGTCACCTGTGGTTAAACCAGATAAAAATCACAGACAACAGAAAGGCAAAGATAAACTGCTGGAGGGTCTTTGACCTCAAGTTGTCCCACTTTTCAAATCCCCAAAACCAGGAACCCACTTGGCAACACTTTGACCTAAAAATAAAATCATAAATAACAAAAACAACTTGACAAAAGCATTCTACTTAAGTTCAAAGATGACCCTAGTGTTAATAAAACTGTAATGAGCACCTATTAAGAATTTCTGGCGGGGATGCCCAGTTTCATGTGGTGTTTGTTTTTCATCCTATCCCACTAATGAATATTTAGCTCAGTGTTTCCCCAACATAGGTCCCACAGCACCCAAGTCTCAGAAAGTCCTCTGTGAAAATAGAAAGGGAATTCCCTAGACCAACACGTCTGGGAGATACTATACACTATGCACCTCTCCCTGAGAGACATGGTGCATGCTGGTTTACAAAGCCATTGAGAAGATCTTGGAAAATGAAAACAGGTCAACTTTGTTTATCCCAGTTTGTCTCAAACTTGTTTGACCTCAGAATATCTAGTAACAGCTCAAGGAAGCGATGCTCCCAAGAAATGCACTTTAGGAAGGGCTCATCTAAGCTTCATTTCCAAAACCGTAATTAGTGATAAATTATTCTGATCTTGTGGGTAACCCTACCTGTGGGAAACCCAGCTGTGATAACCAGAGTTCCACCATTCAATGGTAACCACTCCCCTTCACTTTGGGTAAGAGAAAAACACCCACCACAGAAGACTTAACCTCGTGTTGATAATGTGTGTAGTTATGCATAATGACAAGTAAATAAGGAACTTTGAGGGCGTTGGTCTAACACACCCAAATTAATTATGTGCCTCTCAACATCTTCCAGTTTCAGAGAGCAGAAGGGGGAAAGACGTCCTGAATGAAAGCAAATAATTGGACAGGTTACACAGCCAAGCTAGGCAAGGAGTTTGTGCCCTTCAAATTTCACTATTGCACCAACCTGCTGCCACCCATGTCAATCTCAAAACCTGCAGCTCCAACGCTTACCCTCTTAATGTGATATTCTGAGCCAGGGCACAGAGATACTAGCAAGTCTGCTTTTTACACTTCTTAAACTGTATTTTCATCAGAAGTCAGAAGACCTGGACTACCTTTCTCTATTCTGTGTCCTACCAATATATGTAAAGCACTTATAAAGTGACTGTAAGTAGTAGGTCTCAGGAAATGCTAGTAAGTAGCTCTCCTCTCAGGACAACATTCATGCCTGAATGTCTCAGTTCTGGAGATACAATGGTGACTGAGATGGACTAGTTCCTGATCTCATGGAGTGTTGAGCTTGACAGACACCACACCGAGGAGACACAATCTCTATCTCTGCAAGGGAACACTAGAGCACATGCCTTGGCCATTCAGATTCTTGTTCTAGGACCAGCTACTGCCCATAGCTTGCCAAAGGTTTAAAGTTTGTAAATTCCCCCAAAGTCACAGCATGGCCATCTCTACATACAGTGTCTGCTAATTCAATCAGCTACATTGACAATTGGAAGAGACATGCTATTTTGTATACCTAGTATGTACAAGATCATAACTCTAAGAAGTTGCCGTGTATTAGTTCACATAGTACACAGAATAATATATAATCATCCTATTTTAGGGGATGGATAAGCAACTGAGGCACAGAAAGGTGAAGTAACCTGTCCAAAGTCAAGCAGCTAACCAGTGCAGGAGGTAGATTTATAACTGGGACTGCTGGGCTCCAAAGCTTATGCCCTTTCCCAGTTTATTACACCAGCTCTAATATTCTACAACCCAAGGAAGATATAAAGTAGACAGCATGCAAACTGGTGGAGAAAGAATATGGAGAACAGTTTATTTTGCAGTCAACAAAACCTAACTGGGCCCTTCCTGGAATACTTCATTATTTCTCTCTTTTTGTCTGATTAGAACCATCTTGGAGATATTGGTGATCTGAATTTAATGTGTTTCTGTTGAATGGAAGAACCCAGCCTTTGTGACTTTCTCTCCTCTGGCTACTTGGTGGGCATACTCAGATTTGCTTTAAGACCACATACAGGGATGGCACTAAAAGAATATTTGTGGGTGGGTTTATTTTGCTAAAATCACCCAAATGTCTGATGACAACTACAGTGCAGAGAAGAGATGAGGACTACGGAAGGTCACCCAGGGGGCATCGGCAGACCAGACCGCATTCAGAGTATCCATCTCATCCAGTTAAGCTTTGAGGAAATTTGAGCTGAATCTGCATCCTTCGTGGTGACTACTCCCTCCTCCCCAAAGGGGAGTCTCACTTGAAATGCTGTCCCTTTATCCCACTTTCCCTCTGCCGCCTCTGCTGCAGGTCAGTCAACAAGGCAGTTAGAAATGTGTCCAAGAATTCATGAAGAATTATGAAAAAATCATAATATCTGCACAGCTCACAAAAAGCCAGCACAGAGGCCACAGGATAAACCCTCCTCACCCCAGCCCTGAGACTGCATACAGCAAACAGGGATGCATCGGTCCAAAGGGATATTGTGAGACAAGGGCCTGGGATTAGGAGCCTCGGAAAATTTTCCTCAAGGGCTTGGAGCCTCTACTTGCAGCGGGAAGAAACCTCATGTTGGCAGCGACTCGAACCACAAGACCCCTGAAATGTCCCTGATTTAATCTTCTCTCTATCACCTTCTGGGCCCTATTACCCTGGTACCAACAATTCACTTCGGACAGCGCAGTTATCCTTCTTGCTGAAGGGTATTTACTGAGCCCTAGCAGTGACATTATCCGATAATCTAGAGTGAGAAGTGGGATTCTGGAATGCATTTCTTACCAAGAACACCACCCTTGGGAGGGAGGAAGACAAGCCCAACCTTAGATACCTGCCACCAGGTACAAGGACCTAACACCCACCAATTGATCACACACTTCACTCAGGTGAAAAGCTGAACTCCCTGACTCAGCTTTTAAGGATCTACAGCCCTGCCCCACCTTTATGATCTCATTTCCAGCCACAGGAAACTTCTAGTTCTTCTCTAAATATCTTTTTTTTTTTTTAATCCTCTGCATTCAGTTCAAGATATTCCTTCCTTCTTAACCCTCCATTCTCTGGCCTGGGAGAAATTGTACTTTTCTTTAAGGCCCAATCAAATATCACTTCCTCCATGTTACCTTGTCTCTTTCCCCAGCAAAGTAGTTTACCATCACTTTGTAGTGCTTCCATATTGCTTTGTTTATGCCTCTGTTACAGCATGGATTGTAGGTAGTTGAATGTATGTCTGTCTCCTCAACTAAACTGTGAGCTTTTCCATTGCAGGGAAATGCAACGGAGTCATCTCTGAAACCCAAGTATCTAGAAAGAATGGGCGGGTCAATGATGAGTGCATTCGGGTTACAATTACTCTCAACGAATTCAACTCTATGAATACTGTTCTATGAGTCTGATCTACTGTGAATTCTAATATTCCCCTCAACATGTTTTTTCAAAAGTCAAGATTTGAGCAACATTAGTTATTATGAAGAGCTTTTGGACTCACGGTGACATAGGTCTGAGTTCCAACTCCACCACCTTGAGCCGAGTGACCCCCACCTGGAGCTGCATAAGTGATGCGGCTTCACTGACCTTCTCCATCTGCAAAACAGGACAATGTCTTGTTCACAGTTGTCAGGAAGTTTAAATAAGATGATGCATGCAATGCTGTCTGCGTGAGTCTGAATGTTTTAGTTGCCCAATAAGCACTGAATATTAATGATGCTGATGGAAATAACCATAAAGCCACAGGAGTACAGACCTCTGAGAAATTGACTTTAGTCAGGCTTTAGTCTCATTCAAATACCAGAGCAGAATACACAAGAGTGAACATCAAATGTAGTGAGAAATGTACATGCTTGGGGGGCTGGTGTTCAGACGCAGGACTCATTCATTTGAATATTTAAAAAATATTTGAGCACCTACTATGTGCTAGCCCTTGGGAGTAAAACAGAACATGAAAAGTCTCTGCCTTTGAGCCAAGTAGGGGTCCTGTCTCTGAATGAAGAAAGGACTCTTTATTGTATTGGGACGTGGCTGAGATGAGAAGCCATCTCCACTGAGGGAAACCACAGACTTCTGCACCACGTATCCCACAATGGCCACTAAGGGCCCTTCATGAGCAGGGCTCTATTCAAATAGTGACTCTGCCTCTCTGCCCCTCGTTCCCCCTGAGCTCAGAGGGGTGATGTCCTCAAACAACCTCAACAGAGCAGAAGCTCAAGTTCATGCTTATTACACAAGATTCAACGGAAGTATCATCTTTTTGTATGTCAAAAATAGCTTTTTATTTAAATAAATTTTATATGGAGATGTTTAAAGTAAAAATGAACTTCACTACATGGTCATTCTCAGAAAACTCCAGGATATGTTAATGTGTCACCATTTGTAACATTACACTGTGATTTTAAAATGTAGAACAGATTTCAGCTGTTTCTCAGTCACCTGGAAAGTTCAGGCATACACATAACCCACAATTATGTGGTCAGAGGAATCTCCAAGCCTCTTCAAAGCTACCAACTAAACAGACACCACTGAGATGACCACGCCTTTTTATTTAAAAAAAAAATCATTTAAGCAAGAAGAAATCTCTGCATATGGAAGTCCCAAAGCCAAAATCCTCCAACTGCTTTCTCTCTCACTACCAGGAACTGAATTGAGAAATCTGATGAACTCTGTGGCTTCTTAAGCAGTCACAGACTAGTGACACATCAGCCCAGCAGAATTTGCAAAACATTCTACTACGGAGCACCACAATTCCTGCCCTCTCCGAAAAGGAAGGGAAGTAAGGGAGAAGGGAAGAGAGCAACGTCAGATCCCAAGTCTGAAGAGGACACACGTTCCTGTCTTCTCCACTTTCTCTGGAAGCCCCACACCCCAAATTCAAATCAACAGGGCTCAGAGGAGCCTTTAGCATCACCAAAGGGCTTGTCTGCCTTGTCTCTGGTACTGATCTCTGCCTGGGAGACCACAGCAGAACCCACACCAACTGGGATGCTAACCTTCCAAACAGAATGGGCCCTGGAAGTGGGTGTTTACCAGGGACAGGATGAGAGTGAGATAAGAAAGGCACTCGCCTTGGGTGCAAAACTGAAGAGGCCACCAAAAAACTCAATAATCAATATAAAGAATAGTGCAATGCAACACTTTAAAAACCAAAATTAGCACCAAAAATTTCATGATGAATGAAATATCAAAATTCTAAATAAAGATAGGGTCAATATTATTGATTTTTTTTTTTGCCTCTAGTGCTTATGTTTCCTTGTGTCTAATATAAAGCTTTAGAGTCGTCTGGCCGTGAGCATGGGGCTCAGCTGCAAGCACCAGTTGGAGCGGAAGAGAGATGAGCAGGCTCACTCATGGCTCAGCAACGTTAGTGCAAAACAACCTTTTGCTGAGTAACATGCAAATGGATCTAAAACATATGGATTAAACGCCTCTGAAAATAAACAGGGTTTTAAAAGGAAAGGAAAGGAAAAGTACTTAGCCACTATGTTTGAGGTTTTCCTGAACCCAAACCTTTGGAAAACTAGCATTAGAGTGAATTACTCAGTGCCTGTAACACAATCAGCTTTGAAATAGGCTTGTCATAAACCACCGGTTTCTTCTAAAAGAAATGTTTTTCTTTTTCTTTTTCTTTTTTCTTTTTTCTTTTTTTTTTTTTTTGAGATGGAGTTTCACTCTTGCTGCCCAGGCTGGAGTGCAGTGGCGCAATCTCAGCTCACTGCAACTTCCACCTCTCGGGTTCAAGCAATTCTCCTTCCTCAGCCTCCGGAGTAGCTGGGATTACAGGCATGTGTCACCATGCCTGGCTAATTTTTGTATTTTTAGTAGAGACAGCATTTCACCATGTTGGCCAGGCTCATTTCAAACTCCTGACCTCAAGTGATCTGGCTGCCTCAGCCTCTCAAAGTGCTGGGATTACAGGTGTGAGCCACCTCACCCGGCCTTAAAAAAAATTTATTTTAATGGTTCACCCAAACTAGCTCCTCTATGCACTCCTTTTGGGGCTCATTCCTACTGTTCTTTACAAGAAGGAGCATGACTTTGCACACCGACAGGGGCCTGGGAGGCACTGGAGACCCAGGATTCAGTAGGACTCCTGAGGCGAGCCTTTAGGGGGCTTGAGGAGACCAAGCTGGGAATAAGTCCCTCACGGCATGACAAGAGTCCTATAGAGAAGGCAAACAAGTAATGCTTTGGACTAAGAGCCAGACAGACACCCAAGGGCATCAGCCTATACCATCTCTGTAACTCTGAGCATCAGTGTTTTTGTCTCCTCGCTGCAGATACCACTGCCTCCTCTGGAAGCTGGAGAGAAGGGCCCACACATGGTGAGAGCCCAGGCAGCAGCCACTGTGTACAAGTGGATGGCTCAGGTTCACCACTGGCCAGCCCCCTAAGACAGTTCCATGGGATTTTAGAAACCGGCATCTGTGGCTACCAGTGCTAAGAGATCAGCGCAACCAAGGATCCAACCTAAGTCCAGCTTTGAGGAAAAATCTAGGAAGTAGGAGAGAGAGAGGCTGAATCCCAAGGTCTGGGAGTCAGTCTTTGTTTTAGTATGTTCCAGTTGCTATGGTGATGTGGGCTGACGCAAAGGCCTCCAGACAGGGGGCTGGATTCCCCCAGAAAGAGATGCTGCTGATCACCCACCAACACTCAGCCTTCTTTGACACTGTCCAGGGCAAGTGTTTTGGTATGGCCAGTAGAAGGAGCCCCAGGCAACTGCAAATGCCCATCCTGGAGGGAAACCCATCTGCCAGGGGGCCCCTTCCCTCTGCTAGAGTTCCTCACATACCTAGCAGGGTTCTTCCAGAGGTGAAGGTATTGTCTAAACTCTCTAGACTGAACAAGCCTTACTCTCACCATCTTCAATAATTCATATGATTATGTTTTTAGAGCTGGCTCCAGGCCCAGAAGGGGCTCTTCAGTTCCCTTTCTAAGGACTGGGACCACTCATCAGTGAGGGGCAGCCTCTCTTCGGGTGTTATCCCATTCAGGGCATCATTTTCTCCCTTGAGGAGAGCTTTGTAGGAGGCAGACAGAAGCCACAGCTAAAAATTGGAGCCACCACCCGCAACCCTGCGCCTCTGCAGCAGAGCTCTTCCATTCCTGTCTATCTGACTTGCCTCCTCTTTTCAAGCCCCACCTTCAAAACATCTTGCGATCAATCAAATTTGGCTTTTTGACATCAATGAAAAAGGATGCAAGTTCCTGGATAGACCTTGCCAAATTTTAAACCCTGAAAATAAGATTTCTTTTTCCTTACCAGGTTTTATATAAAAAATATTGGGAGGTTTAACAAGATTAACAGACCAGGTTGTAAATAAGAAGCCCATTTTTGCAAAAAGCTCACAACTTTGTTTGTCCCTCCCATGCTCAGCTACAGGTTGGAGTTTCCTGCACCTATCATATACAGCCCTTCTCACTGGTCCTCCATGTACCCCATCTTTGTTGGATTATCACACATGTGGTAATTCCAGATTTCCGTTTTTAATTTTAATTCTGGTTTTCAATTTTCACTGAAAATTGTTGATGGACACACACACACACACACACACACACACACACACACACAGCAAGACATCCAGAATATTAAAGACATAGCAGGCTGGGTGCAATGGCTCAAGCCTGTAATCCCAGCACTTTGGGAGGCAGTGGTGGGCAGATATCTTGGGCTCAGGAGTTTGAGACCAGCCTGAGCAACACGATGAAACTCATCTTTACAAAAATGTTAAAATTAGTCCAAAAAATTAGCTAAAATTAGTCCCAGCTACTTGGGGGGCTTGAGGATCACCTGAGCCTAGGAGGTTGGGGCTGCAGGGAACTGTGTTCATGCCACTGCTCTCTAGCCCGGGTGACAAAAGTGAGACTTTGTCACAAAAACAAAACAAAAAGACATAGCAACACAAACCACAATAAAACTAAGCTAACACTATTGATATGACTGCCAAAAGCAAAACGAAATGACCCAGGACCGAAGTTTTCAGAGTGTGCTCCTTGGAACCCACAGAGCTCTGTGGAACTTTTTGAGAGAACTCAAGACAAAAATCAGCTCCCATCCCCAACCACAGCCACTTCTTATCTAGTTTTTAAATTGGATTTACTAAGATTTTATCGCAAAAAAAGCATTTTGTGGTTCAAGTAATTTTTAAATTACTAGTCTAGAAGACTAAAGGTCTCCTAAAGGAAAGAGGCCTAACAGCTGCTCAGAAGCACTCTCTTGCGCCCAGTGTAGCCCAAAGCCTGGGCAGGTAAGGGAGCTTATGCACATGATGCAAGTAAGGGAGCTTATGGACCTGGACAGGTGAGGGAGCTTATGCATCTGAGGCAGGTAAGAAACTTCATGCATCTGAAAGGTTGCAGGAAGTAAGGGGTTTAGGCCTTTCTGAGCTTCTGACTCTCCTCATATGCCCTCAGTGAAGCTTCCTTGGATCTCCTCTGGCTGAATTACTGGTCTTCTTCATTTCTCCAGCAGGTCTCACGCCCTCCACTCCTCTTGACTAATCTGTCCTAGCCCCCATCACCCTGTATGACAGCTTCTGACTGGGATGTCTGTCCTCTCACCAGGCTGCCAGCTCTTCGAGAGCAGGAACCATGTATTCAACTGCCTTCTCAGTGACTCATTCAGGGCCTGCCTCATAGAAGATGATCAAAAACTTGTACTCAACTTATTTTCTGCTTCCGATTGTGGCGGTGGGTGACGGAACACAATTGCACACCAGCATCTTGGGCTACCCAGAATGTACTGGTGATGACCAGTTCATCCTCCCAGGAGTGCCACAGGGAGGGGGTTGAGGAAGATAATTGGGCCTTAATTTCATTTTCAGGTTCAAAAAAGAAGAAATTGTGATCTTTGGAGTCTAAAAAAGTTGTTTAAATGTAAACATCCATTCTCAGTGTCTGGAGCCAGAGTTAGATGAAATTCCCTAAGTGATCTCTTAATACCACCAAAATTACATTCAAATGCCTCTGCCAGGCAAAGATAAATTGCCATTTGCACAACGATCTTGCGCTTAAAAGTAGCTCGGTCCAGAGAGCTTTGGAAAATTTATTATGACAGGGAAAAGTGGAAACTTAAAGGGGGCCAAGATATTTAGTCTGCTGATAAGATGGCTTAGGAGCGACAATAATTATCTCCAAGAATTTTAAGGGTCATTATAAGGTCATTAGGAGGGCACAGACCAGCTGGGCTTCCTCAACTCGGACAACGGGAACTGACTTAAATTACACCAAGAAGAATTGGAATCAGAATCACAGAAAGTCATCAATGTCATAATGACATAGGCCCCCACGACTTGAAGGCAGCTCTGTGCACCAGCAGCGTCACCTGGGAGCATGTTGGAAAGGTGGACTCTCAGGCCCTACCTCAGATCTGCCAAATCAGAACTCTCACTTTAACACGTGCCCCTGTGAGTTGCTGGCATATTTTAAGTCTAAGAAGCACTGGTCTAACCTAACCCCTAAACAAAGGACTAGAGAAGTCAAGGAACCTGCCCAGGTCCTGGCTGATAGTCCAGGCAAGGAGTACAGTCACAGTAAGCAGCAAGCAGTCCCCAAGGAACACTCCAATGGTTCCCACCTTTCCTGACTGGCAGAGCCACAGAAAAATGTGCCTGTCCTCCAGGCCACTGCACTTTCCTCGTCCCAAGGGCTGAGTGCATACCTTACAGCCATAAAGACTCTGGAGAACAGCATGAACTCCTCACCTCAGAGAGGGCCAAAGAGTGCAGCAGGCTCCTGGGGAAGCCTGTGGCCCTCCCTCCTCCGTGTGATGTCTAAAAACAGGTAAGACAGCAATCTGGCATGGACACCTTCCATGCCAGAACAACTATCTAGATATGCTTTCTCCGTAACAGAAAATGTCTAATGGTGCAGCTCTCCTACTGACAGGAGAGAAAGAAATTCACAGGGCTTTCAAAGACCTGGTCTTCAAAGGTTTTCAAAGTCTGGGCAAAGCACTTTAAACTGAAGTTGCATCTAAACCCCTGATATGACTGCCCTTCCAGAAGACTCAAAGATATCCCAGTGCAAGGAGCCAGGCTGTCCAGCTCCTTGCTCTGAGCAGGTGCCTGTGCAAGGAAGGCCTGACTGCTTGTGCTCCCCAGGGCTCACTCACCTGCAGGGGTGGGGAGGCAAGGATGGATTCAGATTCCTGGAGCCAAGCTGAGTCTAGGGACAGGCCCTAAAAAATAACAGGGGCAGAGAGGAGTAGCAGCTCCTCTCCCTCTGGGTGGCCATGTGTGTTTCCTAACACCAAGGGAACTAAGCAGACAGCAAATGTATATTTGATGACATTTCTCTGCAAGCAGCCTCCGTTCTGAAGAACCAAGCTTGAACAAAGCCTGGTGCCAGGGCACAGAGAAGAAAAAGAAGGACTAGGGGCCTGCCAGAGAGGATAAGATGGCCCCTGAAGAAAGTAGCTAAAGCAAAGAGGTGCAGATATTAATAAAAGTCACCATGACAGTCACCATCCTACTCAAATTAGCAAAGTTTCTACATGCCAGACTTTAGGGAAAGGAGGTTCAGGCCCAGCTGAATAGCTTGCAAAACAGTAGAAAGGAACCCAGCACTGAGAAGTCTCCCCCAGTACCCACTGCCACTTCCAGCCTCCTGCCAACCCAACCAGATACAAGAGAGTAAGAATGTGATCCTTTCCTATTCACTGTTCAAAGGAAACTGAAACTGCCTCCAGATAATGGTAAAAAACAAGCAGTGAGAGATAGCTGATGCTTTACCCTGATAAGATCAAACACCTGGGTATGTGCCATCATGTAGAAAGAGATGTGTAGTCCAGACTTTTCAAAGATATGCTATCTTGTGGATGCAACTCACAAATACAACTTTGTTCCCATTTAGGAACCCAACCTACATGTTTGCATTTCTCTTTTGAGCTATAACTGCAAATGCAAATTGCATTTAATCCATCAAATTGTGATGCTTTGCCGATACCACAGAAGGTACTAAAAAGAGGTCACTTAAGCAGCAGGCTTCAAAGGAGGCTGATGAGAATAATTGAATTCACCCCTTTCACTCTGCTGGCCTTCCCCACTGAATGCCACTCTTGCCATTTGCTCTGTCTGTCCTGAGGACTCAGATACTGTTGCAATAGGCAGAATGCCACAGGACTGATGAAGAGCTCGTTTCTACCACTTTACATGACAGTTCCTCCCCTCATTGGCCTTCACTCCAAGAGTGTCCTGTAGTTCAATAGTTTTCTTACCAGAAAGCCATGGGTATGCTGGAAACTGGAATCTGCATGGGAGTCCACAGAAGACAGCCAGGAATTCAAGGTCATCCAAGGCCCCATGTCCTCCTGCTCTGTTCATGTCACCAGCAGTCTCATAGAAAGATTCTGAGCATCTGTAGCATGTATTCTTCAGCTCCAATCCTTTTAGACGGAAGAAGCTAAGATTCCTTCTGAGCTATTAAGAGCAGAAGGAGGAGAAGAATAAAAATCTAAGAGCACCAGAATGTAAAACTGACAGGGATAAAAACACTCACATGCACGCACACACACACACTTTTGTGGGGGGAGAAAACTCTAACTGGAAGACTGGGTACTATACAATTCCATTCTCCAAACTTCTGTGGTGTGTCATGTATTAGTGATGTCTACCAGACAGAACCCTGAAATGCAGAGCTGGAAGGGACCCTCCAGTCCAGCTGGGATCAAATAAGTGCTCACTGCTCTGGGCAGAGCAAGTATCTTGGTCAGAATCTCACACCTAAGCAAGGCTCAAGCATGAAGTAAGGTGCTTCCTGCTTGGCAATGACCACTCAGTGAACCCCTGGGCAAAGTTCCACTCCATAAAGCTAACCCCTACTTCATCCTGGAGTGATCTAGAAACCAGGCCTTAGAGGCCACTCTCCATCAATACCCAAGAGTACTTCACTTGCAGAAAGACAACAAAGCCACTTAGAAGACCTTGCATTCTTGTGAGAGAACAATCAGGAAAAATTGATCATCTGAACCAGAGGGCTGTGAGAGTATTTTGAAAACAACTTACTTTTATCTTTCCTCCAAGTAGTGTAGGTAGGGGAAAACAGTTGACCGATTTTTATCACATAAAAGTTCTTCCATTTGTCTTTAAATAAGAATTTTTTTTTCATTGTGATCAACTCCAGCATTTTCATCAATTCCATCAACAAGTTCTCGGATGCAAAAATAAAGTGAAGATGGAGTCCCTATCAAACAGTTACTAGGTTAAGAGAGAGGGCAAAGGGATGGTGAACATAATTCAAAAGAAATGCACAACTGTCTTTAAAATATACCTGTAATTGCTACCATTTAAAACGATTTCTCTATGCTCAGCACTGGATTAAATGCTTTACATTGTACCAATTACTGTAATTCTCATAGCAACCCTGCAAGATGGCATTGCGTTATTCCCAGTTTACATATCAGCAAACAGGCACAAAACATTTGAGCAACTTTCCCAAAGTCACAGATGCTGTCTCAAAATTTTTTTTTATAAGAGGTGTTTACTTGTTTTTACTCTCCGTCGGCCTTTGTCAGTCACACACAAAAAAAGCAGACCTGCGTTTCTTGTAATTTTAAAATAAAGGAAGATACACACTTCAGTATGGGTGGAAATGACAAAAAGAGCCCCATCCAGTGTCGTTTCTTACCAGAGAAGGGAGATCTTTAATTTGGTGCACAGATTAAACCCTACAGGTTTTTCCACCCTGTTTCAAGTGACCAACTTGAAAAGTCATCTACTGGGCTAAAAAGGAGCCTTTGGAAATTGCTTTAAGAAAGTCATGGGCTTTGAACAAAACTATTAGGATCAGAAAACCGCATAGTTGCTTTTGCAAATGCATCCGATTGCCTTCTCTATAAATTTGCTCTATTTGATTTCTTCTCCATTCTATCATTAATCGTAAAACTAATATATCCTCCCAATCCCATATGTACTAAATAAATAATTTAATTTGATGGAACACATGAACTTGTGCCCTACACAGAAAACAGTTTGAGCTGGATCCCTAATTATGTCTGGCGTAATTGTATCTGGCATTATCTCACTGCCTGGGTCGGATTCTCAGGGGCCATACTTTCCTAACAGCTCTGAGGGGTCTCCGTGGTGTCATAGAAAAGCCAGAGAACCACAGAGTGCCCCCGGGAGGTCCTGCAGAACTGCCGGCTCAGCTAGGACCTGGTCACAAACCACAGACTCCTGAGGGCTGGGCTGCCTCCTGAGTGGTAATACCGAGGGCCCCAGCGGACTCTCAGTCCCTTTCCTCTTTCCCAGCGCCCCAACGCCTTGGGTCTGGGAAGAAAGCGCACGACTTCCCCGGAGACCCAGGGCCACAGACCCCGAGTGGAGGAAGTGGCTGGGAGCTGTCCATGGTGGCGTCGCGCCTGGGCACGCAGAGCCGCCGGCTCCCCGCCCTCGGGCGCGCCCTGGATCACTTTCCAGACCGCAGGGATGGAGAGACGCGCTCCCCGGCTCACCGTCCCTGGTATGGGGCTGCAGCCAGGCACTGGCTCACACATCAGAAGATTAGTTTTTAAAGGGAGCTCTCACCTGTGGGTAGCGTTGGCTGCTTGGAGAAGGACTCAGGACCTCAAACCCGGCAGCTGGCGGAACTCCTGGGACTGCCGTAGCGTCCGACCCTTGGGGAACAGCGGCTGTCGCAGAGAGTGTCTGCGGCTGAGGACCCAGGGCGCACAGCGCTCCTCTCTCATGAGCACACGCATCCCTTGGGGTCCATTCCAGAATGTCACTGGCCTTCGTTCCCAGAGCGGCGAGCTGGAGACCTGGCCAGCGTTCTGCCAGGACTCTCTGCCTTTCCTCACAACCTAACGCGACCTTTCTTGGAGCCGACGTCCTTTGCCAGGGACCACCAGACCTTCTTCCAGCGATGCCACGTTTGGAGTCTCAGTCTAAACATCAGCAGAGCCCCCCGGGTTCATCTAACATTGCAATTGCCTCAGCTCGGCCCCGCGCCAGCGCGTCGCTGGGTGCCTAGCGCTGTCCCGGAGGCACTGGGAGGCGAGGGAAACTGGGAGGAAGAGCGTGCTGAGGCAGGAGCAGCAGGGCGCAGACCTGTTGCTAGGCGCACGCCCGCTAGAGCTCGGCGTGAGCTGGCTCCCAGTCGGCAGGACACCGAGACCTGACCCTTGTGGTACTCCCTCCTCGGCGAGACACTCTCCCGGGCGCAAGCCCCCGGTGCCATTCAGAAGGGGGAAAATCTACGGAAAGCAGGAGTCTGCCCCCTCTGGATGCCCTCTGGGGACTCCAGCGCCCCCCGGCACCTGCAGCTTGTAAAGCATCACAAGATCTCAGAGAAATCCCACAGAGGACAGTGCCAAGAGCGTGTGCCCATCAACAGACGCATGGACAAACAGACAGATAGAGGTAGACTGCACAGCACAGGGTGGACAGACAAACAGAAACTGAGGCGGGTAACGTTTACCCTGTGCCGGGTGGAGGCGCGGGCCCCCACTTCTTACCTCTCTTCCGTGGCATGGGCCGTCAGCTCATCCCTGACGCCCCCAGCCAGGCCCTCTTACCTCTGGGTCTGTAGCCGAGACAGTGTCACGCCTCGCGGGCCAGGAGCGCAGCGGCCCCGGACGTCTGGTCGCTGACCGCCAGGCGCCGCGAGCTCCCGGGGCGTGGGCAAGCGGAGTGGTAGCTAGTCTGGGAAATCTGGGTTCAGACCCTGGCCGCGCTCAGCCCCGCTGGCTCCCCGCGCCGCTTGCGCTCGCCAGGCTCTGTCCGATAGCACCGCGCTGGGCTCTGCTTGAGCGCTAGCTCCCCGGCCCTCAGCCGAGAGGCCGCTTTTATAGCCACTTTTACTGACTCCTCCCCCGAGGAGCCCCTGACGCCCGCGCGGCACCGAAGCTCCCTCCCTCGCCCCCCGATGAAACTTCCCTCCACGCGCCCCCGCCTTGCCCAAGTGGGGCGGGGGCCCTGTGCCCGGGCCGGACCGGGGCGGGCTCTGGCGGCGGCTCTGGGAGACGCAGACCTGAGCCCGCGGAGCCCGGGTGCGCAGAGTCCCGCCCGCAGCAGCCAGGTGAGGGCGCTGGAGGCCAGGACTCGGTGGAGCGGCCGCGGCGGACCGCGGAGAGCAAGTCCCCGGGCCTCCAAGGAGCCAGGGTCGCCCGTGCCCCGCTCGCGCCCCGGGGCGCCCTCCGAGGCAAAGAGGCAGTGGAGGACAGGAGAAAAGGTCTGCGCCTGCCACAGAATCGCCGCGAGTCGGGGTCCCAGGCTAAGTCTCAGGATCTCTTTTTAACTCAGCAGCAAAAGAGTAGCCCGAGAAAGAGATTTTGGTATTGGCCTAGCAGTTAATCCGAGAGGAAGATGCTTGGGTGTTCACTGAAAGGCACCTTGGTTTGAAACTGGATTCAGACATGCCAGTTACAACTGTGTACAGGATCTTAACCCCTCCCAGTCTCAGTTTCCTCATCAGGAAAATGGGTTCTGTGATGCTTCCTCACTAGAATGGTGAGGCTTAAATGAGATCAGGAAAGTCCAAGTTCTAAGCACATAATAGGTGCTTGGTAAGTTAGAAACATTCCCTGTGGGTAGGAGGGCTCTGTGCCTCTTTAACTGGACAGGCCAAAGTTCTGAAGGGTCAAAGCAAGAAGGTGCGGCTGGTCTAGACATTCCCTCGCGGGAGGAAACAGTACCAGTAGGAAAAGTTCATCACAACACATCCCTAGGGCATATGGAGTCTCCTCTCAACTCTGCCGCTAACCTACTGTGTGACCAGGGCCAGCTACTTCCCCTGTCTGAGCCTCAGGGTGGTTTTTTTGCAGGGAGGTGAGGAGTGTTTGTTTTTCTTGTTTTGTTTTAATCTGTAAAATGAGGGCGTTGATACCTGCTCTCTGCCTCTTCCACCTTTCAGAGTGTGACTCAGCCCCCTTTCCTGGTTAGCAGAGGCCTCCTAGAATATACATTTCTTTCTTCCTTCCTGCCAGTGTTCTCTGAGAACCAGCTCCTCAGGCAAGGTCTCCATTCTGTGTAGTACACACTAGCTCCGGGACTCTAGGTCTGGACTTTAAGGCCAGGCTGTGGTCGGCAGAAGCTGTGGAAGTCTGTGATCACATCTGGGCTGAAGCAGAAGCCTTTGTCACCTGGTTAAACTGGGAAGTCCTGCAATCCACCTCTAGGCCTCTTCCAGAAAGCGGAACTTGATCCTTACTGGGGGTGGTGGTCAGGATTCTCAGCCCTTCTTTGATTTATTGGGAAGTAATGAACTGGATCCAATGGCAAGCCCTCCTCCCCAACCTTTTCTTTCCAGCCGAATAAAATGGAGCCCCCCCGACCCAGGGCCCCTCTCCCCAGTCCTCACCATGATTCCTGTTTATGTTTTTCTTCCTTAAGGAGCTCCCAGAAACCAGACCCACAAAGAGTTGTGTGTTAGGGGTTTGGGGGTGCTGGGCATTTGGCCCAAATGGAGAAAGGTCGACCTTGAATCAGCCTGGCTTGGCACGACATGCAGGATTTTCCATCAACAGACAGTAGATTTGAGGCCTGAGTGGAGCCAGGTAGCTCTCTGGTGAGGGGCTGGCTCCACAGCCATCTGGGAGATGAAGTGGTAAAGGCAGGGTCCTGTCTAGGGATGGGCCCTGAGAAGTGCTTGGCTATGTTTTCTCAAAGCACTGAAATGCCCAGCACATTCCTCTGGTATCCAGTTTTCTTTATCACAGACCAATGCCCAGGGGAAAAGAGCAGTGCTGATGAATTACAAACAGGCTCCGAATGTCTAAAACCAGATTCTCCAGCCAGTTCTCCATTCAGCACTGCCATTCAGCACTCAGTGATGAACGGGGCGTGCCGCGTAATTCTTTATGGATAAATATAGCAACATGACACTGGTGGATTTACTGCCCACACTTTCGCAATCCATTGTCTTGCTCTTATAAATGCAGAGACAGGAAAGAGCTGGTCAAGAAAGGCTGTGTTAGTTTTCTGATTCTTGCCGAAATCTCCCAGCAGAGAGTCTCCAGAGAGAAGGGAAACGCCCATCAATGGTGTGACCTGCCACCCAGAAAGCCTGCCCTTCCTCCATTCTTTGCATTTGCCTCCAACCCACCTTCCTCAGGTGGGATGCAGCCCCCTCAGCTACATCCTTGTGCAGTAGATTGGCCTGCCTGCTCACTGTTGCCTCAAGCTGCCCAAGTCTGGCATCCTCAGTCTGCTGACAGGATGCCACATCTGTTCCCTAAAACAAGGGCCTCCACACTCCACCTGCTGATCAGCAAAGACAGCACCTGACCCTACAGCAGCCTGCCTTATTACAGTTTA